>NC_000010.11:71620368-72870368 GCF_000001405.40 Homo sapiens
TCCTGACCAGGCCTGAGTCCAGCGAGTGCCACCAGATGTAAGGCCGGAACCCCCCAGGACTGCTCACCCCAACTGGTTGGGGGCAATGTAACCCTGACACCTCCGATTTTATCTCAGGCTGCCTTTGCTAGAAGCACTTTCTGAAATGTCTGCAGGAATGCCCAGGAGTATCTGGGTCCAACCCGCCTCTAGTGACCGCCCCCCACCCAGGCTCAGCCATTGGCACACCCGCTGCAGTCAGGGCACCCAACCCCACCAGGGACCATTCCCTGCTCTCCATGGCTGTTTTCCCAAGGGAGCTGGTCAGTGTCTCTGACAGTGCAGGCCTGGCCTCCTCTTCTCCAGGGCACAATAACTTGCAGAGACAGAGCCAATGAGGAGAGGCAGCCCAGGAGCCCAGGCCACCCAACCCTGAGGTCACCTTGGCCATTTTCCAGCCTCCAGATGGGGCGGCCCCCAAACCATCCCTCATGTGGCACCGGGCTCATTCCTCAATAAGAGGGAGGGATGAGTTGCTTTCGGCCCAGCCCTGCTCTCGTGTATCTCATGTTCTTCTCTGGAGGAATCCGGAGCTGGCCGGGTGAATGCATCAGAGGACCAGTCTTGGATATAGGGGAGGCCCCATCATGATGGAGGATCAGGCCCAGGGACCCCCGTGTAGCATTTAGCCACATTGTCAACAGGAGCAAAAGAAGGACTGCAAAAGCAGTTAAACATTGCCTGAGTGTCCAGAGCCAGAAAAATCAGGGAACCACAAAGAGAAATCAGGCAACTGTTAGAGAAAAGATTTTTAGAAAAGTGTTGTTTCTTGCCAGTCCATTTCTGAGGAAAAAATACATCTGTTGGGATTTGTGTCTGGGTTGAAGGTGACTCTGGATTTGCTTGGTGTGGCAGGAAAATGTGTTCGTTGAGTAAATTCTCTGAAGGGAAGGGAGCCAGCAGAGCAGTCAGAACCCTCTGTCCCAGGCTCTGTGGAGCCACGTGACTCTCACATGCCCACGATTAGTGTGAGGATCCCACTAAATCTAACTCCTGATTGCACTGAATGGTGCACGGGGGTGGGGCATGCTTAGTTTGGCTCACCAGTGTAATCCAGGCCCTCATGCTCTGCCTGGAACGTTGATGGCACTCTGGAAATGAGCATTGGTTGAGTTAATGCATGGTTAAATGCCCAAGTATCAGCGAGATGGCCCAGGGCTTTTTCCAAACCAGGTCTGGCTGAGTTTGTGTAGCAAGGATGACCTCAGAAATCCTCTGCGGGGCAGTCGAGGGAGCTGATGCAAAACAGAAAGGGAAGGAAGAAGCAGTGTAACCTCTCCATAGGAACTCTGTGGCAGTCTCTCCTAATGAGGATGCTAATCGAATTCACTGCCGCCACCAGATCGAAGATTCTGCTCAGTCTCTCACTGAGTCTCAGACTCTGCTAGACCATTCACAACAACAAAGGTGCTTGAAAGCAGTCCTTTCTGTCTCCCAAGGACTCCATTCACATTGTCAAGTCTCACTGAGTAATTTCTTTTCCTTTGCCTGGCTATAGAAAACCCACAGACACCAGGGAAGGAAAGGACAGGGTGGGCTGAAACCAGCAACAACCCATTTGTACCTTGTGACAGTTGAGATGCAAATAGCTGGTTGTGATGCAAATCAGAAAAAAAAAAATCCAAAAGGCAGAAGCCCCAGAAGTCAGCCTTGGTGTTGGGAGCTCATCTCTGAGTTTCAAATTAAAGGTTGTGGCAGCCTCATTCCCCTGCACCTGGTGGCTGGGCGTTTTCTTGTGTCTTCCTTGGTGTTCTGGGGAGCCACGGTGAATCGGCAACTCACTCACCCACCTGGAGTCCTATAATGTATATATCCTTAAACCCCCTGTGCCGCCCTTGCCCCCAACATATTCTTTGTATTTTCTCCACTTGGGTCAACTTTTCCTCTCCTGGCCTTGCCTGCAGCCCTCCCCTGCCTCACCTCATTAACATGCCTGGAAGCTGAGTCAGCCACTGGCAGTCCTGTTTTCCCTTCTGCATGGGGACAGTTTGTTGCGCGGGTTGGAATTTTCTGTTCAGTTGTCCTAGAAAACGTTCCTCCACTTAGGCGCCAGTGGATTACCTCTGTGTGGCATCCCCCTCCGAAGAGTCAGACTAGCAGAAGGGGGCGGGGGACGGAGGCAGGGTGGCTCGGAGACCATCCACACCTCTGGGTGCCTTACAAATCCCAGCAAGGGGTATTGTTCTTAAATAGTTGTTTCATTATGCACGACCCCTCCCCGCTGACCCAGATAGCTGAAAACTGACAGTTCCTCTCATCCGCTGTCAGGAGAAATACCATTTGCGGATGTCCTGCCTTCCTTCTCCAGAGCTGGGAGCATTTGATCCACTTTCCTCTGCCTCACTCCTGACCCCCAGCTTCTCAGAACACACTTGCTGCTGTCCTTGAGAATATTTTGTGCAGAGGAGAGGGATCGGGGTAGGGATTGGGACACCACTCTCTTCCCCACCCCAGAGAGGCCTCAGCTGCCAGATTCTGGCTGCTTCTGGGAATTGGAATATTTCAGAAAGGCCTTCGGGCCTCATTAATTTGCCGAACCCCTGGCCTTCCTGAGGGACTATGCTGAAACTTACGCAGGTTGGGGGTTAGTTATTAATTCAAGCAACAAGTGTTATGTGCACCAACTATGTGCCTGCCACTGTGCTAGGTCCTGGGGGGACTGAGCTGAAGATGTAGCCTCTGCCCTCCCAGAGCTTATATTTCCTTCCAGTGGGGAGACAGAATTGCAGTAGAAATGGATGTTCAGAACTCTATAAACAGGGTGAGTGAGTGACAGGGTGGGATAGGGTGATTCCTGACTGTGGTCCCAGAAAGCCTTCAGAAAGGTGCTGTTGGAGCTGAGGTTAAGTGGCATGGAAGGTGCAGCCATGCAGAGCTGTGGAGGCAAAACATTTCTGGCAGCAGACGCTCCCCTACAAGGGCAGAGATCCCCAAAAGGGAAATGGCCTGGCATTTTCAAGGAGCAGAAAAGAGGCTCTTGTGGATGTCCAGGACAGAGCTCAAGAGGATGGAGGTGTCAGGAGGCCAGGCTGCAGCCTCATCGGGGGCAGGCAGGGCTTTGTCAGGCACAGGAAGGCGTTTTTCTGTTACTGGGAGCCCCAGGAAGCCAGGGAGCTGATGTGGTCTGAGTCGCCTTTCTCAAGGAGCCCTCTGATGGCTGTGTTGAAATGTGCAGGGTGGAAGCAGTGAAAAGGAGTGAAGTCTCCCACACGGGAGACACTCCCCACTCCCGTGACCATGCATTCCAGTGTCTGACGGTTTAGCAGTTTAGCCATTTTCCTCTTAAGGTGTTTTCAGAAAGCTGGAGAACCCCCAGTTCCATGATCATAGAACCCTAAAAGTCCAATAGAAACTGCTCTTAGGAACTCTTCCCAGGACACTGAGTTGGCCCCTTCAGCCTTTATGACAGAGGCTCTGTGATTTCAAATCAGCCCAGGATTTTGAACTCTGACCTCAGCCTTCCACTACCACACCTACCCCAACTGCCCTGAGAAGGTGGCAGAGAGAGCGCCCAAGCCAGGTTCTCAGCCCAGTTCTTCTTCCGCATTCAGGTGCGATTCCAGGCAAGACTCGTCCTCCCGCTGTGCCTCAGTGTCTGCCTCTGGAAAACAATGAGTTGGGCCAGTCAGTCTTTAAGACTCTACAAATCCTAATGTTCTCTTCATCCAAGAGGACACGGGTAGGAAGGGGAAGGTGCCGCCCGGGCCTTCCCCCTGCCCACTGACCCTGCAGCCAGCTCATCCTCCTTTCCCTGAGCCGGCTCCACGGACTCGGTTCCGGCAAACCCAGCTCCCACTTCAAGCAGAGGGACTTGGGCGCCTCTCTGGGCCTCATCTCTGTCCCCAACCCCAGCCTGCCTTGTATTTGTGTATTCAAAACCCCCTGCAGCATCCCTTTTCAGGGAAGGACGAGAGAGGCAGCTGGAGTTGTTAGAAATAAAATTAACCAGCCAGACAGCCTGGGTCTGCCACTTGGTTTTCGTACTTTTGATCTGTGTGACCTTGGGGACTTATTTATCCTCTGATGCCATTTTCTCATCTGCAAAGTAGAGACAATAGCCACTGTACCTCACAGAGCGTCTATCAGGATTAAATGGGTTCGTATCTGTATTTAGAACAGTGCCAACCCATAAAAAGCACTCTTGAAGTGGGGCATGGTGGCACACACCTGTAGTCCCAGCTACTTGGGAGGCTGAGGCAGGAGGATTGCTTCAGCCCAGGAGGTTGAGGCTGCAATGGGCTATGATTGCACGGCTGCACTCCAGCCTGGGTGACAGAGAGAGAACCTGTCTCTAAAAGAAAAGAAAAAGCATACTTTAGACATTAGCTATTATTATTATTATTATTATTATTATTATTATTATCCCCTGTCCTTTCTATAGAGGAAGAAGTCAAGGCTCAGAGGAGTTAAGCGGCTTGCCTAAGGTCACACAGCTAGTTGGTCTCAGAACTTGGTCTTGAACTCTCAACCTTGCACTTCTTGCATGTGTTGCAGGGCTCCCCATTTGCAAACATGGCTTCCTGTTCTCTCTCATCTCAGTTTTCCAAACTCTGATAATTTTTACTTCCCAGTGTCTGCTGAGAAGATGAGCTTGAGTGACAGCATTAGACAAGAGTGGGCACATCCGACTACAGCTGTCCAATATGGGGAAAACGGCTCTGAATAGGGCCTTAAAGAAGTGAGAGCCCCCCGTGAATGGGGATAGAAAGTCAGCCTCTGCTGGCATGAGACGCACCCCCACTGGGGGCCGCTTGGGACCCGAGGGTTGAGAATTCAGTCACAGGGCTCAAATCCACTGGGCGACCTCCCAAAGGTTTGGTCCCACCGAGCGGAGGGGCCTGCACTGCAGAGTGAACGGGGACACATCTGGCAGGAACTGATTCCCGTTTCAGGCAGGAGATGACATGGTTCATTTATTTGAGGGGCATAGAAAAAAAAAACGGAAAGAATTACCCACCTCCCCATGGAGAAAACATCACCAAATAAATTAAAAAAAAAAAAAAAAAAAAAAAAAAAATGACAAGGAGAAAAGGCCATATTCCTGAATGCTGGGGGGCGGGTGGGGGTAGGCAGTGATGGGGTGGAGGTGAGAAGGGGAGACTGTTCTTGTTCTCCTGCTCATCTCAGTCTTTATTTTTATCCGTCACCCTCATTTTCCATTCCACATGTGTTCCAGGCCTGTCAGGCAGCATCAGCCCACAACCTTGTATTTATTTAAATTTATTTTCACATTTGGTCCTGTTAGGCAGTTTGTCTGGGCTGCAGTGCCTCCAGGCCCTCCCCACGCAGCTCTGCAAAGGTTGCGTTCCTGGCTGCAGGCTTCTCCTGCGGGCCTCTTCGGCTTCCTTTCAGTCTTCCTTTCAGTCCAGGAGTTCTCAGCCCATCTGGGGAAGGGGGGCCACGGACCACCCAAGGCATCCATGGCCCTGGGTGGAGAAAAATCTGCATCTTTCTTTTCACCAGCTTCTAAGTGAGCCGCAGCATTCTTTTAATTACAAATACAGAAAAAACCACAGTGGTATTAGCATTACCTGTGGCTTTGACCCCAAGAGACATCTCAGATATTTTCATATCACGTTACAGGTGTCACAGAAATCTCAAAATACCATTTACGCTCATCACTGCTCTGAAATTACAGCATGTATGAGACTGACTGCTAAGTCTCCTTGTTTAATGCATCCTGAAGCGCATACAGGATTATAACAACCTTTTAGAATACTTTGGTAACTGTATTTCAAAATAATTAGTTGGCTCTGTGGTTCCTTGTATTTTAGTGTGTGGAAAATAAAAATTCTTCTGAGAAGGGGGTGCCTGGGCTTCACCAGACTCTCAGAAGGGTCGTGGCACAAAAAGATGAACACCCCACCCTTAGTCCCTGTACTGCGCTAACCCTAGCTCCCCACTCGGGCCTTTACTGCAAGGCTGACGTCTGCTGGTTCTTAGAGCTGGCATCCTTAGCCTTAGCCGTACACCGTGTGGGGATGGACAGGGTGGGAGCAGGGAGGAGACAAGACCCGTGGCTCCATGTCACGTGTTCAGCTGAGGGTCCCTTTTCCAGCTCTGGACCACACTGTTCAACTGAGCCCCAGAAATGTACACCCCAGCATCTGCTCAGTGGGAGAGACCCAGTCAATGCACATTCTTGCCACCCCAGAGAGTGGGTGCAGCTGCCCTCAACTCTCCCCACCTGCTGGTGTGACCTAGGGCATGGACCTCTGTTTTTCTGTCTCCTAAGCAACTTGAATTAAGAACCAAACTCTAGAAGCAGTGAAGAGAGGTGAGGGAAAGAAGGGGGCAGGCTGCCAGCATCCCGTGGGGCAGATGTAGGGTTCGTACTCTCGGATGTACAATTGTCCTATTTTCCAGACCCTTCTTTCTCCTCCATGAAGGTGGTAACTGGGATCTGGCTAGAAAAAGGAAATGGATGGATTGCCTCCAACATTCTGTACCTCTCACCAGCTTGTGATTTCATCAATGAAGTAAAGCAGAGAGGGGTTAGAGGGCCCTTGTCCAGGGAGCAATCAAGGCAAGGCATGCAGAGAAGTGGGGGTCTTCATTGCCTCGCCCCATGCCGGAAGCCAGGGAGCCCATCCTGGATGTTCTTATTTTGAAAAGGTTCTCTGGTGACTCTGACCTCGCAGCAAGGGTTGAGCATCCACACAAAACAGTGTCCACACAGCTGGTACCTGGGATTCCTGGGGCCCCGGTGAGCACCTCTCCGCATCTCTGTTTCCCCATCCTCTGCCCTGGCTGTAGGCAGGGGTCTGTTTGCAAGGCCTCGGTTGTCTCACAGCTTCAGCTCACATTTCTAGGGTTCCTCCCCCAAGATTTAGTCTCTCCAGGAAAATATTTGTTGACTTCAAAGCAAAGCCACTCTGGAAGAGAAGCTAGAGGGAGCGGACAGCCCAGACTGTGCGTTTTCCCATTAATTTCTCCCCAGTTGCCTTCAGTGAGGCCCTTATTGTGATGATGATGATGATGATGATGATGAAGATTTTTCTGTCCATGGCCGCATCCTATGGCGTGCTTCCTCCCAGCGTGCTAAGCTCCAGCCTCCCTGGGGACCAGAGGGTGGCCTCTGCCATGAGTCAGACACCTCCTAATTTAGTCTCTTTGTAAATCTAATTAGCATGCTATTTACGCCAAGCCCTGTACCCCTGGCAGGGGGTGTGAGGCAGGGCCTGTGTGGCAGCCGCGGTACCAGTGCCCACCCCTCACCTCCTCCACACGCCGGTTCCCGCAGCTCCCAGCCTGGAGTCCCGTCTAACAGCTGGAGTTCATCTTTCATGTTGGATTTGGGAAATTGTTCCCCTCTCACCTGCCTCCCTGGCAGGCTCCTTCCCCACACCCACGGCCACCCACACTCCTGAGCAGGGCTGGCACCATGGGAAGTAGTGAGAATCATTTTACCCATGGAGTCATGCTCCCTCAAAGCAGTGGCGGGGCTTCCTGAAGACCCCAATGGGAATCAGAAGCAGAGCTGGCAAACTTTCTTCTCCATGCCTCTTCCTCTCCCCAGCACCTCTTGGCTGGCTTGTACCCTCCCTGGTGCCCCTTCGTTGTGGGTGCCAGTGAACCCAGTTCACCCTGGAACCTCCCATACTCCCCCTGCCTGCCCCATTGGCCACCCCACCTCATACCCCTAACAGTGACAGGTGTGTCTTGTTTTCCCCCTGTCTTGAACAAGGCTGCAGTAAGCACAGCTCGGCTGGGAGTTGTGCCTGTGTGTCTCACCCCATCGCCATCATGGGCCGTGAAATGTCCTAATCAACAAGTAAGAGGAACTGCAGAGTCCTGCTGGGCAGCTGTGGCAACAGTGGGCCACCAGGAACGCAGAAGCCTCCTTCCCAGCCCATGCTGGGCTCTGCTTGCCCAGGCGCCTACTAACTCTGTCCCCCGAAAGGGGAGAATAGTGCAGGGATGGGGCTGGGCACAGGGCAGAGGGAGAGGCAAGGCATTTCATGGCAAAGCAAAGTGTCACAGTTGTGCTCTCACTCTGTCCATGCAGGCTTAGGGCAGACCCTCCCTTCCTCTCCAGGCCTCAGTTTCTCCATCTGTTAAAAAGGAATTCATATCAAAGTAATTGAGAGTGAGATAATTTTTGTTTTTGAGACAGAGTCTTGCTCTGTCGCCCATGCTGGAGTGCAGTGGCGCAATCTTGGCTCACTGCAACCTCCACCTCCCAGTTCAAGTGATTCTCCTGCCTCAGCCTCCTGAGTAGTTGGGATTACAGGCACCTATTACCACACCCAGCTAATTTTTGTATGTTTAGTAGCGATGAGGTTTCACCATGTCTACCAGGCTGGTCTTGAACTCCTGACCTCAAGTGATCCTCCTGCCTCATCCTCCCAAAGTGCTGAGATTACAGGTGTGAACCACCACATCCGGCCTGAGATAAAATTTTCAGCATCGAAGTTGTCACAGGTTTACATCCCAGGTTGCAAGGTGCAGAGCACGTTTTCCCCTCCCTGGTTCTGACTAGTGCTAGCATCAACACACGGATGATATCTTTGCTCTTTTCACATGGGCAAAACGAGGCTCAGAGAGGAAATGTTTTAGGGAAGGTCACAGAGCGTGGGAAGAGAGGCCTGGTGGCTAGCGAAGCACACAGGTAGCAGGCGCCCACGGGCCTCTGGCAGGAACAAGGAAGAGATGCCCTGAGGGATGTGCACGTTGAGTGGGAGGCGGGATTGGCTTATTCCTTCATTCATTCAACAAATATTTGTTGAACACCTACTGAGTGTCAGATGTGATTCTAGCATCGATTCACAAAGTTCAGCCCTTGGGCAGCTAAGGTTCCAAGGATGGAAGACCAAAGAAACAAACAGATGCAAATGATGTCAGGTGGTGAGAAGAGCCACGGAGAAAAAGAAAGCCAGGGAAGGGGATTAAGGGAATCCTGGGAGGGGCAGAACCATCAGAGGAGGCCTTGACAGGCCTGGGTGAAGTGAGAGGGCCCAGGCTCTGTGGATATCTGGCAGAAGAACGTTCAGGCAGAGGGAAGGGCAGGTGCAGTGGCTCTGCAGAAGGAGGCTCAGGGGCTGGGAGGGGAGGTCAGAGAGGCCCAGGGCTGTGGTCAGGACTTGGCTCTCACAGGAATGAGATGGCAAGCCGCCTAAGGGAAGCAGGCAGGCAGTGATGTGACAGGAGTGAAGTTTCGGGAGGAGGTGCAGTGGAAGACACCCAACTTCTGTACATCCGCTGCCGAATGGAGAAACTGAATGTGATGCCTTCATGCGGTGGGCCATTATTCAGCCATTGCAGGAGTGAATGAAGCACTGAGCTGCTACAGCAGGCATAGCCCTGGGAAACACAAAAGGCCACTTGGTGGATGATTTCACGTGTGGGAAACATCCAGAAGAGGCAAATCCACAGACACGGGAAGCAGATTAGTGGTTGCCAAGGGTTGGGGGAGAGAAATGGGGAGTGATGCTTAATGGGCACAAAGCTTCATTTGTGGGGGACACAAAAATGTTTTGGAGCTAGATAGAGGGAGTAGTGGTTGTACAACCCAGTGAATGTAGGAAAAATGCTGAATTGTTCGCTCTCAAATGGTTAAAATGATGACCTTTATGTTATATGAATTGTATCTCCATTTTTTAAACATTTATTTTATTATTATTTTTTATTTTGAGACAACGTATCACTCTGTCACTCAGGCTGGAGTGCAGTGGTGTAATTATAACTCACTGCAGCCTCGAACTCCTGGGCTCAAGTGATCCTCCCACCCCAGCCTCCCCAGTAGCTGGGACTACAGGCACATGCCACTGTGCCTAGCTAATTTTTAAACTTTTTGTAGAGATGGGGCCTCACTACATTGCCTAAGCTGGTCTCAAACCCCTGGCCTCATAAGATCATCCTGCCTTGGCCTCCCAAAGTGCTGGGATTACTGGCGTGAGTCATCGCACTCAACCTAAAAATTTTTTTAAAGGATGCTGTGTCTGCCAGGGGTGGGGGTGGGTGAATTGACCCTGAGGGGCAGGGGCCTTTCCTAGGAGTGACTGCCGTCATTCAGATGGGGCCTGTGGAGGGTGAGGAGCGGTCAGCCGCTGGATCTGTTTTGAAGGGAGAGTCAATGGGATTTGCCAATATGGGGAGGGGAGGAAGGGAGTTAAGAGTGACTGCACAAGGTTTTTGGCCTGAGCAGTTAGAAAAATGGAGTTCTTACTTCCTGATACGGTAAAGCAGTCGATTCAGTGAGGGCATGATGGAATCCGTAGGTTAGCTTCCAGCGTGTTACGTTTGACATGCTTGTTAGACACCCAGATGGAGACGCCAAGAAGGCACATGGGCTGTGCTGGTAGATACCTAGCGAGCAGCTCCAGGGCCTCGGTGAGGGGCTGCCTCATAGCATTTAGTAATCTCTGTGGTGTCAATGCTCCTCGATGGCCGATCTCAAGCTACTGGCGTGGCCTCAGCTGGCTCTCCCAGATTCTAGAAATCCAACCATTGGCTCTCAGGAGCCTCTAGAACCCCATCTACCACCATGTGGATCCAGGCTGGAGGCGGGAATGAAAGTGTTGCCAACACCCAGATTGTATTTAAAGCCACCGGTGGCCGGCATGGCGGCCCACACCTGTAATCCCAGCACTTTGGGAGGCCAAGGCAGGAGGATTATGTGAGCCCAGGAGTTTGAGACCAGCCTGGGCAACATACTGAGACCCCCATCTCTACAAAAAAATTCAAAATTAGCTAGGCATGGTGGCGCACACTTGTAGTCCTAGCTGCTGGGGAGCTGAGGCAGCAGGATCGCTTCAGCCCGGAGATTTAGGCTGCAGTGAACTGTGATCACACCACTGCACTCCAGCCTGGGCAACAGAGCAAGACCCCAACTCTACCTAAAACAAATGAATAAATAAAGCCACCGCTCTAGCTGGGTTCACTTGGGAAAGGGATGTGGATAGAGCAGAAAGGAGACTGGGGACTGGGCAGCCCCAGGACACCCTGATGCTTCACTTTAGGGGAGATGAGGATGACTGAGGAGCCACCCCCAAGGGAAGGGGAAGAGGAGCAAGAGGGAGCACTGATGACAGGAGGAAGATTGAGGCGAAGGAGGGAGTGGAGTGTGCAGGAACAGAGGCAGGACTCAGAAGACTTGGAGGCAGCCCTAATGTCTTTCAGTAGTGGCAAATTAACACGCATATCTTAGTCCATTTCTGTTTTTGGCATGATGCCTTGTTGTGATAGCCCTCATTAGGGAATGTCCAAACCTGCTAACATTTACAGAGCAGGTCTACCAGGATTTGTTTTTCTTTTCTTAATCCTCTTGGCCCTTTTCTCTCTCCTGCCTCCAGAGCCCTCCTCTTGCACACCAGGGGGCCACCCTTCTAAGAGGGATGCCAGAGGTCCCCTCCCTAGCTCTGCAGATCACTCAGATATGCTAAATAGTCCTACAGGGACAGACTGTGCTTAAATAAATAGATCACCAAAGGGAATTGAGAATCAGAGGAATCTCAAAGGCATTGTGCTGAAAGAAGCCACTCGCTATTGCCCTGTGCTGCATAATTCCATGACATTCTCAAAAAAGACAAACTTATAGGAACAGAGAACAGGTCAGAGGTGGCTGGGGGTGGGAGAGGAGTCCCTGTAAAGAGACGGGACAAAGAAGTGCTGGGGGCAGTGGGACTGTTCTGTATCCTGGTTGGAGGGGATAGGTAACAAGAATCTTTGCATGTGTTAAAATTCATAGAACTATATACCAAAAAAAGTCAACTTTACAACATGTTAATTAAGAAAATAAACTATAAATTATGGAATACCCCCACACCCATCCCCCAAAAAGGATGAAGTGAGAGGCACCAGCATGAGCAGCAGCACTGGTGGGCTTCTAGACTAAGATAGCCCCATCCTTCTCTCCACCGTCATTAAATCAGCAAGTGCGTAATTTGCACCCTCCTATACAGCTAGAAAGGCCAGTTAGAGGGCCTTGAACACCGCTGTGAGATTCAATCTAATTCAGCAGGCAATTGGGAGCCATAGATGGTCCTTGAGCATAAGTGATGTACTCAGAGCTATGCTTTAGGTTGATTAATCTAGACACATGGAGAATGGGGGTGGTACCAGTGGGCAATGACAGAGAGCACCGGTGGGTGGGGACTGGACGAGGGGTCAGGACTGCTTAGATGTGGGGTCTATAGGAAAGGCAGAGGTTGAGATGAGGCTGCAGTTTAGAGTTCCAGCAATGGGAGTGACAGAAGCTCAAAAGGGCAGGCTGGGGGAGGGGCTAGATGGAGAAAAAGATGGGAGCTGCCACCATCTGCCACCACCCTGCTGTGCAGCGGCCAGGTTCCATCTTTACCTCAGTATAGCTCCTCACCTGAACACCCTCCACCACCTTTGCATGCCCTCTCTTTCCCTCTGTTAATCTGTCTTTGAATCTGATCCTCTCTCCCTGTCTCTCTGTCTCTCACCTGCCTTCCCACGTGTCTTAGTCCATTTTGTGTTGCTTATAACAGAATAACTGAAACTGAGTAACTTAAGAAACAAAATTTATTTCTTACAGCTATGGAGGCTGAGAAGTCCAAGGTCAGGGGGCTGCATCTGGTGAGGGCCCTCTTGCTGGTGGGGGCTCTCTGCAGAGTCACGGGGTGGTGCAGGGCATCTCGCATGATGAGATTACTACGTGTGCTCATGCAGTAGCTCAGGTCTCTCTTCCTCTTATAAAGCCTCTAGTCCCCCTCCCAGGATAACCCATTAATCCATTAACCCATTAATCCACTAATCCATGAATGGATTAGTCCATTCATGGGTGCAGAGCCCTCACGATCCAATCACCTCTTAAAGGCCCCACCTCTCAATACTGCCACTGAGGATTAAATTTCAACGTGAATTTTGGAGGGGGACATTCAAACCCTAGCACCATCCTTCCTTCTCTGTGTCTGTCTCTATCTTCTGATTTTTTTTCTCACACTCACACATGCACAGCAGATAAACACATGCAACTCATTCATTCATGCCTTTATCCCTTCGTCCATTCACCCATAGCAACTATGCGGCCAATACACATACACGCCCCACGCCCCAAAGATAGGGAATATGTCAAGTAGGAGGAGCCCTTTGCATGCCTGAGCAGCCCTGCCTGGGGGCAGCTGAGTGACACACAGGACTGTCACCAGGGATGGTCACCCCTCTACCCGGAGCCCAGCACCCTGTCCCAGCCCAGGACCTATTCCTTAAGACATTTGTGATGTCTTTGTTCACTGGGAAGAGGACCCAAGACCGGGCAGCTCCCTTGGAAGAGGACTAGAAAGGAGAGGGAGATGAAATTACCTGCTCCTTCTTGGCTCCCAGGGTTCCAGGACACCAAGTTTATGGCCTCCTATGACGGTGGGATCCCTGATGTAGAAAGGCAACCCAGAGAGGGCAGACAGTTTGCACGAGGTCACAAAGCAGGCCAGCGCCAGTCCTCGCTCCCCATCTCCTGTCCCCTCCACTCTTCTCAGCTCCCTCTCTGCCACCCAACCATGCAGGAAAGGTGGAATCACTCTTGGAGGAGAGGCAGACTCACTCTTGGAGGAGAGGCAGTGGAATACAAAGCGGTGTGATTAGCAGCTGTAGCGGTGTCCCCTCCTGATTTCCATAAGGCATTTAGATTTCTTTGCCTGGCCACACATTTCTCTGTGGGAAGAGGGAAATCATTTTAGCATAGGAAATAGCCAGAGCCAGGCAGCTGCAGATTGGGAGAGCCAGCTCCCAGCTCTGCACCCTGGCCCTCCCTGCTCCCTGCCTGGAGGCCTCTAGAGGGCCTGGCCAGAAAGCAGAGGGCTGGAGACCCAGGAGGCTGGTGAGGCCAGCGAGTACTCCCTCTCTGCGGTGCTGCCCCTCAGGCCCTGTGATTCTCCCCAGAAGGGGCCCCAGAAGGAGGGGCAGGACAGTCCTGGGCTTGGGACAGGCCTGGGTGCACACATCCTTTTGCCCTGCATTTTGGACTCTTCTCCGTGCATCT
This sequence comes from Homo sapiens, assembly GCF_000001405.40. NCBI lineage: Eukaryota > Metazoa > Chordata > Mammalia > Primates > Hominidae > Homo > Homo sapiens. The sequence goes on from NC_000010.11 coordinate 71,634,353, forward strand.
CTGAAAACACTTACACCCCACTTTAGCCCCCTGCCCCAACCCCAGCCAAAAGTTGGGTGCAGAGTTTGCCATTGGAGTGAGGAAAGGGATTGAGGCCAGGTAGAGTGATGAGGTTCAAATTAGCAGATTCTGATGAGAATGGCAGACCTTGAAGTTGGAAATATGGCCACTGGGGCTGGGAGGCTTGCCTGGGGTTGCAAGACAGGGCCACAAGGAAGGGATTGCTGAGTTTTCCACGTGGGCCAGGTGCCTTCCAAACAGAGCCCATGCTGGAGGAAGGGAGAAGAGGACATGGCCTGGCTTCCCTGGGATCGTGGGAGGCTGGAGGGTAGAGCATGGTGTCCTTGAGTTAAGAACTCAGGCCACATAAATCCTCTGTGGTTCCCTCTGTCCTTTGCACATGAATTACCAGTCCAGGTGGCTGTAGCAGCAGCAGCTGCTCCATCTACAGAACTGGAAAGGACCGTGTGTCCCCCGATCTCCACATAAAGCTTGCCCTTTGGCCATACCCATGGGCGTGATTGAGGGGAGCCTCACCCTCCTGGCTAGCCCCTCTAAGCCCACTTTGTTTCAGGAAGTACCCTCTGGGCTGACTGCTCTAGTCCCTAGAGGTCCAGGGTCTGGAATGCAGAAGAGAAAGACACAGCAAGGCTGAGCTATGAACCATGTGACATGGGCTTGGCTGGGTCCCAGGAGTTGGAAGTCTGTGCCCAGGAACAGGAGTGGGTACAGACAGGTGGTAAAGTATAACTGGGCTTTGGAAGTATAAGATTCCCATAGTGCACTGGGTCAGTGGGCTGCAGATTAGGAAAATAGAATTCAAAAGCACCTGCCCCTCATTTGCCTTAATGCAAGTACCAACGCACATTATAATTCTTTTCTCAGGAGAACGGAGGCTGGCTTCAGGGCCGACCGGAGGGAGTGGGGGAAGGTCTGCACGTGCAGGTGAGGAGGACCTGCCCACCTCGTGCCTTCATCTGTAGACAGATAATACACACATCCGCGGTGAAAATGATGGTGCTCTGGTATTCTTCCCCCAAAGTGCCAGCTGCCAATCGGATTGAATTAGATTTCACAAGGGTTTTTGAAATACATGGAATTCACCAGCAAATTACCCTTAAAGAGGGAAAATCAATCATTTGGAGCAGAGATAAGCTGAAGGCGAGGCAGCCTCGGATTGATCCCGTCTGTGCAGGCGTGTGTGGAATTCAGCAGATAACCTGCGGAGAGGAGGGAGGGGAGGCTGGCTGAGAGGTACAGGAAGGGCAGAGAGGCAGGGCAAGAGGGGGAAGGAGGGAGTTGGAGAGGGAGAGATTGGAAAGAGGAAGGTGAGAGGGCAAGAAGGGGGGAGGAAAGAGAAAGGAGAAGAGGGACAGAAGAAGGAAAGGAAGAGGAGAGAGAGAAGAGAGGCTTAGTCTGCACAGGCTGCTGTAACAAACTACCATTGACGGTTGGCTTGTAAACATAGAAACTTATTTCTCTCAGTTCTGGAGGCTGGGAAGTGCAAGATCAAGGGCCCAGTAGATGTGGTGTCTGGTGAGGGCCTGCTTCCCACTGTGTCCCCACATGGCTGGAGGGGCAAGGATTGTTCTGGGGTCCCTTTTATAAGGGCACTAATCCCTTTCATGAGGACTCTGCACTCATGACCTAATCACCTCCCAAAGGCCCTGCCCTCCTTGCGGGTTAGTATTTCAACATGAATTTTGGGGAAGGGGACACCAGCATTCTGTCTCCAGCAGATGAGAAGAAATGAGGGCGAGATAAAGAGAGAAACAAGCAAAGGAGTCACAAGAGGAGGCGAGGAGAGAGGGGAGGAGAGAGAATCAGGAGAATGGGAGAGAGAGTTTGGGCTGGAGTCATGGAAAGCAGTTGGAAGAGCACAGTGGGCCGGGTGCGGTAGCTCACACCTGTAATCCCAGCACTTTGGGAAGCCGAGGCGGGAGGATGGCTTGAGCCCAGGAGTTCAAGACCATCCTGGGCAACTTAGGGAGACCCCATCTCTGCAAAAAATAAAAAGCATTCGCTGGGCATAGTGGTGCACACATGTGGTCCCAGCTACTTGAGAGGATTGCTTGAGCCCAGGAGGTTGAGGCTGCAGTGAGCAGTGTTTGCATCAACTGCACTCCAGCCTGGGTGACAGAGTGAGACTCTGTCTCAGAGAAAAGAAAGAGCACCACATTAATGGGCATTACGGGCCTTAGAGAATCACCCCATCCAAGCTTCCCATGTGGTAGATCAGAAGCCCAGAAGGAAAACAGGGCCTTCCCCAGTTGCGTAGTAATACAGGGCAGCTCCAGAGAAAACAGACTCCTGACCTCAGGCCCATGGTACTCAAGGGCCAAGCCACAGAGGAGCTTGGGGAGGGGACATAGGTAGGAGGATGAAAGCCTGAAATGAGGGTGACGTCCTTCACCTTGATGCAGGCCCAAGAGGTGCTCCACTCCCACAGTGGAGAAACGGAGGCCTGGAGCCATGAGTGGCGGGGCAGGCCTGAAGGGCAGAGGAAAAAGAGGCAGCAGGGCAGAGCCACCCACCATGTGACATGGGCTTGCTGGGTACCAGGGGTTGAGGTGGAGTCAGAAACGGAAGCAGTGTCCTCTGCCAGGCTCCTTCCACTGCCTTCTGTATCCTGGCATCTCAGTGGGCAGAGAGACTTAGCACCCCCCTTAATGTAGGGGTTGGAGGGAGAAGCAGCTGGCTTTGAGTTGAAGGTGGAAGGAGAGGCCTACCTCCTGCCGAGGTCCCCTTTGCCATGTCTGATTGGGGTGAATTAAGTGAAAGGATGGACAAAGAAGGATAAAGAATATGTATTCGATGGGCTTTTATTTTCTACTGCTCAATGTTATGGATGAGACCAACAGAAAGTACAGCCGAGGAAGGAGGGAAACCTGCGCCCCACGCCCAGGGTGGGACTGGTGGGTCCCGTCACCCAAGCCTTTGCCCTTCTCTGCCTGCTCCTTTCATTTCTGGCCATGGTCTAGAAATCAGCTCCTTCCCAGGGATGCCTCCTCTCCTACCCCCACTACTCCTAGAACAATAATAATAGCTCTCCTCTATTGAACACTTATTCCGTCCCAGATGCTTGACCAAGATTTGGCAGCTCACCCACAGTAGCCCTATCAAATAGGCTGCATTCTTCCCATTTTACAGATGAGGAAATTGAGGCTCAAGGATATAAAATTGTGTATGCAAAAATCACACAGCTGTAAAAGGCAGTGCCTGAGCCTAGGCTCAACTCCAGAGGTTGTGGCTTCCAAGGTTCTATACCCTGGAAGCTCAGGTCATGGGGCTCTTCCCTGGCAGACCCGAGTTGGGGACAGGGTTGGTTTTGGTGAGGGCAGCACTGACTCTGGGGGCCCCACTCCGCACTCCAGATTCCCAGCCCCGATCCAGCTTGGGCTGAGGGTGTCACACCAGCCCACCAACCAGAACTCCCTGGGTGCCTCACAAGAGCCCTGGCCCTTTATCTTGCCCCAGCATCCCCCTACCCCCCGACCCCAAACATAAAGGTGGCCTTGGTCCTTGCTGTGGCTCCTGAGGCCACCCTGCCTTCACATGACCCTGGTCCTTCCTCTTCCATGAAAAGGAATTAAGACCTCCTCCAAGGGCACATTGTAGTTTACAGGGTTGGTTGACGGTCCCCTAGCATTTGAGGTACAAAGAAAAGAACACACAAGGTCCCTGCCATAGGGAATTTCCTGGCTTAGGCAAGAAAACACAATTCACATGCTTACAAAACACGGGGGAGCAGAGAAATGATACTGTTTTCATTTAATTCTGTGAGATGTGCTTACCCTCCCCACTTCACAGATGAGGAAATTGAGGCTTCAGGAGAGGAAGTGAGTTGTCTAAAGTCACACAGCTAGGAAGTGACCCAGCCTGTTCCTCAACGTTGAACTGTGCTCTCTTAACATTGCGTCACGCCCCTGGGTCACTAACCCAGGGGCCACCCTGACTGATGGCAGAGAGAGACAAACATCCCGGAGAGGCAAGCTGGTGTCACCAATAGCAGGGCAGTGCCTCAGGATGGGGAGGGCCAAAGAGCCAGAGAGACAAAGGAGGCATCTGCAGGCCTCGTTGTGCTGGAGGGAGCCTGGAGGCTGGCTCAGGCCTCCCTCCCTTTGGGGGCCCAGGCCACCTGCAGCGGAATGCGCCAGTGCTGAGAGCCCTCAGGTAATGAATGACCAAGGGAAGCCATGCTTAGAAGTCAGGCCACCCAACCCAAAGGCAGGACCTAGACTGAAATCCACCCCTCTGAGGCAGGGAAAGGTCTGCATGCAGGTGGTTAAGTAGCGGAAATATCACCCTTGACCCTCCCTCCCAAGGGAGTATTTAACGAGCTGATGTCTGTTGAGGGCCCAACATGTAAGCTCAACAAACAGCTGGACAACCACGCTGGGTCAGCACACGGAGCCGGGTCTGCTGGGACAGACTCAGGTCGGCTGGCTCTGGGAGCCTTAGAGAGACTAGGAGGGAGCAGTGGCTCATCTGACCCTTCTCAAAGCTACCCCCCACTTCCAGGAATGGGAGGCAGGGAGGGGGCAAGGTCTAGGGAAGTTGCGGGGCAGCCCTCCTGGCAGCCGGCTGATAAGGCGCTGCCCTCGTGGGGGTGGGAAAGCTGCAGCCCTAGGAGCAAAGTGCAGGAGCTACACGGGGAGGGACCGGCAGGGAGCCAGGAGGGATTTCATGTGTCCTTCCCCTCCCAAGAAATAAATAAAGCTAAGCTGTCACCTCGGCCTCCCCGCGGGCAGCTGCCAGCTCCGCAGCCTGTAGTGGCTGGGCTCTGGCTCCGGGACCCGCGGTGGGCGCTATCAGCCTTCTCATCGCCTCTCTCAGCTGGAGGAGAATTTAATCCACAGGCTCCTCTCCACACACACTAGGGCTCCTTTTGATGTTTCTGTTTATCTCCCTTCCAACAAAATCGCCCCTCTGCAGCTCCAAGAGCCCCTCCAGCCTCCTCCGCATCTCCACCCCATGAAGGCAGTCCCCCAGCCCCCTGTGGGACAAGGGCAGGGAGGAGGCCTAGCAGGAGCAGGGAGGTGGGTGTGCCCTCCACCAGTCCAGGCTTTGTGCCCTGACCTGAGCTGAGGTGCTTGTGGGCCTCCTTCTGCCACGTGTGGCACAGGGAGGGGTTCACTATGCCAGCTCCTGGCATCGCACTTGGAGCAGCGTTCTGTAGTGGGAAGGCCAGGAGAGCTGCATGGTTAAGAGCTCTGACTCCGAGGCGGGGTGGGGGCAAACTTGAGTTCCAAGCCTTCCTTGGCTGCTGTGTGGCTTGAACACTTACCCCCTCTGGCCCCAGTTTCTTTCTCCAAGAAAAGGAGTGGACTGACGCTGTCTTTGGGCCATCGTGTGGATTCTGGTTAAGGTGTGTGACGCCTGTGTCATAGCCGGGCTTCACAAATGGAAGCTGTTGTCATAAAAGGCTCAGCAGCACAGGACTGCGATCAGTAGGGGTTTTGCACCAACTTAGCAAACTGGAATATCTCTCTCTCACACACACCCCTATCCTGAGGGCTGACAGTCACAAATCCAGACCAAGCAGGAATTGGCCAGCTGGTAAAGTCCTGGAAGGAACAGGCTGAGCATTTTAGAGGACTTGGTCAGTAGGTGATCCTGAGGGTCTTAGGACATGTGTCCTGACCACTGCAGCGTCTGGCCTGCGTGAGCTTTTCCAGCCCCTGGCAGCAAATCAAGGAGAAGGGAGCAAGTCTCATTCATTTGAAACCCCAAGAATTCTCCTAAAGGGGTCAGGAAGCTGTCCCGAAGGCTTGTCCCTCTGGGTGCTCCTGCCTCACCAGGTAGTTAACCAGAAGCTACACTGAGCTCACACCATCTTCCAGGCATCTTTGAGCTCAAAATCACTGAGCTCACACCATCTTTTCAGTCCCTCACTGTTGACCTCAGCCTGCACACGATTGGTGCCGCCCCAGCCGACACATGGTTCTTCCTAAGCCTTCTCTGCTCATCCACCATACCTTACTGCTTATACCTTACAGGCCAATGCTCTTCAGTTCTGTCTTGCTTCTTCCCAGCATCACTCTATCCTGATGGTTCTCAGACATTAGTGAGCATCAGAATGCCTGAAGGGCTTGTTAAAACAGTACTGGGCCCAGTCCGGGAGCGGTGGCTCACGCCTGTAATCCCAGCACTTTGGGAGGCCGAGGCAGGCGGATCATGAGGTCAGGAAATCGAGACCAGCCTGACCACCATGGTGAAACCCCGTCTCTACTAAAAATACAAAAATTCCCCGGGCGTGGTGGCGCATGCCTGTAATCCCAGCTACTCGGGAGACTGAGGCAGGAGAATTGCTTGGACTGGGACTCGGGAGGCAGAGGTTGCAGTGAGCTGAGATCACGCCACTGCACTCCAGCCTGGGCGACCAAGCAAGACTCTGTCTGAAAAAAAAAGAAAAAGAAAAAGAAAGGAAACGGTGCTGGGCCCAATCCCCAGAGTTTCTGACTCAGAAGATCTGGGCGTGGCCCCCAATTTTGCATTTCTAACAAGCTCCAGGTGATGCTGATGCTGTGGTCCCAGGACCACACTTGGAGAACCACTGTTTTACCCTTGTAGTTCTCATCCTTGGATACACTTTGGAATGAATAACTGGAGAGCTTTATAGAATGCGGATGCCTATGCTTCCACCCCCTCCCTCAGTCTGGTCTCCATGGTCTAGGGTGCAGCATAGGCAGCACCCTATGTAAAGCTCCCCAGGTAATTTTGATATGTGGCCAGTGGAGAACTACCCCTCTTTGCCTCTCCAACTGCTCACCTTTTTCTCGACTCCTATAGGTGCCTCCAAGCTACTCTCCCTGCCGCAGTGATGTCTTCCCAACCCTGGCTATGCAGTGTGGTTCCCTGGGGAGCACGAGAGAAATGTAGCTTTTCCCAGCCCCCAGAGATGATGACACACTGGCTCTGGGCATCTGCATTTCTTTTTAGAACGCCACTGGTGATTCTGTTGTGTATCTAGGGAGAGGAGGGCAGCACCGGTGTGATTCGCACGTGGCTGCAAGGCCACCTCCCTCTCCCCTGCTGCAGAGCTCAGAGTGGCTCCGTCTCGCTCATGGAAATAATGCCATCCTCAGGATGGCATCTGCCTGGGACTCCAAGCTTCTCGACATGGACCCTTTGCAAATAATAAGTCATTGATGATTCTTCTCCACACTCCGTGCCTTTGCTTAGGACAGTGCTCCTCAAAAGGTGGCTTCAGATCAGGATCAGCGTCGCCTGGAACTTGGTTAGAAATGCAAAGTTACAGGCCTCAACCCAGGCCTACAGAATCAGGAATTCCTGGGGGAGGGAGAAGAATCGGGGAGCAATCTGCAGGTGATTCTGAGACACGCTAAGGATCTAAGGATCAAGAACTCTGTGTTTAAAGCTACTTCCTCCACCCGAAATCCCTTTTCTGCCAGTCCAAAAGAGTCCAAAAATAATACCTTCTGACCAGACACAGTGGCTCATGCCTGTAATCCCAGCATTTTGGGAGGCTAAGGAGGGTGGATCATTTGAGGTCAGGAGTTTGAGACCAGCCTGGCCAACAGGCGAAAACCCGTCTCTACCAAAAACAAAAAACAAAAACAAAATACAAAAATTAGCCGGGCATGGTGGTGTGCACCTGTAGTCCCAACTACTCGGGAGCCTGAGGTGTGAGAATCGCTTGAACCTGGGAAGTAGAGGTTGCAGTGAGCCAAGATTGTACCACTGCACTCTGGCCTGGGCAACAGAGCAAGCTTCCATCTAAATAATAATAATAATAATAATACCTTCCTTCATTCCTAACACCAGCTCAGAACTCCCCTTCTTGGGGCAACCTCCTCTGCTTGTCCTCCCCTTAGACTGGGCCCTGGAGCGCTCAGATGGTACATCTCAGTTTGTTCTGGTAACTAACATTGCTGACTGCAAGGCCAATGCATTTCACACTGTGGACTCGTGCTGCCAATGGGGAATGCCCGCATCAGACATGAGCTCCACTTCCTTGGCTGGGGCAGCAGCACAGGGTTGTGGGAAGGTGCATTGGCCCAGAAGCTGGCCCGGCCTCTTTTTTTTTTTTTTTTTTTTTTTGAGATGATGTCTCACTCTGTCGCCCAGACTGGAGTGCAATGGCATGATCTCGTCTCACTCCAACCTCCGCCTCCCGGCTTCAAGCAATTCTCCTGTCTCAGCCTCCCGAGTAGCTGGGATTACAGGCGTGCATCAACATGCCCAGCTAATTTTTTTGTATTTTTGTAAAGACGGGGTTTCACCATGTTGGCCAGGCTGGTCTCGAACTCCTGACCTCAAGTGATCCACCCACCTCCGCTTCCCGACGTGCTGGGATTACAGGCATGAGCCACCGCACCCGGCCTGGGCCCGGCCTCTTATCCCCCACTCTGCCACCAGCTCCCTATGCAACCATGGGCTGCTCAGTCAACCTCTCTGAACTCAATTCCACTGGAGGGGCTGGAGGGGCCCGTGGGAGGAGTAGCAGTAACACACAAGGAAGAGCTGCTGAAGCCCAGGCACTCCCTGAGCACCCACTGTGTGTCATGGTCTGCTGGGGAATCTTCACCACCTGAGGCATGGTCTACAGCCTCAAGGGGCTGCTGACATTCCAGAATAATCACAGAGGGAACTGTAACCCAGTGATGCAAGTGCTCTGCAGCCATTAAGGAAAACAAAGCAAATACTTGGTACTTACAAAGTGTTTAGAATAGTGCCTGACCAAGAGTAGGTGCTAGGTTGTTAGTGTCCTCGTTCGCATCATCATCTATATGCACAGTTATGGACCAATCACCAAGATGTAGTTCTAAGTGAAAAGACTGGACACAGAGCAATGTGCATAGCATGCTGTTAGTGTCACAGCAGGGTGGCATGTACCCATAATGGTCATATAGGCATGGATTTCCTGGGGAAAGAGACCCAGGAATGGGGTGTGGTGGCTGCCCTGGGAGGTTTGTCAGTACCTGGGCTCAGGGGGAGAGGGAGAGGCGTGTGTTCCCCTTACACTTTTTAACTTCTGGAAAATTTGCCATGTCTCTGCTCATCATGTCTCTGACATTTTTTATGTTAGGAAAATAAAAACATGGGGGTGTTTGGGGTTGTTTCCTGCAGGGATTTTATCCAGGCTCCAGGGATGTAGGATGTAGGGATGGCCCCTCCCATCCCAGCCTACACTGAGGCCTTCTGGGTGAGAGTGGACAGAGATCAGGGAGACAGGAGCCCTTGCCCCCCCCTCACCTCCTCACCCTTCATGCCGTTGAGCCTCTTCTGGGTCCCATGCTTGTCCCTCTTCTTCACTGTCCAGCACACATGTGTGCACACTCACACAATACGCCTCCTCCAGACCCCAGAAGCTATGGCCCATCAGAGGCTGGGGACAGCTGCTCCTCTAGGGTGTGATCCTGGGGTCCCTCCCATGACCCAGGGTCTCACTGTCTTTTCTCTCTGGTTCCTTCCTCCTCTCCATACCTCTCCGGCTCCTTCTGTCTGTCTCCATATCCTTTGACTGACCGACTCCCATTGACAGAATTTGGTAAGTGAGCCTCTGAAGGGCAGGGGTTGGGCTTGGGGAGGGCTTGTGGTGGGCACAGTGGGGAGGGGCTTTGAAAAGGGCACAGCTCAGCCCTCCCCCACCCTCTCAGGCCCCCAGCTCCTGTGGTTGAGGGACCAAAGGTTCAGGGGAAGGAGAGGAGTTGGTGTCACCTGTTCAAACTGTCACACCCCACTGGCTTCAGCTATTAGTGCCCCTTCGGGCATTTAATTGGTCCCTTCCATGTGACGGGACGCATTCCACACCAGGGAGCGCTGCAACCTCCACAGCCTGACAGGCCCAGAGGAGCCTTGCCCCCACATCCCCTGGGGAGCCACTTTGGGCTGGGGCTCTGGAGCCCCGCGGCTTGCCTGGACCCCAGAATTGGCAAGAGAGGGCTTAGGGAGCTCAGCTTCCACCTCTCCATCCAAACCTCTGTGCCAGTAACAGGGCACAGGCCTGTCTCCAGGCTTTAAGAAAAGTCTAAATGCAGCAAGTGTATTTGCCAGTTTGCTAAAATGGGAAAAACCCAAGAGACTGATGGGTAAACGTTAGCATGCATTCATTCCACAAGTGCCTTTGAGCATTTAGGGGGCAGCCCCAGGGGCCCATGAATCTTGTGAACTCTCAGGCTTCACTGGGGGTATCACTTCCTGATCATTCCCCCTCTGCCCTGAGCGGGATGGGAACCAGCCTTGCAGGGACTATCCCCTTAGACCACGGAGAGTCTTTGGGGCCAGGGTGACCTCGCAGCCACCCTCTCACCAGGAACAGGTTTCTAAGAGGAGTCCCACAACATACCCTAAGCAACCAAGATGTGAGGGTGGGCTTCCCTTGCCAGCCACTGGTTCAAGAGAAAAGGGCCCATGTGCCAAGCTGGCCACTGGGCTAGGGGTGGGCTCTGCACCATAAGCCAGAGCCTCTGCCTCTGGACTGAAAGCCAAGGTCAGTGACCTACTGGGCACCTGCAAGAGAGGTCAGAAGGAGGCTCTTACACATCACAGGCCGCCTGCCCAGTTGGAGGGGAGTCTGGGGGCGCAGGTGATCCCCTTGCCCCAAGTGCAGGCAGGAAGAGGAAGTAGAATCACTTTCTGAGCAGGCCAGACCTCAGGGAGTCAGTAAGCTGAATCTCCCACCTTCAGCCATGTCTCCTCCCCATGATCTGGAGACTTCAGTCACATCACATGCTTTCTGTGAGGAGAGTCAGGTAGCATCTGAGGGGCTCTGTGAGCCACAGCCCTGGTTAGAATAATCAGAAATGCCTGAACTTGAGTGAGGCACCCACCTCCCTGAAATGATGGGCTTGGGCCTCTGGGACACAGCAGAACCTGTGATGGGGTGGCCACCCTGTGCTCAGTCTGGGATCCTGGGCCCCCCGGGACTGGCAACAGTGTGGGATCCCTGGCCATTCACATTGCCACTCAGTCTCTGGGTTATTCCCATTTCACATGTCAGCAAACCAGTGTTCTCCCTGCTGGACACGTTCCAGAGGAGGAGGGGAAGAACAGCATCTGCATCCCTTGTGTCCTCTCCTGGCCAAGCCTGTCATGGCCGCTTAACTGCTTCTCTTCTCTCCACTCCCCTCACATCCTCTCTCCTCCTCCTTCCTCTGTCTCCCCGCTGGGTCTTGCAGCTGGCCGGTCCCTCCGCAGCTGGGGTCACTGGGACAGAGAAAGGGAGCAGGAAATGGAGAGTGAACCAAACCACCTGAAGGGGACACTGTGGGCATCCGACAGCACAAGGAAGGAAAAGAGAGCCAGAGGAGGTTTCCAGAGGGCCTAGACATGGGTGGGTCATGGAGTCTTGGAGCTGCTCTGGGAAAGCCCTGCTCTGTCCCAGCGCCTCATCCATTGCCCCAACCAAAGCAGCTCTGGGCTCACTCTCCAGGAGCCTCTGCTCCTCCATTTGGGTCTAGGCTTTGGCCACTGTGCCCTTCCTGACTGGCTTCTTCTGCACTCTTGACCCAGGGCCTGAACAGCATGTTTGAGGTGTACTTGGTGGGGAACAACTCCCACCACTTCATCATCTCCCCGACCTCCGTCCAGGGGAAGGCGGACATTCGTATTCGGGTGGCCATCCCACTGGACTACGAGACCGTGGACCGCTACGACTTTGATGTAAGGCCCCACTCACTGGCATTTTGGAGTGGGGTGGGGGGTGGATTTCAGGGGAGGCGAGGGTAGGGTAGAAGATTCCCTTAGATCCCACCTTCCACTGCTGCCCATCTTCCCTTGTGGATCTGACTCAGATAAGCCCTCCAAGAGACGGCAGGGGCCGGGCTGAGTCTCCCTTTTCCAAGGAGGAAAAGGATATGTCCAGTAATTGAGTGGAATTTTACCAGACTCCCATCAGGAGCCTCTGCAACCCATCTCCTGCCAGATCAGCCCCTGCTAGCTCCTCCTGCCCTAGCAGAATCAGCAGCCATCCCTAGAGCAATAACAGACGGGCTCGCAGTAGCACAGAGCTGGGATGGGCAGAGACTCTAACAGGTGCTCTGGGCTGGGGCCGGCAAAGGCATGGAGAGGACTTACAGGGACAAGGACTCTGGGAGGGGACATGTGGGAGCTTACCTGGGCCCCTGTTCTGCACCCCCAGCTCTTTGCCAATGAGAGTGTGCCTGACCATGTGGGCTATGCCAAGGTGAAGATCACTCTCATCAATGAAAATGACAACCGGCCCATCTTCAGCCAGCCACTGTACAACATCAGCCTGTACGAGAACGTCACCGTGGGGACCTCTGTGCTGACAGTCCTGGTGAGTCCCCGCTTCACTGCAGGGCCACTGAGCTCTCCAGGGCCGACTGTGGTGAGGCACCCAGAGGGATTTTGTCCAAGGGACCTCAGCAATCAGGGAAGGAGGCACCCCCAAATCCCTGAGCTGTGTTTGTTGGTGTATTAAATAAAGTTTTTGGACTCTTCAGGAAGGGGCTCCCTTGACCTAGGTTGCAATATGGAAAAGGAGCCAACCTGAGGGGTGACGAGACTGAGCTGAGGACACTGGTTTTCTGCCTTTCCCCGAGAGAGACTCAGTGAGGGTGGGCTGGGAGCCCTGGAAGCCCCCTCAAATGGGTGGGAAGGTGCCAGCCATCCTTGAGAAGGGCAACCCTCTCCATGTGAGCACAGGCACCAGAGAGGGGCAGGCGCCTGGAGGGTACCGGGGCACCCCCAGCTGCCCATGGCTGGACTTGCCCTTTGACAAGGGGCCCTCCCAGTGTCATTTGTATCTGTCAGTACTCTTGGTTGCAAGGGACAGAAACCCTTAAGTAGTTCAAGCAAAAAAGGATTGGCTCATGTAACTCAAAAGTATAAGTGATTTCAGGCCGGGCTCGGTGGCTCACGCCTGTCATCCAACACCTTGAGAAAGCCGAGGTGGGCGGATCACTTGAGGTCGGGAGTTTGAGACCAGCCTGGCCAACATGGCAAAACCCCGTCTCTACTAAAAATACAAAAATTAGCCGGGTGTGGTGGCACACGCCTGTAGTCCCAGCTACTAGGGAGGCTGAGGCAGGAGAATCGCTTGAACCCAGGAGGCGGAGGTTGCAGTGAGCCGAGATTGTGTCACTGCCCTCCAGCCTGGGCGACAGAGCCAGATTCTGTCTCAAAAAAAAAAAAAGTGCAAGTGATTTCAGGCACGGCTGCATCCAAGCACTCAGTTGAGCAGGGATCTGTCTTCAACACTGGGCTCTGCTTTTTTGTATTGGCAAAGAGGGGCACCAGCACCTCTAGGCTGACTTCTTACCAATTTATCACCCCTAGTGGGAAAAGTTCTTTTGCAGTAATTCCAGCAGATTCTCATCGGCCCAGTTGGTTGTGTCATCCTGGAACCAATTGTGATTCTGGTATGCCGGGGAGGGATCACACTCCCCCTAGTGGACCCAGGGGTTGGGGTCAGCCCCGCCTGAATTACACCGTCTGAGAATGGGGAAGGGGCTTCTATTCTAAGACAAGGGATTGAATGCTAAGCAGATCCAAGTGGTAGATGTGTGCTACACAAGCTCAGAGTCTTGCCCAGTCGGTGCTCAATAAATGTCACGGAGTTTAACTCATTGCTTTCTCCTCCTTGCACACCTGGGGCTCCCAGAGTCCTTGCTTCCATTTCTTGCTCCGTCCCAACTCCAAGCAGAGTGATACCAAGACCCCGCTCCGAAGTGTGTTTACTCTACAGACAGATGGTATGAAACTGCACTGAGCCCCCAGGCCCTTCCCCTCTGACAGTTATTAATATTTCAAACAGATGTTTAGCCAGTCAGGCTGTCAGACGTAAACAATAATTCTGCGGCAGCTGTTTTCTTCACCTCCCGCGTCTCTAGCCCATGACTCCTCCAGCTTTCACCAAGGTGCTCCCTGCAATAAATCACCAGGCGCTTGAGGCCCCCTGGACCTTCCTTCAGCCTCTCAGTGCCCAGCCAGAGAGCAAGTGCCAGAGGCTCTGGCCTTCTGGACCCAAAGTGTGTGTCTTTACCCACCATCCCCCTTCGAAGGACTGGGTAAAAGGCAGCCAACAGCCTATGCTTTAGAGGCCTCAGAGTGGAGGGGAGGCTCTGTCCCCTGTGGGTCTGGGACCACGTGGCAAAGAATTCTAGTGTCAGATCCAGGCTTAGTGGGTGTCAGGGGATTCCTTCCAGGTGTTCTTGCTTGGGACAGAGTTTCCTCACTTCGTAGTCCCAAGTTCCCATGGTCCTTGGAAAGGGATGGGGAAAACCTATAGAGCCGGGAGGAGATGTGAAATATGAGAAGGGGCATCCCTTGGTCGGTGGTGCCAAGGACAGCTGTGTCAGGCCCAGTCCAGTTTGGGGCTGGCGCTGGGGAGCAGGCTTTGGTGAATGTGAGCCGAGCCCCTCAGGCTAGGTTTTTATCCAGAACTGGGGCAGCTGCTGGGCCTGAGCTCAGCCTCCTCTGTGAGTCGCTAGGAACCAGCAGATCCGGCCAGCCTCCCTGGGTTCCTGGCTTCCTTCATCCAAGCCTCACCCACCCCCTTCTCAAGCTCCCAGCCCCAGGGTTTATGAAGCCATGAAAGGTGAGGGCCCATTTCATCAGGTAACAGCTCTCACAGCAGGACCGTGTGCCTAAAGGAGTTCAGGCCCTGCAGGGAGATGGTGGGGACCCCGCGTGCTGGCCTATCCATGCCACTCTTAGCGCCTTCATTTTCTCATCTGCAAAATGGGCCCCAGAGCTAGTAAGTGACTAAACTGGAATTCTGTTCCTGTAAAGGAGATATAAAAACATCCTGGGTGACCCACCCTCCCCCCTTCCTCTCCCAGTCTCCCCAGGGTGTTTCCTGGCCACACCCTCCACACCGCCCTGCCCTGCTCTTGGCCTCCTTCACCCGGCAGCTCTCTGCTCAGACCCGGGGTCAGCCCAATCTCTCCACCTCCTCTGCCACAAAAGGGGCTGAAATTATGGCTGCCTGCTCAGGGACTGTAAAATTCCTTCTCCGTGACCTTTTCTGGGATGTTATTAAAATGTTTCATGGGGAGTTGTGTCAGGAAAAAAATTATGAAGAAAAGGAAATGTTTTAATATGCAATGAAGGCAGGAGCCGAGCGTCCCCAGCTCTCATCCTGGCGTGGCCCTGCTTCAGTGGCTGGTCACCTGTCCTGGGGGAAGGTGGTCATTTAACATGGCTTGGGGAAGCTGGAATAGGAAGGGCTGTCACCACCAGTCCAGGTGTCCTAGCAGGGGTGGAAGGGCCAGACTTTCTCACCTCCCAGGTCCCTGGACCTTATGGCCCCCAGTTACAGCAAAATGAGTTTCCACTGGTGGCAGGAAAAGAGTGGGGACACCCTCATGCACACAGTCAGCGCTGGCAGAACCCACACATACAAAAAGTCCACCTTCTGTATGTATACAGGGGTTTTGCATATATGGAGTACTGTATTTTCCATCCAAATTTGGTTGAAAAAAATGTTGTATGCAAATGAACCCACACAGTTCAAACAGGTGCTGTTCAAGGGCCAACTGTATCTCTAACCTGTTAAGTAGGCGCTGTTATTCTCACTTTACAGATGAGGAAACAGATGAGGCTCAGGGAGTTAAGTAACTTGCTCAGGGCCCCAGGGCTAGTAAGTGACTAAACTGGATTCACACAGCGACTCCATATCCCAAGCCACAGGCTCTTAACCACGAGGCCACCCATCCAGAAGGTTCTATGTGGGACCACTGAGCCTAGTCCTTTCAGCAACCTTCAGAGCTGAGGGTAAAGAGAGGAGCCGGAAAGTGCTCTCTGCGGTATCCACAGGGACAGGTCCCAGGGTCGCTCCAGGTGGTGTGTTCTTAGGTGGCGCTCAAGACTTTTAGGGCCTGTGGCACCACCAGGTGAATTTTCACATCTCTGAGCCCTAAGCTGCTCCAGGGACAGAGCTGTGTGAGTGTTTTCACTGATGGAGAAACCATTTCAGAGATATTCGAGCACTTTGCTCAGGGAAGCAGGAATACCAAGGCAGCCCAGAGCTGTCTCTGTGAGGAAAGGTCCCCTGGAAGGAGGGAGGGTTCAGGATGAATGTGCTCTGAAGGGTGATCACACAGAGGAAGGATGTGCGGGGGTGCATATGTGTATATGTGCGCAGGCATGTGAGGTATGCTTGTGGGATGTGTATGGGGGTGTGTGTAGGCAGGCATGTTTTTTTGTGCCTGTGCATGTACATGTGTTTGCAGCTATGTATACTCAGAGGTATGTGTATGTAATATACATGTGTGTGTGCATGTGTGCCTGTGCACGTACATGTTACGACTACATGCATTTGGGGATGTGCGTACACTATATGCACAAGTCTCATGTGCACACGTGTGTGTACATGTATGTGCCTGTACCGATGCATGGATGATGCTGGTGGCTCCCCATCCTCTAGGCTGTGTGGTTTATTCCCTCTCATATCCCAGGCTGCTCTGTGATTCACACCTTCCAGTCCTGCCTCCTGACCTGGCAATTGAAATCAGATGAGAAGGCCAGGGAGTGTCTTATCCTGGGACCCTGCTAGGCTTGGGGCAGCCCTGCAGCCTGGCCAGTGTCTGGGGCCTGGCAGGGTTTGTGGGCACCACTGGACAGTACAAGAAGTACAAGAGTAACCTAATCATTTATTCATTCATTCATTGATTCAACAAACGTTTGGTGAATACCTGCTGTGTGCTAGGCACATGGCCCTGAGGACACATGGTGATGTGAGTCTTGTACTTATAAAGTTTATAGTCTTCCAGGAAAACTGGACTAACTACGAAATGAATCTTCACACTGAGTATTACTTGCTGTGATGGAGAGATCAGGGAGTACGCGAACCTCTAATAGGGTACCTGACCT
The DNA here is from genome assembly GCF_000001405.40 of Homo sapiens. Lineage (NCBI taxonomy): Eukaryota > Metazoa > Chordata > Mammalia > Primates > Hominidae > Homo > Homo sapiens. The sequence continues at coordinate 71,651,156 of NC_000010.11, forward strand.
TGCCTGGGGTCCAGGAAAGCTTCCCTGAGGAAGTGGCATTTGAGTAAGCATTAACTGGTGAAGGCAGACAGGGAATAACATTGGAGAAAAGAGGCTGGGAGCAGTGGCTCATGCCTGGAATCCCAACACTTTGGGAGGCCAAGGCAACTGGATCACTTGCGCCTAGGAGTTCAAGATCAGCCTGGGCAACATGGCAAAACCCTGTCTCTGCAAAAAAAAAAAAAAAAAAATGCCAGCTGTGGTGGCATACACCTTTAGTTCCAGCTACTGTAGAGGCTGAGGTGAGAATGTCACTTGAGCCCAGGAAGTTGAGACTTCAGTGAGCCGTGATCCACTGCACTCCAGTGAGCCGTGAGCCACTGCACTCCAGCCTGTGCAACAGAGTGAGACCCTATCTCAAAAAAAAAAAAAACCACTGGAGGAGAGAACAGCATGTGCAAAGGCCCCGTGGCTGGAGTACAGTGAGGACGTGTGTGATGTGTGGGGAAGTGGGGTCCTGCTCCTTTGAAGCACAAGAGGCTTGGCTGTTTCTCTTCTTCCCAAATTGATACTCCCCACAATATGCCCTTTGGGATGCTGTTCTGATAGTGGGGAAGGCCTATATCAAACCATCCATACCCCCTTGCCTGTTCCATCCTTGTGACGGTGGCAGGCGTTTGGGAAACAGTTGGCAGAGGTGGTACCTAGGATGTGTGAGGAGCCAGCTTGGCCTCTTGCAGCATGGGGCACGTGTCCCTCTATTTATTAGCTCCATGTCCTCTGGGCAGTGGGAGAGGCGAAGTGCTGAGGAAGGGTGGCAGCCCCCCTGGCGCAGGGCTTACTGAGCTCCAAGGCCTTCTATCCCTGCTGCAGGGGGTGGGGCATGGCAGAAATGGGCAGAAGATGGACTTCAGACAAGACAGGCTTCTTCCCCAGTCGGAGGAAGCCAAGAAAGGAGAGGCCCTGAAAAGTCCTGACTGGGCAGGTGTGGGGCCCCAGGACCAGCTTGTGGTTTGCTGAGCCGTGGGTAGAGCTCCACCTCTCAGCTCCAGACAGACAGGGCTGGCTGGAGGTGGCCTAAAAGCCTGCTCCTCTCTCATCTCCCTGCCCCCTCTTCCCAGCCTGTCCTTGGGAGGCTGGCAGCATCTTGGGCAGGGCCACAAGACATCCAGGGAGTCCCTGCAATCCTGTCTTACTATGAGCTGGTCACTCCTTCTCTGGGACTTGGCTTTTTTCCTATGAAATGGGAAAGTAGTGCCTGCGCAGCCTGCAGTGCTGGGTTGTTGGGAGACCCATTGCAGTGATGTGGTGTAAACAGGTAAGATTTACAGATGGCAGGAGTGGGTATTTTCATCACTGGCCTTCAGGGTCTCACCTGGCTGCCCACCAGCCCTTCGGCCTGTGGACAAGCCCAGCTCTGCCGCAGTGGACCCTGGACAAGACACCGGGCCTCAGTTTCCTCTTCTGTGAGCTGGGGGAGATAACCTGCTAGGAGCCTACCTTGGAGGATTGTTGTGAGAATCAAATGAAATGATTCATGAAGACACAGCACAGAGGCTGGCTAGGAACACACGCTGGAAATGTCAGCAAGTCATGCCTGGCCTCCTGGCTGAGCCTCCAGGGAGCACGGGCCCTGGGCAAGGACACCACCCTCAGAGCTGTGGCCCTGCCTCAGGCAGCCATGTGACCTTGGCCAGTCACTGAACCTCTGGGTCCCAGTGAGATGACTGGGCCAGGGGCTGGTTCAGGGCCTTCTGGGTTGGTGAGGCTTTAATTCCAATTTGCACTGTCCAAGGAGAAAGGGGAGCCATTCTTGCTGTTTAGTTTCATGCCCAGCAACATGAACGTGCCACCCACCCTGCAAGGGTCCCCACCCACCCACTGGCCTCTAGAGCCCGTCTCCTGCCCTACCCCTCCTCTCTCAGCTCCCATCTGGAAGTCTCAGGAAGATTCCCCAGGACTTCACTTCCCCCTCCTAGAGCTAACTGGCTTTTCCTCCTGGTCCAGCCCAGCCTCCCTCTCCTGCCACATCAGCAGACAGCCCTGCTGCATCAATGTCAGCCCCATTGCTGTTTGTCCCCATCTCTCCTTCCCCTCCCACCCACAGCATTGACCCCACAAGGAAAAGGTGGGTATGATGTCATTGCCCTGGGCTGGCCGTGTTGAAGGCAAGCTTCAATCCTGGAGGACTTCAAATGCAGCAGGCCTGTTCCACCAGCTGTAAGGCCACAGGGCCTCTCCCTCTGCTCTGTAACTGTCAGGACACCCCCAGCCTTCAGGCTCAGAGATCACCCCTGTCCCTCCATGCTGCTGAATCCAAGAACTCTAACATGGGTTCTACTCAAGGTGCTGGAAACCTAATAGCCCAGCCAGATGATCCAGGAAAGCCAGTTCACTGCCTGTCTTAGTCTTGGTGCTCCCTGGGGCAAACCCCAGTTCCTCCCTGGTCCCTCTGCCCCCAGCAGAAGGACATGTTGCTCTGCAACATCTGTGGAAGCCTCTCAGCTGTATCTATCTACTACTGCAGGAGGGAACCTTGCTATAGGAGCAAGGCTTTGGAACCAGAAACCCAGCTTCAAATTCTGGCTCTGCTGCCTGCTGTCTCTATGGCCCTGGGCAGGTGCTTAGCTGTGTCCTGACCCTCAGTCTCCAGAGTGTGCTGTAGAGAGAATAATAATAATACTTATCCCACAATGAAGAGAGACGGGGCATTTAAAGCACTTTGTGTATTAGAAGGCACTGGGTAAATGGCAGGTGTCTTATCTGGGAGTCGGTGGAACTTCAGAGAGCATTGGTATTTAAGCTTGGGTCTCTTGGTTCCTAGATTTTCTGCCTTTGGCTGTGACTTCCCTAGACTCTGGGTCCTCTCAGTTGGTGCGTTGGTTGAGTTTTTGTCTGTGCTCAACCCCGGGAAGCCAACACACTGAGTCTAGCCTCAAGGAACAGAACACAGAGAAAGGTTAAACAAGCTTGCAGGTGAGAACCAAGCCTCTTCGGAGGGACGCAGACGATAGTTGCTGCCAGGTGTGCGACCTGTGCGGTGGTCTGGGGACATGGACTCGGAAGGGCCCCAAACTTGGTGGAATGCTCTGCTGTCACCATCTTGAAATTCTGATAATTTCTGAACAGAGGCCCTGCGTGCTCATGTTACTCTGGGCCCTGCAGCTTACGTGGCTTGCCCTGGCACAGGAGTTTATCATTCTCTGCCCAAATAAACTCAGTGGCTCTCCACGGTTTTCATCGATCCCTACATTCAGTCAACAGTCAGCAAAGGCTGAAGTGCTGGGGCCTTCTGTTCCCACAGAGCTTGCTTCAGTTCTTATTGCCGCATAAGAAACCACCCAAACTTAGTGGCATAAAGCAATAGCTGTTTTTAATACAAATGGCTCATGGATTTGGTGGGTCAGGAATACAGAAAGGGTGCGGTAGGGAGGCCTTCTCTTTCCTTGGGATCTGAGGTGACTCGACCAGCTGGAGTCTGGAAACAGAGGGCCCGGAGGATCCATTCTGATGGTGTTCTCACCCTGCCACGACTGTGCCCTTGGCTCATTTGGCTGAAGGGTGAGTGCAGCCGGACTGTGGCCCAAGCACCCACATGTAGCCTCCCCACGTGTCCGGACATCTCCCAGCATGGGAGTTCTGAGCAGGCGCACCCCCAGGGAGGCCTCTGGGGGAGGAGTGTCCCAAGAGATCCAGACAGAAGCTGCGTGGCGTTTTTCAACCCAGCCTCCAAGTCACACTGCATCATTTCTGCTGAATTCTGTTGGTTTTAAGTCACCAGGGCAAGTCCAGATTCAAGGAGAGAGGACGTAGATCTCCCCAGCTGTCAATGGAGAGAACGTCCAAGAATTTACACACACGTAAATGTCATAGAAACACTCAGAGGTCACTTTTCCATACCACTTCTGAGCAGTCATGCATGAGCACAGTGCCATGATGCCACAATTTCCCTCACCTCCTCCTGGAGGGCACAAAAGGAAGCAGGAGAGCAGAAGGGAAACCTGCAAATCCCCTTTCCAGCCTGGGACGAGCTCTCCGTGACTGGGAAGTGAAAAGACAGTGATCCCTGCTGTCCCAGGCACTCCCTGGCCAGTGGAATTCAAGCCTTCTAGACCTGGGTTGGCCTCTGCAGCCTGGCCTTGAGCTGCTATTCCAGCCCTTGCCCCCATACCCCTCACACCCTTCTCTCCTGCCCACTCAGATCCTCAACACCCCTCAACCCTCAGCATTTTCTTGCCACGGCGTCTTTACTTGCTACTCACCTGCCTCTCCCTCCTTCCTATTGGAGACCATCAAAATCTGCTGAACCTCAGGGCCAGCCTCCTTGGCAGCACCGCCTTAAAAAGCCCACTTTTCCTGGTAACTGGCATGTGTCACCTCTCGAGTTCCTCTGCCTCTTCTCTGGGGCCCCAGCATGCTGTGTGCCTTGCTGTCTGTGGCTGTTCCCACCCCTGTATGAGGGCTCGCTGGCAAGTGTTCCTTCCCCACGCCACTGAAAACCTTCCCCAAGCAGGTTCTCTCTGTCTCAGGGGCCCCACCCATGGTGTATGCAACACAAAGTAGGCTGGACTCCTACTTTGGTGTCTGGGGTGGTCTGGGGTATCTAGGACAGTTGCTGGAGGAAGGAATGTGGGCAGGAGAAGGTTAGCAGAGGCCTCATGGGGACACATGAGGCACAGAGATGGTAAATTACATACACAAGGCCACCCAGCCCATCGGCAACGGAGATGTTTGTCCAAGCCTGAAGCCTCATAACCCCACATTTCACTCTCTGTGCCAGGCTCCCCCAACATCCCCTCGGGTGACAAGCATATGCAGAAGACTGCTGGCCAGAGAACCCCAAGGCCTGGCTTCCAGGCCACTGAGTTGCTGTGTGACCCTGTCCCATTCTCATACTCTCTCCAGACCTTAGTTTCCTGCTCAGTCCAAGGAGAAGATGGGCTGGAGGCCTTCTGAATGCCCTTCATAGATCAGGCATCCCTGGGGATGCAGACCGCAGCCCCAGGACCAAGGCCAAGGGTAGGGAGGTGTAATGGCCACCAGCTTCCAGGATCGCCTGGGCCTCCTAGTCCTAATCAGGGCATACGAGTCCAAGGTCAACGCTGAAATCTGCCCTGCCTCTCAGTCTGGCCCTGTAGACAGGTGGGCGGGAGCTGACCCTGCTTCCCTGGCTACTTCTGGGCAGGGCCAGGTGCCCTGGGCCTTCCTGGCCCTCTGGGAGCCCCTGTGTCTCCCTGGATCGTCTGCTCTCCTCCTTCCCCTCCCAGAGCAGAACTCTGCACTCTCTGGCACAAAGGGTGCCCTCCAGATGCAAATCCAGCGACTATTTAAGGCCTGGAATGACAGTGGTGAGCCAGACAACTTCCCTGTCTGTTCCAGGGGCAGGAGGCAGATGATGAACAAGGAATTTCAGAGCCCATGGGATGGGGATGAGTGATGTGGGGAAATACGACTGGGCAGGGGCGGGGAGTGCCAGGGCTGGGGTTGCTACTGCATCGTTATATCAAGTGGTGCAGGAGGACAGGCCTCTCCTGGAAAGTGACATGAAACAACCTGGAAGGAAGCCAGCTGGGATCCAGGTTGAAAATGCAGGAAAGAGTAGCCCAGGTGAGGGATGCAGGTGAAAGACCCTGAGCAACAGCCTGGCTGTGGTGGATGCACAGAGAGCAGGAGGGGCATGGAGGCCGGGAGGTGATGAGGCCTGGGAGCCCATCGTGGGTAGCAAGTCTAGGAGAGCCCTGAGGATGGATCTCCTCGATGCTCCTCAGTGGAGAATAGGCGGGGGGTAGGGGATGGAGGGGACCAGGGTGGAAGCTGGAGACCTGCCCTGAGGCTACTGCAAGAAGCAGGGAAGGATGAGTATCCAACCACGCAGGTGGGGACAGTGGAAGTCCAGATCCCTCCTGCTGCTTCACCCTCCTCTCCCCACCCTTGCTGGAGTTGCTTCACTCTTCTCCTTCCCAGGCCAGCAAGGTGCATGCGTCTCCATCTCCGCCTGACTGACCAGGTGGGCCCTGCACCATCCCGAATGTCAAGTGGAAAGGGCTGCAAGTAGGCCCTAGGCGGGGTTGGGGTCCTGCCTCGGCTTCCTGCCTGCAGGTTGGCCTTGAGCCGGTGACTGAAGGGCTCTGGGTTTCCATTTTCTCAACTATAAAATGGGAAGAGTAATTCCTATCTCAGCAATGCTATGAAATAATGTATGGCCAGGTCATAGGCCAGGGCCTGCCTACAGCAAGTGCTCCAAAAGCGTACCAATGCCTGCTGTGTCAGACCTCCAGGGTTCTCCATGGTTTTCTAGAATAGTCGTCTCTCCCTGCTTCTGATAGCATCCATTCGACTTGATTCTACCATTGTATAAAGCTGATGACAAAACTTGCCAACGTGAATTATTAGTAAGCCTGGGAGATGATAACAGGGCCCAAGAGGTAGGCCCGGTCCACAGGCTTTAGCAAAACCAAGAGGACAAGCCGGTCAGAGCAGGGTAGACAGCCCTTGCGCCTCTGCCCAAGAATCATCAGAAGCTGGACTTCCAGAGCCTGCTCAGCTCTTCCAGCGCATTCCCCAGCACCCCCCTGCCAGGTATCCTCCCTCCCCACCCCCTCCTGACACCCCCACCATTGGCATCTTAATTGATCTCATTGTTCTCAAACCCTTGAGACCTGAGACTCCAGCTGTGCTTAAACAGAACAAAATCTCTTCCAATTTCCCCACCGTTTAAAAGAAAATTGAATTCTTTATCTGCAGCCTGGGGAGGGGAAGAGGGAGGCTAAATAGAGAGGGACACATACACACACACACACAGACACACAGAAAATAGTAGGTCATTCCAGCCCTGCCCCCAGGCTGGCCTGGAAGGCCTCTGTGGACACACTCGCTCCCATTTGGGGGTGTCTACGGATGTACTTCTGGGCCCCTTTAATGGGCTCTTCTGTTCATCTCCCTCAGAGGGGCTGGGGTGGGAGCTGGAGGAGGCTGAGCTGGCTGTCAGTGATTGACGGGTCCGGAGTTCCTCTGTCAGGCCTCAGCGCCCCTCGCCTGTGTTTATCTCTTTAATCTAAATATCTGTCTTTGAAACCTAAATGGCGTGGAGTGAGAGGTAGGACCGGGGTAGAGAGAGAGAAAGAGGAAGAGAGAGGGAGGGAGGAGAGAGCGAGAGATGGAGAGAGAGAGAGAGAGAGAACATAGCAGGCTGTCGCCTTTCTTCCACTGCGGCTGGGGTGCCCCCGCCTCTGCCTCGGAAGTGAATTGTCCTGGACCTTGTGTGAGGTCTGATGGTTTTCAGCTGATTGGTCATTCAACAAATTGATTTTTGGCAAATTGATTTAAGGCCTCACTGCCTGTCCCGCCTTTGAAGCACTCCACAGCCTCTGTCACCAGCACTTCCAGAATCTACCATCCTTGACCGAGCAGCTCTGTCTGCGGCTAATCTTTGCCCCTTTGCCAAAACAAGAGGATACTGCGTTCATCCCAGGCCTGGTGAAGCAGTGGTGTGAGCTTAGTGAATGCCAGGCATTTTACAGGGCGTTCCCTGTCTCTTCTGTACCCATTGTGTAGAAGAAGCTGGGGCCCGGAGAGGTGAGCGGCGTGTCCCAGGCCAGCCAGTTAGTGACCAGCCATGCCGGGATTCAGACCCCAGACGGTCTGACCCCAAAGCCCCTGGCTTCCCCTCCATTCTGCCAGTCACCCTCAGGGCTCACCTCCCAAGCTGGGCTCCAGCCTTTTGGAGTCAGCTGTCTCCAAAGTCCAGGGAAAGTGGGCTTGCAAGGTGGAAGCAGCTCACTCCCTGGGTGACCTTGAGCAGGTCCATGGCTGAAGGGGCCTCAGCGTCCTCATCTGGAAAATGAAAGGGTTCTGCTGGACACTCTCTAAGGCCCCCTGTGCCAACAACACCTGAGTGTTCCTGTAGACAGTCACCTCCAGCACAGAGAGCCCGTGACACCCTGTGCTCTGCTCCTGTCAGAAGTCACCCTTCAGTAGGTTCGCTGCTGATTGTTCCTGCTCAGACAATCACTCAGAGAACACCAGAGCGAAGACAATGGACCCCCTGGGCCAGGGGACAATGGGCAGCTGTACAAGTGGCCAGCGCCAGAATGAGTTTGTAAATGCTGCAGACCAAATGCCTGTTCAGAGTCCACCAGTGCCATGAGCTAGGAAGGTTATGAGCCCTGGAACTCAGGTGACAGGGGAGAGAGGGGAGAGAGTGACAGAAGCAGCCACTGGGAACTAGGCCTGAGAGTTTGTCCAGGGAACATTTGGGAGAAAGCCTAGAGCAGCAGGTGGGTAGGGGACCCACAGAGGTTTAGGGAGAGGTTGAGCTGGCTCTGTGGGTTTGGGGTGGCTTAATCTCACTCTGTAATCTCTGTACAGGGGATAGTAGCTGTGGTTCCTACCAGCTTGTTTCTGGAGTGGCTCAAAGTTCCATATGCCTGTCATAAAAACGACATTTAACTTCATGACCCAGGACACATACTCACACGGACACTTATCTCCAGCAAAGCAGTACTTCCTGAACACATGTAATAATACACTCTAGTGTTTTCTGATTTAATTCTGCTAGATTTCATTTTCTAAGTGCTAACCATGAACGACTAGATTGATTTCATGACCAACTAATGGATAGATGTTCAACCAAACTAAGTTTGAACCTCTCTAGAAGGAGCCTTCTCTGCTTCACCATCTGATGAGGAGGAGGAAGGTAGTATCAACTTGTATTTCTCTAGTGTTCACTACAGGGAGCAAAGGGATAAAGACCGCGTCCTCCAGACTTAGATCACCCAGGTTTACCCTGACTCAGCTGTTTCTTTTCTTTTCTTTTCTTTCTTTCCGTTTTTTTTTTTTTTTTTTTTAGACGGAGCCTCGCTCCCTTGCCAGGCTGGAGTACCATAGTGCGATCTTGGCTCACTGCAACTTTTGACTCCCTGGTTCAAACGATTCTCCTGCCTCAACCTCCTGAGTAGCCGGGATTACAGGCGCGTGCCACCACACCCAGCTAATTTTTGTATTTTTAGTAGAGATGGGGTTTCACCATGTTGGCCAGGATGGTCTCGATCTCCTGACCTCGTGATCCACCCCGCTCGGCCTCCCAAAGTGAGTGAGCCACCGCGCCCGGCCTGACTCAGCCATTTCTGAGCTATGATTTTGAATAGGTTACTTGTATCAACAATGAGCCAGTACAGCCACCAGCAACAGAGACCCCAAAAACAGTTGTTTAAATACGATCAAGGTGTATTTTTCTCCCATGTAAAAGCAGTATACAGATGACCAGCCTTGGGCGGCTCCTTCCAGCTCTCTTCTCCACCACCCCTAGGGTGTGTCCCTCATCTTCATGGTCCCAGGTGGTTGCCAGAACTCCAGCCATCACATCCGTCTCTCAAGCTACAGGATGGAGGAAATGAAAAAGGGAACCTCCCCTCCCTTTTAAGGATACCTCCTGGAAGTGCTTTGCAAACTTCTGCTTTCATCTCACTTCACTGGTCAAAATTTCGTCTCACATGGCTGTGCTTAGCTGCAAAGGAGGCTGGGAAATTTAGCATTTTTAGCCAGGTAGCATTGTGTCCACCTTAAAAAAAAAAAATCAGTTTCTGTTAATTTGTGAAAGTTAGGGAAGGCATGGCTGTTTAGTCTCTGCCAGATCACCTCTGTGTGCCTCCATTTCCTCTTTTGGAAGTGTGGGTGGTGATAGTTCATTGTAGAATTATGTGGGCTTCAGTGAAATCATACATGTAAAGTGCTTAGCCCAATGCCTGACACAGACCAGGTGCTAATCAAATGATAGGTACTAATATTGAGGACCTGGTGCCAAGCTGCGCTCCTGTCACGTGTGTTATCGAAGCCTCATGACAACCTGGTGAGGCTGAAATTATCCTCCCCATTTTGTAGATGAGAGCACTGAGTTTCAGAGAAGGTAGCTCTGTGTCAGACCACACTCCCATGAAAGGGGCATAACGGAGGCACGAACCTCCTTGTCTGCAAGATGCCAAAATTCTTTCCCTTAACCATGGGGCAGTGCAGCCCCCTCATGGAGACTGAACTGCTCCCCGAGAGCCTGGCGAATCTGTAGGGCTGAGATGTGACGAGACAGAAACTGAACTTGATTAGCCAACATACAAGCTGACCCAGGCCCAGCGCTCCCTCTGCCGGCCCAGCCTCCTGCAGGAGAAACCCACCCACCCACCTAAAAAGGGAACAAAGCCAGGACAAAAGAGCCCTTTAGGCTTCCACTGTATCGCCACCTACAAACTGGTAGTCAGAAGATTCAGGTGTTTGACTCACTGAATGACCCTGGACCAGCCCCTTTTCTCTGAACACCTCCGTTTCTCCATCTGCAAAATGGGGAGGATGTTACTGTGCCCTCTCTACCTTCTGGGGACGTTTTTAAAACAGTGAGGCCAGAGTGTTTTGGATTCCTTGGGAAGCAAATAAATGAGATAGGCGGCTCTTCTCTCAGTGGGTTTCTCCAGCCTGCCTTAGGACATTCTGATAACTGGGGTGGGGTGGGCAGAGGAGTCAGGAAACCTAAATGTCAGGGGACTGGGAGTGAGGGCTGCTTCTTGGCATGGGTGCTCCTAGCGTACCCCTCCCACCCTGCGCGCCCTCCCACCCTGCGCGCCCTCCCACCCTGCGCGCCCCCTCCCACCCTGCGCCCCCTCCCACCCTGCGCGCCCCCTCCCACCCTGCACGCCCCCTCCCACCCTGCGCCCCCTCCCACCCTGCACGTCCCCTCCCACCCTGCACGTCCCCTCCCACCCAGCGCGCCCCCTCCCACCCAGCGCGCCCCCTTCCACCCTGCGCGCCTCCTCACACCCTGCGCGCACACACACAGAACCCAGCTGCACCATCCCTGCACCATCACGGTGCAGCCCTGGGCTGCGTGGGCCCAGGTGAGTGAGGGGCTGGGCCCGCAGCCTCTGCTGGTCTCACAGATCATGGGTGATTTATATTTCCCGCGTGGGACTTTGACCTTAATTTCTTCCGGCAGCCTGGGGCTGTAAAATTCATCAGGGACCTGCGGGCGGAGTGACGGAGATGTCAGGCGAGCAATCGTGTGGGTATTTAATCTATCAGATGTGTGGCTTGCCATTTAGGGAGACAACATGAGAATGTGGAATCAATATGGTTCATTAGTGAGCCGCATGTGCCAACCCAATCAGCACCCGCCAGTGACAGGCGTGGGGGGTGTCCTGCCAGGCACCAAGTCACCTTGGAGTGAGGACATGTCCCTGGAGCATAGGCAGTGACCAGCCTCCACCCAGGTACCTCTCTCCACCTTCCCACTAGACTGGGGGCTGCCTGACACCTGCGTATCCCACAGGGCAAGGGAGAGGAGGGAGGGTGTCAGACTTATGACTTGTGGTGGGGACACTGGGAAGATGCTGTCATGGTAGGAGGCGTCATTACCAGCCCAGGTTTCGCTGCACCCCCAGGGGGTTGACTGGACTGTCTTTGCCCCCTTCTCTCATCTCCTTGGCTCATAATGTCCCACTTAACTGAGCCTCAGACACGGTGTCTGTCCCCACATCTCTCAGGCCCTTCCCCTTTTCCTTTTCTACCACATCATCCCAACTCGATAACTGGCCCCAGAGAGGGCCCAAGTCCTTTCTGACTGTGAGCTTCTTGCTCCCTTGCCCCTTCCCTGGGTATCGCCTGTATCCGTTTCCTAGGGTGCCACCAGCTGGGCGGCTTAAAACTACAGAAATGTATTCTCCTGCAGCTCTGGAGTCAGAAATCTGAAATGGAGGGGCTGGCAGGGCTGTCCTTCCTCCTCAGGCTGAGCGGAGAATCCTGCCTGGCCTTTCCCAGCTTCTGGAGGCTCCAGGCGTTCAGGGCCTGTGGCTGCAGAACTCCAGTCTCTGCATGCGTCTTCTCTGTGCCTTTCCTCTGGATGTCTTTATGAGGACACTTGTCATTGGATTTATGGCCTGCCCAGATAACCCAGGATGGTCTCCTCAAAATCTTCCACATAATTATTTTCTCAAAGTCCCCTTTTCCAAATAAGGTCACATTTGTGGGTCCCAGAGGTTGGGACATGGATCTATATTTTGGGAGGTCACCATTCAACCCATTACACACCCTTGAAGGTGTCTTAAGTAGTGACAGGGACATGTTGATAAGGACGTGAAGGGCTAGCCATGGGGACCTGACAGCTCTTCCAATGCCGGCTTTCGTATTTTCTCTCCGTGCCCCGACCCGTCTCTGAACCACCCACCCCAGACTGCAGCCTCCTTGGGCTTCTCCCTCAGTTGCCTGCCGGGAATGCCGTCTCCCCTGCATCTCAAGGCCCCACCTCTTCTTCCAGCTGCAGCTCTGCTCTGCCTCCTCCAGGAAGCCCTGACTGACTCATGGTCCCTGGACTCCTCTCGGCCCTTGCCTCCCTTGCCACTCCCTGTCTACACCATCCTTGGACTTTTAACCTCTGGCCTTGCTGGGTCTTTTTTCTTGCCCCGTGTGGGAACTGTGACTTCAGGCATGTTGCTTAACCTCTCTGAGCCTCGCTTTCCTTGTCCATAAAATGAAAGTAGTATTAGTACCTGTCTCATAGAGTGGGAGTGAAGATTAAATGTGTCAATACATGTGCATTTCTTAGAATAATGCCTGGAACCCAGTAAGGATTAAATCAGTGAGCATTACTACTATTTTTGCAGTTATCGTCAGCCAGTCTCTTTGCCTGTAAAATGGAATGTGACCCCTGTGTCTCTGGTTATTTTAAAGATTAGGAAATTAGCCAAGCATGGTGGTGGGCACCTGTAATCCCAGCTACTCTGGAGGCTAAGGCATGAGAGTTGCTTGAACCCAGGAGGCGGAGGTTGCAGTGAACCAAGATCGTGCCACTGCACACCAGCCTCGGCGACAGAGTGAGACTCTGTCTCAAAAAAAAAAAAAAAGGATTACGGACTGGTTGCATGAAGTGCCTTGCACAGTGCCAGGTCCACAGATGGCACTCAGCAAGGGAATGACCTGTGCCTCTGAGGGGAGCCCAACACCCCTCCTCCAGGCATCTCCCCAGCAAGAGGCCCCAGAGACCACCAGGTGGTGCCAGGCACTTGGCACAGGCAGACACCGGCCACCCTGACAGCCTTTGACATACCGTAATTGCTTCCCCCACTACGACTTCTTTAAGCCCAGAGCTGCTGGCCAGAGCAATTTGCTCCCCATCAATTTTTATTTCCAGGTTTTAAAATAAAATAAAGGGAAATAAGGAAGAAGGTTTCGGAGCCCAAGAACACCACCATGTCTGTGATAACAAACAAGCCGAGGGCCTCACACCTCGAGAGCACCCATCAGCCTCCACCCAGGGCTGGGCCTGGCTTCCCTAGAGCATCCCTCCTGCAGGGCTTAGCACCACTTCCGCTCCACCTCCACGGACCCGCTGCTGGCACAGGACAGGCAGGTGGGAGGGCTGGCCTGGGAGGAGGCTCAGCAGCAGCATGTTTGCAGAGGGCTGGACAAAGAGAGCTTGTAGAACTGGAAGTGGAAATAATAATACTAGCTCCACTTAGAAAGCGGCGCCTGTGTGCTGGGCACAGAGCTAAAGCACCTGTGTGCATTACCTTCCTTAATCCTCACAATAATTCCCTGAGGTGGGTGCTCTCATTACCTCCATTTTACAGATAGGAAAACTGAGGCTCAGAGCAGATATTACTGTGATTACTCCTTCTGTTCTTCCTTTGATCTCCTCCCCCTTCCCCCTCCTCCCTTCTCTCCCCTCTTCCTTCTCCTCCTCCCTTGATCACTTCCTTTCTCTCCTTCTCCCTCTCCCCTCCCCATCTTCCTTTATCTCTCCCCCAGCCCCCATCATCATCTTTCTGATGTCCTTTCCTCCCTAGAAGTCCATCTACTCAGGATTAAGATCCTTAGCTTGTCTGCTAAAAAAAGATCCTCATAAGTCATCAGATATCTCATTTATTCTTTCATCTATTTAGCTGATATTTGTTAAGGGCTTCCTGTGTGTCAGGCACTGGATGGGTGCTGGGGATCCCTGGGAAACAAGACAGACTCAGTTCCTGCCCTCATAAAGCTTATATTCTAGTGGTGGGGGGAAGCCCAGTCAACATTCACCCAGGTGCTCTTACCAAAACCATGACTTTCTCCCACCACACCTATCCGCTGGCAAGAACCGTCAGCTCCAGATTCCAAACATACCTGGAGTCCAGCCACATCCAGCTGGACTTCCCTGACCACCCTGGTCCAAGCCCCCACTGCCTCCCACTACCCCTGTGTGACTGCCTTAACTGCCTCATCTCGGAGCCTCTGTTCCTGCCCTGGAGTTGTAGTCAGAGTTTGCTTTTACAAATGCAAGTGCTTTGCAAATGTAGATCAGAGTGTGCCCACTGAGGTCGCAGGGAAGAGAAGGAGCAGCAACCCAGAGATCTGGGGAAGAGTGACTTAGCAGAGGGACCTGTGGGTGCAAAGGGTGTGAGGCTGCAGCCGCTTGGCCTGTTAGGAGCCTAGTGACTGTCTGAGAGGCAGGAGCAGAGGGCAGTGTGTGGGCGAGGTGAGGAGGCTGCTTGAGGATGGACGCTGGCACAAGGACAGCCAGGAGCAGGCACTGCGGAGAAGGCATATGCAGCATGCTGGCCAACCCCAGTGTCTTACCCAACGTCCCACGTGCACGTAGGGCAGAACCCAGGTCCCACCCCCGAGCTCAGTGGGATTTCCATGACTTTGCACCTGGCCACAAATCCCTTTGGAGGCTTTTTGTGCCTGGTCTTGCACTGCACCCCCCAGGGAGAAGCACATTTCTCACTCTCAAGGAGCAGAGAGTCCAACAGGATAGCAAAGATGCGTTAACACAAGTTCCACCTGCAACTGGTTGTTGGAAAGACTGATTGAGAGATATTCTGAGGCTTCCTCTGCAGTCAATGCCGTGATCCATTAGGAATGTCTACCATTGGCACTGGTGATGGAGTGCTGGCTGTCCAGCCCAAGTCCACAATGGAACAAAAGGGAGGGAAGGTCCCCTTCCCTTTCTCTGCAGGCCTCACCACTAGTCAGGTCCCCATCCTGTCCTCACTGCTCTCCTGCTTGGTCCCTCCACCCAACCAGTGCTTTGAGCCTCCAGCCCAGCCCCCCTTCCCAGTAGCACCCTCTTGTTCTACGGCCTCCCACATGCTCAGAAGGCCCAGAGCAGGCACGAGAGCCTTTTCCTGTGATCACAGCCCCCCAATATCTCCCCTCCACCCCACCGCTCACTCCCTGGTACCATTGCCAACCCAGGACGTGTACTCTCTTATCCGTCACACAAAATGCAATGGGAGCCATTTTCCTTCAAGCACCCATCATTTCCTTTTCTCCCAGGTGCATGGCCACCCCCAGGAATGCCCATAAAGGCACTCAGAGAGCAGCTTCCCACCACACTTCCCCTTTGCCCATCTAACACCCACCATGCTCCCATCCATCCAGCCCTGGCTTCCTTCTCAGATTAAATCACTTCCTTCTGAGATGAGAGGGGAAAATCAAGGCTCCAAGCATTTTCCTAGAAGTGTGGGGCAGACTGGATGGTATTTGCTGGCCATTGGCTTCTACCTCACACGCCAGAGAGAAGCTGGAACCCTTGTCCACAGCACTATGGGAGGGAAGGAAAAAGGGCCTCGGGGGCCCCAGCAGGCATGTGGAGGTCACCCTGGCCTCTGGGCTACCGGGTTCCTGCAGCAGAGTCCTCCTACCTCCTGCCAGCCACTCCAACCCCCCAGAGCTTACAAGAGTGCAGTTAATCTCACACAGTTTAAGGACTTATACAGAGGGGCTCAGTGAATGATGAATGAGGAAAGCATTACCAGCGAAGCACCGGGGCTCCACAGAGCTGTTTAAAAATGCATTCTCCCATGTAAATTTCTGCTCCATCAATCCTTATGACATGTCAAACATTGCTATTGTTTCCTGAACAAATTGTACCGCGTGCCCTTCTCTGCAGATTTGTGCATGAGAGCAGAACTCCTCACCGGCACCGGCCGCCTGCCTCTGTTGCTGGGACCCAGGGCTGCTGCGGAGGCAGCTGGGCCTGCCTTGCTTCAGAGCAGAAGCCCCGTGCGGGGCATTCCTGTGAGTGTGCGTGCGTGACGGGAGTGTGGGCGCTGGTGAGGAGTGATTGAGTGCGTGCCTGCCAGCCTGTGGTCTGCAGGGACAGACACCCAGGTGTCTAGGGAGGGGGTGTGGAGGAGACCACAGGGGCTGAGACTGGGCTGGAGACAAGTAGGGGTGCTGCTTGAGGCAGAGAAAGAGAGAGAGAGTGTGTGTGTGTGTGTGTGTGTGTGTGTGTGTGTGTGCGCGTGTGTGTGTGAGGGGTGGAGGTGTGGGAGACCTCTGAGTAGAGTCTACCTGAGCCAGACAGGGAGAGAAAAGGAAAGTTTCTAGGAGAGTGTGCAGGGGGTACAGGATGCAGAAAGTTGTTCGCAGCTGCCTGAGATGCAGAGAGAGGAAGAGAAAGGGGTTGTGTGTGGTGCGTGCATGTGTTTAAAGAAGTAGGAAGTATGGAGACACAGGAAGAGAGATGACACGAAGACACACAAGGCAGGCAACCTGTAAGGTGGGGGACCCTGTTCCAGGGCAAATCAATGGAAAAGGGTGAGAGATGATGACTGTTAATTGCAAAGAAAGCCTGGGTAAGAAGGGGTTCTCAGGAAGGGGACAAAGAGACAGGAGGGCCTGAACACTGTTGGAATAGCGGGTCCCCAGAGAGTGGGCATAAGATGTTGCGCTGAGCACCAGAGGGCCGGGAGCTGGGCTGGACATAGAGTTTTGAATGCACAAGATGAAGGGGGACTACATGAGAGGGTGCCATGGGAAAAGCCCCAGGTGGGTCAGGAAGGGCACCTGCAGCCAGCCAGACTGCCCCATCCTTCCAAGGTGGCCTCAGGTTGGGCCACACAGCTCCCTCCAATCCAGGCCCTAAGCCACCTGCACAGACCAAGACCAAGCCTGGGATGGGGTGGAGTCCTTCTTTAAGGGTCTGTGGGAAGCACCTGCTTGGGTATCTGAGGGTCTAGGCTCAGGGGCTGCATCCTGGGAAACCACAGCCAGAGACCCCTGCCACCACAGCCAGAGACCCCTGCCACCACAGCCAGAGACCCCTGCCACCTTTGCTGGCAGGCATAGCTAGAGTTGCTGGGAGCCCGCTCTTTCCAAGCAGAACGTAGGGAGCAGAAGCCACCATGGCAAGAAGGGCAAACTGCCTGTGGGGGCCCATCGGTCTTCAACAGGGCGAGGAGGATGACCCTAGTAGGAGCACCCTGGATCCCATGGCCGAGCTCTCAAGCTCAGACTCAGACTTCTCAGGCTCAGACTTCACTCCCCCAGCCCCACCAAAGGGAGGAGCAAGGGAGGGGAGGTCTTAAGAGCACACGCCTTGGAGTTAACCATGTTGATTCATGTTCTAGCGCTGTGACTGTTTCACCCTGGCCAAGTCGATTGATCTCTCTTGAGTCTCTGTCCCCTCCTTCATCTATAAAGTGGGGATACTATGGTGCTGGTCCTATAGGGCTGTTGGGAAGACTGAATGAAATAAAGTGCAGGAAATGCTTGGTAAATTTGGTGGCACATAGTTAAGTGCTCAAAACGAAATGTCAGAGGGGCACCCTCTTGCCCCTTCCCCTCGCTACAGCCAGGAGAAAGACTGGCATTGCTGACTCAGGCCTCACCAGTCCAAGCATGTAGCAATTCCCCCACCACAGGCTCCTCCAATCACCTTGTATTAACCTTGGAATTTTTCACCCCCGTATGTATTTATTTTTTTCCTTTTTGTCAGCAGAAGAAAATTACACTTCTGCCGGCATTGTCCATCACAGAAATAAGCACTTGCAGATGCGATTATAAAGGCCCAAATG
Source organism: Homo sapiens (assembly GCF_000001405.40). Taxonomy (NCBI): domain Eukaryota; kingdom Metazoa; phylum Chordata; class Mammalia; order Primates; family Hominidae; genus Homo; species Homo sapiens. Next base: position 71,668,954 of record NC_000010.11, read on the forward strand.
ACAGAATTAGTTTTGCTGGTAATGCCAGCATTGGGGAGAATCAGAAGGAACGCCTTATAAATCAGGCACTAGGGAGCAGCCAGTCTCGGCTGCACCCTCTCCCCCACATGCTGACTGTAGGGCAGAGGCTGACTGCAAGGACAGTGCTGAGCGCTGAGCGGCCATTGATCTTCACAGATCTTCCCCTGATGGTTCTGCTGAGGGAGGCTGATGGGGAGGCAGAGGCTTCCTGAGGCCTTCTCCAGGCCTTGGTGCCAGCAAGTGCCCACCTCTCTCCAGGAGCTACCTGGACTTCTAGGTGCGCAGCCGATGACTGTCCCATAGACTGGCATACACCTGCCCAAAGACAGCTTCTCCAGGATGAATCTTTCTAAGCCAGCAGCCTCAGTGACCTTCAAGCCCACTTTCAGCCTTGTTTTCCTCGTAGTTCTTACCATTGCCTGGAATTACATTACTTAGTTATTTCTCCCCTTGGTGATCTGTCTCCCCATTCTGACTTTTTTTTTTTTTTGTAAGATGGAGTCGCATTCTGTCACTAGGCTGAAGTGCAGTGGCGCCATCTCTGCTCACTGCAACCTCCACCTCCCGGGTTCAAGCGATTCTCCAGCCTCAGCCTCCTGAGTAGCTTGGATTACAGGCATGTGCCACTATGTCCGGCTAATTTTTGTATTTTTAATAGAGACTGGGTTTCACCGTGTTGGCCAGAATGGCCTTGATCTCTTGATCTCAGGTGATCTGCCTGCCTTGGCCTCCCAAAGTGCTGGGATTACAAGCGTGAGCCACCGTGCCTGGCCTCCCCATTCTGATTTTAAGTGGCAGTCCAGGTTGTCCTGCTTAGGATGTGACTTCACTGTTGGGCACAGCAGCCAGCACATTGGAAAAGCTCAAAAAATATTACTAGGCCGGGCAAGGTGGCTCACGCCTGTAATCCCAGCTACTCGGGAGGCTGAGACAGGAGAATTGCTTGAACCCGGGAGGCGGAGGTTGCAGTGAGCCAAGATCGCGCCATTGCACTCCAGCCTGGGTGACAGAGCGAGACTCCGTCTCAAAAAAAAAATTTACTAAATATGTGACTGAACAAGTGTCTGGTCACTGTTTTCATGAAGGTGGCTTCAGAGGTGTGCCGGGCATCTTCAGCTGCTCCTGCACATCCTCTGTGCCTGTCTCCTTCTGGGCAGGGCAGGGGCAATAGGGAGCCTCGGCAGGGGCCAGGGTGTTGGAGGTGCTCTATAAACCCCGCCTCGCCCCATGCAATCCAGCAACCCCTCTGTCGCTGCTTGCTGCCCACCATGGTGTCTGATGGTGGGGTATCAGCCCCACAGAAGGAAGGTTATGCTGGCCCTCCGTGGCTGGCAGTGGAAATCACACATTCTACTAAATTGGGCAGAGATGTTGAGCCCTGTATGGGGGTACTACATACGATGCAAAAATGAGTTAGACAAACTTCTCTCCTTCACAGGGAGGAAAGTGGGGCACACACAGACAGTTTTCAGGAATGGCAGATTCTGCCACATGTTCCAAGAGAGGGATGACGAGGGGCTCCCGGGTCAAGACCAGTGAATGGTTAGGGACTCTAGGAGAGGGGCATTTGGGATGGGCCTGGGGGGTGGATCAGAGTTTGGAAGGCAGTTACAGAAGGAAAGGATAGAGGAACCAGCAATGAGAGAACAGTCTGGGGTGTACCAGGGAAGAGGTAGATACGAGAACACTAAGCCCAACCAGACTGTGGACACTAGGGTATGGATCTGAAATTAATTCAGCAGATCATAGGGAGCCATTGAAGGATTTTGGGCAGAGAAGGACAATAATTTTAGCTACCGGCTTTGACTTTTTGCCCCTGGGCCTCTTATGAGAGCCTTCACAAGTAGTAAAATGCACTAGTGTGTACCTCTGAGTGCCAGCCTAGAGCCAGTGGGGAGCCATTAGATGGCAACAGAGACACAGAAACACCAGAGGGAGGAGCCTGGAGCACAGTTGAGGTGCTCACCTGGAGCCCTGATTTGGCATCTTTTTTTTTTTTTTTTTTTTGACAGGGTCTCACTGTCACACAGGCTGGAGTGCAGTGGTGCAATCTCGGTTCACTGCAACCTCCGCTTCCCAGGTTCAAGCAATTCTCCTGCCTCAGCCTCCTGAGTAGCTGGGACTACAGGCAATTGCCACCATGCCTGGCTAATTTTTCTATTTTTAATAGAGATGGGGTTTCACCATGTTGACCAGACTGGTCTTGAACTCCTGACCTCAAGTGACCCATCCGCCTCGGCCTCCCAAACCAAAGTGCTGGGATTACAGGTGTGAGCCACCATGCCTGGCCTTTGGTTTGGCATTTTTTAGGTACAATATGAAAATGGCCAGCTGGGCCATCCCCTTCCCCAATCCCTGTCACCATCTGGCTGGCCTGTGAGACCCTGGAAGTTACCCTGCAGGGAGACAGAGATGCTCATTCCTAGAACATTGCAGGGAAGGGGGTGTTTGCAGCAGGAAGAGGAAATTTTGTTCTCTATACATAGGCCCTTGGCACTCCTCGAACCCTCCTTCCTAAAATGGGCCCCAAGGGTCACTGTCTGTCTGCCACTTTATTTGTCTGTTGGACTTTCAGTTGGTCAACCACAAACAAGTCTTGCTTGGGAGGAGGTTGTTTAAACGGTGCCATGACAAGCAGATTGGGGCTGGGATAGACTCAGTCGCTGCCCCTGCTGCCTGGATAGGGCAGGATGGCAGGTGGGCGGTGGAGCAGCCACAGTGGGTCCTCTCTGGAGTCGGGTCAGCCAGCATCTGGGGGGCTGCTCTGGGAATACGAAGACCAGCTCCACTCACCAGCTGTGAGATCTTGAGCAAGTCACTTAACACCACTGCGCCTCTGTTTCCTCACTTGCAAAAGTGGGTGGGAGGTAATGACAGTACTTACCTGTGGAGTTCTGGTCAAAATTAAATTCATACATTAATATGTGTCATGAGAACGTGGGTGCAGTTGTAGTTATAGGTGACAGAGATAGACGTACCTTTCTTGAGCTGCCTTTATGTCCAGGCCCTATACTAGGCCCTGGGCACATGTGGACCCCATGACCCCACGCTGCCCTCTGGGAGCCACATCCTGGTTGGGGGAGACGCACGTTAACCTTAGCTTCAGTGCCTCAGTGTGATCAGGGCTGGGAATACTGAGTGTGCGCAGGGAGGAGCCCTAACTTTGCCTTGGGGGTCAGGGAGGGCAGAAGGGTGTGAGCTAGGCAGGAGAGGGAGGGGCGCTGTTCAAGCGGAGGGGGCAGAGCCAGGTCCTGGGAGCTACACGTGGTCCAGTCTGGGTCAGAGATGAGGCTAGACATTCAGGGCCGACAATGTGTGTAGGAGGGGAGGGGTTTTCCTTCAAGCACAGATCTACCGCCTCCTCCCAGGCCCAGGGCCCCTGACAGGCCCTGCTGCAGCCCGGCACTGGCCCCGCACCCATCAAGGCCCAAGGTCAGTGCTGCTGCCCTCACCCTGGCAGAGGCAAGGAGCAGCTTTTCATCTAGTTCGGCTTCCTACACTTGAAAAATGAAGCTCTCCCTCTCCTCCTCACCCAGGCATACATATTTCACATGGTCATTAGGCGGTGGCACTGAAGGACTCACAAATCTTCCCTGATCAGCATCCGCAGCCTGGGCAGGCAGTGAGAGGCCCTGGGGACAAGGGTCACTGTGGGAACCATGGCTGTGCCCAGTCCAACGTGGGCAGGGGAGGCCAAGCCTTGCAGGGGTTGGGGGTGTGAAGCCAGCTTCTGCTCTAAGACAGTCCAGTCCTGTCTCCTGGCACTCATCACCTAATTTCCCTGGGCCTCAGCTGCTCCAGGCCCCAGGGTGAAGGGGATGGGATGCAGGCACCTCACATATCCTTCCCGTCCTGACAGTCCAGAGCAATTTTGTGGGGCACCCAGATCTGAAGGGCTCATCCCCAGGGCTCAGATGTGACCTTCTCCAGGGGCAGCACACCCCCCATGACCCAGGCCCCTCCCTTCCTGCACACCCCACTTTCTGCTTCTCAGCTGCTCTCCTCCACCTCCTAGCCTGCTGTCTCTCCTCTACTTCCCTTTTCCTTTTCTTTCTGTCATTTGCTTCACTTCTGTCCTCTTTCTTCTGAGTCCTGCCTTCTTTGTCTTCACCGCTGTCTCTCTGCCCCTTCCCTATTTTCTCTGCACCACCCCCTTCTTATTCATTTTTCAGGCATTTATGAAGCATCTACTGCATGCCAGGCACCGTCTGTGCTGTGCAGTGAGCCCCACAGGTGCCTGCCCTGCCCTCGTCCTTCCCCAAACCCTTTTCCTTTGACAAAGGCAAATGATGGGGGCCAAGGAGGTATGGTTTGGTCACACAGTGACCTGGAACTGAGGCCTCCACACCACAGTGACCCCTCGCCAAGGGGTTCAATGACATGGCAGTCAGATCTTCCCAAGACCAAGCTGCAGTTGTAACAGTCCAACAAGACCATGCATTGATGACCATGATTGTCAGTGGAACCTGGGGGTGGGAAGGACTCTGGGATTCCTCCTGCTCCCCTTCTCCTCCGTCCCTGTAAAATGAGGATGAATCTGGGGTTACTTTGGGCAGTGTGGTCTCCTCTCGCCTGGAATAACCAGGCTCCCTTCCTTCTGAGAACAAGCGCCCCTCTTGGCTCAGAGGCAATCACTGATGGAGGGCAAGGGCATGGCTAGGTGGCACAGGATTCAAACCCAGCACAGTTCTTTCTCTAGCTGTGAAGCCTTGAGTGAACGATGTACTGTCTCGATGCCTCAGTTTCCCCATCTGTAAATTGGAGGTGGTGCTAATAATAGTACCTACCTCACAGGGCTGTTGTGAGGGTGAAGGGGTTGTAGGTAGAAGGCGTGCAGGAGCCAGCAGTCGCTGCTGCCGTTGTGAGGAATGGCACAGGCAGTGGGAGAGGCCCCGTCCAGGAGCCAGTCCTGGGTTGGAGGGTGGTGACATGGCTCAGTGCCTTCCTTTCACTTGTTCAGCATGCACCCCCTGAGAACCTGGGATGAGCTCTGAGCCTGGCTGGGGTGGTGGCGGGGACAGAGGTCTGCACCGTCTATAGGAGCATAAGCTGTGGGGATATTGAAAGGAAATCCAACACAAGAGGCAGCCCTATACAAGCTGGCAGCCCAGAGCCCCCAGAAATGGCATCTTTCTGTATAGCCAAGTTTTCTGGATAACTAAGATCTTAATCCTTTGGGTATAAACTTTTTTTCATTTCATTCATTTGGGATAGAAATATATTTTTCACTTATCTGCCTTCCTGAACTGAATGTACTAAACACAAATTAGCTTTTCCTTGAAAATTCAGGCTTATCATAAAGAACATAGAATTTACTAGATTTAATAGACTCCAGGAACTTTAAAAGGAACCTCAAAAATATTGAGCGCAAAGGGATCAAAATACATTTTTAGCCATGAGGGCTTTATCCACTTACAATCTTATAGAGATACCTTAAATATAAAACAGATGCAAGTGGACCCCAAAGTCAGTCTGAGGCCTTTCCCTACGGGCATCTGGTGGCAGGCAGCAGTTTGCCCAGCTCTGGGGCAGTGGTCTGGGAAGAGAGCAGAGGTCACATCTAGACCTCTGCATGGATTATTTACTGTCTCGAAGTACTGCATGGATTATGTACAACCTCTTCACCCTCACAACAGCCCTGTGAGGTAGGTACTATTATTAGCACCACCTCCAATTTACAGATGGGGAAACTGAGGCATCAAGACAGTACATAATCCTTGCATGGATTATGTGTTTCATAAGTAACTGTTGAGTGAATGAACGATGTCATTTAGCCTGCACTGTGGATTAGAACCATGCCAGGGACAATATGGAAGCCAATATTCCAAGCCACAAAAGCCAAACCCCCATTAAAACTTTAGGTCAGGGGAGATGGAGGAGGGCCTCCCTGGGATGGCCACACCTGGTGTGTGGAGGAACACCTGGTGGCGGTGGAGAGGCCAGTTTCTGTCCCACTCTGCTTCTGACCCGCTCCTAACCCAGACTGGCAGCAGGCTTTCACCAGGCCTCACTGGGGTCTGGGCCTCAGAAAATTCACCCTGGGCCAAAGGAGACGTGCGAGAGGAACATGGGTTTCCTGTGGACCTGAAGCCTCAGCTGGGCCTGGCAGTAATGACTTCTTGTTCTCGCTGTTGCAGGCAACTGACAATGATGCAGGCACCTTTGGGGAAGTCAGCTACTTCTTCAGTGATGACCCTGACAGGTGAGACTCTGCCCACAGCCCCTCAGGCCCCTCCGCAGTGGTCCTTGGCCCTCCCCAGACTCATGAGATCTGGGAACTTTTCAGTGCCCAGGGAGGGAGGTGCTGGGTCCTGTGGCTAGAGCACTGGACTGGAAGTTGGAACCCATGGGCACTGTGGCTGGTTTGACTCTGATTGTGGCACAGCCTTGGTCAAGTCTCCTCAACTCTCTGGGGCACAGCTTATCTGACCCTCAAAAGATAGCCTTTAGCTTTGGGAATGGATCCATTGTGTCTCTGAGAGGCTTTGAAGTACTAGCGACAGCACACCGCCACCACCGCCAGCCGCAGTTACTACATGTCAGGCTCATGATGGCCAAGGGCTTCACAGGCATTGTCTTGTGTCATCCTCTCAGTGAAATGACAGAAGAACTCAGTGCTAGGCACTTTTATCATCCCCACTTTACAGATGAGGAAAGTGCAACTCTGAGAGGCTAAGTCACTTGTCCAAAGTCAGACAGCTATAAGTGCCGTGGTCAGGCTTCTGCATGTGACCTTCACCACTAGGCTACACAGCCTGCCCCAAGAGGGCTCTCAACATGCAGCAACTTGTAGGTGGGTTACTCACCTCCCTGCCTAACACATGCCAGCCTTGCCCCATCACCCTTCATGGTAAATTGGTCCGGGCTTGATTTTGGGCCATCTCTTTCCCTTGTCTTCAGTTAATCCAAGCCAAAGGCAGCCCTCTAACTTTTTTTTTTTTTTTTTTTTGAAACAGAGTCTCACTCTGTTGCCCAGGCTGTAGTGCAATGGTGCAATCTCAGCTCAAACTGCAACCTCCACCTCCTAGGTTCAAGCAATTTTCCTGCCTCAGCCTCCTGAGTAGCTGGGATTACAGGCACCCACCAGCACACCTGGCTAATTTTTGTATTTTTAGTAGAGATGGGGTTTCACCATGTTGGCCAGGCTGGTCTCAAACTCCTGACCTCAGGTGATCCACCCACCTCAGCCTCCCAAGTGCTGGGATTACAGGCATGAGCCACTGCACCCGGCCCCCTCTCACTTTTAACATGCTCGAAGGCCACGTGTCTGATGCACTGGGAAGCCCGGTGGAGTGAGTGAGGCGGTGGGTGTCAGCTTGAATGACTGGCCCCAGCTATCCGTGGGAAGGATCAAGAAAAGATGGGGAAGGAGCTGGATGCCATGGCTCATGCCTGTAATCTCAGCACTTTGGGAGGCTGAGGAGGGTGGATCACCTGAGGTCAGGAGTTCAAGACCAGCCTGGCCAACATGGTGAAACCCCATCTCTACTAAAAATACAAAAATTAGCCGGGCGTGGTGGCAGGCGCCTGTAGTCCCAGCTACTTGGGAGGCTGAGGCAGGAGACTGGTATGAACCTGGGAGGCAGAGGTTGCAATGAGCTGAGATTGTGCCACTGCACTCCAGCCTGGGTGACACAGTGAAACCCTATCTCAAAAAAGAAGAGACAGGGAGATTGTTAGGGGCATCTGTCCATTCTCTGTCACTCAGTGATGGGGGTCTGAAATGGGAGGAAGTCACCAGCATGGCTGAATGCACAGGGAGCCCTTTCCCCAGGGAACCCGTGTTCACGTGGCCTTATCCTGGTCATCTTGGATGGTCTCACCTCTTCCCATCTTCTGGGCCTGAGACTTTCCTCACTCCAAGCCAGAACCTTCCAGGCTTGGTGGCTGGCAGCTGTGGTCAGAGCACACAGATGTCAACTGACAGCTCAGATGAGGCTCCTGAGGGGACATTTAGATGAGGTAGTTGGAGGCATTGTCTTGCCGGACCTTTCTGCTACCTGGGAGATGTCTACCAGCCTCCCACTCAAGGCTCATTTCCTCAAAGTCAAGGGGCAGCTCCCAAAAGCGGACCAACCACCCTGCCCTTCACCAGCTGCTTTCTGCCCATTCCTAGCATTCTGGTGCAAAACGATCTGGGTTGGCACACGTTTTTACCCTCACAGTTCTCCAGCATCTAAATATCTGCAGTAGGTAGGAACTCCTGTTCATAGCAGGAGGGTTGTTCTGCCTGGGTTTCCTCCTTGCTTAAATCAGGCAACTCCTCCTGCCCACCTCGTGTGATCCTGATCCCCGCCACCCACCCACCCCCTTTAGAAATAGCAGCTCTTCTCAGGGCAAGTGAAAGGGAAGGCAGATTTCAGACTTCATTTGTTTCTGTTTGTCACTCTGGGCAAGGACAGGCTGGGAAATGCCGGCCCCATCAACAAGCCTGTTTTAAACCACGGTGTTCCTTCTCTCCATCCTCTCGGCCTGGCACAGGTTCTCGCTGGACAAGGACACGGGACTCATCATGCTGATTGCCAGGCTGGACTATGAGCTCATCCAGCGCTTCACCCTGACGATCATTGCCCGGGACGGGGGCGGCGAGGAGACCACAGGCCGGGTCAGGATCAATGTGTTGGATGTCAACGACAACGTGCCCACCTTCCAGAAGGATGCCTACGTGGGTGCTCTGCGGGAGAACGAGCCTTCTGTCACACAGCTGGTGCGGCTCCGGGTAAGGTGCCAGGGAGCCCTGCACTCCTGCCATTTATCTTAGCCTTCTCCCTGTACTTGCTTGCTTGCTTCTTTTTTGTTTTTGTTTTTATGAGACAGGTCTCACTCTTTCACCCAGGCTGGAGTGCAGTGGTACAATCAGAGTTCATTGCGGCCCCAAACTCCTGGGCTCAAGCAATCCTCCTGTCTCTGCCTCCTTAGCAGCTGGGACTACAGGCTTGAGCCACCGTGCCTAGCCTGTGCTTTCTTCTTGACCAACCCCCTAGGGAACCCACTGCAAGAGGGGCTGACCTTCTATCCGCAAAGAATACTGCACAGATTTCAGAGTCAAATTCTTGGTCTGTGTTGGGCCTTCTCTGAGCAACGCCTCATATCCTTGGTACCAAGTGGGGCTTTATACACAGTGTCTGTCTCAGCTTAAATATTAGGTCAGAATTTAGCAAAAGATCCCACCCCCCGACCCATCCACTGCCATCTCCCTTAGCAAGGGCATTGAGTGGGGAGCAGTTCCCTGTGTCAGGACCTCCTCCAAGCCCTTTAACGACTGACTAGAATCAGGAAGTGCTGCAGCTGGAAGGAGCCACAGAGACCATGGAGTGCAACCCCATTTTACAGAAGGGGAACCCAGAGGGGAGGAGGCTTGCCCACGAAGACATAGTCGGGTAGCAGAGCCAGGTCTAGTCCCGGAATGCTATTCTCCAAGTGCTTCCTGCAGCAAGTCCCCCACTAGGCTTCAGTGACCTTTAACCAGAGACTTTTAAATGTCCCCCCTTCCCCATGCTGCCTACCCCAAGGGATGGGACCCAGAGCCTCCATTTGGAACTTGTTTCTGAAGCAGGTAGGGATGAAGGCAAGGCTGGAAGGGTGAGCACAGGGGATACCAAGAAGAACAGAACATGTGCCCGCCCAGCCTGGCCACGGCCCCCCGTACAACCCTGTCCTGCCCTGCCCTCCCTGCTCAGCTCCAGGTGTACCCGGAGTGGTGGGGACCACTGGAGGCTCTAGAGTGAGGGACAACCTGGAAAGAAGCTTATTAATTCAGCTCCCAGAGAAGACAGTCAAGGGGTAGAGGGATCCCTGGCCCCACTCCAGGTGCCTTCTTTCCTCCTTGCTTTCATGCAACATGCATGGATTAGACACCCACTGTGGCCAAATACTGTGTTGGCCTGTAGGTATGCAGCAGCAATCAAGAAACAAGGTTCCTGCTCACATGAAGCTGACGGTCTAAGTGAGGGAGGCAGAAATTAGATAAGAAATTACCACTGGGTGTAAGGGGACCAATGGGGTATGCAACCCTAGGGCCCTAACCGGCTCCGGGAGTCAGGGAGGGCATCTGCAGGTGGGGGTGTTCCAGCTGGGGTTGGGGGTGGGAGGTAATTGTGTCTCAGCCTCTGGGAAGGCCCGGCCTCTGCATTATTCCTGCGCCTCCCACCTGCCCTCTAGATTCCCCAGGCTGCCTCCACACCCAGCACATGGAGGGGAGCAGGGCGTCTGCTGGGAGCCAGAGTGCGGCCTCCAGTTGAAGCACAAGGGGTGCCTCCTGGCGTCCTGGGCCAGGACAAGACCCAGGGCTGGATCACCCAAAAAAGGAGCTGTGAACAGGGCCAGTCTTCCCCACCCTCCCAGCTGCCCACCCTCTTCTGGCCCCCAGTCTCCTGCAGGCTCACGGCCCTTGTCTGCCCTCTTCCTTTCAGGCAACAGATGAAGACTCCCCTCCCAACAACCAGATCACCTACAGCATTGTCAGTGCATCTGCCTTTGGCAGCTACTTCGACATCAGCCTGTACGAGGGCTATGGAGGTAGGTGTGGGGCAGAACTCGGGGCCCAGCCAGGAGGAGGGCTGGGGGGCTCTCTGCACTCACACCTCCCTTGTGGGGATGAGGCGGGCACTCCTTGTCTCCCTGACACTCTGGGCTACTCAGGAAGCTGCCCGGAGCACCTGGGGTGGAGCAGGATGTGGCCTGAGTCGCCCTTCCGTAGGGTCAACATCTGTGTCCCTCATCAGCAGGATCTCTCTCTGGTTCTTAGGCCATGGCCAGCCCTGCAATCGAGCCAGAAGTGTGATGTTAACAGAATCTCTGGGGTTCTCTGTTTCTTACCAAGGCTGCAGGCAGGTCCGTGGGATGGAAGCTCTTTAGCCAAGACTCCCTACTTTTTGGGCGGCCGTGTGGGACCAGGCACTCTGCACCATGCCCTGCTGCCTGCTGTGGGTCCCCATCCCTAGAGCCCTGGTAGGAAATAGCAGCAACCTCAAGCTCCAAGATCCCAAGAGAGACTATTTTGTTTTTCAGATAAAGCAGCTAAGGCCCAGAGACAGGGAGCAACTTGCCTGAGCTCACCCTGCAAAGCTGCTGAGCTTGGCACCAAGTCCCCGTGTGGTCTGGCCCTTGGTTGCCTTGCGAGCCTCAGCTCTCAGCAGCCCTTGCCCCACCAGAGTCCAGCCTCTTTGAACACTTTGACACTGTCTCCCCTTACTGGTGTTCACCCCCATGTCTTTGCAGAGTTTGTTCCTTCTGCCAGGAAAGCCCTTCCTCCTTGCCCCTTGGTCCTGCCTCCCTTTGGCTGTCCAGTGTGTAGCCCCTGGCTAGCTTTAAGGGCTCATTTAACACCTCCTCCTTTGGGAAGCTTCTCTGATTCCTGGAGCCTGGGTTAGGTGCCCCCAGGGCAGAAGGAATCGATGTGCGTTGAGTGACTCTGGGTCCAGTGGTCATTCCTCCCACTACCCCACAGTTAGTTCAGTTCAGAGAAATGCCACTGTAGAAATTGCAGTTCTGACCAGCGCGGTGGCTCACGTCTGTAATCCCAGCACTTTGGGAGGCCGAGACCGGCGGATCAATTGAGGTCAGGAGTTTGAGACCAGCCTGGCCAACATGGTGAAACCCTGTCTCTACTAAAAATACAAAAATTGGCCAGGCGTGGTGGTGTGCACCTGTAATCCCAGATACTCGGAAGGCTGAGGCAGGAGAATCACTTGAACCTGGGAGGCGGAGGTTGCAGGGAGCCCAGGTTGCACCACTGCACTCCAGCCTGGTGACAGAGTGACACTCCGTCTCAAAAAAAAAAAAAAAAAGAAAAAGAAATTGCATTCTCTATGAAATCTACATCCCTCTGTCTTTCTTTTTTTTTTTTCTTTTTCTTTTTTTTTTTTTTTTTGAGACAGAGTTTTACTCTGTCACCCAGGCTGGAGTGCAGTGGCTCGATCTCGGCTCATTGCAACCTCCGCCTTGTGGGTTCATACAATTCTCCAGCCTCAGCCTCCCGAGTAGCTGGGATTACAGTCGTGCCACCACGCCCAGCTAATTTTTGTATTTCTAGTAGAGATGGGGTTTTGCTAATGTTGGCCAGGCTGGTCTTGAACTCCTGACCTCAAGCCATCCTCCTGCCTCAGCCTCCCAAAGTGCTGGGATTACAGGTGTGAGCCACTGTGCCTGGCCCATCCCTCTTTCAAAAACTTAAAAGTTCCATGCTTCTGCCTGCCCCATACCTCACCCTCCTCTCAACTAGAAGAATCCCCCTTAGATTTTATATTACTAAAGCAATAATCTTGTTTCCCTTTTCCAAATAGAAAGTTGTAATTTAATATTGTTGTAATGCCTTCTAAGACCTCCCATGCCCCCCACTCCCAAGCCAATATACCTTCCCTCCCCAGTTGAGAATCAATGGCTTAGCACAAACAAGTACTAATGGAGAGATTTCAGTCGTGTGCAGTGGTAGGGATATTTCAGGGCACAGGCATCTATCTTAGCTCCCTGCAAATCCTGCCTCTCAGCCTGGGTCTGCCTTTGGCCTTAGGGTTCTTCGCCCACCTCTAAACAGAGTTCTGTTGAAGGTAAGGTCTGCAGCACCTAACCCCGAGTACCTCCCCATGGGGTCTAAACAGTGCCCAGAGTAGGTGACTGGATGGGTATGAAGAGCCCATAGCATAAAGTGGGGAGGAAATGGAGGGAAGAGAAGAGAGAGACGCCAGGGGCAGTGGCTCACGCCTGTAATCCTAGCACTTGGGGAGGCCGAGGCGGGAGGATTGCTTGAAGCAGAAGTTCGAGACCAGCCTAGGCAACACAGCCAGGCTCTGCTTCTACAAAGAAATTTTTTTAAATGAAAATAAATAAAGGAGAAGGGAGGGAAGAAGATTAGAGAAATAGGGCTAGAGACCGAGGAGGGTCCTGCCTTCTGCACCCCACTGCCTGGTCCTCCCTGGCATCCCCAGTGCTGGGCAACTTCTGGGGAACTCTGTGCTTACCTGGAGAGAGGAGTAGTGACAGGGAGGCCTGGAGGGCCCAAGGCATGACCCTGTCCTTCGAGCAGCTTCCAGACTGACGGGGAAAATCCATAAAGTGCCAGATGAGTGAGTGAGACAGACAGACAGACAGACAGACAAGCAGACAGGAGCACCTACTAAGAAAGAGCCTGGGTTCTGGATTCAGCCAAACCTAGGCTCATCTCCCCACTCTGTTGAGAGCTGTGTGACCTTGGGCAAGTTACTGAACATCTCTGAGCTTGGTTTCTTCATCTGTAAAAGTGGGGCTTACATTACCACCAGCTATCACCTGGTGGGCGCAGCACAGGGTCTGGCACATTTCAGGCAGTCAGGAAACCTCAGTCGAGATGTTGAGGCTCCAGGTGTTCAGAAAACAAGCCAGAGCTGGCCCGGGCCATGCCAGCCATAACTTCTCTGCCCAAAGGGGACCCCTGTCTGGACGGGCATCTCAAGTCTGCTTACAGAGGGATCTGGCCTGTTCCTGTCATTGCAGTGATCAGCGTCAGTCGCCCCCTGGATTATGAACAGATATCCAATGGGCTGATTTATCTGACGGTCATGGCCATGGATGCTGGCAACCCCCCTCTCAACAGCACCGTCCCTGTCACCATCGAGGTGTTTGTAAGTACCCAGGGCCACTGGCCTTGCCCTGCTAGTGTAAGGGATGGTGAGTGCTTCCTGTGAACCCAGTACTGTAGGACTGTGGCCCCCACCTCCTTGGCTGTCCCTGCACCTTGGGGAGTTTACCCAGCCATCTGTCCCAAAGCCTGCCCTTAGCAAGTCTCTCCACTGCTGCAACAACTTCACTGCCTCCCCGCTTGGCCAGGGAAGGCCCAGGGCCCTGGTACTCAGGAAGAGACACATTGTCTGCTCTGACTTCACTGGGGGCCCCAGGACACCCTCGGTGGGGAACAGGAGCTGGGAGTCAAGTGAGGAGGAAATGTCGTGGGCTTCCTTCATTTATGGCTGCATTCTGTGAAGAACAGAAGAATGACCAGAAGGTCATCTTCTCCCTTCTCTCTCTCTCTCTCTCTATCCTGCTCTTCCTTTTTTTCTTCCCTTTTCCACTCCTCTGAAGATCTAAAGCGGTCTGAAACCAAGCCACAGTTTCTCTGACATGAATATCAAGCACACCTTAGTATTTTCTGTGTCTGAAATTATCAGTTGCTGAATCCATCTCCACGCTGGTTCATTTGCCCAATGCCACACGGGGATGCAGAGAGTGGTATGACAGCGGGACCAATGGGCCCCTCCGCATGGAGACCTCCCCACACACACCTGTGCATGCACCGCCTGCCCCCTCCCCATCTGTGGGAGACAGCGAACGCGTGTTGATCGAAGAGTTAGTGCATTATCGGCTCCGGGAGGATTAGATCAGGTTGTCAGGTTCAGAGATGCGCTGTGATTTCACATAAGCTCAGGAAAATCTCACCCTGGAGCAGACATGCTGGAGAGCCTTCCTGTCACAGCCAGCTTCACCAGCAGCCTCTGCCACTGCCCACGCCCGGCCTTAACAAGCTCTGTCTTCTCAACCCGAGGCTGAAGCTCCAGGGCCAGCTTCCAAGCGGAAAGGCCATTGTCTGGGCCAGGGACCCAATTTGCTTGCTGAATAGGATGCAGCTGGAAGTGATGGGAAAGTCAAAGTGATGCCTGATGGGAGAGCCTTCCAGTTGGGCATGTGGGAGCAGAATTTAGGGGGGGCCAGGAGGATGAGGCTATACAGAACCAGGATAGCAAAGGGAAGGGCAGAGAGTTGGGGCCTGGCTTCTGGAGTCCTTGTGCCTGGCACCTCAGACTTCAGGGAGTGTTGGGGGAAGGAGGACAGGGACCAGGAGATCTTCAGAAACCTTAAAACTGACCTGGGCTGGGCGCGGTAATCCCAGCACCCTGGGAGGCTGAGGCAGGTGGATCACGAGGTCAGGAGCTTGAGACTAGCCTGACCAACGTGGTGAAACTCCATCGCTACTAAAAATACAAAAATTAGCCAGGCATCGTGGCAGGTGCCTGTAATCCCAGCTACTTGGGAGGCTGAGGCAGGAGAATCGTTTGAACTCAGGAGGTGGAGGTTGCAGTGAGCCGAGATCGCACCATTGCACTTCAGCCTGGGCAACAAAAGCAAAACTCCATCTCAAAAAACAAACAAACAAACAAACAACAACAAAAAAAAACGGCCTGACTCGAACCTGTAACCTCCCACCTAGAAACACCGAGGGTAGGGAACGATAATGCATTCCCTGGCAGTCATGACCATGGACTGGCACTTTACCCCATGGCCCGACCCTGACCACATCACCTAAACCTGGCCTTAGTTTCCCAGACTTGACCACAGCCCCCAAGCCTCCTCTAATCGTAGCTGCACTCACAACCCTGACCAACCCACCCATCGCTTTCAACCAGCCAGGATGCTGCTCTGCACAAGGAGGCAGTGAATTCTGTGCTGGGCCCCCAGTAGGACAGGAAGGTGAATGTGCAGCCTGCTCCACCCCCCCTGGAGACACCAAGTGGAAAGAGGGGTGTGGCTGTGGAAAGAGGGGTGTGGCTGTGGAGGCACATGGGTTTGAAACCTGGCTCTGCTGCCCTCTTGCTGTGTGACCTGGGTCTCTGAAACAACTTCCTCATCTGCAAAATGGTGGTAATCGTGATACCTGCCTCATGATATTTTTGTGAGGCTGAAATGGGATTGTGCAGGTGGCACCTGGCACCTGGAATGTCTTATCGCTGTAATGACAGCCATGCATAGCAGCAGCCGCACCCATGCCCCAGCCTGTCGCTAGTGCAAATGGGAGTTCCCATGAGTGGGCTGAGGCAGAGAGGGAGCCATTCAGGCTTTGGGGAGTGGATGCTGGAGAGGGTAAGAGTAAGGGAGGTCTAGGGAAATAAGTTAAGTGTTCTGGCTAGCCCGGGGCTAGACAGGCCTAAGTAGCGAAATGGAAACTAAAATGTGCTGAGCTCCAGGAACGTGCCAAGTCCTTTCACATGACCCAGCCCCTTTCAGTCCCACTTTACAGATGGGGAGGCTGAGGCTCAGGGAGGACCCAGGCTCACCAGTGCCTTTCTTCCTTACTGGCAGAGCTGGGACTTGAACCCTGACCTGAATGACTCCCATGTTGACATGCTTTCCACCACAGCCACAGGCCTGGAACCTTGGTCATCCCTATCCACATATGACTGAGACCAGTGCTTCTCAAACTTCCCTGGGCCCTGGAATTCTCTGGGGATTTCATTAAAAGGCAGATTCGTATTTAGTGGGTCTGAGGCAGGGCTGGGATTCTGTGTGTCCTCCCACACAGCTTGCAGGTGATGTGGATGCTTCTGGTCAGGGGACAACACTTTGAGGAGCAAGGCCTTCAGAGACCCACCCTCATGAGATTTTGAAACCTGAGCTCTGCTCCAAACCCCAGACCTGTCCCAACCTGTAGCTCAGCTAAGGCAGGGACTGGAGCATCTCGTTGTGCCTCAGCCCCCCTAAAAGGGGCCGGAGCATGCAGAGAGATGAAGGTGAAGGGACTGAACTCACTTTTTGTCCCTGCAAATAAAAGTGTGACCAGCAGCCTCCCTCCCTGGGACCACAGAGGAGGTGGGTGGGGGTAAGAACCCACCTCACTTTGCACTTGGGAAGCCAGGGTGTGCCCTGGCATGAAACCACAGTGGCCTAGTAGAAGAGGCCCCATTTTCAAATTCCCTCAAAGCCATCCCAGGGACAAGCAGGGGCCCTGCACTTCCCTTCCGAGTACACCCTGGCCCTGGGGCAGCCGGAGAGTCTGGCAACAAAGACAGGTGCCACCTTGGCTATGAGTGAACATTGTCTCTCAAGCAGGGCCTCTGGATGGCACAGTCACTTGTGTCTGAGGACCACACTTGAAAAGGTCACCACCTTCAGGGTGATTTTGCACGTGGCTGGTTTTTAAGTAGCTGTCACTCGGCTAAGCGGCCTCCTCCCTCCACCAAAAGGATTTTCTCCCAATTGGAATTTAAAAACCCAGCAGCAATGAAGTTGTTGATGGCAGCATTTCCTGCACAGGTTGGGGGTGGGGAGAGGCAGATGGAAACCACAGGGCTCCAGGAGGAGGAGGGGCCGGAGGGGCCAGGTGATTCTTTTTCATCCACTGCTTGTTGGTTTTTAATAAAGAAGTCAAACTCGGTTTGTAGATTTCCCATTAGGGGACAATAAGCTTTTGTAGAGCGAGCCGCTGATTTAGAACTAATAGCGAATGCAGCGCCAAGATCCGGGGAAATATCACCGCTAATAAGTTTCTGCCTCATGCTCTGTCACTGACATTCTCCACACCGTTTCGTGCAGCCAAGCAGAAGCTTAAATGTATAAGTATATGGGGCGCTCGCACCCGCACCAGGGACAGGGGAGATGCCCAGGCACGCAGCTGGGGCATTGGACATCAGGGGAATCCTGAGACTGCTGGGTATCTGGGGAGAGGGGCAGGTCAGCGTGACCCAGGGTGCCATCCAGAGCCAAGGGGCAGATTGGAGAAAGAGAGGATCACTCCTGTCTGGGCACCCACAATCTTAGCAGGCTGAGATTCTCTGATGTCCCAAGGGGGGTGCAGCCAGAGAGCATGCCCCCATCTTTCATGGCTGCTCTGTCAGCAGCGACTCCAGCAAAGGGGGCTTCATACAGGATCCTTTCCCCCTAAGAGCTCTCAGTTCCATGAGAAGCCAGGCCTTCTCATGGAACTCCTATTTGCACTAGCAAACGAACAGGAACTGCCAAAGACTGTAACATAAAGACTGCCCAACGGTGCCGGGACTCAGCCTGACTCCTGAGCTCTGCACTGGACTCTTGGGAAAGGGGAGAAGGTCATGAGCCAAGTGGGCTGGGGAGGCTTCCTCCAAGAGGGAAGCAGGGAGGAATTCTTGTTGGGAGATTGCAAGAGTGGTTGGTGAGGATAAGAGTATTAAAGGGCAGGAAAGTCTCTTCTAATTGAAGAGGAAGGGCCGCGGTGTGAAGGAGTTGGGGGGTGCGTAGCAGGAGGCAGAAGTTGCCCACCCTACCCTGCCAGGCTCAGCCCCTCAGCCAAGCACCGTGCTCTGGCTATTGGCAAAGGCTGGGCTGGAAGAGATATTGCTTTAGAACTGACAGGGGTGGGGCTCTAGGCCAGGGGTGGCCCAGGGGCTGGAAGAGCCGTTGTTCTCATGTGCAAGGAGGAATCTAGCTGTACCTGCCAGCAGCCAGCCCAGGGCCAGAGTTTGGGCTCTGGGAACCACCTGACCCTGAGCTGCCATAGCATACTTCAGTATCTTTGAGGAGAGTCCTAGAAGCTTTTGTCATCATCCTGGTGGACCTACGCAGGGGTCCAAGTGGGCATCCCCAGCATGGGAGCTGGGGGTGTGAGTGCTGGAGTGAGCCTGGGGCTCAGCTGGAGGACCAGCGGGGAGCCTGGGGAGCTGGCAGCTGTCGGCAGTCCCAGCTGCTGCCGGCACACTCCCTCTTCCTGGGCCTCCCCATCCCTTCCTGAGGCCTGCATGTTTCCCCAAGGCTGGTCCTACCTCCTAGAGCTGTAGCCTGCCAGAGGGTTACCTGACTCCCTGCTGACACCTCACCTGGCTCTGGTTATACGGAGAGGCCAAAGCTCTTTAGGGCCAGCCAGACCTAGCCTGACTCCTTGGTGCCCACCTTAGACATCTGGCCAGCCCACCTGCCTCCCTGCAGCCTCCTGCAACCTGTCTGTGTTCCTTCCAGGATGAGAATGACAACCCTCCCACCTTCAGCAAGCCCGCCTACTTCGTCTCCGTGGTGGAGAACATCATGGCAGGTACAGGCTCAGGTCGGGGGGTGGGGGGCACATGGAGGTAGGCAGCCAGCAGTCACGGCACCCAGGATGTGCAGACCCCGGCTCTGCACACAAATTGTGGGAGGTCCATGGCCTTCTCTTTCCCCGGCCAAGCTCCTTGACAAATCGGGGAGCCTTTGGAAACATCTAGTTACCTGCCAGCTAACAGCTAGTTCCAGAGCACCTGCTATGTGCAGGTGCTGTGCTGGGCACTTGGTTCCTGCTCTCCTCTAACTATAGTCTAGTGGGGAAAGAATAATGATCCATGATTAATTAAGCAATCTTGATTAAACAGTCTCAAGTATACAGAGGGCTCTGAGACTATAGCACTGTGAGGCAGGTCCCAGGGGCCATGATTTCAGAGGGGTGGCCTTACAGCGGGGCATGTGTTCCTATGTGAGGATGCGATTGAGAGGCTAATCTCTGGGCCAGGCTCAGGTTGCAGGGCTCAGTTTGCAGACCCAGCACCACCAGCTCCACACTCAGGTTCCAGGGGATCTGTTCTGCCCTTGAGGCAGGCTGGCAGCTTCGCCCTTACCCTCAGAGCAAATGATCCTAGCAAAGAAAACGCCCATATCAGGAACTGCTGCAGTGGCTGAAGGAGACAGGAAGGCTGGAATCAGGGACAGTAGAGTCATGGATGGTGGAGTCATGGATAGTGGAGTCAGGGACATTGGAGTTAGAGATGCTGGAGCCAGGGATGGTAGAGCCAGGGATGGTGGAATAAGGATGGTGGAGCCAGGGGTCGTGGAGCCAGGGATGGTGGAGCCAGGGGTGGTGGAGTCAGGGGTGGTGGAACCAGGGATGGTGGAGTCAGGGATGGTGGAGCCAGGGGTTGTGGAGTCAGGGGTGGTGGAGTCAGGGGTGGTGGAGCCAGGGGTGGTGGAGCCAGGGGTGGTGGAGTCAGGGATGATGGAGCCAGGGGTGGTGGAGTCAGGGGTGGTGGAGCCAACGGTGGTGGAGCCAGGGGTGGTGGAGTCAGGGGTGGTGGAGTCAAGGGTGGTGGAGCCAGGGGTGGTGGAGCCAGGGATGGTGGAGCCAGGGGTGGTGGAGTCAGGGGTGGTGGAGCCAACGGTGGTGGAGCCAGGGGTGGTGGAGTCAGGGGTGGTGGAGTCAGGGGTGGTGGAGTCAGGGATGATGGAGCCAGGGGTGGTGGAGCCAGGGATGGTGGAGCCAGGGGTGGTGGAGCCAGGGGTGGTGGAGCCAACGGTGGTGGAGTCAGGGGTGGTGGAGTCCAGGGGTGGTGGAGTCAGGGATGGTGGAGCCAGGGGTGGTGGAGTCAGGGGTGGTGGAGTCAGGGGTGGTGGAGCCAGGGATGGTGGAGCCAGGGGTGGTGGAGCCAGGGGTGGTGGAGCCAGGGGTGGTGGAGTCAGGGGTGGTGGAGCCAGGGGTGGTGGAGCCAGGGGTGGTGGAGTCAGGGATGGTGGAGTCAGGGGTGGTAGAGTCAGGGGTGGTGGAGCCAGGGTTGGTGGAGTCAGGGATGGTGGAGTCAGTATGGTGGAGTCAGAACTGGTCTTTCCTGGCACCACGAGGCCTTCTAAAGAGAACCTCTGGGTACCACTCTGGCACCTGACAATGAGCTGGGTGGGTGCTGGGCTGCACCCAGCCTACCCTGCCTGTCCTAGTCAGGCATCCCCTGGAGAATGTCACTGCTAAAGAGCTGCCTCCAGCACTACACCCCCATCCCTGGGGACTGTGTCAAGGAGAAGCCTTCACTATGGCACTTAATTCTCTTCAGGGGTATGTTATGGCTCATGTGCCTGTCCTCCTGCTCAAGGCAGGCCTGAGGGTCATATTTGAGGCCCCAGGGCCACAGGGCCACTATGGCCTGCCTGGCCCCTTGCCCCTCGGGACTGCTGATTCATCCGCTGGATGGTCACCACCAGCCCTGCAGCCCAGTGGAGCTCCCTGTGGGGCTCAGCCTGTGGCCTCAATGCTTTATCCCTCAGGATCCCAGCAGCAAACTCACAAGTTAGAGGGTATCTTTAGACCCGGTCCCAGGGGAAGAAGTGATGCTCAGGCAGGTGAAGGCGCCTGCCGAGGCCCTGAGGGGTCCAGTCTGGGTGTGAAGATTCCAGGAACCTGTGCACCGGACCTCCTCACCACTGGGCCAGAGCTGGCAGTTGGGTGGCAGGAGGGGCTGGAGCCAGAAGCCTTGGTGGGCACAGCTTCAGGACAAGCTGTTCTCAGGGTCTGGACAGGGTGGCTGGAAAAGCTGATACCTTGAGTCAGGATTTCACGGAACTGGAAATAAAAGTGAAGGCCTTAACTGAACATTAAAGAGAAAATAAAAACCCTTATAAATTCCCCTGAACGAGATAAAACTAGACTGAAATTGAATACAGTAAATGTAGAATAATTTAATATGGAATTTCATGTCTTTTGACTCCAAGTGACAGTTGGCCAATCTGAGTGTATTTAATATAGTGGCCAGCCAAGCAGGGGCCAGGGAGACAGGAAGACATCAGAGGGCCCAGTCCATCCCTAAGCCTCTCATGAGCCTTGTCCCCACCCAGCCCAGCGATCTCAGCTCCAAGAGCAACGATTGAGCCGCCCTTGTCCCAGGGATGTCGCAACAGGCAGGCCTCCCACCTCCCTGAGAGCTGGTCACTGGGAGGGTCCCACGTCCTCCTCTTGGGCCAGCGCAAATGCTGCTCCCAGGGCTGGGGCCTTGAAGCCAGGGGCCCAGGGTGAGCAGCACCCCCTGCCCCCACCTTTTTCCCCCTGAAGGAGCCACGGTGCTGTTCCTGAATGCCACAGACCTGGACCGCTCCCGGGAGTACGGCCAGGAGTCCATCATCTACTCCTTGGAAGGCTCCACCCAGTTTCGGATCAATGCCCGCTCAGGTGAGCCCCCCCACCCCAAGTACCCTGGTCCTCCACACCCTGAGGCTGACTGTCCATACCCGGCCCCAGGACCAGCCTCTGGGCCCAGGTCCCCTTCCTTTCAGTTTTGAGCAGACCAGCTTTGAGCACCAGTGTAATCCATGAAATATTAATTTGAGTGTGATTACTGATCTTACCCAAAAAATCACAACGTGAATTGACCCAGTGAAGGACGTCTTTCAAGGGTGAAGAGTTGTATTATGTTTTAAATGTGCTCCATCTTACAAAGAGCTGGTTAACACACCCCTCTTCAGGAACACCTTTATTAAAGCCTCAGGGTCCCCCTCCCTCAGCTGCTGACCTCATTCTTAAAGCCTGGCTCCTCTTCTTACACGGATGTGTGCCTCAGTTTCCCCACCTGTAAAATGAGGAAGATCATATTAGGGCTGTTGTGTGGATTAAATGATACATAATAGGGAGCAACTTTGATTAGTCCCTGGCACACGAAAAGTGCTAAAAAAAATTACCATCATTATTCTCTTTTGTTTATTCACCTGTGAGCCCCCTGCCCCCAGCTCCCAGCTCAGCCCATGTAACTCTCTTCTTTCTTCTTCGTCTCTCCATGTACATTCCTCAGTTTTCTCTCTTCCTTGAAGCTGGGAGAAAAAGTGGGCAGAAAGAAGCAGCAAGAGATCCAGGCTTTCAGCCAGACCTGGGGAAGAATTGGGACTTCTGTACATTCATTCATATGTTCATTTATTCATATGTTCATTCAGAAATTGGGGTGGGGGCTGCTCTGAGCCAGGTGCTGGGGTACAGGAAGGAATAAGACATGGCTCTGACCTCATGAGGTTGCTAGTCAGCTCAGTGGGCATGCAAGGCACCCCACTTCCAATACGCATTTCTGTATGAGTTAAAGGAACTGTCGATGCTAAACAGCTACACCCTATCTCAGTGGCTTGAGACAATACAAATTCAAATTCATATAGTCAACCCATGTAGATGTTGAGTGACAGCCTTCCACATGATGATTCTGGGACCCAGGCCCCTTCCATGTTGTGGCTCCAAGGTCACTGCAGAAGGGAAAAGAGAGCATGGGTTGTCAGAGCACTAGGAGGAGGTTATGGGCCAGGCCCTGCCTGGCAGTCACATCCAAGTAATAATTCTCCCCTGGGAAGGGAGCAGGAATCTTTGGTGGACACTGGCCATCCCTGCTGCAGGTGGTCAGTGGCCAGCAGGGCATCAGCTCTTCCTGCTATCCATCCCTCCACGTTGGAAGTCAGCCTTCAATCCCTTTTCCTGGAGGCTTGGGGAGCAGATGGCCGGTGCTGATGGGTACGAAGACTGAGGAAGGGGACCCAGGGCCACTGTGAGCCTCCTTTTCTATCTCTGAGAAAGTGAGGGCCCTCCTCCCAGCTCTCAGGAGCTTCCCCCACAGTGAGCCCTCATTCCCAGGGGTCTCAGAGTCATGTCATGAATGGATATGAACCACATGCCCAGCACTGTTCCCAGGGCTCTGAGCAGCAGCAGCATCTCATTCTGCCCTCCTCACCTGTGAGGCAGGTACTAGCCTTATCCCCATTTTCCAGATGAGGAAGCTGAGCCACTGGGGAGGTTAAGTAACCTGACTGAGGACTCGCAGAGCACGAACTTCTGACTCCAGAATCCAAACATTAAAGGCGCCATTATATGAGTAGCTCCCTGGCCTTTTAGCCACCCCCGCCCTTGCCTCCCCAGTCGGGGCTCCAGCTCCACCTGGGGCCTTTAATGACACAGACATTTTCTTGCTGCCTTAACACGACTTTGTCTCCAAAGGTGTAAGTGTTTTCCTCTGAGTTCCTCGGTCAAATTAGCCAGGGCTGCTCCACAGAGGTGGCCTTAATTGGATCTAATTTCCTAGACAGGAGAGGCCATCTATCATGCCGACAAGTTCACGTTTAAAACTTTTTAGAGATTAATTTCTTCCTCGCCCTGCCAATTACTTGACACCACCCTGGCAGGGAGTGTGGCTCGTTGGGCAGACCTTTGTGAGTCTTCCATTCCTGGCCTCAGCACCTAAGCTGCCCTGTCACCCACCCCCAGCTCCCTGCTCAGCCCCTGCACAGACCAGAGGGCAAGCCAGTGTGCCACAGAGGGAACTGTCAGGGTAGAAGCAGTCCTAAAAGCAATCTGGTCCAGCTGCCTTGTTTTATGGTGGAAAGAACCAAGCACAGAGAAGTTAAGCGACTTGGCCCAGGTCACACAGCTCAGGCAATGGGGATAAAAAGATGGATAGCACACAGGCCCTGCCCGTGGAGAATGCTCACGGTCCATTGGAAGAAAACAGTCATTTTCTGAGTGTTGGGAGCCTCACCTAGAATTACTGTAGCCTCACAACGGCTCTGCATGGAAGTCACACTAATCTCCATTTTATAGATGAGAAAACTGAAGCTTCAAAGAATTAAAATTCTCCAAGGCCAAGCGTCTGGGAAGGGCCATAATCAGAATTCAAATCCACATCTCACATCTTCACCACGTGGGTGCTCTCCCATGGCTGATGCAAGATAGTAAATGGCCTGGCTGCTGTGATTGCTGAAGTCTGCTGGGACTGGCTCACCCTGCTCCCAAGAGCTAGCGAGGCACTCAATTGTGAACTCCATATTCAATACCACCAAGTTGGTAGCTTAAAATGGGCCCTGGTGGGGCTATTTACACCAAGGAAATTGGCAAATGCCTTTTTTTTTTTTTATTTTGGGGAGCCAGTTGTCAAACATTTACCAGCACGCCACTATCAGGGTGATGTTTGCATTTCAGTTACACCAAAATACAAAGAAAGACCAAATACAGGCGAACAAGAAATGTTGTTTAATTGTTCAGATTTAGCACACTAAAACAACTCGAGGCAATGTAATTATGCTCTTCACAATGTAATTAGGAAATTATTTTATAACTATTAATTATCAATGCACGATAAGGTTGGATAGGTTGAACTGTCCAGTAATGAGTCACAAGTTAGACGCATGTGAACACCCGGTGTTTTTATTTCCTGTCATTGTATTTCTGTGACTGTATAAATAAACAGTGCCTGGCACTGTTCTAAGATTTCCATGATCTTAATTAAATTAACCCCACAATAGCCCTATGAGGTAGTTCCTATTATGGTTCCCTTTGGACCCTATGAGGAAACTGAGGCACAGAGGATTGAAGTAACTAGCTCCAGGTGAGAAAGCCAGTAAGATAATGTCAAAAGTCTAAACAAGAGGTGATCTGTGACTGAGCTTAAGGCCTAATGGCCCTCCTGCCCTGTTCTCCAGCCCCTAACCCCGAGAATCAGCCTAGATTTTCCCACATCTGCAAATATTTCCTCCTCATGGGGTTATGTTGCCCAGCCCTGGGGAACCAGCTCCCAAGGCACAGGAGCTCTCCCGTCTCCCACTGTGAGCACCAGCTCAGGAACACATCCAGGCCGCCAGATCATGGTAGCTTGCTAACATTTCTCGTGCAAGTTCTCACCCTCTCTCCTTCCCTCGCTCTCTCTCTTCTTCCCTCCCTCTCTCCCTGGCCCACCCAAACCCTCTCACGCACCCACTTCTCTCTCTGGCAGGGGAAATCACCACCACGTCTCTGCTTGACCGAGAGACCAAGTCTGAATACATCCTCATCGTTCGCGCAGTGGACGGGGGTGTGGGCCACAACCAGAAAACTGGCATCGCCACCGTGAGTGCGCTCCCCTCCCGTGCCCCAGCTCCCCCTCGCCGGCCAGGCTGCTGCTCCCTGCTTGTACCTCTGGACCCCCGTGTCCTGAGCCAGTGTGAGGCTTTGTGAGAATGAGCAAGGGGGCGAAAATGAACCCATCAGCAGCAGAGGTCAGCCCCCGGGGCCACCACAGCTGTGGGGAAGAAAGGCATCACCACCAGGAATGTAGGGGCACTTGGGAGGAGCAAAATGAAATACTTTCTCTCCTGCCCCTAAAAATCCAGGAGGGCAGGTGGCAGAAGGCATGAGCCCCATAGGCCCCTCCTTGCCTTGGTGCCTGTCAACAAAGCAGAAGCAGGCATTCCTGCGAGGAAGAGCAGCTCAGAGCAGGAAGCAGGGCCCTGGAGGGTCCCTGGGGGCTTGTTCTCCCCCATCTAATGTGCCCCAGAGAGTAGAAAGCTAGAGGAACGAAACGTGGGGGCCTCGAATGAGCTCTCGGCTGCAGAAGTGAAAGGGGAAGTGAGAAGCCCTCTGTGGGAGAGGAAGCGGGAGGACCAGCTGACAGTCACTCCAGCCACCTCCCCTCTTTGTTCCCCATTCGGTTTCTTTGGCTCACCCTCAAAACTGTGGCCCTCACCCAGTCTGCAGCAGCCACCCCATCCTTACCCAGCCAGAGAGGCTGGAGACGGTATCGCGTGGCCAGGGATTTGATGGAAAAATCCCCAGTGCCCTACTCTGTCAAGGGAGGCTCCTACTAATAGGAATCAGAGCCCTATAAATAATGTACCTGGTGGCAGGTGAGCAGGGAAATTGCTTGGCTTGTAGCTGAGACGGGGAGGCTCAAGGGATTCTATTAGATCCCCCACCCTGTCAGTCACCTTCAGCCAAGACTGGAGGCAGGGATGGGGGAAGCCCCAGGTCACAGCAAGGATTTCAGGGCTTATCACATCCATTCCACTGCCTCCTGATGGGACAACACTGGAACTCTCTCTCCTGAAGCGGCCTGGCTCCTTCCTGCCCTCGAAAGCCCAGGCTCTGCCCAAGGCTCCCAAGGTTGGTGGAGCTGGCAGAATTAATGCGAAGATTGCCCGTGGGCATCTGAGCACTTTTCCCCTGGCAGGCCCTGCCCTGGCCCATCTCAGCTGGGTGTGTCTCCCAGCGCCCCTTATGGCTTCACAGGTAAACATCACCCTCCTGGACATCAATGACAACCACCCCACGTGGAAGGACGCACCCTACTACATCAACCTGGTGGAGATGACCCCTCCAGACTCTGATGTGACCACGGTAGGTGGTGGCAGAGCAGCAGAACTGCCAGGCGGCCCTTCCCAGGGGTCTGTGCCCCTCCCACTGCGATTCCAGGGGGCCTTCCCCTATGGGGCTGGTGGACTCTGTGTCCCTCTGAGCTGGCTCTTGCAATAGAGTTCTAGCGGTTCTCCTGCATGGTGAAAGGCAGTCAGAGGTCAAGGGAAAGCCCTCATCCGGCCTCCAGTGTCAGTAGGCCTCAGGCTTTGTCAAAGGGAGCTTCAGGCAGCCCAGGGACAGTGGCAGGGGAGCTCTGGCCGGTTCCGCTTGTGAGCCACACGTGCCCTTAGAGCCCAGGACTCTGGCCACCCCCTCTGGAGAGCTCCCACCCCTACACTGCACAAGCCCCAGCTCCACCCCAGCACCTGTCTTTCACTGCTGTGCCCCTGCAGTCATCCATCTGGGTCACCTCCCCCACGGGCTGGCCCCCACGGCTGCCCAGCAGGGGTTTTGTTCACCTCAGGAATTTTCTGGCACAGGTTTGCCAGGTTTGCACAGGCCCCTGTGTGTGTTGTGTGCTCATGTGCAGGAATGTGCACAATTCAGGGTGCAGAGGGGAGACACGGTCAAAGCCAGGGCATCTCCAGCGGAGACCAGAATCCTGGGGAAACTGAGGAAGCCCAGGTCCCACCCCCACACCATCTGCTCTGCTGGGAGGTCCACATTTTTCAGCCTTCTCCTCCCCCACCCTGTACACCACGTGGCCTTACTTGAGGAGGCTTGTCCCCACATGAACATCCCCACTGCCACCCACCCAGCCCTGTGGGGGACATGAATCCTGGCAATTGACTGAACACCTGGGATGTGCTCTGAGCCTCCCCTGAGGGCTTCTCAGGAACTCTCTCCTCCTCACTGTAATCTCACAAGGCAGAGGGATTCCGTTGCCACTGCACTGTGGAGGAGACAGACTTAGAGCTTAAAGGCTTGCCCAAGGTCCCAAAGCTAGTAAAGGGTGCGGTCAGGACTCGAACCCTGGTCTGTCTGACTTGGAGACAAGGGATTAGAAACCACCTGGCCCAGTCCTTATTCCTCTGGGAGGGGGCACCCACACACCAGCTGACAGCCAGTCAGTGAACAATGTGGAAAGGAAGATAGGCATGACGGCCAATCCTTCCCTCCCTCTTTGTCCTTCCTTCCAGGTTGACCTCCTCTCCCATCCAGAGCCACTGCCAAGTATGGCTCTGGCACTGGAATAGGCACAGTGGAATAGGGCAGAGGTGAGGGATCTGGAATCTGCGATTTTTTTCAAAGCCCCGTAGAGGAATTCCTTCCAGCCCAGGGCCAGGTTTAGAAACCAGGACCCTCGCCCTTTGACACAGCTCTCTAGGCTCTTTGGTGGGTGCTCTCTGCTGCCGCCTTGTGGGCACTGCACTGGCCCAGGGTAACCTCCTCCCCACCCCAGCCAGGGATTCCAAGAGCTGGGGCTGGATCTCACCTCTGAACACCTTCTGGTCAACCCTCACCTTTCCCTTAGGTTTTTGGGAAATTCCTCCCAAAGGGGATTGAGGGGCAGGTGAGGAAGGTTGCTCTGGGAAAAGGGGGCTGCACAGGACACCAGCCTGGATTGCCGTTATCAAATAGTACACCCGGCAGACAAGGCGTGGGTGTGCCAGGTGAGGACTGCACACAGTCTTGGGCATCTGCAAGCTTTGGTCCCCCCGCCCTTCACCAGGTCTCCTGCCCTCCACATGTCCTTCTGAGCCATGAGCAGGCATGGACAATGGACCAAGGACCTGCTGCCCAGTGCCTCCTCACTTTCCAGGAAATCCACGAGCTATCAGGGAATGCCTACTGCATGCCAGGCCCCACGCTTGTCAGGCTGAGGGTACAGGAAGCAACACCAGGCCAGGTGCAGTGGCTCACGCCTGTAATCTCAGCACTTTGGGAGGCCAAGGCAGGCAGATCGCTTGAGCCCAGGAGTTTGAGACCAGTATGGGCAACATAGTAAGATCCCCACCCCCTTTATAAAATTTTTTTTAAGTAGCCAGGTGTGGTGGTGCACACCTGTGGTCCCAGATACTCAGGAGGCTAAGGCAAGATGATTTTTGAGCCTGGATGATAGAAGCTGCAGTGAGCCAAGATCACACCACTGCACTCCAGCCTGAGTGACAGAGTGAGACCCTGTCTCAAAAAAAAAAAGGAAGCTCCCGCCCTGCCTGCCTTTGGGGAGTGTCATGTCACTCTTCTATTCAAACCCCAGTGGTTCCCATCTCACCCTGTGCAAAAGCCAGAGCCCTTGCCAGACCTACAAAACCCGCAGGGTCTGCCCCATTGTCACCCCTGAGGAGTCAGCCGCATCATCCCTATCTGTAGTACAGAGCGGGTGTGGCTGTTCCACCGCTGGCGTCAGGTGGGCACAGGCTGGAGATTTTTGGTGCCCCAGGGTAGTATTTGAGACCTGAAAAATAAATGTGATGACCTGAAAGTTCAAAGATAAAAGGGCAAAATCAAAATTAAAACTTGTTATATGAAACATCTATCAGATGAAAGATGGCAGCTTTAGTAACTATGAAATTTAGTGTTTGTGAAAATTTCATTACATTCGAGGACAAATTGGAGGTTAGATTTTTCTAGAATTCTTGAAAATTTTCCAGAATTTTCTGGAATTCCCAGTTACGTATGATGATTGCCAGGAAATCAGAAATCAAGAAGCTTATATGTTAGTCAAGTTTGTCATAGCCAAATATTTTGAAAAGGAAGTTATAAAAATTATTTCCAATTTTATAGCCATAAAATGTATATATGCATACATATGTATATACATGGGTATGTCTCATTACCTTGGAGAGGACCCCCTGGAGACTTCTAGGGCCTCACAGTGCCCCAGGTTGAGGTAGGGTCTGTGGCCAAAGTGTGAGGTGAGGTGGCTACAGAGGGAATAGCTAACAGAGTTTCAGGTGACAGAAGGAGGAGGTGATATTTGAACAGGGGCTGGCCCACCACCTGACTCATCTCCCACCCCACCCTTCCCACACCCACCGCACACACCCACGCCCACAACCACCACCCATCCCCAACACACAGGCCTTTCGTTTCCCTGCACCCACTCAACTCTCCCCCAGCTCAGAGCCTTTGCACGAGCCCTTTCCTCCCTGACCCCTGCTCTTTTCATAGGTAGCTCATTCTGTTTCATCTGTCCCAGCTTAAAACGTCAGCTGTCTTAGAGAGGCCCTGCCTGACTACTGTCTAAAGTAGCTCTGACCCCTCTCCAAATTCTGTTTCCTGCAGAGCTGGACCCACAATCTGTGCTTATTTGTTTTGTAGGCTATTTGCTTATTAAGAGGCACGTGGTTTAGTGATTAAGCAGGCAGCCTCTGGTACCAAAATGCCCAAGTTCTCACTCTAGCTACACCACTTACCAGCTGTGTGACCTTGGGCAAGTTGCTTAACCTCTCTGTGCTCCAGTTCTTCTCATCTAAAAAATAGGGCTAGTAAGAGTCCCCACCCGATAGAACTGTGATCAGCGCTTACTGAGCCAAGACATAGGAAGCACTGGCACATGGGGAGTGGTCGGTAAATGGTAGCTGTCACCATCATCACTATCATTACCATCATCTGCTTCCTTTGCTGGAATCGCACTTGTCTTGTTCACTGTCAAACCATACTGCCTAGCACAGTTCCAGGCACATTGTAGGTGTTCAAAATATTTCAAAATATGTGTTGTTGAGGACTGATACAGCTGGTGAATATCTTACCTTTCCTTTCCCCTACCCCCTAGCTCAGCCAGGAGGTGGCTGGGTCTTCCTTGTCGGAGGTAGACTAGGGCGTATGGCCCAAGACTCTCTCAAGAGCCCTCTCTAGACATGGCATGGGCCACAGCACCTGGAGTCGGAGGCACAAGGCAACCCCAGTGATTTTCAGAGCTTGCATGCAGACAAGTGTCTTCCCACATGTGGCTTCATTTGGGTGCATTTGGAATTGGTGCAGTGTGTGCATCTGCATGCACTGGGTATGGCCTGGCATGCAGGCACTGAGGATGTCCACCTGCACTGGTGTGCGCTGGCGGAGTGGCCGTCTCTCTGTCTGCAAGGGAGATTTTGGTCCCACTCTTCTTCCTGGCTCCTGCAGCTGCCTTCAAGGACCTGGCTGATGGGCATTGATTTAGAGCCTTTCAAAGCCCTCCAGCAAAATAAAGGAGAGGGGAGAAGGAGAGAATTATTCCCCATCAGGCTAGGAGAAAAATGACGGGCGTGAAATGGGAAATAAATGAGGGGAAAGTGGTGAGATTCTACAAAATCGCCCAGCAGGGAGCCTGCAGGAGAGGTCACAGCCCTCCACCCTCTCCTGTACTCCCAACCTGCCCTGTGACCAGAGAGTGGGTCAAGAGACCCAAAACCATTGCCCATGCCCTGACCAGGATCACTTGGAAGCAGCTACCCTGGCACTCTCTGGCATGGTAGGGGCAGGAAGAGGGAATGGAAGAGGAGAAACCACCCACCATGTGAAATGTATCTCAGCCTGTTCAGCAACAGGCCTGGCCTGGAACAAGTGATTTAGCTGCTCTCTTCCTCAGTTTCCCCATCCAGAAAAATAAAATAGGGAGAAAATCATCTCTCCCCCAGGCTGGGTGCGGTCGCTCACACCTGTAATCCTAGCACTTTGGGAGGCCGAGGCGGGAGGATCACTTGAGGTCAAGAGTTTGAGACCAACCTGGCCAACATGGTAAAACCTTGTCTCTATTAAAAATACAAAAATTAGCCAGGCGTGATGGCTTTTGCCTGTAATCCCAGCTACTCGGGAGGCTGAGGTGGGAGGATCACTTGAACCCCAGAAGTGGAGATTACAGTGAGCCGAGATTGCACCACTGCACTCCAGCCTGGGTGATGGAGCAAGACTTCGTCTCAAAGAAAAAAAAATTCTCCCTTTTCAAACTGTTGAGAGAAGCATTGTAGAAACACAAGGAATGCTGGTCTTCTATGTCCATCTGTGAAACGACTTGGCCTGTTTTAAATTATGCCTGGAGTACCTAAGAGCCCTATCTCCTGTTTGCAAAATGGGGGTGTTGGGCTTCCCTTTATGGAGGCTAGGGAAACTGAGGCAATGTGCCCACAGCAAGATAAGGACACCTCAGACCTGGAAGGCAGGGACCTCCCCTCCTCTACCCTTTGGTGCTGCGAGGCTGGGAAGGGAGAGGAGGGCCGAGCAGTCCCTGGTGGGAGTGGGGGCTGCCCCCACCTCTCTGAAGGAGAAGCCTGCCTAGGGTGCCACAGCATTCAGCCCTCCATCAGCCTCTCTCTCCCCGGCCTCCCCAGGACCCATGGACAGGGGCAGATGGGAGTTCTCAGCCAGGGCAGCTCATCTGTCTGTTCTGGTCTGGTGGCCCCAGAGACACCTCTGGCTGGGGATTAAGCAGAGGAGGGACAGATTCTGCTGCCAAAGCACAAAAGGCTCCACATCAAGTAAGATGAAGGAGCTGACAAGCCTGGCTGTCATCACCGAGTGTCCTGCAGTTAAGAATAACACTGTCCTGATGTGGCCCCAGGGACTGTAGTCACCTCTCTCCCCCCACCACCACTGATCTTGTCCACCCCTGGTGCCACAGTGGCCTCTGCAATGCAGGGTCGGGGGTGAGCGAGGGGTAAGGGGCCACCTCAGGAGCCTCCAGGCTGGGAGCTGGGTCAGCTCCAAGGCTGGTGCTGTGTGACCCTAAGACTGGCCTGTGCCTCTCTGGGCTCTGCTTTCTCCTTGTGGAAGGTAGGGCGGTTGGAGGACGAGGGAGCTTCCCCACAGAGCGGGGGATCGGTGCACGCAGGGGGCCTCGGCGAAGATGAGGAGCCCTCAAAGGCTGCAGGGGGCCCTTTGCCTTTTGTTTATGACCTGGCTGTGTGGGATCTGGGACACTAAGGGACAGCAGGCTGTGGGGTTCACCGCCCCTGGGTTAGGATGGCACTGAGCACTGACCCCTTCATGACGTGGGGGTTATAAGTGGGGAACCAGGCTGTAGGCCGGGGAGTTGAAGGGGCCAGAGTGTCTGAGGTCCAGTCCTGAGACCCTGCCCCTTATCAGGGACCATGTACCTCCCTTCCAGGGAGCTCCACCCTCTCCTTCCTTAACACTCCCCCAGCCCTGCGACTGCCCCAGCTAACTGGGTCCCACCTTCTGAAACTGGGCCCCAGCCATGGCTTCCTTCACATGCCCTGTCATCTCTGGTGTCACAATCTAATGCTTCAAAGGAAGGAAGGGAGGGAGGGTTTGATGAGGAGGAACCCAGTCTCCAAAATCCAGGGTTTCAAATCCTTTCAAAAATCTTAGCTGGAATACAGACTCCCCAGCCATTCCCAGCCCCTCCCCTAGAGAACTCCTGCCTCCCAGCCCTCTCGGACCCCCCTACCGGGCCCAGCGGGGATGCCCACTTCCTGGGCCAGAGCCAGGATGTCCCCTCCCCAGGACCAACGTCTGAGCTCAGATACTCCCGGCCAGCCCAGAGACACCCTCCCCAGGCGCGGCTCAGTGAAGGGGTCTGCTCCCTCCCGGGCAGGTGGTGGCTGTTGACCCAGACCTGGGGGAGAATGGCACCCTGGTGTACAGCATCCAGCCACCCAACAAGTTCTACAGCCTCAACAGCACCACGGGCAAGATCCGCACCACCCACGCCATGCTGGACCGGGAGAACCCCGACCCCCATGAGGCCGAGCTGATGCGCAAAATCGTCGTCTCTGTTACTGACTGTATGGACCCCTCTCGCCCCTCACGGCCCCCACACCTTAGGCTGCGGGTGTCCCTGGTGACTGGGCCTCTGGGGTACCTGGGGCCCACCCAGGAGGTCTATGTCTGATCACCAAGAGTAGAGTAATACCCACGCCCCAGTTGTGACTCCTAGAGCACCCTGAGGGAACGGAGGGAGCTGGGGAGGGGAGCTGTGAGGCCTAGGCTGCTTCCTGGAGGGGCCTTTGGGATGGAGGGCTCTGAATCTGCCACCCTCTCACCACTTGCCTTCTTCCTGTCCGTTTTCTCTTGCACCCATCTTACCCTGTCCTTGGCCCCTTCTCGCCCTGGTCTTCCCAGGTGGCAGGCCCCCTCTGAAAGCCACCAGCAGTGCCACAGTGTTTGTGAACCTCTTGGATCTCAATGACAATGACCCCACCTTTCAGAACCTGCCTTTTGTGGCCGAGGTGCTTGAAGGCATCCCGGCGGGGGTCTCCATCTACCAAGTGAGTCTCTATCATCTCATTCCTACCAGCCCAGAGGTGGGCAGTGGGTGCCTGAGGAGCCTAGCCCAGGCTGAAAACTTTGCAGGGCTGGGGCAGGGGAGGAGCTGGGTCTTGAAGGACAGAGGCTCTGGAGATGTGGAGGGAAGTGTGGCAGGAAAAGGATAGGGAGATGGGCAAAGGCAGAGGTAGAGAGAGGGAGAGAGGCAAAGATGGAATTCTGGAAGTCATGTCCAAGTTTCTCAGGGCCTGATTATGGAGGTCTGGCCCAGGACCTTGGACCTTCCATTCCCTAAGCCTGCAGATGGTTCTAGAATACAAAGAAGGCCAGATGAGTGTAGCCCTGGGCATCTGCCTCTCCCATGCCTTCTCATAAGCCCCGGATCAGCTCCCTTTACTACAGTAGAGGGGCCTCTGTCTACTTTGCAGGGCTCTAAAGAGACTTGCCCAAGACCCCTTGGCCAAGCACATGGTCTGATCTTGGGCCTGGCTTCTTTGCCTCCTGTTCCATCATCCTCTGATTAGAGGGATCCTGAAGGTGCTGGTTTAGGGGAGATGACATCCAGGGTTTCAAGTCCTTTCAACACCTCTGCCCTCCGGGGGCCATTCAGAAACACTGGAGACCCTCCTGGTTAAGAGCATGGGCCGTGGAGTCCAACCAACGGGGATGTGAATCCCATCTCCAGCACCAGGGTGCTGTGTACTTGGAGCAAACTGCTTAACCTCTCTGAGTCTCAGCTTCTCATCTGTGAAATGGAGATAATAATAGTACCTGCCTGGCTGTGCTGTGGGGACTCAATCAGACACACGTATGAAGCACCCTGGAACTTGGACACAGGAAACACAGTAGCTGTGGTGATCACTGTGTGTCGGTCACGAGGGCTTATACCTGAGACACAATGGCTGTATCAGGTTAGCCTGTTCTCATTAGAAGAAGATGGGGTTGTTTGTCAGGATGCCAGAGGGGGTGAGCTTGGTGGTGCCCCACAGGCCCGCTGTGCCTCAGTTTCTTCATCTGTAGGAGGAGGTGAATGGTGTTCTTTGGCAGGTCCCCAAACTCCCAGCAGGGAGCGCCTCAATCCAGGGAACGGCAGTCGGTCCCCGAGGAAGCCCCCAGACCGGAGGGGAGGCGGGGTGAGAGCAAGTCAACCCCCAAACCCTGTTCTCTGGGGGCTCACAACCAGCGAAGAAAGATGCCCACCAATGCAACTTCTGAGTTCATAGAGGAAGGAGCGGGGAGCGTTTAACTTGGAAACTGTCCTCACATACACGATGAGGGCCCTCCCTTGAACTGTGGCTCCCTGGTCCCACCTAGGACCTCAGGAGATACAGATTTCTGCTGGTTGTGGAGAAGAGCGTTCTCCAGGGGGTAGAGCTGTGCGCAAGTAAAGTAAAAGTACTGAGCCCCCCGTCCTGGAAAGCATTCAAGCTGAGTCCAGACACCTCTCGTCCAGTTTGCTGGATGTGAAATAGATCAGACGACCTTGATATTGTCTCCCAATCCTGAGAGTCTTGGCTTAATCCAAAACTCTTATTTTATTTATTATTACACATTTCCCCAAATGCCTTGAATCCACTTCAGTAAAACATTCAGGGTACCAGGGTCTTGAGTCGGGCAATCTGATCAGGACTGGAGGTGCAGATGAGAACAGTGTAGGAATTTGGGAGGAGGCTTGCCTGTGCATGGCCACAAACAGTTTTTTAAAAAAATAATAATAATGAAATCCTCAAGTGACTTTTAAAAAAGAACCCTTGATGTAATTTTATTTTTGTTGTTACTATCTCACAAATCAAAGCAAAGCGGGGCAGGGGAAGTCTGTGAATCCAGCCTTCTACGTGGTTGAACTCCAGATAATGGTGGGGTCCTTAAGCTGGAACAGCTGCTCCAAATCTGGGAGGGCTTCCTAATGGGGAGAGCAGGGGATGAAGGGGAGAAAGCGCTGTAGAGACCTGAGCTCTTATTCTAAAAAGTCCCTCTGCCACCCCATCACCGGCCTCACTTGGTGCATCTGGACGCCTTTCAGCTGACATGCGACCCCCTTAGAGGGTGCCTGGGAGGGTGCCCTGGGGACAGTGGCCTGGCCTAAGGCTTGGAGGGGAGCAGATGTGTCTAGCTGCAGCCAAGTGTGGCTTGGCAGGGAGGAGGAGCACTTCTTGGGGGAGAAGCATCCATCCCAGTGTCCCCTCCCCACCCTCATGCTGCCCCTCCTTGCCCTCAGGTGGTGGCCATCGACCTCGATGAGGGCCTGAACGGCCTGGTGTCCTACCGCATGCCGGTGGGCATGCCCCGCATGGACTTCCTCATCAACAGCAGCAGCGGCGTGGTGGTCACCACCACCGAGCTGGACCGCGAGCGCATCGCGGAGTACCAGCTGCGGGTGGTGGCCAGTGATGCAGGCACGCCCACCAAGAGCTCCACCAGCACGCTCACCATCCATGGTGAGGGGGCGCAGGGGCTTCTGCTGTGTGCTCAGTGTGTGGGCACAGGCCTGGGTCAGGGGCAGGGGTAGAGGGGAGCCCATGTCCCCCACTGCTGTCTATTGGACTTGTAGGCACAGGCTCCCTTGTTAATGAGGTGCCCTCCCCAGCTGGAGCCATTCAACACAGCAGAGCCTTCTCCACACCTGACCACTGCCTTCAGTGCCCCAGAGCTCAGGGGCAGTGGCCTGGACCTGCTGCCAAAGCCCCATCAACCCCACCCCTCCTAGCCTCTGATCGTGGCAACAGCAGAGAGGGCTTGAGCAGGGCCCGGGACCCTCAGGGTCATGAACAGGCAGGGAGGGTGCAGAGCCCTTTGTCTTCTTTGGAAGGCCAGAGTTTTTGTTTGGGAGACATAAAGGAGACCTCCCCCTCCCATGGGTGTGGAACCCCTGGACTGGCAGTAGCAGGGCATCACCCTGGGAAGAGAGCAGCTGGGACTCCCAGACTCCCTAAGATCCTCATCCCCCTGGGACTCTCATGCTCATTCCCAGTGTCTCTGCCCTCTATTGGTGAAGGGACGGGGTACTGTTTCCACTCTGGATGAGTCTTTAATTTTCAGGACAGGATGCAGACATGAGCTGTTGCCAAGGGGCCAGGAATAACCCCAGGGAAATAAGGGCAGAGTTTAGCAGGCAAGACATGGCCTGTTCCCTGAGCCTGTTCAATCCCATCCTAGCTCTGCTGGCCTCCATGGGATGGTAGGGGGCGGGGGAGGGTGTAGTTAGCTCAGCACAGGCTCAGACACTGACCCTCTTCAGTTGAGACCTAAGATGGTGAGGATTTCAGAGAGCACAACATTCTCTCTCCCATTGGTCCGAAGCTTGCCTGTGGGTTTCTGTTGCCAGTTTCAGGACCCCCTTATTGGCCGATGATGGACAGGGAATATGTCCCAGCTTTAAGAGAGGACCCCTGGAGGGCCTTTCTCCAAGACTCAGCAGAAGCCATAACATCAAATGGGCCCAGGATCTCTCCTGGTGATACCATTCAGAGGAACCCAAGTGGGGTGGGGATCACTTCGCTATGAAGGTTGTCCAAGCCCCATCTGCCTGAGGAATAGGGGCCTAGCATGCAGAGCGGAGTAAACACATCTGTAAGGGAAATTAAACCTTATTTCGGGGGGTGGGATTTTCAAAGTGAGCTCCCTTTGCTGAAAGTCCGTTGCATGCTGAGGGTAGACCTTGAGGCTCCAGCCCTCCACTGTGCCACTGTGTGACTTTGGACAAGTCACTCAGCTGCTCTGAGCTCCCGCTTCCTCAGCTCCACAGTGTGTCTAATAATGCCCACCTCCTAGGGTGCTCAGAGGGCTGCATGTGGTCCTGTATGGGAAGCACTCAGCATGGGCTTGGCACGCTGGACAAGCTCGTAAATGGTCACTGTCGTCATCGTTGTCATGATTGTCCGTGTTGCCATGGTCGTTGTTAGGTGCGTACTGGAGAGAGGTTCTAAGGTTTTCTCTCCTCCCTTTGACAGCTGAGCAGCAATAAGCCCCCAGGGCACAGGGACAGCGGGAGGGTCTGGAGCACTGGTGGGCCTGGTCCTGGCCCCGGTGGGCATGGGGGGCCCTGGGCTTATGGCCAGGAGGTGTTGACACAGATGCCACTTGGAGCCCGTGACTCCCTTGGGAATTCATTCCCTACTTGGTCTGGTGCTGGAGACGCTGCTCTGGAGCTGGGTCTTCTGCGGCAGAAGCCAGGCCTAGCCCCGGCGCCCGTTCTGCCCCGCAGTGCTGGATGTGAACGACGAGACGCCCACCTTCTTCCCGGCCGTGTACAATGTGTCTGTGTCCGAGGACGTGCCACGCGAGTTCCGGGTGGTCTGGCTGAACTGCACGGACAACGACGTGGGCCTCAATGCAGAGCTCAGCTACTTCATCACAGGTGCTGCCCCGGCCTCCGCCCACCTGTGCAGGCCTCCTGGGGCCCTGCCTCCACCCCTCCCAGATGGACAGCCAGACTAGGTGGGGGCAGGTGAGGGTGGAAAAGAGGTCAGGGCTCTACTGTTGGGCTTTAGCCTCTGGTGGTGCCTCCCGAGGATTTGCTCCTGGCTCTTCCCAAGGGCTTTGCAGCTGGATCACTCTGGACTGGCTCCCTGGGGACCTCCTGAACCTGTTGGTTGCAGGGACGGGGAGCATCTACCAAGGTTCATTCTAGAGGGAGGTAAGGCCCCATGATTCCTAGGGAGGAGCCCTGAGCCCCACTCCCCGCCCCAAGTCTGGGTGACAGAGCAGTGACTTGGAGGAATGTGGCCTCATCCTTCCTTGGGGACCTGTTGAGAATTCCCACCTGTTTAGAGGCAGATGGTTTTGATCTCCCTAAATGAAATGGTTTTAGCTCAAAAATGTTGCCTGGCTGTTGTCTGCAGAGCTGTGGCCACAGATGATGAGGCCATGTCCTGGCTCACAGGGGAAAGTGAGCTGCAATGGATTAGTGATGTCTGCCACAGTGGTAGGATTGGTAGATGGTGGCGCACATGCCATGGGTTTGCCATTCCTGGATGAGAACACAGCTTCTTAGCCTCCCCGACACACGAGAGATGCTGGGACACATGGGGGTGCAGTCTTCCCCATTCCTCAACCCTCTTTGGCCCTTTTACTGGCTCAGTCTTCTCTCTGTCCATGACCTGCCTACCAACACACATGTTGCCTCTGCATATGTGTGCCTGTACACACGAGCAGGGCACACACCAGCCTTCCCAATGCCTCCCCATGAAGCAAGGATGCCCAGCTCACAGCCCATCTGTGGCTTTGCTGCGGCCAACGTGACCTCCCAGCCCTCAGCCTTCCCTTTCTTCCCTCACCTCCCTGAAGGGGCCCAGCACCCTCAGGCCCACTCCTTACAGTCTGGCCCTCAAGTCGGCCCTAGGGAGGGCTTAGTTACTAAGACCCCTCACATGGCACCAGCTCCGTGGCTCCACTGCCCACACTATTTACGTCCTAGTTCTGCCCTGGGCTCCCCGGGAGTCAGAGTGTGTCCCTTGCAGATGGTACTTCAGACACTGGGGAGCACTGGAGGTTTGGGGGTCAGGAGGCTTTCCCTAGGGGCAAACCAGCAAGAACAGGGGGAGCACCTGGCAGCCTGCAGGATGACTCTTCAGCACCCCAGAGTGGTGGGCTCCCGCTGACCTGCCCAGAGCCCTCCCGGATTTTCAGTGCACATTCTGCAAGGAGCTGAGCCCAGTCCTGCCCAAGCTCACCACAAAGCTGGTGCCGTGGCGCCCTCTGCTGCCCAGAACACCACACTGCTCGCCAGCTGGCAGGGGAGGGGTCTCCACGCTGTTCTGGGAGTTCCTTCCTGACTCCCGTCCACCGCGAGAGGAGACCCTCACACTTCCCACCTGTCCCAGAACTCAAGGAGACTCAGTAATCCCTGTCTCCTGTACACCTGCCTTGACTCCTCCCTCTGTGGAGCCTCCATGTCCCCACTCAGGAAGCTTCGCTCCTCAGCCCATCTCACCTCCGAGATGAGGGGCCTGGGGGATGCTCAGCCAACCCCAGAGTTCTCAGCAACATATACAAGCCCCTATGCAGGTTAGCTGCTCAGACGCTTCTGCAGGACGGGCAGGGAGCAGAGGGGTGAAGGATAAGCCCAGGGACCCACGCATGGAGAAACCCAGAGTGGCACAGGCACATCACTGAGTGAGGGGTTCTCCTCTGTGAGGTGGAGGCTAAATGAAATGGTCTGCATGAAGTACCTGTAAACAGGAGGTGCTTCGTGAAGGTTAGGAACGGATTCCAGGCATCTGGCACCCCCGCTGAGCCCACCCAAGCTGCACCCGCATCAGAGCACCTCAGGCAGGGCCGAATCAGCAGCACAGCCTCCCACTCCTGGACTCACCATCGCGGGTCCCAGCTCAGGAGCAGAGTCCCCGCTTCCCCTGGCCGGGAGCTCTGTTTCCCAGCCGGAAGCTTCCTCTCCTTCACCCACAGGTGGCAACGTGGATGGGAAGTTCAGCGTGGGTTACCGCGATGCCGTTGTGAGAACCGTGGTGGGCCTGGACCGGGAGACCACAGCCGCCTACATGCTCATCCTGGAGGCCATCGGTATGCACCAGTCCCGCACCCACCAACACAGTGATCTGGGCAGAGTTCACACAGGGTGCCTCCCAGGAGCTGGCCTTTTGCTAAAGGCTGAACTCTGCCCAGATGCCAGTGGAGAAAGGGCCACCAGGCACTCACCAAACATTACTCAGCACTTGCCGGGCATGAGGCTCACTGCATGGTGCCACATGCAAGACACTAGGATGGTAAGGTGGGAGCTACATGGGAGACCCACATGTAGACAAATTACTGCAAATCCAGGCAAGCCAGCAGGAAGGGAAAAGGATGACATAAGAGTATTGGGCAGTGGTGCAAACACAGAGTGGGAGAGGTCACGGGAGGCTTCCTTCACGAATCGGCATCTGGGAGTGCCTTTGAGTGAGTTAGGACCCTTTCAGTTGAAAATTTTAAAATAAAATAAACTGACTTCAGCAATATGGGCTCACAAAACCAGTCCACTGGGAGATGTAACTCCCAGTATGACTGGATTCAGGGCTCAGGTGACACCTCAGGCTTCAGTCTCTGCACTGGCTGGCGCTGCCTCCTGTGTGTTGATGTATTAGTCTGTTTTCACGCTGCTGATAAAGACATATCCGAGACTGGGTAATTTATACAGGAAAAAGGGTTTAATGGGACTTACAGTTCCACGTGGCTGGGGAGGCCACGTGGAACTCACAATCATGGCAGAAGGCAAGGAGGAGCAAGTCCTGTCTTACATGGATGGTAGCACGCAAAGAGAGAATGAGGAAGACGCAAAAGTAGAAACCCCTGATAAAACCATCAGATCTCATGAGACTTATTTACTACCACGAGAACAGTGTAGGAGAAAATGCCCCCATGATTCAATGATCTCCCGCTGGCTCCCTCCCACAACATGTGGAAATTATGGGAATACAATTCAAGATGAGATCTGGGTGGGGACGCAAAGCCAAACCATATCAGTTGGCTTTATTCTTCAACTCACATGGTGGCAGGTCGTTGCCCCAGCCTCACCTGTACACATTCTCAGGTTCAAGTGCAGCGGCATGGAAGACAGCACTTGTCTCTTTCCCCTCCCTGGCAGAAGCCCTCAGATCAGCTCTAGATAGATCCATTCTGCCCCAGTGCCCATTCCTGAGCCCCTCA
This sequence comes from Homo sapiens, assembly GCF_000001405.40. Lineage (NCBI taxonomy): Eukaryota > Metazoa > Chordata > Mammalia > Primates > Hominidae > Homo > Homo sapiens. Next base: position 71,710,334 of record NC_000010.11, read on the forward strand.
CTGTAGCCAGGGAAGTGAGATGTGCTGGTTACTTAAGCCTAAGTCACATGCCCATCCTGGGCCCTCCTGCTCCTGGGCTTTTCCTTCTTCAGGCCTCAGGGCAGCCTCACCCCCCACCCCAACCTCCAGGAAGACAGTGCCTAGTGGCCAGCAGGGCCTGCTGGTGAGGTGGATGGCTACAGGCTGAATCCAGCCTAGGATGTGCAGGGAGCTGGGGGCAGTCCCACCTACCCAGCATCCCAGGCCTCAAAGCCTGGAAGGGAGGGTCCACAGGGGGACATTCAGGACATGGCCTTCCCAGGGGAGCACAGGGCAGTGCTGATGGACAGAAACAAGGGGTGCCCACTGCAGCCTTGGAGGCCACATAAGGTTTCAGTACATGAAGAAGCAGGGAGGGCACTTCAGGCAGAGGCACCAGCCCATGCAAGGGCCTGGAGGTGGGAAAGTGCCTTGTGTGCACAAGCATGCGTGCATGCACCGCAGCTGGCCCATGGAGTGGCCCACACTGGGGAAGGGGAGGCTGTGATCAGGTAGGGCCATGTGTGGAGGCCTAAACATTGGCCAAGAAGTTTGGTCTTTGGTCTCTGGGCAGCAGGGAGCCCTTGAGGGCCCCAGAGGGGAAGAGTGGTATGATGAGACCTGTGCCGCCGGGTGCTCCTGGTCCTCCCAGGAAGTTTGCAGTGAGCTGAGTAAGAAGGGAATGAATTCTCTGGGCCTCACTCTTTCCAACCATCAATCCCTTCCCAGCCCGCCCATGCCCAGATGCCTCTGCCCTCTGCCCTGCTCTCCTCCCCTCCTGGAATGGCTGCCCACCCTCTGGAGACTTGTTATCACCCCTGAGTCCAGCCCTCACTTTGGGCATTGCCTGGCAGGAGGAGAGGGCTTCTGCCAGCCTTCTAGGGAGCCTCCCACACACACACCAATCCCAGCCAGAGCAATAAGCCAACCCCCAAGGGTGGTGGGAGGCTGGTCTGGAGAGGAGCTTTGGAGGGTGAGAAGACCTACCTCCAGTGAGCGACAGCACTGCCACGTATGGTCAGCTGGCCTGGGGAAGAAGGATGGCGTCACCCTAGGTCTCCAGGCTACTCCAGCTGCCTGCACCACCCCCTGGGGTGACCACTCTTGCCTGGACATGCAGCGCTGGTTACAAGCTCCTTCCTCCAGGGAGGACAACCCAAGAGCTGCCTGGGGCTGAGTCAGTGCCCCATCCTCACCACCTCCCAGCCCTGGGAGGGTCCTGTGGGAACTGGAGGGACAGAGTCTCCGGGGACCTTAAGCTTAGATCCCAAGCAAAGCCCGTGTTCCTGAATGCAGAGGGGACGTTTGTTTGACCTATCCAATATTTTATAAAGAATGACCATTAGTTGTGAAAGTTTAAAGATCAGGAGATTTTATTTAAAAGCTCAGATGTTCAATTTCTCATGAGAAATCAGAAGATCTGGTGTCTCTGGGCCCACATTCTGCCTGTCCGCTGTGGACTGGAGTGGAGGACAGCTGCCCTTCCAGCGGGGCCCATCCAGGTGTTTGACCCAGGTGCTATACCCGCCAGTCCCTGACAGCAGTTGGCTTTTTGCTCTTAGTACCTGTATCTGCATCCTAAATTTGCCACGACAAACTACCACAAACTTAAAACAGCAGAAGTGTATTCTCTCCTGGTTCTCAAGGCCAGAAGTTAGAAATTAAGGTGTCGGCAGGGTCACGCTTCCTCCAAAGGCTCTAGAGAGAATCAGTCCTTGACCGTCCCAGTTTCTGGAGTCGCTAGGCATTCGGTGGCTTGTGGCAGCATAACTCCAGCCTCTGCCTCCATCTGCATGTGGCCTCCTCCTCTCTGTCTCAAATGTCCCTCTGCCTTTCTCTTGTAAGGACACTTGCCATTGGGTTTATGGGCCACCCAGCTCACCCAGGATGATCACTTCTCAAGATCCTTAACGTAATTACATTTTCAAAGGCCCTTTTCCCAAATAAATTAATCTTCACAGGTTCCCAGGGGTTTAACATGGGTCTGTTTTTTTTGGGAGCCATCATTCAATCCACTTGAGTGCCTCAGTTACCTCCTCTGTAAAATGGGGATGACAGTAAAGTGTCTGCTTCATGGGGTTGCTGTGAGGACTGAATGGGTTAGAAGAATGGCTGGCACATGGTGTTATCTAAGTATTTGATACTGTTAGTGTTATTCCTAAGCTAAAAAGGAAGTCACCCCTTGCAAAGGCTAGGGCAGATGGGGCGGAACAGGGCACCTCTCTGGCCGGTGCCCGGGAGTGTGCAAAGTCACAGGAAGTGTGCCCCTCTCTCAGGCAGCTGCTAACACCTGTCTTCCTTCAACTCCCACAGACAACGGCCCTGTAGGGAAGCGACACACGGGCACAGCCACCGTGTTCGTCACTGTCCTGGATGTGAATGACAACCGGCCCATCTTTCTGCAGAGCAGCTATGAGGCCAGCGTCCCTGAGGACATCCCTGAAGGCCACAGCATCTTGCAGGCAGGTGGCCCGTGGCCTCTGGGGCAGGTGGTGGGCTGGGGGAGGCGGAGCCACACACGGCCCTGAGGGCACATGCTCAGTGGCACCAGAGGCGGAAGCAGGTGGGGGCCCAGGGTGGGTCCGCTGCTCTGGAAGGTGCTGTGGGGAAAGGGGGACCCAGGCCCTCTCCCATCCCAGGGAGTGTGGGCCCCCAGGTTGCAGAGCTGAGGATAGGGCTCTGGCTCCCCACAAACAGGAGGAAGACTTGGCCTCCCCCTGCATATCTCCCGCCCCACCCAGAAGGGCCTTTCAGAGTAGCGGGGAGAAAGAGACGTCACAATTTCCCGGAAAGGAGTTGAGAAGAGAGCCAGGGCCCAGCAAGGCCCAGAACAGAGCTGCTTTCACAGAGCCCTTGGCCGAGGCTCCCCTCTTGGGAAGTAAACAGGCACAAGAAGAAAGGGCTCCTTTGCCCAGGGAGCAGGCGCAACAGCTCCAAGGCTCAGAGGGAGAGAAGGGAGGACCCTGAAAACAATTTGGGTGTGCACCCACACCTCTGCCCAGAGGCCTCAGTTGCTGGGTGGGGAGGGAGGCCCGGAGTGAATGAGTCTCTTTACCAACTATGGGGTTTCCGACTCGGAGGCTGAGCCAAACAGGGAATCTGGGCCTGCCCACTGGGGCAGGCTCCCGGGCTTGGGAGGGACAGAAGCGTGGGAGGCTGGCAATGCTCCCCTCCCTGCATCGGGACCAGGAGGCGGGCAGGAAAGGGCTGGGGAGCAGGGAGCTGACTCCCAGAAACACAGAGAGCCCAGAAAGCCCTGAGGATTTGCGAGAGTGTGGTGGCTAGCTCCAGAAGGAGGAAGTAGAGGGTTCTCTCGATCAGGGCCTCAGCTTGTGAGGACTTGGAGCATACCCCCCTGGCCTGGTGCCTGAAACCCAATTGAGAGCCCTCCCCCTCCTGGACTTTTCCTTCTTCAGGCCTCAGGGCAGCCTCAACCCCCACCCCAACCTCCAGGAAGACAGTGCCTAGTGGCCAGCAGGGCCTGCTGGTGAGGTGGATGGCTACAGGCTGAATCCAGCCTAGGATTTGCAGGGAGGCCCCAGGGGAAGCAAACCAGGAAGAGGTTACTGAGCAGGAAGGGAGGAAGGAACAAAACCCTTAGGGAGGAGGCCTGCCCCACTTTCTAAACCCAAAGACTTGGTTTCTATTTACACAATACTACTCTTACTGAAATCCTAGAGCCAGCGAGTTAATATAGGGCAGCCCTGAGTTCTCCCATTTCTCAGGGAGAAATGCAGCGTCTCAGGATGACTTCTCCAAGGTCCTCTTGGTAAGTTTCTTGTGAAGCCGGACTCACTTTTTGAGATCAGATTGACTTGGAAGGAAGGGACAGTGGGCTTCTCCAATAGAGCCTGCTTGGAGAGAAATCTTTCTAGAGTCATCTGAGGGAAGATGAGGCTCTGTGTTATGCCAGCTTCCACCAAGACTCCTGCCTCAGAGGGTGGGGACACACCCAGGCTGGGCCACGCTTCACTCTGTACACAGAAGCCTCATACTTCTGTGCACAGAACTGGGGAGTCAAAGTGAGGGGCTGGACAATGTCTGGCTCTCTGCAAGCTCCCAAGCTGGTAGGAAAGAGAAGACATAGACAAAAAGGACCCATGCTGCCAAGAGAATGTTCCTTTTCCTCCCCAAGAGAGGTAGGAGACAGTAGGGGCGGCTCCAGGCAGGAGGGCTTCACAGAGTGGGTGTGTGTGAAGCATAAGCCACAGTTAGTGGGTGACAGGTCTTTCAGTTTTCCTGGAGTTTTGGATCAAGATGAGGCTAGAAAGATTAATTGGAGCCAGCTCCCAGAGGGCACTGCACACTGCGCTGAGGAGCTTTGGCTATATCCATTTGGCATTAGGGAGCCAGTGAAGGTTTTGGAGCTGGGGAGTGGCAAGCCAGAGCTCACTCCTTGGGGAGACGTGGCTGGCTGCACTGTGGGTCACAGCAGGATGGGGGTGGGGCAGCTTTGTGGTGGGATCCTGGCCAGCTGACTGGGACAGGAGCTGGGCAGCCCAGGTCCTCCCTCTGCCCACCCTTCAAATTTGGGACCTGACCAAAGTGTTTAACCCTCGCGTTGTGAGGAGAGGTCAAGGGTTTGGGATTCTGAGAAGCCCATCCTGGGGTGGGACTGCTTTGACGGGTCATCAGCAAAGCACTCACCAAAACCACAGATAGCATCCCTAGTGTGGGCAGGACTTGGGACCCCACAGCTGTCCTGGAGAGGTCCAGACCATCCCACCCTCGGGGAGGCTGCCGCTTTCCCTGGGTGAGGTGTGGAGCTGCTGTGAGCTGTCCTCCTCCGAGTCCAGGTGGCATCACCTCCAGCTGCTGGAAATGCCCTGCCTCTTGCCACTCTGTCACAGCACCCGCCCTGGCCTCTGAAGGGAGCCTCCTCGATCATCTTCAATCCCTTCCTGATTGATCCCAACGTGGGTGCCCTGAAGAGGGGCCACCAAGACGGCTGCCAAGACCATGCTTGGAGAGCCCTGTTTGCTCCTCCTCCCAGCTGGCACCCAGGCATCTGTTCCACCAGGAGGGAGGCAGCTGCTCCCACAGGGCACCAGGCAGATGCTGGCAGCACCCGGGAAACCCAAGGAAGAGAGCCCCGAGGTTTTGCCCCAGCACTGGGCCAGCACAGATGCCAGGACAGTGTCTTGGCCCCGGTGTAGGCTGAGCATTTCACTTGACTAAAGGGAACCTTTGCCATTTGGCAACTTCTCCATGCTGGGCTTTGGCACCTGGAGGGCAAGGCTTCTGTGGCGAGCGAGGGTGCTGCTTCTAGGAGGTGGTTACGAGCCCCAGGTTGTACCCTGTGGAGCCTCAGGCCAAAGGCCCAGATGACCACGAGTGCACATCTCTTGACCAGAAGTCTTTCATCAAGCAGCAGCGAGGGGGTCTGCAGAGAGGAAGGTGCTCTTCTGAGGATCATCTTTGGGAAAGGGCGCTGGCCTGGGCATGCAAGGAGCTTCGGGGGGTGAGTGTGTGTCCCAGACTGCTTGGGCCACTGTCTTCCTGCAGCCTGCAGCACCGGTCTCTGAAGCAGGAGGATCTACAGGTAGACCTAGGGGGATGTGGGGGCATGTTTGTGGACACCCCATTACATCTTGGTAGATTCCATGTAGTCACAGTGGCTGCGGTTGTCCTCGGGGCCCGGCAGGGGCTGTCGAGGGACGGTGGGCCGGCCATGGCGGAAGCTGTGCAGGGAGAGGCGCAAGGAGCCCAGGCGCTTCCAGAGCCGGAGCTGGGGCTCACTGGGGCTCCCAGGGTGGTGGGGCATGCACTCGTGAGCCCTGCGGCGGCTCGGGTCCAGCGCGGCCGGCTTGCAGAGCGTCATGAACAGCAGACAGGTGGCCAGCAGGAGGAAGATGCAGGCCAGGGCGATGAGCATGGGGAGGGGGTCAGTTGCCTCTGCAAGGGTCCCGGGAGTGACGGGAGCTGAGAGAAAGGCGAGGGGGCTGATGGCTGGGGAGCTGGCGAGGCTGGGGCCCTCTGTGCTCATGGCTCCTGCAACAGCAACAAGACAGAAGCTCAAAGGCAGATCAGCTGGACCCAGGGCAGCGGGTATAGGGAAGACTTACCTAGGGAATGTGGATGGGGGCAAGGCACTGTTAAACTGGACAGCATCATGGCCACATCACAGGTTAAGACAGCAAGGTCCAGAGACATCACAAGTCTAAGTGTACACACAGCTGAGCAGTGATGGAGCTGGGCCCAAGCTCAGGCCCTCTTCCTGTTCCACCCTGTGCCCATCTGCCATGCAGACAAGAGGGCGGTGGCCTGTCCGCATTTTCAAATCAATCCTCATGAATCATCACAGGGTCTTAGGCCTGGAAACTTAAGACCAACTCTGTCAATAACTTGCTCTGTGGCCAGGAACGAGTTATGGATGGTAAGAGGCCGCAGCTGCCAGGGTCCCTAGCAGTAATCTAATACCAAAGCTGCAAACTGGGGGCCCACGGGTGTGTTTAGTTGGGTCCTTGCCATGTTTTTATCAATGTAATTATGAATATTTTCAAAATAATAACAGATTTCACAAAAATATATGGGTGCCTGAATTCTCTTGAAATGTCAGAATTTCACCACTGGCATTGGCCCATGTTCCTGCCTCATCCCTGTGTCTGGGGCTGAGCAGCCGCTGCCCCCTGTAGACAGGGCACTGACCTCCAGCTCCCCACCCTCCCCCACAGGCCCACCACACACCTTATTTCACCTGCCTGGCCCCGTGGGGATTCCTGTGACTGCTTCCCCATGCAGTCCAACTTGCTCCCACGACAGGTGGGAAACTGAGGTCCGAAGAGGGGATTTGGCATTAGGGAGCCAGTGAAGGTTTTAGAGGTGGGGAGTGACAAGCCAGAGCTCACTCCTTGGGAAGGCTTGGCTGGCTGCATTGTGGGTCACAGTAGGGTGGGGTGGGGCAGCTTGGTGGTGGGAAGGCCAAGGCCACATTGTGAGCCAATGGCCAAGTGAAGGTCAGAAGCAGGTCTCCTGACTCCTGGCCCCATGGCCTTGCCACCCCTCTGGCCCCCAGCCCTTTCGGAGCTCAGTGAGCTGCTCTGGGAACAGGTGGGAAATAAACCCACAAGGAGTTGACAAGGGGGCTGGAAACCCCCCAGGGACATCATACACCTGACAGGGCATTTCCTTTCCCACTGAAGATCATCCCATTAGACGCAGTGCAGCAGACGGTCCTTGTCGATGGAAAACCAGGCTGAGCTTTTGGCTCAATATGTCTGGGGTTGTAATAAAAATGCTCACAGATCCTGGCCAGCAGATAACACATGACCAGAGGGTACAGATGAGCAGGGCCACCTGGAGAGCACTGGCTGGGCCCTCTCAAGGAAGTGGAGGGGCCTCAGCCCAGAATGGTGCTGTCAGTGCCGGAGTGCAGGCCCAGTGTGGTCAGCTCTGTCAGTTTCCCAAGAGAAGCCAGAAATCTGGATTTTTTTAAAGGCAAACATTCTAGACGTTTAAATGTTGGCAGCTAATTCAAATTTGTTGAAGGCAAGAAAGAAGAGAGGTGGGGTGGGGGAGAACACAGCAAAAGCCAAATAAACTTGATTTCAAAATAATGTGAAATGAATTTTCAAATATTTGAAACACTACACAGGCCAAACCAAACACATAAGCAGAGGACGTCCAGCTTGCAGGTCAGCATGTGTGATATTTAAATTCTACTGACGTGGACAAGCAATCCCAGGGGGTCTGATAAAAAGTCATGATTTCCCTTTAACCTTGGGGTCTTTCCTTTTCATGAGGGTGGGGGATAGCAGATTTTCCTCCTTCCCAGCTTGCAGCTTAGATAACAGTTGAGTTTCTAGCACGGAAGCTCAGGAGGAGGAAAGATGTCAGGTCACGCTCAGAGAAACCCTGCCACAGGTAGTGGGGAGGGGAGTGGGCCACCTAGTTCCCCACCCGAGGGACTCCTGTCCCTACCCCAGGCACTCACCAGCAGCCGCAGGACCTCACTCCTGGCTCCCTGCGCCCAGCCAACTGAGGGCATGCAGAGCACCCCACCTCCCACCCATTCCCCACCACCACCCCTCCCAGCACTTCCAGGCAGAAAACGACCCCTCCCAGTGCCTGGCTGGAAAGTGTGATGCCCGTCTAGCTGCCCAGGGCCTCCGCCTTTGCGGCATCAGGCCTAGAGAGCACTCTGGCTGGGCAGCTGTGCATGGGTTGGCCTTTCCTTGAGTCTGAGCAGGGAGGAGGGATGGGGTGTGCCCACCGCTCATTCCCGTGGGGAGAAAATCAGCCATCCCTCTCTCCTACCCTGGACAATGCTTGGCCAGGAGTAAGAAAAGGGCAGTCTGAAATGGGAGATGCCTCAATCCTACTAGTTCTAATGTTATTTCAAGGCCTTCAAAGGAATCTGGAGACCCTACTGGGCTAGCAAATAGGATCCAGGCTTCAGGCCTTGGGACCTGCTTTAATTTAAAAAATAAGTGAGGCCAGGCGTGTTGGCTCTCACCTGTAATCCCAGCACTTTGGGAGGCCAAGGCAGGAGGATCACTTGAGCCCAGGAGTTTGAGAACAGCCTGGGCAACATAGTGAGTCTTCATTTCTGAAAGAAAAAAAAAAAAGGTTTTTTAATTAGCCAGGTGTGGTAGTATGTGCCTGTGGCCCCAGCTACTCAGGAGGCTGAGGCAGAAGGATCATTTGAGCCCAAAAGTTTGAGGCTACAGCGAGCTAGAATCATGCCACTGCGCTACAGCCTGAGCGACAGAGCAACACTCTGTCTCAAAAAAATAAAAAATAAAAAAAAAATAAGTGGAGTTGTAATTAGCATCTGAGTAGTTCCTGTGGCAACGAGAGATTCCTAAGTGCTTGAAAACAACACAACACCCTTCCTGGAGCACGAGGCAAGTCCAGCTGCCAGGCCCCTTGACACCCGGCTACTGACCAACCAGCAAAGGCCAGCTAGTACTGGGAGAGGATGCCTTGCCCGGACCAAGGCCAGGAATCATCTGGAGGGCAGTTGAAGCCACTCCCTTCCCACTGGGGCCAGGGTGCACCAGCGGGCCCTGCTCTGGACATATCTCTGCAAGCTCAGTCTAGGACCCTCCTCTTCCCTTGGAGTTCCACAGAGCAGGACCTGCTGTGGGCAGAGAAGACTGCTGTGTGGCCTCGGGCTAGTCCCTACCCCTTACTGGGCCTTGTTTCCCCTCTCTACAGAACCAGAGGACTGCCTAGGTCTGAGCATACCCTCACATTCTCCCAGGAGTCCCCAGCAAGGGTCTCCACCACACTTCCCTCTCCAAGCCTTCTCCTGCAGTCCCCCAAGCACTGACCTCAGAGCCAGACCCCAGCCGTCCGGAGCTCCGTGGAGAGGTCTTCTCAGCTGTGGAAGGGAGGCCCAAGGAGCCCTGGGCAGTGCCTGTGACCCCAGCCCTGCCAGGCTCTGCTGTGCCCTGCAGCCCTCGGTCAGCCTGGCCAGCAGAGTGGCCTCCCCGTCACTCCCCAGCTGGACCTGGCTTTGTCTAGAAGAGTTTGGGCCCTGCCTTGGGGGAGGGGATAGCTAAGGGAGTAGGGATGGCAACTGGGTTGGGAAGAGGGAGAGGGGAGCTGTCCAGAGACTCTGGGATGCCCCCTGGCCTTCCCACCGCCTCTCTCCAGCCTGTCTCCTTGGAGCCCTCTCAGGGGTGGAAGACTCTGGGGAGACGCAGGGGGAGGGTTTTACTGCCTCTGCGGCCCCATGGCGCTCACCTTCCCCTGTCGGAAGTTTGAATGGTATGGTCGGCGGCAGCCAGAGGTTCGCTATTCAGTGCCTGCCAGCCACCAGGTTACCCTGGAGAGGGGCTACAAGCCATGGCAGGAGGGGAGCAGGGAGAGTGCTGGTCCCTGGCAGCCCCTGAGGCCCCTCCTGCAGCGTCCCTGGGCCCCATTCCTTCCAGGCTTTTCCCTCAGCTTGTAGAAAAGCACCTTCCCTTTGAAGGTGTCTGGCTACAGAAGCGAGGGGTGAGGGGCATCTTCAAAGGTCAGGGGGATCCCAGGGCAGAAAGCATAGGACTGACGGACCTCCAAGGCCATGCTCCCCACAGTGCGGGTGGGCCACGGGAGACCTCCACTGGAGGCTCTTTCCAAAACACACACACACACACACACACACACACACTTCCCTCCCCCAGCCTTCTTTCTCCCCAGAAGCCAGAGCTTCCCTGACAACCAGCTGCCTGCTTAGGAGCCCAAGTCTTTGGCAGCTTCCCCACCAGGGACCTCCAAGCTCCCAGAAATGCAACTCAAGACAGGAGTCATGGCCCTGTCCAAGACCTGAGCCTCAGACCCATTCCCTTTTTTGGAGCCCCAGTTTCTGGTTTTTAGCTGTTCCCTCCTGCCCTTGCCCATAAAAAGAGGCACTGTCTGCCAACCCCAAGATGGACAAGAGATTTCCTATGGACTGTTAAAGCTGGAGAGGTCCTCAGGGGTCATCTAACTCCTCTTCTGAGAGAAAAGAGCCCCCGTCTTCTCTCAGATGACCAAACTGAGGCCCAGAGAGGTGTGACCTGCCCAGGGGCACCCAGCAAGTGAGTGGTGGGGGACTTGGTGTTTCCCCTGTGCTGGGTGGGCAGGGGCAGGCAGTAGGCATCCAGGGTAGGCAAAGCATCCGGCCCAAAGGTGTTTTCAATGCCCAGAGTCCCCATTGGGATTCCTGCACCTTCCATCACAGCATTCACTGCCTTCATTTTCCTTAACTTCCTCTCCTGAAACCAACTGAACACTTCATCTGTGGCCCCCATTCCTCCTGAGATGACAGAAGACAAAGCTTCCAGGGTGGTGCAGGCTGCTGGAGCAGGGAGGCATCAAGGAAATCTCACCATGGATAGGCATGCAAGGGCATGCTCTGGGCAACGTGGCTCTCTTCACCATCCTGAGCCCTTCCAGATCTGGACAATTGAAGCACCCTGTTACATCCCTCCACCTGCCAGCTCCTAAGGTTTCTCAGGGAATGGAGAGAGAAAGAACTGCACGGCAAGGGGCAATCCAGCCATCCCCAGCTCTGGCATAAATCCAGAGGGCTCTCTGGAGAAGGTGGCATCACTCATGTTGACCTTCACCACACATCCCCATGCTAGGCACCAGCCAAGACGCTTTGCAAGATGACTTCTGATCTTCCCCTCAACCCTGCAAGGCTGGTCATCATTGTGCCCAGTCTAGAGATGAGAAAACTGAGGCTCAAGGGGGCTAAAGTACTTATCCATAGTGCCATAGAGAGTAAGTGACAAAGCCTAAATTCATGCTTGGGTGTGCCTGACCCAGGGCCCTTGTTCTTTTTGCTCCAGTGTACTCGTCCTCCTCCCCACCATCAACATGCTCATCAGAATCCTTAGACACACTTACCGCAGTGCCCGGATGTGCATCGAGGCCAGCGCCTGCTACAGGCTCCTCGCTCTGCCTTCATACCACCATGTCTATACTCCCTGTCCTGTGGAGGTTCCAGGGCATCAGTGCTGCTGATTGAGGCTGTCATTCCACTCTTCCAACCACAGCCCTCTGCTGTCCCTGCATGAGCCCTTCACTCCAGACTGGGGTCCTAGTTCCTTCCTTAGCCTCCCCAGCTGCCTCTACTTCAGCTAACACTGTTTCCCAGCACAAATGTTCTTCCCAACCTTCTCTGCTAAGCCAGGTTTCCTCCATCCTTCCAAACCCAGCTCCCTCCTTTGGAAACCTTCAGCCAATCCCACCTTCACTGCTTTCTTGATCTTTGCTAGCAGGAACCCATCCCCATCTTCTCTGCAGTTTTGTCCAGTGAGCAACGATAGGAAAGCCTACATTAGGGCTTCGGGTGGCAAGAAAGAAAATCCATTCTATATTATCTTAGGCAGGGCCAGACATGGTGGCTCATGCCTGTAATCCCACCACTTTGGGAAGCCAAGGCGGGAGGATTGCTTGAGCTCAGGAGTTCGAGACCAGCCTGGGCAATATAGCAAGACCCTGTCTCTACAAAAAAAATAATAATAATCTAGGCAGAAGGAGAAGTGTACTGTAGCAATACTGGGATACCCTACAGGATCAAAGGAAAAATCAAACAGGGAGCGAGGCACAGATGGGCTCCTGGAATAACTGGGCCCAAGGATGCAAACCAGGGCTGAATGTTGTATGTGTCCTGCATTCGTGCTTACTGAGTGTCAGCCTAGTTCCTCTCCCTGGAGCTCTGCTCCTAAGTCGTTCACATATTTGACCCTACTGTGTGCCAGGATTGTTGTTCCAGAGACCAGGGATATCGCAGTGCACAAAGCCCTTTCTTCCTGTGGGGATATGGGCAATAAGCAAAGATAGCATGTATCAGAGGGTGACCAGGGGTAGGGAAGGCCAGGACATTGGAGTGGGGGCTATAATTTCATATGCAGTGCTCAGGGAGGGTCTTAGGAGAAGATATTTGAACAAAGACCTGAAGGAGATGAGGGCATGAACATGCAAATATCTGGAGGGAGAGCTTGCCAGGAAACAGCCAGGGCAGAAGCCATGAGGCCAGCACACGCTTGGTGTTCAAGAAACAGCCAGGAGACCAGTGTGCCAGGGCAGTTAAGAGGAGAGAGTGGTGGGAAGTGGGGCCCAGGGATGTGCAAGAGAGGGGCTGTTGATATTCCCACATTTTACTGCTAGAAAGACTGACTCAATCTCTCTGGGCCCAAGGTCAACAATCCCAGAGAAGAATGTGATTGGCTCAGCTTTGATCAGGCACCCAGTCCTGGACCAATCCCCTCTGACCGTCTTGGCAGGGTCAGGAAGAAAATGGCAGCTCCCATGCACACCACAGGGCTGAAGTGAGAGGTGGTGAGACAAGAAGGGGCAGACCCAAAAGAAGTGGGAGAGCCCAGGGCCTTACAAAGCAATTCACCACAGATCCAACAGGACAGCATGTCATAGGAGGGTCTAGCCTCTTCCTGCACTGCCCTGGGGGGTGTTTGTTCTCCACTTGTTTTGGGTGGGCAGTGGGTAAAGTAGGTATTCAGTTATTGGCTTGACAGGACTCATGTTGGGGTCAGCTATGGTTCTGCCAGTAGCCTCGAGGCTGCACTCCTTGTAAAAAGGGCTGAGCACTAGGCAGTGTCTCAGAGTGACAACAACGTCCCCCCCCACACACAAGCCCACCAGAGGAAACACATAAACACATAAGCCTGAGTCGCAGCCACGCCAGCCAGGCCGATCTGAAGCTAGACTGGGGTGATGGTGCGTGTGAATGAGCATGGAGCCATTGTGTGGGAGGAGGGCTCCTGGGCTTCCACGAAGTGACCGTTACAGTGTACAGTGCCGGCTGGGACCCAGTGTGGCCAGAATAACTTCAGGCCAAGGAAATGCGGGCAAGAAGTAGCCATGCAGTTCAGCCACCCTGGGAGAGGCTCCTGGGCTCTGAAAGGCTGCCGGGTAGGGAATGTGGAGGGATGGAACAGCCTGAGAAAGCCTGGACCCAGCGAGCTGCAGTGCCATCTTTCACCTTCTCCCCCAGCCTCCCTGCGAACCTGGAGGAGGATCGGGGCAGAGCTGGTCCTGGACAGGGCTGCAGGGGCCATCAGCGGTCGGACATCCTCTTGGGGATTAGAAAGACATACACGTCCCCTTGTCTCCCACACCCCCAGCCTCTGAGGGAGACCACAGGTTTTGGCAGGATGGGGTAGGATGCGTGAAGGGAAGGAAAGGAACTCTAAAAACCTCTTCTCTCCCTGCTGGGTGGCATTCAAGAAGTAACTCGTGTCTCATTCTTCCTCAGCTGAAAGCCACGGACGCAGATGAGGGCGAGTTTGGGCGTGTGTGGTACCGCATCCTCCATGGTAAGTGGGGCTGCCCTAGGATGGGGGGCGGTCCTCCTGCCCAGGGGAGGGCAGAGCTTCTCTAGGCTGCCAAAGGTCTGGGAGATGAGGCCAAGAGAACCCCCAGGGCCATATACATGGGGCGAGGCCAGAGGGAGGAAACAGGGACATTCTCCTTATTCACACCAGGTGGGTGAGGGGGAAGCTTTTTTGATTATTTGTTTTTGAGACGGAGTCTCCCTCTGTCGCCCAGGCTGGAGTGCAGTGGCGTGATCTCGGCCTACTGCAACCTCTGCCTCCTGGGTTCAAGCGATTCTCCTGCCTCAGCCTCCCGTCCCCAGTAGCTCAGTCCCCAGTAGCTGGGACTACAGGCGCATGCCTGTAATTTTTTGTGCTTTTAGTAGAGACAGGGTTTCACCGTGTTAGCCAGGATGGCCTTGATCTCCTGACCTTGTGATCCACCCATCTCAGCCTTCCAAAGTGCTAGGATTACAGGCGTGAGCCACCGTGCCCCTGGGTTGGCTTTTGATTGCCGTGTTCCTGAAGTCCTGCTGTCCTGCAGAGCTTCCCAAAGCCATGGCCCTGACAGAGAGGGCCCAGAGCCCAGGGCAGCCCCCAGCAGCACGCTCCCCAGGGACTGGGTCTCATTGGTCCAATCAGAATCCAGTGCCCATCCCTGAACCAATCGCTATGGCCAGAGAATAAAATGTGCTGATCCTCCCACTTCTCGAATCAGGGGTAAAGTCACTGCCCACAAATGTTATGGACTGACAGTAGAGGAGAGTAGATCCCCAAAGAAAAATCAGGGTGCTGTGCCCAAAAGATGGGGGAATGAGTGCTGGACCAGCCCTGAGATGTCCACTAAATCCTGGATTCAACCACCCATGGAGAATTTGGTTTCAGTCCCTCTTTTTGGAGTGCCCCAGGTTCTTCTGAAATATTAAAAAGGCCTCACACTACCCACATCTGTGGGTGTAGGAGCAGGGCGAGGGGGACCAGCAGGAGCCCCACCTGCTGGGGACCATCAACACCAAGATGAAGGCTTTCAGGAAAGAGCTGCAGGCCTTCCCGGAGCAGGTGAAACGCATTGGGGATGGCCTGTCTGCCTTGCCCCACCTCACAGAGTCCTCCAGCTTCCTCTCCACTGTGAATTCTGTGTCCCAGAAGACCCGCAGCCTCCTCACAAGGAGGGGACTGGTGAACTTCTGCCCCCAACCATGGCAGGCCAGCACAGCAGGAGACTTCTGGGCAGGGCCGGTGTTCCAGGGGGTCTGTCCCTCCACACAGGTAACCATGGCAACAACTTCCGGATCCATGTCAGCAATGGGCTCCTGATGCGAGGGCCCCGGCCCCTGGACCGGGAGCGGAACTCATCCCACGTGCTGATAGTGGAGGCCTACAACCACGACCTGGGCCCCATGCGGAGCTCCGTCAGGGTGAGGCTAGGGGCGGGCTGGGGTGCTGACCTCAGGACGGGGCCAAGCCCACAGCTAGAACAGAGAAGGCCATTAGTTGGCGCCTGGTGTGGGCAGGGCCACCACTGATTTAGGTGCTGAATGACATCTGGGCCTAAGGGTTCGGTGACAGGTGCCCAGCCTGGGACTTGGACTTGTCATTTTGCTGTGAGTTTGTTCCTCCAGCTGTGGAAAGGAGTCAGTGATACTGATGTCTGTCCTAAGGGATGAAAGAGGTGTCCTTACTGTACTAACCCCTGTATCCACAGAGCTCTCTAGGGTAAGTCAAGGAAATCTCACTTGGGTGATCTTGGAGGTACAGATGCTAACCTCATTTTACAGATGAGAAAACTGAGGCACAGAGAAGTTGCTAGTGATAGAATCAGGACTGGAGCCCCCATCTTCTGAATCCAAGTTCAGTGCCCTTTCCAATGAAAGTGACCCTAATATATTCCAGTCACCTCTCCCAGCTGCCTCATCAAATGTATTCTTTCCTGCCCAGCCTTATCTGTGCAGCCAAAATCAAATCAGCCTTAGTCCTCCCGAATGGCTGAAAACCTACACACAGATGTTCCCACTGGTTGTGTTATGTGTACTACCGCCAGCAGGGGGATGACTGAGATGAATGAGATGACCTCTCAAGGCCGCTTCACCCCCACCCCTACACACTCAGCAGCCCCCAGCCCCTTCCCCTA
Organism: Homo sapiens; assembly: GCF_000001405.40. Classification (NCBI taxonomy): domain Eukaryota; kingdom Metazoa; phylum Chordata; class Mammalia; order Primates; family Hominidae; genus Homo; species Homo sapiens. The sequence continues at coordinate 71,726,234 of NC_000010.11, forward strand.
AACCAGTGAGTCAGACCCCAGACATCAGGAGTAGGAGGGAGATGGGAAGAGTCAGGCAGAGCAAGCAGGGACTTTCACCCAGAACTGAGTGCCCGGCTCCTCTTATCAGCCCCATCTCCACCCCCTGCTTCCCCCAGGCTGGAAACAATGAGCGGTGGTCACCGGGTACTCACGATCACAAACACGATGGGTCTGATTGCTCAGGGGCTGTGCTGGGGTGGGTGACTCAGCCCTGACCCAGCTCCTGCTGACACCTCCAACGCTTTGCCCCAAGAAGAGCTGGGAAGACACCTGGGTCCTTGCAACTGCCCTGAGTGAGACCTGCCCTGTGGAAATGGCTGAGAGGGTCAGATCCCCTGGTTCTTACAGGGCCCTGGTGATGGAGACTCAGACACAGTAACCTGGACATGCACATAGCCATGCTGGCTTGCATGACTGTGAATCTTATTCGTGGGCTGGTCAGTACGCCCTCATCAGAGCCTGCCTTGTGTGGGGCCTACTTCAGGGCACAGAGTGACTGATGTCAGCGAAGCTGGGGTTGGGTCTCCAGACTTCAGGCTTCCTAACCACAGCCCTCCATGTGGCCCTCGCTCCCCGCTCCCTCACCCAGGCGTGGTGGGCTCCTGCCTCCTCCCATCAGTGCCTCAGCATTGTGGCTGCAAACCTCCTTTAGCCACAAACCTTCTGTATACACAAAATGATATGCAGCATCCCAGGGTACAGTGTAAAACAGATCGAAGCCAGACTGTGACAATCAGTGCAGGGGTGGGGCTCCCAGAGCCACACCTGCTCAGCTACTTACGTCCTGCCCGTCTCCCCTGAACCCTGAGGAATAATAAACCCTCACACGTGCCCGATATTTTTCTAAATGCCTCGTGTACTTTAACCTCCGTAACCCTCATAATAGCCTTATGAAGTAGGCACTGTTAATACCCCCATCTTACAGATGACAAGACTGAGGCAAAGAGGAATTAGCCGACTTGTTCAGGGTCACACAGCGGTAAGGGTGGAGCCAGGCTTCATGCCTTGGCAGCCAGCTTGAGCCTGTCCCCTTAACCACTACACTCCACTGCCTCACATAAGCCTCTTCAAAGCCCAGTCAGAAACCACTGCCTCATCCCCACAGGGTAATTTTAAGGTGAGAATTTGAGGGCTGGCCCCTGGGGCAGGTGCTTGGTGGCACTGTAGTACACAGCCTCCACACCCATGAGACCCGGGAGAGCTGGGGGCCTTCCTGAAGGCAATGTGGGGACTCTGGCTTTCCGCTGGACTCATTTTCCCAGCAGCAGGGGAGAGACGGCTTGCAGGAACCATCCACATCCTCCAGTTCCTGCCTCAGAGACCGGGGACAGCCCCAGTGAGGGGCCGGGGAGTACAGAGTGAGACAGTCCCCTTAGAGACTGGGTGTCTCAGGGTGTTCACGACACATACACACACACACACGCACATATGCCCACGCACACCTCCTCTCCCTGTCCTCCTAACCACTAGCACCCCATTTTGCAGATGAGGAAACTGAGGCAAAGCACTGCACTGGCACAGCACTGGACAGGCACAGCACTGGACAGAAAGCAGGTCTGGTTCTCCAGGAAGCCCAGTTGCTCCCACTTGCTCAGCAAGAACCTGACAGACCTCTGCTTCCTGTACATCTGTGCCTCTCAGGTTTGCAAACCATCTTGCCTCCTCCTGTCTCTGCTGCTAAAAACAGGCTGAAACCGACCAGAGGCTGGTGGCATGTAGCCAGACTCATGGAGGACAGGCCACACCCCAGCTCCCTGCCACCTCTCTCATCTTGTCATTGTACTGTCAGCCTGGCCCTGTTTTTTCCCCACAACCCTTGGAGTCAAGGTCATTTGGACAAGCAGATTGAGGAAGGGTAAGGCGCACAGTTTTGCAAGAGGAGTGGTTAGTTTCTGTTTACCGAAAAAGAGTTCCTGAAATTCATCCATGCAAACTCCCCCCCGCACCCACCCTACCCAGGATCTTCCCCAGCCAAGTTCTGGGTGAAGCCAAATTTAGGTTCCAGCCTGTGAACAGCTGTGCTCTGGAGTGGACATGTTAGTTTGCATAGTGGGTTCTGGGTGTCTGGACATGAAAATTCTAATGACACAGCAGAGCTTTGGGAACCCTAGAAGCAGCGATGCAGAGAAACTTTTACACCCATATGCCTCTCTGCCCCCAGCCCTGCCACCCTCCCCACCCCAGAGTCCTCCACTGGTCAGGCTGCTGTTTTCGGCTTCTACCAGCCAGAAGCTCTGTCACTTCTCTCCAGCTGATTCCCAGCTAATCCCCAAAGAGAAAGCAGGGCTGATCCCAGAGGCAGTGACCAGATGCCAGACACACACGCCTCTGCTGCACATGCAGAGGCCCCTCCCTTAGTGCTGGTCACCACATGCAAAGTCTGTATGGGGCATCACAGCCCCTTCCCCATTTGCTTCCCTCTCTACTTTGCTGGCAAGTTCCTACCGGCCCCAGCTCTGTTTGGCTGGGAAGAGGGTGCCTCTCCTGTTCTGGGGCCAGCTCACCCCAGCATAGAGCAAAGAGCTAAAAGCTAAAAACTCCTGGGCTCCAGCAATCCTCCCGCCTCAGCCTCCCTAGTAGCTGGGATTACAGATGCATGTCACCACCCCCGGCTAATTTTTTTTAGAGACAGAGTCTCATTATGTTGCCCAGGCTGGTCTCAAACTCCTGGGCTCAAGCGATCCTCTTGCCTCCGCCTCCCTAGTAGCTGGGACTACAGGTGCGTGCTATCACCCCTGGCTAATTTTTTTTTGTAATTTTTGTAGAGACAGAGTCTCACTATGTTGCCCAGGCTGGTCTCGAATGCCTGGGCTCAAGAGATCCTCCCACTTCAACCTCCCAAATTTCTGCGATTACAGGCAAAAGCCACCATGCCTGGCCTCCATAAACACCTTTTAAACTGTATTACGTTCATGATGTACAGTGCACACATTCATAAAGAGAACTTAGTGCTGGTAAGCGGTGAGGAAAATGGTGCGTAATTGCACAATTCAGAAACAGCCACTGCCTTGGATGGGGGCCTCAGAAGCAAACCCTGAGACAAGGATTGGTGTGAAAGTAATGTGTAAGAAGCGCCCACAGGAAAAGGTGGAACAGGGTGCAACCAGCAAGGAAAAACAGACAGCAAAGTGTCATGGAGGGAGCTAGGCCTCCGTCCCCCAGGGAGCCCTAAAGCGTCCCCTCACTGCCCCAAACAGGGCCAGGGAAGCTGGAGTCTTTGCTCTCCACGCCCATCAATCATTGGCTCAGGGCTGCCCTAGGGGACGGAAGTTCCCAGGCATTTCTGCTCACTGGGCTGGTTTCCAACAGCCCGGGTGTGGGTGCAGTGGGGTGGGGTTGGTCTTCCCCAAAGAGCCTTAGGGGCTGGGAGCTGGCCGTGAGAAGGTGCACAAGTAAAGAGTACTGAGCACTGACATTCTCTACTACAACTGCCATTGTATTTTCACCTCTATTTTCCAAGATATATTTTAATATTTGATTGGGATCACTTTGAATTTTTTCAAGAACTTTTGCAGGCCCTGGCTCATTTTGTCTTCATAACAACCTTAGGAGTGGCATGGAGTGTGAACTATTTTATTATTATTAATTTTTTTTTTTTGAGATGGAGTCTCGCTCTGTTGCCCAGGCTGGAGTGCAGTGGCGCGATCTTGGTTCACTGCAACCTCTGCCTCCCGGGTTCACACCATTCTCCTCCCTCAGCCTCCTGAGTAGCTGGGACTACAGGCGCCCGCCACCACGCCCGGCTAATTTTTTGTATTTTTAGTAGAGATGGGGTTTCACCGTGTTAGCCAGGATGGTCTCGATCTTCTGACCTCGTGATCTGCCCACCTCGGCCTCCCAAAGTGCTGCTGGGATTACAGGCGTGAGCCACCGCGCCCGGCCGAATTATTATCTTAATATTACCACTTTATAGCTGGGAAACTGGGGGCCCCAAAGAGTCACTAATTAGTCAGATGTTCCACAGCATTAGTCAAAAAGCCAAGAGCAAGATGAAGTTCATTCCGAAACAAGTAATGTTTGAGCACCTGCCACGCGCCAGGTGCTGTGCAAGGTGGTGGTCACAGTGACCCACCAGACAGGCCTGGGGTCCTAGAGGGAGCTCACAGCAGGCCCAGGAAAGCAGTGACCACACAAGGCGGCCACAGTGGGCCAAGCCCTGGGCTTCCCAGCCTCCACCCCACCCTGACCTTGCACCCCTGGCCCGGCTCCCACAGGTGATTGTGTACGTGGAGGACATCAACGATGAGGCCCCCGTGTTCACACAGCAGCAGTACAGCCGTCTGGGGCTTCGAGAGACCGCAGGCATTGGAACGTCAGTCATCGTGGTCCAAGCCACAGACCGAGACTCTGGTGAGGCTGGCAGGAGGAAGCCGGGGATCCCATTGCTCAGAGCAAACCTCCCCAGCTCACCCAGCCCCTCCTTCGAAACGGTCATCCCTGATGCTTCAGGCTCCCCATTTAGCCATGTCTAGGCCAGGGAGGGGCTGCTGGGATGGTCTTGATCACTTCCCACCAGTGGCCCCAGCCTGAGAGGGTTGGAATCAGGGAGAGTTGTCCCAACCACTGGGTGGACAGAGGGGAGGCCACAAGCTTGAGAAGTCCAGCTCCGTCATCCCAGGACCCAGCAGCTCCCACTAGCCTTTAGAGAGGGGCTGGGCAGAGCTGGGAGGGGTAAAGAGGACCGGTCAGAAAGCTGGCTGCGGCCTGGCCTGCTCCTCCAGCCCCTCCACGCCTTCCAGGACCAGCTCAGGGCCTAGCACACGCAGACCCCCTGACCCTGTACAAGGGGCAGTACCCTTCCTGTGCCGCAGGGCAGTAGCCTGAAGGCAGCCTGAACCTTGCTGAGGGCCCAAGCCCCAGAGGCGGCCACAGCCCGCAGTGCAAAATGAAGGGGAAGCATGCCGGGTCTCTGTGGCCCTCCGTGCGGCCTGGGCTGTCTGGCCTGTACCCCAGTCAGGGATACAGCTGAAAAGGAGCATTTTCTGGAGACCCACTGTCCCCCAGAGAGGCTCCCTGAGCTGCTCATCCTTCATGTCAGCTACTCTGGTGGCTCCCAACTCCTCTCTCAGCATCCTCAGATTATCTGTGGCATGCATGGGATGGGGTGGAGGGAGGAATGGCTGCAAATTCTCAGGCGGAATCTCAGGCATGTTAGGAGAGTTTAGGGCACATACGCGGCTGTGGCCCCTTGAGGTCTGTGAACTTCAGCTTAGGAATCCCAGCTCTAGCTCCTGATTGAATGGTTTGTTTCAAGGCACAGGAATTTGGGGCGTAGGGAGTGGGGAGGATGGGGGAAGGTGTCCCTGACACTGAAGCCCTTCTGTCGAAGGGACCAAACCAAGGCTTGGCCATCTGTGAGGATGCGTTCTAGATCAAAGCCTCCACTACAAGAGATCCTTCATTTCCCCCAATGCTTGTATGTCCAGATATCAAAGGGAGGTACATGAGCTTGAATTTTGAGGCTCCAGGAGCAGACCCAACTCTTTCTGTCCTATCTCTGGTGCCAAGGCCAAGCCCCAGAGGAAGGCTCAACAGTGCATGCTGGACCTTGCCATCCACATTGACCTTAACACATCCTCTGCTGCATCTCTGAGGATGATCCTGCCGGCAGAGGTGGGGCAGCCCATGCTGGGTGGGCCACCCAGGGGGTATGGGTGTGGCAGCTTGAGAAGCCACAGCGCAGCCCCACTCAGTTCTATCTGGGACTGCACAGCCTCTGTGTCCTCCTACAGGGGATGGTGGCCTGGTGAACTACCGCATCCTGTCGGGCGCAGAGGGGAAGTTTGAGATTGACGAGAGCACAGGGCTTATCATCACCGTGAATTACCTGGACTACGAGACCAAGACCAGCTACATGATGAATGTGTCGGCCACTGACCAGGCCCCGCCCTTCAACCAGGGCTTCTGCAGCGTCTACATCACTCTGCTCAACGAGCTGGACGAGGCCGTGCAGTTCTCCAATGCCTCATACGAGGCTGCCATCCTGGAGAATCTGGCACTGGGTACTGAGATTGTGCGGGTCCAGGCCTACTCCATCGACAACCTCAACCAAATCACGTACCGCTTCAACGCCTACACCAGCACCCAGGCCAAAGCCCTCTTCAAGATAGACGCCATCACGGTGAGGGGCTGGGGGCAGGGAGCACCATTTCTTCCAATCTAACCAACATTGGTTGAGCTCCTTCTGTGTGCACAGCACTCTCCTCTTTGTCATAAAATGTCCTTGAGATGGCCAAGTGTGGTGTTAGGTACCTGTAGTCCCAGCTGCTTGAGAGGCTGGGGCAGGAAGATTGCTTCAGCTCAGGAGTTTGGAGGCTGCAGTGAGCTGCGTTTGCACCACTGCACTCCAGCCCGGGCAACAGAGTGAGACCTTGTCTCTTACAAAGAAACAAAAAAAAGTCCCCGAGATCAATATCCCTGTAACACATCCATTTTCATATGTAGGAGTAAGATAAAGTTTATACCTATGCAGGCTGGTATCCTTCTGTTTTTCCTTCTGTTTTCACACCCATCACAGATCCTTCACCTCTGGTCATCGAAGTGTGTGTGGGGTTTTCCCCCATTATCGGCAACCAATTATCTGACTCTCTTGACACCAGCTGGGAATCCTATAGTTTGATTTAATTCTGAACATTTCTACCTGGAGTTAGCGTCAGATCCCACAGGCTCACAGCTCAGTCCCTCCCACACACCACGCAATTCTCCAGTAGACACCATAGTGTCAGATCCCACAGGTTGAGGGCTCAGTCTCACAAAACTGCCTCCACTTCAGCTGCCAATCACAACCTCTAGGTTGTTTGACCCATGCTTCTGACCAACTGGCTAAATCAGAGTTCCCACAACCCCCTCCACAAGTTCGATGAATTTGCTAGAGCAGCTTGCAGAACTCAGGGAAACACTTTACTTACTATTACCAAAGTATTATGAAGGATAGTCTAAAGGATACCAACAAACAGCTGAATGAAGAGACACACAGAGCAAGGCATGGGAGAAGGGGCCCAGAGCTTCGGTGCCCTCCTCGGACATGCCACCCTCCAGGCACCCCTACATGTTCAGCAGACTGCAAGCTCTCTGTAGTTCAGGGATGTCTATGGAGGCTTCATCACATAGGTACGATCAATTATTAACTGAATCTCCAGCCTCTGTCCTCTTCCTGGAAAGTAAAGGGTGTAGAGGCAGGGCTGAACATTTCAAGCTGTTTATCCTGGCTTGGTCTTTCTGGTGATCAGCCCCAACCGAGGACCCCACCAAGAGTTGCCTCATTAGAACAAAAGACTCCTATCACCTAGGAAATGCCAGGGGATTAAGAGCTTTGTGCCAGGAACCAGGGACAGAGACCAAATGCATATTTCTTATATCACAATGTCACAGAAAGCTCTGCAAGTCATATTTCCCTTTTCACCTTGGCTGTTAGGAAGCTCAGACATAAATGCTGGGCTTCATTGCAATAGTTATTCTTAGCTAGTTGTCTGGTACACCAGTCTCTTATCTACTGCCAGGCTCTTACTCCTTCGTCTTTGCTTTAGTGTATCTTTTATCAGAATTCCTTCTTTGAAAGTAGGCAAGGTGTGAATCACTACAACGTGACAGGCCTTGTCCTAGAGGATACTGGGAACACAAATGGACACAAAGATGAACAAGACCCTTCTCAGTCCTCAAAGAGTTCTCAGGCTAGAAGTGGAAATGGAACTAATCCAGGATGCAAATCAGAGCGCCACAAGAAGATGTGCAGAGAACTACAACAGAGGGGTAGTGGAGCCCCTCAGGGCCCAGCAGTCATACCTGGCTGGGGAAGCAGGAAGGCTTCATGGAAGAGGTGGCTTCCCAGTGGAATGTGAGAGAGAAGAAGGAATTCAACAGACAGAGTGTCCTGGGGAAGTTATGCCGGACAGAGGAAGTGACATGGAGGTGGAAAAGTGGGCAGAATGACCAGGGTTAACAAGGGTGCGATGTTGTCACTCACCCATCTGGCCCCTTCCCTGCAGGGTGTGATCACAGTCCAGGGCCTGGTGGACCGTGAGAAGGGCGACTTCTATACCTTGACAGTGGTGGCAGATGACGGCGGCCCCAAGGTGGACTCCACCGTGGTGAGTGGGACCAGGGTGAGAGTCCCTCAGGTGCGGCCCATCGCTGGCCATGACACTTCCTAACCCATGTCCTCGCCAGCCACCCAATGTATGGGCCAGGCAGCGGGCGAGGGTCTTGATAGCCTGAGGCTTCGCCATGTCCAGCCATGCCACACCTTCCCAGCAGGTTGGGCTAGGATGAGACCTCAGGCAGGTGGAGGGTGGCACCTCCAGAGACACTGCCGGGAGTGGGGTCTGGAAGAGCCACAGACGGCTAACCATTTGCATCTTTGCCTTTTCTCTCACTCCCCTCCTGCTGCTGCCTCTGCCTACAGAAGGTGAGTAGCCTGTGGCTGGAGCTTCCCCTGTGCTGTTGGCTGTGGCCAGTGCTGGCCGGGCTCTGCCTGGCCCTGGACCTTCCCACCTCTCCCAGAGAGAAGGCACGTGGACAGGCCTGCAGCAGGCCCCCTCCCAGTGCCTCCACTCTCACACCTGAGTTCAGGCCCCTCTGGGGCATGTCCCCTGCCTCCAACTCTGTCCTCTGTGTCTTGCCTAGCCCCGGTAGGGTCTTGGGTGGGGAGAGTACTAGCAAAGGAGTCACTGGAAGACCACTGAGGGCTCATCCCAGCTCCACTCCTCGATGGCTGTGTGACACAGGCAAGCTGCTTAACGTCTCTGTGCTTCCCTTCCTCGGGTCTAAAACGAGGGTCATGCCAGCATCCCTGCCATCCTCAGAGGATGAGATGGAAGCAGCAAGAGATTGCAGGCAGAAAGCCCTTTGTAAGCCAGTCCTGGAAGCAGATGTGACTGCAGTGGGGCTCTGTCCTGATGCCTCAGCTGCTGCATCCATAAAGGGGACCCCCTCCCTCTCCTGGGGGTTGGTGCAAGTGTGTGGGGTGGGATGCACATTGTGGGGCCTGGGAGCGCTTAGGAAGGGGACCATGGGCACAGGTTGTTTCTCCCTCAGGACAGCCTCTAAGTAAAGGCAGAGAAGACCATGTGCTGGGCCCCTGGGGGAGGGGGGCCCACTGAGGTCAGAAGAGCCAGACAACGTTCCTAGAAGAGGCGGCCCGGCCTGAAGGGAGAGGCAGGCAGGGGAGCTCATGCTGGGGTTGCAATGGGAGTGGGTCCAGGGCCAGCTACCTGAGAGAGGTCCATGGGATGGCATCCTGTGGTGATCCCAGGACACTCAGCCATCAATCTGGCCTGGACACTGGCCAGTCACATCAGCTACCATCTAGAGACCACCTGGGGCATCAGGCTCCTCATCAGCCTTGGTTACAGCCACATTGCCACGCCCTGCTGAGTCCCTGTCACATTAACCTAAAAAAGCTAGAAGCCAACTCAGTGTCCAAGCCAAGAGCCAAACACAATTTCTTGGGGTTCTTGGCCCCAAGGCTCCCTGGAGGTGCCCAGTTCTAGCGGCACTGGTTGTGGCTGGGCCATACCTAAAGGCCCCCTCCATCCGTGGGGCCAGCCTGGGGGTGAGTGAGGCTGTGATGGGCAAGAAGTCTCCACAGCTCCCCTCAGCTATGCTCCCCAAGGGCAGCCGGTGAGCAGAGCGCTCGGGCAGTGGGTGCCGAGCCACCTGCGTCCTGCCACTCCCAGCCAAGGGGCAGACACTCAGGGGTAAAGTGGGACCCTCTTACTGAGCCTCACCCTCTTCATTCATACAATGGGCCCACCTGGCCCTCACACAGCAGGTGTTGCGAGAAGGCTGGGAGGAGAGGCCAGTGGGAGCCCAAGGGTGGCAGGGATGGAAAGGAGGTCCCCCTGCGTGGACTGCCAGCCACTTCCTCAGCACGGCTGTTGAGGGCTTCGGAGCACACACTTCTGCCTGTGCCCCTGTATTTCCACAGTGCTTTGCCCTCTTCCGGTTAGCAGGGCCCACCCCCTTTTGTTCTGCCCTGGCTTCCTCTGAGAGGCTCCCAGGGGCCGCTGCCCCAGATCCACCAGCCCCGGTAGCCCCAAACACTGTTTGAGGTGCTAGGGTGGAGGCAGAGGAAGGGGCCCTTTAAAGGTGGAAACATTTCCTCTGCTAGGCCGGAACCCAAACCACAGCTCACCTCCACCTGGCTCCTCCCTGTCCCCAGCAGCCCTGGCCGGCCCCAGAAGGAGTGGTCAGGCAGACCAGAAGGGGCAGGCTGGGTAGGGCATGGCTCTGCTATAAGAGCTCTTGAGTAAGTTCAGGCCTTCAGGGGGTAGGGGAGGGCAATGTGGATTGTGAGGCCCTGGGTGAAGACACAGACACCCATCTCATTCCCATAGGCCTGGGAACCTGTCCTCCTTCCTCACCCACTGAGGCCAACCCCCTTCCACTGGGAAGTCCAGCAGCCCCCCTCACCCCTGCCTTGCAGCCTCACCAAGATCAGAGCAGTAGTCATTGTGGGAACACCTGCTGTGTCCCAGGCACTAGGCTGGGTTCAGGTTACAGCAAGAAACCAAAATTAGACATATCCCTTGCCTTCCTAAGTGTACGATACAGTGAGGGAAAGACATTGATCAAATGATCACAGCAGTAAATGTATGCCCTGAGAGAAAGCCTATAATAAGGTGTCAGGGAACTAGAAGAGGGCTTCCCTGAGGAAGGGACTCAAGCTGAGAGCGTCAGAATGCATGAGAGTTAACCCAGCCTAAAAAGGAAGAGCATTTCGGGCAGAGGGAACGGCAAGCACAAAAGCCCTGTGGTGTGAGGAAACACGGTGAGTCTAAATGAGGCCTTAGCTAGAGTGAGGGGGTTTGGGAGGGATCCGATCACAAGGACCCTTGTCTGTTTTCACCCTGAGAACAGTGTGATAGGTATTGTTTTTCCCATTTCAAATGGGCGGACTGGGGCTCAGGGACCTCAGGGAACTCCATAGCAAAACTCATGACAGATGGGTAGAGTCTTGGCAAGAGAAATCATGAATGTCTGCCAGGCAGGAAGCAGGAACAGGGAAGAGTAGGTGCCACCCCTTCACTTTCTGTTTGCTCAGTTATTCCTCCCAACAGGTGTCATTCTGATTTTCAGCTGAGGAAATGGAAAATCAGAGAGCTTGAATAACTTTTTCCAAAATCGTGCAGCTCATAAGTGGTTGGGTTGGCCTAGCTGCGAAGCCCAGGCTCACTCTCCTATACTTCTGAGAGCTGCCTACAGATAGGGGAGTGTGGCTGGGACTGAGCAGTCAAACCTGTATAGAAGGAAGAATGACATGGAATTTCCTCTGCAGCATGCACAGGCTTAGCCGGCTCCCCATGAGTCCTGTGCAGAGTCAGCAGGACCTGGGAGCCCCTGAACCCCACATGCAGGGAAGCAGAGAATGGGGTCTGGCCTGGGGCAGGGCAGTGGGAGAAGGCCTGTCCTGGGATACCTAAAACCTGAGCTCCTCCAACCCCCCTCACACCCTCATCAGTGAACCCCTGGGTACCTGTGATTCCAGCCGCAGTGGCCTGTGGCCGTCCGTGGACTGGAGGCCTCACCCGCGGCAGGCCTTCACTCTCCTGCCTCTCCACAAGAAGCCCGAGCCACAGACACAAAACAATATGCTCTTGCGTGCCATTTGTTGCATGCCCGGTTTTTATTTGACAGTCAGAAATTCACATGCCTTCCCCATCTGCCCTTCTACCCACTGGAACCAAGCCACCTTGCAGCCCCCTCCTGCTCCTGGGCCCATTTCCTTCCCTCTAAGCCCAAGGTTGCAAACAAAGACACCTTCGGGCAATATCTGGCCACCAGATGTGTTTTGGACAGCCCACACATAATATTCTTCTCTAAATTTTATTACTCATCAGCCAATTTCACTTTAAAATCTAGATTCCTTATTTTTCATGAAAAACAGGAAGCTTTGCTCATGCTAGACCAGCATTCCTAGCCTCCATCCACTTTAGCCATGGCCTGGCTTTTCAGTTCTCCTGTCCCCACCACCTCTGACAGTCTCCCCACCAGGCCTCTTCCCTTGCCCTCCTAGCCAAGATTTAAGTGTGTCTACCTGCCACCCCACACCAATCAGACTGCTAGGAGCCATGGGCCCAGGGCCTCCTTTGTAAAGTCAGGATAGGCTTCGGTGGGCTCTGAGGGTTTGCTGATGTTCCAGAACCCACTGGGGATCTGGTCCCTACTGGACCCACGGTGGGACCCAGGTGTTTGGGGCCAAGGAGGGGAAGGAGGCTGTAGGTCTCTGACCACGTTCACCCTCAGGTCTACATCACTGTGCTGGACGAGAATGACAACAGCCCCCGGTTTGACTTCACCTCCGACTCGGCGGTCAGCATACCCGAGGACTGCCCTGTGGGCCAGCGAGTGGCTACTGTCAAGGCCTGGGACCCTGATGCTGGCAGCAATGGGCAGGTGGGCCACCGAGTGAAACAGCCAGGATCCACCATGTCAGCGGGGCTCCCACAGCTCTCACAGCTGGAGGGGCCTTCTGAGCCACCCCCATCACCAAGCACCAGGTTCTTCCGGTCTCTGCCCCTGCAATCACCCAGTCTGTGGTCAGGGAGAAGGGACAGAGCTGCCTCAGAGCTATGCAGGCCGGTGGCCCTGCCTGGGTCATGTGGACATGGAGCCCGAAGGCCAGCCAAGGCGCAACCCCTCAGTGAAGTTGTTTTCCGGGTAACTCCTTCCCACGCAGCCCCAGCTCCCTGAGAGGACATGCTCGTCCTCTCTCCTGCTTCCTAGGCCCAGCCCCATGGCAGGAGGCGCTTGCTGTCGCTCCAGGTTTGGACACCCCAGAGTGCAGAGGGAGAAGTGATGAAACCCGCCAGTGTTCACACAGCTTTCATCTGTTCCGTGCATTAGGCCGTGTGTTTGCGGGTGTTAGCATGGCTTGCATGGTCTAGGGGGTCGAGGGATGCTGGCTTTGGAGACAAAAGTGTGTAGGTTCAGACCTCTGGCATTTGCAAGCTGTGTGACCTTGGCTGGTTGTTCCATGTTTCTGAGCCTCCTCTCTGTGAACTGAGAACAGTTGCTTTCTGTCAAGGTTGCCGTAAGAACCAAGTAGAGTCCAGGTAATGCCGCAGCGTGTGCCCACCCCAGCAGCGTGAGCACAATCCCCTCTACCCTGGGAAGACGTCAGTGCCATGGGACTCAAGCCCCACTCTTCCAGGCCAGGATACTGATATCTCCTAGCCCCGGAACTTTCCATGGGTGCTACACTACCTCCATGGGCCTGCACCCCCATTTTGAGGGAGATGAATCACTTCTGCTTAAAACACTGCACTCCCAAAAGCCCTTGCTCAACAGAGGGCCCACGTGGGCAGAGGAGGACCAGGGAGTCCCCCTTGGCTTGACCTGGCCACCTCTCCTCCACACCTGCTCACCCCTCACCCTCTCTTCTCCCCACAGGTGGTCTTCTCCCTGGCCTCTGGCAACATCGCGGGGGCCTTTGAGATCGTCACCACCAATGACTCCATTGGCGAAGTGTTTGTGGCCAGGCCCCTGGACAGAGAAGAGCTGGATCACTACATCCTCCAGGTGGGGCCTGGCCTCCCTTGGACTGAGAGACCACTGGCTAAGTGCCTAGACCGGTCACTACTCTCCATCCAGGAGAGAGCCTGTCCATCAGCACACTCTGGTGGTCAGTGCCCCTGCTGTCACCAAGTAACATGGGGCCAGCTGCACCCATCGGGGCCAAGAGCACAGTGAGGCTGACCCAGGATAGGGAAACCTGGGAGGGACCTTAGATACCCAGGAGGAGGTAGTTGAGGTGTCTTCCCCTGCTGTAAGAGCCAGGAGGATGAGGGAGAGCCTGGTGGAGCTGGGAGAGCCCCAGCTCTTCTACAAATACAGTGTGGCCTTGGACAGGTTATTAACTCTGGGCCTCATTTTCCCCACCTATGCAATGTACAAAAAAATCCCCGTCTGGCCTGCCCTGTGGAGGGAAGAAGCAAGTGCAGGCTTGAGGAGCCACGAAGGCTATCATTATTGCAGAATGGCCATGGCTGGGATGTTTGCCAAGGGCTTTCTGGGAACCTCAGGACTGCGCTTCTGCAGAGGGCTCAGCTCCTGCAGCACTTATGACTGCATCAAGGCTCCCAGGAACAGGCTCAGCCATAGGGCGCCAGCTCATTGCTTATAATATTACTTGAGGCTCTTTTCCCGTTTGCCAGAGATCATGGGACAGAGTGCGTGGGACAGAGGCCTTTGAAGCTAAAGACAGGAGCCTTGGGTCAGGTTGCAGGCCCAGGGTCATGGTCAAAGGCTGGCACAGCCCAGAATACAGTCAGAGGTAGGTCAGGAGGTCAAGGCTTGGGTACATGTTAATCAGATTCCAAACGAGGATCCCAAGTCAGACGACGATTGGGCAAGAATCATTTGCAGCATGGGGCAGAAGGTGAAGGCTTTGGGGAGAGCCCAGGGCTGGCCGGGAGAGCCCAGGGCTGGCCAGGCCACCCAGGGGTTCTCAGTGAGTCTCTTTGCCCTCCCAAATGCTCCCCACTGATTGCACAGCCCTTTTGGACTCCATATTCCCAATCCTGCCCGCCACGCTTTAGCCCTGACTCCAGTTGCCCTCCTCCTTGCAGGTTGTGGCTTCTGACCGAGGCACCCCTCCACGGAAGAAGGACCACATCCTGCAGGTGACCATCCTGGACATCAATGACAACCCTCCAGTCATCGAGAGCCCCTTTGGATACAATGTCAGTGTGAATGAGGTGAGGGCAGCCCCGGGGCCCATATAGCTGGACATACGGGGGGACCGTGGGCACGAGCCAACCATGCAGCCCCTGTTTAAATGTCTGCCTGGCCCACTGGTCCCTCAGATCTCATGGATGGGAACTGTGGCTCATTCGTAGTGATAGCCCTAACGCCTAGCCTGGATCCTAGAATGCAGTATCTTTTTGGAGTAGAGGAGAAGAGAAAAGAGAAAAAGAAGAAAGTTGCCTTTCACCAGACAGGAAACTGAGGTTTACCCCGGGAGCTTGCTTTTTTAAAAAATGTATTTATTATTCAGCCCTAAGACTGAGCCACTCCAATCTGCCCTGGCATTGCTGGGTATCATGCTAGGTTGGACGTTCATGAAGGCAGGATGACATGTGGCCAGAGTCTAGCTCTCAGGCCAGACTCCCTCACTTCAGCCCACTGATTGGCTGTGTGGACTTGCACACATTCCTTCCCTGCACCTCAGTTTTCTCTTCTGTAAATGAGGATGATGATGCCAGTACCTAACTCACAGAGTTGGAGAGAGGACCCAGTGAGTTAATGCAGGCCCCAGCATATCAGAGGTGCTCACAGAATGTTCGCTGCTATCATCCTTATTATCTCCATCATTGCTCTGGGGTAGATGCAGCAAAGCTTTTGGGAGGTACAGGGGGAGCCTTCGGGCTACAGGAGCAGGTGCCAGACTGTGCCCCAATGCCTTGAGTCCAGAATGACTGCTCTCCTGCTCTCCTCCCAGAACGTGGGTGGAGGTACTGCTGTGGTCCAGGTGAGAGCCACTGACCGTGACATCGGGATCAACAGTGTTCTGTCCTACTACATCACCGAGGGCAACAAGGACATGGCCTTCCGCATGGACCGCATCAGCGGTGAGATCGCCACACGGCCTGCCCCGCCTGACCGCGAGCGCCAGAGCTTCTACCACCTGGTGGCCACTGTGGAGGACGAGGGCACCCCAACCCTGTCGGTGAGCGATGGGGGTGGCCACAGGGAGGAGCGGGTGGGCCAGGGCAGCTCCGCCTCCGAGTGAGGGGAACAAGATGGGTGAGAATGGAATTCCACACAGCAGGCGAATCCTTGACAACTCCTTTAGTCCATCTGCCTTTAGTCCATCTGCCCAAGATGGCCTCCCCTTACGGAGGCCTGTTGCGTGCAAAGCTGGGGTGCTAGTTTGGCCTCCCGAGTCTATAGCTACTCAGAAGCTCTGTTTAGTCCTCTTTTCTCTCACAGAGCAGCTCTATGGGGTGGTACAGGTTGAGCCTCTGTATTGGGGCCTGGCCCAGGGAGCAAGTGGGTATGAATCTAGCCCCCGCTTCACTTGCCCACCTATGCACTGTGAGGTCACACCAATGTGCATGGTGGTGTCTTACAGAAAGGGTGCCTCTCTGGCCCTCTTCCCCTACATTGTGTGGTGTGGCATGCTGTCACAACACGTCAGGGTGGGAAGGGATTCGTGTCTGTGGTTCACACTAACGCTCGAATGAACAGCACCACTGCCCAAGGCAATGTTCAAAGTTTGCCAGGTGAGGGAAGGACTTGTGGTCCTCAAGGGCTGGATGGAGATCTCTAGGAGCTGATGAGCTGTGTTGGGAGTGGCTTATAAACTGAAAGCAGGGAATTTGGAGTCAGGAGCACTGTGGCTGGCTGCATGATCTTGAGCAAGTCAGAACCTCTCAGCATATCGCTTTTGTCATCTGCAAAAGGGAGATAATATCTACCTCATAGGTGTTGTTTGGGGAATCAAATTAGCTCATGTCTGTGGAAGCACTTGGTAAACCATGAGGAGGAAGAGGACTGTTATTAGTTCTCTATTGCCACAATAATGCTGCCTTACAAACCAAACAAAACAGAGGAGTAAAACAATAACCACATAGTTAGCGCTAATTCTGCAGGCTGGCAATCTGGACATGGCTTAGCCGGGTGGTTCTTCTGGTCTCAGCTGGGCTTCTGCATTTGTATGTGGGCAGCTGCCTGTCAGCAGGGTGCTATGCTTCTGAGGGTTGGCTCGCCAGCAGCTGGGGTGACAGGGACAACTCATCCTCCAGAAGGCTAGCCCGTGCCTGTTCTTATGGGGCTGGAAAGTGTCCAGAAGAGACAGCAGAGGCGTGCAAGGCCTCTTGAGTCCCTGGCTTGGAACTGGCACAAGGTCACTTCTACCACAATCTGTTGGCCAAAGCAAGTCACAAGGCCAGCCCAGACTCAAGCTATGGGAAAATAAACTCTACCTTCTGAAGGAATGAGCTACAAAGTCACACTGCAAAGAGTGTGGTTACAAGGAAGGTGAAGAGTTCAGGGACAGTTTTGTAATCTGTCTCCTGGAAGGACCCTGATTGCAAATGAGGCCCCAGCTCTGTCCCTCTCATAGCAGGTTAGACCTCTCCCCTTTGACAGCAGCACTGTGGGAGGTGGGGTCACACCAGGTCTGGGCAGGGCTCTTTGTCTGGAGCTTCTCTGGAGATGTTGGTCCAATAACTCCAGGAATTGGGATTGGGTTAATAATCCAGGAATCCCCACCCCACCACAACATTCTGAGGAGTCCAGGAAATGAGACTGACTCTGGGCACCCCTGTGGGCATCCTTAGCCCCATGGCTGCACAGTGTCATCACTAGCCACCTCAGCCATTCACACCCAGTGGGCTAAACAAGGATACATTTATAGGACACGTGTCACTCACTGGGCAGGGTGGGGCTGGGGCAGAGAGGGGTATCATTTATTGTGTTAACGTGGGAGGACCCAGTTTCGACATGACCCCACCCCACTGCACTTGGCTTCAGGGTGGATCATCTTGGTCGTCCCTTCAATAGCATTTGTGAAGTAACAGAAACTGACTATGGAGTCATAAAGAATCAAAATGCATTTTCCTACAGAGCAAAAATTCTACAGAGAATGTGGATTTCAGGCTCAGAGGTGTCAGAGCTCATGTTTCTTGGCCTTTCCCTCATGGTGGCAAGATAGCTACTATAACTCTAGGCATCAAGTCAGCATCCAAGGCAGGAAGATGACAAAAAGATGGCAAAGGGCTATGGCAGCTACTTCTGCCCTTTTATCAGGAAAGCAACAGGTTTCCCAGAACCACCCTCCAGAGTGCTGCTTGTGTCTCCTTGGCCAGAAGTGGCTCACGTGGGCACCCTAGCTGCAAGGGAGGTTAGAAAAAATGAGGGACAGGATTATCATGGTCAGCATATTACTTGGGGGCCAGATATATCACTTCCCACACAAAAGCAGGCCTCTGTCAGTGAGGAAGAAGTGGAGAATGGATTTGGGGTGGGCATCTGACAGCATTTGCCACACTGCCCTCCCCAATCCTAATGCAGGCCAGTCAACGCACCACCCCCACTCCCCACCCACACTCCAACCCCCACAGTCCTAGGGTCTCTCAGGGAGACCATCGGTGGAATCCATAACATTCTAAGACCCTGCAGTTTGTAGGCAAAATCAGGCTTCCTTTGGGTCCCCAGAATAAATGGGAATTGAAGAAATGGAAAATCACCCTGGCCACAGTTAATCACCCAGAATGCATGGGCCACTATCCAAGCAATCCTTTAAAATCTTGGGATTGGTCCCCATGGCTAAAAAGAGTTTCCATCTGCTGGCCAAACCCTCTGCAGGGACCCATCCCACCCCTTGGGGAGCATAAGCATTCCCACCTCACATGTCAGCCCCTGACATTCTGGTTCTCACTGAAGCAGGGCTCAGCCCATACCAGCTCCCCGGTGAGAGCAGGAGAAGCTGGGTAGCATCCGCCCTGCTCATCCTGGTCATCACCAGCTCTGCTCCCTGAGGCCCCAGAAAACACCCTCAGGATGATTAGGACCAGGGACCCTGAGGCCATCCATCTCCAGGGGAATATATATGGGGCTTCCTGGGCTGAACCATGATGCTTTCTTCCAGACCGTAATATAAACAGCAACAGGTACCAACTTGAAAGATGTATAGGAAAACAATTTTAAGTCGAAAAGAATCCATCCATCTTCAATTTTTCCCCCTGCTTCTCCAAGTTGGGAAAATATTGCTATCATTTGGTTTTTGCAGGGGACACCTCAGTGAAGAATTGCAGTGACCATAGGGACATAGAGAAACTAGCACTAAACCATATTTATTCATTCATTCACTCATTCACTCATTCACTCATTCATTCATTCAGCCATTGTCCCTGAATGGCCACTATGTGCCAGGCACTGGAGATACCGAAATGAAGAAAATGTGGTCTGTGGCCTGAAGAAATGAAGTTGAGTAAGGGAGGCAATGAAAACACTGGTGTGCAATGGGGCACTGAGAAGGGCTTGGGGAAGGCTTCCTGGAGGAGGTGACACCTGGGCCGAGTCTTGTTGGTCAGTCTTGGTTAGCACAGCCAAGAAAGAAGCATATTCTGGGGTTCAGCCTGCACAAAGGCTGAAGAGCAAGCAATAATCAGGGATGGGTTCTGGGAGCCACAGGTGGTTTAGGCCCGGGGCTGCTTCCAAGGCCAAGGGCAGGACTCTCTATTTCCATATCCTCCCGGGACAGTGTATATGGGACTCGCCATAAGAGCTGCTCCCGCTGCCTTCTCAAGACCCCCCCTCTACTGCCTCCATGCCTGGCCGAGCCAAGGTGGGGATGGGGCAGAGCTAGCAAGCAGGGGTCCTGCAGCCCACAGTGCCTACCAGGGTAGCTTGCCTCCAAGGAGCACTGGACCCTTGAAGATTTGCTTCCACTGACCAGACCCTCAACTTTGGGCAGTAAACCCCTCAGGGTTATGAATATCCCCAAGAGCAGAGCCCTTCTCTGCCTCTGGGCAGATTTCACTGGATGCGTGTATGAGGAAGGAGCATTGTCCCAGCCCCTCCTAGAGCAACCAGAGACCTGAGCAGCATGCAGCCAACCACCCTGAGATTCCAGGAATGGCTGCCACAGTCTAATGGGTGAGACAGCAGCTGCTACCCTGCATAGATCCATCCAGAGAAAGCCAGCAGGCCCACTTGCCATCCTTTTACTCCCACTGCAGTTATCTGCCTGGCTTCAAAATGGCCTTCACTGGCTCAGGACCAACCTTGCTGGAGGACAAGGGCATGAAAGATTCATTCATTTGTTCATCCAACACCAAGTATGTGTTATGTGTGAGGCCTGTAGTACAGGCTAGGACACCAGAGATACATCAGGCACAGGTCTGCCCTCCAGGAGCCTACGGTCTGGCAGGGGAAGGCACATGTACTGGAGAGCTGACACTGTGATGTGGTAGAGTGCTAGGAGCCTGGAAGCCAGGGCAGGTTTTCTGGAGGAAGCATCATTTGCATCCCTGTTTTGAAAGATGTGGCTCCCTAAGCAGGGGGCCTGAGATTTGGCTGCTAAGACCCTCCCCAGAGCCAAGAGAAATTCTCTGAGTCCCTCCAGCTCTACTTTTCTCCCTGAGACCCTCGTCCCCCCAGGTTCCTGAGAGCTGGACATTCCTGCAAACAGCCTAGGCCACCCCCATCCGGCCTCAGCCCATATCACCCGAACTCGGAACAGCTGTGCTGCAAGGGGTATCTGGGCCAGACCCAGGCCCGCCACACAATGGTGTGCCACTGGCCGGGGGAGTCATTGTGGAGCCTCAGCCCCTGCCTAGCTCCAGGCCATGGGAAGACAGGCCAGGCTTGGGGGAGGGGTTTAAGTGGTTGTCAGGGAGGCCCCTGCAAAGGAAGAGCTGGGCCCAGGGAGGAAGGGCGGAAGGTAACTGGGAGGTCAGGAGTTAGCCCAACCTCAGAGGCACTTGGCAGTGGGGTGGAGAGGGAGGGAGGGCCTAACTGTGGCCTCCCTGCCACGTGAATTGCAGCCAACCGATACTACTATTCCAGATAAGAAGCCCTGGCTTCTCAGGCTGGTGAGGACCTGCAGAAGTCACCTATCCAGGCAGAAGGACAGAAATCTCCCACCGCCCCCTTCTGGTATGCAAGTCCCCAGCAGCGGCCCCGTGACGGTCTATGAGCTGGGGACACTGCTCTTGGCAGTACACCTCATGTCTTTAGAGCAGAGGCCCCTTCTGTTTATTAGACTTGGACCCTGCTATTGTGAACTCTGCTTCCCCTGGCTTGAGATCAGAAGGTCCCAGCCTGGCCCTCACCCTCTGTGGCACCAAGAAGGCTGGCCTTCCCTGACCCAGCACAAGTACATCCAGACCCTTCCCTTGGCCTGGCTTCTTGAGGGATGTTCCACAGCTGCCCAGATGCTCCACATACAACTGGCTAAGTTCCTCCAAGAGACCCTGGGGCTCAGCTGCTGAGGGTTTCTCCCTTCCCCATCCCCTAATGCAAGCAAGAGGGGTGCATGGGCCACTGTGCCTATCAGGAGTCCTCTAGCTCCACAGTTGGCAGGCAGAAAAGGGAGTGGCAGGAGCTGATATGGAAGGAGCCTACCCATCAGCAGCAGCGTCTTCTGGACCCAGAAGAAGGCCCAGGCCAGGGCAGGCAGAGCACAGATAGGAACGTTTCTGGTGTGCAGTACAGTGGAGCCCTGGACCTGTGGGCACAAGTTCATCTCCCAGAGCCCTTGTATGTGCTCTAAGCAAGTCCAAGGTGAAGGCCAAGCCAGGCCCTGGCCCATAATACCAATCCATTCAGTGAGGAGGAAGCAGGAGACCCAGGGTTTAGTCGTAGTTCCACCGTTTACTTGTTTTGACAAGACACAGACCTTTCAGAACCTCTATTGCCCTCTGTGTTAAATGGCAGCAATAAAACCTCCCAGGATTTTCAGGGAAGGGGGTGGATCAAACAAGTTACAACACATGTGAAAGTGTGTTGGAAAGCACCAAGTATTCTAACAGAAAAGGCCAAGAAACAGCATGCATGCTGCCACTTCCCTCTCCCGTGCCCAAGGCAGACATGGCTATCTATCTCGGCACTGTCTCACCAAGCTATATTGATCATTCAGAATCCCTCTCAACACATTCCAGGATAGTTAGGGTGACATAGCCTCCATGGGGTGAAGAGAAGCAGCAATGCAAAGCAGGGAATGCCCAGGGAATGGGCCAGGTGGCCTGTGCCGTCTATGGGCTGGGCCTCATGCTCAGCTGGGCTGTGGCTGGGCTTCAAGAGGCCTTTGTTCCCAGCATCCTGGTTAGCAACCCCAGTTCCTCTTTCGTGCATTGTGGTTCCCTGAGAAAACGTTAACCCAGCCCCCAGCACAGTCAGGCCAGCCCTGGGGAAGGCCTCATTCATGAGGCAGGACCCCAGGGGCCAAGTTGGTGCTCGGTGGTGGCAGGACCCCTGCAGCCCCCTGTCCCACTGCACACTCCCAAGTCCACCCCGCGAGGAGCACCCCCTGAAAAAGGCCATGTATCAGCCCCTCTGCCCTGGGCCACTGCATGTAGTGGGAGCTCTGGTCAGGCAGAAGTCTTTTGAAAAGCAGGTCCTGGGGCTCCTGCACCTCCACCCCAGCGCCCATCGCCACGGACTCCCCCAGGCAGGGCCAGCCTGCCCACCAGCAGTCACCAGTGGCCTCCATGGTGTGTTTTTAGGGAGTGCTGAGCAGTCCCCGCTGTGTCAGCAAAACCCTCCAAATGGTGCTTTCAATTCCATTCCTTCAGCCTCTCCCTGGGAGGGAATAAAGGCAGGAAGTCTCTATTAAACTGTGAATGTCAGGAGATAGGTAAGATGGCCCCTAATTCCTGATTGATCTCCTAACAATGAATTAGTTCTTAAAAGCATGGATTTCCCTCTCAGGGCCTCAGACTGTGCCACGAATCCAGCGCTCCAGGAGCCTCCTGCCCCAGCCCCTAGTGCTCCTCCCGCCCCCTGGAGGCGCCATGTTCTCGCACCCAGCTCTCCCATGCACCCCAGCCCACAGCCACCAGGGCTGGCATCAGAGGCACTACCATCCCGGGCAACTCAGAGGGCGGCTCCAGCAGCCTGCCCCTCCCCAGCAGCAGCAGGGAGGGACGTCCCTAGTGCGTTGTAGGCAGGGCCTGTGGCCATGGATGAAGATGGAACTGGGAGCTCAGAGTAAATTTCGCTGAAAACAGGAAACCACGAAGCCCAGATGCGTTCAGTTGTAAAAGGGTCCAGAGAAGAGAGGGCAGGGCCGCACCAGAGGAAGCTGAGGAGGAAGTGCGGTGGCTGTTCTGCTGCGGGCCGCCTCCCTCTCCACACAGCAGCAGCCAGGCCTGGGGTCTGGCAGCCAAATTCTTAGAAGTTGTCTCTGCCTCAAGGTCAGCAGCTGAGGGCTGGGGCCAGGCCAGCCTCCCCAGAGGGCAGGGCATGCTCTTCCTGAGTTGGGAGAACCGGAATCTGGGCTGTGGGCTTGTCCTTCGACTCCAGGAACAGCAGGTGTCCTGTCCCCACTCCTGCCATGCAGGCCCCCATGAATTGTGAAAAACATACCCTCTTTCCTTCTTTCTTTCTTTTTAAAATTTGTTTTGAGGCAAAGTTTTGCTCCGTCCCCAGGCTGGAGTGTAGTGGCTCGAACACAGCTCACAGCAGCCTTGAACACCTGGGCTTAAGCGGTCCTTCCACCTCAGCCCTGCAAAGTGCTGGGAGGACAGGTGTGTGCCACCATGGCCAGCCAGCACCCTCTTCCTATGGCAGCTGGCATCAAGCATTGTGGTGACCAGAGGGAACAAAAGAAGGGACCCCCCTCTGCCTAGGGACAAGGGAGAAGCCGGGGTTTGGGCATATTCTGGCCACTCGAGGTGTCAGCCCCATCTCCGGGCCTATGTTTACCCTCTCCTCAAAGCCCCTGGCCCAGCCCAGGCAGAGCAGGAGGCCCTCAGTGGACCATTCCTTTGGGCCTAACTGGGGGGCTTAGAAGCAGGGCCATGTGTCCAGGTGGGGTTCCCTGGCTGTAGCCACAGGCCCAGGGCTCACTGCTGCCAGGCAGCCTAGAGGTGCTCCCCTTTTCCATCCCCCCAACCCCCCAAGCAATTGGGCGAACATCTTCCCGCCTAGCCCCAAATCCTGGCTTTCAGCACCCAGGCCCAGCTCAGCAGAGCCAGTGTAGGCTGCTAGGAGACAAATGCCCAGGCTGGACTATGCTCTCCACAGTACCTGGGGCCCCCATCCTGCTAAACGCTACAGGGGGTCTGCCCAGCCCCACCTCACCTGTCCCCATGCTCAGGCACTGCCTTCCCTGTTTTACCCCCAGAGTGTACAGAGATGCCCCCTACTCTCCTCCCCTGCTTTAAAATCCTTCAATCACAATTCCACAGAGGACTCACCTTGCCTATGTGTATAAAAACAAAGCCAGGGCATGCCCACAAGCAGGAGATGGGAACATCACCCGCACCTGGCCGAATGGCTCTGAAGCGAAGACTCCACCAGGCCCAGATTGTATGGAGTGGAAGGTGGGGGTGGGGGAGGAGCAGCAGAGTGCAGATTTAAACTGGCTCTTACAATCCATCTCCAGGGTTTGCACCTGTTTCCCCATGTAGTTTTTAATAGCATCCCGCTTCATACTCAGAAGTGTCCCAGGGTGGACAAGACATTGTGTGGCACCCTTGCAATGGCCCGCGCTGAGCAGTGGGAGTAGGGGATGGGGAGGGCGGGGGGCAGGTGCCCCTCTCCACTCACCTTCCCAGAAGGCCCCACCCACCTCCCTCAGCACCATCTCCAGTGGGTGGGGCAACATCTGTCCTGGCCTCAGATTGCCCAAGACACCATTTGCTCACGGAGGCCACCATGCCCCAATATGTACTTCCCGTTTCGGGACCACCAAGCTCTGGGGACTGGAATGCAGGCAGTGGAAGCCCCAGATTGACTTAACCTGTTGACAGATCTTCAGAGAAACTGCTGGTAGGAGGCAGCTGGGGAAGGTGGCGATGGCCAGTGGGCAGGCAGGCCTGGCCCCAGAGCCACTGTGGTACAAAGAGGAAGTCTGACAGAAGAGCAGCCTCGGGCAAAACGGGGGAGCCAAGGCGGCCACGGGGGAGAAGTCTCTCCACCGTGCCCTGTGTCTGGTGCCTGGGAGGGTGGCCCAGTGTCCATCTTGTCCCACTGATGCTGCCACATCCCAAGGCTCATGTCTCAGAACGAGAGCTGCTGAAGGGCTGGACGTTCTGAGACTTCTTAAGATGTAAGTCATTTGGCATCTGTAGCTGGTGAATTTCAGGTCTCTAGGGGAGAATCTCAGCACCCCAAAATCCTTGGAACAGGGGCTGAGCCGTCCAGCATCCCCATGTAGCATCCAGAGGGGTTGAGGGGCTGGGCTTCTGGGATGTCACAGTATCTGAGCCCAGAGCAGGAGGGAGGGAACCAGGGCCGAGGCCAAGGAGGCCACTCACAGAGCCAGCCCTGGCTCAAATGCACCTGCCCCAGACCCAGCCACAACAGCCCACTGTCCCCCAGCTGGGCTAGATGACCTCAAAGTTTGGAGAGTCAGGGACAGGGTCTGCAAGAAAAGGAGAAGCAAAGTGAACGGGGCCCCTCTGCCCCTCACCCTCAACCCCACCCCGTGAGGCCGTGGAACTCTTCAGGGAGGTGAATGGGGGCCCCTCTGTCCCTCACCCTCAACCCCACCCCGTGAGGCCGTGGAACTCTTCAGGGAGGTGAATGGGGGCCCCTCTGTCCCTCACCCTCAACCCCACCCCGTGAGGCCGTGGAACTCTTCAGGGAGGTGAATGGGGGCCCCTCTGTCCCTCACCCTCAACCCCACCCCGTGAGGCCGTGGAACTCTTCAGGGAGGGCAGGGAGTGAGGCCGATGCCCTGCAGGCCATGAGGTCATGACCTTACAGGTCATCGTGCTGTGAAGGTCAGGAAACACTTACCCAGGGATGGGAAGAAGACGTCTCCGGGGCCTGGAGGAGACAGGGGGGTGCTGGGCTCCGAAAGCAGATGCCGCCCAGACTCAGAAGGCTGCCGCTGGGCCACATAGGACAGGGGGTGCCTGACTTTGGCCTCGGGTATCCCCTGGGCAGGTGGTGAGGCTTCAAAGCCGGGGTTTTCAATCCCTTGAATGTTGCTGCCACAGAACCAGAATGGAAGGTCATCTGTGCTGTCCGGAGCGTGAACTCTGCCCTCCCTGCCCCCAGTTTTTCTCTCCTCCCTTTCTCTCACCTACATCCCCATCCCCAAGCCTCAGCAGCATCTCCAAGCAAGAAGGCAGGAGCCAGGCCCACAGAGCAAAGGCCATGGGCTGCACCTGCCCACCTGTCCTGAGCTGAGGGCATCAGGGCCCACCAGAACAGACCCCAGCTCCTCCCTGTGGTCTGACCATCAACCCCGGGCACAGCCAGGAAGCCAAAAATCACAGACACTTCTAGAACTTCAGCCTCAGGAATTTGGGGACAAGTTTCTCTTTGGTCAATAGAGTTGATGGCATTAGGATCGAACATCCCCAAAGCCTGTCTTGAGCTGAGGGGAGGGGTTCTCTTCTCTTCCCAGTTGGGAGTGGGATAACTTCTGAAGACCCCTGCAACTCTTAGATTCTAGATGAGTTGCAAGCAGGACTTCCTTCAACCTGTCTTGAAGATCATCCCTTTCAAACACCTAGAGGAGCTTTGTGTTTGGTGTTGCAGGTACCGGGGCAGGAACTTGGGTTCCCTGAACACACCCTCCAGGCCAGGCTGCATGGCAGCTTCCTGCCCAGAGCACACCAATACACAGTCCCCATCCCCTCTGCCCCTAGACCCAGCCCACTGCACCACTCTGGGACCCCTCAGCCTCTGCCCTTGTGGCCTGCAGCGGCCTAACAGCTTTCTCCTTGGAGTTCTCTGCGGGCAGGAGGCACAGCTCAAGGGCTGTGGCTGGGGCTGGGCCCGCTGGCCTCCTTTGCATGTCTCACTGTCTGCCCCAGACAGTGCTTCCTCCCTGTCCCCATCCTGGCCCAGGCTGACCACTGAGACCCGAAGGTGGGTGCATGACACATCTGAGCAGAATCAGAGCTCAGCCTGCTGAGTCGGGGTGGCAGGAGAACAGCCAATCTGCACAGATGTGCAGGCTTCAGCAGCAGATGGCAGAGGCTCTTCTGACCAGCTGCTCTAGGCAGCTAAACAGGGCCCCTACTGCACAGAAGTATCTCTTCCTGGATAGCCGGCCCAGGAAGTTTTCTCAAGAAGGTCTCCATGGGCCTTACCTGTCCATCCGCACCAGCTCCTGGGCACCTAGGGACAGACAGACAGAGAAGCTGGTCATGGAAGGGAAGGCTTCCCCATACAACATCCCTGCCCCTGCTGGCAGATGCCCTGCAGGGAACAGGAGCGAGCCCAGGAGGGCCCTGCACAGCTCCGGACTCCATTTCTTTTCACATGGGTGCTGTCCAGCAAGCGATCTGCGTGTCTGTCCAGCAGATGGGGCCTCCATGAGGGGCCCATTTTGACGACTGATAAATGAAACTCTATCTGCATTTTCCAGGAGTGTAAGAACGCTATCTGCCATCAGGAGACCAAAGGCAGCCAGCGCTTTCTCCTATGGCTTGACTTACACAGTGTCAGACCTTCAGGATTTAAGTATCGAGCAAAGGTCAACTCTTGAATTTGCTAACTGGTGTCTCTTGTTTGAACATTTGCCAGGTTCTGGTCTTTAGCCATGACTTACTGGGTGGGAGTGTTTAAGGTCAGTTCCTAATTAGAGGGCTCCTGGTCCTCTCTGTCCTATCCCCTACATTGCCTAATAGGGTGGCATTCTAGGGGACATCTCTCAGGGAAACCTTACAAGGTGCAAGTCCCCGATCACTTCCCAGCCACTTCACTCACTTTCTGCTTCTCATCCAAGTTGCTGCCGCTTGCCTCAGCCTTGGGACACCCCACCCCCCAAACTGGCCACCAATTAGATGCAGTGACCCCAACTTCCCTCTTTCATGCAGCACCCCATGTCCTCCCACAGATGCTTCTCGTTTTAAGGAGATTTACTGCTGATTACGATGGGGAAACAGATGGTGGGGGAGGGGCACAACAACAGAACAAACACAGGGAAGTTACCCAAAAGTTCCTGAAATCTATTCAAACCATGGCTATTGCTTACAGCCGACTCATGGGTCAGGCTTCGTGCAGGTGCACACGGGTATTCCCTCATCTCATCCTCTGTGCCACCCTTTGGGGTGAGGGTTGTTGGTCCCATTTTAGAGCTGGGGAAACTGAGGCTCAGTCCAAAGCAGGATGGAAATCCACACCTGTTGGCCTCTCCAGCAAACTGCCGTCCTCAAGGCTCCCAGCCCTTTCCTTTTCTTTTTTTCCTGAGAGTGCCTCATTCCTGAGCAGGCTCTCTGGGCCAGCCTTCCACCAGGGAGGGCACAGCAACACCTGCTCCCCCTGCCCTGCTGCCCAGCGTTGCTCTTCTGTTCCAAGCCCTTTACCTGCCCCCACCCACCCCCAGCCATGGGTATTCCTGCAGGTAGGTTGTGGTGTGTTCTAGGAGAGGAATAGGGGAGTTCTGAAAGCAAGGGTGAGGTGGCCACAGCCCCCGAGTGACCCACTATGGGGCTTCACGTGGGGGCCCCCGGGAATGAGGGGAGGGAGGGATGACAAGTTGTTAAGGGCCGGCCACAGGAAATAAGTTGCGAGCCAAAAGCCACCTGGCACCAGAGCAATCCTTTCTCAGTTACCTCTGTAGCCAGGCAGACGGGAAGAGGCCAGGGAGGGGAGGCAAGGGTAAAAAACTCCCTAGCCCCTTCTTGGAGGACTCAGACTAACCAAGACTCAAGGGCAGGGTCAGGAACTAGGCAAGGGGCACTGTCACCTGGCCAGGGTGGGAGGTGAAAGATGTTTGTGCCCATGACTTAAAGCCCAGCCCCACCACTTATTTGCTGTGTGGTTCCTTAGGCAAGTTACTTAACCCCTCTGTGCCTCCGTTTGCCCATCAGTAAAATGGGGACAATGGTAGGACCAAATTCTTGGACTTGCAATGAGGAGTAAGTGAGAGCATTTTTATTATATGGTGGACTTCTATTCCCTGGAAAGAGCATGCGTTGAAAGCTCTGAGATTGAGTCCTAGCTCTGCCACTTACTAAGTTACGTAACATTCAGTCAGTTATGTAACCCCACTGATCTTAGCCTTCTCATCTGGAAAAAGAAAGGGTTGAGCTAAGTTGTCTGTAAGACCCCTTCCACTTCTGATATTCCAAAGATCATTTTTTGTCCCAACAATTGCTACTAATTACAAAACAAGCACGCCCATACCTTAAACAGGTCCCCCAAGGATCTCTGAGTGGCAGCAACTTGCTTTTATAAAGCAACTTGAGCTACTGCATATGATCATTCATTCAGAAGACATGTATTGAGTGCCGAGCCAGCACTGCCTGGGAGCCAAAGGGGCTGGTGGGCACTTGGCCCCCGGAAATGGCATGCCTCCTTTCTCTCGGCCATTTCGCCCAGCTCCTGGCGGGAAGTGCAGCTGCTCCCAACTCTCAAATGAAAAGGAATTGTGCCTGCATCGTGCCTTTGCGAATCCCAGGGGCTGAACTGGGGGCTGGAGCAGGTCACTCGCACCGTCCACCCACCCCAGGCAGGGAGGAATACTCACGGCGGTTGGAGGCTGCCTGCCTTTGCTTGTAGACCAGGAGCAGGATGAGGGGGAGGCAGAGGATTCCTACGATGCAGGCACCCGTAGCCAGGGCTGCAGCCGTGATGTCTGAAAGGGCAGAGAGGTAGCCAAGGTGAAGCCCCATTCCCATTGCTCCTCCTGAGCATAAACTGAGGCTCAGAGAGGGAAGGCCAGGAAGCAGGAGACCCGCCTTTCCCCAGAGTCCCACAGCTAGACCCCCAGCAACCTACAGAGGCATGGAAGATAAGGCGGTTCTCCTTTCAAAGAGAGCCCTGTGCCTGCCGCCCTATGCCCCTGGAGCACTCAGAAACAAGACCTGTCACCTACAGCTCAGGCAGCTCCAGGCAAGAGAGGGAACAGAGTCCTCATCCCAGCCCACAAGGTACAGCTGGAACACCCTTGGCTACAGGTTGTTCTCTGAAAAGGGAGAGCAGGGCCTTCGCAGACCCCATGCCACAGAGCTCAAGGTCAAAAGAAGCCTAAGTGATGAAAGTTTTGAAAATAGACAGTGGTGACGGTTGCACATTGTGAATGTAATTAATGCCACCAAACTGTAGGCTTAAAATGGTTGAAATGGCAAATTTTACATTATATATGTTTTATCATAATAGATAAAAAGCCCCAACTCATCCCAGAGACTCCTTAGCTCTGGGATGGGGCCTCTAGAACCCCTTGATCTCACCACACAAGTCACAGGAGAAACACCCGGGGTGAGAACTAGAAAAACGTGAATCCTTGTACAATGTTTTTCAATTTTAAACTTATTAAACTACCAAAAAAAGTACAAGTTTAAAAAATATTCGAATCTCCTCCTCCCCTTGTACCAAGACCCCCTCTGAAGAGATCATCCCTGTGTGCCGGTTTTTGTGTTATGGTCCTAGTTATATTCCCTGCAAATACAGCAGACGCAGCATCATATGACAATGCTTTTCCCACTGAGCACAGCTTGGACATCTCTCTGTCTCCCCTGCCTCATTCTGCTTAGAGTTTTATCACATGGCTCCCACTAAATTTATTGAAGCAGTCCCCTGTTGGTAGACATGTTGTTTCCATTTTCAGCATAACTAATAATGTAGCAATGAACTTGTGCACGCAGCCTGGCTCACTCAGCAAGGAAATCTGTAGTAAATTCCTAGCGGTCAAAGTGCTGAGCCAAAGAGTATGTGCATTTTCTTTTAGGCTATTGCTAAATTGCCCTCCAAAAAGGTGTACACGAAGCTTCGCTGTCCCAACAGCATGAGGAGGTTTGATTTATTTCAGGGCATCTGCTGACTGCAGGAGTTTAGCTGGGAACAGACGTGCCCTCAGAACCACAACCAACATAAACGCATTTCCTTCCCAATTTTAGCCTTTCCCAGGGCCAAAAGATGGGCTGGGATACCTTGTCACAGTGTCAACTTCGCCCCAAAGAGCTCTGAGAGGTAAATGGCTGTGGTCTAAATGTTGCCTTTCCGCTATTTGTTTGGGAATAAAGGCTGTTTTTGTTTTGCTCTACAATCCGACAGCGTAAACAAGCTTTCAGGAGGTTTGTTCATACTGCAAATGAGAACAAACTGTTTTCAGTCACTTTAGAAGTACCCACTGGTACAGGAACAGTTGCTATGCTAATTACAAAGCAAGTTCCGCTCCACATTACAGCAGGTTCCCTGCAGATCTTAGCAAGGCTGCATTTTGACGTGGAATATTGAAAGTAAAGACATTCTATAACCCAGACACCTCAGTATTTCAAAACCCCCATCAAAGGACCTTATTGTGGGCAATATTTGAGAAGCCAGTTGCAAAGCACTCTCTTCTAGTGATCAAAGCAGGTCTCCTCTGGACGGCTAGTAAGCAACATTTTGTGAGCTTTGCCAGGTGCTCATTGATACCTGTTCCCTATCTGCCTTTGGAGGGTGAGCTTGGCCAGATATCCCTGCCTAACTTCTATCCCCAGGTAGAGATTTCCCCTATGTGGACCCTCTATCAGATCAGGACTTAATTTCACTTTGAGAGCCTGAGGCTTCCTTACGATCTGGGCTGAGTTGAGGCTGGGGCAGAGGGGCGCAGAGGTTTGGGGACAAGTCTGTGGATCCAGCTGCTTTCTGAAGCCGTAGGCATCTCTGCAGAGCTCAGCCTCGCCACAGTTCCCCACCCCTTCCCCCAAGCGTGGCCAGTGCCTGGGCTGGCACTCACAGGGGAAGGCAGGCATACTCACTCACCATCCAGAGCCAGGCTTATCCTGGGAAGGTGATCAGGCGCTGGCAGAGGTAGCTGCCGACACCGCACTAAGGAGTGTGCCAGGCCCTGACACAGCAGGGTGGGATGGGAGGGGCCTGGCCTGCTCAGGCGGCCTTTGTCCAGGGCCTGCCTGGTAGCCCACGGGGATATATGGAGGAGGGAGTTCGGCTGCTGAGGGTTGGGCTGCCTGGTTTCCCAGGGAGGAAGCTGGGTGAAAGCAGACAGCACATTCTGCTGCGCTGGGGGGTGGGAAGAAGTTCAAAGGGAGATGAGCTGCCTAGACCCCTTCTCTGAGCTCACTGAGAAACCACAGCCCCTCAGCAATGCAGGAGCTCCTTGGGCACCAACTTCTCTAGTCTCATTCCCCTACCTCAGGTTAACTTGTACTTTCATGTTATTTCATAGTCAAGCTACACTCTTACTTCCCAAGGATAACATTAAGAGGCTGGCACTGGGGCTGGGCATAGTGGCTCAATCCTGTAATCCCAGCACTTTGGGGAGCCAAGGCGGGTAGATCACTTGAGCCCAGGAGTTCGAGACCAGCCTGACCAACATGGCTCTGACCAAAATGCATGTTCTAATTTTGCTCTTGGCCTGTTTGTTGGTTTGAAAAAAGGGTAGCTGAGTAAAAAGTCACTGTAGCCTTTGAGTTGGGTTTTGTTGGGTCCGTGGTTTAGCTGATCCCCATTCCGGCTTAGGTCCTCGTGCATGTCCTCCTGGATGCCTTTGTATCTCCAGGGCCTAGCAGGGGCTGGTCCCCACTGGATGTCTGACACATACAGGGTATAGAGGGGTGTGGAAGCCAAGACCTCTTCTCAGAAGAGGGAGGTGCCCTTGCATTTTGTCTCCAAGCTGCTGGGTATTCTCACCCAACCTCTCAGCGCCAGGCACCCTTAGGGCAGTGCCCTCTTACCCTGTAGGGCACCTCTCTGGCAAGCACCGGGGGGCTAACTGCTACCCACTGCACTGCCCCAAGCTGGGAAGAAGGTGAGTATGCAGAGCTAAGCAGGCCTGCAGCCAGATCCCAGCTATGCTACCCTGGGCTATGTGAGCTTGGGCAAGTTAGCATACATCTCTAGGCCTCTCTTTCCATGGATACAGAGAAGATGGTGATGCCTACTTCATAGAGTTCTTATAAGAATTCCCTGAGGCTAGGCATGGTGGCTCACACCTGTAATCCCAGCACTTTGGAGGTCAAGGTGGGAAGATCAATTGAGCCCAGGAGTTCAAGACCAGCCTGGGCAACATAGCGAGAGTGCATCTCTACCAAAAGTGATTTTTTTGATTTTTTGGGACAGAGTCTCGCTCTGTCACCCAGGCTGGAGTGCAGTGGTGTGATCTCGGCTCACTGCAACTTCTGCCTCCCAGGTTCAAGCAGCTCTCATGTCTCAGCCTCCCGAGTAGCTGGGATTACAGATGCCTGCCACCATGCCAGGCAAATTTTGGGTTGTTTTTTTTTTGAGATGGAGTCTTGCTCTATCAGCAGGCTGGAGTGCAGTGGCGCGATCTCGGCTCACTGTAACCTCTGACTCCCGGGTTCAAGCGATTCTCTTGCCTCAGCCTCTTGAGTAGCTGGGACTACAGGCGTGCACCACCATGCCTGGCTAATTTTTGTGTTTTTAGTAGAGATGGGGTTTCACCCTGTTGGCCAGGCTGGTCTCGAACTCCTGGCCTCAAGCGATCTGCCTGCCTTGACCTCCTAAAGTGCTGGGATTACAGGCGTGAGCCACCGCACCTAACCCCAAAAATAATTTTTAAAAATTCACCAGACATGGTGATGCGTGCCTGTAGTCCCAGCTACTTGGGAGAATGAAGCAGGAAGATCACTTGCATCTGGAAGTTTGAGGCTTCAGTGAGCTGTGATTGCACCACTGCATTCCAGCCTGAGTGACAGAGAGAGAGTCTTTCTCAAAAAAAAAAAAAATTCCTGAGGCCAGGCGTGGTGACTCACACCTGTAATCCCAGCACTTTGGGAGGCCGAGGCAGTTAGATCATTTGTCAGTAGTTTGAGACCAGCCTGGCCAACATGGTGAAACCCCAGCTCCACTAAAAATACAAAAATTAGCCAGGCATTGTGGTGCACGCCTGTAATCTCATCCTAGCTACTCGGGAGGCTGAGGCAGAAGAATCGCTTGAATCCGGGAGGCGGAGGTTGCAGTGAGCCCAGATCGCGCCACTGCACTCCAGCCTGGGTAACAGAGTGAAACCGTGTTTCAGAAAATATACACACACACACACACACACACACACATATACACACACACACACATATATATACACACACACACATATACACACACACATATATACACACACACATATATACACACACACATATATACACACACACATATATATACACACACATATATATACACACACACATATATATACACACACACATACATATATATACACACACACATATATACACACACACACATATATACACACACACATATATATACACACACACATATATATACACACACATATACACACACACATACATACATATATGTGTGTATATATATGTATATACATATATATGTGTGTATATATATGTATATACATATATATGTGTGTATATATATGTATATACATATATATGTGTGTATATATGTGTATATATATGTATATACATATATATGTATGTATATATATGTATATACATATATATGTATGTATATATGTGTATATATATGTATATACACACACATATATATATATATATATCCCTGAGATAATAATACTTAAAAAGACTTAGTCCAGTGCCCAGCACAGTGGGAACTCAGGAAAGGTAGTTCTGTTCCCCTTCCTGAACCTCTTCCTCCTCCCTCCCCTGCAACAGAGAACATCTGAAGAACATAGAAACACAGAACACAGAAATCTGAAGTAGTTTAATTCTAGGCCAAGAGGACCCCCAGCCTTCCCAAGCCATAGGGGGCTGGTGGGCAGGGCGGCACTTAGCTGCCTGGGGCACCCAGTACCTGTCATGAGGCACTTGCCCTGGCCAAAGGTCACTGCCAAGGCACAGCCACTCCAGAGAGTCAAGAGGAGCAGAGACTCCAGAGCAGATGGAAGGAGAGTGGGCTTCTGGGGATTGCACCAAGGAGGAAGCAGAAGGGATGTGCAGCAGCAGAAAAGGAGGAGGACCGGGGGGTTCTGAGGGCTTGGGGTGATGAGGCCAGAGTTCCAAACAGGGTCTGGGTGCAGGATGAGGACAGAAGAAAACAGAGAACCCAAAAGGGGCAAGAGGTTGGTCCCTTACTTTCACTATCCTGGGAGGAGGATGGGTACACCACACAGTTGGATGGTGCATCTTTGCCTGTGGGAACAAACAGAAGGGCCATTAGGTGGGTGTCAGGCCCAGGAGGCCAGGGAGGCTTGTCCAGGCCAGTGTCCCCCTCCTGCCCCAGGTTCTCACGCTAGTGCCTACTCGGCAGTGTTGGCCCAGTGGCAGCCTGCACACGTGTGCACCCACACACACCCTGGCATGTTCTCACCCTGCCCATTTTCATGCCACTCCCAGGGGCATGTGAATACCCGCTGGTGCCCACACCTCTATCCGAACCATGGGCCCTTGCACTCTCACCTGAACAGACAGACACACACACGCATATATTCTCCAACAGCCATTCAGCCATCCACTGAGTCATGCCCCAGGGCACCAATCAGTCCCACTGATGCCTATACCCACAGCAGCCATGATGTCATCATGAGCAGTCACACTCCCAGCCCAGGTACCTACAGCCTCACACATTAAAAAGTCTCACTGTCACAAATGGAGCCAGGTACACCCTCCCTCTCCATCACTCCAGCTAACTACAAACCCACACTCCACACACCCTTGACCACCCCATCTCACCCACACACTCCCTGGAGTGCCAGTGTTACCCATGCAGCCTCACACTCTGCCCAGCACAGTGTCATGAATGGTCACACCATCAGACAGGCAGCCCTCCACACACGCCAGGCTGTCACGTGCAGGATGCCCTCACCTGTCTGCACCTGCAGCTCCATGGCACCATGGACCCTGTGCTCCGAGTGGTGGTGCCTGATCTCCACCACCAGGCAGCAGTAGAGGCCGCTATCCAGCAGGGTCAGGTTGCGCATGGTGATGGAGAAGTTGCCATGGTGGTCGGAGGCCGACTCCAGCCCGTGGCGCTGAGCCAGGTCGTGGCTGGTGTTGGCAGCCTGGTGGCCTCCATGGTGCAGGTGAAGGTCCTGGAACGTGAGGTTGCGGATGGGCCGGCGCTCTGAGCAGGTCTGCACCTCGCCCCTCGAGCTGCGGTACCACGTCTTGTAGAAGGTCACATCGTGCCCTTTGTCCACAGGGCCCAAGAGCCTGCAGGTGAGGGTGACGTTCTGCCCCTCGGGACAGACATACAGGGAATACGGCGTGGCGACCTTGAAGGCTGCCACCGGACCTGCTCAGAGAGAGGAGAGCCCTGTCACCTGACTGATCCAGTGCTACTCCTGGCAACCCCAGAGCGGGGAAGAACCTTAGCCTCTGCTACTTCCCAGCCACAGGCCAGGGGCATGTCAGCTGACCTCCCTAAGACTGCCTTCTGCATTTGTTCACAAACCCCACTCCATCCTAGGCTGTTGTAGGGGGAGTCACAGAAGCTTCCCCAACTAGGGGTGCTCCTGGATGCTGGACAGGGCAGGGAGAGACTTGGAGGGCAGTGATGCAGTCGGGTGTGTCCCTCTTCCCAGTAGAGTATATGCAAAACCTGTTGGGTGGGAGGCAGGTTGGGGAGCAGGAAGGCTGTTTCGAACAGCAGCTCCTTGTCCTTGGCCGCTCTGTAGGGGCCATCAACACCTCTGCCCCTTCCTACTCCTAGGACTGAACATGCCTTCCCATCCTTGCCAGGGAGCACTAAGAGAGCACCTGCGTGTGCAAGGCCTGGGCCAGGTGCTGCATCTCACCTGCATGCTGAATGCATGGCCTCCCCTTGAGCAGACGAGGCCTGCATTCCCGACAGCAGAACCCCATGGCAAAGGCAATCCAATGCCAGCCCTCAGGGCACTTGGAGGAGGGAGGAAACAGCCTTCTGGGGACAGTCAGGGACTTCCTGAAGGAGGGAGAGTCTTTGGACTTGGTGCATAGATAGGATTTCAGCCAGTAGAAAGGGTGTCCTAGGCAAGATAGTGTGAAAATGGGAAAACCCAGTGTCTGAGGGACCGGGACAGAGAGTATATGAAAGGTCATCTCATCCATGCACGTCCTTCCAGCCAAACTTAGAAAACTGTCTAGTTCTGTTTGGTTTTTTTCACCAAGCAAATGAAGCAATTCCCTGGTCCACTTTGCCTTATCCCAATCCTCCAGCATTTAATTGGGTTGACCCTCAAAACCATGAGCTTTTGAAAACAGAATATTGGATAGAGGCCGCGTTTCTATCTAACTGTATGAGCCTCAGTTTCCTCCTCTGTGCAGTGAGAAAACTATTGGCTACAATGCAGGGTTGCAAAAGGACTAGATGAGGGAAAGATGAGAACACAAGATGTGAGCTCTAATGCCCTCTGCAGACATCTGAGGGATAGCTATAATTATTATGCGTTGGTGTTATTTTTATTTATTTATTTGTTTTTGAGACGGAGTCTCCCTCTGTTGCCCAGGCTGACCTTGAACTCCTGGCTTCAAGCAATTCTCCTGCCTTGGCCTCTCAAAGTCTTGGGATTACAAGTGTGACCCACTACGCCCGGCCAGTGGTATTTTTATTTTAAATGGCATGTCAGGCTGTTGTGGGTCTAGCAGAGAGGGAAGGAGGGTTAGAACTATGTACAGAATCCAAACTGATACATCCTTTTCATTGCCCCAGCCAGGGGCATTGCCCAGAACCAATATAATGCCACATCCTCCTTCAGATGCCCCTTCCCTGCCCTTAGAGCCCAGGACCCTCGGCGGCAGGCTGGGACCCACTGGAAGAGCTGAAAGCCTTGCCCAGCCAGGAGGGAGGCAGCCTGGTGGGGCTTCTGGAGCTGGCCAGCCTGTACTGGACCAGTAGCTGTGAGCCACTTAGACGCTGAGCCCCGACTCCTCACTCACAGATGTTTTTCCCAGAAATGAAAACATCTCCCTGGCAGAGTTGAGGCAACGGTTAGTAATAATTCACATGAAGTGTTCTGTAAGTGCCATGCGAGTAGTCGGCGCTTGGTACTTGGGAGCTAGACAGGTCTCTAATTCATTCAGCAAGTCAAGAAGTGCCTCCTAGGAGTGAGAAGCACAGTGGGATGGAGAAGCCAGCTTTAAAGTCTTTCCTGCTAAGGTGTGAATGACTGATAACAACTTGTGATCCGATCCTGGGGCGCTTGTGTTTAAAGGAGAGTCTCCAAAGGCACCAAAGCCCCAAACGGCATGTCTGCAAGAGTGGAGTTTTAGGCAGAGAGCCAAGTCTGGGAGCCCCAGATTTTTGGAGTCATTGTCAGGGTGAGCAGAGATTTCAGAACTTCTTTGGCAAGATACAGGTCTCCTTTTCAGGCAGAAACACAGAGACCCAGAAAGGGAAAGTGGTTGGACTGAAGTTCCAAAGTTCCAGAGGGTATGATCTCAAAGCCTGGAGCATGGGGGACTTCAGGTAACGCAGGATCTAGGCAGAACCGTAATAAGAAGACACAGCATGTGTTGTGCACTACGCTAAGGGTTTCATGGGCATATCTAACAATGCCATAAGGTATTGTTTTTATTCCCATTGCACTGATGAAGAAACTAAGGCACAGAGAACTTACGTAACTCACTGATGATCACACAGCAAGCAAGTGCTAGAGCTAGAATTAAACTCAGACACATAGACACTATACTGATGAAAAAAAAGGCCAGAAACTGGGAGCCCACAGGCCACATCCAGCCTTCACACATATTTCATTGGATCCTCAAAATCTTTTTAATTTTCTTGAGATGGCAACATTTAAAAACCAGGAATTTGACATGAAAATTCTGACTTCCAGCTCTCCTTAGAAAATCAGAAGATAATGCTAAACCAGCTTTCCCACAGGGCAACTGTCAGCTGGGGCTCAGTAGCAGCTTTTGGGGGGCACCGGCACTCCAGTTCGCCAGAGTCCGTCCGTACTACTCCCTAATAATTCCACCTGGCCTGCTTCACTCTCTCACCGTGGTTTCTTGGTCCTGTGGACATTTGAGTTTGTGATGAATGAGTGTGGCTTCTTGGGCTAGCTGGCATGGGACTCTACTGCCCAAACCCATTATGCTACAAATCTGACCCACAGACTCAAGAGAGGAGATGATCCACCCAGGGTCCCCAGGGAAAGCCTGGCAGTGCAGGGACTAGCCAACTCTCCTCTGCTAACCCACTGCCCTTACCCCTGCAGCAGGCTCAGTGGAAAAGGAGCCCCAGGAAGCTTGGCTGTGCCCCTGGTTTTGTCCGTGCTGGCCTGGACTTCCCCTTCACACCTGAGTGGGGTGGGTGTAGCTGCAAAACTATGGCTCTGCCGGGAAACAGAAGTGAGGAGGACCTAGGGAAAGGGCTCTCCCACGTACTCCCAGGAAGAAACAAAACCTGCCCCAAGGGGGCCCTGTGCTGCCCCCTTCCCCAGCAGGCCATGTGGCAGGTCCCACCAGCACCTCTCCCAGCTTCTGCCCCTTTCTCCCTTTGCCTGACATCACCTCCTACCCCAGAGCCACCCCAGGGCTGGGAGCTGAATTCAGCTCCAGCTTCAGCTACGGTAGTATTTACCACCAGCACACATACCTTGGGGGCTGGCCAAAGGGCTGGCTCAGCAGACACGGGGCTGCAGGCCAGAGGAGGGTATGGCAGGGCAGGCAGAGTAGAGCTGGCAGCCAAAGCAAGATGCGCAAAGCTGAGCTGGGTGGGGTTGGGGGCCCTCAAGTGGACAGAGGTGTGGACAAGTGGGGCTAGCGTGGTTGTTGGCCTGAGTGTCCCTGTGAACAAGGTGGGGCAGGGCACCAGGCTGGGAGCCCTCAGGGTCTAAGCAATGGGGTTAATGACCCCAGGATTGTACCCATAGCACCCGCAGCAGTAGGGAAGGGATGTTCTCCCCTGGAGGCAACTTCCTTGAGATGCACGGCGGGTGGGTGCATCAGAGAGAAAGCAGAGTTCAGGGAGTACGGGAGAGGGGGCATTGCTCAATCCCCCACACCTCCCCACCCCTCACACACTGGCCACCCATCCCACAGGTCCCAAAGGAGTTGTTCCCCTTTTAGAAAAAAGCTGTCTTAGGATTCAAG
Source organism: Homo sapiens (assembly GCF_000001405.40). NCBI lineage: Eukaryota > Metazoa > Chordata > Mammalia > Primates > Hominidae > Homo > Homo sapiens. The sequence goes on from NC_000010.11 coordinate 71,765,806, forward strand.
TTTGGGGAGCAGGGGAGGATGTTCAGTTTTCAAGCAAGAGGGCCAGACAGGAGAGGGTCCAGGACAAGCCAGAGGGACAGGACAAACCAAGGGTCCACAGGGGTTTGTCCTGGGGAGGGAGGGAAGGCCAGAAAACACCCCATTTACTGTGTCTGAGACTCCAGCTGGGACAAGGCCCACAGCAGCCTGTCGTTAGGAGGACACTCGAAGGCATGGCATGGGGGAGAGGGGCAGCGCACAGCACGCAGAGGGGCCTGCACGTGCCCCGCGGACTCCACATCTGTGCACATGCCTGTGTGTTGTCAGGGAAGCTGTGCAGCCCGGCTAAAATTACAATTCTTTGGCGAGAGGATGTTGCTTATTGTCAGGAGCAGATCCTTTTGGACACCTGGGTCATTGTCGGAGACCGGGAAAAGTGGGTGGGGAGGAAAGCCCCTGGCTCCAGGGTGGCCAAAAGCATGTGGGACAGGAAAATGACCCGGGGCCTGGGCCTGAGCATGTGCCAGGCGGGAACCGTCCAGTTGCCGTGCTGCTGTCAAGACCCAGGCCCCCCGCCCGCCACCCGCCACCTGCCACCAGGTAAGGAGGCAGGGCCACCTAGAGGAAGAGTGCCGTGAACCTGGGAAAGCCTGAGTCTCAGGAGTAAAACTCTCGCTTGGATTGCAACGTCCTGGGGCCTCAGTGTCCACTTAGTTGTGCCCTCATTGTGTGCCCTTGGGCAGATCCCACCCTTCTCTGAGCCTCCGTTTCTTCATCTTAACCTGAGGGCTGCCAGCTCTAAAATCCTGTGGGCAGGAGGGAAGAGCTGTCTTATGACCATGTATTATGTGCTAGGCTCTTGCTGAGCATCTTATACCTGTCACATTTAGTTCTCATAACACCCCCAACATGGGTGGTATCATCCCTATTTTAAAGATGAGGAAACAGACTCAGAGAAGTGACTTGCCCAAGGCCACACAGTGCTGTGTGACTGAGCTGAGATTCACACCTTGGACAGGCCAGCACTGCAGACAGGAAGAGCCACCCACCTCTCCAGAACCCTCCAGTGGGCAGGCGGGGCTGATGCCTCATCCTTCAGCTATTTAGAAAAAATGAACTGACCGTGCATTGACCTCCACGCCCTCCGTGCAACATTCCTGCTCTGCCTCAGACCCAAGCTGAAAACATCATTCTTTCATTCCACAAATATTTACCAAGGTCCTAACATGGGCCAGGCCCAGGCAGGGAGGCTGTGGGGATGCAGAGTTCCATCAGGGGCATCTGCTCAGAACTTGGGCCTGGACCTGTGCCTGAGATTTCTAGCTGTGGCACCCTCAGATGTTTCTGTCCCAGTACAAGGGAAAGGAGCTCTTGTTGGCATCTTCTCAGAATGCCAGTTTTTGTGACCTTCACCTCTCTCCACCCAGCAGGCCCCGGGTGACCCCTGTGAGTGTGCACGGGATGGGTGTGTGTGGGTGTGGACAGGCCTGTGTATTTTTCATGACAGGGCGTGAGCTTAGCCCACAGTCGCCAAGGCAACGCCCTAGCCTTTGGAGGTGGGACCCAAGCTTGGTTAGTCGGGCCTAGGAAGCCCCACCCAAACAGCTGAACTCTGACCAGCTGCTAGAGGTTGTCAAGTAAACAGTTATTAATTGCCTGCTGTGGCTGGCCCTGCACTAGATGCAAAAGGTCCCGTCCTTGGTCTCACAGGACATCCCAAAGAGAATGGGACCTGGTTCCAGCTCCCCGCCAGGCCCCATCCCCCAGGATGGTCCACAGGCTGGGGCTGGGGCTGTAGGAAAAGACTATGTTCTGTCTTTATCAAGATGCAGAGGGAAACAGAGGCATGGATCAATCAGGACTGGGGCTGCCAAGGCTAAGAAAGGAAGCGTCACAAGGCATAGGCTCAGGGCCTGAAGCCAGCAAGTCTGCCCTGGGGCTTTCTGGCCAGTGAGGACAAAGGGCATCTCAGATGTGTTTATTGATACCTGCCCCCGCAGGAAGTGTCCATTCACATCAGACCAAGGGGGCTGGGAAGGGGAAGCCAGGCTCTATTGAAGGAAGCGGCACTTCCAGCACCTTGGGAAAGCCTCCGTGCATCCGGGGCTGGAGCTGGAGGCTAGCATGCCTCCCCAGGGAGGGCCTAGGCAGCTGGCCAGAGGTCCCGGCCCGTGGATGCTTCTGTGGATGAACCCCTCCCAGACTCCCCAGGCCCTTTTGGAGGAGGACTGTGTGCAGCTCAGGCTCCCGGCTCCAGCCAGCCACCCTCACGCTTCTATGCTGTGAAGACGTCCTCAGGGTCCAGCTCAAGTCTTTTTGCCCCCTACTACTCTGTGCCAGGCATCATTCTAAGTGCTTGTTTGTTTGGTTGGCTTTGTTGCTGTTGTTGTTGTTGTTGTTGTTTGAGATGGAGTCTCGCTCTGTTGCCCAGGCTGGAGTTCAGTGGTGCAATCTCAGCTCACTGCAACCTCCGCCTCCCAGGTTGAAGCAACTCTCCTGCCTCAGCCTCCCGAGTAGCTGGGACTACAGGCACCCGCCACCACGCCTGGCTAATTTTTGTATTTTTAGTAGAGACGGGGTTTCACCACGTTGGCCAGGCTGGTCTTGAACTCCTGACCTCATGTGATCCACCCGCCTCGTCCTCCCCAAGTGCTGGGATTACAGGAGTGAGCCACTGTGCCTGGCCGTTTGGTTGGTTTTCTTTAGTGAGCTAGGGTCTTGCTCTTCACTCAGGCTGGAATGCAGTGACAATGAGATCATAGCCCACTGTAACCTCGAACTCATGGGCTCAAGTTATCCTCCCACCCCTGCCTCCCAACTAGGACTACAGACACATGCCACTATGCCCAGCTAATTTTTAAATTTTTCATAGTGATGGGGTCTCGTTATGTTGTCCAGGCTGGTCCCCTGGCTTGAAACTCCTGGCTTCAAGAGATCCTCCCACCTCAGCCTCCCAAAGTGCTGGGATTACAGGCATGAGCCACTGTGCTCGGCCTCATTCTAAACACTTTTACATAGATTAGTTTATGTAATCCTTCCACCCTATGAGGTAGGTACTAGTATCATCTCCATTTTACAGATGAGAAAACGGAAGCACAGAGAGATTAGTATCTTGCCCACAGCCTCACAACTAATAAGTGATGGTGTCAGGATCTGAACCCAGGTAGTCAGCCTCTGGAGGTCTGGTGCCATCTGACTACTCTCTAGAGAATAGAGGTAGCTGGGGACTGACTGGAGGCCCCACCTCCTTCTTGAAGACGGACAAATGTCATGACCAATGAAAGCCCAGCTTGCCTGGCCACGTCTACCACATAGTTTTACTTTTGGTTTTACATTAAATAACATTGAATCATATATAGAAGAGGTTATTCCCTTTACAATTATTTCAGTCCTGATTACATCAAAGAGAAAGTCTCAGTTTGATGCTAATATGTCTCTAAAACATTTGCTAATCTCCTTTTCTTTTTAAATTTTATTTTATTTTAATTTTTTGCAAGGGAAAGCAGCAGTTTTCAGACTCCGAGCCTTCCCAGGCTAAAGTTTCCAACTAGAATTCAATACCCTTATATGGTTTTCCTGTTACGTTCTTTTATGGTTTTGTTCTATTTATGACAAGTGATACTGGCTTTCCACTAATGACAGCGATAAAAAGTTTCCTTTTAAAGATCTACATACTCAAATAAAAGAATGAGTAGATTTAAAGAAAAAAATAAGTAAATATTATGAAAGGCAGACACTGCAGAGATCACAAAGGTGATAAGCAAATGACTGAAGCTAGGGAAACACCATCATGGAATTAACCTTCAGAGGAGGGTGGTCAGCCTCACTGAGACCACGTCACCCAACCTGTCCATTGCACAGACAAAGGGGAAGTGTGTGTTTGTGTTCCCATGATGAGTGAACAGCAGAGGCAGGGTTTGACCCCAGGTCCCCATGGGAAATAAGATCCTACGCAGAAAGGCTAAAGGAATGGGCTTGCTTGGCTTGGTAAGTAGCAGAGCAACCTCATTATTGGATTACTGATGAGAAAGATGGTGGCCACTGTCTTTGTCTTTGGTGATGGCCAGCCAAAGTGAATGGACCGAATGTAAAAAGATCAGATGTAAGAAAGATCCACCAAGATAAGCAAACCCAGGGCCAGGCTTGCCTTCAAGTTGCAATGTCCCCATCTCCTGACAACTTTAAGAAGAGAACCTGTAGGCACCTCCATGGGCATTTCAGACTGTGAGGGCCTACAGGGGCTCACAGGTAGCTGGACGCAGCCCATGCACCCTTCATACTCCAGGCTTTGGAGAATCTAGTCCCAGTGAAGCTCACCAATGCCTTCCCAGGCCCTGGGCACTCCATTAGGCCCTGTAGAGAGCAAGCAGCTTAGATAGAAAGCCAATGGCATGTGGCCTGCAGAAGCCAAGAAATACCATAATATTACACAGTATTCACGAGGAGCCGGGTGCTGTGTTAAGTGTTCGTTCATTGGCTCTTCACAGTTGCCCTCCAAGGGAGGTGGTATCATCTTCCCACTTTAGAGGGAGGGGAACTTGCTCAGGGAGACTGAATAACTTGTCCAATATCACAGAGCAGTAAATGGCCATCTTGGGATTTAAGCCTAGGTCTGAGTGACTCACAAAGCCCAAGAGTTAAGCAAGGGGCTGTACGGAAGCCCTGGCATGCATGTCCCTGGCTTTGCCATATACAGGCATGCTGGGACTGCAGCTAAGGGCATCTGTGGGGCCACTGGAAGCCACAGTGCTGATCCCTGGCCCACCCTCCCCTGGGAGACCAGACTGACCCTGGGTCATTGGTTGGCTAAAGCCTGGGGCCTCAAGTTTGGTATGTGGGGCTCGCTCACTGCCAACGGGTTCTCCTTGAGGATCCCTTTCTTCCTTTCATCTGCTCAGGCCTAACACCCCATACACTGTGTGCGGATAGGGAGGTGACCCCTTTAGCGTCTCAGCAGCACACTCCTGCCTGGACCACCCTCTCCCAGGAAGGTCAGACCCCAGCGGAACCTTTGCCCTGCTTGGGTGGAAGCATGAACAACTAGTACAGCTCAGCAAGGGACTCCCAGTATTGCTGGCCCTTGGGTGTCCCTGGCATTGGGTAGATGACCCCTCATGCCAGGGACTGGCCTCAAGGCTGTTCCTCTCTACTCCAGAGCCTCTGGGCAGTGGGTTGTGGATTTCCTAAGAGCTGACCATTGCTGCGTCAGAGGCTTGCAGCACTGGGTTACTCAACAAGGCCCTGCAGCCTGGTTTGCTATGAAGGAGAAGATGGGGTCTCTCGTCCCTAGCCCCAGTGCACTTAAATGTGCTAGTCCCAGAGGTTGGGAGTCCTGAGTCAGCCTGTGAGGACAGGGCAAGGACAGTAACTGCCTCGGGTCCTGGGAATGTCTGTGGGGAAGAAGAGGCTCTGCTACCCTTGAGATCTGCTGGGTCCTGGTCCCTAAGTGTACCTCTCCACCCATCTCACCCTGAGTCAGGCCCAGGAAAGGGGTATCTTTGGTGTTTCCTGGGCTTCTGAACACCACATTCATCACTACCATTCTCCTCAGTGCTGGCCCAACCCCAAGAGCTGGAGAACAGGCTGGCCCCGGCCACTCTATCTCACTTTCCCTGGCATAAAGGCTTTGACCTTGGGCAACATACCCAGGGCAACCCAGCACCTCGGCAGGCTGGTGATCAATCTTCTCAACTTACAGATCCTGCTGACCATGCCTGCAACCAGGCCTCCCATCTGCTATCTCCCTCAGTGCACACTGTCCTAGGGAGTTGGGTGAATATCTATTATAGTGTGTCCATGTCACAGTTCAGAATCCTGAGGTCCCAGAGCAATTCAAATGCTTCTGGCTCCTTTCAGTGGAAAGCTGCAGCCAGCCTAAATCATCTCCCTGTGCTGGGCCCAGGAAGAGATGACCCTTTAGTATACCATGTTGTTTGAGTAGCCAAGACCTCTGGGAGTAAAGGCCCCTGGCCATATAAGCAATATAGGGGAAGGCGTCCTGAGCTCCTCTTGGGGCCTCTCTGCTACTGGGTGCTCTGCAAGCTGGGTCCCTGTGCCCTGGATCTCTAGAAATGTTTCTCAAATTGGGGCTGCTGAACAGAGGGCAGCCCAGCCAAGTGAGGGCAGGAAGTGGGCAAGAAAGCAGGAAGGGTCTCACAGGGCCACCAGGGAGGGCAGTGCAGGGCAGGTGGCCCATGACAGGTGGGATGCTGGCTTGCCTGCCTGCCACCATCCTCTGTTCCTTCTGGAAGCCATGCCCTGCCATGAGCCATGGCCTTGGTGCTGAGACTGTCCATTCCACCTCCCATTCTCCTCCTCCCTCTGACTGTCACCTTGAGAAGCATCCACCCTGGGGCTTAGGGCAGCTGTGTCTGTGACATGTGGAGCCCTCCTCCTCCTCAGAGGCCCAGGCCAGCCTCCAAGTGCTGAGATAGCCAGCTGCCTGTGGGCACCCAGGTTGCTAAGGTATCTTCCAGGTTCAGCCTCCTCCTCTCCCTCTTATCCTATCACCCTCTCCTTCTATTCCATCCTGCCCACTGGGTCCCTGTGCCAAGCCCTCCACCTCCCTCCTGCCTCCCTCCGAGTCCCTGCATGACTCATACTTTCCCTGGGCCCTCCCTATAAAGTTTGGTTCCACAGGCTCTTTGAAGAGATCCAGCCTCTTCAGCTCTGGGCAGGCAAGAACTAGGCAACCAGGCCATGGGTACCAGGGCCTCTGCCCCCAGCCCGGGAGCCCCTGTGTTGGGGCCAGGATACTATCTGAACATGCTGACAGTCTGGACTTTGGAAGGGGAAAATGGTGCTTCCCTGTGTGGGCTTCTGTGTTTGAGCTGAGGAAACTGAGGCCAGAGAGATGCCGTAATTTATCCAGGGACCCAGAAGGGGCTCATAGCTGAGCTGAAGAGTGTCCCACATCCTCCCCAGTACTCCACACTGGTCCCTGAGTGGCAGCCTTGCTAGGATGGCAGGAATCAGCTGACCACTTATTCCTGGGCCATCAGACCCTTAGAATAGGGACCAGGTGGGCAGTGCTGCCTCTGTGTCTGAAAGTGGACCCACCGTGACCAGTGCCCAGTGCCCACCAAGGCTCAGCCAGGGGTTTCACCAGGGCATGGGGCACTGGCTGAGCATACCACGCCCTCTGTGTCCTCTGCAACACTAGAGCCCTGAGACTAGAGGGGCAGAAAGATGCCAGCTGTCAAAAGCCAGTGATATCCACCAGAACACACTGACCGCCCCCACCCTGTGCCTCTCCTTCTTTGCAGAAGCTACCTGTGCCCTGGGTTCTCTGGGCAGGGAAGGGCTGGACAGGCAGCCCTCAGGGGACAGCCCTGCCTGCCACTTGGGCAGCTGTCAGAGCATGCAGATGTGCCCGATGCCTAGCTGGGGCACTTGGCACAGTTGCCACTGCACCCTGCCTAGGGGTCCCAGCAGCCTCTGGGCGGTGGGTGGAGTGGGGTGCACGGTCACACAGGCTGAGAGGGCCCCCAGGACGCCCCCATCCCACAGTTCCCACTCCAGTCTGCTGTCTTCTCCCAGCTTTTTCCCAGCGCCCCGCCTCCCCCGACCTTACCTAGGGACGCAGCCAGGAAGAGAGCGAAGAGCAGGGATCCCCAGCGCCAGCTGCCGGCCTCCAGGGCCGTGGGGACGCCCATGTCGCCGTCGGACGCGCAGAGGAACTTCTGGTGCCGGGGAGCGGGCGGGACGCGGCCGGCGCGGGGAAGCCTCCCGCGACTGAGTGCGAGCGAGTGAGCGCTGCGGGCGGCCCCAGCGCCGTGCTCCAGGCACCCGCCCCCTTCGCGCAGCGCCCCCGGGGGGCCGTGTGGGGGAACTGCCTCTCCGAGGGCCGCGTGGGAGGGGCTTCCCGGAGGCCGGCCCCGTGGGTGGGGAGCCAGCGTGCGTCCCAGCGAGTCAGCTCCACTTGATCGGCAGTTTAAAGCCCGTTCTACCGTCCCCCAGTCCTTTTGGAGAGAAATTATTATTGCTGCGCAGCCTAAGAAGTAGATCTACCTCTAACAGCGTGATAGACGTTACCATGGCTTGCATCTGCCCTCAGCCACCAGCCTTTGAGTGATCTGGGGACAGAGACTTGTACCCTACATCCTCCAGCCAGACCAGGGCTTGGTATGTGGTAGGCACTCCCAGCTGTGGAATGAGTGAGTAAATGAGTGAATGAATGAAATCTGACATTGTGAAGAGCTAGGCAAGCTGGAGCCAGTTTAACTGTAGATTCAGAGCCTGAGGCACCCTGAGTGCATGCGCGCGCGCACACACACACACACACACACACACACACACACACACAGAACAGGTGCAGGACTACACGCCAAGATCAGCACATCCCTACCCCGGGACACACACAGATATGCAGGCAACACCTGTTGGCGTGCCCCACAGCACATCCTGCAAGCTCCCCTCCGGCAGAGGCCTCAGCTGTCCGCCTGGCTGTGCACCCGCCCTCCCTCCCTGGTGCCTGGATATCTGCAGGACACTCTGATGCACCCTAACTTCTAGTGCCTCTGCTCTTGCACCCACACCCAGCACTGCTGGCACCACTGGAATGTCTCTCCCCTCCTAATTCTTCTCATCCCTCAGGGCTCAGCTCAAGTCCTCCCACTTCACGAAATGTCCTGACCCTTCCTTTTTCCCGGCAAATCCTTACTGTCCACACCCCCTTCAGCTACCACCTCCAGCCTGAGATAACCAGCAGTTGGTTCTTCTTCCGGCTGTTCTGCCCTCCAGAGCGAAACTACAAACCTCTCTCTGATGTTTCTGAGACCCTAGCACAAAGCTGGGCGTGGAGAAGGTTTTACTGCACTTTTATCTGAATGGACAAACCAATGAGTGAGTGAGTGATTGTGTGATGGAGGAGCAGAGGTGATCGTGGCCAGGACCAGGGATCACAGGAGTGGAAGAGCACAGCCATTTTACTCAGTTTACCCCAGTCTAGCTGAAGCTTCCAGGGGTTTTTCTGGCACTTTAGGGATCTTGGGTTAATAGGTGACTCCTAGGCTGAGAGGCAGAGGACACTCAGAGTCTGACTGGGTCAGGAACCAGGGTATCAGGACTCAATGGGAGCCAGGAGTCCTGGGGGCCTTGTGGGTGGCCTGATCCAAGTCACGGGCTCTCTGGAGGCCCTTAGCCCTTGCTCTAAGGGCAGGGAAGGCTACAACAGAGGAAGGCTGAGGCATCATGTTATTACTAAGTGAACTTGTGCAGGCCCAGTCCCCCTGGAGCCAGTGAACTCCCCAGGATGGGAGCCCCAGAGGCTGGCAGGACATAACCCAGGTCCTTGGGCATGCTCCTGGCCTTGTGACCCCACCTTGGAAGGCAGCCCAGGGCCCTTCCTGCTGGCATAGCATGAGCTCCCTTCCACCAGGGGAGGTACAAAGCCAACTGAGATCAGGTGGACACCGGGCCCTTCTCACCCTGACATCCTCTGGCAAGTGAGGGGGGTCCCTTAAGGGCAAGATCCTAGAGCACCACCCCATCTCAACCCTTCCTGGACTGGCTTTGCTCAGGACACCCTTGAAACCAGACTCCCTCTTCCCCAGGGCCTAGCAGCCGGGGAGGGCCTGGAATTAGAGAAAGGGGAGCAATTGCCCTGCCAACCCCTTCCCCAGGGGGATAGAGCCTCTGAGCTGGGCCCAGTTCCCTCCCCCCTTTTCACTTCCTTTCTCCCTACCACACTGCCCACCACTGAGCCTCCTGGGGTTGCATCAGGGTGAGACACAGGCATTGCCCAAGGACCATGGTCCAGAAACCTCAAGCACTGTTTCCTCAACACCAGGGCAGGACAGGAAGGGCTCAGCTGAGAGGGCCTTTGGAGCACTGACTTTCTCCTCCCTCCGAGACCAGAGGAAGTCAAACCCACCTTCCCTCCCCAAGCCCAGACCTGGTCTCAGAGCAGGAGGGGCTCCAAGGCCCAACTCTGTTCAAACTCTCCACTCCCAGCCCCTGCAGCCTGCACACTCCATCATGTGTTTGTGCTTGTTTTCATTAAAAATAGTGGTGAAGGCCCCAAATATTCGAATAAAGATGACTGTCAAGGAAAGCCACCATGTCCATCTTGTGGCTCTGCAGGGCCTGGAGGCAGCTGTGAGTACTCTCTACTGGTGAGGGGCCCAGCCTTGAGCCTTCCTGAGTCCCCTTACTTGCCGGCAAGAATACAAGAGCACCACATTGCAGGAAAGGGGCTGAATTCCAGCCTCCCTGTTGGGGAGGGGATGCTGACATTTCCCACATTCCCAAACTCACCTCCCAAACTCCCTGAGCTAGAAACAACTTTAGAAATCAAGCCAGGTCCTTTATTAAACAGACAGAAAAGGTCCAGAGAGGGGATGTGACCTGCCCAAGGCCACGCAGCTCCTTTTCAAGGCTGCCAACCCTATCTGCTTTGGAAACCGTTTCAGCAAACACCCAATGCCCTCCACCCCCAAGATCCAGAGCTGCATATCAGAGGAATCATTGCCTCCTCAGGGGCAGTGACAGCCTTCTTGGGTCCAGATCCCCTGCCCATCTGTCCATTCTTCCAGTGGTAGCTCCAGAGCCAGCCAGTCCCAAGGAAAAAACCATATGCAAATTGCCTACATTGAGTTGTCTGTACCACCTGCTTTCTGTTCTCTGGCCTGGCAATGGCCTAGTCACGTTCTCTCTACCCAGACACCTTTGCAGTGATTAACACCTTATTATTTTATATTAGTCACTCATTATGATTTGTATTAGTTAGGGTCCTGGCAGGAAACAGATGGCACACTCAGAAAGGGTTCAACTGAAGAGAGTTTAATACAGGGACTGTTTAGGAAGGCTGGTAAAGCACCCAGAGACTAGCACCAACCACAGGAAGCCACTACCACTCACATGTCCAAAGGGAAAGAAGAGGAAGTGATGTTCTGGAGCCCAGTGAAAGCTGGTGCTATGAAAGGGGGACCCCTGTCCCCAAGCAGGAGAAACACAGCCATGGGCAGAACCGCAGTGAGGAATGGAGGGAGTGTGGAAGAAACACCCCCGCCTCTTTCTCCCCACTGCTTTCATCTTCAGCCAGGGCCTCCCATTGGCCACACCCAGCAGGAAGCTGGATAGCAAGGGAGCCAGGGTAAGGCAGTTAGTCCACAGGGGACATCTTCCCAGGTGGAGAAAGGCAGGAAGCAGGAGCAAGAACCATTTCTAGTTGATTCTTGAGTGCTGATTGCCGAGTTCTGATTAGCTGAATATTACTTGTGGTCCAATTGACTCAAGCATTGGCAGAGATGGCCGATCACAGGAGAGTATGTTGTAGAAGCTGTTCTTGGAATGAAGTTATGTTCTGTGAGTCTTATTTTTCACAGGTCAACAAGTTCTGCCCACGAAATTGCCACAAACCCAATGTCCTCCTTCTGGAAATGCTGAAAATATGTATTTCTTTCATTTACATGAACAATAGATGAAGGTTAAATATGGCATTGGGCCGAGTGCCTCACATTCTTGCCTCTTGTAGTCTGGCAGGACATATAGGCTCAATAAGACACAGGCCCTCGTAAAGCTCTGAGCTGGGGTGACTACCAGGGTTCATCCCATATGCCAGTCTTAATCACTAGACCACTGTGCTAACAAGGATCCCAAGTTTGCATCTGGCCTCAGCAGTTCTGTGATTGATTAGTGATGTCTGCTGGGGGTCGCAGACATAGGAGTGGTGGTGCCAGTGCCATCTTGGACAGAGCAGTTACCTTACTTGGCTTTTGGTGGAGTTTTTGAGCTTTCTCTCTCTACCAGCCTGTGACCCACCCCCTGCTTTCTTCTCCTTGCCCTTTCTGTTTGAGTCACATGGAGTGAGTTCAGCCCAGGAGAACAGCCATCTGGATCCACCTTGGTCCCTCTGGCCACCTGACCAAGGACGTGACCCACTCTTTTCCACAGGCCACCACGCACGTGTACGTGACCATTGTGGATGAGAATGATAACGCGCCCATGTTCCAGCAGCCCCACTATGAGGTGCTGCTGGATGAGGGCCCAGACACGCTCAACACCAGCCTCATCACCATCCAGGCACTGGACCTGGATGAGGGTCCCAACGGCACAGTCACCTATGCCATCGTCGCAGGCAACATCGTCAACACCTTCCGCATCGACAGACACATGGTCAGCAGCTGATGGCAGGATCAAGACAAGGGGCGAAACCTATCCAGGGATTGGCAAGGAGTTCAGTGACACTGGAGGGGGATGGAGCAAAGATGCAGTCTAGGGGAAACTGTGGGGGCACTCAGTGTGGGAGGATGAAAAGTTTGGTGGAGTGGAGCCTGGGCTAGGGGGTGGCAGTGGTTCCCCATCACAGCTCCAATGTCAGGGCCTACTTCCCAAATTGGTCAGAGGGTGCTGCAGACCTACCACCCCTAGATCCATCCTTGTCCCTTCCCTGTGTCCCCCAGGGTGTCATCACTGCTGCCAAAGAGCTGGACTACGAGATCAGCCACGGCCGCTACACCCTGATCGTCACTGCCACAGACCAGTGCCCCATCTTATCCCACCGCCTCACCTCTACCACCACGGTGGGTGCATGGGACACAGCCCCAACTTGGGCTTGGAGGTTGGCGAAGGATGGGACCCAGAAAGCTCCGATGCGGGAAGGGGTTAGGGGAAGATTGTCTGAGGGAAATGCCTAAATCCAAGACCCCTGTCCTAATCTCAGCAACTCACTCAAACTTGCTGTGTGACTTTAACGAGGTCACTGAACTTCCCTGTGTGGCTACATCTGTCAGACAAGTGACAATACCTGCCCTCCTCTCCTTCATGGGAAAACCATGAACTCTGGGTTTCAAGTCCTTGCTCTTCCACTTTCTAGCTGTGTGACCCTGAGCAAGTTGCTTAACCTCCCTGCTTCCATTTCCTCATCTGTGAAAGGAGGACAATACAAACTATGTTTTAAGGAGTGAGAGGAGTAAATGAAACCACGTAAGACAACCACAGTGCAGCAACAAATAGAAGTTTATGGGCAGTACTATTATTATTTTTTTGAGACAAGTTTTCACTCTATCATCCAGGCTGGAGTGTAGTGGCTTGATCACAGCTCACTGCAGACTCGACCTCCTGGACTCAAGAGCAATCCTCCCACCTCAGCCTCCCAAGTAGCTGGGACTACAGGCATGCACCACCATGCCCAGCTAATGTATTACTCTTTTATTTTTTGTAGAGGTGGGGTCTTGCTATATTGCCCAGGCTGGCTCTGCCTCAGCCTCCCAAAGTGCTGAGATTACAAGTGTGAACCACTGTGTCTGGCCAATAGCATTTTTATTAATATGATGATTGTGCCCATAAAAGGCTTTGGCAATAATGATAACTCATCCACATGCATAGCTTAAAAGCCCCACCCATATCCGACTTCCCATATGATTCCTGCATGGGCCTCATGAGGCAGAATTATCAGGTCCATTTCACAGAGGAAGGAACTGAGGCCCAGCACAAAGCTGGCTGGGGTGAGGCCTTGGCTAAGCTTTTCCACCATCTCAGGTGCTTGTGAATGTGAATGACATCAACGACAATGTGCCTACCTTCCCCCGGGACTATGAGGGACCATTTGAAGTCACTGAGGGCCAGCCGGGGCCCAGAGTGTGGACCTTCCTGGCCCATGACCGAGACTCAGGACCCAACGGGCAGGTGGAGTACAGCATCATGGATGGAGACCCTCTGGGTGAGTGGGGCTTGGGGCATGCCACCCACAGGGTCTCACCTGCACACCCGCTCAGGGGAGGATAAGAAGGGAGGTCTCAAGGCATTTGGCCTCACCATTGTGTGATTTTGTCCTCTCTGGGCCTCAGTTTCCCCATCTATGACAATGATGGAAATAATCTTCTCCCACCTCTTATTCCCAGAGATGTGGCGAGAACACCCTATAATCTGGGAACAAGGGCTGGTGGCCTTGGAGGGACACAGACTCCTTTAAGAACATGATTAAAAAATGCCCTGTTGCATACCCAGAGGAAGGGCCCCAGGGCAGACGAGGGAAGCACATCCTTACAGTGCGTGCAGAACACAGCCCCCGCCCTCAGGACCACAAACCCACACACCAAGGGAGCGCCTGGCTTGCTCTGCACATCTCATAGTCACCCATTCACAGCCCTCTCCTTGGATGAAGAGCAGAGTTTGCCTTGGCCTTGAGGGCAACTTCTCAAGTCCATTTTCACTCATTACTATAGAGTGGGAATCCCAGATCCAAAGGCGCCAGCTAGGGTCAGGCAAGGAGCCTTCGTGGGAGATGGTGTAGGAAAGAATCAGGAGCAGTGGGGACTGCGCAGCCACAACTCAGCTCCTGCCAGTAGTAGCTGTGTCCAGATCCCAGCCTGGGAGTACCTGGGCCCATTTTGAAAAGAAAAGCAGAAATCCAAATCTTTGTGAAACATCCTGATTTTTTAATTGGTCGTGCAGGAAATATTTCTTGAGTACCTCCAGTGTGCCGGCCATGTTCCAAGAGCTGGGGATACCAAACAGATGCAAATCCCTGCCCCGTAGAACGTACGTTCCAGTTGGAGGACACGGGCAATGAACCAACTGACTAAGTAGATGACTTAGTATACTGGGAGGTGCTAAGGGCTATGGAGAAAAATAAAACCAAGCCGGAGGATGGGGAATGCCAGGGTGAAGGCAGCAATTGTAGGTTGGCAAAAACCTGAAGGAGGGCAAAGGTGAGTCAAGTGACATCTGGGGAAGAGCATTCCAGGCAGAGGAAACAGCAAGTGGAAAGGCACTGAGGTTGGAGCATGCCTGGGATGTTCACAGAGAAGCAAAAAGGCCTGCAGCTGGGGGAAAGTTGAGCAAAGGGAAGCATAGGAAGAAATGAGACCAGAGAGGTAATGGGGCCAGATGTTGTCGGGCCTTGAGGGGCATCATGAGGGCGTGGCTTTTGCTCTGAGGTGGGAACCCTAAGAGGGCTTTAAGCAGAGGAGAGACATTATTTGACTTAGGTTTCAGCAGGACCACTCTGGTTCCTGTGATCAGAACAGACTGTAGGGGTGAAGGAAAAGGAGCAGGGAAGTCGGATGGGAACCTGCTGCAATCACTCAGGCTAGAATGAGGTAGCCGGGAGAGGGTGGTGGCATCACCACCAAAGGGAAAGAGGTGGCCACCTCTGGTGTAATTCAGAGGTGGAGCCAGTAGGATGTGCTAACTGATTGGCTGTGGGATGTGAGAGAAAGTCAAGGTTTTGGCGTGAGCAACCCAAAAGATGATGGCGTTGCCATTGACGGATGGAGGGCTGCAGCAGGAGGTTGTGGAGGGAAAGGAGGGTCGGTTCGAGATACCAGGTAGAGGTTGCGTATACAAGCCAAGAGTTCAGGAGAGAGGTCTGGGCTGGAGACGGGTATTTGGGAGTTGTCAGCATAGAGGTATTTAAATCCAGGAAACAAAGAGCGGTGCGAAGATTCAACAGTGAACCCAAGCCTCGCTTGCAATTAAGAGGCTGGGGGAAAAAACAACAACCTATATATGGAGGGCCCAAGTGACAGAATGAGAGCCCCTGCTGCCCAGAGCTTATGAGGGGTCACTCTGTTCGGACATGCTACCCTTTCGGATCCCAAAGTCTCCTCTCTGGCCAAGCACTAGGCCTTCCTCTTTGGAAACCAGCAGAGCAAGGGCCTTTCTCTTCTGCTGTTTTCACAAACACAGAGATTTTGTAATTTTATGGGAGTCCCTGGAGCACAGGAGGATGCCGGCACCTGGTGGAGAGGCAGGTGCTGGGTGAGCAGCTGAAGCCCCTCCCCATGAGGGGCCCACTCTGCACCCCAGCCTCAAGGCACAGAGCACACACCTGTGCTCCAGCACAGTGCAGACCTCCATGCCATGGCCTTTAAGCCACAAGCGAAACTTCCTGGGTTCAATCCACACGTGATTGGGATGAGCCTTAAGAATTTGGGGCCTTGTGGGGGAGTCCCAGCAGACTAACAGGCAGGCTCTCAAAGGAGTGAGAGACGCCTAGGAGTTTCCTAAGGCTGACCTGGGTGGGAGGCTTCCTCCCCCAAGGAAGGAAGAGTAGACATTTAGAGCCCAAAGATAACTTTGGGGTCTCTGAGCGCCACCCGCATCTCAGAAATGATCAATGAAGGCCCAGAGAGGTGAGGAAGGCCTGATGGTACTGCTGACATGGGTCACGACATCCATTTCCCACATCTCCTCCCACCTCGGGGTTCATGTTGGTCACTGAAGGGTTGACGGATGCTACAGCCAGCACCGCTGTCTGGAGAGAGCTGGTTTCACAGTGCACCACTGCATGGAGGGACGTGCCTGGGACCCCAGCTTAAAGGTCACCTTCCCAACACTGCAGCCTGAGGCTGGAAGGCTGCTTTCTATAGGGAGACAGATGCCAGATTTCTGAGCACTTACCAGCCCCACTGAGCCCTTAGGAGGAGCTGTGTGCTCAAAGAAGAGCTGGGAGACAGGCCACATGCACTTGAGCCTCTCCCGCCAGCGCCTGCCTTCTCAGCTGCCCTTTCTGGTCACACCCATTCCTTGGACCCCTTTCCTACATCCTCACCCTCCCTGAAAGCTCCCCGTTCCTTCAGAGGCCTGCCTGGGCTCCCTTTCGGGATCAGCACACACAAGGTGGGCCAGGGTTTGTCCAGCATCAGCACAACCCCAAGGTGGCATCTCTCTATTAGCCCATTTTTCAGATGAGAACATCAAGGCAAGGCTCCTTAACATGCCCAAGGGCACACAGGCATGAAGTCCAGATGCAGACCTAGATATGATTGGACGAAAGCCTAGGCTTTTAACCTCCTGTCTCCAGGAGTTGTGGAGGGATGGGGAAGTCTGGCCCCAGAGCAAGCTGCCAAGGAGAAGAATTTGCACAGGGGAACTAGGCTGGCCCAGCCCCCAGCCCCTCAGGCCTGCCTCCCTGAGCCTTCAAGGGAGTGGTGCTGGTGTCTCCTCCTGGCTTTGGAAGGAGAGCAAGAGGCCCTCTGCCTGCATATGGCCGGGGCTTGAGACAGGGCTGGGAAACACCTAGAAAGGGAATCCCCAGTTCTTTGGAGACCTTGGGGTGTCATGCTCAGGAAATCCTGCTTTAAGCAGCTTCCACCCCCCAGGCAGGGTGAAGCCTATGGGACGGGAAGAGCCTGGGAGCGGAAGGGCTGGTGGGAAATCCCAGCTGCAGGTGGGACTGAGAGGGGCTGTTTTTGTACATCAGAGTGTTAGGAGCTGGGGACAGGGAATTGTGAGGTAGGATGTGAAGAGACAGGCAGAGAAAACTGTGGGGGCGCCTGGGCCCCTGTCCTTGCCATGCCCTGTGAGCTGTGTGCTTCCTGCTGTCTGTCCCAGAGCAAGTCAGTGCCCCATTCTGGGCCCTTCCCCCTAAGTATTCAAAGGGAAAGTGAAGGAGGTAACTAACCTTCTCTCCATTCCATTTCCTGGGGGAATGCGGAGAGGTGGCCTCTCTTCTGCAGGCTCTCCCAGTTCCCTAGCTCACATCCCCTCAACTTTCTTCCTGCCAGAGCCACAGCCCCCACCATTCTTGCCTCTCCAGCTGGGCTCACGCTTGCTCACTGGTTTCCTTCCCCCTGTCTCTTCTCTCCACCCTCCGTGTTCTCACCCCGCCCCGGTCAGCTCTGAGTGGTGCTGTCTGGAAAGAACACAAGTCCTGTGCGAGGCAATGGGTTAAGACCCAGAGTGCTGGGTTTGAATCCTGGTCTGTCATTCACTTGCTGCAGGAGTGCAGACAAGTGGTAACCCTCCCCTGGGCTCCCAGTTCATTCTCCAAAGGACACAAGGGACTGGACGGTCTCTGGGCTGCCTTCCAGGTCAGCATCTGAGAATCTGAGGTTCTTGCTCTGGACTGTCAGACATCGGGCCCTGCAGCCCAGCCAAGAAAAGGATTCTGGGGCCACAGGGCCAGCGGGGCTCTTCAGAAACATCAAGGAAAGGAAATCAGGGTCACCACAGGTGTAGGGAACCCACTCTGCTTTCCAACTATAGCTCAATATGGGGACTAAATAGAGGGCACTGGGGGCTTCCCTGCCCCTCATCCGTCCCCTTCTGCCTGCCCGGTGCCTGCGCATTCACCATTAGCAAAGCATTGCTTTGTGGTCAGCTCTGCCCTTCCCAATATCCTTTTTTACAAGCCATGGCATGTGGGATGGATCGTACATTGCGAAGCACCTGATGCCTTCATTGATCAAGAGTGCTTAGACAGTGGGTGCTAGTGTAGCAAGAAGCCCCCACTTTTTCAACATAGCCATCTTACCCAGGTCAGTCTCTGGCCTGCCTGTGGCCCAGGGAAGGAAGCTGCTTGGTCTGGCACATGAGGGCATGAGTGGCCCGTGTCCGCCTGCACCCGTGGTGGTGATCCGCTACCACCCACCTGCACATCCCAGCCCTTGCAGATCTCATGAGGATCTGAAGCTGGGGTCACTGGAGGACCCGGGCCCCAGCTGTCCCCCACCTGTGACGAGTGAGGCTTGCTAGAGGAAGCAGAAGGAGTCCTGGGGTCTCCACAGTTCCTGCCAATGCCCGACTAACTTGGGCCTCTCCTGGTGACACCCAGGGGAGTTTGTGATCTCTCCTGTGGAGGGGGTGCTAAGGGTCCGGAAGGACGTGGAGCTGGACCGGGAGACCATCGCCTTCTACAACCTGACCATCTGTGCCCGTGACCGGGGGATGCCCCCACTCAGCTCCACAGTGAGTCTGGGGGCCCCACCCGCTGGCTTCACCTCGCTGCCCCTGTACTTGCCACAGAGATTCTTGTAAACATTGTTACCCTTGTGCCAAGAGAGGCCACAGGCTGCCCTGGAGCCAGGCCAGGCCTGCCCCTGGGGCCCTTAATAGACCTCTCGCCACATCCAGCAACTCTTTGGGGAGGCTGCCTTTCAGCGCCCCTCTGCACCCAACCCCTGCCCCATCACTCCCTTCTCCATCACTGCCCCTCCTCTGCCTCTGCCTTTCCTGCTTCCCTCATCATCCTCTTTTCATCTTCTTGCCTTTTTAATGTTCTTTTTCTTCTTTCTTCCTCTCCCCTTTTCTCTTTCTTCTCCATGACCAACTGCACCCTCCCTCCCTCCATGCCGCCCTTGGCGAACCTCCTCCTCGGTTGCCATGCACAACATCTGTCGCTCTTCCTCCCCTCCCTCCTCCTTCTCTGACTGGCCCAGATGCTGGTGGGGATCCGGGTGCTGGACATCAACGACAACGACCCTGTGCTGCTGAACCTGCCCATGAACATCACCATCAGCGAGAACAGCCCTGTCTCCAGCTTTGTCGCCCATGTCCTGGCCAGTGACGCTGACAGTGGCTGCAATGCACGCCTCACCTTCAACATCACTGCGGGCAACCGCGAGCGGGCCTTCTTCATCAATGCCACGGTAGGGCCTAGACTGACCCCAGGGAGCTTCCCAGGGTTTCCAGTGAAAAAGAGGACCCTGCCCTAGAGGCTTTTCTGCTGCCACCATCTGGGCTCCACCGGGCTCCCGTTCCTGCACTGGGATGAGGACACCTCTGTGGGAAGCATGGAATCTTGGATTCACCAGTGAACCATCTCTGGAGTCCACCTAGAGCCAGCCCTGAAGCTTGTCATGTGCAGAGATGGGGCCAGAGCCTGTGGGACCACTTGGTTTAATCAAGACGCACCAAAGTTCTCACTTAGCCTCTTGAGGTGTCTGTAGATGGCCAACAACACCATGGGGTCCTCCGAGGGCCATCTCTCAGAAGCAGCAAGGCCTGGGCATGAGTGGGTCACTCTCGCCCCGGCGAGACCCTGCCGACCCACATTTTTGGCCTTCTAGATCATCTCTTAGGCAATTTAGGGAGGCCAAGCAGAGCAGTTGGCATCTGTGGGCCAAAGTAGAAAGCAGGGAAAAGGTCTCCATGCAGCTCACCACCCTCCACATCCCAGACAGGGATCGTCACTGTGAACCGGCCCCTGGACCGCGAGCGGATCCCAGAGTACAAGCTGACCATTTCTGTGAAGGACAACCCGGAGAATCCACGCATAGCCAGGAGGGTGAGACTGGAGGGCACTGGTGGGAGTGGGCTGGGAGCTAGAGGCGCATGGAGAGAGAACACATCACCCCTCCTGCAGGCAGCATAGCCAGGCTTAGATGCACAGGCTTTGGAGTGAGCACGTGCTGGCTTCAAATCCCAGTTCTCTCCTTCAGTAGGTGCGTGGCTTTGGCTAGTTAACTCCTCTTGGCCTCCATTTCTCTTCTGCAAAATGAAGATCTCACCTACCCCAAAGTTGTAGAAAGGATGAAGGAGCCAATATATGTGAAAGCCTCAGCACAGTGCCTGGAGTGTGACAAACACTCAGTGAACATCAACTATCATTGTTTCCTCCCCAAACCACTGATACCTGGACACACACTGCATTTGTGCATGGGGCACATGGGCCTGCATTCACCCACAAGCATGCTCTGAGGTCCTGGAAGGGCTGCGTTTTCCAGGTGGCTCTCCCCTCAGAAGCCAAAGAAATGAGCTCTTGACTAAAGGGAGGTGGATGTTGCAAAGCAAACAGTCCCTTTGGGTTGGGGGTCAGCTCTGTCCTTCCAGCCCATGAATCTGTGGTAGATTCCTAGCCAGAAGCCTTCAGGCCCAGTTCATCTCAGCTCTGCCCCTGACTAGCTGTGTGGCTCAGCCAAGGCACCACTCTTTCTGGGCCTCAGTTTCCCTATCGGTCTAGCCAGAGGAGACGTCAGGCTGGAGAAACTCATAAGCTACATGCCCCTCCCATGTGGTGCTCCTCTGCTTCCTACTCTTTTTTTTTTTTTTTTTTTTTGAGACAGAGTCTCACTCTGTCACCCAAGCTGGTGTGCAGTGGTGCAATCGTGATCTCAGCTCACTGCAACCTCCACCTCCCAGGTTCAAGCGATTCTTGTGCCTCAGTCTCCCGAGTAGCTAGGATTACATGCACACGCCACCTTGCCCGGCTAATTTTTGTATTTTTAGCAGAGATGGGATTTCACCATGTTGGCGAGGCTTGTCTCAAACTCCTGACCTCAAGCAATCCACCTGCCTCAGCCTCCCAAAGTGCTGGGATTACAGGTGTGAGCCACCATGCCCAGCTTCTACTCCCTCATTTTTGCCCCCACTTTTTCTCTTTTCTGCTCTCATTTTTCCTCTCCCTTGCCTGGCTTCAGGAGGGCCCCGGGTAAAAGCAGCATTGAGTGGCAGGACTCGGTGGGCTTAGGGGCTAAGCCCCACTCTGCTGCTAACTCACCACTTGGCTCTGAATGGGCACTCCCCATCTCTGCACCTTGGTTCCCTTGTCTCTGAGGTGGTGACAGTGCACAGGGGTACTGGAGGTTCTGAGGTTTGCGAGTGTGAAGTGAGGCACTGGCAGAGTTTGAATGAACTCCAGCCAGGGCAACAGGAAGGCCTTGAAGGTCGAGAAACAGGACTCATCTTCCCGCCTGAAGTGAGATGGAACAGGATTCAATCCCATTTGCCACACCTCCGTGAAGGAGTTAAATCCCTATTTGCCAGACTAGAAAACTGAGACCCAGACAGGGGAAATGAGGCACCCAAGATCACCCAGAATAGGGTCTTCAACCCAGGTCTTTGAACCCTGGTGTGGGCGCTTTTCAGATTTTTTTTTTTTTTTTTTTTTTAGATTCAGGGAGTACAAGCACAGGTTTCTTAACATGTCCATATTGTGTAGTGGTGAAGACTGGGCTTTTAGTGTACCCATCAGGTGTACCCAAAACTACCTATTATGTCCAATGTTCACTGAACTGTGAACTCACTGCCACTCACTGAACAGTGAACATTGTACCTAATAAATAATTTTTCAACCCTCACCCTCTTCCCATCCTCCCACCCTTCTGAGTCTCCAATGACTCTTATTCCATTCTGTATATCCATGGTTACACATTATTTAGCTCCCACTTATAAGTGAAAATATGCAATATTTGACTTTCTATTTCTGAGTCATTTCACTTAGGATAATGGCCTTCAGTTCCATCCATGTTGCTGCAAAAGACACGACTTCACTCTTTCTTACGGTTGAGTAGTATTCCATGGTCTATATACCACATTTTCTTTAGTCAGTCCTCTGTGGATGGACACTTACATTGATTCCATATCTTTGCTATTGTGAATAGTGTGGCGATAAACATGTGAGTGTAAGTATCTTTTTGATATAACGATGTATTTCCCTTTGGGCAGGTACCCAGTAGAGGGGTATTGTGGGATTGAAGGGTAATTCTGTCTTTAGTTCTTTGAGAAATCTCCATATTGCTTGCCACAGTGGCTGAAGGAATTTACATTCCCACCAGCAGTGTATGAGCATTCCCTTTTCTCTGCATCCTCACCAGTGTCTGTTGTTTTTTTCTTGAGATGGTGTCTTGCTCTCTTGCCCAGGCTGGAGTACAGTGGCACAATCTCGGCTCACTGCAATCTCTGCCTCCTGGGTTCAAGCGATTCTCCTGTCTCAACTTCCCAAGTAGCTGGGATTACAGGTGTAAGCCATCATGCCCAGCTAATTTTTTTGTATTTTAAGTAGAGACAGGGTTTCACCATATTGGCCAGGCTGGTCTCGAACTCCTGACCTTAAGTGATCCGCCCACCTCAGACTCCCAAAGTGCTGGGATTACAGGCGTGAGCCACCATGCCCAGCATGTTGTTTTTTGACTTTTTAATAATAGCCGTTCTGACTGGTGTGAGAGGGTACCTCACTGTGGCTTATTGCATTTCTCTGATGATTAGCAACACTAAGCATTTTTTCTTTTTTTCTTTTTTTTTGAGATGGAGTCTTGCTCTGTCATCTGGGCTGGAGTGCAGTGGCGTGATATCCGCTCGCTGCAAGCTCCGCCTCCTGGGTTCATGCCATTCTCCTGCCTCAGCCTCCCAAGTAGCTGGGACTACAGGTGCGTGCCACCACGCCCAGCTAATTTTTTGTGCTTTTAGTAGAGACGGGGTTTCACCATGTTAGCCAGGATGGTCTCGATCTCCTGACCTCGTGATCTGCCCGTCTTGGCCTCCCAAAGTGCTGGGATTACAGGCATGAGCCACTGCACCCGGCCACATTTTTTCATGTTTGTTGCCCTCTTGTATGTCTTCTTTTGAAAAATGTGAGTTCATGTTGGTGTGGGCTTTTCTGATCATCCACCTCTGTGCCCCAATCCCCAACCTCCCAACCCTCCTCCCACCTAGGTGGGGGCACTTTGCTGAGCATGGCCTACAACGTGCCCCATTCTGCCCCTTGCAGGATTATGACTTGCTTCTGATCTTCCTTTCTGATGAGAATGACAACCACCCCCTCTTCACTAAAAGCACCTACCAGGCAGAGGTGATGGAAAACTCTCCCGCTGGTAGGTGCTGGGCCCACCCGGGAGCTCCTGCTGTTGCCAGGCACCACTGGGGCCTGGGATGCCTGAGGACCTCCCTTATGCCTAACGGCATAGCTGAACCTAGACCCCAGTGGGTGCGGGAGGGGAAGGATGGGTGCAGCTCCGGGAGATGGTGGGCTGGGGCTCCCGGGCCTCCTATGAGCACAAAGAAGCCACAGGTCTGGTTGGAAGAGACAGTCGTGGTCATTGTTCCCCAGGGTGGTCTGAGAGCTGCCCCACCATCCCTCAAGAAGGGCATGTAAGGTGTGAGGACTACCCCGGAGGGGAGTGGGTCCACCCCTCACTGCTCCCTCCACCCCAGGAGTGCAGGGCATCCCAGGGCCTTCTGGAAGCCCTGGGGAGCATCTATAACTAGAAGTGGGAGGTCAGGGGGTCCTGGGTAGGCCAGTGTAGCCCTCTCCCCACACACATGCACTGACCAGGCTCACCTCCCTCCAGAGGGACAGAATCTCCTCTGTGATGTCCCCTGAGGTGGCACCTGCACTCCTCCAGTCTCCCCAGCCCCTGTTCCTCATCTCTGGCTGGGCATCCCCCCTAGGTGAATTTCATTCTTAAACCTGTCTGTGTGTATGCTCACACATGTGCCCGTGTGTGTCCATACCAAGGCATGTGCGTGGGGTTACACATGTGCACAGACACATATAGGTACATGGGTGCCCACTGATGCGCTCGTGTGCAGACATGCCCACCTGCAGAGGCACACGAGTGCACAACCAGGGAATCCCAGGCCTGTGCGTGCTCCTGGACAAGTGCCTGTGGCCATGTGAACACAGAACTTGATGCACACATGAGTGGGTTTTTCTAGTCATGTATGGCCAGGCCCCCAAAGGCAGAGCATTGTGTGAACACATGTGTTGACAGGCGAGACCCACACATGGGGAGGGGATGTCAGGGAGCCCCAGACCCTCCCGAGGAGCGGCCAGCCTCAAAGGCTGCTGGGAAGGCAGATGTGGCTCTGGGCAGCCGGGGCCTTGCTCACCACTCTCATGTTTTCTCCCCAGCAGGGCTTTGAGGCCGCTCCCCAGGCATCTGCGTTCAGTCTGCCAAGGCTGCCGCAGGCCCGCCCCCAGGGCCTCCCCACCCTGTCCACCTCACCTCCCTCCCCTCTCATCCATCGTCAGCCATGGCTCACCGGGACAGGGCAGGGGAGGTGGGAGGGCAGGGGGCTGGGTTGGTCTTGTGGTGACCCCTCTCCTTCTGGCCCAGGCACCCCTCTCACGGTGCTCAATGGGCCCATCCTGGCCCTGGATGCAGACCAAGACATCTACGCCGTGGTGACCTACCAGCTGCTGGGTGCCCAGAGTGGCCTCTTTGACATCAACAGCAGCACCGGTGAGGCCTCTGTGCCACCCAGCACTCCCAGCCTGATTCTGGGGTGGGGATGGCCACACTGCTGGATTGAGGGCCTCCCTTCTCAGTGCTGGACCCAGGCTGTCCGTGGAGACCCCATTTTTCACAGCCCAGAGTCCCCATCTTGCAGCTGGGTTATATCACCCAGTGGCCTGGCAGGGGGACGTGGGAAGAGGCTTGGAGACGATACACAGGACCTCTGTTGGTGCACGAACTCTCAGCCTGGGCCGGGAGCCCCCCAGCCCACTCCCGTCATCTCCCCATGCGCAGGCCAGAGGCTCAGGCCCCTAGTCCAGCAGAAGTAGCCAGAGCGACTTTCCTGTCCTCCAACCAGACCATGCCACATCCGTCTGGTCCTGGACAGGAGGCCGCTTTGGTGACAGGTGCCGACAGGAAAGCACATCTGTCAACAGAGACGGTCAACCCTGTGCCCTGGGTCACTCTTCCCAGGCAAGAGTCTTGAAGACAGCAGAGGGCACCTGCAGAGGGGACAACCACAGGAAATGCATGGGGCCCTCCCTCAGCACGGGTGGTTGAGCCTGTGGGGGAGAAAGTCATTTTGTTACTGCCTCTGCTCCTCTTTCATCTCTGTCCCATGGTGCCCCTGTCTTTCTCTGCTCTCTCCCTGTTGGTTCTTGCCCTGTCTTCCCACCGCACCCCTTTTCTGTGTGTTTCCCTGGCTGGCGGCACCGGGTGCCAGGTGTGGTGACCGTGAGGTCAGGTGTCATCATTGACCGGGAGGCATTCTCGCCACCCATCCTGGAGCTGCTGCTGCTGGCTGAGGACATCGGGCTGCTCAACAGCACGGCCCACCTGCTCATCACCATCCTGGATGACAATGACAACCGGCCCACCTTTAGCCCTGCCACCCTCACTGTCCATCTGCTAGAGAACTGCCCGCCTGGTAAGCAGGGGACAGGCCCCAGCACCCCACAACCAGGGGCCGGTTGGTGGTCACAGGGGACTGGAGCCTCAGGTTGGACACGGAGTTTGCCTCCAGTGGGGAGAAAGATGGGCAGCAGGGTGAGTGTAGAACACACTGGAGAGGGAGTCAGGAGACCTGGGCCCCTGCTTCCCTCCTCTGAGCTTCTGTATCTTGCCTGCAAAACAAGATTCTTTTTTCCTTTCTTTCTTTTTCTTTTCTTTTCTTTTTTTTTTTTTAAGACGGAGTTTTGCTCTTGTTGCCCAGGCTGGAGTGCAATGGCACAATCTCGGCTCACTGCAACCTCAGCCTCCCAGGTTCAAGTGATTCTCCTGCCTCAGCCTCCCGAGTAGCTGGGATTACAGGCGCCCACCACCACACCCAGCTAATTTTTGTATTTTTAGTAGAGACGGGGTTTCACCCTGTTGGCCAGGCTGGTCGCAAACTCCTGACCTCAGGTGATCCACTCGCCTCAGCCTCCCAAAGTGCTGGGATTACAGGTGTGAGCCACCACGCCTGGCCTACAAGATTCCTAAGTATTCTCCATTTGAATTCCCAGATGGAAAGACTGACTATTTTAAAGTCAAAATAGGATCAACATGATTCCCATCAAAATCAAATATAACTTCTGGAAGAATAAGAAAATTTTGAAAAACATAAGTATAATAAGCCAGATTTGGCTTACCAGATTTTATAACATATTATAAAGCTACAGTATTTAAGGCCATGCAATATGGGCACAAGACTCCAGGACAAAGTAGCCCAGAAACAGATACTGGTAAATTAAAGAATAAAATATGATGTGATAAAGGAAGCAATGAGGCCAATGGGGAAGCTACTTATTCAGTGTGCAAAAACCTATTTAATCTAATCAATTACATCCAATTATTATAATCTGTATGTAATCTAATATAATAATAATGTAATATTTAGTGTAGATTCTCCCCCATGTCAGACACCAAAATAAAAACCAAAAGAAAATATTAAAAAGTAGAAAACACTAAACAATAAATGAAGAAAACTTAGGTGAATAACTCATTTCTGGGTAAGAAGGTTCTAAGCATAAAAGAAAAGAACTTAAGAGGAAAAATATTAAATTTCTATGCATGCTAATTTAAACCTTGTTACATCAAATAATTATAGCCAATATTGAAAGGCAAACAACAAACCAAAAAGTATATTTGTCTTGGTCCAGGCGAGGTGGCTCACGCCTGTAATCCCAGCAATTTGGGAGGCTGAGGCAGGTGGATCACTTGAGGTCTGGAGTTCCAGACCAGCCTGACATGGAGAAACCCTTTCTCTACTAAAAATACAAAAAATTAGCCAGGCATGGTAGTGGGTGCCTGTAATCCCAGCTACTCAGGAGTCTGCTGCATAAGAATCACTTGAACCTGGGAAGCAGAGGTTGCAGTAAGCCGAGATCACACCACTGCACTCCAGCCTAGGTGACAGTGTAAGACTCCATCTAAAAAAAAAAAAAAAAAAAAAAAAAAAAAAAAATATATATATATATATATATATATGTCTCAAGTTGTCATAATTATGTGACTTGTATAATTGACAGAAAAATGGACAAAAGACAAAAGCAGACCATTTGCAGAAGATACAACTAATTATTACATTATAAAATATTGTTTAATCAAAGAATATAAAATAAAATAACATGCCATTTTCCTATAAAATTGCAAGTATGAAAAAGGTATAAAAGAAAATGCTGTCAAGGCTGTCATGAGAAGGGGACTTGAGAAGATCACCAACAAATGTGTCTTGGTAGATCTTTCTGGAAGAGGCCACTGTGCGCAGCTACTCCCTTTTCCCTCTCCAACAGGATTCTCAGTCCTTCAAGTCACAGCCACAGATGAGGACAGTGGCCTCAATGGGGAGCTGGTCTACCGAATAGAAGCTGGGGCTCAGGACCGCTTCCTCATTCATCTGGTCACCGGGGTCATCCGTGTTGGTAATGCCACCATCGACAGAGAGGAGCAGGAGTCCTACAGGCTAACGGTGGTGGCCACCGACCGGGGCACCGTTCCTCTCTCGGGCACAGCCATTGTCACCATTCTGATCGATGACATCAATGACTCCCGCCCCGAGTTCCTCAACCCCATCCAGACAGTGAGCGTGCTGGAGTCGGCTGAGCCAGGCACTGTCATTGCCAATATCACGGCCATTGACCACGACCTCAACCCAAAGCTAGAGTACCACATTGTCGGCATTGTGGCCAAGGACGACACTGATCGCCTGGTGCCCAACCAGGAGGACGCCTTTGCTGTGAATATCAACACAGGTACAAGGGCCTGCACCCCTCCCACCTCCCTCCCAGCTCCCAGTCCTGTCTCCTCGCTCCCTGCTTCCCCCTTCTTTCTCCTTTCTCTTTCTTTGCTGTTCCCTTGCTACTCTCTTCTCTCCCCCTCCTCTGGAGGGAAACCAGAACCGTCCTTCTCTTTTCCATCTCTCCCCTTGCTTTCTTTCTCTGCTTCCTCATCCTCCCTTGAGCAGCTCCTCTGGCCTTCCTGATTCCCTCGCCCTACCAGTGTATGAGAGCACCTATCTCACCACATCATGCCAGTATTAAATATGATAACATTTTCATGTTGGCAATTTTAGAGGAAAGTAATACCTTGTTTGTTCTTTTGTTTTTTGTTTTTGTTTTGGCTTTTTTTTTGAGATGGAATTTCACTCTTGTCACCTAGGCTGGAGTGCAATGGTGCAATCTCGGCTCACTGCAACCCCTGCCTCCTGGGTTCAAGTGATTCTCCTGCCTCAGCCTCCCGAGTAGCTGAGATTACAGACATGTGCCACCACACCCAGCTAATTTTTGTATTTTTAGTAGAGACATGGTTTCACCATGTTGGCCAGGCTGGTCTTGATCATCCTGACCTCAGGTGATCCACCTGCCTCGGCCTCCCAAGTGCTGGGATTACAGGCGTGAGTCACTGCACCCAGCCGTGATACCTTGTTTAATATGCATTTCTTTACTAACTAGGTGGCTGAACACTTTCTTCATATGTATGCTGGCCATTTAAATCCTCTGCAAGTTGCATGCGATCAATGATTTTCTTACACTATCACGAAACCAAGAGAACCATGGCTTATCTTTCACAATGTATGTAGTTTATTGTAATGCTGATGGTTTTATCATTTTCCCAAAAGTTCAGTGTTTTTCTCCTTTGAGGAGTTAGGAAAGGGACATGGAGCTGATACGTGTACTTCTTGGAAGGCCCAGAGGAATGATAGAAGAATCAACATGGCTGTGACAAAGCACTAAAACAGCAGTAAGATATCAGTTTTTCACACGTGATTAGTGGACATTAGGATGCTGGACAATGTTGATATTGGTGACCGTGTGGGGACATGGAAACCCTCATGCACTGCTGTAGGAGTTGTGACTGATTCCACTGTCTGGATAGCAATCCAGCATAAGGGACACTTGTACCACCATTACCCAGTATATGTTCCAGAGAAAGTCTCAGGGCATTAATGAAACTGTCTGAGGATGCTCACTGCAGTGTTATTGGTGATGGTGGAGTTGGGGCCATGCAGGTATCCATTTCTGGGAGACTGAAGAGTAAAATATCATGGGTGTGCATCATGGGGGTACCAGCCAGCAGTGCCAGCGGTGAGAAGCAATAAATTAGACACACACAGAGCAATGTAGATGGATCCTAATAATAAGTATTTACTGAAAAGGATAATAAATGGGATGAGATATATGCCACAGCACCATTTCCATAAATGTAAAATACATACAAAATAATACATGATTTTCAGAAATACTTTTATTAACAAAAAATATACTTCAATACATTACAATGACTGCCTGAGGGGAGAAGGGAAGGAGAGATGAGTATGGGAATGAAAGGGAGTAGACGCACACATAAAACAAGAGAAGTGCCAGTGGTCATAGTGTGCAGCGAGCCAAAGAACATGATAAACTCAATCTGCATTTGAGGCCCAAAGGGAAACAGAAGAAGGAAAAACCATGAGCACTAGGAGAAGTTAGATAGAACCAGCTACATCCCAGGTTAGCAAAATTCCTGGCTGCATGGGTTGGTCAGGACCATGGAGAGCTGCTCCACGTCCCTACTCAACTTGAGGCTCTGCTCAATCCCCTACTGCTTTTCTCTTTCCTGTTCCCCCTTCCTCCAGCTGACTCTCTTCTCTATTTTTCTTTCCAGTGTCTTCTCTGCCCCCTCCTCCTCAGCCCTCCACTCCTCCCTTGCCCACTTTGCTACCTTTTCTTCTTGCCAGAGCCTCAGCCCCTGAGCTCTCCACTCCAAATGGGCTTCCACTTGCTCCCCTGGTTTCCTTCCCAGTGCCTCTTCCCCTCCCCACTCCCTGTTTCCACCCCTCCCTCCCTCCTCCCACCCCGTCAGCTCTGAGTCCCCACCATCCTCCCTGCCCTGCTCTGCTCCATCCCTGCTGCACCCTGAACTAACTGATGTTAACCCTCTTCTCTCTTCCTCATGGCTGGCAGGCCCACAGGTTTGAGCTCTGTTTCTCTGTCACTTCCCACCTCATCTCTTCTCTGCCTCACCCCATTGCCTTCCTCCATGCCCACCACACCCCCACCACCCTTCCTGTCCTGTGGGGCCTGGGCCAAGGCCGTGGCCCAGCCTTTGCAGACTGAATGCAGCCGCCCTCTCCCCATCCTCGCTCCCCAGCCTGGGGGACAGGGAGCGAGAGTAGGAAGAGGAGGAGGAGGAGGAGGAGGAGGCGGCCCAGGGTAAGTGACTACCCCATGGCTGGGGACCCACGGAAGACAGAAGCCCAGCAGGGGGATCTGCCAAGGGGGAAGGGAATCTCAGATACCCCTGTACCTGAGAGGGAGAGGAGGTCTCACTCTGGGATGAAGCCAATGGGAGGAGAAGCCACCAGGCCCTCTAACAGGCAGGAACAAGAAAGGTCCCAAGAAACGCAGCACTGAGGTCAGCCAAACTAGGTCTGTCCAGTCCCCGCCCATGCTTCTGGGGGGTTCCTCTCTGATTTGGGGAGCAGGCAGGGACTCTGGGAGGCAGTGGGTAGAACAGAAGGAAACCCCTTGCTAGGACTGCCATGGAACCAATGCTCCTGTCCCACAATCAGCCCATGTCACTCCCTATTTAATCAAGACAAAGGGATGGGCCTGAAGTATCCAGACGGTCCCACCACTGTCCCCTCCAGGGAACCCCTCAGGGCTTTTCAGCTACCATGACTTTCCTTTAAACTTGATCTCCCTAGAATCTAAGCATTTTTTAAATGGTGATAAAATACACATAACGAAATTTACCATTTTAGCCACTTTTTAATTGTAGAGTCCAGTAGTGTTAAGTACATTTGCATTGTTAAGGAATACAGCAGTTTTTAAACAAGCAGTTACATAGCTTCTGTGTGCCACGCACTGTTCTAAGTACTTTACAAATGGAAACTCATTTTGTTTTTCTAATCCTCAAAATAGTAGGGTATTGAGAAAAGGATGGGTTGACAGTCGGTAGTGTAATTATCTAGTTTTACAAATGTGGACACAGAGGTGCAGAGAGGTGACATAACTTCCCCAACATCACCTGCTTAGTAAGCATCATGGGAGGGGCAGAGCCACGTGACCCAAGCTTATGAGGAGGCTGTGGGCCCACCCCAGCCACAAGTCCCAGATTCTACTGGGGACCGTCATCCTTTGTGGGGATTGGGAGGGTTTGGCCAGGAGCACCCCTGGGAAGGGCAGATTTTAGGGGGTTCTTCTCAGGCTGAACCTGGCCTGGTCTGGTCCACAGGATCTGTAATGGTGAAGTCCCCCATGAATCGGGAGCTGGTTGCCACCTATGAGGTCACTCTCTCAGTGATTGACAATGCCAGCGACCTACCAGAGCGCTCTGTCAGTGTGCCAAATGGTAAGGTTCCCTGCAGACATCTCTCATTGGTCACTCAGAGCCAATCAGGGCAGGGGGCAGGTGGGGAACAGGCACTGGTCTGTCCCCAGGGAGGGAGCAACAAGACCCAGTTGCTCTGGGGGCCAGGAGTCAGGCAACACAAGAGGCATGAAAGGTGGCAGCCACCGTGAGGCCCAGGGTGGTGATGGCTACATAGAGCTCAGCAGTGGAGGATCCAGAAGCTCAGAATTGTGTGTGATCTGAACCCCCAGGCTGAGAGTAGGAAGGAGGCTTGGTAGAGCCTGGAACAGATTGAGAAAAAATGGTTAGACAGAGGCTTAGGTTCAGCCAGCAGAACTGGTAACCAGGGTGTGGGTAGGATGTGAGATGGGAACCCTATGATCTTATAGGAAGCCACAGGGTTAGCACAAAGGAAGCAAAGAATGAGGGGAGGTAACCTGAGGCCACAGACACTGCTTTGGGGGTGCAGGCACTTACGGTGGAGAACGGAGGGGCCCAGTGTTACCTTCTGCCAATCGGGCCCAGGCCATCCTGCCTGCAGCCTGAGGCGTGGGCTGGGAGGGGGCTGCCAGAGGGGTGGATTTTGTGTGGGCAGAGCGAGAGTTGAGTGGGGGAAGTGGGGATGGGGTGGCCTCAAGTTGCCTCAGCCATGAGGTACAGACAGCTGCTATAGGGGAAGCCAGGCCTGGCAGATGATGACTGCTTATCTTCACAGCCCAGAAGCCCACATTTTCCGGAAGGAAGGGCAGACTTGGTCATCTCTTCCATGTCAGAGGCTCAGATGGTTAAGGGCCCAGGCCGGTTACATAGAGGGGATACATACAGCTCAGACAGGATCTAGGGTCTTAAAGATTATCTTGCCCTTTCTCATTGAGCAGTTTAGGAAACCGGGGCACAGGAAGGGCCGAGGGCTCCACCAGGGTCACCTAGCCCTTCCTCTTATGGAACAGCAAGTGAGCACACCACTGGAAAGCCTCCTGTGCTGCAGCCTGAGGGTCAGGTCAATCCTCAGGCAGCCTCTGGGGGGCTGTGGGATGCTGCCATGCTCACCCGGCTTGGCTGAGGCTAAGGAAGGCCTGGCCCAGCCACACTAGTGTCCTTCCCCTCTCCCTCACTCCCTGCCTCCACCACAGCCAAGCTGACTGTCAACGTCCTGGACGTCAATGACAATACGCCCCAGTTCAAGCCCTTTGGGATCACCTACTACATGGAGCGGATCCTGGAGGGGGCCACCCCTGGGACCACACTCATTGCTGTGGCAGCCGTGGACCCTGACAAGGGCCTTAATGGGCTGGTCACCTACACCCTGCTGGACCTGGTGCCCCCAGGGTATGTCCAGCTGGAGGACTCCTCGGCAGGTAGGTTAGAAATCTGTCAGAGGAGGGCTGGGGGACATATATCTCTGCTTGCTTAGTCCCCAAGAGAGACCACAGCCCCTCTGTGGCTCCTCAGTGGACTGGGCCAGATCCAAGATGGCCAGCATTCCATGCCAGATTCCAGATGCCCAAACCAGGGGAAGGGACAGAGTGCTTACTCCTGGGTTGGGATGGAAGCCTCTTGATGTCTGCCGGAAACCTGGGATACCCCACCACCCAAGCTCCTACTATTAGTACCACCGAGGGAGCAGGAAGGCCAAGAAGGAGGTGTCTCAGGTCCTGGGCTAGTTGATGCTCATTCCTGTGACTGGGAGAAGCTTTTTCACCCTCCATAAGAAAAACTGGACACCAGTCCCTCCCTGCCGTGTGCCCTGCAACTGGGTGGTGCTGCCTGACCACCCTCCTTCAAGTGACCACAGCTGCCCCTCGGAGTCCAGGTCTTTCTCCTCATACTTTGGAGAGCTGCCATGAATGAGGAGTGGCCAAAATGGCAGTGGGAGCCTCTGTGTCTTAGGGAAGGTCATTGCCAACCGGACAGTGGACTACGAGGAGGTGCACTGGCTCAACTTTACCGTGAGGGCCTCAGACAACGGGTCCCCGCCCCGGGCAGCTGAGATCCCTGTCTACCTGGAAATCGTGGACATCAATGACAACAACCCCATCTTTGACCAGCCCTCCTACCAGGTGGGTGGCCAGGCCACAGGCTGGGTCCAGGACCTGCGCCCATTCCTTGGGGTCTTTGGGCATCTTCCTCTCCCACCCTGCCAGCCTCTAAGCCCCCTGGGAGTGCCCAGCCCACGAGCAGCTTGATGCCTGCATCAGTGAGTTCTAGGGCTGTGCTCGGGCTCTGGGACTGACCTTGGCCTACTCTCTCTCCCTGCCCCCTGGGCTCCAGGAGGCTGTCTTTGAGGATGTGCCTGTGGGCACAATCATCCTGACAGTCACTGCCACTGATGCTGACTCAGGCAACTTTGCACTCATTGAGTACAGCCTTGGAGATGGAGAGAGCAAGTTTGCCATCAACCCCACCACGGTGAGCAGTGATGGAGGGCCTGGAATTTGGAAGTGGGAAGGACCCAGGGTCAGAGACTGAGCAGCCACCAAAAGTATTGTAGTAATCCCTCTGGGTCTTGTCGCCTGGACATCTGCATCCCCAGAGGTTCTTTAGCCAAGTCAGCAAACCCTGTTCTCAGAGTCCCAGACATTTGGTAGACTGTGGCCTTTCTGTCTCAACAGATGTTTAAGGAAGTGGCCAAGTCTTTTGGAATGAGCCCTTTGTGGGACAACATCTGAGATGTGTCCTCTCCACACTAAAAAAGCATGATTGAAGTCCATGGGGCTTCTTTTTGAGACAGTCAGAAAAGAAGCAGGGGAAGCACTGCAGAAAGTGGGCACAGTGTCTGAGCACCTACTGTATACATGGCCCTATACTCAGTGCTGGGGAAGGGAGGATGCCCCAAAGGGTGCCTCCCACACATTTCCTTGAATCTCAGACTTGTGGAAGACCAGAAATTCAGGAGAAAAGATGGGTGATGATTTCAAATGTCTGCTAATTGGTTCAAAGCTGTTATTTTCAGTATAGAGAGAGAGCCCTGTGGCCTAGGTCTGGTTGGTCAGGCAGGGCCTTCCCCAGTTGCTGGGGCTGGAACTGGACTTTGCCTCCCACTGCCCTGCTCTGTCCACATCTTCTGGCACTCTGCCCTTTCAGCGGGGTTCACTCCTTCCTGCTTGGTATGAGCCATCAGACATGGCTCCAGGCCTGGCATTAAGACAACTGCATATTTATGGGGTGCCTACTATATGCTAGTTCCTGGTCAGGCAGGTAGCTCCAGGCTGGGCTGGTCACCCCATCCCCAGGTAGGTTGGGGTAGTGAGAGCAAGAAGAGCCCCTAGAATGGGAGCTTGCTGGGGGCAGAGGTTATTGTCTCTTTTGTTCAGTGTCAAATCTCCAGAGCCCATAACAGCATCTGGCCATAGTAGGTGCTCAATAAATATCTTTTGAATGATTGAAGGACCTAAAGCCACCCTCCCCCTACTAGGGTGACATCTATGTGCTGTCTTCTCTGGACCGGGAGAAGAAGGACCACTATATCCTGACTGCCTTGGCCAAAGACAACCCTGGGGATGTAGCCAGCAACCGTCGCGAAAATTCAGTGCAGGTGAGGGGTGCCAACCTGGGCCAGGGATGACAGGGACTGGGGTTGTGGAGGCAACAAGCAAAGCCTCTAGCAAGTGGACTGCTGCAGACTGGGAGCAGAGCCCCCCGGTCCCCTTTGAGACACAGTGACAGAAAGGAGAAGGCAAGAGGGTAACTGGATGGGTTACAATGGCTGTGGCTTAGGAAGACAGGGACCCTCTGGGAGAAATCTTTGCCAAACTGCTATTTGGCAAAATATTTTGGCAAATAGGCAGCTAAACATACCTGGGTGTAACCCAAATAATGCCTGGGGCTCCACATGGCCCAGTATCACCATAGTGTCCCATTGAAAGAAACACAGTCCAGAAACCAAACATAATTATAAAGGAATCATCTTTATTTATGTCTCTCTCTCTCTTTTTTTTTTTTTTTT
The DNA here is from genome assembly GCF_000001405.40 of Homo sapiens. Lineage (NCBI taxonomy): Eukaryota > Metazoa > Chordata > Mammalia > Primates > Hominidae > Homo > Homo sapiens. The sequence goes on from NC_000010.11 coordinate 71,801,167, forward strand.
TTTTTTGAGATGGAGTTTCACTCTTGTTGCCCAGGCTGGAGTGCAATGGCGTGATCCGGCTCACCACAACCTCCACCTCCCAGGTTCAAGCAATTCTCCTGCCTCAGCCTCCCAAGTAGCTGGGATTACAGGCATGCGCTACCACACCCGGCTAATTTTGTATTTTCAGTAGAGACGGGGTTTCTCCATGTTGGTCGGGCTGGTCTCGAACTCCCGACCTCAGGTGATTCGCCCACCTCGGCCTCCCAAAGTGCTGGGATTATAGATGTGAGCCACCGAGCCCGGCCTATTTATGTCTCTTAAAGAATACTAATGAGGGCTCCAAGTCATAACCCCATTCTCATTCCAGTGTCCACGCAGCTGTTCTGAGGCCAGCATCTCACCCTCTCAGCTCTCAATCCCCTTTTCTATGCAAAGTCCCAGGCCTCAAGGTTTTGCTTCCTCTTTCTCTCTCCTCCCTTCTGTCTTTGGCAGGCCTATCTTTCTGTATGCAGTACTCACTTCTCCCTCACAATAATCTCATCATCCAAAGGAAACTCTCTTGAAAGGTCGGGGGTGTGAACAGCTGAATGGGCCAAGACCACTTCTCTTTGGCAGGTAGAGAGAAAGGGCTGGGAACACATGCACATATCCAAACCTCATCCCTGTCACACATGCATGTGCTGTGTTGGGAAAAACACAGCATTTGGGGCCAGAAGACTCAAGTTCCATGAGCTGAGCACACTGCCTTTGTCAGTCAACCTCTCTGAGCCTCCATTGTCAAATCTGCAAAGGAGGGTGCAGATGTGCAATTGGGGACATGAGGTGGTTTGAAAGTGCTCTGTGCACTGAAAGGGGATCTTTAAAGTCACGGCTGCTGGCCGGAGCATGGTGGCTCATGCCTGTAATCCCAGCACTTTGGGAGGCCGAGGCGGGGGGATCACCTGAGGTTAGGAGTTCAAGACCAGCCTGGCCAACATGGTGAAAACCCATCTCTACTAGAAATACAAAAATTAGCCAGGCATGGTGGTGTTTGCCTGTAATCCCAGCTACTTGGGAGGCTGAGGCAGGAGAATCATTTGAACCCAGGAGGTGGAGGTTGCAGTGAGCCGAGATTGCGCCATTGCACTCCAGCCTGGGCAACAAGAGCGAAACTCCATCGAAGAAAATAAAATGAAGTCACTGCTGTCAAGGGCTCTGAAGAGGATGCAGTTCAGGCAGCTCCCAGCAGCCAGGGAACAAAGGTCCCATGGTTTGCTGTGTCTGTAAGACCTGCCCTGGGCTGGGGGGTCAGCCAGGGAAGCCAAGTCTCCGGCCAGACACAAATCGCAGTCAAGAGAACCTTGGGGAATGGAGGAATGCCACCAATCCAGCACTAAGGGATAGAGATTAGAGCCAGATTTATAGGGCCCTGTGGGGAGCAGCAAGGAATAAAGTAGGAGGTGTGAGGGGATAAGGGGTTTCTGCTTCAGGGCCCAGGTGCAGATTACCTGTTAACCACTGTTCTAGTTGTTGAGTGTTTACTTGAGCCACGCACTGTGCCAAGGATCTAGGATTGTGCAACCAAGGTAACTGAGGCTCAGGGGGTTAAATAAGTTGCTTCAAGTCAGACTCCAACACATTAGAAGACATTACCTCCCTCCCAGGCTGGTGCCTGTCCTTCCTCTATCCAGGCTTACTCCTGCATGACCAGGTCCGCTGAGGCTGCCCCATCCTGCTCCTTACCTTTGGCCTTGACCTCCATCCACCCAGGTGGTGATCCAAGTGCTGGATGTCAATGACTGCCGGCCACAGTTCTCCAAGCCCCAGTTCAGCACAAGCGTGTATGAGAATGAGCCGGCGGGCACCTCGGTCATCACCATGATGGCCACTGACCAGGATGAAGGTCCCAATGGAGAGTTGACCTACTCACTTGAGGGCCCTGGCGTGGGTATGTGGCCTTCCTTGGACACCCATGATGTCTTGGGGGGTGGGAGGGGGAGGCCTGCCAGCCCAGGCCAGGAGTAGAGGGAAGCGTGGGAAGGATGTCTCAACCAGAGCTACTCTCCTGCTCCCACTGCCAGAGGCCTTCCATGTGGACATGGACTCGGGCTTGGTGACCACACAGCGGCCACTGCAGTCCTACGAGAAGTTCAGTCTGACCGTGGTGGCCACAGATGGTGGAGAGCCCCCACTCTGGGGCACCACCATGCTCCTGGTGGAGGTCATCGACGTCAATGACAACCGCCCTGTCTTTGTGCGCCCACCCAACGGCACCATCCTCCACATCAGAGAGGTACTCCTGCCCCGAGGGCCTCCTGCCCACCAGTATTTCCTTCTTCCAGCTGTGGCCTAGAAGAGTGGAAGCACCCCACTCTAAAGGTGGGGAAACTTGGCTTCAGGAAAGTAGCTCCAGGAAAAAAAAAACTTTTTTAATTAAATAAAAGTTTGTAAAGGTGGGAAAACTGAGGCCGGAGAAGGAAGCAGACCTGCCCAGTGCCACACAGGGCAGTATTGAACAGTGGTTACTATATGGGCTGTGCTAGTAAAAGATCTTTGGTTTGGCCAGGTGCAGTGGCTCACACCTATAATCCCAGCACTTTGGGAGGCCAAGGCAGGTGGAACATTTGAGGTCAGGAGTTCGAGACCAGCCTGGCCAACATAGTGAAACCCGATCTCTACTAAAAATGCAAAAAAAAAAAAAAAAAAAAAAGGCTGGGCATGGTGGTGCATGCCTGTAATCCCAGCTACTCGGGAGGCTGACGCAGGATAATCGCTTGAACCCGGGAGACGGAGGTTGCAGTGAGCCAAGATCACACCACTACACTCCAGCCCGGGCAACAGAGTGAGACTTTGTCAAAAAAAAAAAAAAAAAAAATCTTTAGTTGAAGTCTAACTCTATCGCTTATCAGCCCAACGACTTTGAGCAAGTGACTTCTGTAAGTCTGTTTTCTGTACGTCTATTTTTTCCTCTGCAAAACAGGACTAATAAGTAAATACTCCATCTCTTGCTCCTAGATGTCTACCAAAAAGGACAGACTCCTCTACAACCCACTTCCCCCATACTTGTCTCAGAATAAACACACACGCCCCTTCCATCTGTCTGTTGTTCCTGCTGATACAGTGTGGAGACAGCCTAGGAGCTGAGGCTGAGCATCAAAATAAGAAATGAGGGGAAGTGGCAAGGTTCTGGAATCTCTCCAGGTCTTCCACTTCTCGGTCTAAATTGCCATATAAAGATAGGGGAAGTATTCCTTTGTCTTCTGCTCTCCCCCTTTCTTCTAAGCACACAGGCCCAAAGTGCTCCGTAGTGGCACCATCAGAATGTCTCCCACTTGTTCTTTGTCCCCCAAACTCCACCCAGGCTCCACATCTCAGAATGTCCATGCTAAGTCCATCATGTCACTCTGTCTCCTCTTTGAGGTCCTGCGGGAGAAAACTCTCCCAAGGCTAAGCTCAAAGAAGCGTTGTGCCTTTACCAGGTGCTTTGCTTTTTTACCTTGTGTCTAGTGTCTCATCGGCAGTGATTGAGCAGTCGGTCCTCTTTGCTCTGCTTTGCTCTTTCAGAGTGATCAGGATATCTCGAGTGACCCTGCAGGGACAGGGCTTACACCTTGCTTCCCACCCCTCAGCTTTCATCTTCCTGACCAATTTTTTTCTTTACTCTAGTTTTTTAACTTGATCAATCTTGTTATAATTTATGTATTCTTGTCCCCTGCATTAAATCTCTTTTGTGGAATGAGGCAGGGTACAAATTAATAATAATCTAGTCCTTTTTCACACCAAAAGCCCCATTTATGAACACTTTCCCTTCAAGGGCTTTGCATTTGGAAAGATTTATGTCTCCTGAACAATCAGCATGTATTAATTATCTATATGTCGTCCTACTTGTTATTAATTAGACGTAACTGCCATTTAGAACTTTCAGTTGTCATGATCCATGAGATAAACAATGAAACCATGCTGAGCTGATCATTTTTCAACTAAAAGCAAAGAAACGTGCCCTTTCTTTTTCCCTGGGCAGCCTTGTCATGGGTCAATGTATGATTTCAATGAGGTTTCGAGATCTTGGACTTAGCTCAACAGCGTTCAGGAGACTGAGGCTCAGGGAAGTGAGGTGGCAAGTCCAGGTTCCAGGCAGGTTAGTAACAGACTAGACCCTGATGGCCAACCCCTATCCTATCCACCATGTCACCCTGCCTGTGTCCCCCCCATTTTCAGGTACCCCATTGGATGGATGGTGTTGTTTGGGGACACCCAGAATTCCTGTGTTTGGGGTAGCAGAGAGAGCAAGACTGATACAGGACGAAGGGTGGCTGTGGCCTCAGCACTTAGATCCCCTCTGTCCCCAAAACCTCAGCATGCAATGAATGGGACTGGAAGGGCGGAGGCAGCTCCTGGGAAGATGGTCACCCTGGGAAGGCTTGAAGCATGTGGTTCTCAGGCTGGACTGTCAGTGCAATGGCCTTAGCTTGGGTTGGGGAGGAGAGAAGAGGGACAACAGCTAGCAGAAGCCCAGAATCCAGGAGAATCCAGCCGAGCAGGCAGGCGCTCCTGGCGGGTGCTGTAAGCTGTTGAGGACATTCTGCTACGGCAGGAGAAAGAGCAAGGGCTCCCTCAGGACCTAGGAGCTGAGATTCTTTCAGGGGTCCAGGAGCCTTCCTCCCCATGCTCCCCACAGGAGATCCCGCTGCGCTCCAACGTGTACGAGGTCTACGCCACGGACAAGGATGAGGGCCTCAACGGGGCGGTGCGCTACAGCTTCCTGAAGACTGCGGGCAACCGGGACTGGGAGTTCTTCATCATCGACCCAATCAGCGGCCTCATCCAGACTGCTCAGCGCCTGGACCGCGAGTCGCAGGCGGTGTACAGCGTAAGGGCGGGGCCCGGTGCGAGGGGCGGGGTCTGGGGCGGGGCTTTCTTCTGGGGGCGGGTCTTGCACCTCGCCTCCTGGAAAGTCCCTAGGGGAACTGGCCACCGGGAAGTCCCCAAGCCAATCCCCTCTCCCAGTCTTTTCCTCTGACTGTGCTCTTCCGCTCCTAGCTCATCTTGGTGGCCAGCGACCTGGGCCAGCCAGTGCCATACGAGACTATGCAGCCGCTGCAGGTGGCCCTGGAGGACATCGATGACAACGAACCCCTTTTCGTGAGGCCTCCAGTGAGCTTGCCCACCTCCTGCGCTGGTCACACCCACACAGGGACTCACCTGCCTGCAAGCACACACTCTCCTATATACACTGTGCCAGAATACACATTTGGCTAGACACGGAAACATGTCTGCATGCACTTCATGCAAGAACAACTATTTATTGAGCAGCTGTGTTACACTATATTGAGCTATATTGAGCGCTGAAAAAAAAAAAGGCAGACCAAAATGCCTGACTCATGGAGCTGATAGCCCTGTCTTTGCCTGCACACACACATACACACACACAAAGCATGAAAATCAGCTCTGATTTTTTTTTTTTTTTTTTGAGACAGAGTCTCGCTCCGTTGCCGAGGCTGGAGTGCAGTGGCATGACCTTGACTCACTGCAACCTCCACCCGGGTTCAAGTGATTCTTCTGCCTCAGCCTCCCAAGTAGCTGGGATTACAGGCACCCGCCACCATGCCCAGCTAATTTTTGTATTTCTAGTAGAGACGGGTTTTTGCCATGTTGGCCAGGCTGGTCTCAAACTCCTGCCTTGGCCTCCCAAAATGCTGAGACTACAGGCATAAGCCACTACGCCCCGCCCAGCTCTGATTTATTGATATAGGGCTGACATGAAATCTGACAGCAAGGCTGAGGGCCCCTCCTGTGGACTCCAACTCTGACATGGTTGTTTTTTCTTCTTGTGTGCACATGGGATGTGATGTTCCTTGGCGACTGCTGAGTGTGAGTGCATACACATGCATGTGCATATAAGAGTAACGTGTGTGCTTCTCTCACTTAAGCACTCATTTGGGTTCTGGGCAACACTCCGTGAGGGCAGAGCTCAGGTCCGCGGGCCATGCTTTGCTCCCTTGAGGTTACAACGGTTCTACTCACCCCATAAGGCCTGGACAGTAAACTCCCTCAGCACCTACAAAGTCACTGCCCAGGGCCCTGAAACAGGGACTGGAAGCTCGGGTCTTCCCTTGGCCCCATGTGATGACATCCCCCTCCCTCTGCAGAAAGGCAGCCCCCAGTACCAGCTGCTGACAGTGCCTGAGCACTCACCACGCGGCACCCTCGTGGGCAACGTGACAGGCGCAGTGGATGCAGATGAGGGCCCCAACGCGATCGTGTACTACTTCATCGCAGGTGGGGCCAGACAGAGCTAGTGCCCTGATTACCCTGGGGCTAGAGATGACCCACATATGCCCTGCTCCTGGCCCTGCCCCCTCACCCTGTGCCATGATCCCACCCTCAGCCGGCAACGAAGAGAAGAACTTCCATCTGCAGCCCGATGGGTGTCTGCTGGTGCTGCGGGACCTGGACCGGGAGCGAGAAGCCATCTTCTCCTTCATCGTCAAGGCCTCCAGCAATCGCAGCTGGACACCTCCCCGTGGACCCTCCCCAACCCTCGACCTGGTTGCTGACCTCACACTGCAGGAGGTGCGCGTTGTGCTAGAGGACATCAACGACCAGCCACCACGCTTCACCAAGGCTGAGTACACTGCAGGTGCAGGGACTGGAGCCTGGGCACGAGGTGTGGGGTGGCCCCTGCCCTGCCACTTACACCACCTGCCTCTTCCTGCAGGGGTGGCCACCGACGCCAAGGTGGGCTCAGAGTTGATCCAGGTGCTGGCCCTGGATGCAGACATTGGCAACAACAGCCTTGTCTTCTACAGCATTCTGGCCATCCACTACTTCCGGGCCCTTGCCAACGACTCTGAAGATGTGGGCCAGGTCTTCACCATGGGTAGGGCCTGGCAGCACATGAGTGGCCTCTAGCCATGACCTCTCAGTCACTGCATGGACTGTCATCTGGGGGGAGATGGGGTCTGTGGGAGCACCACAGGATATGGGTGGCCCCCCAGCCAGCCACACCAATCCTATTCATCCACCTATTCAGCAATCCGTTCTCCAGTGTATCCACCTATCCACCTCTTCATCTACCCACCAGCCCTTTCTTTTCATTCTCTCTTCTTTTCAACTCATCTATCCATTAGTTATCCGTCCATCCATGTATCCACACTTCTGGCTGTCCATCTATCCTTCCATCCATCTGTCCATCCCTCATTTTATCCTTCCATCCGTCCATCTGTCTCTTCCATCCATCCTTTCTTCCATCTGTCCATCCATCCTGCTTTCATTCATCTGTCCACCTACCCATCTTCCCACTCTCCCTCCCATAATATCTGCCTGTTTTTTCAGTTGCGCACATCGCCTTCCCCTATGTCAGGCATTGTGTTAGGACTGGGGCACCAGGATTCAAAGCTCACACTTATATCTATGGATGTGCATGTTTGCTTGTGCACTGACCTGTGTGGATGGCTGAGACCCTCTGGGTCAGGCTCTAGAAGATGCCCCTGTGGGTGTCCCATTACCTTACTCCCAGCCCCAACCCCTTCCCCCTTCTTCTCCATCTAAAGGCTCCTCCTCTGTATGCCTCGTCTGTGGCCTGGCATTCAAGGCTCACTAGATCTTCCTCCTAATCCCTCTTTCTGTTCCACAGTCACCTGCTATCCTTAAGGGCCCTGTGCCCAGCCTAGCTAAGCTGCTTAGCATCCCCACGGCCTGCTCTCTCCCATTCTCCCCTGGCCTTTGACCCCTCTGCCTTCATTGCCTGGAATGCCATTTTGACCCCTTCTTTGCCTTCGGATATCCCTCCGCCACCCTTCAAGGTCTAGTTCATGTGCCACCTCATCCAGTTACACAAGCAGACACCATCCCTTTGTCCTCTGAGCTCTCACTGCTCTTATTTTAATAAATCAAGGCACATAGAGGCTCAGTAGCTTGCTTGAGGTCACGCAGCTAGAAAGTGACAAATTTTGAGCCCAATCTATTGTCTTTTAAGAGAAGACTATGCTGTACCACCTGACCATCTCTCTTCTATGGGTTTTGTTGTTTTCTTTTTCCTTTTTTTTTTTTTTTTTTTTTTTTGGTGATAGACTCTCACTCTGTTTGTTGCCCAGGCTGGAATGCAGTGGTGCAATCTCAGCTCACTGCAGCCTCTGCCTCCTGGATTCAAGTGATTCTCCTGCCTCAGCCTGCCAAGTAGCTGGGATTAGGTGCATGCACCACCATGCCTGGCTAGATTTTGTATTTTTAGTACAGATGGGGTTTCATCATGTTGGCCAGGCTAGTCTCAAACTCCTGGCCTCAAGTGATCTGCCCGCCTCAGCCTCCCAAAGTGTTGAGATTCAGGCGTGAGCCACCACACCCGGGCTTATTTGTGGAATTCTGAGGTACATGTGTTTGAAAGAGAGAGGAGAAACAGACAGACACTCAGGGGGCTCAGAAATGGTCCTTCGCACCCTAGCATGGGACAACAGAGTCACAAACTTGTCATCCGCACTCCCCTGTGATGATAACCGGCTGAGACCCGAGCCATTTCCACTTCAGATGGGCATCGTTCCCACTTGCCTGTCACCTTTGCTCCCTGCTGTGCCCTGTGGGCATTTGTGCCGCCTCCCCTAGATGTGCCCACCTACCCCAGGGCTCATGCCCCTTCCTGGGGATTCGGGGCACTGAGTCTCTGAGCCGTACCCCGCCTTTGGGCTTCCTGCAGGGAGCATGGACGGCATTCTGCGCACCTTCGACCTCTTCATGGCCTACAGCCCCGGCTACTTCGTGGTGGACATTGTGGCCCGAGACCTGGCAGGCCACAACGACACGGCCATCATCGGCATCTACATCCTGAGGGACGACCAGCGCGTCAAGATCGTCATTAACGAGATCCCCGACCGTGTGCGCGGCTTCGAGGAGGAGTTCATCCACCTGCTCTCCAACATCACTGGGGCCATTGTCAATACTGACAATGTGCAGGTGCCTCATGGGCCCACCCGGGGCCGGGGCAGTGGAGGGAGAAGGAAGGGGAGGCCAGGCCACAAGGAGAGACAGGGCATTGTGCAAAGGCCAGGGCGTGAAAGGCAGTATAGTCCCTACTTAGTCATTTCCTATCAGTGCAGCTTTGATAAAGTTCTCCCAGGTCTCTGGGCCTCAGTTTCCTCTTCCATAAAATGGGGCCAATAATAAATAGTACCTGGCCAAGTGTGGATGAAGTGATTGGCACCGTGCCTGGTCCTCAGCAAACATTCAAACATTCAGTAGTGAAGGGTCTATTTGCAGGGAAGGGCAGAAGGGGTTCCTAAAAGAGGCCTGCCCATCCCTGTGGCCCCCTGCTGTGGTGGCCACACCCTACAATACCCCTTCTCATCTAGTTCCATGTGGACAAGAAGGGCCGGGTGAACTTTGCGCAGACAGAACTGCTTATCCACGTGGTGAACCGCGATACCAACCGCATCCTGGACGTGGACCGGTGAGTCGGGGCCTGTGTTTGGACTGTCAGCCTGTCTGTCTGCCTGCCTCCCTGCCCTGGAGTAGGGGAGGGGACACACCAAAGGAGACACAGACCACACCATCAGGCCCACTGTGTGGGGCCATCTCCCAGACTGGGGCAGGGCTAGGAGAGAGAGCAGAGTTTGGGGGTATGAGCAACTCTGTCCCTCTGAGCCTCCCTCTCCCCATCTGTAACATGGGAGTATTCAGGCCATGCGCAGTGGCTCACACCTGTAATCCCAGCACTTTGGGAGGCCAAGCCAGGTGGATCACCTGAGGTCAGGAGCTCAAGACCAGCCTGACCAACATGGAGAAACCTCGTCTCTACTAAAAATACAAATATTAGTTGGCATGGTGGCACACACCTGTAATCCCAGCTACTCAGGAGGCTGAGGCAGGAGAATCGCTTGAACCTGGCAGGTGGAGTTTGCAGTGGGCTGAGATCATGCCACACTGCACTCCAGCCTGGGCAACAGAGCAAGACTCCATCTCAAAAAAAAAAAAAAAAAAAAAAGGGAGTATTCCATCCACTGTAAGGATGGAACAGGATCCTACATGAAGGTTCGAGGAACCTTGTAAAACACAAAGCTGTCCCAGCCGGTGGACCTCAATCTTGCAAGGCTTGGGGTTGTTGAACTTTGGAGGCTTGAGGCAGGAGCAGAGCAGACTGTCGGTGGTGGGGGAATGGCTGAGGAGGAGAGCTGAGACCCCTGCCCCTCGCCCAGGGTGATCCAGATGATCGATGAGAACAAGGAGCAGCTACGGAATCTTTTCCGGAACTACAACGTCCTGGACGTGCAGCCTGCCATCTCTGTCCGGCTGCCGGATGACATGTCTGCCCTGCAGGTACCCGGCGACCGTGCCCCACAGCCCTAGCCGCCCTCCCCACTGCCCGGGCTTACCCTGGTCCTGCTCCCGCAGATGGCGATCATCGTCCTGGCTATCCTCCTGTTCCTGGCCGCCATGCTCTTTGTCCTCATGAACTGGTACTACAGGACTGTGTGAGTGTCCCCCACCCCTGCCATCAGGGGGCCGACCACCTGCTCCCGGATGGCCACGAGGCAGGCAGGGCCTGAGACGTCAGCTTGGCCCCCCTCACCAGCCCCTCTCTGCTTCTCTCCAGACACAAGAGGAAGCTCAAGGCCATTGTGGCTGGCTCAGCTGGTAAGTGAGGGCCATAGTGGGGACACAGGTGAGAAGGCAGTGGGCTGGGGACCTGGAGTGCCCACCGGAGCCACAAGCCTGGCTCAGGCCCTTCACTGGGCCCAGGACCATGCCCCGCACCCCATCCTCCCTCACCCCCCAACACCACCCCTACCCCTGGCTATGCCCCTCCCCTCCATGCCCCAACCCTTCTCCCTGCAGGGAATCGTGGCTTCATCGACATCATGGACATGCCTAACACCAACAAGTACTCCTTTGATGGGTGAGTGGGGTACTGGCCCTGCCCGGTCCCCTGCGGGGAGTCCTGCCAGGACCCAGCTGGGGAGAGCTGCAGTCTCCCAGCGCTGGGGCTGCCGAAACCCAGGCTGTGGGCGCCCCCTGGTGGGCGGGCCACCCTCCCTTCACCCTCCCTCCACCCTCAGAAACCACGTGGCTGACAGGGGCTCTCCACCCCAGTGGGCCTCAAGTTCCAGGGGATGCAGACTTTGGGCAGTGGGTGCAGGGTGAAGCCTCTGCACCAAAGGCAATCCAGACTGACATGCGGTCCTGGTTCCAGCAGGATCCTATGGTGGGAGCATGCACCACAGGCACCAGGGCCTCACACCCCAAGTCAGTGAAAGGCACTATATGGCCAGGGAAATGGGCAGGATGTGGGGTGAGGCTGGAAGGGCACCTGTCTACTCGAGCCTTCCCTCCCTCCCCACCCTTTTCCCTCCCCAACTGCAGAGCCAACCCTGTGTGGCTGGATCCCTTCTGTCGGAACCTGGAGCTGGCCGCCCAGGCGGAGCATGAGGATGACCTACCGGAGAACCTGAGTGAGATCGCCGACCTGTGGAACAGCCCCACGCGCACCCATGTGAGCCAGAGGCGGTCAGGCATCACAAGGGGCAGGGGTGGAGGGGCTGGGTCTTTGCAACCTCTGGCCAAGAAGCTGGGTTCTTTAAGGGGTGGCCCCCTCCCTTGTACATGTGTGTGGGGTCTGCCTCTGCTCCAGCTAACATCCCCTCTCCCCAGGGAACTTTTGGGCGTGAGCCAGCAGCTGTCAAGCCTGATGATGACCGATACCTGCGGGCTGCCATCCAGGAGTATGACAACATTGCCAAGCTGGGCCAGATCATTCGTGAGGGGCCAATCAAGGTGAGCCTTCCCTGCAGGCTCCGCGCCCAGTCCCTTGGCTGAGGTTGGACCCCACTCCAGAGAACACAGGGTGGTAGAGACCTCCAGGCTCAGCTAGACCCACCCTCCACTGGGGCGAGAACACCAGGGCTGATGGGGGGCTACTCCAGCCTGCGGTGGCCTTAAGGGCAGGGCTCAGGAGTGAGTCCACCTGTGTCCAGGCTGGCCACTGTCTCCAGGCTCTGCCGCTGATCCTCTGCCCTAGGATCACCAGGATCAGATGTCCGTGTACCCCTTACTCCCAGAGGGAGTGGGCGAGGGGCGGGGCAGGCAGGGGAGGGCCTTGGTGGGGGTTAACCCTTTCCCTCCCCCAGGGCTCGCTGCTGAAGGTGGTCCTGGAGGATTACCTGCGGCTCAAAAAGCTCTTTGCACAGCGGATGGTGCAAAAAGCCTCCTCCTGCCACTCCTCCATCTCTGAGGTAGCCGGCTGGGTGGCTGGGAGCTGTGTGCTGTGCCCCAGCCTGGGGATGCTCTCTGTCTCTTGCTGTCCTGCTGTCCTTCTCTATGTCTCTGGAGCTCTGCAGCCAGGACCAAAGACAGCAATGGGTGGGGGCCAGGAAGTCAGACAGCAGGATCTGCTTTCTGGGCTTTTGGGGGCTTTCACAGGAATGGGGTAGTCTCTAAGGCAGTCTTTCTCTGATTAGAGGAAGACCTCAAGAACATACCTTTGGGGGTGATGTCACTTTAAGAAACCCGGCTGGGTGCGGTGGTTCACACCTGTAATCCCAGCACTTTGGGAGGCTGAGGTGGGAGGATCAATTGAGGCCAGGAGTTCGAGACCAGTCTGGCCAACGTGGCGAAACCCCATCTGTACTAAAAATACAAAAAATTAGCCGGGCCTGGTGGCGGACGCCTATAATCCCAGCTACTCAGGGGGCTGAGGCAGGAGAATTGCTGGAACCCAGGAGGCGGAGGTTGAAGTGAACCAAGACCATGCCACTGCACTCCATTGGGTGACAGAGTGAGACTTGTCTCAAAAAAAAAGGAAAGAAAAGAAACTGGCCGTCAGGGTCAAATAGGCCTACATATGTTTGCCTGTAATGATTATGTCAACACTTACAAAAGTCAGGCTTTACCTAAAAACGAATCTCCAGCTGGGCCCATATTCTCAACAGGAATAAGCTAGTCGAATAGCCTCATACAGGAGGACAACAGTGCCAGTTTCAAGTCTCCACCCCACCTATTTATCCTCTGCAGCTTGTCCTATTGACACTTTCTGCCTGGACACAATTAGAGGTGATCTGCTTGAGGCCAATTTGGCAACAAACCCAGATACCACAGTTGCATCCCAGGATGTTTATAGAGCACCAAAGTTAATACATAAAATTAAAGATTCTCAGCCAGATGTGGTGGCACACGCCCATAGTCCCAGCTACTCAGGAAACTGAAATGGGAGGATCACTTGAGCCCAGGAGTCCGAGGCTGCACTGAGCTTTGATTACGTTGCTGCATTCCAGCCTGGGCAACAGAGAGAAACCCTGTCTCTAAATAAATAAAGGGCAGGTGCGGTGGCTCACACTTGTAATCCCAGCACTTTGGGAGGCTGAGGCTGGTGGATCATCTGAGGTCAGGAGTTCCAGACCAGCCTGGCCAACATGGCGTGCCTGTAATCCCACCTACGTGGGAGGCTGAGGCCGGAGAATCACTTGAAGTCAGGAGGTGGAGATTGCAGTGAGCCAAAATCGCGCCACTGCGAGACTCTGTCTACACACACATACACACACACACACACAATTTTCACAAGAAGCCGATACACACACACACAATTTTCACAAGAAGCCGATACACACACACACACACACACACAGATTTTCACAAGAAGCCAATCCTCCCAAGAACCCATCTGCAGCAACTTAAGCATTCATGATTCCCCTTTGCAGGCAGTTTGAGAAACAGAGTCTGACAGGCCTGCTGCGGTAGGAGCCCAAGGTTCAGCCACATAGCCAGTGGGTCTCTGGGGCCATCCACCTGCTCACCCCTTGGGCATGGCCCTGAGCATGTGGGGGTCCCGGCCTCTTGCAGCTGATACAGACTGAGCTGGACGAGGAGCCAGGAGACCACAGCCCAGGGCAGGGTAGCCTGCGCTTCCGCCACAAGCCACCAGTGGAGCTCAAGGGGCCCGATGGGATCCATGTGGTGCACGGCAGCACGGGCACGCTGCTGGCCACCGACCTCAACAGCCTGCCCGAGGAAGACCAGAAGGGCCTGGGCCGCTCGCTGGAGACGCTGACCGCTGCCGAGGCCACTGCCTTCGAGCGCAACGCCCGCACAGAATCCGCCAAATCCACACCCCTGCACAAACTTCGCGACGTGATCATGGAGACCCCCCTGGAGATCACAGAGCTGTGACTAGACAGGGAAGCCTTGTGGGTGTGAGCAGCACCCATCCACCGTCCCCTCCCAGGGAGCAAGGGCAGGGACAGGGCCGGTCGGGGGGGACCCTCCAAGGCCAGGCCTTGGGGACAACCTTGGCTTGGCCCTGGCAGCCCGCATCAGCTGCTCAGATCCCACTTTTGCCAGACGCTCATTCAGCATCTGACCTCTACCTTCATAAGATCTGTTATTTTTATAAGAAAACCAAACAAAAATGTTAAGCATCTAAGGACAAGGTAAGGAGGGTCACTGGGGCCCAAGAGTCTGGGGACCAGCTTGGCTCAGGCTGAGCTGAAAGAGGCCAAACAGGCCCTCCTCCCTCCCAGCTCCACCCCGCAAGCACCATCCCCTCCGGCTAAGCAGGCGCAAGGGAGGCCCAGCGCGGACATCCCCTGCTGGCCGGACACCCGACTCCAGTCCAAGTCTCGCTACATTTCCGCCACATCCCTCTCTGCTGGACGTCCAGGTGGAGGTGGCATCCCCACGTGGACAAGAAAGTCAATGTCAATGAACAAGCATTCTCTCCATTTCACTGGCTTCCCAAATGTGTGCCCAGCTTATAAACAGAAGTGACTGATGTTCCCTCCGGTTTTGAATGTGGAGTGTTTGTGTGTGTTCCTTTTTTAAATTAAGTTATTCCCTCAATAGTTTCCCCTTGGTTTTGTTTAACTGGTACTCACTACAAGTTTCTGGAATGGTTTGTTTAAAAATCAAGGCAACTCTCAAGGAACTGGCAACGTGCTCTGACTCTGGCCTCTAGGGAGCAGGGACAGGGGCAGGTGAAGAGCAGAGCCGACCTTCAGGTGCGCCTGACCTACTGCTGGCCCTGAGTCTTGGGGAGGATGAGGTGGGATCTTCCTTTATCCACTTTGCTTTCATTCTCTGGCCAAGATGGGTCATGGGAGTGCTGGGCCCCAAAGGTGTCATGGGCTCAGAGCTCATCAGAGAGGAACAAACTCTTCCAGCTGAAGGGTCACAGAAACATTAGGCCCAGATCTGGCTAACAGAATTTTATTGTTAAATCACAGAAACTTTAGTGCAAAACAAAAATCACGAAGTCCATTTAATAGCAACTTCATGTCCTGCTGGCTTTGCTTGCTGTCTCCTGGCAACCAGAAGTGGACAGAAGCGTGGGTGCCCAAGTGGGCCACAGACAGCTTCCAACCCCCACACCCCAGCATCCAATCCACACCCAGCAGACCCTTCGGCATGCCGCCCTCTACCAGGAAGCCAGAGGCCTAGGAGCTCGCCATCCATATTTATTTGAAAAGGTCAAAAGGAGCATCTATGAGACAAGGGAGGGGTGCAGGCTGAAGCAGCGCCTCAACAGCCAGGGACATGTAGGCAACACGAGCAGGCACAGCGCGGCCACCACTGTCCACACGCTCACACAAGCCAGGCCCGCAGGGCCTTCGGAGAGCTAGCAGGTTACATTCAGGCAGATGGCCCTCTTCCCACCCAAACCCACAGAACCCCAAACAAGGCATCACCAGGAAAGACACGGGAAAGCCAAATCACAGTTGAACCAGGGACAGAGAACCCTTGGCCCCACTGATGTCCCAAGCCACCAGCAGCTGCTTCCAAAATCCCTATGCTATTACAGTGGGAATTACATCATTTAAAAAGCCTGATTATTCCAGGCTTCTAATCTTTCATATAAAACTGCCTTTGTTTTGCTGCTTTGTTCAACTGAGAGGCCCAGGAAAGCGGGGAGGGTCCCTGATCAGGGCAGGAGGCCACCTCAGAAGCCCAGGCCCACCAGTGCCCAAGCACATGTCAGGGCTCAGAACAAGGCCTCAACCAAGAGGGTTGATGGCCTCCAGTCAAGAAACTGTGGCTCATGCCAGCAGAGCTCTCTCCTCCTCCAGCAGGCGCCATGCAAGGGCAGGCTAAAAGACCTCCAGTGCATCAACATCCATCTAGCAGAGAGAAAAGGGGCACTGAAGCAGCTATGTCTGCCAGGGGCTAGGGGCTCCCTTGCAGACAGCAATGCTACAATAAAGGACACAGAAATGGGGGAGGTGGGGGAGCCCTATTTTTATAACAAAGTCAAACAGATCTGTGCGTTCATTCCCCCAGACACACAAGTAGAAAAAAACCAATGCTGTGGTTTCTGCCAAGATGGAATATTCCTCCTCCTAGTTCCACACATGGCGTTTGCAATGCTCGACAGCCTGGTAGGAGAGAGGAAGCTGAGTTTAGTCTTCGGATGAAAAACTCCGTTCCCGGCCCATCAATGTATCAGATATCACCCCAAAACAGGACCTGTTCTCTTGTCCTAGGTCAGCTGGATGGCACCAGATGCTGAAGACCCAGGACAGGATCTCACTTAAAAACAGGGAACACGTGGCCATCAGAGTTTTGGGAACTTCTAAGGCACGAGTCCAGAGCAGCAGATGCCTGCAGCAGTTTGCAGATGAGTACCCACGCAGGCAGGGCTCAGGACCCTTCATCTACCTGCACCCGGCACCCAGCGTCCTGCTAGCAGCCTGCACACTAACTCCCAGGCAGAACCTCCTTGCCTGAGTTAGGCTACACACCAGCTCGGGCCTTGAGAAGCAGGCCCACATTTCCCCAGGACAGCAGCAGAACCAGCTGTGGGGTGGGGCTGGCGGTGGAGATGGGCTGGAGCCTAGCTGGAGGAAAGAGCTGGACATGGCCAGAATGGGGGCCCCCTGCCCCTCCCTGCAGTGGTCCGAAATGACACAACCGCCACTGACATGGTCACAGGGAAGCCCGGTGAGGAAGGAAAAGTTGCACAAAGCAACATTAAGTAACAGGGACCGAACCAAACATCCCCACCCAGGGAAGCAGCACAAGTCACCCAACTGGTGGCTGCCAGGCCAGGCCAGGGCCACAGTGCCCTAGGGCTGCTGGGCAGGGGCCAGTTCTCAGGGCCTTGAGTGAGGACTCGGGCCCGGCTTCAGCAAGGGCAAACATGTTCCCGGGGGACAGGACCTGGGCAAAGCTCTGGGCAATGAATCCCACAGACCTTGTACAATCCCTGGAGTGACCTTGTACAAGTCTGACACTGTCACAAGGGAAATGAAGACAAAAGCAACAAAGCAGAAGCAAAAAAATACTAAAAAAAATAAATAAATAAAATCCACCCCACCCTTCACTACAAGAGTGTAGTTCACCCTGTCTTTTCTAGGGGACCATGAGTAAGCCTAACCACCTCTCTGGGCCTCAGCTTTCTGATAACATAAAAGCAGGGTGGAGAGTTGATCACTGGGTTCCCATTAAAGCAGGATTCTCACACAGGCTACCCCAGGGCAAGACAGGCTGGTGACACTGTCTGCTGAGCTACTCACATTGCACTGGGCTGCTGTCTCTGTGTTCTGGCACCAGTAGCTTGGGCCCCATATACACTTCTCAGTTCCCAACAAGGGCTTATGGGCCGAGGGGCAGGCTCCAATTTTCTATATGGTGAGAAAAGGAAAGAAGAAAGGGGGAGAATGAGAGCTGCCCGATGTATCGCTTTCAAAACTAAGAAAACAGTTTCCAGAAGGAGCTAGGATCACAGCTCCACCACGCTCTTTCAGAACATCAGGGTTGCTGAGGAAAGCGATGGGGCTTGGGGGGCTGGCTCCCTACCTTCTTGGCTCTCCCGCAGCAGAACCCAGAGACTCCACCCCACGGCCAAGTCTCAGAGCAACCCTTCCGGGTCTCTGCAGCCCCCCAGGTTACAGCTGCCCGAGAGGACCACACCACCCAGTGAGGCTCACCAAGCACACGAAGGAAGGATCCATCACCTCCACCAGGATCTCGATCAGCACGGGCTCGTACTCTGCCACAAACTGATCACACTATAAAGGAAAGTGGGGACACAGGTCCAGCTCTGGGGGTGTCCGAGCATAGTGGGGCACAAAAGGCCAGGCAGGCCCTGGATACACTGTTCCCTGAGAGCTCCTGGCATTCCCAGCCCACTGGGTCCTGGGGCCTCCCTTTCCAGACACCCTATCTACATTTGGCCTCTCTACTTCAGGTTGCTTCCCCCAGTGGCTCATCTTAAGCCAACAAATCACCTCCAAGTAAAACTTCATTGGACTCCATGCCCGGAGGCAGAAACAGCTGGTTTTCCATCAAAATGTACCCCAGCCTTGGCATACTTCATCAGGTTCTGCCATGCTGGCCTACCGCAGCCCAGCCCGGGGCGTACCTGCTTCTGGTAAGGGTCTGGCAGGAAGCTGCAGCCTTTCTCAAGAGCAGCCAGGATCTCCTGCTTGGTGCTGTTTTTCTCCAGGTTGCGATCCAAATAACCCACCAGCTTCTTGCACACTTCGCAGAAGCCACCGTCCTTTGGCTGAGTCACGTGAACTACATAAGAGGGCAGCGGGCTCAACGCTGGCAGGGCCCTCCCAGACCCAAGAGGGGCACCATCCTCTCCCGCACCACACCCAGCGCTCACCGGTCAGTGCAGGCAGCCGCGTGCCAGAGCAGAGGTGCAGCATGCTGCACACCAGCTCAGGGCTGACCTCCTCCAGCAGGATGGACAGGATGGAGCTGCCGTACGTGTCCACCACCTCCTGGCACTCTTCCGACAGGGACTTCGGCAGCTTCGAGCACATTTTGTCAAAAGCGTCGAGTATTTCTTTCTGAAACACACGAGAGGATCGTGTGAGAAGACGGGAGGCCGGACAAGGGTTGGGGGACATTCTGAAAATACTAACATGGCCAGGAAATGAGTCAATGGTGGGTGCCGTTTCCACCCACAAAAAACTACCAAACTACAAAGCAGGGCAATGGTGTCCACCTCCCCGGACCCCCGCCAGCCTAGAGGTCCCACTGGTGAGGATTGCCTTCCACGAGATGGGGACATGGCTGTACACATGTCAAGGCTGGGCCAAGCCCTCTCTCCTGTGGGACTTTCCCACTGGGACATTCAGGCTCGGGGGGGCAGGAGAGGCCCTCCCTCTGCCAGGAGGACAGCATACCTCAGTCTTGTTGTTGTCAATCAGCTTGGTCACCTCCTTCACCAGGAATTCACACACCTCACAGTAAACATCAGACTTTGCTGGGACCTCGTGCTTCTGTGGAAAGAGTAGAAGGAGAGTACTTTCAATGCTGGGACTCACAGCCCTTGGTCTTGCTCCCCTAAAGGAAAGGGGACACAGAGACCAGGGTGGGTTAGCACATCAAGGGCCACTGCCTCCTGAATTCCAAATGGCGTGTGGCTTCTAATATCCAAGTTAATTCCCTATTTTTACATTCACCCCCTTCCCCAATCCTCTACCACCCCCACCTCCCCCTAACCCCACCAAAACAAAACCCAGGAATTCACAGTTCAGGAGACAGAAAGTCCCTTCCCCACCCCGAAGAGCTGTCCTGATGATGTGTTCGGTTACAATCATTTCATCATTCAGGGTTCATTTTGGGGAGGAGGATGAAGGACCAAAAGCAAAGTGAGGGGCTCACTATCGGTCCACTATCTAGAAGACAGAATGTTGAACACACTTCAGGTCTGCTCGTGTGTCTCCCATGTCTCATTAGCACTTGAGAATGCTCTTCTGGAACCCACCTTTAATAAGGCAATACTGTTACAGAGGATGTTCTGTGGCAATGGAAATGTTCTCTATCTCTGCTGTCCACTATAAGCTCCAGCTACCTGTGCACTGAGCACCTGCAATGTGGCTGGTGTAGCCAAGGGGCTGAATTTTTAATTTTGCTCCATGGTATTTCATTAAAATTTAAGTAGTCACATGTGGTTGGAGTGCGAGCTATAACTCTTCACTTTCTCTGGCCGTCACTTTGGTCAGCAGGCTGGAGCTGAGGAGCACCCGGTGGAGAGGAAGGCAAGAAGCAGTGCTTCCTGGATTCCAGCTGACACTTCGGCCTGGCCCCTGGGTCACACACTCTGCACATGCAGAGAGGAGACAGCAGAGAGAGACCAACAGCTGGCAGTCAAGTGCCGTGGGATGTTCTAGAACAAGAAGCGTGTACATGTGCCACGTGTTAAGGCATCACACAGCCCAGGCCTTGAAGAACTAGAATGTAAGCCCCACGGGCACAATGACATCATCTGTTCACCACAGCCCCTAACATGCTGCCTGACCCATAATAAATGCCAAATACAAATTTATTATGGGATGAAGTAGTCTAATCTTCACCAAGTGAGGTGTTTTAGTTAAATAAAATAGACACCCACATGTACTTAGTATACAGGCTGCAGGCCCAGTGAGGCTTCCGTACACTCTGAGGGGTGTGCTGGGAACATCCAGTCTGTCAGGGCCACAGGATGGGGAAGGACCCAGACAGTGCATGTGAGAAGGTGAGGCTGAAGCCAGGCACTGCAAAGTCACCTTTGAATGGCATGCTGAAAATACACAGGCTAATGATCCCACGAACATTAGGGTTTACAACCAAGGAAATAAAATGTTTTCAAAAGAACTCAGGGTCGGGGGCTGCATTAGTATAGGGGATAGGATAAACCAGTGATCACAAACTCAAAGACCTTTAGGAGCCAGGCAGGGAACCGAAAGAAACAAGTGACTCGTAAGATGTGATGTGACACAGCAGGGAGTAGTGTGGCATTGCACAGCCCTGACCAGGACACAAAGTGACACCAGGTACCTTAATGGGCTCCACCAGTTCCAGGGCAGGGATGACATTCTTGGAGGCCACTTTGGCGGGGACCAGAGTCTGCATGGGCATCTCTTTCACCTCATCACAGAACCCAACCAGCGCACAGATCTCCTTGGGTTGCTGAAGAGAGCACAGAACAACCAGTCAGCAGCAAGCCTACGCCCACTGCTCCTCAGTCCCAATCCAGCCAGAGGACAGGGAGCTGGACAGCACCCTGGGCCCAGGTCAAGGCTACCTCCCTCTCCCCCTCCCACAACGGGGCAGATTCCAGTTTCCATGTTAAAGGGCTCGTGTCTGAAGCAGTGCATATGTGCCAGTTACATCTCGGGGAGGAGACCACACAAAGCTCCTAAGGAACATCAAACAGAGTCTCCATCCAGGGCCACCACGAGGGAGACTCCCCAGCACCTTCCACATCTCCAAGGACACCTGGTCTGTTCTAGAATGTGTCTTTTCAGGTCACTCTAGGTAGGAACTAAGCTATGCTTTTTTCTAGAGGGGGAACTACCATGCCCATAAACTAACAGAAAGCCAAATGTGTTAGAAATAAAACCACACCAGATTTTTCAGCGGCAGGACCATTTAAAATGATGCATTAAGGGGAAATGCTGGCTTTTTAAAAAACCACATTCTATGTTCAAGCTGCACACAGTGCACATGAAAACCCAACCCGCCAAATGGATGAATCATTTTAAGCCACAAGGTCTCCAGATTGATCCCCTTTCACCATTTAGACACCAAACACAGAGCACTAGATAGTCTAGACATCCTGACCATGACACTCTGATGGCCAAGAGTGAGACAAGTGTATAGACTCTGTATATTGTGGAAATAAATGCAACCAGCAACTAGCTCTGAGCCTGAGTGCATTTGCCTTCCAGCACCAAACCCTAAAGCAGCAGGAACAAAAGTGCTAAAAACAGGACCTGTTAAGGGAAAAGAGCTAGACCATGACTATGGCTCATCTTGTTTTAATATCAAGAAGGTTCGAGAATTAATAAGACCGGGGGAGTCTGAAAAGTATATCCCAAATACCCTGTCTCTGCCACACCTTAAGAATGAAAAATAAATAAATAAATAAATAAATAATAAGAACGCAGCTGAAGATACAGCAAGCTTTTTAGAAAAAAAAAAAAGACGCCAATATTCAGGAGGTATAGGGCTGCTTCTGCCTCGATCAGCTTTGTTCCAACTCCTTGAGGAGGCCTAGGTAAAAATTCAGGTATTTCAACCAAAGTCCTCTCCCATTAGACTTCAAAATACCTTCAAAAAAAGCTCCAATGCTAATCCTAGCAGATGGATGCCAACGCTCAGAGGTGGCAGTGTTCAGGACGGCCCCGAAGGACACTGGCTCAGAGCAAGTATGGACTGGGCATTTGGTTCTTGTAGCATGCCATCTGATGTGGCTCTAGATCCCAAAGGACCCTGTTACCCAGAGGGGCAGAAGCCACAATCAAGAGATTGTTTCCAATTCTCTGGATCCAACAGCCAGGAACAGTCTGCTGGCTGTCTGCAAATGTTTGCTCATGCAGCAGAAGCATTTCTGTGTTTATGAAAAACAGCACTAAAGACATGCAATGCCTACTTGCGTTGTGACAGACACAAGGTGCCCTGGGGAAGCCAGACCTACACTGGACTTCCTAACTGGCCTACGTTGAAGGAGGCTGAGGCACCTCCTGGGCCACCCATGGTTCCCCATTGTCACACTGGTGGCCTGCATGTACGTATGCTGTATGTGGACTGTGACCAGAGCACAAGGCTCTGCTGGCTTCATTTTACTGGACCCCGAAGGGGAGATGAGACCCCCAAAACCTCAAGGGCTGAATTACAGGGGAGAGATGCAGAAGCCCTCCCCAGCCTATTAACAGAGAGGGAGCCTGCCTCTCGTAACCATTCCTTGTATCTGTCAGAGCTAATCATGCCATACCCAAAAAAAAAAAAAGCAAAGTAACTAGAGGAAGCAGCAGACCACTACTGCAAGCAGATTCCCCGACACATACCTGATCCTGCTGTTGAACAAAAAAACAGGAAATCGGAGGTGAAAATAAGAGAAAGGAAAGGACACAACAGTTAAGAAAAATTAAAACAACAATCAAGCAGTTAACCAGGTGTAAGGATGTCCCAAGAGGTTCAGGGGAAATGCTCTTGCAATCAGATCTTAGCAACCTACCTTGTTCCTGCTATCTTGCGGACAAGGGGGCCCTGAAAGCTTTCCTGGCCCTGCAGGGATAGACCATTTGGGGGCTGTCCTGCTCTGTGTGCACCATCTCCAGGTCTTACACACTAAATCACACTCAAAACACTGTGTAGCAAGAGCCCCAGAAAATGCTTGATGAAGGGTCTCCATACTCAGGAGCCCACACTGGCCCCGGGCCCACAAGGCTTTCCCACAGGTTAGTGACCAGCAGCACCACAGAACAAGACACAGGGCTGCCCAAGTAAGGGGGGTAAGGGATCCCTGAGGGGTAAGGGATCCTAGGGCAATCTACTGCAGGTGGCCAAATGGCAGCCTGGAAGGCCAATTTAACAATGTATCCAAAGCCTCATGCTTCCATTCAGCAGTTCCAGCTTTAGTTCTCTATAATAAGGGGAAAGGCAGGGATATGCATATATGTATGCATTTGGCTATAAGGATATTCATCTTCCCAAAGGCAAACCTGAAAACAACCTAGATACATCCGGCCACCGGGGACCAATTATGTAAATTCTCTTCTATGTACACAGGTGATTATTCTGCAAGCATTTAGTCATTTGTACAAGAATATTCAATGGCCAACATATTTTTAGGCAAAAAATGCAAACTACAAAGTACAAGGTAGTATATATGAACCCGTTGATATATTCTGAAACTCCAAATGATTTTTGTGTGGGAAGTATTGTCCATATTTTCAACACATTTCTACACAGTATAACTTTTATAATGAGAAAAATATTTTAAGTTAGCTATGAGGAAGTACTTCACGAGATTAAATCCCGTCAATGCTTATCTTTACCTACTTCAGGTGCATGTCTCTGTAAGCTGCCTTTTAACTGTTTTTAGAACATGGTAGGGTGTGAGTAATAATCCCAAATAAACTACTCCTCCTCAGCTTGCTTGAGTGGTTACAGCAGGTCAGAGAGTCAATCTTTCAGGCTCCTTGGCCATAAGATCTGGCTGCAACTACTCAACTGTGCTGCTGTAGCACAAAACAGGCGTCGCTGTGTTCCAAAAAAATACCCTTTAAGTACAAAACATGATGGGCCAGTTTGCTGACCCCTGGATCAGAGAACAAACTCAAACGCTGGTATGTCAATCTCAAGTAGTCAGAAAGCATGACAGACAGGGAAAAGGTGCCCCCCACCCACTCAGCCCTGCCAATCAGATCTAAGGAGGCAGTGCCCGTTCCCAACGTGAGCAGGCCGCCCTGCTCTGCGTGGACTAGCGAGCTCATTTCCTGAATGGGTATTCTTGATTCTAATGAAGGAATGCCCCCTGCCACCTGAATGCATCCAAAGCCAGCTCAGGAGTTACCAGCTCAAGCAGCAGCTTCAGCGGACGCTGCTGCCATGCACGGGACAAACTCCGGGAGGCAGTATTCCCCCGACTCAGGTGGCAACACAGCCATTCTCAGGCCTGGCTTAGTTAGAGAGCACTTGACTTCTACAGATCCCAGGGTTAAAGCCAGACCTAGAAACCTGATGGCTGGCCTGAACGGGCAGAGGCAAACAAATTGCCAGGAAGCCACCAGGGCAGTCCTGGGATCAAGATGCTTCAGCCTGCCTCTCCCGTAACAGGGGAGGTACTGAGATTGCAAGTGGAGAGTCTCCTAGCCAGAGGGGTCGATTTAGCCCAATTCAGCACTCTAAGGTAAAAAAGGGAAACTAAACCATATAATTTTCAAAATTCCTAGAAATGACGAAACCTGAAAAACAAAGAAAAATGCTAACAAGGGGCCTCCGTGCCACCTACCATGTGCATCATCATCTGGATAGCAATTTCAGAATACTGGCTGATATAGTTCTTGCACTGAGGAGAGAGAAACAGATTGCTAAACAAATCACTGCAACAATGCACCAAAACCCAACCAACAAAAACCCCCCAGCATTTCCAACAGTGTCAACTGGTGACTATCAAGCAAGTTTCTAAAGTAGAATTTTATGAATGTCTGCTCTGGGCCAGCTTTAATAAGATGAAAATGACAATTTGGTTACTCTATCATTTATAGGAAATGTGTGCAAAAGACGTTTTGAAAATGTTTCTTAAGGGACCTTAAAGATTCCACCCTCCTGTCTCCTTTATCTTATAACCTCACGTGCCCCAGGATCACACAGCAACTATTCAGTGGCAATTTGGAGAGAAGGCAGCTAGGAGATACACTGCTTAGGAACTGGAGCTTACCTTTCAAAGCCATTTACACAATCTCAGATGGCATTATAAAGCTTAAATCCAGTAGAGTCAAGTTATAATGATTTTTAACTGCTTATTTTCAGACAATCTAGATACTTCCAGTAGACTCCACAGAATTGCTCCTTGTATTTGGGGAGCTTCTACAGAGAGAGGACCAAAGGTAACATGATACAGCCTCTCAGAGAGGGTTCAACTGGGAAACCTGTTTAAATGGTGTTATGCAAAGACACTTAAAATGAGGCTACAGGATTCCTAGGCTTTCAAAATGAATGAATGTTCACCTGATTAACATTCCTAACGGAAAGTCAGAGAGAAACCCTCAGCTGGGCGTGGTGGCTCACTCCTGTAATCCCAGCTACTTGGGAGGCTGAGAAGAGGATTGTTTGAGCCCAGGAGGTAAAGGCTGCAGTGAGCTATGATTGTGCCACCGCACTCCAGCCTGGGTGACAGAGCTAAACCCTGTCTCAAGAAAAAAAAAAAAATGGAGAAGGCCTCATCTCCTAGAGCCGGCCACTCCACCCAAAAAGCCTCGCTAGATCCCAAAGGACAGAGTAATTACAACCAGCTTCTCAGCTGCCAGTCTAGCAGGTTTCTTCAGTTGTCAGGTACTAAAAATGGCATTTTGGTTTTACACATCCACCTGAGTGTGATTAATAATCTTGGAATAGGGTCCCAGAATGAAACGATCTAAGTAAGGGGCCAAGAAAATGAGTTTCTGAGCCCACAGGACTAAGGGAGGCTTCCAGGTGAACCATGGTCAGCGACCATGCTTGCTGCAGGAGCACAGCTGGAATTCTCAGTGTCACATACATTAGCCAAGCTTTCAAAAATGGGGTAAATGGCCGGGCGCGGTGGCTCACGCCTGTAATCCCAGCACTTTGGGAGGCCGAGGCAGGCGGATCATGAGGTCAGGAGATCGAGACCATCCTGGCTAACACAGTGAAACCCCGTCTCCACTAAAAAATACAAAAATAATTAGCCGGGCATGGTGGCGGGCACTTGTAGTCCCAGCTACTCAGGAGGCTGAGGCAGGAGAATGGCGTGAACCCGGGAGGCGGAGCTTGCAGTGAGCCGAGATCGCGCCACTGCATTTCAGCCTGGGCGACAGAGCGAGACTCCGTCTCAAAAAAGAAAAAAAAAAAAGAAAAGAAAAGAAAAAAATGGGGTAAAGGCCGGGCGCAGAGACTCACGCCTGTAATCCTAGCACTTTGGGAGGCTGAAGCGGGCAGATCACTTGAGATCAGGAGTTTGAGACCAGCCTGACAAACACGGTGAAACCCCATCTCTACTAAAAATACAAAAATTAGCTGGGCGTGATTGCACACACCTGTAATCCCAGCTACTCGGGAGGCTAAGGCAGGAGAATCCCTGGAACCCATGAGGTAGAGGTTGCAGTGAGCTGAGATCACGCCACTGCACTCCAGCCTGGGCAACAGAGCAACACTCAGTCTCAAAAAAAAAAAAAAAAAATGGGGGCAAAAAGTATTTCTACAGTGTTCCTAATACACAGGGTGCCTGGCAGGAAACAAAATCTTCCCAGAAACAGTCTCCTACTTTTTGTTCCCAGTTTTGTTACATATCCAGATGCCATTAACCAAAATAGATTCAAGTCTGCACTACCTATTCAAGCTGCTTTCTGGGAAAAAAGAGAAGGATGTTGTCTGAACGCCCTACTCCAGCCTCCACAGCCCAACTCCCAGGCCCAGAACATCCCCAATGCACAAGGACACAAGGCTCACTATGTCGGCCATGCCAGGGCCCAGGCGGTCACACTCCTCCTTGACATGTTCCACCAAGGCCTGGACAAAGGTGGAGTTGGTCCGTACAGCAGTCTGGATGTCAGTCACCATCTGAATGCAGTCCTGGCAAACGTCCCCATTATCCTACAGAAGAGGCAGTTAGGTTTGCAACTTAAGAGGACTCAAATTCCTAGGAAAACGTCCTTATATACTCAGGGCTGCAGCATTAGGGGGCACTTGCTGACCAGTTCCTAAGATGCTTTACAGGCTCTCAAATTACTGATAGGCTTAAAATCGATTAAGTGTTCATTATAGTAACAGTATGGTATAAAAAGGGGGTTTAGTATAAATAAAAAGGTTGGCCAGGCACAGTGGCTCACACCTGTAATCCCAGCACTTTGGGAAGCCGAGGCAGGCAGATCGCTTGAACCCAGGAGTTTGAGACCAGTCTGAGCAACATGGCAAAACAAAAAATACAAAAATTAGCCAGGTGTGGTGGTGTGCATTTGTACTCCCAGCTACTTAGGAGGCTAAGGTGGGAGGATCACTTAAGCCTCAGAGGTTGAGGCTGCAGTGAACCATGATCACACCACTGCACTCCAGCTTGGGTGACAGAACGAGACCCTGTCTCAAAAATAAAAGAAGTAAATTTTTTTAAAGGGGATTAATCTTTGCATATTTTAAATATCCCATTCTTTAGAAACTTCATGGTACAACCATTTAAAGGCTGGCTCATGTGACTGCAGAGTCACGCACAGGGATAAGCCCCAGTTTAAGAACCACACGTGCCCTCTCTGTCCCTTTGGTCTCTCATCTCCAGTGCAACCAAAAATGGGTCCTCAGTGGCCAGCCCGTTGTCTTACCTTTGGCTGGGGCTTGCTGCGGGGGCCGTCCTGAGGGTAGAGGAGGAGAGGGATGTTGGCCATGAAGGGGGCCACCACCTCAGTCATGTCCAGCTCTGGGATCTTATTGGACTCCAGCTGCTTCTGGTGATTCAGCTCTGCTAGGTGCTTCTGGAGAGACTCGCAGAGGTTGAGAGCAGAGCACACCTCCCCAGGACGGCTCTGGTGGGATGGAAAGAAGTCCTGCTGAAAATCCTCTCCCCAGGGGAAAATAAGACAGGCCATCTAGTGCCTCTGAATTAGTCCCTCTCTTTAAATCCCTTAAAAGAAACACAAACCTGTTGTCTAAATTCAAACTGCTCAGCATACCAAGAATGACAAAATTACCCAATCCGAGTGCCTAACCACACAGTGGCCCCTAAGCTTCCTCAATTCTCCTATTAGGCAATGATGCAGTTTGGCTGTGTCCCCACCCAAATCTCATCTTGAACTGTAGCTGCCATAGTCCCCACGTGTCATGTGAGGGACCTAGTGGGAGGTAACTGAATCACGGGGGCGGGTTTTCCCATGCTGTTTAGTGATAGTAAGTCTCATGATCTGATGGTTTTATAAAGGGCAGTTCCCCTGCACATGCTCTCTTGCCTGCTGCCATGTAAGATGTGGCTTTGCTCCTCCTTCACCTTCCACCATGATTTTGAGGCCCCCCCAGCCACGTGGAACTGTGAGTCCATTAAACCTTTTTTTCTTTTTTTATAAATTACCCAGTCTCGGGTATGTCTTTATTAGTAGCATGAAAACGGACTAATACAGGCTTCCTAAATGTTACCTCTTTCCCCTCAGCTCTTCTTTAAAGGAACAGGAGGCCAGGCGCAGTGGCTCACACCTGTAATCCCAGCACTTTGTGAGGCCGAGGCGGGCGGATCGCCTGAGGTCAGGAGTTCAAGACCACCCTGGCCAATGTGGTAAAACCCCATCTCTACAAAAATACAAAAATTAGCCGGGCATGATGGTGGGTGCCTGTGATCCCAGCTACTTGGGAGGCTGAGATGGGAGAATCACTTGAACCCGGAAGGCAGAGGTGCTGTCAGTCAAGATCGCGCCATTGCACTCCAGGCTGGGCGACAGAGTGAGACTCAGTCTCAAAAAAATAAATAAATAAATAAATAAAGGAATAGGAGCTTCTTGCTGGAGGAGAAGAGTCAGCAATTCTAAGTCACTTCCCCACAAAATGAGCTAACACGATGGCTTTCAACACCTTCCATATGCTGATGGCTCCCAAGTGTTTAACTTCTGTAATCATGCCCACCCTGCAGACATCTCAAACTTACCCCTCATTCTATCCTGCCCAACTAGCTCCATTTTAGCAAATAACTCCACCTTTATCTTCTCAGAAACCAGGGAGACATTTATAGCTCTTCCTCTCCTATACATCCCCCTCATGAGCAAGTCCAGTCCATTTAATCCTCCAAAAGAGAATCTGCATCTGCCATTTCCACTGTCCACATCACATCTCACTCACAAAGCAATGACCTCCTGAGGGTCCTGTCAGCTTCCGGACTTGCAGCTTCCCTCAATGGGACCTAGACCTAGACCAAACCCTTTGACAAATGCCCTTACAATCATGACACTCCAAGGCTGCACTTGCAATCCTTGAAGATGGCCTAGGAGGCTGTGTATGACACAACCCCTGCCTTCCTCACCAGAACCTTGGTCCTGTCTTGGGAAAGTCCTGCCCCACTGGCCCTCTTCAGTTACTTAAACACCTCTTCTTTGTCAAGGCCTTTCCAAATTCCACAAAGCTAGCTCCGTGTTCTTTGCTAAAAACCCAGTCTGTGACACAGGGTTTGTGTCTGTGTACAATACATACTTGATGAATGAAAGACCCCAATACATTCCCTGAATTATTCCTTGATTATAAGTTCACAGAAATAAATTCACAGAAGTGAGGTTTTGTGCCTGCTCAAAGGGGTCAGTTAAAGATTGGACATGATGTATCCAACTCACATCTCTGAAGGTTATGCCGGTTTACATTCCTTCAGCAGTCCGACCAGTCCCCAGCAGCCGCACCCTCGCTAACCCCAGGGCAAGTTACATACAGAGTGGCCTGCTGTGCCAAAGGAGCTATTCTGGATGTCAAATTGTAGCAAAATGCTGTTGAGGAATTCCAGAGCTAAGAACAGACTTTCCATTTTAATCAATCTACTCTGGGCCACTGCCTCTCCTGGGCCCCAGAAGCACCTTCAAGGAAAAGCCTATTCCCCATCACTTACCATTTCTCCTTTAATGATGTCCAGGATGACAGGGAGGTAGGAGTCCACTATCTCCTTGCATGAAGCAGACATGTTCGGTTTCGGAAGCCAGTCACAGGTCTTCTCCAAGTAAACAAGGATCTCCTCCTACGAGAGGACACCAGGGTCAGAATCACGATAGGCTTTCCTCCCTGGAAATAAATGGGCTGAAGGCAAGAGGCCCTCAATAGCTCCCAGAAAAACCAAGCCTGGAAAACAGCCAGCCCTCAGGGAAAAGGACTTGGCCATGTTACCTATGGCTCTATTAGGTCAATCAGGCAAAAGCAGACATGAGCATTCAAAATGAAAATCCCTGGACCTGCAGTCTCGCAGGCACAGGGAATTCTAAGCAGAGATGGCCAAAATGGACCTAGGTATTAGTGGCATGCAATACAACATCTCAATTAACTTTGGGCATTTAGTCCCGGGGTCAGCAAAGTAGGCCCTTCAGCTTATTTCTGTACAACCCAGAACTCAAGGAATGGTGTTTACATTCTTTTTACATTTTTAAAAAGAGACTGTGTGACAGGGACAGTATACGGCTCATATACCCTAAAATCTTTTCTCCTTGATCCTTTGTGGAAGACATTTGCCACCCTCAGGCCTACACCATTCCTCTTTAGACACCCGGAATCACAGCTCTCTTAGGAACCAGTGCACGTGCCCGTGGCTCAAGCACCATCCCCACTCACCGCCGCTCACCTCAGTGGCATTGTCCTTCAGCATATCACCAGCTGCGGTGACAACGTCTTTGCATATGTCGCAGGGAAGGGATTTCTAAGAGAAAGAATACGAGAAATTTGTATTTGCAGGACACAAATTCACACCCCACACAGCTGGAACTCCCCATGGCCTTTTCGCTATTCTCTCTAACCAGGGATATGATCATGACCGCGCTCCTGTCACATCCTGGTTCTCCACCCTGCATGAGCAGCGCTGGGGCACGGCAGGGAGGGAAGAGGTGTGACTCACCAGAACACACTGTGAGTTACAGGACACAGAACCTTTGCTCATACCCACACAGCACCCCATGTGGCACAGGTCAATTTCACATCAATGCTCACAACACCTCTGAGGAAACTGAGGCTCAGGTGAAATCAGAGTCACATCAGTATGGCAGAGAGGTGGGTGGGACAGAGAAACAAACGCCCCACCCACCTCTGAAGGCACACCCACACTGAACCGTTCACCTGCGCATCCCCTGCCTCCCAGGCATGTTAACAAGGCAAGACCACACCAAAGCCAATCTTCTGATTGGCACCAAGGCCCCCACCTGGACCAGAGGCCATGGAAATTCTAATTGGTTCCTGCGGCCCTTGGGGAAGAATGCCCAGGCTCCCTTCTTGATGTCAACTGACTTTCCATCCATGGAGAAGAAACATGTCTGGGTGAGACTGAGGAACACCTATGAACTTAGCTGCATTTAGAGAAACCAACTTGAACCTAGTCAGGCTAATACAGTCATCCTTTGGTATCTGAGGGGGTATCAATTCCAGGACCCCCATGGACACCCAAACCCCAGGATGCTCAAGTTCCACAGACAGCCCTCAACATTTGTGGAAACAGAGGGTCAAGGGTACTGTGCATGGAACCATATCAAGAGAGGGCCGGGCCGGGCGTGGTGGCTCACTTGGGAGGCCGAGGCGGGCAGATCACGAGGTCAGGAGTTCGAGACCAGCCTGACCAGCATGTTGAAAACCCCATCTCTACTAAAAATACAAAAATTAGCCGGGCATGGTGGCGTACACCTATAATCCCAGCTACTTGGCAGGCTGAGGCAGAAGAATTGCTTGAACCCGGGAGGCGGAGGTTGCAGTGAGCCAAGATCGTGCCACTGCACTCCAGCCTAGGCAACAGAGTGAGAGTCCATCTCAAAAAAAAAAAAAAACAAAAAACAAAAACAGAAGGCCGGGCCATGACAAGACCAGCCAATCAAGTTTTAAAGTCCTTACGGGACACACATTAAACCTGGAAACAGGAAGTAGTATTAAAAACAAGATTGAAGGCAAATTAGAAACCAAATCTGAAAGTAGTTTCAGGCCAGTCGTGGTAGCCCACGCCTGTAATCACAGCACTATGGGAGGCAGGAGGATGACCTTAGCCCAGGAGTTCAAGACCAGCCTGGGCAACATGGTAAAAACACTATCTCTACAAAAAATACAAAAATTAGCCAGGCATACTGGTCCACATCTGTGGTTCCAGTACTCAGGAGGCTGAGGTGGGAGGATTGCTTGAGCCTAGGAGGTTGAGGCTGCAGTGAGCCATGATTGTGCCACTGCACTCCAGCCTAGGTGACAGAGCCAGACCCTGCCTCCAAAAAAAAGGGCAAGTATGGCCACAGAAGGCAGTTTTCCAGTGAATAATTCACAAACTGTTTCTAAAAGAATGGTGCTAAGCTTTCTTCTCTTACTGAAGGAGCAGTAGTGGCCACTGACAAGTTTTTTAGAACCCAAAGTCCACTCAGTCAAACACAGCCCGTACCACATGATGGCCGGCACAGCCCCAAGTGAGCCCAGGGCAGCAGCTCTGTGTTGAGCTGGCATGGTCAGCAGAGCATCTCCTGAGAGGGCTTGGGACCGTGAGGAACACACCCATGGCTTGTCGCCTTAGACCATGCCCCACATTAATACGCTACATTTAGCATTATTTAGATGAAAAATCAGTGCTAGCTTCCTCAGTGTGGTTACAGCTGGAAACCAATTTTAAATGGCAACTGCACTCCAGGATCTCAATCAGCAGTTTGCCTGTTTGAGAGGAGTGAGGAGAGAACAAAATATGAAACAGGCAGAAAGTACCTGAAAAGCTCAGCATTTACTTTTTGGAGTGAGTGACCAAGGATAGAGCCGCGCCCATGTGCCCAGTGGTGGGAATGGGCACTGCCAACCCACTGGCCTCTTATCTAAGGTGAGAAGTGGGATCTGCACAGAGGCCCAGAGGCAGCATGGGGCAGGCACCTGGAGCCGCAGGCATGGGGGACCTCATCCTGTCTGCCACAAGAAACCAGGTAGCCTCAGGAGAGTGAAACCTTAACCTCTCTGAGCCTCCATCTCCTCTGCTGTAAAATGGGTACATTCACCAATAGGTCCTGCCTCCCACACAGAGTCACAGTGAGAAGTAAACAAAACAAGGCAAGAAAAAGTGCTCTGTCAATATGGCAGTGAGTTACAGCTGTTCTAAGGGGACCCAAGAGGAGTGCTGCGGCTGGGACTGGAGGGCAGCGGCACTCACCACTGTTGGCTTGTTCCAAACGGTCTGCAGGCAGTGCTTCACTGCCCCGCAGTCGGACGCCGTCTTCACATTCTGGCACCACACTGCCGAGCCCCTGGTGCATTCTTTCAGTCCAAGGACCGGGCCGGCTAGAGCTAAAATGAAAACCAACGTGAGGAGGTGGCCCATTTTGTAGCAAACCAGGTCGACCTGACTTATTTCCCCAGGGCTGAGGGCGACTGTCCTTGAGCTGGACTCTGCTACTCAGCCCCTCACCAAGCTGTATGGGACACCAGCCACACAGATACACGCCTGTCCCGGTCAAGAAGCTGGCTTGTCTGTCACAGGGCTAGAAGGGACTCATGTATCTGGTTCACGTTCATCCTCTCTAGCTACCTTTAAACAGTATCAGGGAGTATCAGAACTTTAACCTTAAAATGTTTCCATAAGTAATAAGGTATCATCATAACCTTAAAATGTTTCCATAAGTAACAAAAGAAACCATAGGAGAAAAGACTAACAAATTCAAATACAGGGAAGATTTTGACTTCTGTAAAATGGATAACAACTGTAGAATGAAGGGTTTTTTTAAAAAAGAAAAACAGGCTGGGCACGGTGGCTCACGCCTATAATCCCAGCACTTTGGGAGGCCAAGGTGGGTGGATCACGACGTCAGGAGATCAAGACCATCCTGGCTAACACAGTGAAACCCCATCTCTACTAAAAATACAAAAAAAAACAATTAGCCAGGTGTGGTGGCGGGCGCCTGTAGTTCCAGCTACTCGGGAGGCTGAGGCAGGAGAATGGCGTGAATCCGGGAGGCGGAGCTGGCAGTGAGCCTGGGTGACAGAGCGAGACTCCGTTTCAAAAAATAAATAAATAAATAAATAAATAAATAAAATAAAAATTAAAATTAAAAAAAATTCATACCCTTATAACATAAAACAATGGCCAGCTGCCGGTGGCTCATGCCTATAATCTCAGCACTTTGAGAGGCCGAGGTGGGGTCAGTTGAGTCCAGGAGTTCGAGACCAGCCTGGGCAACATGGCAAAACCTCATCTCTACAAAAAATTAGCCGGGCATGGTAGCACGCACCTGTGATCCCAGCTACTCGAGAGACTGAGGTGGGAGGATAGCTTGAGCCCAGGAGGCAGAGGTTGTAGTGAGCCGAGATCTCACCACTGCACTCCAGCGGTGAGCTACCATACCTAGCCCTAAAAATATTTTATAAACTGCCTTGAGAGTGCCTATGTTTCTTAAAACAGGTCCTTGATTTTAGAACCAAAAAAATGGGGAAAAAAATCCTCAGATTCACATCTCACTTCTAGCCCAATTATTTAGCTAGGAAACAAGAGATTACATCGGACTACACATAGAGGATGGTGGCATGAGGGTCAAACTCCAACAGGCATCTCAGTAGGGTTGAACAAACTTTTGCTGCAATAGATACTTGACCCAAGTCTGAGACAGAAAAAAAAAAAAAAAAAACAAAACACAATCACCTGAGAAACACACTTAGAACCTCAGGAATCTTGCTGTATGCTGCTTCCCTCTGTAAGCCAATTCTACATACGTGTGTAACACACATAGGAAACACGTGTTGTATAGGTCAGTACGTGTTCTTCCTCCAGGAGAGGGTAAGGAATGAACTGCTTTCTTTCATTACTACCTCCACAAGCTACTCACACAAAGACTGAGTCCCACAAAGCTCGAGTCAGATCACCTTCACCCCTTCAGACACAAGCAAATGAATTATTCATCTGCTGCCCAGATTATAGCCTTCCCTGTCCCCTGGGAGCAAAATCACAAACACGTCCAGTTCGCAACCTCAACCAAGCTGGCCACATTCCAGAGGCTGCTGGTTTGGACTCTAGTTTCCAGGGGAAAACATGTGCCAGATGCAAATCAGTACCAAGCTCCCCAGATGGCTCACAAAAGCTTAGTTAGCCCGCAGTGTAGCCAAGCATGGCTGGCGCCAGCCTCAGTTATAAATCTCAGGGGAGCGGTGGAGGGGAGGCAGAATTGAGTCATGAGGGTAAGGGCTCTGGGGACTGTGCGGTCACAGAGACAGCACAAATAGGAACCCCAGACCTGATGACTCCCACCACACCCTAGCAGGCCCTGGGCCCCTAGGACTCTGAAAAGGACCCATGATGACACCATGATACACTGCCTAGCCCTACCTCCAAATCAAGATGAACAGGAGGCTACCAAATGAGTCTCTAGGCAGAGGAAGGCAGAGTGATACACAGGGAAGCCAGAAGAGGATGGGCTCAGACCTCAGGAGACCAGAGCCAAGACAGAGGAGTCACCACCAAAAGCAGGGGCAAGTGACCAGCACCCCCGATTCTTAAAAATGCTCATCCAGTGTAATGTCCACCCAGCTACTTTCTCCAGCCCTCTCAGCAGGGAACTAGCTACAGCTGACCAAAATCTAGAGTGTTTCCGGAACACAACACACTCTCACAGGCCCATGTGAGAATACTTTGTAGGCTGCCTACTTCCTCTAGGAATGTGAAACAATAATCGTTTTCCATGATGACTTTGTTACTTGTTT
The DNA here is from genome assembly GCF_000001405.40 of Homo sapiens. NCBI lineage: Eukaryota > Metazoa > Chordata > Mammalia > Primates > Hominidae > Homo > Homo sapiens. The sequence continues at coordinate 71,836,909 of NC_000010.11, forward strand.
TGGTCCGGCCAACCTGGACTGAAAATAATCTTGGGCAGCCCCTTGTATCTGAAACTGGCCCAGCTAATACAAACTGACTGTCACTTCCCAATCCATGACCTACTGAATGGCAGCAGGCCTCTTCCTCAGATCTGGAGGCAAAAAGATACGCATGGTGGAGAATTCGGTACGCCTATAAAGTCAAGTTCCAGCGTAAAACAGATTTCCGTGGACACAGGAAGTAACACGTAAATTCCAACTCCTAGAAAGTGCCTTCTTAGCAAGACACCCCCTTCTACCTCCAACCACAAGCCAAACATAAAGGTGCATGTTACAAAAACAGCCTGTGGTATGCAACGGATTCCATCTCCCAGGATGAACGACATGATGACATACGTTCATAGACTGCGTGTCCTCAGGGCAGGCACCACTGGGTGGTGCTGGGGAGCTCCCAGCCGCCAAGAGGTGCAAAGCCCACTCCCAGAGCAGATCTCCTAAGAGGGGATCAAACAGTGGGTCAGAACCTTTTGGGGACATGGATCCCTTTCCCAGAAACTTTATTACACACACATTTCTCCTAGCACTTGAGGAACTTCTCAGGTCCCAGCTGTGGATTAATCATAAAGCTCTACAGGCAAGGGTGGTTTTTCTCCACACAAGCAGGTAAACAACCCAGCTGAAGGCATGGCTACCAGCTCCACTGACTGCGCAGAGCCCGAGGCCCTCAGGCCAAAGAACAAATGAACAGTCACGATTTTCTTTACCCCAAAGAGCAGGAGGAACAGACATCTAAGTAATGGTGTGTGATCCCACGCATCGGTGGGAATGGGAGCGGCAAGGCAATGCTAACGGAGCCTTCCTCAAAACGAAATTGGAATTGGCACCTGCAAGATGGTGACAGAAAAGGCTGGCTACGTGGAGAGGGAGTGGGGAATTCCAGAACATTCCAAAGGAGTCCAGTTCTCTGTGGGGAAGGGAAGAAACTGTCCTGTCTTTTCAGGAGCGAAGCCAAGGGAAGTAGCGGCAGCCAGGCTGCAAAGGCAGACAGATCTCAGGTGCTTGGGGGAATGGTCTCACCTGCCCCACACACCCTAAGGTGAGGGCTCAACCCCGTGGGCGATACTGCAGGAAGCTTCAGGGATTTCTGGGAGGGACAGGACAGGCAAGCTCATGTGTGGGTCTCAACCACCCAGGCACAAGGTGGCAGAACTGAAGAGGAGGTGGGAGATACCAATGTCAGGCACCTAACTGGAAGGCGAATTCAAAAACGTCCACATGAGAAATGGAAGCAGCAAGAGCCAAGAGAGGCTAACACAGAGTCCAAGAGAACAAGATGGGCAAATGGCACTAACAGGGTTCCATGAGAAGTTGTGCAGACTCAAAGGGAAAACAGAACAGCAAGGGCCAATAGCACCAGGAGAGACACGCCCATGAGCAACGTGAGCTGCTCAGCAGAGGCCAGGGAGGGGAGGGCCTGGGGCCCCACCCAGAGAGTCCCCTGGAGGACTGGGGATGAGTGACGGGAGAAGGAATGTTTCAGAGACACGCGGTCATCTCCAAGGAGGGGGAGAATCCCGTACACCTTCCACCAGGGTGTGGAGCTGGTATGAGTGGCTCCAGACCACAGATCTCTGAACAATGGGTGCAAGGAAGCAGACCACAGCTCCAGGTAAAGAATGCATTTAACATCCACCCAGGGGCATAAAAAGAGAACGGATTAGCTGGACGTGGTGGTGCACGCCTCAGTAGTCCCAGCTACCAAGGAGGCTGAGGTGGGAGGATCGATTGAGCCCAGGAGGCGGAGGTTGCACTCCAGTGCCCCAGCACCACTGCACTCCAGCCTGGGCAATAAAGCCAGAGCCTGTCTCAGAAAAAAAAGAGAGAATGAGTGGCATCATTAGGTGATGACCTCACCAACAGTGGAAGCAAACAAGCAGAAACAAAATGCATAACTTATGAGCAATTCTATATAAGAGGGATCCTTTCAGTGGTGGGCTGAACTAAAAGAGCTCCGAGGAGCTCCAAGTCTTCACTCTAACAAGGCAGATAACATTTTCAGCATTTATAACTAATAAATAAACACTACCCAAAAACACTTTCTCGTGAGTTATTTCTCAAAACATGTGGCCAGCAAAGCCTTTAATCTCTATTCTCATCCTCCCACACCCTACCCCCAAATACCAGCTTCCTTCTCTGAGGCAGTATGCTGAACTCCAAAAAAGTTCTTAGAATGTTTGACCTCCTAAAGATTTCCAATTAAATGTGTCATAAAGACATGAACAGCACTCGGGGCAAATTGAGCACTTCACTTCTTAGTTCAAGGGCCTGGCAAGACAGCTTGGAACAACGGGCTCTTTTTTTTTTCTTTTGAGACAGAGTCTTGCTCTTGTCGCCCAGGCTGGAGTGCAGTGGCACGATCTCGGCTTACTGCAGCCTCCACTTCCCGGGTTCAAGCGATTCTCCTGCCTCAGCCTCCCAACTAGCTGAGATTATAGGCGCCTGCCACCATGCCCAGCTAATTTTTGTATTTTTAGTAGAGACAGGGTTTTGCCGTGTTGGCCAGGCTGGTTTCGAACTCCTGACCTCGTGATCCACCCGCCTCGGCCTCCCAAAGTGCTAGGATTACAAGCGTGAGCCACCATGCTTGGCCCCACAATGGGACTTTTTTAAAGACATAGATTTCAGGGCCATGTGCGGTGGCTCATGCCTGTAACCCCAGTACTTTGGGAAGCTGAGGCAGGAGAATCATTTTGAGCTCACAAATCAAGACCAGCCTGGCAACACGACAAAACCCCATTTCTACAAAAAATACAAAAATTAGCTGGGTGTGGTGGCAGGTGCCTGTAATCCCAGCTACTCAGGAGGCTGAGGCAGGAGAATCGCTTGAACTCAGGAGGCAGAGGTTGTAGTAAGCCGAGATCACGCCACTGCACTCCTGCCTGGGCGACAGAGCGAGACTCCATCAAAAATAAGAAAAACAAATAAGCCATTATTATTCTATGTATTTGTTGTTTACAGTCAAACCTAAGCCCAACTAATATACATACTTAATCAACGACCTCGCTTACAGAAAGGTCTCCCAACAAGTGTTTCCTGGCTTACCCCAGTGAGGATACCGAAAAGCCCAGTACACAACATAATCACCAAAGATTTTCTGAAGCAATCTTAAAATGACAGGACAACATTTCCTAGAATGTGATAAAACAATCAGTCTCATTATTTTAGCCATACAACATATGCTTTTCCTTTTAAATATTTTAGTAACATGCTAAGTACAATTTGAATCTAGCTACCAGAAAAAAAAAAAAGAGGTAACAGAAAATGCATGCAGCCTCCCAGTGCTGACAATCAGAGCCTACATTCCACAGGGCAGCAGATCTGCTGCCTGGGTAAGGCGGCACCATGGCAACAGGCAGGTTGCTAGGAAACCAAGAGAGGATAACCCCTGGAGGAGCGGCTTCTACCGCAGGGCATTTCTCAGAGGAATTCATGCACTTCCATCCCCTAAGAGCAGGAGATAATGCAATGCACTCAACACTAGCTACTCAAACAGCTATTGCCACAAATATCTTCTATGGCAAAGAGCACTTGTCTCTTCCTCATAGATAATCCTGCCTTTGGAAAACAGTCTGCAGAGCAGAATAAAAACACAGCTCACTGAATCATTCAGAATAGTATACGCTCAGAGGTAGTCTCCCTTGATTTGGAGGAGTTAAGGTCCAAGAGTCCTCATATCACATAAGAAATCAGTGGCAATAAAGCTCTTAAGCTCACTAGGCTGACATCCCATCACCTCTGGCCTCAAAGTGTTAAGACAAAGGTCCTTTCTTCCCTGCTTCTCCTCTGCTGCTACAGCCTCGCTTCTTAATTTTCCTTACAAGCCAGATGATTCCAGGGCAGGACATTATCTACACGGAGAAGGCAACAGAGTCCTCAGGGAAATTACCTTGTGCAGTAATGACTGAGGCTGGGGACAAGAATGCAATCTTCTCAGATTGTATGCAATGGAGGCTTAATTAATTTGGGGACAATTCCTAACTAGTTCATTCAAGGGTACTGTAGTCCAATAAAAACTCCTAACAAAGCTTTTCTTCCAAAGCATCAACATATCAGGTGATGATCAAAGAAGAACTTAGATCACCTTAGATAAGATTACATGGTAATCCATGACTGAAAAACTAGCCCTTGGCAGGACTATCCAGATTCCAGCCAAGTGAGCAAGTGGAGGCAGGGGTCAGAGGCGGGCTCTGCATGGCTCCCCATCCTCGAGAAAGCTCCACTGCAGATCCAGCATGCTGCACCGCAGTTGGCACAGGCACCCACACAAACTGGTGCTGGCTCCCACACTGAGCATTGCTGACCAGCTGCGTGGTCTCTGCACATTTGCAGAAGATAATCATATGCTGAAAAAGGTTTCATGCAAACCTCATTAAAGAAATTCAGTATTCTGAACCTGTCTCATCTACTGTTTACTAACTTAAAAGTTCCAGATATATGTGAGTCTACTATAAATGTCACTTTTGGCTTCCTTCAGTTAGTACTTTATAGGAATACTGCCTTCACTTGAAATCTAAAATGTTCAGACCACAGCATGGGTCACGGGAGGATATCAGACTGGCCCAGAATTCCGATTCAGTTGCTTTCACCACAGAGGGCTGTTATGAGAATTAAATGAATTAATGTTCAATAAAAAGCAAAACGGGCCAGGCACAGTGGCTCCCATCTGTAATCCAAGCACCGTGGGAGGCAGAGGCAGGCAGATCACCTAAGCCCTGGAGTTCAAGACCAGCCTGGGCAACATAGTGAAACCCCATTTCTACTAAAAATACAAAAAATGGCCAGGTGCAGTGGCTCACGCCTGTAATTCCAGCACTTTGGGAGGCCGAGGCGAGTGGATTACTTGAGGTCAGGAGTTCGAGACCAGCCTGGCCAACACAGTGAAACCTGGTCTCTACTACATATATATATATTAGCCAGGCATGGTGGCACACACCTGTGGTCCCAGCTACTCAAGAGGCTGAGGCAGGAGAATCACTTGAACCTGCAAGGCAGAGGTTGCAGTGAGCCGAGATCAAGCCACTGCACTCCAACCTGGGTGACAGAGTGAGACTCCGTCTTAAAAAAAAAAAAAAAGCAGAACATCTCCGCATGGGTTAGCTATTATAATTTCTGTAGTTTCTGCAAATCATCTAAACCAGTGGTTCTCAAAGTGTGGTCCAAAACGCCGAGCATCCCAGGGACTCTTTCAGGGGGTGAGGGCAAAATCCTCATGATAAAACCAAGACATCAGTTGCCATTTTGCTCATTCACAAAAGTCCAGTTGAGTTTCTGCGGAGGCATGTGACATGACATTGCAACAGACTGAATGCCCAAGCAGCTAATAATCCAGCCAGGTGTTAAAAGGATTGCAAAAATGTAAAACAGGCTGCTCACTAAATATTTGTGTTTTGGAAAATATTTTTTCATTAAAAATATAATACATACAATAAATATATATATGTTAACATGTAATGGTTTATCAATATTTCAAAGCATTAATTTTTAAACACTGACAGTTTAACTTATAAGATGTTAAATATTGATAGATACAGCCCACGTAAACACAAGCTCTTTGGGGTCCTCAATAACTAATTAGTATATAGGGATCCTGCAACCAAAAGTTTGAGAGCCTCCAAGCTAAACATCTGGAGAACAACCAACTTCTGAAACCAAAAGTGGGAGGGATAATTTCCTCAACTTATAGCTGCTTCCCTTTTCAGATTTACCTCAAATCAGAGCCACCATGAACATCTAAATTATATTAGACTTCCCTGTACCTATCACCTACATAGAACCCTCCCCAAAAGGTGTGGGAGGGGCAGGTCCCAAACTATCATCAACTATTATAAAAGTCAACACTTCATTTGCGCCCAAAGTCACTCTTAATTTCATAACTCCTAAAAACAATTTCTTAAAATTAATTTCAGAAAAATAAAAGATAATATTCTATCTAATCATGACAAAGACTCGGCACTATGAAGCAATGAAGTTTCAGGCACACTAGCCTACACTTCCACAGCTGAAGTCTACCTGGCTACACCTCCTGGCACTCATCAATGCTAAGCACCTGTTATGTGCCAAAACTGCCGCACATGCTGCAGACACAGCAAGCGATCAAGACAACACACACATCACAACGCCAGGTAGCGGTGAGTGCTACAAATAAAGCAAGGTGGGGTGGGGCAGCTATTTCAGGCACATCAGTGGGGAACTCTGATAAGGCAACATCAAGCAGGGACCCGAATGCACAGAGAGGAAGCCCCATGGGTTACCCAGGGAGGAAGATGTTCCAGAGAGGTGGAATTCAAAATGGAAAATCTCTGAGCACCAAGAAGGAAGGGGCCAGAAGGCTGGACAGCAGGCCAGACAGAAGAGAGGGGGAGGAGCTGAGAGGTGGCCAATCACCAGGTGACAGGCGACCTTGCGGACACACTTGAGTTTTATTCCTAGTGCTATAGGAAGCCACATGGCCCTCTGGTATCAATGCCTGAAAAAGAGACTTACTCGTACAGAACAGCATCCCATCACAGCTACTGAGAGAGTCATAAGTAACGTGACAAATACTGGCCAAAAGAACTTTCTCTGCGTCTTCTTCAATCTTAGTCATGACGTTTCCACTCATGTAAATAATTTTTTAAAGGCAGTATCTGTCCAAATGTGGCCAGAATTTACAATTTTTACATTTGCAAGTCTCATTAGAATTCACCTAGCAGTTTATTAGACGTCGATGTCCATCAATAGGGATTAAAAAGACACATCCATACAATGAAATACTCAGCTGGGAAGTGGGAAGAGATTAAGGAGACCTGACAGCCAAGGGCAATGTGGCATACTGGGTTGGACCCAGGAACCAAAAAATGAGATTAGTGGAAAAACTGGTAAAAATCCAAATAAAGTTTGCAATCTAGATACTGACAGTGTCCTGATATTAATTACTTGCTTTTGGCAAATGTACCATGGTTATACAACACGTTAACAGTAGGGGAAGCTGGGGGAAGGGTATACAGGAACTCAGTATACTACCTTTGTAACTTTTCTGTAAATCTAACATTATCTCAAATTTTAAAATTTAAGTACATCTATCTGTGTTAGCATGAAATTACCTCTAGGATATATTGTTTAAGAAAACAAGAAGAAATGCAAATGAAACCACTAAGTCATTTTACTCCTATCAAATTAGCAAAATTGAAAGTTTTAACAATATCAAATGTTAACAAGGGCATGCAGTAACTGGAAACTGAATACGTTATGGAATGGCAACTGCCAAGATCATTTGAGAGCACTTCTACAATTGTTAGTTACTCCACAACTCAGCAATTCTGCTCTTAGACATATGCCCTAGATAAATGTTTTCCATGTACACAAGGAGACATGTACGAGAATTTTTACAGAAGCAGGCTGTAATAGAAAAAACTAGAAATTATCTAAATGTCTATCACTAGAACAGAAATGATACAGGCCAGGCTCAGTGGCTTATGCCTCTAATCCCAGCACTTTGGGGGGCTGAGGTGGGCAGAACACCTGAGGTCAGGAGTTTGAGACCAGCCTGGCCAACATGGTGAAACCCTGTGTGTACTAAAAATACAAACGTTAGCCAGGCATGGTGGCGTGCACCCATAATCCCAGCTACTCGGGAGGCTGAGACAGGAGAATCACTTGAACTCAGGAGGTGGAGGTTGCAGTGAGCCAAGATCACACCACTGCACTCCAGCCTGGGCAACAGAGCAAGACTCTGTGTCAAAAAAAGAAATTACATAAATGGAATACTATATTGTAGTGAAAATGAAATAGACCTACATATTTTTGTAGGGGGCTTTCCAGTAAAAACCAGAAAGCCTTCTAGACAAATTCTAAAAGACATAACAGTAATCTATACATTTTCAACATAGAAAAACCTCCCTAGCAAAACAAAAAACTAACCTAACAATATACAGTGGTCCCTCCTTAACCATAGCTTCCTTTTCTACCGTTGCAGTTACCCACGGTCAAATGTGGTTTGAAAATGTATTCCCACAGTCAAATGTGGTCTGAAAATGTATCCTGAGAAAGACCACATTCACATAATTTTTATTATATATTGTTTTAATTGTTCTGTATTACTAGTTGTTGTTAATCCCTTACTGTGCCTAATTTATAAACTAAACTTTATCACAGGTATGTATGCATAAGATAAAACATACATATATAAATAAGATTTGGTCCCACCCACAGCTTCTGGCAACCCCTGAGGGTCTTGGAACATAACCCCCAAGGATAAAGAGAAAGACTATTTATTGGATACAATATTTGCAAAATGTTTAAAATATCCAAAACAATACTCTATACACACTGCTGAAGCTTCCAGTCACATGTATGGAAGGAAAAAGACCTAACGGGGAGGAAAAACAAGTCCAGGAAGGTGGCTCTCTACGGGGGCAGCTGGGTTATCAGGTTCCATTTCTTAACCTGGGTGTTGCGTACACATGTTTATGATAATCACTTTTCCACTTTTCAAATGTTTCACAATTTAAGGAGCAACAAGCAAAACAGTCAGTAGAATATACTACTATTTGTGTTAAAAAGAAAAAAGGCAGAAGGAACTCACACATGGGATGTACCTCTGCAAGCTTCTAAGGGAGCTGCTACCAGGCTGTTTGGGGAGGGCCTGGGGACAGCAGTGGCAGGGACAAACCTTGTACTCTATACTCCATTCTACTGACTGACCTGGCTTCCCACGTCCATCTATTATCTACTCTAAACAGCTCGCCTCCATTTACGAATGGGGAAACCGAACTAGGGGGCTGGAACAGACAACCTCAGGTCCAGGATTAGTGACAACAGATCTAGACCCAAGCATTCGGGTTACCAGGAACCAGCTCTGATCTGCTGGGCTGCTCTGATGTCAAGATCCCCTGGCAGCTAAACCTAGTTTGGCTACCTAGACTATGAACTGCCTGCCAACTCCCTCCTAACTGCTGTCTACCTACCCTGGCTTGTTTTCCTGACTCACTAATTATACCCAGCATGTATGTTTTTAATAAGTCAATTTAATTTTGTTAAAGTCACAACGTCCTTTGAAATTAAAGACGCCAAAGGAAATCACAAAATCAAGGGCAGAAAATAGGCCGCTGTGCTGTTGGGGACAAAGATATTGACAATACATTACTTTTATTAGTGGTACAGCAACAAAGAATACTAACTAAGCCCTTTTCTGTATTAACCTAATTTATTAAAGCTAAACAGCAACCCAGTGAAATAGATGAGTAATGCCACTTTACAAATGATGAAATACGGGAGAGTTTAAGCAACTTGCCCAAGGTCGTACGGCTACTGTCAGCAATGAGATAATGTGAAACTTCCACTCCACATTATCATCTTGTCCCAACATACAAAATTACAAATGCCACAAAGTTATTTTTTTGGAACTTCATGTAATAAAAAATAAAGCAATTAGTACTTTTGCAACAGCCAAAATCTTCATCCCAATCACTGTATTTATCATCATTGTTTTAAAGCCCTTAAAAAAAAAAAAAAAAAAGCCAGGTGCGGCGACTCACGCCTGTAATCCCAACACTTTGGGAGGCCGAGGCAGACAGATCACTTGAGGTCAGGAGTTTGAGACCAGCCTGGCTAACATGGCAAAACCCTTTCTCTACTAAAAATACAAAAATTAGCCAGGCATGGTGGCAGGTGCCTGCAATCCCAGCTATCAGCTACCTGGGAGGCTGAGGTATGAGAATCACTTAAACCCGGGAGGTGGAGGTTGCAGTGAGCTGAGATGGTGCCACTGCACTCCAGCCTGGGCAACAGAGTAAGACCCTGTCTCAAAAAAAAAAAAAAAAAAAAAAAAAGGCAAGCAGGGCAATGTAATTCTAATTAGTACTCTCTTTCATTGATCTGAAGAATATCCAGACCCTCCTTCCTGGTGGCAGAACCAAAAAGGAGCCAGAAAGCAAGGCTTACAGCCTGGTAGCCAGTAACCTAGAATCTCTGCTAGAAGCTGCCTCCAAAGCTGCCATGCACACCTGTCTAAGTGGCTTTGGTCTTGGCCTTGAGAACTTCCTAAGCATGCCTCATTAGGTGCTGTTCCCAGCCAGCAACACCCCGCCCTACCCTTCCACTTCCCCACAGCTGCCTGGACATCCCATGGTCTCACTCACCAAGAAAATGGAAGACCAAGTTCTCCTTTCCCTCATCTACAAAATGCCACACCAATCAATCCAACACACTTCAACTCTCATAGTTTGTTCTCAAAACAACCTGTCAGGGCCGGGTGCGGTGGCTCACACCTGTAATCCCAGCACTTTGGGAGGCCGAGGCAGGCGGATTACTTGAGGTCAGGAGTTCAAGACCAGCCTGGCCAACATGGTGAAACCCCATCTCTACTAAAATACAAAAAATTACCTCCCATTTACCCGAGTGTTCAGGGAAGAGGGTCCTTTGGTCAACTAAATATTGTGGTTAACCATAAGCCCATATATACCAGAGGTGGATTTTATAGGCATGGTGGTGGGCACCTATAATCCTAGCTACTCGGGAGGCAGAGGTGGGAAAATCGCTTGAACCCGGAAGGCGGAAGTGGCAGTGAGCCGAGATCGCGCCACTGCACACCAGCCTGGGGACAGAGCAAGACTCCCATCTCAATAACAACCTGTCAGGCTTCTCCCTTTCGGATGCCTCTCTCTCACAAGAGAGAGCTGCTCTCCTTTCTCCTTTCTTCTGCCTATTAAACTTTCTGCTCCAAAAAAAAAAAAAAGAAACAAAACAACCTGTCAAATGTACTTCAAGGACTTGACAAATCACTGATTTGTTAAAACAAACCCTTCTTTCTTCAGGAATTATACTCTTATTTTCACAGAATAAAACTGATTTACTATTAATAAACAGGAGATTTATCCAAAATCCCTGACAGGCCAAGACCTGAAGTTCCTACTGATATTCAGCAGGCCAGGCTATAAATTCACATGTTATTGAAAGAATATATATAACACCTTCTAGCATCCCCAGAAAACATAACTGTCTTAGCGTGGTGTAGACAACATTCAGCAGGCTAGCCACCACACAGCTGACAGCTATCAGGGCATCTAAGCTTCAGGGAGCACCTGCCACATCCCAGGCACCATCCCTCATGCCTTACACCTAGCTGATGAACACGCTCCTTTTTCCACCAGAGGACTCACCTAACAGCAATACCCTCCATGATCCCATTTGTAAAAGATCGAAACTGCAGCCTTCACATCTATGGTGTTCAAAGGTTAACAATGTTTCCTTCGGGGCAAGTGGGACAGGGCAGTGAATGGGTGAACAGGGGCCTCTGGATGCTACTGCACTGCTCCCCAACCTCGGGGGCTGCTCACTTTGTGGTAATTCATCAAGTTGTCTACTTAATCGTCCACGTATGTAACTTACACTAAGTTTTTAAAAGTTAAGAGGTCCATGTGGACAGAGGGATATGGAAAAAGCGAGCACTGTGGAGTCTTGGGTTCTGGTCCTGGCATCCCCAGTAAATGGTCTATGATTTGGGAGAGTCACCTCTGGGCACCTCCAGGTCTTCATTCCTTACAAAGGGGTCAGATTACATGCTCTCCAATTCTCTCATGGTGCCATGGCTTTGCTTTCGCTTTTAGGTGGGGAAAAAGGAGGGGCAGCTGGATGGGCAGAAAAGTAACTCAAAAGCAAGTGTCTCTACCACCAGGACATCACTGAAACACAAAATACAAAGCCCATCCCGATTCAGGGTGGCATTCTGTACTACGACAGTGTCACGAAGAAAGTTCTAAGTGCCTCTCGGGCAGCAGACAATGGCTGCAGTCACCAGGCACTTTCACTAACAAAACTCATTATCATGTCTAGAAATTTTAGGAGTAACATTTTCACAATATCACAAAGGGGCCAGAGCTGTGAAGGCCAGGGAGCATTCAAACACTGTTATCAGCACTGACTTTGGCCTAATCCTAAAGGTAGGACAGCAAAGTTAAACCAAGGCCATTACAATACCTCCCATTTACCCGAGTGTTCACGGAAGAGGGTCCCTTGGTTAACTAAATATTGTGGTTAACCATAAGCCCATATATACCAGAGGTGGATTTTATATTTCCCGAGACACGATTGAGTCCCTTTTGGGTGATGTGAATGAATCAGAACTCTTAAGGGTCTTGTGAGGAGTGACTCAACGTCAACAAGAACAATGGATAATGTAAAAAGAAAGAAAAAAAATTGCCCTGAATCAGTATAAAAAATTTAGAGACCAGCATTAGTTTATTATACAGACCATGGAATAACTGCAGTATAAGCTTGAGTATAAAATCAAAATGATTTTTTTATAAGCAGATCATCTTTCATTGTGTACAAGTAAAACAAATTTAAGAGCTTCGTATAGGGTCAAGATACATTCTTGAGAGCTGCTGAAAGCTAACTCATTTCTTCGGTTTTGCATCAACCCTGTCATCCACTTTGTTACTTTTTATTAAAATTTGGGTAGCTAGGTTAAAAATGGCAGCCAGCCCTTAAACTACATATAGTTACTAAAAAACAGACATTGTGGTGGGGGCTGGGTGCGGTGTCTCACGCCTGTAATCCCAGAACTTTGGGAGGCTGAGGCGGGAGAATGGCTTGAACCCGGAAGGCGGAGGTTGCAGTTAGCCGAGACTACGCCATTGCACCACTCCGGCCTGGGCAACAACAGCGAAACTCCGTCTCAAAAAACAAACAAACAAACAAAACAAACAAACAAAAAAAAAACGGCCAATAGCGTGCAAGACTTTCTTTTCTCTTTTTCTTTTTTTCACAGGTGGGGTCTTGCTATGTTGCCCAGGCTGGTCTCCAACTCCTAGGCTCAAGCGATCCTCCCACCTCGGTGTCCCAATGTGCTGGGATTACAGGCATAAGCCACCGCACCCAGATGCAAGACATTTCAAAGCAAGTGAAATGAGGACCCCATGGCAAAATAACTGGACCAGAAAACCCTATATCGCCTTCAATACCTATGAGAATTAAGCTCCGATTTTTTTTAGCTTGCCCAAATTCCTATCTAAGGGGTGTAGGAATCATACCCTACAAACCATAAACTCTCATCAGATGGGTTTTATTTGACCCCATATATCGTGACTTACTTTCCAATCTGACTCTGGCATAACATTTTATAAGACAAGGAAAAAAAAATCAAAATATCTAACCCCAAAATATATTTCCTTGCCATACCTTGAAATTGCCCTGCAAAGTCTCTTGTGGGAAAAATCCACATTCTATAGAGAATCCCCTTTCCCCTATGTTTTCCTTCCTTCCTCTCCAGATCCAGGAGATAATCAACTAAGAGCCAGTCACCCTTTCATTTCCATAGAAATATTTTACAACGTGCTCGCTCTCTTAGTCGGCTACCTGAGAGCTTCCTCTGCACAATAAAACTTGGTCTCCACAATCCTTTATCTTAACTTGAATACTTTCTTTCTATTGATTCTAGGTTTTCAGATAAACTCAACCAATTATCAACTAGAAAATGTTTAAATTTACCTATGGCCTGGAAGCCCCCCGCCGCTTTGAGTTGTTTCGCCCTTCTGAACCAAACCAACGTATTTCTTAAATGTATTTGATTGATGTCTCGTGCCTCCCGAAAATATGTAAAACCCAGCTGTATCCCAACCACCTTAGGCACATGTTCTCAGGACCTCCTGAGGGCTGTGTCACGGGCCATGGTCACTCATATTTGCCTCAGAATAAATCTCAAAATATTTTTACAGAGTTTGACTCGTTTTGTCAACACCTAGAATCCAGAGTAAATACATATGCAAACGTCAATATAGATGATACACATGTGCTTCCTGCAGCTTCGCTACCCTTACAAACAGGCAACTGAAGCCAACGGCCAAAGTGTCCTGCGGGACGGGGCTCCAGCCCACCTCGATCACGTGCGCCCAGCACAGGCACAACACAGCTGCCCAAGGGGTCACCCTACAAGACTCACCCACCCCCACAGTGGGAAGCGCAGCCTGAGGGAAGGCCTCGGGGCCCCAGCCGCGCAGGAACCCACTCGAGCCCCGAAGGAGATGCTGCCCAGGGCCTGGGCCGTCCTCCCGGGGGCATTTTCGCAGCCCGCCCCCCGCAGCCCCCAGCCGCCCAGAGAAAGCCAGAGAAAGCCAGCGAACGCGCCTGCGCAGTGCGCGCGCCCCCTTGCCAACTAGGGCAGGGGGAGCAGAGGGGCCAGGCCCGGCACAGCCCATTCTGGGGCAGATGGACGCTGCGAGGCACCTCCTCCCCAGGATGAGGGTCCCAGGGCTTACCCGCGCCCAGGAGGCTGGCCAGGAGGAAGAGGGCGTACATAGCGCCGTCTGACTCCGCAGTCTGCAATGCGGAGCGTCAGCTGATCCCCCGCAGATATAAATCTGCCCTGCCCCAAAGCCGTCCAGAGCGCAGGCGCTAACCCCGCCCCATCCGGGCCTGCCCGAGCTCAACAGCGCCCTGACTCAGCGCCTCTGAGGGCGCCTGCGCGAAGGGGAGGCCAATAGGAGGGGGCAATGGGAGGGGCGAAAGGAAGGGCTATGGGGAGGAGTGAGGAAGAACTTGGAGAAAGGGAAGGGAAAGGTCATAAAAGAAAAGCCCTACTAATTGAATAGGTCAGAGATTATATATGTAAAATACCTTTTAAATCTCCACATTGTTGGCCGGCCGCGGTGGCTGACGCCTGTAATCCCAACACTTGGGAGGCCGAGGCGGGCGGAGGGTTCAAGACTAGCCTGGGCAACGTGGTGAAACCCCATCTCTACAAAAAAAAAAATACAAAAAAATTAGCCCATTGTAGTAGCGGGTTTCACATAGAATAGCTTGGGGTTTCACATAGAATAAGTAGTCGTGTAACAGGGTACAGGGCTCAGTCCTGGCCAGGGGCACGTGGGGGCAGGTGGTGGCACCTGGTCAAAGGCAAGTCTGGGCTGGGCATGCTGGCTCACTCCTGTAATCCTAACACTTTGGGAGGCCGAGGCGGGCGGATCATGAGGTCAGGAGTTCAAGACCAGCCTGGCCAATATGGTGAAACCCTGTCTCTACTAAAAATACAAAAATTAGTCAGGCGTGGTGGCGCTCGCCTGTGGTTCCAGCTATTTCAGGAGGCAGAGGCAGGAAAATTGCTTAAACCCGGGAGGTGGAGGTTGCCGTGAGTCAAGATCGCACTACTGCACTGCAGCCTGGACCACAGAGCGAGAGAGATTCCCATCACCAAAAAAAAAAAAACAAAAAACTTTTAAGCCTCACATTGTGGTACCGTTAAAGATGTAATACCATTCCTCACCCATCATAAGAGATCATAAGAGTCACAACCAACACTCCTGTAACGAGACAGCTTAAGAGAAAAGCATAACAAATTTATGTAATCAACGTTTTATGTGACATGGAAGCCTTCAGAAATTAAGACCCAAAGACCCTCTGCCTGTGGCTGCCCCTGCCAGGACCTGAACAGAGAATGATGATGACCCTCTCCAGAAGGATAAGAACCTGCCAACCGCAAGGCAGGGAAAGGAGGGGAATCTTAGCCCCTTAGGGCAGGCACTTAGAGGTCATTTACCTGTAGGGACATTGAGCCTAGGAGAGGGCAAGACGTTTATCCAAGGTCACACAACAGGTAGAGATAGAACCTGGCCCGAAGCCAGGTTTCCTGACCCAGGAAGGGCAAACCTACAGTTCCTCCAACTTCCTCCAATCTGCAATCCGCTCTGGAGAACAACCCCAGGGACTAAGGCCTCAGAACCTTCAGTTCTGCTCCCCTGCAATCTCCCTAAGTGCCCCCAGCCCCCACCACAGCTCTGACTTCCTCTGGGGAGCCAGATGGGGAAGTGTGCCCCATGCACCACAGTGGGCCATGTGAGGCAGCTGAGTGAGTTGGGACAAGATGTGGTCTCAACTGGACGCCTCACAGGTCGGCCTCAGTGGCCAGATGGAGACTTCGTGGCTGCTCCACCTTTGGGCTTCCCAAGGCCAGGCAGAAGCGTGGGGCAGACCACACAACAACTGGTTAAAAGCAAGGGAGCTAGCCGGGCGCGGTGGCTCACGCCTGTAATCCCAGCACTTTGGGAGGCCGAGGCAGGCAGATCACGAGGTCAGGAGATCGAGACCATCCTGGCTAACAGGGTGAAACCCCGTCTCTACTAAAAATACAAAAAATTAGCCGCACGATGTGGCGGGCGCCTGTAGTCCCAGCTACTCGGGAGGCTGAGGCAGGAGAATGGCGTGAACCCGGGAGGCGGAGCTTGCAGTGAGCCGAGATCGTGCCACTGCACTCCAGCCTGGGCAACAACAGCGAAACTCCGTCTCAAAAAAAAAACAAACAAAAAAAGCAAGGGAGCTGGGGCTCTAGGACAAATCCCCCATCCTTCAGCTCCTTGCAGATGGAGGAGCAAAGCATCCCAGTGCTCCATGCAGAGGTTACAGGACCCCAAGCCAAAAGGACGCTCAGAGACCTCAGATCATCCCCTCTCATCTTATAGAGCTACTGACATCTCAGGGCTGGTTAACAACAGAG
This sequence comes from Homo sapiens, assembly GCF_000001405.40. Taxonomy (NCBI): domain Eukaryota; kingdom Metazoa; phylum Chordata; class Mammalia; order Primates; family Hominidae; genus Homo; species Homo sapiens. The sequence continues at coordinate 71,853,413 of NC_000010.11, forward strand.
CCTGAACCAGGACTTGTTTTTTTTGTTTTGTTTTGTTTTGTTTTGTTTTGTTTTTTGTTTGGAGATGGAGGCTCACTCTATCACCCAGGCTGGAGTGCAATGGTGCGATCTCAGCTCACTGCCACTTCTACCTCCCAGGTTCAAGCAATTCTCCTGCCTCAGCCTCCAGAGTAGCTGGGATAACAGGTGCACGCCACCACACCTGGCTAGTTTTCTTGTATTTTTTGGTAGAGACAGGATTTCACCATGTTGACCAGGCTGGTCTCAAACTCTGACCTGAAGTGATCTGCCTGCCTTGGCCTCCCAAAGTGCTGGGATTACAGGTGTGAGCCACCACACCCCTCCTTTTTTTTTTTTTTAAATATTCCTCCTTCATACCTAGAGGAATATGTCAGTGTTTTTGAGAGAAACTTTTGCTGCCTTTCATCTCCTCACCTGTAACTCAACAGTAATATGCTGCTTCATCCGCCTCGTCCTGAACCCCATGAGGACAGAATTTTAACAAAGAATATAAAAGCAATAAGTAGATTATTATTAATTTTTTTACCTTGTCAGTAGACGCTTAAATCCTCTTAAAAAAAAAAAAAAAAAACCTTCTGAACCATCTGCGTGTAGGCAACAAGAGCTGTGAAGCTCCTCAAACCCTCTGGCTCTCTTATGCCTTTCCTAGCTATGTACCCTCAGGGAAATACTCCAGAAGTGAAGGAATATTTTGTCCGAAGTGTTCACAGAAGGGCCCTTTAGAAACATGGAAGCTGGAAAGATCCCAAGTGCTGAACAATGAAGAGATGACTGTGGAAACTGGCTGGACAGAGCAACGGTACTGAAGCAGCTTTGAAACAGGAGGAGGAGGGAGCAAGGGCTAGGCTGCAGCAAGTCTTCCAGGAACGTGGGTCCCAAGAAACATGGGCAGAGTGAGAGGCCAAACCCCATCTGCTAGTAAGCCCTGCTGCTGACTTCCCAGAGAGGATGGCAGAACTGGTGGAGAGCTTCTAGATCCTGGATCCCATCGGGCGCAGTGGCTCACACCTGTAATCCCAGCAATTTGGGAGGTCGAGGCGGGCAGACCACTTGAGGTCAGGAGATCGAGACCAGCCTGGCCAACATGGTGAAACCCCATCTCTACTAAAAATACAAAAATTAGCTGGGTGTATTGGCATGCGCCTGTAATCCTAGCTACCTGGGAGGCTAAGGTATGAGAATCGCTTGAACCCAGGAGGCAGAGGTTGCAGTGAGCTGAGATCGCACCATTGCACTGTAGCCTGGATGACAGAGCGAGACTCTCTCAAAAAAAAAAAAAACCCCAAAAACAAACAAAAAAAGATCCTGCAGCCTGCCGCACCCCAAAGAGAGGATGCACGGGCAGCCATGGCCCTCCACCCTGTCCCTCTCCCTCCCACAAGTGCAGGATTTCAGCCAGGAGGGGAACAGAGAATTGGAAGTAGGGGGGAAATTCTGACTTTGGATTAACTCATCTTGCATTATTTCACTCATGGAAATGTCCACATTGCAATTTTTAAAAAACAAAATTAATATAGGAAATTTTAAAAGAGAAAAGAAAATCCCTTCCACTACCACCCTCTGGGAGCTCAAGTCTTCAAGGAACTGAAAAGATATTTTTCCTTAGAAATGTGAGCCACGCTTAAGGTTTCTCAATGGCCTTCCAGTTCTGGATCTCAGTTCTGCATGAGGCCCCAATTTTCATGTCTGAGATCTCTTGAAATCCCCACCTGTCAGACCCTTTTAATAATTTTCCAGCCGGGCATGGTGGCTCATGCCTGTAATCCCAGCACTTTGGGAGGCCAAGGTGAGAGGATCACTTGAGCCCAGGAGTTGGAGACTATCCTGGGCAACATGACGAAACCCTGTCTTTACAAAAAAATGCAAAAATTAGCCAGGTGTGGCGACACAGGTCTGTGATCCCAGCTACTCCAGAGGCTATGGGACGGGAGGACGGCTTGAGCCCAAGAGGTTGAGGCTGCAGTGGTGCACCTCTGCTTGTCAGCCGGGGCAACGGAGCAAGACCCCATCTCAAATAATAATAATGATGTTCCCTGTGGCCCCAGATGGCCTCCATCTGTTACTTTTTCTACAACTGAAAGTTCCGGCCAAGACAGCCAAGGAGATAAGACATATCTACCATTGAGGCCCAGCCCACCTGCTTGGCCCCAAGGCTCCACTCCAGTGCCCTAAACAGCAACCCTGGAGCCCCCTAATGCCCTGGAAGCCTCCCTTGACCCCTCACCCTGTCTCAAACAATGACAGGTTCTCTCCCTCCAGCATCTTCCTACTCGAGACCTCTGGCTTCAGACCCTCTAGCCTGCACTTGTCCTTGTGCCTGGAATGAGACCTCAGGTGTCACTCAAGGCAGGCTCAGGCTGTCCCAGGGACACCTCTCCCATCACCCACCAATTCCCAACCTCTGACTTCTCCTCCTATACCCCCACCTCCCCTGGACTGATGGAGCACTCAACAGTGCAGCCAAGCTCACCAAGCCCTCTGTGCTTCTCAGCACCTATTTAGCCTCCCCTGTGGCAGAGTCTGCTACACCCTCTAATATCATTCACCCCCTTCTCCTTGATTTGATAGTTACTAATGAGACCCCTTATTTCTAGCAGGGCACATGGCCACCTAAAATAAAAGCTACACATTCCAACCTCCCTTGCAGCCACGGGACTTCACTGTGGCCAATGAGATTTAAAAAAACAAGTGCCCAATTTGTGACTTCTAGGTACTGCTTTTTAAAAGAAGGCATATATCCAGTGCAAATATTCAAATATTTAACAACTAGTACTGCCAGGACACTGGCCATAGTGCTGGGGGAATGTCCTAGAAGGCCCCAACTGAGCCAGGCTGCTGTCTTGGAGGGGTGGATGGTTCCTGGGGATGACCCGGCAGCGGGGGTGGGCAGCAGGAGGCTAGCAGGTGTTACCAACTGGTACGAAGTCCTTCATAATTTATTTATTTTTATTTTATTTTATTTTTATTTATTTATTTATTTTTATTTTGAGATGGAGTCTTGCTCTGTCGCTCAGACTGGAGTGCAGTGGTGCCATCTTGGCTCACTGCAACCTCTGCCTCCTGGGTTCAAGCAATTCTCCTGCCTCAGCCTCCTGAGTAGCTGGGACTACAGACCTGCGCCACTATGCCCGGCTAATTTTTGTGTTTTTAGTAGAGATGGTGTTTCACCATGTTCGCCAGGCTGGTGTTGAACTCCTGACCTCAGGTGATCTGCCCACCTCGGCCTCCCAAAGTGCTGGATTACACCAACCCTGCTCTTTATAATTTAATTACTGGTACAGTTCTACTGATATGTATCAGCTAAATATCAGCCCTGGCTACAATCTCCTTTCTTCGGCCCGCTGCCTGGATTGCAGACATAATGGCAGGAGCTCAAGCATCCATCCTGGACCATGAGGTAGAAGCCTCTTTAAGGATGACAAAGCAACAAGAGAGGAGCCTGCCTCCCTGATGATTGTACCTGCTCTAGGCTGTCCCTTGCGGGCTTTATTTATGTAAACAAACTCCTATCTTTATTAAGTTTTTGTTATCTTCAGTTTTCTGCTTCATTCCTAATCTTGTTAACAATGCTCAAGCCCCTATGTAATTTTTAATTTATTTCACACCCATTTACTGTTTTACTCCTTCCCTTTCTCTAAGAAGATGTCCTTCCTCTTCTTTGCAAGGCTTTGTGTATTTTCCTCCCCTTTGCAAGTTTAGCCACTAAACACTACTATGCTTTTGCTGATCAGCTCCTGTGACTTTTAGGACAGGACTGATATTCTGTCTATTTTGGTTGTTTAATGCCTGCGTCCTTCACTTTGTTGAATTAATTATTTCCTAACTGCTATATCACCAGGAATCATCGGTGAATATTTTTAATATCACCGCTCTGGTACTTTGCTTTGTCAATTGTTCTTTCTTTATTTTCTCTCTCTTTTTTTTTTTTTTTTTTTTTTTTTTTTTGTGATGGAGCCTTGCTCTGTCCCCCAGGCTGGAGTGCAGCGGTGTGATCTCAGCTCATTGCAACCTCCGTCCCCTGGGTTCAAATGATTCTCTTGCCTCAGCCTCCTTTGTAGCTGGGGCTACAGGCGTGTGCCACCACACCTGTCTAGTTTTTGTATTTTTAGTAGAGGCAGGATTTCGCCATGTTCACCGGGCTGGTCTCAAACTCCTGACCTTAAGTGATCCACCTGCCTCTGCCTCCCACAGTGCTGGGATTACAGGTGTGAGCCATTGCGTCCAGCCCCCTTCTTTTTTTTTTTTTTTTTTTGAGATGGAGTCTCACTCTGTCACCCAGGCTGGAGTGAAGTGGTATGATCTTGGCTCACTACAACCTCCGTCTCCTGGGTTCAAGCGATTGTCCCACCTCAATCTCCCAGGTAGCTGGGATTACAGGCACACACTACCACACCTGGCTAATTTTTGTATTTTTAGTAGAGACGGGGTTTTGCCATGTTGGCCAGGCTTGTCTCGAACTCCTGATCTCAGGCGATCTGCCCGCCTCAGCCTCCCAAAGTGCTGGGATTATAGGTTTGAGCCATGGTGCCCAGCCCCTTTCCTTTTTTATATCTTCTGTCTCCCTCTGTACACTGACTTTTCCCTGTCAGACTATAAGTATGCCCAAGGCTCTCCCATCCTAAAAGAAATCTTTCTTCACCTTGACTTTCACATAAGCCACTGTGCTTTCTCTCACCTTCCCTTCAGTGCCATACTCAGTATGGCATATACACTCACCATAACTACTACTATCCCTCCCAACTATAATCCAGCCCACTGATCCCCCAAATGGCTTCTGGAAAGTAGACAGTCAATTCCTTCTTGGTAAGTCCACCAGCACCTTCTGTTCCCTTTCACCTCTGGCACTGTTGGTTTGCTTCTCCTTTCTACAAGTCCTCCTCTCCCGCCCCCGCCTTTGGCATCAGTGACAGGGTGCCACTCCACAGGGATGCTGAATATGCACCACACACGTCCCCACTGCCTGCTTCCTCATTCATGGCAGACATCACCAATAGACCTTGCCTCCTGAAGCCTTGTCAACTCGGTACTCCTCTGCTTTCAAAGTTGGCTCTTGGGTTAACATATTTGCTGTCTGTCTCAGATGGGGTTGCCTGGGAACCACAGTCTAAGGCTGAGATGAGCAGGCAGGAGTTTATTGGGGTATGTTCTCAGGATCACACCTGTGAGGCCGTGAGGGCAGCAAGATAGGGGAAACCAAACTGCGACAAGGTTGTTACATTGGCCTCAGCCCATACCGCGCTGCAGGGACGGTGCTGCAGAACGGCTGTCAACTGGGGTAAGGGGTGTGGGCCTTTAAAGCCCAAGATAATATGTCCCAGGGGAGGGAGTGTAAGCTTGGGTGAGGGGCTCCGTTGGCTGAGGGGAATTCCTGGAGATGGCACAATTGTGAGCCCTCAGCAGACGAGCCCATGGTGGAGAGACAGTGGGTGGCTTGGTCCTGAAAGAAGAAGCTATATAGTGAATTCCACCACCATACTCTGCTTGCTCTCAGTCATCCTTCTACTTCTCTGACCATTTCTTTTGCTTTTTTTTTTTTTAAGATGGAGTTTTGCTCTTGTTGCCCAGGTTGGAGTGCAGTGGCACGATCTCGGCTCACCGCAACCTCCACCTTCCAGGTTCAAGCGATTCTCCTGCCTCAGCCTCCTGAGGAGCTGGGATTACAGGCATGCACCACCACACCCAGCTAATTTTGTATTTTTAGTAGAGAGGGTGTTTCTCCATGTTGGTCAAGCTGGTCTCGAACTCCTGACCTCAGGTGATCCACCTGCCTCAGCCCCTCAAAGTGCTGGGATTACAGGCGTGAGCCACTGCGCCAGGCCGCCATTTCTTTATAGCAAGCTTGTCCAACCCACGGCCTGCAGGTCACATGCAGCCCAGGACGGCTTTGAATGCAGCCCAACACACATTTATAAACTTTCTTAAAACATTATGAGATTTTTTGTGTGTGATTTTTTTTAAGCTCATCAGTTATCATTAATGTTAGTGTATTCTATATGTTGCCCAAGACAATTTTTCTTCTTCCAGTATGGCTCAGGGAAGCCACAGAATGGACACCCCTGCTTTACGGAACACAAGGCCTTGGTCCTAGCCCAGCTTTGCAATCTCTGTTCTCTCAAACTTCCGACCTTGCCCTCCATCCCATGGTTCCACCTACTCTGCCCACATTCTCTAAGATTGTCTAAATAAGCTATGCAGCTCCACATTTATGTGCCTTATAAATACCCCCATCCCCTACCTCGAATTCTATTCCCTGCCTCTTTCTCTGGTAAACTCTTATTCATCCTTCAAAATCCATTTAAGGCCAGGCACGGTGGATCATGCCTGTAATCCCAGCGCTTTGGAAGGCCAAGTCAGGTGGATGACTTGAGATCAGGAGTTCAAGACCAGCCTGGCCAACATGGTGAAACCCCGTCTCTACTAAAAATACAAAAAATTAGCTGGGCGTGGTGTCACGCGCCTGTAATCCCAGCTGCTTAGAAGGCTGAGGCGGGAGAATCGCTTGAACCTGGTGGGGGCGGGGAGGGGAGGTGGTATGGAGGTTGAGCTGAGATCATGCCACTATACTCCAGCCTGAGCGACAGAGTGAGACTCTATATCAGAAAAAGAAAAAAAAAAAAAAAAAAAAAACAGATACTGCCAGAGGGAAACCTTTGCTATTTGCTATGCTTTAGGAATTGGTGGACACTTCCTCCTCACTGCTCCCTCTGGGATCTGTTCACATCTCAACAGCATTTCTTATTTTGTCCTGTTATTTTTTTAGCAATACATTTATTGAGTGCCTGGTATATACCAGGCACTGTACCAAGGGCTGAAGACAGAGAAATGAAGCACGCAGGCTGAGTGGAAAGGCCACACAAGAGGCTCGTTGTTATGTCCCCACTCCGGGGAAGCCAGATTGCTGGCCGGGCCCACAGCTCCATCAGGGCTCCTTGTACACACGTCCCATTCGGCACCCTGAGGCCCTGTCACCCGCTGGGCTGTGGGTGATCAGATTCCCAGTCAGTCTATTCTGAGAGCCGATCAGTGCATGGGATGCGGCCTGGCCCCACAGCTCTGTCCCCAGATGTTATTCCTATTGGACAGGCGGCCCCCATCAGCTGCTCTCTTGGGGAGAGCAGGAGCTGCCAAGAAGGCCTTGCATGAGCTGGTGAGTCAGCAGCAGCAGGGCAGTGGGGCAGGCCGGGAGCTGCTGAGTCACTGTAGCAGTCTGCAAGTTGGTGAGGTCAGAGCCCCTAGAGAATCTGATGAAAGCTGGGAACACTCTGCCAGAAAAATGCTCAGACACATTTTGCACTGACTTCAGGAGGCTCTCAGGCCTCAGCCACCCATCTGTGGATGTCAGAAGGAGAACCTTAGTAAACCCAAAGAGGGGAAGTGACTTAACTGCTCACAACACCAATAAATAATAGAACTGAGATCAGAGCCAGTTCTCCTGAGTCACAGTCCTGTCAATTTATCAGATTATGTCCCTGTGCCAGGCATCTATCAAAGCCTCCCTTTATTTCAAGGCCCAGCTGCATTTCACCTCCTGGGAAGCCCCCCTGCTTCCTCTAGCCTCAGGCACCTTTCTCCTTCTCTAAATTTCAGATGATTTGCTGCTAGAGCCCTTACTCTTGGGTGAACTTGGAGGGTGAAAAGAACAAAGACTAGATTAGATCAGTTGTTTCTGAGCCTGAAAAGGAAAGCAAGAACTGGGCTGTAATCAAACTGACCATGTTAGCATATCTTAAAACCAAAGCTTCTTAGCTGGGCGTGGTGGTGTGGGCCTATAGTCCCAGCTACAGGAGGCTTAGGTGGGAGGATTGCTTGAGCTATGATTGACCCACTGCACGCCAGCCTGGGCAACAGAGCAAGACACTGTCTCAATAATAATACTAATAATAATAACTGGCATTAATTAGTTGCCTGTTAATATACCTGACTGTCAACTGATCACTCTATATACATAATCTCTCTTTTTTTTTTTTTTTTTTTGAGATGGAATCTTGCTCTGTTGCCCAGGCTGGAGTGTGGCGGCTCGATCTCAGCTCACTGCAATCTTTGCTGCCCAGGTTCAAGCAATTCACCTTCCTCAACCTCCTGAATAGCTGGGATTACAGGCGTGCACCACCATGCCCAGCTAATTTTTGTATTTTTAGTAGAGACGAGGTTTCATCATGTTGGCCGGGCTGGTCTCAAGTTCCTGACCTCAAGTGATCTGCCCGCCTTGGCCTCCCAAAGTGCTGGGATTACAGGCATGAGTCACCATGCCTGGTCAATATATACATGATCTCTATTATTTATTTATTTATTTGAGATGGAGTTTTGCTCTTGTTGCCCAGGCTGGAGTGCAATGGCACAATCTCGGCTCACTACAAACTCCACCTCCCGGATTCAAGCGATTCTCCTGCCTCAGCCTCCCAAGTAGCTGGGATTACAGGCATGTGCCACCACTCCCGGCTAATTTTGTATTTTTAGTAGAGAGGGGATTTCTCCATGTTGGTCAGGCTGGTCTCGAACTCCTGACCTCAAGTGATCCACCCGCCTCGGCCTCCCAAAGTGCTGGGATTACAGATGTGAGGCACCAAGCCTGGCTACTTATTTATTTTATTTTAAAATAAATATAGCATCTCACTATGTTGCCCAGGCCGGTCTCAAAATGGTCTCAAACTCCTGGCCTCAGGTGATCCTCTTGCCTTGGCCTCCCAAAGCACTGAGATTGCAGTTATGAGCCACTACACCTAGCCAATCTCCAATCTATTCTTTCTTTCTTTCTTTTATTTCTTTCTTTTTTTTTTTTTGGCAGTCTCACTCTGTTGCCCAGGCTGGAGCGCAGTGGTGTGATCACGGCTCACTGCAGCCTCAACCTCCTAGACTCAAGCAATTCACCCACCTCAGCCTCCCAAGTAGCAGGGACCACAGGCACATGCCACCATGCCTAGCTAATTTTTGTATTTTTAGTAGAGACAGAGTTTCACCATGTTGGCCAGGCTGGTCTTGAACTCCTGACCTTGTGATCCACCCGCCTTGGCCTCCCAAAGTGCTGGGATGAGCCACCGTGCCTGGCCAAGCCTCCAATTTTTAAATCAAAGGTTTGATTACTCCCATTTTACAGATGGGGAAACCAAGTCTCAGAGAGGCCGACTTGCCTAGGATGTCCCTGGTCCTGATAGAACCAGGATTCAAGCCCAAGATCATTTGGGGTCTGAAGTCTATGCAATGTTGTCTCCATTGAGAATCAGAATTGCCCAAGGGAAGCAGACACGAAGTACAAAGATCCACCAGGCCACCGGGGGCTGATGCCATCGCACTCCACCTTTCCACATTCCCACTCCACATGCCTGAGCAGACGCTATGACTGACCAGTCTGATCTCAGAGGTGCAGTGTACTGCTCAGCTGTGCAGATAAATCTGTTAAGGTGACAGAGCTGTCCCCTGGGGTCAGCTTAGTCTTAAGGACTTAATCTGGTTTATGTATCAGACTCTTGTAAGTTTCTTCAGGAGCCTCACCCTGAAAACCTTAACCTTTTCTTTGGGCCAGGTAAACCAAGATCCTTGGACCCCAGTGTCTTCATCAAGATTGTGACACCCTATGAAGACACTTCCCAATTGGCCCCTGGCCTCCACAATGACACCTATCCTAATCCTCAGGGCAGTGGACTGAGAACACGCTTGGCTCAGGCTGGACGTTTGTGTCTTAAATGACCTTGGACACAAGTGGGCTGGAATTAGGGCCTCTGAATCTTTAGGTTTTCTGGAGATTTCCATTATAAGTTATGATCCTGTCTTCAGAGTTTCTTTATCTTATTAGGAGTTTGACTGAGTACTACTCTGAGTTCGAATTACCTCACCCAGGAACCCAACACCCAACCCAAACCTGAGAGCTTTGCTTATAGAGAGAGGACTGGCTTTCATGTCAGGGACCTGGAATCTCCTCCTTGATCTGCTTCTTGCTGGCTGAGTCACCTCTGGGGAGAACTTCACCTCCCCATACTTCAGTACGTGCATTACGAACATGGACGTAGTCTGGCAACTGGGAGGAGCTGTGCCCACCGAAGGAATCATTGTGCCTTTAAGGGCATAAACCTGGTTTGAGATCAAATCCGTCCACTGAAACATTAATTCAACAATCCTCCCACCTCAGCCTCCTGAGGAGCTGGGACTACTGGTGTACATCACCATACCCAGCTAATGTCTTATTTTTTGTAAAGATAGGGTCTCACAATGTTGCTCAGGTTGGTCTTGAATTCCCGGGCTCAAGGGATCCTCCCACTTCAGCCTCCCAAAGTGCTGAGATTACAGGCATGAGCCACTGTGCCTGGCAGATTTGTACACTTTATTTATTTATTTATATAATAAATAGAGATGAGGTCTCGCTATGTTGCCCAGGCTGGATTCAAACTCCTGTCCTCAAGCGATCAGCCCACCTCGGCCTCCCAAAGTGCCAGGATTACAGGCATGAGCCACCTCACGCAGCAAATTGTACACTTTTTTTTTCCCCGAGACGGAGTCTCGCTCTCTCACCCAGGCTGGAGTGCAGTGGCACGATCTAGGCTCACTGCAACCTTCGCCTCCCAGGTTCAAGTGATTCTCCTGCCTCAGCCTCCCGAGTAGCAGGGACTACACCACATGTGCCACCACACCCAGTTAATTTTTGTATTTTTAATAGAGATAGGGTTTCACCATGTTGGCCAGGCTGGTGGCGAACTCCTGACCTCTAGTGATCCCTCCACCTCGGCCTCCCAAAGTGCTGGGATTACAGGTGTGAGCCACCATGCCTGGCCCCAGTTGTACACTTTAAATGTGTGAATTGCATGGTATATAAATTATAACGCAATAAAAAAATTTTCTTCTTCTTTCTGAGACAAGGTCTCTCTCTGTTGCCTAGGCTGTAGTGCAGTGGCACAATCATGGCACATTACAGCCTCGACCTCCTGGGTTCACATGATCCTCCTGCCTCAGCCTCCCAAATAGCTGGAACCACAGGTGTGTGCCACCACACCCAAATAACATTTTTTTTTAAATTTTTTTGAGATGGAGTTTTGCTCTTATTGCCCAGGCTGGAGTGCAGTGGCGCAATCTTGGCTCACCACAACCTCCGCCTCCCGGGTTCAAGCAATTCTCCTGCCTCAGCCTCACGAGTAGCTGGGATTACAGGCATGCACCACCACGGCTGGCTAATTTTGTATTTTTAGTAGAGATGGGTTTTCTCCATGTTGCTCAGGCTGGTCTCGAACTCTCAACCTCAGGTGATCCGCCTGCTTCAGCCTCCCAAAGTGCTGGGATTACAGGCGTGAGCCACCGCACCCAGCTATTTTTATTTTTTTTTGAGATGGAGCCTTGCTCTGTCACCCAGGCTGGAGCGCAGTGGTGAGGTCTCGGCTCACTAAAACCTCCACCTCCTGGATTCAAGTGATTTTCCTGCCTCAGCTGGGACTGCAGGTGCATGCCACCAAGCCCGGCTAATTTTTTTTTTTTTTTTTTTTTTTTGTATTTTTAGTAGAGATGGGGTTTCATCATGTTGGCCAGGCTGGTCTCGAACTTCTGACCCCAACTGATTCACCCACCACAGTCTCCCACAGTGCTGTGATTATAGGCATGAGTCACCATGCCTGGCCTCCTTCTCCTTCTTCTTCTTCTTCTTCGTCTTCATCTTCATCTTCTTTTTTTTAAAAAAAGAGGCAATAAAATATTTCTCTTAAGCAATCTAGCTTGAAAGTGTCCAGAGGAGGAGACGCTAAGGTCCAAATCCCGCTCTATCCCTTAGCTGTACCAACTGTGAGATCCTGCTGGGCACCAACCCTTGGTGTCCTCATTCAGAAGGTGGACAGCCCCTGGGCCTAGGCTGTTGTGAAAATGAGAGGAGGGCAGGGAGGAAATGCACCTGGCACTGGGCCTGCTGTGTGCTGGTCAGGATGCCATCAGCAGGAACAACAGGCGGAGGAGGCTGCAGGTGAATGATGGTGTTGGGGGAAGTTCTTTCCCTTTTATTTATTAAGAAGGGGAGGAGGGTTTCTTAATGGAGAAAGAAAGTGGGGAAACTATCCCAGAGCCTGTGCATCCCAGGGGACCTTTGTTCTCCAACCTCCCCTCTCCCAGCCCCACCCCCGCCATGGGCCTATATCTGCTCCACAAGCCCCCACAAGTGTAGTTACCTGGCAGCCCCATCCCCATGGTTGCCTCACCCCAGTGCTGGTAGCAGGACAAGGGGGCTGCCGAGGCTGGAGTGATGTCAATGCTGGGGGAGGAGAGAGACCCTCAGTCCACTGCCACCAACCCTGCCAACAGCAGTTGCTGAGGAGCGTGCTGTGCTGACTGTGGGCTGGGCTCTTGCTTCCCCTCATCTGCCCACAGTCCAGGTGTTCCCAGCATCCCCCCATCCCCTCCCCCGCCTGCCCAGCTGCTGAGCCAGTGTCTGACAACACCCAGACCCAAGATGTCAGAGCCTGTCCCCTGCATCCCAGCGGGAGCTGTTCCTGGACTCAGAGGCTGTGGTCTACAGAAAAGGCCCTGATAGGAGTCTGAGCTGGTTCCTAGTCCACACTCATCACAACCAAGCTATGGGACTTTGGGCAAGGCACTGCGCCCCTCCGGTTGCGCTGTCCCCATCACCAATGTGACTGTGGGAGCCAGGGTACGGGTCATCCAGGCCCCACTCCATGGTAGCACAGTGGCCCTGGAGGCCAGTGCTTCTGGTGGTAGGTGTCCCAGATGATGCTGGCCATTTGCATGGGCTCTCTCTGGCCCTGGAAGGAGTGAGGGCAAGGGTTGGAACCCTACTGTGTGCGGGACTCTGTGCCCTCCATGTGCTCCACCTCATTTAAACTTCACCGACCCCATGGGTCCAGTGTGAATAAGTGGGCAGGCTCTTCCAGGCCTCATGGTCAGACAGTCTGGACTCATATCCCATCTCCACCATGGACTAGCTGAGTGACCCGGGCAGAATATTTACCTTCTCTGTGCCTCAGTTTCCCCATCTATAAAATGAGGCCAAAATAGTACCTTTCTAACGGAGTAGTTGGGACAGACTGATTGAATACATGTCAACTGGGCAGAACAGTGCCTGGCACACGTTAAGCCCACAATAAGGTTAACTGTTGTTATTACTAGTCCCATCTTATAAGGAACTTGGGGCTCAGGGAAGCTAAGTGGCTTGCCCAAGGACACACCGCTAGAAAATGGTGGGGCAGGGCTTTCCACTTTTTTTTTTTTTTTTTTTTTTTGAGACAGAGTCTTGCTCTGTCACCCAGGCGGGAGTGCAGTGGTGCCATCTTGGCTCACTGCAATCTCTGTCTCCAGGGTTCAAGCAATTCTCCTGCCTCAGCCTCCTGAGTAGCTGGGAGCACAGGTGTGAACCACCACGCCTGGCTAATGTTTGTATTTTTAGTAGAGACGGGGTTTTGCCACGATGCCCAGGCTGGTCTCGAACTCCTGACCTCAAGTAATCTGCCCCCCTCAGCCTCCCAAAGTACTGGGATTACAGACATGAAGTTGATGTTCCTTCCCACCACCCAGTACTGGACCCCTTAAAAAAAATCCTGAGATGAGCAGTGTGGTAAATGCTGATGGTCTCAGGAATGGCATTAAAAAATAATCATGTAGCCAGGCACAGTGACTCACACATCTAATCCCAGATCCCAGCACTTTGGTAGGCCAAGGCAGGTGGATCATTTGAGCCCAGGAGTTCGAGACCAGCCTGGGCAACGTAGCGAAACTCCATCTCTACAAAAAATTATCCGGGCATGGTGGCAAGTGCCTGTAGTTCCAGCTACTCAGGAGGCTGAGGCAGGAGGATCACTTGAGTCCAGGGAGGTACTGGGTGGTGGAGTGCAGTGGGAGACACCACTGCACTCCAACCTGGGTGACAGGGTGAGACCCTGTCTCAAAATAATAAGTGGCCAGGCACAGTGGCTCACGCCTATAATCCCAGCGCTTTGGGAGGCCAAGGCGGGTGGATCACCTGAGGTCAGGAGATGGAGACCAGTCTGACCAACATGGAGAAACCTCGTCTGTACTAAAAATACAAAATTAGCCAGGCATGGTGGTGCATGCCTGTAATCCCAGCTACTAGGGAGGCTGAGGCAGGAGGATCTCTTGAACCCAGGAGGTGGAGGTTGTGGTGAGCCGAGATCGCACCACTGCACTCCAGCCTGGGCAACAAGAGCGAAACTCCGTCTCAAAAAAATAAATAAATAAATAAAATAAAAAAGAAAGAAAGAAAAAGACATGAAAATAATGATAACAAGGTTTATTTTCTGATTACCAAGGCAGTACAGTAGTCCCCCTTGCTTATCCAAGGTTTTGCTTTCTGCAGTTTCAGTTACCTGTGGTCAACTAAGTTCCAAAAATACTAAGACATTTTGAGAGAGAGAGAGAGAGAGAGCATGCTGACCTAACTTTATTACAGCACATTGTTATAATTGTTCTACTTATTTATTGTTGTTAATCCGTTACTGTGCCTGACTTATGAATTCAACTTTTATCACAGGTGTGTATGTATAGAAAAAGCAGAACATATATAGGGTTCGATACTATCACTTAGGTCTCAGGCATCTACTGGGGCTCTGGGAAAGTATCCCCTGAAGATAAGGGCGACTACAATATTTGTTCACTATCAGTAACTGAGAAAATGCGGAAAAGCGGAAAAGAGACAAGTAAAAATATTTTTCCCTTCGGGGAAAACCCTTTCTTCTTTGGATAACTAAAAACCTGATCTCCTGCATGTTGTGAGACCTATCAAAGGGAGGTGGCCTTCACTCACCTTAAGCAAGGCTTGACGTTGTCCAAGGGCCCAGCAGGAGATATTGCCAGCACCCACCCTCCCCAGGGTAAACACAGCCCCTTCCACTCCCTCCTGGGGCCTTCGGGCCCCACCTGGGGTCACAGCCTTGAGGATGCACACTGCAAGCCACAGCCTGCAGCTGCTTAGGTCATGTGATTCAGTGAATGCCAAGCCACAGGGCTCAGTCCTCCTCAGAATTGTCTGGGTCACCCAGAACACCCTATGTGAGCCATGTGATTCAGCGGGGTCACATGCTGAGCCACAGGCATTTGACTCCATGCCAAATGTCATCACTTCCAGAAAGTTAGCAAAAAATTATGGTGGCTCTGGTGTGGCAAGCACAGGGCAGGGCAAAGGAGACCGTCACTCCGAGATACCAACACCTGTTAAAAGAGGATGAGCTGGGAGAAGCGGATTGCTTGAGCTCAGGAGTTCAAGGCAGCAAGGAGCTATAATCATGTTTTTTTTTTCTTTTTTTTTTTTATTGATCATTCTTGGGTGTTTCTCGCAGAGGGGGATTTGGCAGGGTCACAGGACAATAGTGGAGGGAAGGTCAGCAGATAAACAAGTGAACAGAGGTCTCTGGTTTTCCTAGGCAGAGGACCCTGCGGCCTTCCGCAGTGTTTGTGTCCCTGGGTACTTGAGATTAGGGAGTGGTGATGACTCTTAAGGAGCATGCTGCCTTCAAGCATCTGTTTAACAAAGCACATCTTGCACCACCCTTAATCCATTCAACCCTGAGTGGACACAGCACATGTTTCAGAGAGCACAGGGTTGGGGGCAAGGTCACAGATCAACAGGATCCCAAGGAAGAAGAATTTTTCTTAGTACAGCACAAAATGAAAAGTCTCCCATGTCTACCTCTTTCTACACAGACACGGCAACCATCCGATTTCTCAATCTTTTCCCCACCTTTCCCCCCTTTCTATTCCACAAAACCGCCATTGTCATCATGGCCCATTCTCAATGAGCTGTTGGGTACACCTCCCAGACGGGGTGGTGGCCGGGCAGAGGGGCTCCTCACTTCCCAGTAGGGGCGGCCGGGCAGAGGCGCCCCTCACCTCCCGGATGGGGCGGCTGGCCGGACGGATGGCTGACCCCCCCCACCTCCCTCCCGGACGGGGCGGCTGGCCGGGCAGAGGGGCTCCTCACTTCCCAGTAGGGGCGGCCGGGCAGAGGCGCCCCTCACCTCCCGGACGGGGCGGCTGGCCGGGCGGGGGGCTGATCCCCCCACCTCCCTCCCGGACGGGGAGGCTGGCCGGGCGGGGGGCTGACCCCCCCACCTCCCTCCCAGACGGGGCAGCTGGCCGGGCGGGGGGCTGACCCCCCCACCTCCCTCCCGGACGGGGCGGCTGGCCGGGCAGAGGGGCTCCTCACTTCCCAGTAGGGGCGGCCGGGCAGAGGCGCCCCTCACCTCCCGGATGGGGCGGCTGGCCGGGCAGGGGGCTGACCCTCCCTACCTCCCTCCCGGACGGGGCGGCTGGCCGGGCGGGGGGCTGACTCCCCCACCTCCCTCCCGGACGGGGCGGCTGGCCGGGCGGGGGGCTGACCCCCACCTCCCTCCCAGACGGGGCGGCTGGCCTGGCGGAGACGCTCCTCACTTCCCAGACGGGGTGGCTGCCGGAGGGAGGGACTCCTCACTTCTCAGACGGTGCGGCTGCCGGGCGGAGGGGCTCCTCACTTCTCAGACGGGGTGGCCGGGCAGAGACGCTCCTCACATCCCAGACGGGGCAGCAGGGCAGAGGCGCTCCCCACATCTCAGACGATGGGCGGCCGGGCAGAGACGCTCCTCACTTCCTAGATGGGATGGCGGCCAGGCAGAGACGCTCCTCACTTCCCAGATGGGGTGGCGGCCGGGCAGAGGCTGCAATCTCAGCACTTTGGGAGGCCAAGGCAGGCTGCTGGGAGGTGGAGGTTGTAGCGAGCCGAGATCACGCCACTGCACTCCAGCCTGGGCACCATTGAGCACTGAGTGAACGAGACTCCGTCTGCAATCCCAGCACCTCGGGAAGCCGAGGCTGGTGGATCACTCGTGGTTAGGAGCTGGAGACCAGCCCGGCCAACACAGCAAAACCCCGTCTCCACCAAAAAAATACGAAAACCAGTCAGGCGTGGCGGCGCGCGCCTGCAATCGCAGGCACTCGGCAGGCTGAGGCAGGAGAATCAGGCAGGGAGGTTGCAGTGAGCCGAGATGGCAGCAGTACAGTCCAGCTTCAGCTCTGCATCAGAGGGAGACCGTGGAAAGAGAGGGAGAGGAGGGAGAGGAGGGAGAGGAGGGAGAGGAGGGAGAGGAGGGAGAGGGAGAGGGAGAGGGAGAGAGCTATAATCATGTTACTGCACTCCAGCTTGAGCAACAGTGGGAGACCCAGTTTCTTAAGAAGAAAAAAAAAAAGGAAAAAGTATCCCAGCACTTTGAGAGGTCGAGGCGGGCGGATCACAAGGTCAGAAGTTTGAAACCAGCCTGGCCAATATGGTGAAACCCCGTCTCTACTAAAAATACAAAAATTAGCTGGAAGTAGTGGCAGGCACCTGCAGTCCTAGGTACTCGGGAGGCTGAGGCAGGAGAATCGCTTGAACCCAGGAGGCGGAGATTGCAGTGAGCCAAGATCGCGCCTCTGCTCTCCAGCCTGGGCGACAGAGCAAGATTCCATCCCAGAAAAAAAAAAAGGAAAAAGTTAATATTAAATACTAATTTTAAGTAACTATAAGTAATTACAACTATTTTCACTTTAAACATTAAGTAAAATAATATAAAATTAAATTAAAAATTTAACCTAAAAAATTTAAATTAAGTAAATGTTAATACTCATTAATCTAATTAAATTAATGAAAATCTGCAAAAACAAAGCAAAAAACCCTTAACCATGCCAGCACTCTGTAAGTTCTCAATAACACATTTAAAAGTAAACTGAGGCACAATAAAATTAGAAGGTTTATTTATTCATATTTTATTTTATTTATTTATTTATTTAAAGACAGGGTCTCACTCTGTTGCCCAGACTGGAGTACAGTGGCACGATCTTGGCTCACTGCAACCTCTGCCTCCCAGGCTCAAGCAATTCTCCTGCCTCAGCCTCCCGAGTAGCTGGGATTACAGGCATGCGCCACTACCGCCGGCTAATTTTTGTTTTTGTTTTTGTTTTTGTTTCAGTGGAGACAGGGTTTCACCATGTTGGTCAGGCTGGTTTCCAACTCCTGACCTCAAATGATCCACCTGCCTCGGCCTCCTGAAGTGCTGGGATTACAGGCGTGAACCACTGCGCCCGGTGTAGAAAGTTTATTTGAGCAAATGATGACTCATGAATCAGGCAGATCCAAACCAGAAGTGATTCATGAGCTCTACTGAGAGAACACAGCTGGGACAGATACAGAAGTAAAGCTAAGGTGGAGGCTGCAGTGAACTAAGATCGCCCCATTGCACTCCAGCCTGGGCAACAGAGCAAGACTGTCTCCAAAAAAAAAAAAAAAAGGTAAAGCCAAGAAAATATTTGATTATTTGATTTGGCAGGGCACGGTGGTTCACACCTATAATCCCAACACTTTGGGGGGCTGAGGCGGGAGGGTCACTTGAGCCCAGGAGTTCAAGACCAGCCTCGGCAGCATGGCGAAACCCCATCTCAAAAAATACACAAAATTAGCTGGGTGTGGTGTTGTGGGCATGTGGTCTTAGCTGCTTGGGAGGCTGAGGTGGGAGGATCACTTGAGCCCAGGAGGTTGAGGCTACAGGGAGCCATGAACATGCCACTGCACTCCAGCCTAGGTGACAGAGCAAGACTCTGTCTCTAAAATAAATAAATAGGCATGACACAGTGGCTCACGCCTATAATCCCAGCACTTTGGGAGGCTGTGGTGGGTGGATCACTTGAGGTCAGGAGTTGGAGACCAGCCTGGCCAACATGGTGAAACCCCATCTCTACTAAAAATATAAAAATTAGCCAGGCATGATGGTGGGCGCCTGTAATCCCAGCTACTCGGGAGGCTGAGGTGGGAGAATTGCTTGAACCCGGGAGGCTGCAGCGGGAGAATTGCTTGAACACAGGAGGCTGAGCCGAGATGGTGCCACTGCACTCCAGCCTGGGAAACAGAGCAAGACTCCATCTCAATAAATAAATAAATAAATAAATAAATAAATAAATAAATAAATAAATAAAATAGAGCTTGCAGTCCCTCAGAGAGCACCCTAGTCCAATGGCCTCCTTTTACAGGAAGAGAAACTGAGGCCCAGAGGGATCAAGAGGCTCCCCCAAGGTCACCCAGCAAGAGGCTAGAGCTGGGACAAAACCCCCAAGTTTCTGACTCCCTGGGCAAGGCTTTTTCCACTGTTTTGGTCTTTGGCCATAGAGATAATCTGCTTAAAAAATTAACTTGGGATTTCATGTAATCACTGAGGCCTCAGAAGCCTTGCCCAAGGAAAGACGAGGAGGGTTTATTAAGCTTTGTTCTAGGAGTTACAGGGACAAGGCCACATAGCAGGGCTAGAAACTGATGTGTGCCACCCTCCTCCAGGCCAGTAGCAGCTTGTATTTCTAGAAAAGGCTTAATTTTCCAGGTCAGGGCAGGTCCCAGAAGGCACCTTCTGGGGATGCGGCTGGACCCCGTGACTCAGCTGATTCCACATTATTCTCTGTTTCCCTCCCCACTCAGGGTGACTGCCAGATTCTGGCCTCCCTTGGGCCTTCAGAGATGGAAGTGATCTTAGGTTGTTGGTGGGTCCTACAACCTATAGTGGAAAGGTGACCATCTAATTTTTTTTTTTTTTTTTTTGAGACAGAGTCTGGCCCTGTTGCCCAGGCTGGAGTGCAATGGCGCGATCTCGGCTCACTGCAACATTCGCCTCCCAGGTTCAAGCAATTCTCCTGCGTCAGCCTCCTGAGTAGTTGGGGTTACAGGTGTGCAACCACTTCCAGCTAATTTTTGTATTTTTAGTATAGATGGATTTCTTTTCTTTTTTTTTTTTTTTTAGAAGGAATTTCGCCCTCTCACCCAGGCTGGAGTGCAGTGGCATGATCCAGTCTTGGCTCACTGCAACCTCCGCCTCCCGATCCAAGCGATTCTCCTGCCTCAGCCTCCCAAGTAGCTGGGATTACAAGTGCGCACCACCATGCCCGGCTAATTTTTTGTATTTTTTTAGTAGAGATGGGGTTTCACCATGCAGCCCAGGCTGGTCCCAAACTCCTGACCTCGTGATCCACCTGCCTCGGCCTCCCAAAGTGCTGGGATTACAGGCATGAGCCACCACGCCCGGCCTGAGATAGGGTTTCACCATGTTGGCCAGGCTGGTCTCAAACTCCTGATTTCAGATGATCCACCCGTCTAGGCCTCCCAAAGTGCTGGGATTACAGGTGTGAGCCACCATGCCCACTTGTGTCTAATTTATCATCCTCACCAGGACACTTTTGAGCATGGCCAGGGACATCTGGTCACCCAGCCACTGCTATCTCTGAGCATCATGATGGGTTGAAGAGTCAGTGAGCCGGCGGTTGAGGACCCACTGTGCTTGGGTCCCATACCTGATGAGAAAGAAGGGCCCAAGTCCCAGGCCTGCAAAACCACAGCCCTAGAAGGAGTGAGAGCACACAGCCAGCATGACCCAGGAAACTAGAACTGAAACCCTCAAAGCTGAAAGGTCTAGATGACTGTCCTTACTGTCCCAACGGGGAGCACACAGCTCTGAAAGGCCAAGGGCCTTGCCCAAGGTTACCCCCCGAGAAGATCAGAGACTCAAACCCAGGTTCCCAACTCTCAGCTCAGTGTGCGCTGTGCCACCGGTTCCCTTTCATCTGCAAACCCCCTGCCTATCTGGAAGGTGTGCACACAGCCTGGAAGCTTGTTATACTGGATTGTAAAAATTGTTCCTTGCCCTGGACTGGTGTGTGGCTTTGTTTGTGTGTGGCTTCCTAATCCTGCAGCCCCTGTGGGTGGGGAGGTCCCCTTTGCAAATAAGCGTGCCAGGCTCCAGAACCCAGGGAGAAGGCAAATATTTCCTGAACTAAACCTGCTCTCAGCACTTCCACTACTACTACCCCAGTCCAGGCCACCATCATCTCCCAGGTGGCCTCAGTGGCCTCTAAGTGGTATCCGGGATCCTTCTCTTTTCCCCACTCTTCATCCTCCATGTCAGAGCATGGAGCCTGGGTGCAGATCCCACACAACTCTCCCTCAGAGCTATCCACGCTCAAATCCTGGATGCACAGCAATGTCATGTGGCTGCCATCCTCCTGTCTGGCTTCCCCGTGTCCCCTTTCTTTCTTTCTTTTTTTTTTTTTGTTTGAGATGTAGTCTTGCTCTGTCGCCCAGGCTGGAGTGCAGTGGCGCGATCTCTGCTCATTGCAAGCTCTGCCTCCCGGGTTCACACCATTCTCCTGCCTCAGCCTCCCGAGTAGCTAGGACTACAGGCACCTGCCACCACGTCCGGCTAATTTTCTGTATTTTTAGGAGAGATGGGGTTTCACCGTGTTAGCCAGGATGGTCTCGATCTCCTGACCTCGTGATCCACCCGCCTTGGCCTCCTAAAGTGCTGGGATTACAAGCGTGAGCCACCGGGCCCAGCCCCCCGTGTCCCCTTTCTTGGTATCCTGCCACCTCACACAAGAAAGGCACAACTCCCGCCCAACTGGGCCTTCCATGGGGCAGTGCCCTGTGAACAACCTCCTACCCCCAGTAGGTAGTTAGAGAGGTACCTGGAGGCAGAGCCTGTTCTCAGCACACTATGAGGGCAGGAACCAGGGTCACACTCCTTTGGCCCAGATAAGGCTCAGAAGTGAGAACGTTGTCATGGGGCCACACCCTTATTTGAATTTCAAACATGAAGCCAGGGTTTTCTGACAGAAAGAAAGTCTTGTCTTGCTTGACTGTGTTGATGGGGCGTGATGTGGCAGGCATTCTTCTTAAAGGGACTAAATGTGTAGCCCCAGTTTTGTGTGGAAAAAATATTTATTTATTTATTTATTTTTATTTATTTATTTTTTTTTATTGATCATTCTTGGGTGTTTCTCGCAGAGGGGGATTTGGCAGGGTCAGAGGACAATAGTGGAGGGAAGGTCAGCAGATAAACACGTGAACAAAGGTCTCTGGTTTTCCTAGGCAGAGGACCCTGCGGCCTTCCGCAGTGTTTGTGTCCCTGGGTACTTGCGATTAGGGAGTGGTGATGACTCTTAAGGAGCATGCTGCCTTCAAGCATCTGTTTAACAAAGCACAACTTGCACCGCCCTTAATCCATTCAACCCTGAGTGGATACAGCACATGTTTCAGAGAGCACAGGGTTGGGGGTAAGGTCACAGATCAACAGGATCCCAAGGCAGAAGAATTTTTCTTAGTACAGAACAAAATGAAAAGTCTCCCATGTCTACCTCTTTCTACACAGACACGGCAACCATCCGATTTCTCAATCTTTTCCCCACCTTTCCCCCCTTTCTATTCCACAAAACCGCCATTGTCATCATGGCCCGTTCTCAATGAGCTGTTGGGTACACCTCCCAGACCGGGTGGTGGCCGGGCAGAGGGGCTCCTCACTTCCCAGTAGGGGCGGCCGGGCAGAGGCGCCCCTCACCTCCCGGACGGGGCGGCTGGCCAGGCGGGGGGCTGACCCCCCCACCTCCCTCCCAGACGGGGCGGCTGGCCGGGCGGGGGGCTGACCCCCCCACCTCCCTCCCAGACGGGGCGGCTGGCCGGGCGGGGGGCTGACCCCCCCACCTCCCTCCCGGACGAGGTGGCTGCCGGGCGGAGACGCTCCTCACTTCCCAGACGGGGTGGCTGCTGGGCGGAGGGGCTCCTCACTTCTCAGACGGGGCGGTTGCCAGGCAGAGGGTCTCCTCACTTCTCAGACGGGGCGGCCGGGCAGAGACGCTCCTCACATCCCAGACGGGGCGTCAGGGCAGAGGTGCTCCCCACATCTCAGACAATGGGCGGCCGGGCAGAGACGCTCCTCACTTCCCAGATGTGATGGCGGCCGGGAAGAGGCGCTCCTCACTTCCTAGATGGGATGGCGGCCAGGCAGAGACGCTCCTCACTTTCCAGACTGGGCAGCCAGGCAGAGGGGCTCCTCACATCCCCGACGATGGGCGGCCAGGCAGAGACGCTCCTCACTTCCCAGACGGGGTGGCGGCCGGGCAGAGGCTGCAATCTCGGCACTTTGGGAGGCCAAGGCAGGCGGCTGGGAGGTGGAGGTTGTAGCAAGCCGAGATCACGCCACTGCACTCCAGCCTGGGCACCGTTGAGCACTGAGTGAACGAGACTCCATCTGCAATCCCGGCACCTCGGGAGGCCGAGGCTGGCGGATCACTCGCGGTTAGGAGCTGGAGACCAGCCCGGCCAACACAGCGAAACCCTGTCTTCACCAAAAAAATACGAAAACCAGTCAGGCGTGGCGGCGCGCGCCTGCAATCGCAGGCACTCGGCAGGCTGAGGCAGGAGAATCAGGCAGGGAGGTTGCAGTGAGCCGAGATGGCAGCAGTACCATCCAGCTTCGGCTCGGCATCAGAGGGAGACTGTGGAAAGAAAGGGAGAGGGAGACCGTGGGGAGAGGGAGAGGGAGAGGGAGCGGGAGCGGGAGCGGAAAAAATATTTAAAGATGATATACAGTCTACAGCAAACCACCAAATGCATCATTTGCAAGTTTAGGCTAATGATAAAAATTTCAAAGGGGCCAGGCACATTTGCTCATGCCTGTAATCCCAGCACTTTGGGAGGCCAAGGAGGGCGGATCACCTGAGGTCAGGAGTTCGAGACCAGCCTGGCCAACATGGTGAAACCCCCGTCTCTACTGCAACTATAACGATTAGCCGGGTATGGTGGCAGGTGCCTGTAATCCCACTTACTCAGGAGGCTAAGGCAGGAGAATCGCTTGAACCTGGGAAGTGGAGGTTGCAGTGAGCCGAGGTCGTGCCATTGCACTCCAGCCTGGGTGACAGAGTGAGAGTCCATCTCAAAAAAAAAAAAAAAAAATTTGAAAGGGGTTTTTTAAAGGGTGCCTGTGGACAAAGTGTGATCACTGTTGTGTGGAAGTGATCCTTTACGATCCCAATCAGATCACACCATTTGCTGTTCACACATCTCCAGTGGCCTCTTTTGCCTTTGAGCATGCCCAGGTCGTTTCCCCCCAGTCTGGAGGCTCTTGCCCTTTGCTCCTGCTCCAGATATTCATTCTGCATCTGCTCCCTAGCAGCTTTCTCTCTGCCATCCTGCCATCTTTTCTTCTTGCCATGCTAGCATATGTTTATTTATGAGTGGCAGCTGTATCTCTAGTCACTAGGTCAGGACCTGGTATATTCTAGGCGCCCTGGAAGCATTCTCCAGAAACAGAGGTGCGGTGAGGAGAGTTTGGATCCAGTTTGGACTGCAGATAAATGTTTGTGAGGCTGGGCATGGTGGCTCACACCTGCAATCCCAGCGCTTTCAGAGGCCAAGGCGGGAGGACCGCCAGAGCCCAGGAGTGAGAGACCAGCCTGTGCAACATAGTGAGACCCCTGTCTAATTATTTTAAAAAAGGTTGTTTGTGAAATGACTGAGCAAGTAAATAATGAAGGAGTGAAGGAACTTGGACTGATGACCTGGAACACCTGTACCCTTCTCCCACTCCAAAAAACCCCTGCCCATCCTCACAATCCAGGGCCAGCATCACTCTTTTTTTCTGGAAGCTTCCTCAGTATCCTGGGTATGGGTCCCCTGTGATTCATGGAGGACCCCCAGTGGGGCTCCCAATGGCACGGCATTACCAGCACCTGCACCTGCTGCCTCCCCAGTCACCCCTGGCTCCCAGGGTTCCATTGCACAGTAGATCCTCTAGAAATGCTTCACAGACATTGATGTGGTGAGGGAGGAGGGACAGGGTAGCAGTCTCACCACCCATTACCCCCACCCCCGCCTCTCATTCAACGAACACTTTGAGCACCTGGCACTTTGATCCCCTCAGTGCCAGGCACTGAGCTCCAAATCCCAGACTCTGTAACGTGCAAGCAATCCTTACTCTTTCTATTTTAATATCTTAACCCATGTATTTATATACCTTGTCAAGTAAAATGTATTCTTTTTTAATGATTCTCAAAAGGATACTCATTGAAAAAATTTAGAAAACACCGAAAAATGCAAGGAAGAAAAATACAATTCTCTTACAATCCTGTATAATCCTGTGCCTCTAGGCCTACAGTCAGCTCCAAGCAACGGCACAGACACCTCCTCCTCCGGATGACCAGGATTGCCTCTGGGTTTGTCACAAGCTGGAACAGGGTCCTTTGGAGGATGGGGCTCTGTGAAGAAAAAGAGGTGAAGTGTTTGGATTCAGTCTGAGCCAAAGGTGAGCGTTATCAGTCCCCGAAAGGCCTCAGGGGTTGGCTGACTCTCTGAGAGGCCGGCAAGACTGGTGAAGTTCTGGAAGGGGACCTGGGGGGTGGGGCCCGGGGACCTGGGGGGTGGGGCCCGGGGACATGGGGGGTGGGGCCCGAGGCCCAGGCAGAGGCCAAACATTGCCCAGGGCCCGGCTTTAGTCTGCAACAACCCTCATTGTTCTCTCACTGTCTCTAGGCCGCTTTATCTGGGTTTAAGGACACAAGACTCCGTGAAAGACAAGCTAGTTCTTCTTCCTGCCCCGGCAGTCCACTGCAGGCCGATGCAGACGCAACCACTTCCTCAGCCGCTGTGGCTGAGAGCCCGCCACTGCACTCTATGGGCTTGGTGCTGGGTATGGAGAGGAGGGTATGACATAGCCCCTGCCCTCAGAGTTTTTTCCTACTCATTATCCCTGCTGTCTCTGGGGACTTCTTAAATGTCAGCAATCATTGTCATCTTCACTGTTGCCTCCGCAGCCACCGCACATGGCTGCACCTGGGCCATCTCCTCTGATGTAAAGGCTGTGCAGCCAAAATTTGCAATTCTTCCCCCAGCTTTTAAAATTGTAGTAAAATATATATAACATAAAATTTGCCAGCTTCACTGTTTGTTAAGTGTACAGTTCAGTGGTATGAAATACACGCATTGTGCTGTGCAAAGTCACCACCACCCATCTCCAGAACTCGCTTTATCTTGCAAAGCAGAAACTCTGTACCCATTAAACGATAACGTCCCATCCCCATCCCCCTTACCCCCAGCCCCTGTAATGCTTGTTCTTTTCTTTTTTTGAGACAGGGTCTCACTCTGTCATGCAGTCTGGAGTGCAGTGGCACGATCATAGCTAACTGCAGCCTCAACATCCTGGGCTCAAGAGATCCTCCTGCCTCAGCCTCTCAAGTAGCTGGGACTACAGGCACAGCACCACACCTGGCTATTTTTGTTCTTTCCTTTTTCTTTTCTTCTCTTTTTTTTTTTTTTTTGAGATGGAGTCTCACTCTGTCCTCCAGCCTGGAGTGCAGTGGCGCGATCTTGGCTCACTGCAAGCTCCACCTCCCAAGTTCATGCCATTCTCCTGCCTCAGCCTCCCGAGTAGCTGGGACTACAGGTGCCCACCACCATGCCCGGCTAATTTTTTGTATTTTTAGCAGAGACAGGGTTTCACTGTGTTAGCCAGGATGGTCTCAATCTCCTGACCTCGTGATCTGCTCACTTTGGCCTCCCAAAGTGCTGGGATTACAGGTGTGAGCCACCGTGCCCAGCCCTTTTTTTTCTTTTTTTATTACTGGCTTAGGTTTGAGCAGTGATCATTTTAAGTTTTTTTTGTAGAGATGGGGTCTCACTGTGTTACCCAGGCTGGTCTCAAATTCCTGGCCTCAAGCAATCCTCCTGCCTCAGCCTCCCAAAGTGTGGGGATTACAAGTGTGGGCCACCATGCCTGGTCTTCCTGTTTTTCAAATAAAATTACTTTTTATTTATTTATTTATTTATTTATTTTTAAAGATGGACTCTCGGCCAGGCAAGGTGGCTCACACCTATAATCCCAGCACTTTGGGAGGCCGAGGCAGGTGCATCACCTCAGGTCAGGAGTTTGAGACCAGCCTCACCAACATGGTGAAACCCCATCTCTACTAAAAATATAAAAATTAGCCAGGCGTGGTGGCGGGCACCTGTAATCCCAGCTACTTGGGAGGCTGAGGCAGGAGAATCGCTTGAACCTGGGAGGAGGAGGTTGCAGTGAGCTGAGATTGCACCACTGCACTCCAGCCTGGGCAACAACAGTGAAACCCTGTCTCAAAAAAAGAAAAAAGAAAGAAAAAAAAAAAAAACAAAAAACAGAGATAGAGTCTCTTTTGGCTCTCTAATGCCCATGGGATCAATGCCAAATTCATCTCCCTGGCAGTCAATGCTCTATTCTCCTTCTCCCCTCCACCTCTCCACCTCTCCAGCATGCTCCCACAACATTCTGCCCCAGTGACCTCAACCTGCAATGCCCACCTGTCCCATGGACCTCCCTGCCCATGCCTCTACTCCAGCCAATACTGGCTCATGTGTACACACCATGCTGTGTACCGTCTGTGCTTTGCTCATGCCGCTTGCCTCACCCGAGTGCCTCTCCTCCCCTCGGCTCGTCTGGTGCCTGTTTACTCTGCAAGGCCAGCGCATGCCCCCTGCATCCTGGAGGTCTCCTCTCATCATCCCAGCCCCACCGGGCTCCTGCAGCATTTCTGAGGTCTGTATCTTTCAGAGAGCTACGCTGCACATTGCCTGCTGCTCCCAGCAATCCTTACACCTTTCACCCCTCTCCCCATGTGTTTACTGGGCACCTAGGGCATGCTGAACACTGTTTGGGATAAAACAGATCCAAGGCTTAATGAGACAGATACCATCTCTGCCCTCCAGAGGTTACAGTCTGCGGTCAGGGGTGGGGGGGGGACCTACAAGAGAAGGGGCAGAGACCACAGGGCATGTGGTCAGATTTAAAGGGAGGGGCTGCCTCGGAAGCCACCCAGTCCAGAATTGGGCAGCCGTAGAAGGCTTCTGGGAGCAGGCGGATCTGAGCTGAGACCCAAGCATAGGCAAGAGTCAGCCTGGCAGAGGGGTGGGGCACAGAGCTCATCTTCCAGGCAGAGTCCTGGGTGCACATGTGTCTGGCAGAAGGAGGGCTGAGCTGGGCATGAGGTGGAAGTGAGCCGGGCCATGCAGAGCTCAGCAGGCCTGAAGGGGAAGCCATGACTGTCTCACAATGCCTCCCTCAGCATGTGATGCTAAGGGGCAGAAGCTGGCTCCCAGGCACATCTCAAGGGCACCAAGCCAGGCACCCCACAGAAGGCCTTCAGGAACCCTAGTTAAATAGGTGACTAAGCAAATTATTTCATGAATAAATGTAACAATGAACTGATACATTTGAAGGAAACCAGAGTATTCCACCCCTAAAATATGCCTCCTTGACATTTTTTTGTTTTGTTTTGTTCTGTTTTGTTTTTTTGAGACAGTCTTGCTCTGTCACCCAGGCTGGAGTGCAATGGCACGATCCTGGCTCACTGCAACCTCTGCCTCCCAGGTTCAAGCAATTCTCCTGCCTCAGCCTTCCGAGTAGCTGGGATTACAGGTGTGAGTCCAATTCTGTATTTTTAGTAGAGACAGGGTTTCACCATATTGGTCAGTCTGGTCTCAAACTCCTGACCTCAGGTGATCCACCCGCCTTGGCCTCCCGAGTAGCTGGGATTACAGGCATGAGCCACTGTGCCCGGCCTTTGTGTGTGTGTGTGTGACAGGGTCCTGATATGTCACCTAGGGTGGAGTGCAGTGGCATAATCTAGGCTCACTGCAGCTTTGACCTCTGGGGCTCAATCGATCCTGCCCCCAAGTGGCTGGGACTACAGGTTTGAGCCACCATGCCCAGCTAACTGTAAATTTTTTTGTAGAGACGAAGGTCTTGCTATGTTGCCCAGGCTGGTCTCAAACTCCAGGCCTCAAGTGATTCCCCCGCCTCAGCCTCCCAAAATGCTAGGATTACAGGTGTGAGCCACTGTGCCCAGCCTTCAAAAGATATTTTTGAACTGAGGTTTCTCCCACATGATGGGCATAGCACGTGTTAAAAATAAAATTGCTTCTTTTTCTTGTCAATCTATCTTTTGTTTGAGGAGAATGCCTCAATCACGAACTTGTGAGGGATGAACAAAGATGATGTCTTTTCTCTCCTTCCCATGCATGTGGGAATGGGTGAATCCAGGGTTTCTAGTGCTGTTTCCCTGAGTCTTTTTTTTTGAGATAGAGTCTCACTCTGTCACCCAGGTGCAATCTCGGCTCACTGCAACCTCTGCCTCCTGGGTTCAAACGATTCTCCAGTCTCAGCCCCCTGAGTAGCTGGGATTACAGGCACCCAGTACCATGCCCGGCAATTTTTTTTTTTTTTTTAGACTG
This sequence comes from Homo sapiens, assembly GCF_000001405.40. Classification (NCBI taxonomy): domain Eukaryota; kingdom Metazoa; phylum Chordata; class Mammalia; order Primates; family Hominidae; genus Homo; species Homo sapiens. The sequence continues at coordinate 71,882,442 of NC_000010.11, forward strand.
GAGTGCAGTGGCACGATCTGAGCTCACTGCAACCTCCGCCTCTGGGTTCAAGCAATTTTCTGCCTCAGCCTCCCAAGCAGCTGGGATTACAGGTGGCTGCCACCATTCCTGGCTAATTTTTGTATTTTTAGTAGAGACGGGGTTTCACCACGTTGGCCAGGCTGGTCTTGAACTCCTGACCTTGTGATCCACTCACCTCAGCCTCTCAAAGTGCTGGGATTACAGGTGTGAGCCATCATGCCCAGCCTCCCTGAGTCTTCAGTAACAATCTTGTTTGGCCTCTGGGCAGGCCAAGGAGGAGGAAAGTTACTTGGAGCTTCTCTACCCTGATTTTCAAGGAAGGGAAAACAGAACGAACCGTGAGCCAACAGGCCCTGTTTTCTTTCTCTTGGGAGAAGGCTGGCCTTGGGGAGATGTTCTAGGAAAGGTCACCTTTCCACTCCATGGTGCCAGGTAGGAAACCAGAAGGCCTTCCTTACAAACGAAGGGAACATTTCTTGCCAGATCTCTGGAGGAAAACTTGGAGGGAAAGGTTTGCTGCTATCCTGGAGAAGAAAGATAACAGTACTATCCAACCCCATCTGACCTCTGGAAGGCAAAGTCAGGCACATTATCTTTCAAGCCACGTGGGAAGGAAGGCAAGAGCTAGAGGAGAGACATGGAGGAGGCCCAGGGAGGGCAAGTGATTTTCCCAAAGCTACATAGCCAGCCTTAGACCCAGCTATGAGTTGAACCCACAGGACCTTCTCTGTCCATTAAACCACGGGGAAGGAGGACAGAAGCAGGGAAAACTGAGTCTGTTTGCAGGAAGAAGATTCAGAAAAGCAACTGGACTTACTAGAAAACGAAAGAAAAATTATCTTTCGAGGGGCACCACGGCTCCACCTGCGCAGAATGCAATTTGGCAATGAGGAGTCAGGGACTCAAATGTGTTCCTTTCCGTTAGCCCAGTAATTTAACAGCTGGGAATGCGTCCTAAGGCCTATGGCCAGGAAAACACTCATACAGAGATGCTGATCAGGGCATTAGTTCAATGGTAAAAGACTGGAGATGAGCCAAATGTCTGACAATAAGAAAGCTGTTAAGAAAATCAAGACAGTCACAACATGTTATAGGCCCAATCAGAGGGCCATTTGTGAGGGCTTTTTCATAACGGAGAAAAATATGAACATCAAGAAGTCAGGTGTAGAAAAACAGGATGTGAAATAATTTATGCTGAATAACAACAGCTATTTTAAAAAGGCATAGGAGAAAGATAGGAAGCAAATGGGCCAAAACGGTACTGCAGTGGCTTTTGTGGGATGGAACTGGGGAGAACTTGGGGAACTTGGGTTTTTTATTCTTCTTGTTGGCATTTTCTTTAATATATATGTATTGCTTGTTTTTTTTCCAGACAGGGTTTCACTCTTGTTGCCCAAGCTGGGTGCAATGATGCAATCTCAGCTCACTGCAACCTCTGCTTCCCGGGTTCAAGTGATTCTCCTGCCTCAGCCTCCCAAGTAACTGGGATTACAGGCGCGCACCACCACACCTGGCTAATTTTTTGTATTTTTAGTAAAAACAGGGTTTCACTATGTTAGCCACCTGAACTCCTGACCTCAGGTAATCCGCCCCCCTCTGCCTCCCAAAGTGCTGGGATTGCAGGTGTGAGCCACTGCACCCGGCCTGCTTTTTTCTTTAAAAATGAAAAATATTTTACACTTCTTTTCTGATTATAAAATCAGTAATCAGTATGGCCAGGCATGGTGGCACTTTGGGAGCCCGAGGCCGGTGGATCAATTGAGGTCAGGAGTTCAAGACCAGCCTGACCAACATGGTGAAACCCCGTCTCTACTAAAAATACAAAAATTAGCCAGGCTGTGGTGGCATATGCCTGTAATCCCAGCTACTTGGGAGGCTGAGGCATGAGAATCGCTTGAACCTGGGAGTCAGAGGTTGCAGTGAGCCCAGATCGTGCTACTGCACTCCAGCCTGGGCGATAGAACAAGACCTTGTCTCAAAAAACAAAAACAAAAACAAAAACAAAAAACAGTACATTCTGCTGGTAAAAAAATAAAAATACAAACAATATAGATATGTATGAGAGTAAAAAGTGAAAGAACCCCTGTAATTCCACTGCCCAGAGATAACCAGTGTTAATAGTTAATATTTTCTTAGTCATGCACACACACATAAAACACAGGCAGTGAGGTAAGTGGTCACATTCCTGTACCTATATACACATATACACATGGACACCCACATATACACGTACACAGAGTGAAGGGAAAATAGAATCTCAGGACCCCAAACTCACTATGCCAAAGGGAAAAGTTAAGCTTGGAAACTGAGTCACACCAAAAGCTGCCCTTTCTTTTTTTCTTTCTTTCTTTCTTTTTTTTTTCTTTTGAGACAGATTCTCACTCTGTTGCCCAGGCTAGAGTGCAGTGGCACAATGTCAGCTCAATGCAACCTCTGCCTCCTGGGTTCAAGCGATTCTCCTGCCTCAGCCTCCTGAGTAGCTGGTATTATAGGTGCCCACCACTATGCCTGGCTAATTTTCTTATTTTTAGTAGAAATGGGGTTTCACCATGTTGGGCAGGCTGGTTTCGAACTCCTGACCTCAGGTGATCCACCTGCCTCGGCCTCCCAAAACGCTGGGATTACAGGCGTGAGCCACCACACCTGGTCAAACTGCCTTTCTTTTTGTTTCTAAGCAGATAGCTACAAAATAGAAGACCGTGTCTCCGCTGGTGGCTTCCCTCACCCTGACCATGTACATTAACACCTTATCTTCACAGGTATAAGACAAAGACAAGACTAGAAATCACCCCTCCAGCCACCCAGAGACAAATGCAGATTTACTGAGCCGGCGACAGAGGCATAATTGCCTGTGCCTCCACCCTCTCCTTTCATAGGTAACACGTGGATTTGGTGAGCACTAATCAAAGCCTCACAGAAATGTGCCCCCTTATCTCACTGCCTACCCTCCTTTTTTTTTCCTTCCCCACTTTCCCTCCTGCCTGCTCTTTCTCCTTCTAATACTGAAGCCCTCAAAATCTTCTCTGAAAAAATTATGCGGCCACAGATCCCACTGTGGCATATGCCTCTTTTTTGGGGCACGTCCTCAGTCTTGTCAAAATAGACCTCTAAATATTGATGGAGACTTGCCTCAGACACTTTTCTGGGTTACAACACGCATACATACATATACACATACATACTACATATACACATCCGTATCTATACATGCACTTATGCACATATACACATACCTGTGTGTATATATATATACACACATGGACATGCATGTATGCACAAATACATACACATATATACATGTGTGTATATAGAACTACTGTTTTGGAACTTATTTTTTCATGTAACATGATATATCCATTTCTCCACATCAATTCATATAGATCAATCAGCCTCATCCCCTTTATATTTAACATTTTTTCTTTATTTAAAAAAACCTTTTTTTTTAGAGATGGGGTTTCACTATGTTGGCCGGGCTGGTCTCAAACTCCTGACCTCAAGCAAGCCTCCTACCTCAGGCTTCCAAAGTGCTGGAATTACAGGCGTGAGCCATTGCACCTGGCCAGACTCAATCTCTGTTTTTTTTGTTTGTTTGTTTGTTTTTTTTGAGATAAGCTCTCATTCTGTCACCCAGGCTGGACTGCAATAGCGTGAACACAGCTTACTGCAACCTTGACCTCCCCGGGCTCAAGTCATCCTCACCTCAGCTTCCCAAGTAGCTGGGAATATAGGCATGTACCACCAGGCCTGGCTAATTTTTGTATATTTTGTAGACATCGGATTTCACCATGTTGCCCAGGCTGGTCTTGAACTCCTGGGCTCACACAATCCACCCGCCTTGGCCTCCCAAATTGCTGAGATTACAGGTGTGAGCCACCGTGCCTGGCTGCCTCTTCCTTTCCTTTCCTTTCCTTCCTTCTTCCTCCCTTTATTTTTATTTATTTATTTATTTATTTATTTATTTATTTATTTATTTATTGAGATGGAGTTTTGCTCCTGTTGCCCAGGCTGGAGTGCAATGGCCCAATCTCGGCTCACCATAACCTCTACTCCCAGGTTCAAGCGATTCTCCTGCCTCAGCCTTCCGAGTAGCTGGGATTACAGGCATGAGCCACCACGCCCGGCCAATTTTTTTGTATTTTTAGTAGAGACAGGGTTTCTCCATGCTGGTCAGACTGGTCTCGAACTCCCGACCTCAGGTGATCCGCCCACCTTGGCCTCCCAAAGTGCTGGGATTACAGGTGTGAGCCACTGCGCCCAGCCCTTTTTTCTTTTCTTTCTTTTTTCTTTTTTTTTAACTTAAAGACTTCATTCTATTTGATGGCTGCTTAATTTCCACTGTAGGATGCAGAATTTTTTTTTGGTAACAAATCTCTTATCTCTGGATTTTTGTGCTGTTTCCAATTACTTTAATCATGACATATGACTCTGCAATGAACATATACCTCGGCACATGTGTTTTTCCTAGAAGTGTAATTGCTGGAGCAAACAGAAGGCATGTTTAATGCTTTTCCTCCACATTAATACATTCCTTTTAGAAGATTGTACAGGTATGAATTTGAAGGTAGTACTCATTTCCCCATATTTATGCAGCATTAGCATTTTATCTTTGCCAATGGTATAGGTGAGAAAATGTTTCATTGTTGGTTTAATTTGTGTCTCTTTAAAACTTGGTGAGACTCCTTTTCCATGATTACAGCCTATGTGGATTTCTTATTTTGTGAATTGCATTTATGTACATCTTTGGATGGTTATTTATTAGAACTGCATTGCCTTAATAATTGCAACAGTAATATAAATCTTAGTTTTTGTTTTTGTTTTTGTTTTTTTTGAGACAAGAGTCTCACTCTGTTGCCCAGGCTGGAGTGCAGTGGCACAATCTCAGCTCACTGCAACCTCCGCCTGCCTCCCAGTTTCAAGAAATTCTCCCACCTCGGCCTCTCGAATAGCTGGGATTACAGGCTTGTGCCACCATGCCCAGCTAATTTTTGTATTTTTAGTAGAGACGGGGTTTCACCATGTTGGCCAGGCTGGTCTCGAACTCCTGACATCAGGAGATCCACCTGCCTCAGCCTCCCAAAGTGCTGGGATTACAAGCATGAGCCACCATGCCTGGCCTAAATCTTAATTTAAAAAAAATATATATATACTTTTATATATACATATACCTTATATATATCTTTTATATATATACACCTTATATATATCTTTTATATATATATATCATATATATCATATATATATATATATCATATATATATATACTCTCACACACACATATACATATATCTTTACCCCATGATCTCCAATCTGAAGACAGAGAAATTTGCATGAAGGAGGCACACTCAGGGTGGTCTGAGGGCAGAGCCCTGGCGTGGGCAGTGGGAGTTCCTGCTCCAGGCCAGCTTTGCACCTCGCCTGCTGGGAGGGCTCAGGCAGAGCATCCACCTGGGCTTCTGGGAGCCTCTGCTTCCTTCTTCAAGGCCTGTGGCTTTCAAAATCTTAATATGGAATCCCACCATGATAGCCCAGTGTTTCTCAATCCTGGCTGCCCTTTTGAAAAACTGGAGGAACTTTAAAAATATATACCTCTTCTCAGTCCCCAGAGATACTGACTCAATGCCTGACTTAAAAAGCTGCTCAGGCGGGCAAAGTGGCTCACACGTGTAATCTCAACCCTTTAGGAGACTGAGGTAGGAGGATCGTTTGAGCCCAGTAGTTCAGGACCAGCCTGGGCAACATGGCGAGACCCTGTCTCTACATAAATAATAAAAAATATTAGCCGGGTGTGATGGTCCACGCCTATGATCCTAGCTATTCGGGAAGCTGAGGAGGGAGGATCGCTTGAGCCCAGGAGGTCAAGGCTGCAGTGAGCCAGATCGTGCCACTGTGTTCCAGCGTGGGCAACAGCAAAACTCTTGTCTCAAATAAATAAATAAAAAATAAAAAACAAAACAACAACAACAAAAGAAGAAAAAGGAGGAGGAGGAGAGAAAGAAAGAAGGAAGAAAAAGAGAAAGAAAATTAGAATGGGAAGAATTTCAGTTTTATAACTGTAACTGATTATTTTAAACGTATTTTTATTGTAAAAATAAAACCCGGATACAGAATCCAATGGTTCTGATGTACGGCTTAACTAATTACTACAAAGTGAACTGCCTCCGAGACCAAGAAAAAGAACTTTGCCAGCCACAGCAGAAGTCTCTCCACGCGCCCCACCCCAGTCACTCCTTCCTCTTCCATAAGTAGTCATCCTTATTCTGACTCACAGGACGCATTAATTGCGTTTTTAACAGCAAGTCCGCTGGAGGTGGGAGGCGCTCGGGGAAGCTTCTAGGGCCGTCAGGGCCCATTCCCTCCGCTAACACCCCTCTCTCCCCAACCCTCAGGTTGCGCAAGACCTCTCCAGCCCGGCGAACCCGTGGGGCTCAGCAGTCCTCCTCCACGCTCAAGATGCAGTTTGATGCAATCCTAGAGGACGCAGTTTCAAGTTTCTCGAGATAGAGAAGCGAAAGAGGATCCGAAACCGCGCTTCACATCTGAATCTGATTTCAGATTCCTCCGGAATATAGCGGAAGCGCGGGGTTGAGGGCGCAGACCGGGGCAGAGGAGAGGCGCGCAGGTCTGCTGGGACGCAGCGCGGGGCGAGCAGTGGCGCACTCGTGGCCTGACGCATCCGCGAGACTGCACGCGGCCAGGCGGGGGCACGAACGGGTTGGGGCATGCGCGGGCAGCGTCGAGTGGGTCCCTTGGGGGTGGGGGTGGGGGGCAGTCGAACTAGGGAGAGAGTCTGTGGAAGGGCTCAGTTGTCACTTCACACCTTTCCCCGCTGTTTATTGATCTTTAACTCTCTCTGTGTGTCCTCTCTCTCTCTCTCTCTCCCTCTCCTCTCTCTGTTTCTCTCTCTCTATCCCTTCCTGTCCACCCTTTGGGGCCATCTCTTCCAAGAAACAACCGTCTCTCCCAGCCCATGGGAAATTGTCTCTCCTGCGAACTTATCCAACCTGAGGGGGTCTCATCCATGCCGATACCGGCTGCTTGTGGAACCTTGTAAGAGTTCTTCCCTCTCCCTGTAAAATGGAGATAAGCTGTGTGGTGCTGAGGCCAGCGCCGGGCACACTCACCCTCACCTTCTTCCTGAGAGAGGAAAGAGCCTGGAGACCTGGATTCTACCTCTGCCCCCAACCCCTACCACAGGGTAGCCCTGCCACCACCTGCTGGTTCTTTGGGCAAGTCACTCTTTTATTGGACTTCCATTTCCTCAGCTCTAAAATGAAGGAGGTGAGCCCAGTGTGGTGGCACCTGTAGTTCCAGCTACCTGCAGGCTGAGGCAGGAGGATCGTTTGAGCCCGGGGGGCAGAGGTTAGAGTGAGCGGAGATCTTGCCACTGCACCCCAGCCTGGGCAACAGAGCAAGACCCTGTCTTTAAAAAAAAAAGTGATTAAAAAATAAAAATAAAATGAAGGAGTTAAACAAACTCAGGAATTTTGTATGAATGGCATAAATGAGCACATTAGAAGGAAGCAACTTTCCTTCTCTCTTTTTTTCAATCCTGTACAGGCCAGCTTCCCCTCTGCCCTCTGCTCCCCTCCTCCCTCCCTACCATCCTCCAGCCCCCCAAAGCCCTCCCAATTTGAGCCTCCTTTTGGAAAACATCTCTGAGTATGGTACCGTTGGTATCGGTGACTAAGAGGCTCCAAGGATACCCTTCTGGGGGATTTCCAAAATAATGAGGAAGTCCATTTCCAAAATCATGGGAAGTCCCAACTGGGCCTCCCAGACAGTTGGCCACTGAGTCTGTCCCCTAAAGGATCTGCTTGACTTGCACAGTCTTAAAGGCATCATGTCTGGTTTTTAAACATAATTTCAGTTAGTAGCCAACAGTTCAGATCAAGGGATCACACGGCCTGTTTGACCTGTTCTTGCAGGGTCATGCATGCTCCACTGAGCCATGGGAAGTGTCCACACCCAGCCATGGGAGCCCTGTGGGATCTGAAACTGACATTTCTGCTTTAGGTGCCTTAAGCTGAAGAAATGCATAGTAGCGGGAATTGGAGTGCAAGTGAGTGCAGTAGGGGAAGTATTTTGCCATAAGAAACCCTAAGCCTCTATGGACAAGAAATTCTCCAGGGGCAGACTGGCCTTGACCCCAGAAATGTCACATTGGACTCGGCCTTGGTTTTCCTCATCTATACAATGGTCAATCAGACTAGTGGTTTGTTTTTTGTTTGTTTGTTTGTTTGTTTTCTCTGTCGCCCAGGCTGGAGTACAGTAGTGCAATCTCGGCTCACTGCAACCTCTGCCTCCTGGGTTCAAGCAATTATCCTGCCTCAGCCTCCCAAGTAGCTGGGACTACAGGTGCACGCCACCACATCCAGCTGATTTTTGTAATTTTAGTAGAGATGAGGTTTCACCATATTGGTCAGGCTGGTCTCAAACTCCTGACCTCAGGTGATTCACCTGCCTTGGCCTCTCAAAGTGCTGGGAATACAGGCGTGAGCTACCACACCGGGCTCAGATTTGTGATCTTTAAGGGTCCTGTGAACTCAGCACTCTAGACATTTTAGGGCCTGTGCACTTCCGCGGTAATGGTTTCTTGTTTTGTCCTCACTCGGAGGGCACACTCCTCAGGCTAGTGGCATGGGCCATTGTCCTAGAGTCCCTGGGGCCCGGCCCTACCATGAATTCTGCGTCTCTCCCTTCAGCCCTTGTCCCTCCCTCCGTGCCATGGCTTGGCACCGTTCTTGTCTTTGCAACCCTCCACAGGCGCCTCCTCCTCTGACCCTTCAAACCTTCCTGCCCTCAAACTCTGTCTCCCTACACCTCCCTGCCTTCCACTCTATGTTTCTGCCTTCTCCTTCAGCCCACAGATATTACTGACCATGGTTGCCAGCCCTATGTTAGGCCTGGGAATTCAAGAGAGAATTAGAGCCCTCTGTGGACTCCCAGCTCTACTAGGGAGAGAGACCCACAAATAGGGATAGAGAGGGGTAAATGCTTCAGTGGGTGAGTACAGGGCCTGCAAGGCCACTCAGCTCAGACTGAGGGGGTCAGAGAGAGCTTCCTGGAGGAGGCAGTATCTGAAGTGAGAAGCGGAGGGAAGTCCACCAGGCACACACAGCAGGTCGGCGAGAGTGCCGCAGGCTGAGGATGCGGCATATGTGAAGGCCCAAGGAAAAGCAGAGCACGCAGCATGCAGGCCCTGGAGGGGTGAGGCTGCACCTGGGGAGGTCTCATCCCAAGGCTGACAGCAGGTTTAGGGTCTGGAAACGCCACATGCCCTGCTGTCTCCCTGGCTGTTCAACTCCTTCCAGGCCTGACATTCACCAGCTCCTTGAAGACAAGATCATGCAGATACTTTTCAGCACACACATCTGGTCTCCCCGGCAAGTGCCCAGCTCTGGGCCTGTACCCTCCCAGCAGCACCACACAAGATGGCCGACCTGAGCTCATCAACTGCTCACTGGGGTCCCTCCCCTGACCCTAACCCTGCTTCAGTCACCCAGTAAGGGATCCCTGGCATGCAACATGTCCTTGGCTCCAGAGGGGTTAGATCCTTGGGGCTCCAGCAGGCAGAGCTGGAGCCTCGTGGCGTTTTGAGTACTCATAGGGACGGTTTGGGTTGTTGCAGGGATGTGGGAGGCACTGCTGGTGTTTGGGCCAGAGACCAGGACGGCCGAACATCCTGCAATGCTCAGAGCCGCCCTTTGGAACAACAACAACAAAAAAACTGTCCAAAGTATTCTGATTTTCAAATGTCCCTTCTGTAGCGTCCCCTAGTTTGTCCCACTTTCTTTCCGTGTCCTGACCGAAAATCTAGAGTGCCTTGACTGTTTCATGACCCAACCAGCTGCAGGGCTTCCCAGCAGGCTTGAACCCAAACCAGGGCCTCGAACATTCCCAGGCACTGATAAAGAAGTCTAGGTTATTGCCCAAAACCCTGAACAAAACTGGCCCCAGGCTTGAGCCCAATTCCTTAAAGCCTCAGAAAAATTCCACACCCTGACCTCATGGCTGTGGACACACCTAGGTGGACCTCCCTTTCTCTCCTGGCTGCCTGAGGATGTGCACGGCCCTGTGGAAGTGAGCTCCCCTAATAAAAGCCTGGACTCATCACCCCGGCGCTTCGTGCTTCTCTCTTTGGAATCCCAGCTGGCCCCCCTTCAGGATGATTCAGGCACTCCCTTGTGGGAACTCCTCTGCCACCACTTTTGGGGCAACCCTAGCTGAGGGCTGGGGGTGAGACAAGACACTTTCACATATTCGTGTCACTGAAAAACCAAACTCCATTTCACACCTAAACATGAGGTATTTTTGAATATTTTATTTTATTTTATTTTTTATTTATTTTATTGTATTTTTTGAGACGGAGTTTTGCTCTTGTTACCCAGGCTGGAGTGCAATTGCACAATCTCGGCTCACTGCAAACTCCGCCTCCCGGGTTCAAGCGATTCTCCTGCCTCAGCCTTCCAAGTAGCTGGGATTACAGGCATGCGCCACCACGCCTGACTAATTTTGTATTTCCAGTAGAGATGGGGTTTCACCATGTTGGTCAGGCTGGTCTTGAACTCCTGACCTCAGGTGATCCACCCACCTCGGCCTCCCAAAGTGCTGAGATTACAGGCACCCAGCCTATTTTTTATTTTTGAGACAGAGTCCCACTTTGTTGCCAGGCTGGAGTGCAGTGGCACAATCTCGGCTCGCTGCAACCTTCTCTTCCAGGGTTCAAGTGATTCTCGTGCCTCAGCCTCCCGAGTAGCTGGAACTACAGGCGTGCACCACCATGCCCAGCTAATTTTTGTATATTCAGTACAGGCGGGGTTTCACCATGTTGCCCAGTCTGGTCTTGAATTCCTGACCTCAGGTTATCCACCTGGCTCGACCTCCCAAAGTGCTGAGATTACAGGTGTGAGCCACTGCACCCAGCCTTTTTGCATATTTTAAAACATACTCTGAGAACACAAATGAATGGAAGATTGGACTTTGTTTTGTAGGGAACTTCGCCAAGAGTTTAACCATTTCAGAGAATCACAGCACTGATAGCGGCTTCTCTCCCAGGTTCAGGTCACCAAAACAGCATCCTCCACCATCGGCGTTGGTGGCTGGGTATCTGTGATGCTTCCCATGCAATGTGAGCAGCTGCCCACTGAGTCCCGGAGTCCTAAGACCCTTCCCTCACAATCCTAAGACAGTATTGCCTTTTCACTGTGATGGCATTGGTGACATAAAAGCCACTGTGGGCAGGGTGCAGCGGCTCGCACCTGTAATCCCAGCACTTTGGGAGGGTGAGGCGGGCAGATAGCTTGAGCCGCAGAGTTTGCCCAGACCAGCCTAGGCAACATGGCAAGACCCCGTCTCTACAAGTAATAATAATAATAATAATAATAATAATAATAAAATTATCTGGGCATGGTGGCACGCATCTATAGTCCCAGCTACATGGGAGGCTTAGGTGGGAGAATTACTTGTGCTCGGGTGGTAGAGGCTGCAGTGAGCCGTGATCGTGCCGTTGCACTCCAGCCTCAAAAAAAAAAAAAAAAAAAAAAGCCACTATGGGTGAAACTGCTGGAACTTCAGGAAGCAAGGCAGTGGCCACAGACTAGGCAGGTCTCTGTGCACTCCCCTAGATAAGCACTTGTGGGGACAAAATATGCCTGTGTCACTTAAGTACATACCCTTTTGATCTCCTGTGTGATGAAGCAGGGATGCACACAGAGCGCCTGCTCCAGAGCAGGGGACTGGCTCGCAGAAACAACTTGTCAGAGGTGGAGCCACGCGAGCCTCTGGTCCAGGGAACACAGTTTATCTTATTTTTTAAATTAATTAATTAATTTATTTATTTATTTATTTTTGAGATGGAGTCTTGCTCTGTCACCCAGGCTGGAGTGCAATGGCTCGATCTTGGCTCACTGCAACCTCCGCTTCCTGGGTTCAAGCAATTCTCCTGCCTCAGCCTCCTGAGTAGCTGGGATCACAGGCACACACCACCAGGCTGGGTAATTTTTGTATTTTTAGTAAAGATGGGGGGTGTCACCATGTTGGTCAGGCTGGTCTCGAACTCCTGACCTCGTGATCTGCTTGCCTCTGTCTCCCAAAGTGCTGGGATTACAGGCGTGAGCCACTGCGCCCAGCCGAGAACACTGTTTATACGGGAAAGAACGACGAACAGACACATGATGGGTATTCAGATCTGGGCATTTGGCAGACAGACATTTTCTCATAAATGAGCAAAGTGAGCCTGTCCCTTCAAGAAACTGAAGCATTTGTTGCCAATGATAAAGTTGGAACTTGGAGCTTTCAAGGGAAAATTAGAATTTTGGAAAATTTGTGTACACCACCACAAGCTTGACAACTTCTCAATATTTAAAGATTTTTCTGATGCGATGGATGGCAGTGCTAACAAATGCTATTTTTTGACACTGTTCAGTGACATGTCATCTTTTGGGAGATGTATGTGATTTAATGGGTACAAAATTTCAAAGAGGCCACATGATGCTGCACATCACATGTAGGTAAAACAGCCATTCACGGTACAAGATAGGCCAGGCACAGTGGCTCATGCCTGCAATCCTAGCACCTTGGGAGGCTGAGGCAGGCAGATCACTTGAGGTCAGGAGTTCGAGACCAGCCTGGCCAACATGGTGAAATCCTAGCTCTACTAAAAACAGAAAAATTAGCCAAGCATGGTGGCATGTGTCTGAAATCCCAGCTACTCAGGAGTCTGAGGTGGGAGACTCACTTGAACCCAGGAGGTGGAGGTTGCAGTAAGCCAAGATGGTACCACTGCACTCCAGCCTGGGCAACAGAGTGAGAGTCCTTCTCCAAAACAAACAAACAAACAAAAGTACAAGATAGGCCCGTGCATTTTAATATAATAAAGCATGAAATGTTCATTGATATGGGTTCAGATTCTACATTATAATCAACCTTAAAGAAACAATTGCTTGTTAAGTTTTGGCGTAGCATTAAAGAAGAATATTCACAATTATCTGAAAAAGCTATCAAAATACTCGTCTTTTTTTCCAACTCCGTGTTTGCGGGAGGCTGGATTTTCTTCAATCAAAACAATATATTGCGGGACGCAGTGGTTCATGCTTATAATCCCAGCAGTTTGGGAGGCTGAGGTGGGCGGGTCACCTGAGGTCAGGCGTTCAAGACCAGACTGGCCAACATGGTGAAACCCCATCTCTACTAAAAATACAAAAAAATTAGCTGGATGTGGTGGCGCACTCCTGTAATCCCAGCTACTCGGGAGGCTGAGGCAGGAGAATCACCTGAACCTGGGAGGTGGAGGATGCAGTGAGCCAAGATCACAACATTACACTCCAGGCTGGGCGACAAGGGCAAAACTTTGTTTCAAAATAAAAAAATAAATAAAAATTTTAAAAGCCCCAACATATTGCAACAGACTGAATGCAGAAGTAGACATGAGGCTCCAACAGTCTTTAATTAAGACAGTTGCTTGAGAGATTTGCAAAAGTGTAAAACAATGCTGTTTTTCTCACTAAATTTCTCTTTGTTTTGGAAATGAAGGTATTTTTCGTAAAAATATGTTTATGTTTACATGTAATGAGTTCATTATTACTTTTTGATAAATTAATAAATATCTGGGTCCTCAATAATTCTTTTAAAAATTTTTTTATAATTTAAAATAGAGATGAGGGCTGGGCTCGGTGTCTCGCGCCTGTAATCCCAGCACTTTGGGAGGCCAAGGTGGGCAGATCACTTGAGGTCAGGAGTTCAAGAACAGCCTGGCCAACATGGTGAAACTCTGTCTCTACTAAAAATACAAAAATTAGCCGGGCGTGGTGGCTCATGCCTGTAAACCCAGCTACTCGGAGGCTGAGGCAGGAGAATCGCTTGAAACCAGGGGGCGGAGGTTGCAGTGAGGGGAGATCACCCCCCTGCACTCCAGCCTGGGCGACAGAGCAAGACTCCTTTTCAAAAAAACAAACATGTAGCAATGAAGCCATTAAAATAATTTATTTTTTATTTCTTTTTCTTTTTGTATGAATCGACTTTGGATAAGAAAAAAATCTACTTTTTAAAGAGCTGGGTTTGTGTGGTGGGACACCTATTGGGTGCAACAATGTGGAGAACACTGCCCTCTGGCGGTCACTCCCAGTATAGTACCAGAGAGGTGGGGAAGCTTCCCTTGCTATTCTAGGACTGACCATGAGACGGCAGAAGAATACAGTATTTGCTTCTTTTCTATTTCTATTATACTTGCTTTTCTTTTTCTTTTCTATTTCTATTTGCTTCTTTTCTATTTTCTGTTCCTTCTTTTCTATTTTTTTAAATTTAAGTGTAGCTAAGGGGACTCACTATGTTGCCCAGGCTGATCCCCGACTCCTCGGGTCAAGTGACCCTCTCACCTTGGTCTCTCAAAGTGCTGGAATTATGGGCATGAGCCACCATGCCTGGCCTAAAACCCTGTTCCTAATCTCTAGGTTGGTCCTCAAAGCCTCACACTCAGCCGGGTGCCCAGGGATTGGGGCAGGAGTGACCTCACAGAGCTGCCCACAGTAATGATGCCTGAAGTGCTCCAGCTAGCAGGCTAAGCCTTGTCTTCTCTGCCTCCACAGCAACTCATAGCAGCCCTAGGGAAGGCCACATCCCAGACCCCTAAACCCAGAGAGACAGAACGCAGACCTGGGTGGCAAGGACTCAGTAAGTTATTGAGTGCCAAACCGGGCCACCACTGTGCTTGGCTTTAGGAAAACTTGACATCTATAAAACTTTTAATCTCTAGTAGGTGCTCAAAAAAGCCATTCACTCTTTCATGTAACCAAGAAAAGATGTTTGAGCACCTGCAAAGTGCCAGGCACTGTCCTAGTCACTGAGGACACAGTGAGAAGCAAAAGGGGCCCAGGTCCTGCCCACATGGGACTTATAATTTGGTGAGGGAACAAAAAAAATTTAGTCTCAAAAAACCAAAGTTTGGTTAGATGCTGTGAAAAAGGATGGGGTTCTTTAAGGGCACCTGAGAGAGGGGTCTTGTTTTTCCTGGAAGCCAAAAAGAAGCATAAAGGTTGATACGGTTTGGACGTTTGTCCTCCAAATCTCATGTTGAAATGTGATTCCTGGCTGGGCATGGTGGTTCATGCCTGTAATCCCAGCACTTTGAGAGGCCAAGGCAGGCAGATCACTTGAGGTCAGGAGTTCGAGGCCAGCATGGACAACATGGTGAATCCCCATCTATACTAAAAATACAAAACTTAGCTGGGCATGGTGGCACGTGTCTGTAATCCCAGCTACTCAGGAGGCTGAGGGAGGACAATAGCTTGAGCCTGGGAGACAGAGGTTGCAGTGAGCCGAGATTGTAGTGAGCCGAGATTGTGCCACTGCTCTCCAGCCTGGCTGACAGAGCAAGACTCTGTCTCAAAACAAAACAAACAAACAAAACTACCTCTTAACTTAGTCCCCTCGCATTTTTTTTTTTTTTTTTTTGAAACAGAGTCTCAGTCTGTTACCCAGGCTGGTGTGCATGCAGTGGCACAATCATGGCTCACCTTCCACCACAGACTACAAACATGTGCCACCACATCCGACTAAGTTTTTTTTGTTTTTTTTGTTTTTTGGGGTTTTTTTTTTTTTTTTTGTAGAGATGGGGATCTCACCATGTTGCCCAGTCTGGTCTCAAGCTCCCAAGCTCAAGTGATCCTCTCATTTCGGCCCCCTAATGTATTGTCATTCCAGCCATGAGCCATGGTGCCCAGCATCTCCTGCTTTTTAACTTTGTTTTTAAAAGCTTCTTGATTTTTGTTTCAATTTAATACTGTCTTGGCAACTTTTTAACTTTTTGTTGTTTAGTCTCACTCTCTTGCCCAGGCTGGAATGCAGTGGCCAGATCTCAGCTCACTGCAACCTCCACCTCCCAGGTTCAAGCGATTCTCTTGCCTCAGCCTCCCGAGCAGCTGGGATTACAGGTGCCCACCACCATGCCCAACTAATTTTTGCAATTTTAGTAGAGACGGAGTTTCACCATGTTGGCCAGGCTGGTCTCCAACTCCTGACCTCAGGTGATTCACCCATCTCGGCCTCCCAAGGTGCTGGGATTACAGGCATGAGCCACTGCGCCCAGCCCAATTCTGCTATTAAAGGACTCTGATGCATTCTTCAGTATGCCAATTGCATTTTTCAGCTCCAGAAATTCTGCTCTGGATGTTTTTTAATTATTTCAATCCCTTTGTTAAATGTATCTGATAGAATTCTGAATTCCTTCTCTGTGTTATTTTGAATTTCTTTGAGTTTCCTCAAACAGAATTCTGTCTGAAAGGTCAGAGCTCTGTTTCTCCAGGATTGGTCCCTGGTGTCTAATTTGGTTCATTTGGGGAGGTCATGTTTTCCTGGGTCATGCTGCTAGCAGATGTTCTTCGGTGTCTGGGCATTGAAGAGTTCAGTATTTATTGCAGTCTTCATTGTCTAGCCTTAGTTGTCTTTTTTTTTTTTTTTTTTTTTTTTGAGATCAAGTCTCACTTTGTCACCCAGGCTGGAGTGCAGTGGTGCGATCTCGGCTCACTGCAACCTCTGCCTTCCGGGTTCAAGCAATTCTCTGCCTTAGCCTCCCAAGTAGCTAGGATTACAGGCGCCTGCCACCACGCCTGGCTAATTTTTGTATTTTTAGTAGAGATGGGGTTTCACCATCTTGGCCAGGCTGGTCTTGAACTCCTGGACTCGTGATCCACTCTCCCCAGCCTCCCAAAGTGCTGGGATTAGAGGCGTGAGCCACCGCGCCCAGCTGTACCCGTCCTTCTTAGGAAGACTTTCCAGATATTGAAAGGACTTGGGTGTTGTGATCTAAGCTGTATCTGCTTTAGGGGGCACCCACACCCAGTAACACTGTGGTTCTTGCAGACTCATAGAGGTACTGCCTTGATGGTCTCAGACAAGATCTGGGCGAATTCTCTGGATTACCAGGCAGAGACTCTTGTTCTCTTCCCTAACTTTCTCTCAAATAAATGGAGTCTCTCTCTCTGTTCTGAGCCACCTGAAGCTGGGGGTAGAGTGACACAAGCACCCCTGTGGCCACCAGCACTGTGACAGTGCTGCAGACCCAAAGCCAAGACAGCAATGGGTCTTGCCCAAGGCCTGCTGTAACCACTCCCTGGCCACTGCCTATGACAGTTCAAGGGCCTGGGGCTCTGCAATCAGCTGGTGGCAAAGCCAGCCAGGCCTGTGTCCTTCCTTCCAGGGCAGTGAGGTCTCCCAGGCCCTAGGCAGGTCCAAAGATGCTGTCTGCAAGCCAGGGACTAGAGTCCAAAATCTTACAAGTCTACCTGGTGTTCTATTGTACTGTGGCTGAGCTGGCACTCAAATCACAAGACACAGCCCTACCCGCTGTTCCCTCCCCTTTCTAAAGGCAGAGGAGCCTCACCCCGTGGCCACCACCACCACAGGCCCACAGGGAGTTCTGCCAGAGTTCCCTTAAGGCCCAAAAGCTCTTCAGTCAGCTTGTGGTGAATGCTGCATGGCTGGGACTCACCCTTCAGGGCAGTGGGCTCCTCTCTGGCCCAGGGTAGGCCCAGAAATGCCACCCAAGAGTCAAGTCCTGGAATTGGGGACCCCAAGAGTCCACTTGGCACTCTACCCCTCTGTGGCTGTGCTGGTTCCTAAAGTGTAAGACAAAGTCCCCTTTACTTTTCACTCTGCTTTGCTCAAGTGGAAGGAGCCTCACCCCACAGCCACCACAGCTGGGAATGTGCTGAGTCTCACCTGAAGCCAGCAAGTCTCAGAGGCTCACTGAGGCCCTTGACATAGCTCCTGGGCATCGCTGCTGGTTATTCAGGGCCCAAGGGCTCTTCAGTCAGCAGGGGGTGAATGCTGCCAGGACTGGCTCCTTCCCTTCAAGGCAACAGGTTCTCTTCCTGCCAAGGGTGTGTATAGAAATGTCATCTGGGAGCTAGGGCCTGGAAGTGGGGTCTCTGACTAGTGCCCTATCCTGCTGTGGCTGAGCTGGTAGTCAAGATGCAAGACAAAAGTCCTCCCCACTCTTCCCCTCTCCTCTCCTCAAGAGGAGGGAAGGGGTCTCTTTTGGAGCCATGAGCTGTGCAGCCTGGGGTTAGGGGAGGGGTGATGCCAGCATGCCCTTGGCTGCCCCAGCTGATGTCTCAATAGGTCATGTGCCCTGCCCCCCAACTGGCTGAGTGATTTTGAGTGACCTTGAACAAGTCATGTCACCACTCAGAGACAGATAATGGGTATGAATCACGCATTCATTCAACAAACACTTCTTGGGAGCCTGTCGTTGCCCAGGCCTGTTCAGGACACTGTGCAGGTAGCCTGGAGCAGGACTCTCGCTCTGTTTCCAGGCTTTCCAGTCTAGTGGAGAATCTGGACACAGACATGAACAGGTGGTCACGCTACTGTAGTGTGCACAGAGTGACCCAGCATGGTAGCCTGGGGGACATAGGCGCTCTTGCAAACCAACTCCTGGGGACTCGGCCCAAACCCTTTGCTAGCCAGTCCTCCGTGGAGGCCATGATCCGCTGCAGCTGCTGAGCCTGGGGTGGTGGATGGGTGCAGCCGGCCTGGGGAAGGAGGGTATGGCACAGATGCCCTCCGTCCCCGATCCCCAGGCATCCCTGGAAGTGGCTTTGGGGAACAAGTCCCTCGAATACCCTTGAGATTATTTTGTCATTTGCTCTTTTTCTTGAATATGACGGGGGGTGGGGGGCGGCAGATGTGTGGCTGTTACAGTTTGCCCTGCTTGCCCTCCCTCTCTCCCTCCCCATTCCCATCTTCCCTCCCCATTCCCATCTTCCCTCCCCATTCCCATCTTCCCTCCCCATTCCCATCTTCCCTCCCTCCATCTGCCATTTGCAGAACCCCTTACACATTTTCCCAAATCAGCAGCCCTGTGAGTTCCTTTGGATCAGACAGCTGAAAAACAATAGCATCAATTAAATGTTCATTGTTGGAAAGCAGAAAGAACTGTCGCCCCTAATCTTGCTCCTCAGAGAGAACCATTGAGAATATCTTGGAAAATAGACATCTAGTTTTTTTTTTCTCCATGTGTATTCATTTTATTTTATATTTTATTTTATTTTATTTATTTATTTTTTAAGACGGAGTTTTGCTTCTGTTGCCCAGGCTAGAGTGCAATGGCATGACCTCGGCTCACCGCAACCTTTGCCTCCTGGGTTCAAGCGATTCTCCTGCCTCAGCCTCCCGAGTGGCTGGGATTACAGGCATGTGCCACCAAGCCTCGCTAACTTTTTTTTGTTTTTTGTTTTTTGTTTTTTTTTAGTAGAGACGGGGTTTCTCCATGTTGGTCAGGCTGGTCTCAAACTCCCAACCTCAGGTGATCTGCCCACCTCGGCCTCCCAAAGTGCTGGGATTATAGGCATGAGTCACCGTACCTGGCTTTATTGTTATTTTTTATTTTTTGAGATGGATTCTTGCTCTGTTGCCCAGGTTGGAGTGCAATGGTGCCATCTCGGATCACTGCAGCCTCTGCCTCCCCGGTTCAAGTGCTAGGTGCAGTGGCTCATGCCTGTAATCTCAGCACTTTGGGAGGCTGAGGCAGGCAGATAACCTGAGGTCGAGAGTTCAAGACCAGCCTGGCCAATATGGCAAAACGCCATCTCTACTAAAAATACAAAAATTAGCTGGGCATGGTGGCGCACATCTGTAGTCCCAGCTACTCAGGAGGCCACGGCAGGAGCATCACTTGAACCCAGGAGGTAGAGGCTGCAGTGAGCCGAGATCACATCACTGAGCTCCAGCCTGGGTGACAGAACGAGACTCTGTCTCAAAAAATAATAATAATAATTAAAAATAAAAATTGATATATAGTTTTACACTATAGGGTCATATTGTATATATTTCATAACTTTGCCTTTGCAATCCATGTGGTTCCTGTTTAAAGAGAGAGAGACTGAGGCAGAGAGGATGGAGTGACTGTCAGAAAATGTTGGGGCAGAGTGGGGCGTGAACCCCTCTTCCTGTCCTGTCCCTCAGGTGCCTTGGAGCAATTTCAGGGCCCACCTAAAGCTGGTAGGGCAGAGGCTGACGGCCCATTGGACTGGCCCCTCCGCCTGCTTTCCAGATGGTGCAGGACATGGAGCCTCTGTCAGCCATGCAGTGTGACCAAGACCCAGCCCCCACATGAGCACCCACCTCACATGCCCTCCTGGACACACAGCTGGGCTGCATGCCATGGTCCGGGCAAAGCATCCCTAATGTTTTCTCTAACGCTGAAAAACAGACAAAAAGAGTTCAGAAATCACCCCCAGATCCCACCACTCTACACATCGTCCAGTAAGAAGGGAAATGCCCATCTTTACCCATCAGCTCCCAGCACCACCGTCCCATCCCCCACCCCTGCCACATTCTAACCTCTGTTACCGGTTTGGGGCATAGTCTTCCCAAACTTTCCCCAAGTTTAAGTAGACATCACTTTACGGGTAAGTGTATAGATAGTTTACAGAATAATACATTTTTTCCTTCTTAAACATGGGATTAGGCCGGGCGCAGTGGCTCATGCCTATAATCCCAACACTTTGGGAGGCCGAGGAGGGTGGATCACCTGCAGTCAGGAGTTCAAGACCAGCCTGGTCAACATGGTGAAACCCTGTCTCTACTAAAAATACAAAAATTAGCTGGGTGTGGTGGCACATGCCTGTAATTCTAGCTACTTGGGAGGCTGAGGCAGGAGAATGGTTTGAACCTGGGAGGTGGAGGTTGCAGTGAGCAGAGATCATGCCACTGCACTCCAGCCTAGGTGATCAAGCAAGACTCCATCTCAGAAAAAAAAAATGGGATTATAGAGCCAGGTGTGGGGATGCACACCTGTAGTCCCAGCTACTTGAGAGGCTGAGGCAGGAGGACCACTAAAGCTCAGGAGTTTGAGACCAGCCTGGGCAACACAGTGAGACCCCCATTTCAAAAAAATTTTTTCAATGGGATTATGCTCTTAATATTGATCTGTATTTTTTACACTCAGTAATATACTATGGATATTTTTTTCAGCTCAGTATTGATAGATTTACCTTATCCTTTTCCAATGACTGCATAGAATTTCATTGCATGGACATAGCATAATTTATTCACTCAGTTCACAATTGATATATAGCTATACATATAAACATAGACAAAAATATAGATAGATGTTACTTTCAGTTTTCTTATTTTTAAAAAACCTTTATTTTCGGTTTGGGGTCCATGTGCAGGTTTGTTATATTGGTAAACTCGTGTCACAGGGGTTTGGCGTACAGATTATTTCGTGACCCAGGTACTAAGCCTCGTACCCAGTATTTACTTTTTCCTGATCCTCTCCCTCCTCCCACTCTCCACCCTCTAGCAGGCCCCGGTGTCTGTTGTTCCCCTCCATGTGTGTATGTGTTCTCATCATTTAGCTCCCACTCACAAGTGAGAACATGCAGTATTTGTTGTTCTGTTCCTGATTTAGTTTCCTAGAGATAATGGCCTCTAGCTCCATCCATGTTCCCGCAAAGGATATGATCTCATTCTTTTTTTTTTTTTTTTTTTTTTTTGAGAGAGAGAGTTTCGCTCTTTTTCCCCAGGCTGCAGTGCAATGGTGCCATCTCAGCTCACTGCAAACTCCGCCTCCCAGGTTCAAGCGATTCTCCTGTCTCGGTCTCCTGAGTAGCTGGGATTAGAGGCATGCGCCACCACACCCAGGTAATTTTGTAGTTTTAGTAGAGATAGGGTTTCTCCATGTTGGTCAGGCTGGTCTCGAACTCCCAACCTCAGGTAATCCACTTGCCTTGGCCTCCCAAAGTGCTGGAATTAAAGGCATGAGGCACCTCGCCCAGCTGATCTCATTCTTTTTTTATGGCTGCATATTTTCAGTTTTCTGCATTACAAGATTACAGAAAACATTAATATCTACACCTGTAACTATATATTTGTATCAGTCTCTAACTGACATTGTCACGCTTTATTTCTATAGGGTCAACTTCTGGAAGTGGAATGGCTAATTCAGAGGGAAGTGGATTTAAAATGTTAGTACCTGTTGTCAACTTACTCTCCTAAATTTACACTCCCATGCACAGAGGGTGAGAGTGCCTGCTCCCCAGGCTCCCCAGCCCTGGATGTAAAAAGTTTTCTGCCTTTAAAAATAGCTGCTCTCAGGAGGCTAAGGCGGGCGGATCACGAGGTCAGGAGATCGAGACCATCCTGGCTAACACGGTGAAACCCCATCTCTACTAAAAATACAAAAAATTAGCTGGGCGTGGTGGCGGGCGCCTATAGTACCAGCTACTCGGGAGGCTGAAGCAGGAGAATGGCGTGAACCTGGAAGGCAGAGCTTGCAGTGAGTCAAGATCGTGCCACTGCACTCCGGCCTAGGCAACAGAGCGAGACTCCATCTCAAAAAAAAAAAAAAAAATAGCTGCTCTTCCCTTCTTTGCAAGGCCCAAGGTTGCCCGGGTGGAAACACATCAGCCCCAGCAGGCAGGGAGGAGGCCGAGGGAGGCAGGTGTGGATCCTGGGAGCTCCACTTCCTCATCCCAAGAACCGGGGACTGTGTTACCTCAGGGGCAAAGGGCTTTGCAGATGTGATTAAGGTGAAGGAACTTAAGATGTGGAGATAATACTGGATTAACTGGGTGGGCCCAAACTAATCACACAAGTCCTTAAAAGCTGATAACCCTTCCCAGCTGTGGTCGGAGAGAGGCGAAGTTGCTGGCTTTGAACATGGAAGAAGAGGCCGTGGGCCAAGGAACATGAGCAGCCTCTAGAACTTGGAAAAGGCCAAAAAATGGCCTCTCCCCTAGAGCCTCCAGGAGCACAGCCCTGTCCACACCTGGATTTTAGCTCAGTGAGACCTGTGTTGCACTTCTTGTCTTTAGAACTGTAAGACAATTAATTTATGTTGTTTTAAACCACAAAGTTTGGGATTATTTGTTACAGCAGCAACAGAAAATAAATACAGTAGACACAAAACAGCCTATCACCATGGCCAGATTTCTCAGGACCTGGGAGGCTAGGCAGGCCTCTCTGGCTCCAACTCCTTCAGGGAAGAACCCTTTAGCCACCAAAGGCGCTGTCTTGCTGTACTGATTCTCCCACCAAGAAGGCCCTGCTGCCTCCCTTTGGACTTGGCCTTCAGCTCCTTCCAGCCCAGCCACTACACCCTCCCCACCTGCCTTCTGGAGCCCAGTCAACCCTCAGGGAGCACCTCTTCCTTGAACACAGTGCGATTGGGCTCACCTGTACCTCCTCTTTTGTCGGGAGGATGGAGGGCCAAAGAGAAGCATAGGATACCTTCTCTCCTCTCCTGAGCCCTGAATCCATTTGGGGCACACAGACCCACAGAGAACAAGGGCTCGTGTGTACGCCTGGGCCCTTCTCCAGGTGAGCACCAGCCTTGAAGGGCAAGACAGCGTTGTTCCTCTGTGCCTTCCAGAGCTTTTACTTGAGTTAGATGGTAAGGCTACCTAAGCAGATGCTTTTAATGGCCCTGTCACACCCCTTCAGCCCCTGATGACAGCCACAGTTGTGGTGGACCGCTGTAAATGGATGCTGATGGTGGCTCATCCCTCAAAGCTTACGTTCTGTGACCCTCCACTCCTCTGTCCCAGGACTTTCTCAAAAGCTGCAGAATCTTGCTGGGCCCCTGGGCAAGCACAGCCTGGTAGGGTGGGGAAGCTGACCTCCAGGCCATCCACAGCCAGTGCGGGGAGGAGCCAGGGGAGGAACCCCAGCCTCCCACCCTGAGATGGACCATTCTGGGCCAGGTGTGATGCCTTGTGCCTGCAATCGCGCTACTCAGGAGGCTGAAGCAGGAGGATCGCTTGACCCCAGCCAGGGGTTCAGGATGGACCATTCTGGGATGACTTCTGTATGAGACAAGCAACCTCAATCACACACCTTTTGTCAGCATTTCCACTGTCCCTGTGGCAGCCCCTCCCTTCCTCACCCCTGCTTCCTGGGAGGACCCCGATAAACTCTTGCACCCAAGTCCTTGTCTGAGGCTCTGCTTCCAGCAGAAGCTGTAAGGGTCTCCAGGGTCATAGGAATTTAATCAACTGAACAATCCACTTGTTTTATAGCCTCCTGACCTGCAGCCTGTTTCTTCCTAAACCCCGTGCGGAATGCACTCGCCTACTTGGTTAAAATCAGCTCCTGGCCGGGCGTGGTGGCTCATGCCTGTAATCCCAGCACTTTGGGAGGCTAAGGCAGGCAGATCGCATGAGGCCAGGAGTTTGAGACCAGCCTGGGAACATGGTGAAACCCTGTCTCTACAAAAGATACAAAAATTGGCCGGGCACAGTGGCTGACATCTGTAATCCAGGCACTTTGGGAGGCCGAGGAAGGCAGATCACTTGAGGTCAAGAGATCGAGACCACCCTGGCCAACAAGGTGAAACCCCATCTCTACTAAAAATACAAAAATTAGCTGGGTGTAGTGGCACGCAGGAGAATTGCTTGAACCCAGGAAGCGGGGTTCAAGGTTGCAGTGAGCCAAGATCGTGCCACTGCACTCCAGCCTGGTGATAGAGCAAGACTCTGTCTCAAAAAATAAAAATACAAAATACAAAAATTAGCTGGGTGTGGTGGCTAATTAATTAGTTCCAGCTATTCGCGAGGCTTAGGTGGGAGGATTGTTTGAGCCTTGAGCCTGGGAGGCAGAGGTTGCCGTGAGCCAAGATGGTGCCACTGCATTCCAGCCTGGGCAACAGAGTAAGATCTTGTCACACACACCAAAAAAAGGCTGGGCGCGGTGGCTCACGCCTGTAATCCCAGCACTCTGGGAGGCCGAGGCGGGCGGATCATGAGGTCAGGAGATCAAGACCATCCTGGCTAACACGGTGAAACCTTGTCTCTACTAAAAATACAAAAAATTAGCCGGGCGTGGTGGCAGGCGCCTGTAGTCCCAGTTACTCGGGAGGCTGAGGCAGGAGAATGGCGTGAACCCGCGAGACAGTTTGCAGTGAGCGGAGATTGCGCCACTGCACTCCAGCCTCAGCAACAGAGCAAGACTCTGTCTCAAGATTAAAAAAAGTCAGCTCCTGACAGAGCCCTCAACTTACAGATGAACCCAAGTGACCTCTCCTCATGAGCCTGCTACGGTCTCCACTCAGGAGGAGAGATGGCTTCATCACCATCGCATGCGGCCCAGGTGCTGGTGTGATGGCTCACTGCATCTACGCCACTGGGGCTTGGCCTGTACACACGACCACACAACCTCTCCCCTCTCCTCACCCGATAAAACCCTCCTGTCACTCTCCCTGGAAGAGGCACTGCTTTAGAGAATCCTCCCAGCGTCCTTACTCACACCTAGTAATAAAATGCCTATTGATAACCCCTGGGTTTTTTTTTCCAGGTAACAAACCCAAACTAAGGTGCTCAGGAACGATCACAACCAAAACTTGAGTATCTTGTATGCCAGAGGGACTATCAATAAGGGCCCTGAGACCTAGCAAAGTCACCCCTACAACACACAGGCTTGGCAGATGGTTTCAGTCTAATCCAGACCAGAGAGACATAACAACCAAATGTAGCCAGGAAATTTGATTGGATCCTGGATCAGGAAATAAAAAAGACAATTTAAGGGAAAAGTTGAAGAAATGTGAATGTCCTGTAGACTGCATGTTTGCTGATCTTTTTGAATGAATGTTATTCTCGGGTGTCATGATGATTCTGTGATTCCGTAGGAGGATATCTTTGTTCTTAGGAGACGTACACCTTCGTGTTTATGGGTGAAGGGCCAAGAGATTGGCAAGTTACTTTCAAATTAGAAAATAGACAGAGGCTGGGCATAGTGGCTCACACCTGTAATCCCAGCACTTTGGGAGGCCGAGGCAGGCGGATCACCTGAGGTCGGGAGTTTGAGACCAGCCTGACCAACATGGAGAAACCCCGTCTCTACTAAAAATATAAAAATTAGCTGGGCATGGTGGTGCATGCCTGTAATCCCAGCTGCTCGGGAGGCTGAGGCAGGAGAATCGCCTGAACCCAGAAGGCGGAGGTTGCAGTGAGCAAAGATCATGCCATTGCACTCCAGCCTGGGCAACAAGAGGGAAACTCCATCTCAAAAAACAAAAACAAAAGAAAAAGAAAATAGAGACACAGAGACAGAGATTAAAAGGATGGGGACGGGAGGGAGAAAACATGCTAAAATGTGAAGAATTGGTGAAATCTGGGTTGGGGGCACACAGGTATTCATTGAAGAAGAACAGGTGTGCACAAAGGGCTGCAAGCCTCCAGATTAAAAAAAGAAGCTATTCTTGAGACCCGTGGCTCACGCCTGTAATCCCAACACTTTGGGAGGCCAATGCAGGCAGATCATGAGGTCAGGATTTCAAGACCAGCCTGGCCAACATGGTGAAACCCTGTCTCTACTAAAAAATACAAAAATAAGCTGGGCATGGTGGTGGGTGCCTGTAATCCCAGCAACTCAAGAGCCTGAGGCAGGAGAATCACTTGAACCTGGGAGGCAGAGGTTGCAGTAAGCCGAGATTGCACCACTGCACCAGCCTGGGCAACAAGAGCAAAACTCTGTCAAAAAAAAAAAAAAAAGAAAGAAAAGAGAAAGAAAAGACAGAAAGGAAGAAAGGAAGAAAGAAGAAAGACAGACAGAAAGAAAGACAGAGAAAAATTACTGGGGAGCCAGGAAGGCCTCATGGAGGAGGTACTATCTAGGATGAGCCTGAAGTTTGGGTATGTTCATGGCAGAGACAAAGGTGTTCCCAGTACAGGAAACAACACGTGCAAAGGTGTGAGGGTTAGATGTGACTTAGATATGATTAGCCGATGGGTTCCTCCTGCTTCCTGTACGAACAAAACCAATTCATTGAGACCATGGTACTGCAGTAGAGAAAGAAGGTAGCTACGTGGAAGACGGAGTTATTACTAAAATCAGTGTCCCCAAAGGCTCAGAGGTTAGAGTTTTTCAAGGACAGTTTGGTGGGCAGGGGGCTGGGGGAGAAGGAATATTGATTGGTTGGGGTGAAATCACAGGGGTGTGGAAAATTGTCCTCGTGCTCCAAGTCCTCTGGGTGGGGGCCACAGGACCAGTTGAGTCACGAGTCGGTGGTCCAGGTGGGGTCAGTTGATCATCAGAAATGCAAAAGTCTGAAAAGACATCTCAAAAGGCCGATCTTCGGTTCTACAAGAGTGTTGTTATTTATAGGAGTAACTGAGGAAGTCACACATCTGTGACATCCGGAACAATACTGATAATAATTTACTGCGCCTTCATCTTATCAGAGTTCAGGCCCTTCTCATAACCCTATCTTTGTGGACTTTTATTAGCTTTACAAAGGTGGTTTAGTTTTGGGAAGGGCTATTACCATGCTTGCCTTAAGCTAAAAACTAAATTCCTCCCAAAGTCAGCTTGGCCTATGCCCAGGAATGACCAAGGACAGCTTGGAGGTTAGAGGGAAGATGGAGTCCACTCTGTCAGAGTTCTCTCACTGTCATAATTTTGCAAAGGTGGTTTCACTAACACAATGTGGCAGGTGTTATGGGTTGGGCCACTCATCACATATTCAAGTTGGATCAGGTAGGATCTTAGACAACTACAAACTCACCTTTTCTCAAGCCCTTGCAGCTAGCAGTGGCCATGTGACACAATTTTGACCAAGAAAGCTACTGGGGAATCCCAGGAAAGTCTTTGCTTTCCTGATACGGCTGCAAACTTGTCTTCTGTCTCCTTCCTCCTGGAACTCAGACCTAATTGACGTGGGGCTGGCCATGCAGGAGACAGAAATATGTAAAACACAATACTCACCAACAGTAGAATACACATTCTTCTAGAATACCCAAGGAATGCTGGTCAAGATAAACCATATGGACCAGGCATGGCAGCTCATATCTGTAATCTCAGCACTTTGGGAGGACAAGGTGGGCAGATTGCTTGAACCCAGGCATTCAAGACCAGCCTGGGTAATATGGCAAAACCCCATCTCTTCAGAAAATATAAAAAATTAACTGGAAGTAGTGGAGCACACTTGTAGTCCCAGCCACTCAGGAGGCTAAGGTAGGAGAATCGCTTGAACCTGGGAGGTCAAGGCTGGGGGACAGCCTGGGGGACAGAGTGAGACCCTGTCTCAAAAAAAAAAAAAAAAAAAAAGACAAACTGTATGTTGGACCATAAAATGAGTCTCAATAAACTTAACAGGATTGAAACAATACAGAGTATGTTCTTTGATCCAATGGAATTTAAAAAATTCTTTTAGAAATCAATAGCAATATGATATCCAGAAACACCCTCAAAGGAAGCAAGACTTCTAAATACATATTCTCTGGGCCACGGAAAAAGTCACAAGGGAAATTAGAAAATATTTATAAGTGAAAGATAACAAAAGCACAAAATATTAATTTCTTTTAGTAGATTTTTATTTATTTATTTATTTATTTTGAGGCAGAATCTCACTCTGTTGCCCAGGCTGGAGAGCAGTGGTGTGATCTTGGCTCTCTGCAACCTCTGCCTCCCAGGTTCAAACGATTCTCCTGCCTCAGCCTCCCAAGTAGCTGGGATTACAGGTGCCCATCACCACGCTCAGCTAATTTTTTCATATTTTCAGTAGAGACAGGGTTTCGCCATTTTGGTCAGGCCAGTCTTGAGCTCCTGACCTCAGGTGATCCGCCCGCCTGGGCCTCCCAAAGTGCTAGGATTACAGGCATGAGCCACCGTGCCCGGCCTCTTTTAGTAGATTTTTAAAATTTTCTTAGAGACAGGGTCGTGTTCTGTCACACAGGCTGGAGTGCAGTGGTGCAATCATAGCTCGCTGCAGCCTCAACCTCCTGGGCTCAAGTGATCCTCCTGCCTGGGCTTCCCAAAGTGCTGGTGAAGGGTTGACAAGCATTGCATGCTGGGTTCTAGACAGAAATACAGTTACAATTAAGCATTAATCAGGCTACACTTTCGCCCACTTCCTTGTTTCTAGAAGTCAGCATGAGATCCTGACCGATTGCATCCCCATTGTTCCCATAGACAGGGTCTCTGACATAAGAATCATAAGGCTTTTCTTGAAGGATCACTTCAGATGTTTTTCAGACGCCAAATTCCAGCAGCCAGTTTGGACACTCCCACAGAGGAATGGGATCAGCATGGGAATACAGCTGCTTCCTCTCCCAGTCCCATGACTTCACCCTGCACTTTTCCACCAATCAGTGATCTCCACACTTCAGCCCACTCCAAAACCCTTAGGAACCCTAGCCCCAGGCTCCTCAGGGAGATGGATTTGAGGTTCTCTCCCATTTCTTTGTTTGGTGACCCTACGATTAAACCTCTTTCTCTTCTGCAGCCTGGGGTCTTGTATTGACATGCTGTGTGCTTTGGGCAATGAACTTCTCACAGTTATACTGAGGTCACAGGCATGAGCCACTGTGCCCAGCCCTCTTTCAATAGTTTTTTTTTTTTTTTTTTTTTTTGGAGGCGGAGTCTCGCTCTGTTGCCCAGGCTGGAGTGCAGGGGTGCAATCTCGGCTCACTGCAACCTCTGCCTCCTGGGTTCAAGCGATTCTCCTGCCTCAGCCTTCAGAGTAGCTGGGATTACAGGCACGCACCACCACGCCTGGCTAATTTTTGTATTTTCAGTAGAGACAGGGTTTCACCATGTTGGCCAGACTGATCTCGAACTCCTGACCTTAGGTGATCTGCTTGCCTTGGCCTCCCAAAGTGCTGGGATTACAGGTGTGAACCACTGTGCCCAGCCCAGTAGATTTTTTTTTTTTTTTTTTTTTTTTGAGACGGAGTCTCGCTCTGTCGCCCAGGCTGGAGTGCAGTGGTGGGATCTCGGCTCACTGCAAGCTCCGCCTCCCGGGTTCACGCCATTCTCCTGCCTCAGCCTCCCAAGTAGCTGGGACTACAGGCGCCCGCCACTACGCCCAGCTAATTTTTTGTATTTTTAGTAGAGACGGGGTTTCACCGTTTTAGCCGGGATGGTCTCGATCTCCTGACCTCGTGATCGGCCCGCCTCGGCCTCCCAAAGTGCTGGGATTACAGGCGTGAGCCACCGCGCCCGGCCTAGATTTTTTTATTTCAGAATTGTATCTGGCTATTCCAGGATTTCCATGGGCTTCTTAATTCCCCTGGTCTCCTGAGAGTCTCGCCCAGCACACGTGCAGGTCAGGAGTTGGCAAAGAATCTTAGGGTGTTCTTAGGCAGATGTTGCTCTCCCCCTCCCCAACCCCAATCATGGCTCCTACTCTGCTGGGATTTCCTCCCTCCATCCCTAGCTGCTGGACCTGCCCTTAACTCCTGTTACCACTAGGGATGTCTCTGAGTCACATGGCACCAGAGTAGTTTAGAGGCAGTGAATCTGTATGGTCATCTGCACAGGTCTGCAGCAACCTCAATCCTTGCCTCCTCAGAAGACAGAATTCAACCAAAGGGCATAAGGCAGAGTGAGAGACCAAGGCATGTTTTAGAGCAGGATCAAAAGTTTATTAAAAAATTTTAGAGCAGGAATGAAAGGAAGTAAAGTACACTTGGAAGAGGGCCAAGCAGGCAACTTGAGAGAGTCAAGTGCACGGCTCAACCTCTGACTTGGGATTTTGTATGTTGGCACGCTTCCGCGGTTTTGCATTATTTCTCCCCTGATTCTTCCCTTGGGGTGGGCTGTCTGCATGCACAGTGGGATGACAGCACTTGGGAGGGAGCATGCTCAGTGTGTGTACTGAAGTTGGGCACATGCTCACTTGAGGCATTCTTCCCTTACCAGTGAGTGTTCCTAGAGGAAGGTTACATGCCAGTTAAACTCCACCATTTTGCCTCTTAGTGCGCATGCTGGAGCCCACTCACCTAACTCCTGAGATCTTACCCAGAAGCTGCTTCAGGTGTTTCTATCTATTAGGAGACTGCCTTTCCCTGGCACTGGCTGCAACCACTTATTATTTTAGAGAGACAGTTAACAACCGCCTGACCATCACCTGATGGTTGCCTGACATTCCTGGTGTTGGGGGGCCCTGTTGATGTCTCGCTAACTATCTACTGTAACACTCTGACCTCTGATCCCTGAAGCCAGTGTCCAGTGGCTTTCATCCTCTGGATACCAGAGGGAAAACTGGAGAAACATGGATGTCAGCCCACGACCCCCTTCTTTCAAGAGTCACATCCACTCCACTCTCCTGCTCTGTGCTGTTCTCCAATGCCTTCAAAGGGTTGTTTTTTTCTATTGCATCCAGAGCTGTAATTGTTTTTGTTGTTGTTGTTGTTTTTGAGATGGAGTTTCACTCTTGTTGCCCAGGCTGGAGTGCAATGGCGCGATTTTGGCTCACTGCAACCTCTGCCTCCCAGGTTCAAGCAATTCTCCTGCCTCAGCCTTCTGAGTAGCTGGGATTACAGGCATGCACCACCATGCCCGGCTAATTTTTCGTATTTTTAGTAGAGATGGGGTTTCTCCATGTTGGTCAGGTTGGTCTCAAACTCCTGACCTCAGGTGATCCACCCACCTCGGGCTCCCAAAGTGCTGGGATTACAGGTGTGAGCCACCGCACCCGGCCCCAAAGCTGTAATTGTTATTGCCAGATTTGTCCATCTGCCAATGGCAGATAAATGACTCTGCCACTCCTGGGAGCCAGAAGTTAGTCTTGCCCTTGTGTGATCATCTTCCCAGGTATTGACCATGTGACATATGCACATGGTTTCACACAAATGGAGCCATACAGCTCATGTGGCTTTATAGTGCGTATTTTCCCTCAGCAATACATGGATGTCTTTCAGGGTCCAGGTTTATAGATCTACATTGTCCTTTTTAATAGCTACATAGTTTTCCATAGATAATTTATTTTCATAGTTCCAGTTCAGTACACAAACAATACCGTGTAAAACACTTTGTGCAGTTCTTTTTTTATTACTTATTTATTTATTAATAGAGACAGGGTCTCACTATCTTGTCCAGGCTGGTCTTGAACTCCTGGCCTTGGGCAATCCTCCCACCTCAGCCTCCCAAAGTGCTGGGAATACAGACATGAGCCACCATGCCCAGCCCCTTTGTGCATCTTTGTGCACTTCACCAGTTATCTCTGAGGACAAATTTCTAGAAATGAAATTGCTGTGTCCAAGGCATGCCTCCATGACACCCCGTCAACTTTTTGAGAGTCTTTTGAGACCCTCTTCAGTAAGCAAAAGAAAAACATAAATATTTTCTACCCACCTCTGGCCCCAGTCACCCAATTCCCCTTCCTGGAAGCAACTAGCATATTAATTTCTATATAATTCTTCTGGGCATAATCCATGCTTCTATATAAAAAGATAGTAATATATTTCTCCCAATCCATTTCACACAATGGTAGCCAGCTCTGAACACAATTCTGCCCTTCTGGCACATTCTACTTGTTTTGTTTCAGACACAGGGTATCTCTGTCACCCAGACTAGAGTGCAGTGACGTGATCTCGGCTCACCTCAGCCTCGACCTCCCAGGCTCAAGCGATCCTCCTACCTCAGCCTTCCAAGTACAAACTACAAACAGGAGCCACCACATCTGGTTAATGTTTTTTCGTGTAGAGAGGGGGTCTCCCTCTGTTGCCACCTCCTAAAATGCTAGGACTACAGGCGCGAGCCACCATGCCTGGCCCTTCTAGCACACTTTAATTTTTTTTTTCCTGGTATTTTCACAAAGATGGAATGGCATATTTTAAAAGTAAAGATACTAAGAATAAAACACAATATTGTAAGCTTTATAAATGGGCCCCAAAATATTTTCCCAAGATGTTTTTTAATTAGTCCCCAAAGATGGAAGAAAAGAGAAGTAACTAATGTTAACATGTTATATCCTCTATCTTTGATTGTCTGTGGACAAGTGACTGTCAATGGCAGAGACGCAGGACAGAGGGAGAGGCGTGACCCTGCCACCCATGTCCTGCTAAGGCCACGTCTGTAGCCAGCCCTGTTCTCCAAGAGGAGATGCCCCTTCACCTCCCAACCTTGGCCAGGGCTTATTTTTATCCACCCCAATCACCAGCTAGCCTGGCAGCCCTATAATTTGGGAGTCTGGCCACCCCTGTACTATATAATTCCCTGGCAGACCTTCAGACCTTAGGTTGGCCCCTTTGACTTGCATTTTGGTGATGCTCTGTGGCCAGAAGTCTCTTCGGCAAATTAGGGGTCAGAACTTGGTGCAGTGGAGTCAAAATGGGGGAGGGAGTCTGGGGCCTTTGGATTTTTTGCAATCGTCTCACTTCCACCATCAAATTGCATCTGGCCGTCCTGGAAATATGAGTGTACCACCACTTCTCAAAGGAGACCAGTTGGTGCTGAGAGTGGGGCTTGCTATAAAAAGGTGAGGCCGGATCAGGCGTGGTGGCCTGTAATCCTAGTACTTTGGGAGGCCAAGACAGGTGAATTACTGGAGGTCAAGAGTTCGAGACCAGCCTGACCAACATGGAGGAACCCTGTCTCTACTAAAAATATGAAAATTAGCCGGGCATGGTGGCACACACCTGTAATCCCAGGAACTCAGGAGGCTGAGGCAGGAGAGCCACTTGAACCAGGGAGATGGAGGTTGCAGTAAGCCAAGATCGTACCACTGCACTCCAGCCTGGGTGACAGAGCAAGACTCTGTCTCAAAAAAAAAAAAAAAAAACCTGAGGCTGGAGGAGCAGCATGGGGGGCCGGTGGCTCAGGTGCTGAGGCAGCCTTCAGTAAAGCCCATCCCTGTTTCTTGGGCACCATCACTTTAGAGAGGCAGAATTCCTCTGCAGCCTGTCTTAGATTGATCATGTGGCTACATGCTGTCATGCCTCAAGGAAGACACTAGGGGTCCTTTATATGCCTGTCAAGGTTGTTTCACTAAAACTCAGCTTCCATCCTACCTCTCCTCCAGAATCCACAAAATAAAGCCCTAGCTCCTTAGGAAGAAGGGAATCTAGTATGTGTTAAATTGAAATGGAGGTCAGGCCTGAAGAATCCCCGAGCAGATAAAACCAGTTCGGCATCATAAATGATCTAAGCCTTGCTTGATTTACAAACATAAGTAAAACTGAACTTAAGCTATTTCTTGTAAATGCTTATATTAAAGAAAAACAGAAGTTGAACTTAACCAATCAGAAGCAGCCAACAAGCTTATAAGGCTGAGGCAGACGGATCACCTGAGGTCAGGAGTTCAAGAACAACCTGGCTAACATGGTGAAACCCTGTCTCTACTAAAAATACAAAATTAGCCGGGTGTGATGGTGCATGCCTGTAATCCCAGCCCCTACCTGGGAGGCTGAGGTAGGAGAACTGCTTGAACCCAGGAGGCAGAATTTTCAGTGAGCCGAGATCATACCACTGCACTTCAGCCTGGGCAACAGAACTTGACTCTGTCTCAAAAAAAAAAAAAAAAAAAAGGAAAAAAAAGAAAGTGACATTCTTTACTTACCACAGGTCAGGAACCCTGCAAATGGACTGTGTAGACAAGATATGAGGCCAGTTTTCCCAAGGGGCTTTTATTGACTTTATAAGTCAAATTTGATTCCTTAAAGGAAAGCACACCATTCCAGTCAAAGCCTTGGTAAAATAATCAATTTATCAAATTGTGTCCTGTTGCAAAAGAAAACAGATTCTTATTGCACTTGTGTAAATTACTATTTTGCCATAAATTAAGAATACTCACAAATAGCTTCCAAATTTTGGAGAAATCAGGTATGTTCCAAATTTTGTTCACAGGGATATATTTTATTCAATTGCTACAAGCTGTAAATAGCTTAAAAGTTTTCTTGACTCTGAAAAATAAAACAAAGGATCAGCAATGTTTTAACCAAAAAGTCAGAAAGATTATTCCATGCTATTAACTCCTGTTCTGCTTGGTATTCATGAACATTTCAGCTGTACATGAGAGTCCTGAATGTTTTTTCTCTATTCTAATGTCACAGTCTCCAAAGTTATCAGAAATCTGCATTCAAGAGCACCTGTTAAGAGTTCTATAGTTGATTATAAAACTACCTTTTGAAGAGGATTGAAACAAGACAGCAATTGTCTGTGAATGACAAAAGGTCTTTGGGCCTCCATTAAAGCCACAATTGACTAGGAATTTTGGTTATTTCTGTGGCATACAACAATTTACTTAACAATTATAACTACTAATAACATACACTAAGTTGTACAAGAATTATAGAGTTTCCTGTAATTTTGGAACACATACCAATTACATATTTATACAAATACAGCACAAAGAAAACCAAACACCATTTCATATTTGACAATGCTTCCTATATGATTTTTATACCAAATAAGCCAAATTTCACTGTTGCATTATTGACGTTAAACCCAATTCTTAACAAAACCTTATAGACAAATGTATTTCATGTTAATAAGTTTGACCATAAGGTTAAGATTCTCATAAATCTTTTTTTATAACCTTTACAATTTTTGTTAAAGAGTAGGTCTGCTCTAAGAGAGACCTGTTCTGCTTTTATTCCAATGCTCAATTTACAGAAAAACCGAATAATACCCCTTTAACCTTAGCCAATATGTTCACATGCAGAATTTCTTTTACAAGATTAACTTTTCACAAACCTTCCACAACTTGCTTAAACTTTCAGCTTTATCTTATCTAACTTAATGTTTTAATCCTTTAGGCAAAGCCAAAAAAAATTCCCATGACTTCTTATAATCTTTTACCAAAACACATTTCACTTTCTTTATATACCTTGCATGTAAAACTGTTTCTTCAGTAGTCTCAATTACATGTTACATTTTTATGTACTAGGTGTGAAGCCTAAGACATCAGACAGAAGTGCAGGTAAGGGCTGACTCTTTCCAGCATCACAGGGGGCATGGTTATCCACATGTCCCCAAGCCTTTCTAGAATCTAATGCTCCAAAGTAGGTAAATTGAACAATTTTTAAAAGTCAAAGAAGCAATTTATGACCTTAAAGCATTTAGCAAACCTAATATCTGACCTGCCTAATTTAGATCAAATGTCTAAATTTTCAAGACACTTTTATTTTACCAATAATCTTTTTTTGTTTGTTTTTGAGACGGAGTTTTGCTCTTGCTGCCCAGGCTGGAGAGCAATGGCACAATCTCGGCTCACCACAACCTCCACCTCCCAGATTCAATTGATTCTTCTACCTCAGCCTCCCGAGTAGCTGGGATTACAGGCATGCGCCACTATGCCTGGCTAATTTTTTGTATTTTCAGCAGAGACAGGGTTTGTCCATGTTGGTCAGGCTGGTCTCAAATTCCCAACCTCAGGTGATCTGCCTGCCTCAGCCTCCCAAAGTGCTGGGATTACAGGCGTGAGCCACCATACCCATCTACCAATAATCTTTAAAACTGTCTGTATTTCCCAAAAATTACTTAAGTCATGTGAACCAAAAGGCATTACACTTTTTATTTTTCTGATTAAATGTTTGATTTAAGCTCTTTTTATTATTATTATTATTATATTTTTTGAGATGGAGTCTCACTCTGTCGCCCAGGCTGGAGTGCAGTGGCATGATCTCAGCTCACTGCAACCTCCACCTCCTGGGTGTACGCCATTCTCCTGCCTCAGCCTCCCGAGTAGCTGGGACTATAGGCACCCGCCACCACACCTGGCTAATTTTGTATTTTTAGTAGAGATGGGGTTTCACCATGTTAACCAGGTTGGTCTTGATCTCCTGACCTCGGGGCCTCCCAAAGTGTTGGGATTACAGGCGTAAGCCACCGTGCCCGGCCCTTTTTTTTTTTTTTTTTTTTTTTAATTACTGGCTTAGGTTTGAGCAATGATCATTTTAAATTAAATTCCCATTCCCTGGATGGTGGAGACCAAGAGGAAGTTCCGCCACGTGTTTACAAGGTCAAGCTCCCAAGGACATTTTTCAACATGTGGTCTCTGGGCAAGATGGTCGCCCTGAGTAACAGAAAAGATAAGAAAGGGAAAGGAGAGAAAGAGAGAGAGAAAAGCATTGCCTGCAGCAGGGTGGGGAAGGCAAGGTGCTCAGGGAAGCCAGAGAAAGACCCACCCATCGCCTCAATGCTGAATTAAAAGTTCAGGCAGCCACTTGTCAGTTGCAAAGGGATCTTTTCCAGCAGTCCCATCAGCTCTCAAGTTTCCCCTTCTAGGGAGGAAAACACTCCCCATGTTCCATATCCCTGTACATGCCTAATCCTGTCACCAACAGCCCTCAGCAAAGAGTGCAAGGCAGATTAATTCAAAGACAATAGCAGTTAACATCCTATAGTGCCAAACCCATTCTTTGCTGAGAGCGACTTTACTGAGGTGGGGGGCCTCTAACTCCCTAAACTTTAGGAAGGCTTTAACCTTCCTGAGTTGAGACTTGAACCCAAGTTCAATCAAGCGTCCTTACTTTTTTTTTTTTTTTTTTTTTAGGCAGAGTCTCGCTCTGTTGCCAGGCTGTAGTGCAGTGGTATGATCTCGGCTCACTGCAAGCTCCGCCTCCCAGGTTCATGCCATTCTCCTGCCTCTTACCTTTCATTAAGAGGAAGCTTTAAACTTCTCTGTCTTAGGAGAGACTCTAACTCCCCTAAGTTGGGCCTCTAACCCAATCCCATCCTTTATCCAGGTAAATGCATCCCACTTATCTAAAGTCAACCAATCAGTGCTATAGTCTATTTTCTTTGGGTTGGGGGTTTCCTCAGTATTGTCCCTTCCGTGGTTCACCTGAAAGATGTTACCAGAAAGGGGTCCCAATCCAGACCACAAGAGAAGGTTCTTTTTTTTTTTGAAATGTAGTCTCACTCTTGTCACCTAGGCTGAAGTGCAATCGCATGATCTCAGCTCATTGCAATCTCAACCTTCCAGGTTCAAGTGATTCTCCTGCATCAGCCTCCAGAGTAGTTGGGATTACAGGCACCTACCACCAAGCCTAACTAATTTTTGTATTTTTAGTAGAGACGGAGTTTCATCATTTTAGTCAGGCTGATCTTGAACTCCTGACCTCAGGTGATCCACCCACCTCAGCCTCCCGAAGTGCTGTGATTACAGGCATGAGCCACCGTGCCCAGCCAGGTTCTTGGATCTTGCACAAGAAAGAATTCAAGGCGAGTCCATAAAGTGAAAGCAAGTTTATTAAGAAAGTAAAGGAATAAAGAGTGACTACTCCATAGGCAGAGCAGGCAGCCCCGAATTCTATCCCTTGACAGCATTAACCTCTACCTCCTGGAGTGTCATTTGCTTTCCATTCTGTTATCAGATCCTGGCCTGTTTCTCCCTAGAGTATAAGCCCCTTGGGAACAGGGACTTAGTCTGCTTTGATCGCAGCTGAATCTCAGCACCTAGAGCAGGGATGGCATGTTGAGGGCAATCAGCTGGTTTCACGGAACAAATTCAGGGGCAAAGTCCGGATCCGAACCCAGGTCTTGTAACCACCCAATGGGTTCACCTTGCCCGCTGCCTAGACAGACAGAGCCGATTCATCAAGACAGAGGAATTGCAATAAAGAGTGATTCACTCAGAGCTAGCTGTGCAGGAGACTGGAGTTTTATTATTACTCAAATCAGTCTCCCTGAGCATAACAGGATCAGTTTTTAAGGACAACTTGGTGGGTGGTGGGAAGCCAGTGAGCTAGGAGTGCTGATTGGTCAGGTCAGAGATAAAATTGTAGGGAGTCGAAGCTGTCCTCCTGTGCTGAGTCAGTTCCTGGGTGGGGGCCACAAGATCAGATGAGCCAGTTTATGGATCTGCATGGTGTCAGCTGATCCATCAAGTGCAGGGTCTACAACATATCCAAGCACTGAGGTTAGGAGCAGTTTAGGGAGGGTCAGAATCTTGTAGCCTCCAGCTGCATGACTTCTAAACTATAATTTCTAATCTTGTGGCTAATTTATTAGTCCTTACAAAGGCAGTCTTGTCCCCGGGCAAGAAGGAAGTTTGTTTTGGTAAAGGGCTGTTATTGTCTTTGTTTTAAACCATAAACTATAAACTAAGTTCCTCCCAAAGTTAGTTCAGTCAACGCCCAGGAATGAATGAGGACAGCTTAGAGGTTAGAAGCAAGATAGAGTAGGTTAGGTTAGATCTTCACTGTCTGTCATAATTTTGCAAAGGCAGTTTCAGTTTGCCTGATGCTAAATGGTTGCTTTTTCCATCTGCCATCCTACTACAGGGGCATAATGAGATTATGTGATGGAAGGAGGCTGCAGAGTTAGCTCCAGCTGCGCTCAGGATTTCAACCCAGGTCCTCCAGTCCCAGGCTGTCCTGGTGGAGTCCCTAGTGGGTGGGGCTGCAAAAGAGTTTGCCAAACACCCACGATCCTTCCTCCTACCTCTTGCCTGGAGAGTTTAAGCAAGGGGATTTGAGGGAATGGTAGACATCTGGGATATTTCTGAGCATGGCAGCAAAACCCATTCAAAGTTCTCCAGCAGGGTAAGGGTTACTAATGTGGCCGGCCCCTGTATGAAACCCTTGGCCAGCTTGGACTAAAGGCCAGTATCCAGTGCCAGGCCTGCAGTCACAGTCAGATGGGTCTGTGTGTTCCTCACCAGCACAAAGCGGATTCTGGTCACCATGGAAACTGGGCCCCTGGGCTTCCTTCTAAGGACATCTTTGGACAGCATCCAACCAGCCCCTCCTGCCCAAGCTGGCCCTGAGGAGAGGCTCAGAGTGGCCTGGGGTATCCAGGATTGCAGGGCTGACCTGTTGACTCAGTTTCTGATCAGGATTCCAAGAAAGGAGAGATTGCCAGGATTAGCACATTTGGCAGGGGGTTGTGGGTGGCTGGAACCCTGTGCTCAAGACTGGAAAATAGGCGACTGCAGAGTCACTGATTCCAGAGCTACAAGGGACCTTCAGCATCAACTCATCCAATGTCTTTGTTGTCCAGATGGGGAGACTGAGGCCCAGAGAGGGGAAGCAACTTGCCCAAGGTCATGCAGGGTGTGAGTGTCAGAGTGGAAATGGTTTTAGGTTGGATTCCCTGAAGCAAGGCCCTGAGTCTAGGATTTGTGTGAAAGTGATTATTTGGAATTCTTTGGGAGTAGGGAGAGATGGAGGCCAAACAAAGGGGTAATGTCAAGTCATGTACCACAGGTGGGGAGGTGGGGGGTACCCAGTCCTGGAGAGAGCTCAGCTGTGGAGGCAACGTGGGTCACACCTATGAAGTTGTCAGAACAGTCACTACCTTTTTTTTTTTTTTTTTTTTTTGAGACAGAGTCTCACTCTTGTCGCCCAGGCTGGAGTGCAATGGCGCGATCTCGGCTCAGTGCAACCTCTGCCTCCCGGGTTTAAGCAATTCTCCTGCCTCAGCCTCCTGAGTAGCCGGGATTACAGGCGCCCAGCACCACGCCCAGCTAAGTTTTGTAGTTTTAGTAGAGACGAGATTTCACCATGTTGGCCAGGCTGGTCTCGAACTCCTGACCTCAGGTGATCCCTCCACCCCGGCCTCCCAAAGTGCTGGGATTACAGTCGTGAGCCATGGTGCCTGGCCGAACAGTCACTAACACTAAAAAAGAAAAAAAAAAAAAAAAAACCTGACAAATAGAGCCAGAGAAGGCCATGAAGAGATGGTTCTCATGCTTGTATGCCTGATAACAAAAATTATCACAAAAGACTGCAAAACCACAGCCTTGCAGAAAGGCCAATCACAACCTTACACAAAAAGTCTTTCTGCAAGGACATCTGCCTGGCAACTGCCTGTCCAAACTTGAACTGGCGTCACCATGTTACTGATCTTTGTAGCCAAGGATAATTATTTCAAGACCATTATGTAATCCTCCTCATTTTTCCCTTAGAAACCTCTGTCTTCTTTTACCTCCCTGAATACCCGCATAGTTTACTATGGCTGCATATTCCCAAAGCAATGCTCCATTTCCAAATATATTCCTTTTCTTTTGGAGAGCATCTCTCCGTTATTTAGGTTGACACATCTCAAAGTTATCCTGATCAGGTGACAAGGGAGCTGGAAATTCTATGGCTCCCCACTTGCCAGCTGTTGACAAAAATCTGCCCCAGGAGAGCGTGAATTCCCAGGTACTTCCAGGGCTCCCTCCTGAGCACGGGCCAGGCAGGTGATGCAGCCCAGGACAGTCCTTCAACAAAGAGACGCAGACGCTGGCTGTAGGGGGTGGAGCACACTGGGAGAGGGTGGCCCAGAAGTGAAGGGAGCAGGAAGGAAAGATCTCATCTGCTCCAGAGTTCACCAGGTTCTCTCTCATTGTACGGAGGAGGAAACTGATGCTCAGAGAAGGCAAGTCACTTGCTTAAGGTCACACAGTTAGTTAATAGAAGAGGCAGGCCTGGGACCAACTCCCCTGGCTCCAAGTCCTGTGAGTTTCCCATTTTACTCAGATGTTTCTCATCACGTTCCCACCCTGAGCTGCTGGAAATCAGGGAGGTGAAAGAAGAGAAAGCCAAGAGGAGACAGGCAATGCTTGGACAAGCCATTGGTGTGTCTGGCTCCAACTGACACACCGGCTCTGCACACAGGAGGTGTTCTAGAAATGCTCAGAGAGGCCAGGCGCAGTGGCTCACACCTGTAATCCCAGCACTTTGAGAGGCCGAGGTGGGCAGATCACGAGGTCAGGAGTTCGAGACCAGCCTGGCCAACATGGCAAAACCCCATCTCTACTAAAAATACAAAAATTAGCCGGGCATAGTGGCACATGTCTGTAATCCCAGCTACTCGGGAGGCTGAGGCAGGAGAATTGTTTGAACCCAGGATGCGGAGGTTGCAATGAGCTGAGATCGCGCCATTGCACTCCAGGCTGGGCAACAACAACAAAACTCCATCTCGAAAAAAAAAAAAAAAAGGGAAACGCTCAGAGAACTTGCTGGCCAATGTGCACATCCTCCAAACGCACCAGACCAGTGAGTGCACAGAAGTCAGAGGGGCAGAGGCGAAGCTGGAGCACAGAGCACTTGGTTTTGCTCCGTGTTGCAGAATCCCAAGCAGGGAGGGTGCTCAGAGCTATGGCACCATGCCCTTGATGTGTGGAAGGGGAAACTGAGGCCTTAAGAGATAATAGACACCCAAGGCTGTGTGGATCAGTGAGCAGGCCAGAGTCTGGTCTGTGGAGTCCCATGTGGTCACCGTTCCCTTAGGTCCCCCAGGACTGGGCACCGGCTGGTTATTTCTAGAATCAGATAACTCATGTCCCCTCCTCTCCATCTGCCTGGCCCTGCTCACACCTTGTTCATCTCTCTTCTAGAGCATCACAGGTCCTGAGGGCCTCCGTTCCTCTAGTTCTCCTCCTGCAATCCAATCCTCTCGCTGTCTACAGAGCACCACTCTGTGGGGCACTTGGACTTTCTGTCTCTCAGGCACTCCCCATTTCACACCTTACATTTCAACCCTGAAACTCTTGCAGTTCCCGCAGTGAGACCTGCTTTACTGCCCACCAGTCTGCCTGCTCCAAGGTCCCTGTTCTTATCTGTCTTGGTCCCAATGTATCCCCAATATTTGGTCCAGTGCTTGGTCTGTACGAGATATTTGTCAAACTTTTGATGAATGTGGGGCCAGCTTCGTGAGTGTGCGACCTGTGCAACTGCACAGGGCCCTGGGCTTAGAAGGGCTTTGCACTTGTATGCTCTGCTGATGCTGTCTTGAAGTTCTTAATAATTTGAACAAACATACCTGCATTTTCATTTTTCACAAGGCCCTACAAATTATGTGGCTAGTCCTACATGATGAATGAATGAATGAATGAATGAGTGAATGAATGAATGCCTCTGTGTCTTTGCACATGCTGTTCCCTTTTCACCAGGGACACCGATTCCAATCTTATTTGGTTAAGGTCCCGGCACACTAAAGATGCTCTCAAGAAAGGACAGAGGACAGAGATGTGGGCAGGGTTGGGGGTAACATGGGATGGGAACCATCTAGGGACTAGCACTTGGGGTAAGCTTGGAGGCCTTTGGGGCAAGAAGAGGTAGGGGGCTACTGGAGCCAGGGAGAGCTGGATCCAGGGAGGAGTAAATATTCCCACCTCTCTCACCTCCCTGCTTCCATCTTCTGCCAGTGCGTTTCATAGGCTGAGTCCAGCTAGAAGCCAGAGGATAGGGCCCAGGTAATGCCGCCTGTAGAGGCCCAGCCCTTTGGCATAGAGCAAGCTGAGAAGCGCAGAGAGTGGATGGGGTGTGAAGGAGGCAAATGGAATCACCATAAAACCTGTGTTAAGCATCCTTCCCCTGCAAAGCCTTCCGTGGTGTCCCTGGGTATAAGGGGATTCCTCTCCCTGCGTCTCACACAATGACAGTAGCAGTAAGTGTCTCACACTCTGTGCCAGCCCTGTGCTAAGTACCTATGCTGTAGAGTCCGTTATTGTCCCATCTTACAGATGAGGAACCTGAGACGCAGAAAGGTCACAGCCAGCATATGGCGGAACTGGCATTTGAGCTCAGGGCTGCCTGAAGCTGAAACCCCTGTTTTTTTTTTTTTTTTTTTTTTGAGACAAAGTCTCTCGGCTCATCGCAACCTCCGCCTTCCAGGTTCAAGCAATTCTCATGCCTCAGCCTCCTGAGTAGCTGGGACCACAGGCACACGCCACCACACCCAGCCAATTTTTTGTAATTTTTGTTTTGTTTTGTTTGAGATGAAATCTCACTCTTGTTGCCCAGGCTGGAGTGCAGTGGCACGATCTTGGCTCACTGTAACCTCTGCCTCCCCGGTTCAAGTGATTCTCCCGCCTCAGCCTCCCAAGTAGCTGCGATTACAGGCGCCCGCCACTACGCCTGGCTAATTTTTTGTATTTTGGTAGAGACGGCATTTCGCCATGTTGGCCAGGCTGGTCTTGAACTCCTGACCTCAGGTGATCCACCCTCCTTGGCCTCCCGAAGTGCTGGGGTTACAGGCATGAGCCACCGCATCCGGCTGAAGAAAATATTTTTTTTTTTTTTTTTTTTTTTTTTTTGAGATGGGATCTCACTCTGTCGCCCAGGCAGGAGTGCAGTGGCGCGATCTTGCCTCACTGCAACCTCTGCCTCTTGGCGATTCTCTTGCCTCAGTCTCCTGAGTAGCTGGGATTACAGGCGCCTGCCACCATGCCCAGCTGCTTTTTGTATCTTTAGCAGAGACAGGGTTTCACCATGTTGGCCAAGCTGGTTTCAAACTCCTGACCTCAAGTGATCCGCCCACCTCAGCCTCCCAAAGTGCTGGGATTACAGGCATGAGCCACTGTGCCCAGCGAAGAAATTTTTAAACAGGTAAAAAACTAAAAGGAATTGTCTAATGAGCCCAACATACCCATCATCAGCTTCAACAATGATCACTACAAGGCACAGGTTTCATCCACACTTCCACCCACTCCCACCCACCCATGCCTCCCTCTCTTCAGAGTGTTTGGAAGGGAATCCCACACATCAGGCACATCATTTTAACTGTATTTCCGCACATAACTCTATACGGCAAAGGCTCCTTTTCACAAAAACAGAACCACAATATCATTATCACACCTATACAATGTAACGACAGTTTCTTAAATCATCAAATATGCCATCAAAATTCATATTTCACCAAATTATTTTATAAATCTTTAAAAAAATACAGTTTGTTTGAATCAAGATATAAAGTCCACGCATTGTTTTTATTTTTATTTATTTATTTGTTTATTTATTTTTGAGTCAGGGTTTGGCTCTGTCGCCCAGGTTGGAGTGCAATGGCATGATCTCGGTTCACTGCAACCTCCGTCTCTCAGGCTCAAGCAATCCTCAGGTGCACCCCACCATGCCCGGCTAATTTGGGTATTTGTTGTACAGATGGGTTTTCACCATGTTGCCCAGGCTGGTCTCAAACTCCTGGCCTCAAGTGATCAGCCCACTTCAGCCTCCCAAAGTGCTGGGATTACAGGTGTGAGCCATCGCACCCGGCCGAAGTCCACACATTGTGTTTGCCTAATATGCCTGTGTTGTAAATGGGCTGTAAGCCCCTCTCATGGAGCCTTTGAGTATCATCCCAAAATGAACTACGAAATCTCACTTGGAGAGGCATATGCAGTGGAAGGGTTTATATTCACAG
Organism: Homo sapiens; assembly: GCF_000001405.40. Taxonomy (NCBI): domain Eukaryota; kingdom Metazoa; phylum Chordata; class Mammalia; order Primates; family Hominidae; genus Homo; species Homo sapiens. Next base: position 71,927,253 of record NC_000010.11, read on the forward strand.
GTCCTGGAGACAGGAGATACACCATGCCACATGGAGGGCGACTGGGAAGCAGCTCCCAGGATCCACTGAGCAGGTGGGGAGCTAAAAGGCATAAAGATTTCATTGTGTGTTGAGTGGCCCTAAGTCGCAGTTATGGGGGTTGTGGAATAAGGAGAGAGGGACTTATGGGAGGGACCAGCCTTCCCACACTGGGGCACCTGGCCACCTGGCCACCTGGGTGGGGTGTTCACAGCCTGTTTGTGAGGATGTTGAAGCTTCAGGAAAATACGAAGTTTTTCAAATATATAATACAGTATCCCTTAGGTTTCCTTTTTTTCCCCTTCAATCTTGTTTATTCTGTAAGTTTCCCTTATATCTCTTCTTTTTTTTTTCCTTATAATTTCTATTTGGTGGTGGTTGTTGAAAACCTTGAGTTTTCCATCGGTAGAGTTTTCCGCAGTCTGGAGCATGCTGATCTTGGTGGTATCATTTTAGCAATATTCTTCTGTCCTTTATATTTGTTTTGTTTCAGAGACAGGGTCTTGCTCTATCGCTCAGGCTGGAGTGCAATGGCATGATCATAGCTCACTGAACTCTTGAACTGCTGAGCTCAAGCGATCCTCCCATCTCAGGCTCCTGAGTAGCTGGGACTACAGGTGTGTGCCACCATGCCACGGTCTCTCATACTTTATCAGATTCTAGGTCATTTCTTCTCTCCTCTTCTTCCTTTTTCTACTTCTTTTCAGCAAGATTGTTTAATAGGTGACACTTTGTTCTTCCATCAGGAGATACATAATACTTGATGATCTTTTTTTGTGATATTAGCAACTGCTGGTAATCATTGCCTGCATTGTTTAACTCATTACGGATTGCAAAACAGTGATATTCCACTTCTATGGTTCCTTGTTTATTAGTTGGAATACTTCACATACTTCATGTAAATGATTCACCAATCTTTTCAGTTTTCTGAAGATTGTTTTTTTGTCAGCTGCAGTGGCTCATCCCTGTAATCCCAGCAACTCAGGAAACTCAGGCAGGAGGCTCTCTTGAGACCAGGAATGTAAGACCAGCCTGGTCAACAAAGTGAGACCCTGTCTCTAAAATTTTTTTTAAAAATTAGCTGTGTGTTGTGGCATGCACCTGTGGTCCCAGCTATTCAGGAGGCTGATTTGGGAGGATTGCTTGAGCATGGGAGGTCAAGGCTACAGTCAGCCGTGATTGCATCACAGCATTCCAGCCTGGGTAACAGAGTGAGACCCTCACTCAAAAAAAAAAAAAAGATTGCTTTTTAGTGGATTATCCAGAAAAGGCTCAAAGAAACAATATTCCTTGGGTTTTTCCATGTTCATAATAGTTTATTTATGTCTTTTATACTTAAAGGTCAGTTTCACTCAGTATAAAATCCTTGGTTCACATTTCCTGAGACATGTCATTAGATTGTCTTCTGGCATAAGGCATTGCTGTTGAAAGTAAGATGACAATTTATTTTTCCTTTGTTTATAAGTGATTTGTCTGTTTCTTTTTTTCTATTTATTTATTTATTTATTTATTTATTTTGAGATTGAGTTTCGCTCTTGTTGCCCAGGCTGGAGTGCAGTGGCATGATCTCGGCTCACTGCAACCTCCACCTCCCAGGTTTACGAGATTCTCCTGCCTTAGCCTCCGCAGTAGCTGGGACTACAGGCACGCACCACCACGCCCCGCTACTTTTTGTATTTTTAGTAGGGATGAGGTTTCACCATGTTGGCCAGGCTGGTCTCGAACTCCTGACCTCAGGTGATCCACCCACCTCAACCTCCCAAAGTACTGAGATTACAGGCTTGAGCCACCGCGCCCGGACTGATTTGTCTTTTTCTTGAATTCCCTGCATTTTTTCCTTTTTCTTCAATGCCCAGTAGTTTTCTTAGACACAGGTCTCAGGGTTGATTTGTCCAGGAATACAGTGTGCCTCTTCAATAGTTAATTTCTTTTTTTTTTTTTTTAAGACGGAGTCTCGCTCTGTCGCCCAGGCTGGACTGCAGTGGCACGATTCGGCTCACTGCAAGCTCCGCCTCCTGGGTTCACGCCATTCTCCTGCCTCAGCCTCCCCAGTAGCTGGGACTACAGACGCCCGCCGCCACACCCGGCTAATTTTTCTGTATCATTAGTAGAGACGGGGTTTCACCGTGTTAGCCAGGATGGTCTCGATCTCCCAATGTCGTGATCCGCCCGCCTCAGCCTCCCAAAGTGCTGGGATTACAGGTGTGAGCCACCGCTCCCGGCCCAATAGTTAATTTCAAGCCATGTTTTATGTGAGGATCATTTCTTTCAATTATAGTTTGGTTTTTGTTCTATCTACTGGTTTGGTTTTCTTTAGAGTTCTTCACAGCCCCTTTATTTCTAGATTTTAAATTGCTGGCAGGGTGGGGTGGCTCATGCCTGTAATCCTAACATTGTGGGAGGCCAAGGCGACTGGGTCACCTGAGGTCATGAGTTTGAGACCAGCCTGGCCAACATGGTGAAACCCTGTCTCTACTAAAAATACAAAATTAGCTGGGCATGGTGGCGGGCGCCTGTAATCCCAGCTAATTGGGAGGCTGAGGCAGGAGAATCGCTTGAACCCAGGAGGCAGAGTTTCCAGTGAGCTGAGATCGTACTACTGCACTTCAGCCTGGGCAACAAGAGCAAAACTGTCTCAAAAAAAAAAAAGCCCTCTTTTTATTTTTATTTTATAAAAAAATTAATTTTTAGAGACAGAATTTCGCTCTGTCACCGGGCTGGAGTGCAGTGGTACTATCATAGCTCACTGCAGCTTTGAACTTTTGGACTCAAGTGATCTTCCCACCTCAGCCTCCCAAGAAGGCAGGACAATAGGTGTGCCCCACCATCCCTGGCTAATTTAAAAATTTTTTTTTTAGAGACGGTCTCACTATGTTGCAGGCTGGTAAATGCCCTCTTTTGTATCTTATTTTTCTCTTAAAGTCTTATTTATTGTAATTATTCTCTTTCATTTCTTTTGTTTTCATCTTCATTTCTGAAATTGTTGTTCTTTTATATTTAATTATTTGCTGACCTTTATAATCTTTTTATTTTTTAAGAGTCAAGGGCAATCCCAGCACTTTGGGAGGCCGAGGTGGATGGATCACCTGAGGTCAGGAGTTCTAGACCAGCCTGGCCAACATGGTGAAACCTTGTCTCTACTAAAAATACAAAAATTAGCCAGGCATAGTGGCAGGCGCCAGTAATCCCAGCTACTCAGTGGGGACCGAGGCAGGAGAATTGCTTGAACCTGGGAGGCGGAGGTTGCAGTGAGCCGAGATTGCGCCATCTCACTCCAGCCTGGGGGACAAGAGCGAGACTTCGTCTCAAAAAAAAAAAAAAAGAGTCAAGATCTCACTCTGTCACCTGGGCTGAAGTGCAGGGGCACGATCATAGTTCACTGTGGCCTCGAACTTTTGGGCTGAAGCTATCCTCCCACCTTGGCCTCCCAAAGCACTAGGATTAGAGACGGGAGCCCTGGCACCAGGGCTTATTATCATTTTTCCCAAATCTCCCTTCTTTTTTCCCCAATTACCTAACTTCTGAGTTTAATTTTGATTTATATAACTTCATAACGTCTACCATTTAAATAATTTTTCTAATTTTGCTTTGAAATATTAGGTTGTAGTTTTCATCTGCTTCATGAACATGTTCTGGCATGCTTGCTTTGTAGGAATTCTGTTCTGCTACTTATTCTCTTTTTTCTTATAATTTTACATGAGATTCAACCTCTTTCTTTTTTTCCTTTTTCTTTTTTTAAGTGACGGGGTCTTGCTATGCCCAGGCTGGAGTGCAGGTGTGCAATTATAGCACGCTGTAGCCTTGACCTTCCAGGCTCAAATGATCCTCCTGCTTCAGCCTCCCAATAGCTGGGGCAACAGGTATGTGCTACTGCATCCAGTCACATTTGATCCTTTTCTGATGCTACTTTATAAAGTAAAATGAGGCTGGGTAGTGGCACACACCTGTACTCCCAACACTTTGGGAGGCTGATGCAGAAGGATCACTTGAGGTCAGGAGTTTGAGACTAGCCCGGGCAACATTGCAAGACCCTGACTCTACTACAGAAAAAAAAATTATCCATATGTGGTAGTGCATGCTTGTAGTCCCAGCTACTCAGGAGGCTGAGGTGGAAGGTTCCCTTGAGCTTGGGAGTTTGAAGTTACAGGGAGCTATGATCATGCCACTGCACTCTGGCCTGGGTGACAGAGCAAGACTGTCTCTAAAAAACCCACAAAACTGGCTAGACATGGTGGCTCATGCCTGTAATCCCAACACTTTGTGAGACCCAGGCAGGTGAATGGCTTGAGCCGAGGAATTCAAGACCAGCCTAGGCAACATAGTGAGACCCTGTAGAAAAAATTAGCTGGGGGGAGTGGCACACACCTGTAGTCCCAGCCACTTGGGAAGTTGAGGTGGGAGGATCACTTAAGCCCCAGAAAGTCAAGTCTGCAGTGAGCCATGATCACTCCACTCCACTCCAGCCTGGGCAACAGAGCAAGACTCTGTCTCAAAAAGAAATCCCACAAAACTTTACGTTAAAAAATGTTTACAATCACCTGAGTCTTCAGTGAGTCATATGTTTTTATTGATGGAGGGTCTTGCCTTGATATTGATGGCTGCTGACTGATCAGGGTGGTGGTTGCTGAAGGCTGGGGAGGCTGTGGCAATTTCTTAAAATAAGATAACCGTAAAGTTTGCCATAGTAATTGACTCTTCAGCTCAGGAAAGATTTCTCTGTAGCATGTGATGCTATTTGATAGCATTTTACGCACAGTAGAATTTCTTTAAAAATTGGAGTCAATCCTCTCTAACCCTCCTGCTGCTTTATCAACAGAGTTTATGGAATATTCTGAATCCTTTGTTGTCATTTCAACAATGTTCACAGCATCTTCCCTGGGAGTAGATGCCACCTTAAGAAACCACTTAAGTTGATTTATCCATAGAAGCAGCTCCGCATCCGTCCAAGCTTCATGAGATTGCTGCAATTCAATCCTGTCTTCAGGCTCCGCTTCTAATTCTAGCTCTCTTGCTATTTCCACCAGATCTGCAAGTTTTTTTCCCTCCTGAAGTCTTGAACCCCCTCAGTCATCTATGAGGGTTGGGGTCCATTTCTTCCAAACTCCTCTTCATGTTGATATTTTCACCTCCTCCCATGAATCCTGAACAGCCTTAATGGCATCTAGAATGGTGACTCCTTTCCAGAAAATTTTCAATTTACTTTGCCCAGATCCATCAGAGGAATCACTATCTGTGGCAGCTATAGCCTTATGAAATGCATTACTTAAGGAGAAGAAGGCTTGAAAGTTGAAATTACTCCTTGATCCATGGGCCACAGAATGGATGTTGTGTTTGCAGGCATGGAAACAACATTCATCTCCTTGTACATCTCCATCAGAGCCCATGGGTGACTAGATGCATTGTCAGTAAGCAGTGATATTTTGAAAAAAAATATTTTTTCTGAGCAGTAGGTCTCAACAGTTGGCTGAAAATATTCAATGAACAGATAAGCTGTTGTGCAAGTTTTTTTTTTATAGAGCACAGGCAGAGTGAACCTAGCATAATTCTTTTTTTTTCCCCACTTCAATAATAATCTGATATAGTCTAGATTTAGTTTTTTTTTTTTTTTTTTTTTTTTTTTTTTGAGGCAGAGTCTCACTCTGTCGCCCAGGCTGGAGTGCAATGGTGCAATCTCGGCTCACTGTAACCTCCGCCTCCCAGGTTCAAGCAATTCTCCTGCCTTAGCCTCCCAAGTAGCTGGGATTACAGGCGCCCACCACCGCACCTGGCTAATTTTTGTATTTTTAGTAGAGATGGGGTTTCACCATGTTGGCCAGGCTGGTTTTGAACTCCTGACCTCAGGTGATCCAACCGCCTCAGCTTCTCAAAGTGCTGGGATTACAGGCGTGAGCCACCGCACCCAGCTGATTTAGCATAATTTTTAAGGGCTCTAGGACTTTTGGAATGGTCAATGAGCATTGGCTTTAACTTAAAGTCACCAGCTTCCCCTAACAACTTAAAGTCACCTGCTGCCCCTAACAAGAGAGTCAGCCTGTCGCTTGAAGCTTTGAAGCCAGGCACTGACTTCTCCTCTCTAGCTGTGAAAGTCCTAGATGGCCTCTTCTTCCCACGTAAGGCTGTGTCGTCTCCATTAAAACACCTGTTGTTTAGTGTAGCCACCTTCATCAATGACCTTAGCTGGATCTTCTGAATAACTTTCTGCAGGTTTTATGTTATGTATATGACATATTTCCTTAAACCCCATGAACCCACTTCTGCCAGCTTCCAACTTTTCTGCAGCTTCCTCGTCTCTCTCAGCCTTCATAGAATTGAAGATAGTTGGGGCCTTGCTCTGCATTAGGCTTTGGCTTAAGGGAATGTTATGGCTGGCTTGATCTTCTGTCTATACCACTCAGAAACTTTCTCCATATCAGCAAGACTGTTGTGCTTTCTTATCATTTGTGTGTTCACTGGAGCAGCTCTTTTGATTTCCTTCAAGAAATTTTCCTTTGCCTTCACAACTTGACTGTTTGGTGCAAGAAGCCTTTGTAACTGCTGTGGTTTTTCCCCACCCACCTGCACCTTAAGCTTGTGGGTTTAACCCGTCACCTAGTTTTGTTGTGGATATGATCTGTAGATCTGGGGTTTTTAAAATCCTACTTTTGTTTTCATTTGGGGTGTATTATTCTACTAGGTCTGCCATAACAGACTTACACAATGGCAACTTATTTTCTGGAGGCTGGAAGTCCAACATCAGGTGCCATTAGTTTGGTTCCTGGTGAGGCCTCTCTTCCAGCTTATAGACAGCCACCTTCTTGCTGTGTTCTCACATAGACTTTCCTCTGTGCAGGTGCAGAGAAAGGAAGATATCTGGTGTATGCTGTGTCTTCTTCTTATGAGGACACCAGTCCTATTGGATTAGGGCCCCACCCTTATGGCCTCAGTTAATTGTAATTTAGACCTTTAAATCTCCATAAAGGTCTATCTTGTTTCATTTGTGCTGCTGTAAGAAAAAAACAAGAACAAAAACACCCAAGACTATTTCCCTCCACTGGCAATGAGAAAAAGAAAAAGAAAAAAAAACAGCTAAGACTAGTTTTTTTTATTAATTTATTTTTATTTCAATAGGTTTTTGGGGAACAGGTGGTGTTTGGTTGCATGGATAAGTCCTTTTTTTTTTTTTTTTTTTTTGAGACAGAGTCTCGCTCTGTTGCCTGGCGGGAGTGCAGTGCAGCGATCTCCACTCACTGCAACCTCTGCCTCCTAGGTTCAAGCAATTCTCATGCCTCAGCCTCCTGAATAGCTGGGACTACAGGTGCATGCCACCACGCCCAACTAATTTTTGTATTTTTAGTAGAGATGGGGTTTCACCACGTTGGCCAGGATGGTCTCGATCTCTTGACCTCGTGATCCACCCCCCTCGGCCTCCCAAAGTGCTGGGATTACAGGTGTGAGCCTCTGTGCCCAGCCCCAGATAAGTTCTTTAGTGGTGATTTCTGAGATTTTGGTGCACCCATTACCCAAGCAGTGTACACTGTACCCAATGTGTAGCGTTTTTTGTTGTTGTTGTTTCTTCCTGAGACAGAGTCTCGCTCTGTCGCCCAGGCTGGAGTACAGGGGCACAATCTCAGCTCACTGCAAGCTCCACCTCCCAGGTTCAAGCCATTCTTCTGCCTCAGCCTCCCGAGTAGCTAGGATCACAGGCATGTGCCACCACGACCAGCTAATTTCTTTTGTATTTTTAGTAGAGATGGGGCTTCACCATGTTAGCCAGGATGGCCCAATGTGTAGTCTTTTATCTCTCACCCCACTTCCATCCTTCCCCACCACCCGCCAAGTTTTCAAAGTCCATTGTATCATTCTTATGCCTTTGCGTCCTCATAGCTTAGCTCCCACTTATGAGTGAGAATATATGATGTTTGGTTTTCCATACCTGAGTTACTTCAGTTAGAATAATAGTCTCCAACTCTATCCAGGTTTTTGCAAATGCCATTATTTCATTCTTTTTCATGGCTGAGTTATACGTGTGTGTATATATATATGTGTGTGTGTGTGTATATGTGTGTGTGTGTGTGTATATATATATATTTCAACATATATATACCACATTTTCTTTATCCACTTATTGATTGATGGGCATTTGGGCTGGTTTCATATTTTTGTTATTATTGTTGTTCGTGACCAAGCAGAAGTTTTGATTTTTATGTAGCTTGAATTGATCCATCTTTTTCGTTCTTTCTTTTCTTTTTTTTTTTTTTTTGTTTGTTTGTTTGTTTAGTAGAGATGAGGTCTTGCTATGTTGCCCAGGCTAGTCTCAAACCCCTGAGCTCAAGCAATCCCCTCACCAATGCCAAAGTGCTGGGATTACAGGCATGAGCCACTGCACATGGCCCTGGTGCCATATTTTTGTAATTTCAAATTGTGCTGCTATCATAATATACAATATAAACATGCATGTGCAAGCATCTTTTTCATATGACTTCTTTTCCTCTGGGTAGATACCCAGTAGTGGGATTCCTGGATCAAATGGTAGATCTACTTTTAGTTCTTTAAGGAATCTTCACACTGTTTTCCATAGTGGTTGTACTAGTTTACATTCCCACCAGCAGTGTAAAAGTGTTCCCTTTTCACCACATCCACACCGACATCAATTATTTTCTTATTTTAAAAATTATGGCTGTTCTTGCAGGAGTAAGGTGATATTGTCACATTGTGGTTTTGATTTGCATTTTCCTGATAATTAGTGATGTTGAGCATTTTTTCCTATGTTTGTTGGCCATTTGTATATCTTCTTTTGAGGATTATCTATACATGTCCTTAGCCCACTTTTTGATGGGAATATTTGTTTTTTTTTCTTGCTAATTTGTTTGAGTTCCTTATAGATTCTGGACACTAGTCCTTTGCCGGATGCATAGTTTGCAAAGATTTTCTCCCATTCTGTGGGTGAGACTAAGTAATTTATAAAGAATAGCAATTTTTTTTCTCACAGTTCTAAAGGTTGAGTAGTCCAAGATTGAGGCACCAGTAAATCTGGTGTCTGGTGTAGGCCCGGTGTATGCTTTCAAGATGGTGCCTCTTGCTGTGTCCTCACATGGTGGAGCAGATGGAAGGGCCAGGAAGCTTTCTGAAGCCTCTTTTATAAGGGTGTTAATCTTATTTATGAGGGTGGAGCCCTCTTGGCCTAATCACCTCCCAAAGGCCAGACCTCTTCATATCATTCCTTTGTTTTGGGTTTTTGTTTTTTTTTTTTTTTTGGTTTGTTTGTTTGTTTGAGACAGAGTCTTGCTCTGTGGCCCAGGCTGGAGTGCAATGGTGCCATCTCGGCTCTCTGCAAACTCCACCCCCCAGGTTCAAGCCATTCTCATGCCTCAGCCTCCTGAGTAGCTGAAACTACAGGAGCACCACCACGCCCAGCTAATTTTTGTATTTTTAGTAGAGACAGGATTTCACCATATTGGCCAGGCTGGTCTTGAACTCCTGACCTCAAACCATCCACCACCTTGGCCTCCCAAAGTGCTGGATTACAGATGTGAGCCACCGCGTCTGGCCCATATCATTATTTTGGGGGTTAAATTCCAACATAAATTTTGGAGACACACATATATTCAAAACCATAGCAGTAGGCCTTTTCTCCAAATATAGTCTCTCTGGGAGTTAAGGCTTCAACATATGAATTGGAGGTGGGGGGCACAATTGAGTCCATCACAGGGGGAATATGGAGAAAGGCAAAAACTACATTCTGCTATCTTTCATCTTCCCAGAATAAGATAGGCTCTGGAGACAGCCCACACAGGTCAGCTACCCAGGACGTGGAGCAAAGTGGAGCAATTACGGTGCTATGGTTGAATGTTTGTCCTCTCCAAAACTCATGTTTAAATTTAATCCCCAAAGTGACAGTACTGAGAGGCCTTTAAGAGGTGATTGGGTCATGAGGTCTCCGCCCATTAATGGATTAATGGATGAATGGACTAATGAGTTATCATGGATGTGGGATGGTGGCTTTATAAGAAGAAAAGAGATCTGAGCCAGCACACTCAGCCTCTTTGCTGTGTGATGCCCTGCACCACCTCAAGACTGAAGGGAGTCTCTGCTAGCAAAAAGGCCCTCACCAAATGCAGCCCCTCACCTTGGACTTCTCAGCCTCCATAACCGTAAAAAATAAATTTCTTTTCTTTACGAATTATCCAGTTTCAGGTATTATGCTACGAGCAACAGAAATGGAGTAGGACATGAGAAGAGATCAGGGGGATAAAGGAAGACGTCCAGAGCATTAGAAAGCCCCCCGTGGCTGGGTCCTGCCAACCTCTGCCTCTCTTCTCCTCATGCCTACTCCCTCCCCCTGCATGTTCCAGTGACAGAAAACTGCTTCTCATTTTCCCTGCACATACCACCCTGCTCCTGGCCTCCTGCCTTGGCTCACACAGTCTTCAAGGCCTGTAATGCCCTTCCTCCCTCCCCTACCCACTTCTCTCCATTTCAACTAAGAGCTTGTCCTTATTTTACCCTTTTGCACTTATACCTTAGGCATCTCCTTCTCTAGAAAGTCTTTCTAGATGTCCAGATGGCTGCAGGGACTTGCCTGCATGCACATGTATATATATGCATTCATGTGCACACACACACTCCCATGCCACCCACCTATGCCTCCTCATTGCACTTGCCTTATTGCATTGTAATTGTTGCTTTATGAATCCCCCCACTAGACTGTAAGCTCTCTGAGTACAAGCAAAGCTTGTGCCTCATCACTTGGAGCAGACTGGATCATTGCTCTCAATTTTTCACTCCCTTCCTGACTTATCATCATTAATTATCCAGCTATGCCATATCATGGCTTCACAGTGGGCAGAATACACATCTCTGCCTCAGTGACTTTAGATTTGGGTATGGGATTTGCTTTGGCCAATGATATAAGCAGAAGTCTTCATTGTGCCAGTGTGGTTTGGCCCATCTCCTGTATTCATACTCCTGTGATCTCTCTTGAGAAGAACATATCCCAGGGTAGCCACTGGGCCAAGTAGAGTGTGGAGATATGAGTAGACTTGAACTCAACCTAAAGCCTGGTCCTAGCGCCAGCCAACTCCTGGTCTGCAACAGAAGCCTGCAGACCCACTGACCTGTGAATGAGGAAAATAAATATTTGGTGTTGTAAACCACCAAGATTTGGAGGATGTTTGTTACATGGCATCATGGCAGCAATAGCTGACTAAGACATCATTCATCCTTGTGTTCCCAAGCAGAGTCCTGGCCCAAAAGATATTCACTGAAATAAAGAAGCAAATATGTTCATTAATCCAAAACATGTAGCATGAGTGTGCTCACAGGTCCTCTGCTACCTCTTCTTTTCAAGCAGATAGTAATGGCTTTTTTCACAGAGTTGATGTGAAAGAGCTCCTGGCACTTTGTGCTAAGTCAGTGACATTTTCCTTCCTCTCCACCCCTTGATTTCTTTAAATGAGCTCCTAGGCTAAAGATATTAGAGGCAAAGGAAGTACTCTAGGCTACTGAACCTCTGAACCCTCTGACCTCTGTCTGGGGGGAGCCTCTTTGTGTTCTTCCTCTCCCTCCTCCTCTTTTGCCCCTAGGATTCCTCCCTGAGTCACTGCCTAACTGGCTTTTCCTGGCCTAGAAAAGAGGATTTGCCCTAGATCCTGATATGGCTCAGCAACTTCCTGCCTTAAGAGGATGGGCAGCTTACATTTCTCCCTCTTGCAAGCTAGCCGATACAAGAAGTCTGTCTCCTCTGAAACCACCATGTTGTGAGGAAACCCAAGGTAGTCACATAGCTTGAGCCATAGAGGCCATATTAAGAAACAACAAGGTGCTATACATGTGAGTGAAGCTTTCTTGGACTTTCTAGCCCAGCCCAGCCCAGCTGACCGAAGCAGAGTGCATGATCTCAGTTAATGCCATACAGAGCAAAGGAATCTTCCAGCTGAATCCAGTTAATCCACAAAATTGTGAGAAATAATACATTTCTGTTGTTTTAAGGCATTAAGTTTTGAGGTAGTTATGCAACAGATAAATTAATATATGGATAAAACTTTATAATTATTTGTTATATATATAATATTACTTATTATTTCTGAACCATCTGAGAGGAAATGGCAAAAATCATAACCCTAAATTAAAGGAGACCATCTCTCATATTGTTTTCTGCCTAATTTCTGCCTCAAAGGAAAGAGAAAGTAGGAGTTAAAGAAAAGGCAGAAGTGAAATTCAATAGTCAGACAGCCTGGCGCCACACCCCAGGCCTGGTGGTTAAAGATCGACCCCTGACCTAATCACTTATGTTACCTATAGATTCCAGACATTGTATGAGGGAGCATTGTTTAACTCCCTGTTCAGTTCTGTTCTGTTATGATCACTGGTGCATGCAGCCCCAGTCACATAGCCCCCGCTTGCACAATGTATCACGACCCTTTCACTTGGACCCCTTAGTTAGTTGTAAGCCCTTAAAAGGGACAGGAATCTTGACATCGAGGAGGTCGGATCTTGAGATGCGAGTCTACCAATGCTCCTAGTTGATTAAAGCCTATTCCTTGCTAAAACGGGTGTCTGAGAGGTCTTGTCTAAGACAGGTCCTGCTACATTTCTTGGTTCCCTGACCAAGAAGCCAGGTGATTAGTGGACGGTTGAGGCAGCCCCTTAGGCGGCTTAGGCCTGCCCTGTGGAGCATCCCTGCGGGGGACTCTGGCAGGCTTTAGTGACGCGAAAAGAGCGCTCCCGGGTAGGGAATTGCCCGGGTGGAATGCCTCTCCAGAGCAGGGCATGGTAGGGCCCCGCGGAGGATTAACGCAGCGGATGAACACCGGCAAGGAATCGGCGCTTGGAGTCGCTTGGTGTCCGGACATCTGGAATATGGTAAGAAGCGGTCTTGGAACTTGCCCACTCCATTTGAGTGGAAGCCTGGCCTGATCACCCACAACGTGCTTTTATCGGTACCTTGGTTTTGGTTTTGATTTTGACTAGATTCGCACTGTTTTGGTTTAGATTTCAGTATTGACCTTCGGATTTGAACTGTTTTGGCTTTGATTTCGGTTCTGACTTGGCTCAAATTGCTTAATGAATGAGTAACTCCTTATCCGTACTTTGGTTTTAGTGTGAATTGCTTGGTTAGCGGGTGACTTTTTGCCCCCTCTCCCCTTCCCTCTTTGTGGTAAGAGTGTTGTTTTGTCTCCTGAGAGAGGAAAATGAGTAAAACACAAAGTAAGCCTACCCCGTTAGGAACTATGTTAAAGAATTTCAAGAAAGGATTCAATGGGGCCTATGGAATCGCTATGACACCTGAAAAGCTTAAAGCTTTGGTGAGATAGATTGGCCGGCATTAGAGGTGGGATGGCCATCAGAAGGAAGCCTAGACAGGTCCCTAGTTTCAAAGGTATGGCACAAAGTAACTGGTAAATCAGGACACCCAGATCAGTTTCCATACATAGATACTTGGTTGCAGCTGGTTTTAGACCCCTCACAGTGGTTAAGAGGACAGGCAGCAGTAGTAGTACTAGTGGCAAAGGGACAGACAGCCAAGGAAGAAAGAGTAGCTCCACTCCCGTCGGTCCTTTCCCTTGGGGAAGAGGAAGGAGAGAGGAGAACAGCAGAATACGCGGCTCACAGAGGCAAGGAAAGACCAGCAGAGAGAAAAAGAGAGAGAGGAGAAAGAGAGAGAGGAAAGAGAGAGAGAATACAAGAGGCAAAGAGAGAAAGAAAGACAGAGGAAGAGACAGAGAGACAAAGAGGAGTCAAAGAGAGAGAGAGGCAGAGAGAGGAAGAGACAGAGATAAAAAGAAAGTCAAAGAGAAAAAAAGAAAGTCAAAGAGAGAAAAAGAGAGATATACAAGTAGTTAAGAAAAAAACAGTGTGTCCTAGTCCTTTAAAAGCCAAGCTAAATTTGGAACCTATAATTGATAATTAAAGGTCTTCTCCGTGACCATGTAACACTCCAATACCACTTTGTTGTCAGCGTAAACAAGGGCATAGCCCAAAAGCACTGAGGCCACTGGCAATCCGTAGCCTCCCTATCAAAATTTCTTAGCCCAGTAATCCACAGATGGCCCATATACATTCAATCTGCAGCGGCAACGGCTTTGCTAACAGAAGCAAGTAGAAAAATAACTTTTAGAGGAAACCTCGTTGTGAGCACACTTCACCAGTTCAGAACTATCCTAAATTAAAAAAAAAAAAAAAGCAAAAACGTAACTTCCTGACTCAAAAATCTTAAAGTATGAGGCTATTCTGTTAGAAAAAGATGATTTAATATTAACCAATAAAAATTCCCTTAACCCAGCAGGTTTCCTAACAAGGGATTTAAATCTTAATTACCTTACAAAGGTCCGACCAGACCTAGGAGGAACCCCCTTCAAGACTGGACGATAGATGGTTCCTCCCGGGAAATTAGGGGAAAAAAAAAAAAGAGAGAGAAAAAGCGGGGGGGGGGGAGAGGGGGGCAGGGGGGAGTTTATGTAAAAAGAATGTTATATGGTAAATTCTTGTCCTAAAATAAATTAACTGGTTGTTTAAAGAAAAGGATGTTTGCAATAAGTCAGAAAATTGAGACATGTCGAAGAATTGTCTGTAAAAGTCGTGAAAGAAGAAAAAAATGTGTGTTATAAAAAAGGAATTTACGCAAGAAATGTTGTATAATTTAAAAGTAATTAGGCCTCCTGAATGTAAAACTATTGAAGAAACAGTTTATATGCAAGGTGTATGAGGAAAGTAAAATATACTTTTAGTAAAAGGATTATAAGGAGGCATAAAAATGTGGATTTTTATCTACATTAAAAAGTTAAAAAATTGTTTTTGTTTTGAAGGTTTAAGCAAGTTTTAAAACGTTAATTGTAAAAGAAATTCTGTGTATAAACATATTGGCTAAAGTTAAAGAGGTATCATCCAGTTTTTCTGTGAACTGGACATTAAAGTAAAAACACAACGGGTTTTTCTTAAAGCACTAACCTGCTCTTTAACAAAAATTATAATAGGTTAAAAAGAGTCTATAAAAATCTTACCTTATGGTCAGACATCAAAAATTGAATAAATATGTCTACAAAGTTTTATTAAAACTAAGTTTGACATTAATAACACACTAATATAAAGGTGAACTTTAGCTTATCTGGTATAAAAATCATACAGGAAGCATCGTCAGATATAAAATGGTATATGGCTTTCTTTGGCCTAAAAACTAATAAATATAGGTGCTAAAGGAAATTTCTCAGTAAAAAGGCACCAAGGACTATAAAATCTGCTGCTGATGACCCCACATTTAAAACAAAAGGTCAATTTCTTAGAAATTATATACTTGGTTTATCTTCCACTTTCCTTTCCCTCAAAACTAAAAGTCTTTTAGCACATGTACCACCCCTAGAATTTCCTGTAAACCAGCACCAGCCTGAAGATTACGTTCTCATCAAAGGGTGGAAAGAAGGAAAACTCCAGCCAGCCTGGGAAGGACCCTACTTTGTGCTGCTAACCACCGAGACTGCTGCTCGTACAGCAAAAAAGGATGGACTCATCACACCCGAGTCAAGAAAGCGCCACCCGGTCCGGAGTTGTGGGCCATAGTCCCAGGGGAAAACCCTACCAAACTAAAGCTAAGAAAAATTTAACTCTTTCATCTATTCTATTACTCTTTCTTCTTTCCTAGTTCTATTGCTGACCATCTAGTTATTAACATAACCAAGTCAATTTCGCCTCAAACTATTGCATTTAATGCTTGCCTTGTTATACCCTGTGGGGACTTGCCAAGTCTCAAAGACAGCTCTCTACTTCAGAAAAGTACCTCTGTCCCTCCTGACTGTCCTCAGACTGGGCATTAGTAAATTGGGATCATTTAATCCGGGGAGATTTTGATAGACCCCAGTGTCAACCTGGAGTATTGCCCCCTGATGTAGAGCTTTTATGCCATAGTTGGTCCAATGTTCTGTGGATCACTAAAGAGCAAGGATGACTGCCCCAACTGGTTTTTGTAATTTCCTAAAACCATACATTCATTTTACTAGAGTATCATAGAAGTTAAAGACTTAAAACAAACTTTGGCAATTAAGGCAGGATACCAAGATGCAAATGCCTGGTTGGAAAGGATCAAATATTCCGTCCGCACGTTAAACAAAAGCAATTGTTATGTTTGTGCACGTGGCAGGCCAGAGGCCCAGATTGTCCCCTTTCCACTAAGGTGGTCCTCCAGTTGACCAGGCGTGGGCTGCATGGTAGCTCTTTTCCAGGATTCCACAGCCTGAAGTAAAGGTCATGCCAAGTTCTCTCTCTGCTATATCCCGAAGTTCAGTACCCTGAGGGTCAGCCCCCAAGGGCCATCCAGCTTCCGTCTCCCAACACTAAGTTCACTTTGTGTCTCTCACAACAGGGAGGAAACTTAGTTTTCCTTGGAGACCTGAAGGGATGTAGTGAGTTTAAGAACTTTCAAGAGCTTACCAACAAGTCAGCCCTTGTTCATCTCCAAGCGGATGTGTGGTGGTATTGTGGTGGACCTTTACTGGACACTCTGCCAAATAACTGGAGTGGCATTTTTGCTTTACACCAATTGGCTATCCCTTTCACCCTGGCATTTCATCAGCCGGAGGGAAGGCAGGTGATAGAAAAAGGATGGATCTGGTTATTGGACAGAAGAATAGCCATGTCACAACTGCTAGGAGCCGCAGTTGTACTGGCTGTGCATGAGTCCACCCACCTGGGCCAAGAGTCACTTAAAAAGTTGTACTTCTACATCTTACATCTGTCAGCCCTTGGCAAAACAGTGGTGCCACAGTGTGTCACCTGCCGGCAGCACAATGCTAGGCAAGGTCCAACCATCCCGCCTGGCATACAGGCTTATGGAGCAGCCCCCTTTGAAGATTCCCAGGTAGACTTCACCGAGACCCCCAAATGTGGAGATCTCATCCCTAGGTTTGGACTGCCCTTGCAAATCGGCTCGGACAACGGGTTAGCATTTGTGGATGACTTGGTACAGAAGACAGCAAAGGCGATTGGGTATGGATCAAGGATTGGAACGTAGCCCCCTTGGAGCCACAGTGGAAAGGACCCCAGACCGCCATCTTGACCACTCCCACAGCTGTGAAAGTAGAAGGAATCCCAGCCTGGATCCACCACAGCCGCCTGAAACCCGCAGCACCTGAGACCTGGGAGGCGAGACCAAGCACAGACAATCCCTGCAAAGTGACTCTGAGGAAGATGACAAGCCCTGCTCCAGTTACACCTGGAAGCCAACTGGTCCATGCACGGCCGAAGTGTAATGAAACTCACCATGGGACTTACTTTCCTTAAATTTTGGACTTGTACAGTAAGGACTTCAACTGACCTCCCTCAAACCAGGGACTGTTCCTAGTGTATATATCAGGTCACTGAGGTAGGGCAAAAAGTTAAAACTGTCATTTTGTTCTATAGTTATTGTAAATATGTTGGAACCCTAAAAGGGACTTGTTTGTATAATGCCACCCAGTACAAGGTATGTAGCCCAGGAACTCACCAGCCTGATGTGTGTTATAACCCATCTGAGCCCCCTGTGGTCACAGTTTTTGAAATAAAATTAAGAACAGTCACCTGGTGGGGTCTAAACCATACTAAGAAAAATCCATTTAGTAAGTTTCCTAAGTTGAAAACTGTTTGGGTCCATCCAGAGTCTCACCAGGACTGGATGGCTCCAGCTGGACTATACTGGATATGCGGGCATAGAGCCTATACCAAACTACCTGACCAATGGGCAGGTAGTTGTGTTGTTAGCACCATTAAGCCATCCTTTTTCCTACTGCCCATAAAAATGGGTGACCTCCTAGCCTTCCCTGTCTATGCTTCCCGAGAAAAGAGGAGCACAGCCATAGGCAATTGGAAAAATGATGAGTGGCCCCCTGAAAGAATCATACAGTACTATGGGCCTGCCACATGGGCACAAGACTGCTCATAGGGATGCCGAACCCCCATCTATGTGCTCAACCAGATTATACGGTTACAAGCTGTCTTAGAAATAATCACTAATGGGCCAGGCGTGGTGGCTCCCGCCTGTAATCCCAGCACTTTGGGAGGCCGAGGCAGGTGGATCATGAGGTCAGGAGATCGAGACTATCCTGGCTAACACAGTGAAACCCCATCTCTACTAAAAATACAAAAAAGCAATTAGCCAGGTGTGGTGGCAGACACCTGTAGTCCCAGCTACTTGGGAGGCTGAGGCAGGAGAATGGTGTGAACCTGGGAGGCGGAGCTTGCAGTGAGCCAAGATCGTGCCACTGCACTCCAGCCTGGGTGACAGAGTGAGACTCCATCTCAAAAAAAAAAAAAAGAAATAATCACTAATGAAACTGGCAGAGCTTTGACCGTTTTAGCCAGGCAAGAAACCCTGATGAGAAATGCCATTTATCAGAATAGACTAGCCCTAGGTTACTTGCTAGCAGCTGAAAGAGGAGTTTGTGGGAAATTTAACCTAACCAATTGCTGCCTGCACATAAAGGGCAAGTAGTTAAAAATATAGTTAAAGATATAACAAAGCTGGCACTTGTGCCCGTGCAAGTGTGGCATGGGTTTGATCCTGGGACCATGTTTAGAAAATGGTTTCCAGTGCTAAGAGGATTTAAAACTCTTATAATAGAAATTATAATAGGAACCTGCCTGTTGCTTCCCTGTGTGCTGCCCTTGCTCCTTCAAGTAATAAAAAGTTTTGTTACAACTTAGTCCATCAAAATACTTCAGCACAAGTGTACTACATGAATTGCTATTGATCTGTCTTACAAGAAAACCTAGATAGTGAAGATGAAGATGAGAACTCCCACTAATAAGTGAGGTTCTCAAAGGGGGGACTAAGGGAGGAGACCACGTCTCATATTGTCTTCTGCCTAATTTCTGCCTCAAAGGAAAGAGAAAGTAGGAGTTAAAGAAAAGGCAGAAGTGAAATTCAATAGTCAGACAGCCCATCACCACACCCCAGGCCTAGTAGTTAAAGATTGACCCCTGACCTAATCGCTTATGTTACCTATAGATTCCAGACATTGCATGAGGGAGCATTGTGTAACTCCCTGTTCGGTTCAGTTCTGTTCTGATCACCGGTGCATGCAGCCCCAGTCACGTAGCCCCCGCTTGCACAATGTATCATGACCCTTTCACTTGGACACCTTAGTTAGTTGTAAGCTCTTAAAAGGGACAGGAATCTTGACTTCGGGGAGCTCAGATCTTGAGACACGAGTCTACCAATGCTCCCAGCTGATTAAAGCCTATTCCTTCCTAAAACTGGTGTCCGAGAGGTCTTGTCTAAGACCGGTCCTGCTACAAAATCTTTAATGAACAAAACTTCTGTTTATAAAACCACAGTACAGCTATCACTCAGGAAAGTTAACATTGAGACAATATTATCTATTTTGTCCCTATTCATATTTTACCAATTATCTAAATAGTGTCTTTCACAGTAATCCTTTTTTTCAGTTTCAGGATCTAGTTCAGGATGCATTTAGTTGTTGTATTAGTTAAATTTAGCTGCACAACAAACTTGGTAGCTCAAAACAATATTTGTCATCTCCGTTTCCATGGGTCAGGAATCTAGACATGGCTTAGCTGGGCTCTTGAGCTCAGGGTCTCTCACAAGACTGCAACCAAGGTGTCGGCCACAGTCATCTCAGAATTCAAGTGCAATACGATCTGCTTCCAAGCTCATTCAGTGATTGTTGGCAGGATTCAGGTCACTGCAGACTGTTGGATTTAGGGCTTCAGTTCCTGGCTGGCTGTTGGCTAGGAATTCCTCAGTTCCTTGAAACATGGGCCTCTCCAGAGGGCAGCTCACAATTTGGCAGCTTGCTTCACCAGAACAAGCAAGCTGAGAAGAGCCAGAAAGAGAATTCTAGCAAGATGGAAGTCTCAGTCCTTTGTAACCTAATCTCAGAAGTGATATCTCATCACTGACATCTGCCTATCACATGTTTATGTCTCTAGTCTCTTCTGATCTGGAACAGTTTCTTAGCCTTTTTATTGTCTTTCATGTCCTTGGCATTTTAAATATTGCAGGCTAGTTGTTTTGTAAACATCCTTTGTTTTGTAAACAGTTTGAGTCTGTTTGATGTTTCCTCATAATTCCATTCAAGCAATGCATTTTTTTCAGGAATACCTCACATTCAATGTTGTATTCTTAGTGCATCGCATCAGGAGGTTTGTCCCCTTATTAGTGATAGTAACTTGGATTGCTTGTTTAAAATAGTGCTCAAGCTCTTTCTTTTTATTTTTTTTTTTTTTTGAGACAGGGTCTCACTCTGTCACCCAGGTTGGAGTGCAATGGTGTGATCTTGGCTCACTTCAACCTAGGACTCCTGAGCTCAAGTGGTCCTCCACCTCAGCCTCCCGAGTAGCCGGGACCACAGGCATGCACCACCACACCTGGCTATTTTGTAAATTTTTTTGTAGAGATGGGGTCTTGAGATGTTGTCCAGGTCCCAAACTCCTGTGCTCAAGAGATTCTCCTGCCTCAGCCTCCCAAAGTGCTCAGATTACAGGTATGAGCCATCATCCCCAGGGGCCACTCAAGCTCCCATATTCTTAACCACTATGCAATTCTGCCTCTGGCCAGGAAAGTTCTTTCCATTTTTCAAACAGGGTAGAAAATGAGACTAATTCTCTTGGTTGAGAAACTGTGGGAAGAAATTGAGCCTGGAAACTATTTTAGGACAAAAATTCCCTATGTCCTGGATCAGACCCTCTAGCTCTCATTTGCACTCAAGATACCATCACTGGAGGCCCAAGCATTAGCTGTCATGCCAGTCCACAGCTTGGAGAACGAATGTCCTTTCACACCTGTTTTTTCTTTTTGTTACTGGTTCCTTCATCTGGAAAGCCCTTGGAGGGGCCAGTGGTGCAATGGATAACACATCTGACTACAGATCAGAAGATTCTAGAAAAGCCCTTGTCCCACCTCTACCTGTTCTCTGCCTCTAGAACTCCTGTTCATCTCTCAAGCCCAGGCCAGGGTTCAGCTCCAGAAATAAGGCTGCAGCATTGTACAATTCCAGGGGTGCCTGGCACCCCCTGGAGTTGTGCTAGCCTGTGGTTCTGCTCTGGAAACCCCTCCCCAGCCTCACCTCATGTGCACATTTTCTCATTAGTATTTGTTAAGACGTATGTGTGTCTTCTCTAGACAGAGTAGGACTAAGGCTTGTTTCCCCTGTGGACCCGGCATCCAGTATGTGCTCAACAAGGGGTGGGTTAACACGGGAATTTTTCATCCCACCACCACTCTGCCCCAAAACAGCAGCACAGTCCTTTTCTCCTTAATTTGATGGTGACACAGTTCTGGCATTTGACCTTTGTATCCCTGAGGTGCATCACAAAGTTCCCGCAATAAAATACAACACTCCAAATGTCCCAGTGGAAAGCCCCCTTATAAGGCCAGCAGGTGCAGTTAGAATGTGGCTTCTTGACAAACTTGTGAGGCTGAACCATGGCCCTCCCATCTGAGACAGAAGAGCGCTGAAAAGCTGTTGGAGAGCAGGCAGACTGATTCCAAGGCAGAGGCCACCGGTAGGGTGGGGTGGGGTGAGGGCAGCCAGGGCTGCTGAAGATGCAGACAGGGACTTGGAGGTGAGCTGGGCTCTGAATTCTCAGCAAACCTCTGGTTCCCTAGGGCAGGTCACAGAACTATTAGTAATAGGACCAAGGCCCCCAAACAGGTTTTTCTGCTAAAAGAGACTCTTTGGTCTCACAGGAGGATCTGGAGTGCTTCATCCGGGTCCCTCCCCCAGCAGTCTTGGTGGAAGCTTTAGCTGGCCTGGACCCAGATGATGAACTGGGACTTTTGACTCCCACCGACTGAGAGGCTGGCTCCTGGGAAACGTGGGTCTAAGGTTAGCTGAGAGAAAGGATGAAAGAGAGACCCAAGGTCAGGCAAGTAAGTTTATTAACCTGCCAGGCTGCTCCACCACAGTCAGAGGAGGAAGCCCTGAGCTTACAAAATGAGGGGTTTATATGAGGGAGAGAGACCCTGGGGTTGTTGGTCGATTAACTTTACCACATATCATCTTGTGACCAGCTTACAATATAGGAATTTACAAGAGGGTGTAACTTAGGTTTATCCACATTTCTCATGACCTTCCCCATGCTGCCTGTTGGGCTGTAAGCAAGTCTGGTGACCTTGCTGTAGCACCTAGATAAGGGTCCAGGAATGCAGCTTCAGAGTATTCAGGGTAAGGGTCAGCTGCATTGTGTGTGGGGGGTCCTGGGGCAGCTTGTCCCTAACATTCCAGCCTTTTAATAGGTAATAGAAGAGGGGTGCCATTGTTATCTGGCTGCTTCTTGCTGGATAGGGGCGACGGTTATGGGGAGAGTCTGGGTGGTGGGGACTGCCATTCCTGGAGTTGTCGGTATTCTTGGAGCAGCATCATATCCTGTATTGTTCCGTGGGTGAAGGCTCTAATACGGTCCTGTAAAAACTGGGTAAGGAAACATAAGAGACAAGGGCCAAATGCTAAAAGGAGGAAGAGGGTTATGGCAGGGCCTAGGAAGGGCAGTAGCCATTGTGCCCAGGAGTTACGAAACCACTGGGGCCAGGAGTCTGAAAGGTGCTGCCTGATTTCAAAAGCTTTTTCATTTATTCATCAGGTGGCATCTCACACTAGTCCTGACCAGTTAGTATAGAAACAGCACTCATCTCCTAAAAAGATGCACAGTCCACCTTTCTTGGCAGTGAGGAGATCTAAACCTCAACAGTTTTGAAGTGTCACTGCTGCTAAAGAGTCTATTTGGGATTGGAGAGCAAGGATGGATTCAGTTATATCTTGTAGGCTGTCTGAGAGATCTTTTGAGAGAGCGTGATAGTAGGACAGGGAAGTGGACAAGCCTGCTATCCTTGTTCCTGTTGCAGTGGTAATTCCTAGTCCTATAAGCAGGAGTATTAACTGTACGGCTCCACGCTGACAGACTTGAGCCTTAACAGGGACTGGTAAACTCTGATTTCCAGGGGCAATGTCAATTTTGGGGCTTAAGAAGACCAGGGTGCAGGTGCTGGTCCAATTGGCAGAGAAGCAGACATAGGTTGAGGTTCTGCACAAGAAAAATATGCCTTGGCTGGGCAGACAGAACTGGTTATGTTTATTGAAAAGGTGCGAGAGTATATTGTTTTCATTTTCCCACATGCCTGGAGTCCTTACTAAGGCAGCTCCAGTGAGTGACTGAAAAGGAGTTGCAGGGATAGTTTGAGTGGCTCCTTGTGTTTTATTTTCCCATTGGAGAAAGAATCGTTTTGTGTCTATTAGGAGCCATTCAGAGGAGTAATTGAAAGAGGGTATAAGGAGGCATTCGGCAGGGAGGGAAGCCATGCTGCAAGGGGTCCATGGGTGAATGGTTATACAGTTCGTATATCTGCCATTACAAAATCCTGAATGTTTATTTAGTAAAGAGCTGGTAATGACCTTTGGGGGTCCTGAAAAACTGACAAGCCGTTTAAATTCGGCTGTTTGGGTGACCTTAAAATTTTGGTGGTCGTTTGGGACTTGAAGCTGTAAGGTATAGTTACATTGATGGGATGGTAGGTGACCTAAAGTCAGACCTGAGGACAGGTTGTGTTGGATACATATTAGGGCTTGAAAAGTTAGACTGGTGTCGGTGGTCACAGGGCCATGAATGGGCTTGTTATTACTTGTCTGTTGGGTAAGACTGGAGATACAGGAGCGTAACAATTGTACTGTGTTCCCTGTCAGAGTGCTTTTTGTCATATCTGTGATAGAAAACTCGGCCAATAGCTGCATGTCTAAAAGTTGAAAGGGGCTTTTTCCTTCATAACGGGTGTGATAGGTTAATTAAGAACCCAGTTTTTTGAGTGAACGGGGGTGGCAACATAGGTGGTAGTTGATAGGACTGTGGGCAGAGCCCACAGTCTTTTGCTAGGATGGGGTTGGACTGGTTTAGCAGGGAGTGAGTTAGGTTAAGGGTCTTATAGAGGTAGTCGGGTACTATTGTAAGGGGAGATGTGGCTACGTGGGGCAGCCAAGGGAGTAGGAGAGGTAGACAGGCAAAGAGTGAGTAGGAAAGTAAATAAGTGCATTTCATCTGAGGAAAAGTCACATAGGGTGCCTTGGAAGAGAACGTCATCTATCCACTCTACAAGAGAGTCAAGATTGGGAGTTTGGGGATGAAACCAAGAGATGTCTTGGCAAACGGAGATGAGGAAGAGGGTGAAACAGCAAGGTAGGCAAGAACAGGGCATTTAAGAAATCAGGAGTGTACTTATGATTGTCAGGAAGGGAAGGAGGAGTCTGGGTATTGTTCAATGGTCTTCTTCAGGACAGGTGTGAGGCGGGGTTTGGTTGGGCCAAGGAGAGTACTGGAGAATCGACAGAGGATGGCAGTTGGTGGGTCGGTGGGTGCTTCGGGGGCTCTTTTTAATCTGGAAAGATGGTACCAAGAGATATGTCCTGAGAGTTTAGCTGCAGTGGGGGTATGAGAAGAACTTGAAAAGGGCCTTCCCACTTTGGTTTAAGGGTTGTTGGGTTAAGAGTTTTTAGCAAGACATGCTGTCCTGGAAGGAGATTCCGGTTGGGGGGCCTTCGTGGGGTTTTGGGAGGGCCTGGTCAGCTTGTTGGTGGAGGAGATGGTGGATGAGGGAGAGTGTTGGGAGGTATTCTCCTAGCTGAGAGTTAGAAGGGGGCCTGTTTTGTAAGAGGAAAGGCTGTCCATACATTAACTCAAATGGACTGAGGAACAAGGGTGCTTTTGGACTGGCTCTGATGCAGGCCAGTGCTATGGGCAAAAGGGAGGTCCATGGGTTTTGGACTTCAAGAATGAGTTTGGTCAACTAAGCTTTAAGGATCCCATTTGCCCTCTTGACTTTTCCAGATGACTGGGGCCAGTATGGGATATGAAGTCACCACTGGATGCTGAGGGACTGAGAAACCTGTTGGGTGATTTGGGAGATGAAGCTAGGGCTACTGTCTGATTGTATGGAGTGAGGGAGACCAAATCTAGGGATGATTTCTGTTATAAGAATTTGGGGGACATCTGCGGCCTTTTCTGGAAAGGTAGGAAATGCTTCTACCCACCCAGAGAAGGTATCTATAAGAGTAAGAAGAAATTTTGTCCTCTTGACGGGAGGCATGTGGGTGAAGTCTACTTGCCAGTCCTGCCCTGGGAGTGTTCCTCTGAGCTGATGTGTAGGAATAGGGGGAGAGCGGAGGGCCCCTTGGGAGGAAGTAACACAGCATATATGACAGTTTAAGGTTATGTCTTTTAGTGACGTGAATAGAAGGGGAGAGGAGAAATAAGGGCGATGGAGTAGGTACAGGGGTGCTCACCAATATGGAAGGATTGGTGAAGAGATGTCAGAATTTCTTTGGTTTGCTCTTGGGGGAGGATGAGCTTTTGATTTTTGACTATCCAGTCCCTTGAAAGGAGGCTCCTTGCTGTAGTAGCGAAGCTTTCTCAGTGAGAGAGTACTTGGGTTGGATTGCTGAGATAATGAGGAGGAGAGGGGGAGGGGCAGAAGAAAGGGAGGATTCTTTTGCTGCCTCATTGGCCTTTCTGTTCCCTCTTGAGATTTCATCTGATCCTGTTTGATGTCCTCGACAGTGTATAACTCCTGCTTTCGCTGGGAGGTGTGCAACCTGAAGGAGTTGGTAAATAAGGGGGCTGTTAGTGATGGGGGTTCCTTTGGCAGTAAGGAATCCTCTCTCTTGCCAGATGGAGGTGTGGGAATGACGAATGTGATAGGCATATTTGGAGTCTGTATAAATGTTGACTCATTTGCCTTTGGAAAGGGTTAGAGCCCTGGTGAGAGCTATGAGTTCTGCCTTTTGGGAGGAGGTTCCTGGGGGTAGGGGCTTGGCTTCAATTACTTGTCAAGGGAAACAAATGTATATCCAGCAATTTTGGGGGAGCTGGTGGGCCCAGAAGAGGAGCCATCTATGAATAGTTGTTCATCAAGGCTGGTGAGAGACTCGGAGGAAATGTTTGGGAAATGTAGCTGTACATGGTCCAGAATGTCAGTGCAAGAATGAGTAGGAGGGGAAGAGAATACAGGGAGTAAGGATGCTGGGTTCAGGGGAGCACTTTTGGCAAGACTGGATTCGGGATTTTCGATAAAGAGGGCATGGAGTAATTGAATCCAGGAAGGAGGAAGGGAGCTTAGTGCTCGGGAGGAGAGGCGATCTTGTAGATTATGAGGACTGTGGATGGTGGTATTCTGGCTGAAAGTTAGTTTCCTGCTTTCTAGAGCTAAAACGGTAACTGCTGCTAGTGCTTTAAGGCAGGTTGGCCACCCTTTGACTGTGTTATCTAGTTGTTTAGAGAGGTAAGCTACAGGGGCAAAGGAAGGATTTCCTTTCTGTTGTGCTAAGACACCGAGGGCTATTCCTTGGCTTTCGGCAGTATAGAGAGTGAAAGGTTGGGAGATATCAGGTAAGGACAGAGCTGATGCAGTGACAAGAGCAGTTTGGAGTTTGCGAAAGCTGGGGTGTATGTTATGTGTGGGGTTTAGGGGTTCATTGAGAGGGCCTTTGGCCACTTCATAGAGGACATCAACTAGGAGGACAAAGTTGGAAATCCATATTCTGAAGAAGCCTGCTAGCCCTAGGAAGGAAAGGATTTCGCTTTTGGAGGAGGATGGGGGTAGATTATCTATTAATGCTGCCCCAGCTGGAGTCATAACCCAGGCCCCAGGGGAAAGTTGAATTCCTAAGTAGGTCACCATGGAGGTGGAGAGTTAGTTGGGCCTTGGAGGGGGAGACCCTATACCTTTTGATAGTGAGAAAGTTTAAGAGAGTGGCCGTGTGAATTTGAGAGTCTCTTAGAGAGAGGCTGCAAAGAAGAAGGTCTTCCACGTATTAAACAAGAAGACTGGGAGACAGGTTTAAGGAGGTGAGGCCTCAGACTAGAGCTTGTCGGAAGAAATGAGGGCTATCCCTGAAGCCCTGAGGAAGGACAGTCCATGTGAGTTGTTGTAACTGGAGGGTGTCAGGGTCAGTCCAGGTGAAATCAAATAGGTTTGGGGCATCAGGGTGTAGGGGAATGGTAAAGAAGGCATCCTTCAGGTCAATTGTGGTGTAGTGGGTGGTGTTGGTGGGGACAAGAGAGAGAAGTGTATAGGGGCTAGGGACTATGGGATGGATAGGGAGGACAGCCTGATTGATGGCTCAGAGGTCCTGAACGAGTTGGTATGAGCCATCAGATTTTTTTTTTCTTTTGAGACAAAGTCTTGCTCTGTCACCCAGGCTGGAGTGCAGTGATGTGATCTTGGCTCACTGCAACCTCCACCTCCCCGGTTAAAGCAATTCTCCTGCCTCAGCCTCCTGAGTAGCTGGGATTACAGGTGCATGCCACCATGCCTGGCTAATTTTTTTCTATTTTTAGTAGAGACGGGGTTTCACCATGTTGGCCAGACTGGTCTCGAACTCCTGTCCTCAGGCAATCCACCTGCCTTGGCCTCCCAAAGTGCTGGGATTACAGGCGTGAGCCACTGCGCCTGGCCCAGAGCCATCATATTTTTTAACAGGGAGGATGGGGGTGTTATATGGAGAGTGTGTCGGTCTAAGAAGAGTGCATAAGCAGAGCTTGTTTATGATGGGTTGTAGGCCTTTTTGGTGAGTTAGGCAGATTGGGTATTGGCGAACATTGAGAAATTTGGAGGGGTCTTTTAACTGGATTTTGATGGGGTCATGGTGAGCAGCTATGGAAGGGATGGTGGTGTCCCACACTACTGGGTTAAAGAGAGAGGCGGGAAGTGGTACTGGGGAGAGGGATCAGAGGCTGGACTAGTGGAGAGGAGCAGGAGGGACTCTGCTTGAGGGGAGCAGGAAAAGGTGATAGAAGCTTTGAATTTGGCTAAAAGGTCTTGGCCTAGAATGGGGGTGGGGCAACGAGGCATGATAAGGAAAGAGTGTGAGAAAACGGTATCAAACAGGGAACAAGTAGGAGGTCTGCTGGTGCATGGACGTCAGATGAGTCCATCAACCCCCACAACTAAGACTTGATGTTGGTAGAGTTGCTGAGGCAGGACTGGCTTGTCTGTCATAATATAAAAGAGTATTGGAAGATGTCCGGGGTCCGGGTCTAAAACCCCTTGTGGCCTTTGGAACACCAAGCTCTGTGCCAAAGGGTGGAAGGCTGCCCTGCCGCACCACAAATTTAAGCCCAGGGCATAAAACTCCTCATGACTTGGATGGAATCCAGGGCTCAGGGCATACAACCCCTCGTAGCCTCTGGAATGTGCACAGACTTGTTGGTTGCTCTCCCAGGCTCATAAACATGTTCTCCATTATCTCAAGCAGCAGAGCATATTCATATGTGTCAAAGAAAATGCTAAAGTGTCACAGCTACGCTTGATGCACCGCTACCTTTCTACCCCCATATCCGCATGTCCTCACCACCTGCTTCTTTGTTTGATCACCAATAAATAGTGTGGGTTCCCAGAGCTCGGGTGCTTCACAGCCTCCATACCAGCATTGGCCCCCTGGACCCACCTTATGCACTCTTAACTTGTCTTTTCTCATTCATTTGACTCTGCCAGACTTCGTAGCCCCCATGGCCTAGTGTTGGGTCTGATCACCCTAACATTTCTGGCGCCCAACATGGGGCTATGAAGACCCTGGTGAAGGAACACTAGAGCATGTGGAAGCAGAGGACACATTGTCAGAGGACACCCGAGGATGACTGAAAGAAGCTCGGCAGGTAAGCTGGGCACTCGTAAGAACCAGGGTAACAATGGGACAGAATGAAAGTAAACATTCTGCTTATTTACATTTCTTTTTTTTGTGTGTGGGTGGCAAGCCACCCAGGCGCCAAGGCAAGAGACTGAAGGCACAAGCTTGTTACAGTATAATAAAGAAAATACTTAAAATAAGAATAGTTATATTAGACGTAGAATATAGACACGATTATATATGAATATTATCAATCATTAGTTTGTAGCATTACTCTTTATTCCAATATTATAATAATCTCTGTTTTACAATTATAACCTAGGAAAAACCAGGCCATACAGAGATAGGAGCTGAAGGGACATGGTGAGAAGTGACCAGAAGACAAGAATGCGAGCCCTCTGTCACGCCCAGACAGGGCCACTAGAGGGCTCCTTGGTCTAGCGGTAGTACCAGTGCCTGGGAAGGCACCCGTTACTTAGCAGACGGGGAAAGGGAGTCTCCCCTTCCCTGGGGGAGTTAGAGAAGACTCTGCTCCACCACCTCTTGTGAAAGGCCTGACATCAGTTAAGCCCACCCACAGCCATCCAGAGGCCTAAACGTCTCCCTGTGATGCTGTGCTTCAGCGGTCACGCTCCTTGTCCACTTTCATGTTCAGCCCTGTACACCTGGCTCTGCCTTCTAGATAGCAGTAGCAGAATTAGTGAGAATATTAAAGTCTTTGATCTCTCCAAGAAATTCATAGAAGAAATAATGGCATAAGCTGTCCCCTCTCTCTCTCTCTGCCTCAGCTGCCAAACAGGGAAGGGCTCCCTGTCTGGTGGACATGTGACTCACATGACCTTACCTATCATTGGAAATGACTCACATTCCTTACCCTGCCCCCTTGCCTTGTATACAATAAATAACAGCACAGCCAGGCATTCGGGGCCACTACCGGTCTCCACATTTTGGTGGTAGTGGTCACCCGGGCCCAGCTGTCTTTTCTTCTATCTCTTTGTCTTGTGTCTTTATTTCTATGATCTCTCGTCTCCGCACACAAGGAGAAAAACCTACAGGCCCTGTAGGGCTGATCCCTACATTTTTTGAGACAGAGCCTTGCTCTGTCACCCAGGCTGCAGTACTGTGGCACGATCTCGGCTCAGTGCAATCTCTGCCTCCCGAGTTCACGCCATTCTCCCACCTCAGCCTCCCGAGTAGCTGGGACTACAGGCATGTGCCACCATGCCCAGCTAATTTTTTGTATTTTTAATAGAGACAGGGTTTCACCGTGTTAGCCAGGAATGTCTCGATCTCCTGACCTTGTGATATGCCTGCCTTGGCCTCCCAAAGTGCTGGGATTACAGGCGTGAGCCACCACTCCCGGCCTTAGTTATTTAAATTTCTTAAGGCATTTATTATGGAAAGGGGGAGTGAAAGTTAGTACTCAGAATTTATTAACACTCTTTAGTACAGTAGAGCAGTTTGCCCATGGTTCCCAGAACAAGGGACAATGGGGTTGGATGAATGGGAAAGAATTGGCAGAGATTTTAAAAAGGTGCATAAAGAAGGAGCCAAAATTCCAGTTTCTGTTTGGTCAGTGTGAGCATTGATAAAGGCAGCTCTTGAGCCATTTCAAACAATGACAAGACAGATTCAGATGAGGAAGAGGCAGACAAGTGTAAAAAATTAACTTCAGATTCTGAATGTGAGGAACAGGAACCAGAGGAAATTAAATAAAAGAGAGGGAAACTGAAAAAGGTACATTTCACTAGCCTGTCGGTTCCACCTGCTGAATTAAGTGAATGGCCACCTCCTCCCTCTCCCCTTAATGGACAAGAACATGAACTAGCTAAAAAACTAAAAAACTGCTCCTGTAGTTGCAACATTAAAACCTGGAGCTATTGGTGGCGCTATACAAAATTCTATTCAAAAGGCTAGAGCCGAGGGAGACCTTGAAGTATGGCAATTTCCAGTTACTATAACCCAGCAAGGAGGGCAGAATATAGCTAATTGGGCCACTTTTCCTTTTAAGTTGTTAAAGGAATTCAAGCGGAAGCCATTAGTCAATATGGGCCAAATTCTCCTTTTGTACAAACTTTACTAAAAAATGTGGCTCTTGATAATAGATTAATACCATATGACTGGGATACTTTAACAAAACCTGTTCTCACTCCGTCCCAGTACATGCAGTTTAAAACTTGGTGGGCCGATGAAGCTCAAACTCAAGCAAGAGAAAACACACAAGCACAGCCGCCTGTGCCTGTTTCCTTTGAACAGTTAATGGGGTTGGGCCCTAATTGGGGCCGACTAGACAATCAAGCAGTAATGAAAAACGTTGCCATTGTTCAGTTACACACTGTGTGTTTATGGGCATGGAAAAAAAATAAATGTTATGGGGAAAAAATATCCTTCTTTCAGTTCTGTCTGACAAGGACCTAAAGAATCATATACTGACTTTATTGCTCGGCTCCAAGAGGCTGTGCGTAAAGCCATAACTGATGAAATAGCTCAAGATGTGGTAATACAACTCCTTGCATATGATAATGCCAATACAGAGTGTCAAAATGCTATTAGACCTATGAGAGGGAAGGCTCATTTGGCTGAATATATTAAGGCTTCTGATGGCATTGGAGGTAACTTAAATAAGGCTACTCTTTTAGCCCAAGCTATGGCTGGACTAAAGGTGGGAAAAAATATGCCCCGTTTCTCAGGCTCTTGTTTTAATTGTGGGCAATTTGGACACACAAAAAAGGAATGTAGAAAAGAAAATCAAAAGGCAAAAACTATTACCATCAATCAACAGAAAAGTCCTGGCGTATGCCCCTGATGTAAGAAGGGCAATCACTGGGCAAATCGGTGTCATTCTAAATTTAGCAAAGATGGGCAACCTTTTTTTGGGAAACGGGAAGAGGGGCCCACCTCGGGCCCCTCAACAAACCAAGGTATATCTGGCACATTCAGTGCCCTTACAAATGTACAACAGTTGTCCCCTGCCACAGCAGGCAGTGTTGCTGTAGATCTTTGCAGCACAGTTCCCATTTCCCTACTTCCTGGGGAGCCACCAAAGAAGGTCCCCATGGGAGTCAGGGGCCCTTTACCCTCAGAACAGTTGGTCTATTGCTAGGAAGGTCTAGTTTAAATTTTAGAGGTGTCACTATGCATGTAGGAATAATTGATTCTGATTATACCAGAGAGATTCAATTAGTTGCTAGTTCCTCAATTCCATGGTCTGCTTCCTCAGGAGAAAGAATCGCTCAGTTGTTACTGTTACCTTATGCAAAACTGGGACGCAGCATAGTAAAAAGAATGGGAGGCTTTGGTAGTATGAATCCAGCAGGAAAAGCTGTATATTGGGTTAATCAAGTGTCTGATAAGAGACCTATTTGTACAGTAACCATTCAAGGAAAGAACTTTGAAGGGCTAGTAGATAACTGGAGCTGATGTTTCTATATTGGTTTGAATCAATGGCCCCAGCATTGGCCTAAGCAAAAGGCATCCATTGGTATTGTTGGAGTAGGGGCTGCCTCAGAAGTTTTTCAAAGTTCTTTAATTTTGCCATGCCAAGGGCCAGATGGCCAAGAAGGGACAATTCAACCTATTACACCTATTCCTGTCGATCTATGGGGTAGAGACTTATTACAACAATGGGGTGCTGAAATACCTATTCCTATTGATCAGTATAGTATTAACGGTAAACAAATGATGAGAAAAATGGGATATCTCCCAGGGAAGGGACTAGGAAAAAATGAAAATGGCCAACCAGAACATTTAGAACTAAAAGGACAAACAGATCAAACTGGATTAGGGTATCATTTTTAGGAACGGCCATTGCTGAGCCTCCGGCTCCCATTCCTCTTGTTTGGTTAACTGCTAAACCAGTTTGGGTGGAGCAATGGCCACTGAAACAGGAAAAACTGGAGGCTTTAAAATAATTGGTACAGAAACAATTACAAAAGGGACACACAGAGCCTACTCTCTCTCCTTGGAATTCTCCTGTGTTTGTTATTAAGAAAAAATCCCAGAAATGGAGAATGTTAACAGATTTGAGGGCCGTTAATGCTGTCATTCTACCCATGGGTGCACTGCAACCAGAGCTGCCCTCCCCAACTATGATTCCTAAATCCTGGCCTCTAATAGTGATAAATTTAAAAGATTGCTTCTTTACCATTCCTTTAGCTACCCAAGATTAGGAAAAATTTGCTTTTACTGTTCCCGCTATAAATAACAAAGAACCAGCAGACAAATACCATTGGAAAGTATTACTATTTGTCAAACTTATGTCAGAAAAGGTATTAAGCCAGCTAGAGAACAATTCAATAAATGTTATATTATCCATTACATGGATGATATTTTATGTGCAGCTGAAACTAGGGAGGAAAAGGCTGTAACAGCAGCAAGGTTAATCATAGCCCCTGATAAAATCCAAACTTCTACTCCCTTTCAGTATTTAGGAATGAAAGTAGAACAAAGTACTATTAAGCCTCAAAACATTCAAATTAGAAGAGATAATTTAAAACCTCTAATGATTTTCAAAAATTATTAGGAGACATTAATTGGATTCATCCCACTTTAGGCAGTCCTACTTATGTTATGTCTCACCTCTTTTCTACCTTACGAGGTGATTCTAACTTAAACAGTAAACACTCCCTGTCCAAGGAGGCATTAGAGAAACTTCAATTAATTGAAGAAAAATTTCCACAGGCACAAGTGACTCGAGTTGACCCATTGCAGTCATTACAGTTTTTAGTTTTTCCTACTAAACATTCACGTACAGGAATTATTGTTCAACAGAATGATCTGGTTGAGCGGCTTTTTGTACCTCACAATACAACCAAAACGCTTACTCTGTACTTAGATCAAGTTGCTGTATTAATGTAGTGTGCAAGGCTGTGCACAACAAAGTTAATGGGATATGATCCAAATCAAATTATACTTCCATTAAACAAACAACAAATTCAGCAAGCTTATATTAATTCCCAGGAATGGCAAATTAATTTGGCAGGTTTTATTGGCATTCTTGGTAATCATTATCCTAAATCCAAAATATTCCAATTTCTTAAATTAATATCATGGATATTGCCTTCCATTACTCAAAAAGCCCCTATTGAAGGGGCCATTACTGTTTTTACTGATGGATCTAGTAATGGAAAGGCCTCATTTGTGGGACCTCAACAACAAGTTTTTCAAACTGACTTTGCTTCTGCTCAAAATGCTGAACTTATGGCTGTGATAACAGTGTTAAAAACTTTTAAACAGCCAATAAACACTGTTTCTGATTCAGCCTATGTAGTGCAAGCCACACAAAATATTGAATGTGCCTTAATTCAAAATGTGACTAATGACCAACTTAATCTTTTATTTCATTCTTTACAGCAAGCAGTACAACAAAGGCATTCCCCTTTCTATGTCACTCATATGAGAGTGACATAGCCCTTTAAATTTAATCAAAGGGTGGATAATTATATGGGGAATAGGATTTGCTTGTGTCTCTCAGGTAACAATCAGGTGCCTGTATGAGTGCCCACCAAACATCTGAAAATCTATCATGAGCTACAGCAGGAAGAGAGGACTCTGGGAAGAGTCCTCTGAAGAGTCCAGAGACGTGGTTTCACGGTGTTAGCCAGGATGGTCTCGATTTCCTGACCTCGTGATCCGCCCACCTCGACCTCCCAAAGTTTTGGGATTACAGGTGTGAGCCATAGCGCCTGGCCATTACCCGGCAGCTTTGTTAAGGCCTGCAATGAGGCAAGTAATCATATAGTTACAGACGCCCAGCTGGGGTCTGTGGGTTGGTACTCCCAGGAAGGCTCTTCCTGGGGAACAGCAGTGGCTCCTATGGGCTTAGCAGGATCTTGCCCATGAAGATCGTCAGTGTGTGCCTGTGCTACAAGCCACACTCTTTCCTTCTCTTCTGGAAGGAGAGTATAGAAGAGAGGATAATGTAGAGATCATGCCAAGTGAGTTCATAAGATTGGGTAAGATATTTAAATTCTTTGATATAAGTATCAGGATCGGAGGAGAAGGACCTGAGACGTTTTTCAATCTGTGAGAGATTGGAGAGGGAGAAAGGGAAATGGACACGGATGATCCCCTTGCTCCTGCTACTTCCCAGAGAGGAAGCAAGGGAACTGGTTGCTGAGTATGTTGGGCCCAAGAGCGGGTGAGGGGTGGAGATGGAGAGGACTCAGAGTCAGAAGCGGGGTGGTTGGAGAGAGGGGGACAGATGGGTAGAGCCAGAGCAGGGACATACCGTGAAGAATCATGATGCTCTGGTGGAGGATCAAGATGCTGTCAGGGAGGGGCAAAATTGGCGGGGTCAAAGAAAGAGGAGTTGTCGGCTGGGGCTGTTGCGGGGGTGGTGGGAGACGGGGGTGGTGGGAGACAAGTCTGGTGAGTAGGATTTGGAAAGTGGAGCAGTACTGGCAGAGGGAAGGGCGGTTACGGAGAGTGAAGAAAGCCTGAACATAAGGAATCTCAGACCATTTCCCACTGCGATGGCAAAAGTCGTCTAAGTCTCTAAGTATATTGAAATCAAAAGTGCCATTTTCAGGCCATTGGGAGCCATTGTCCAATTGGTATTGAGGCCAAGTGGTATTGCAGTAAAAGATAAGTCTCTTAGAACGGACCTCTGAATGGAGGCTGAGAGCCTTGAGATTGCAGAGGAGACAGCCAAGGCGGGTGGTCTTGGGATGGGTAGACTGAGAGGCTCCCATAGTGAATGGAGGGTGGGGGGTAGAGGAAGAAGAGACTGCAGATGACAAGGATGGCGAGAGAGGGTGTCCCCTGTCCTGCAGGCCTTGTCTGGAATAGAGGCAGCCACCGAGTCAGGTGTCCTTCAGGTCTCCTCTATTCTGGACAAGGCCCTTGGGTGAGGGGTGATAGGAGAGAGAGAGGGGAGGGGGGAGAGGGAGAGAGAGAGAGACACCTCTAAGGACACGCAGCCAGAGCCTGTCCCCTTCCTGGGTTTCGGCACCAAAATGTAACGTTAGCTGAGAGAAAGGACAAGAGAGAGACCCAAAGTTAGGCGAGTAAGTTTATCCTGCCGGGCTGCTCCACCACAGTCAGAGGAGGCAGCCCTGGAGCTTATAAAATGAGGGGTTCATATGGGGGAGAGAGACCCTGGGGTTGTCGGTTAACTTTACCACATATCATCTCGTGACCGCTTACAATATAGGAATTTAGAAGAGGGTGTAACTTAAGTTTATCCACATTTCTCGTGACCTTCCCCATGCTGCCTGTTGGGCTGTAAGCAAGTCTGGTGACCTTGCTGTAGCACCTAGATAAGGGTCCAGGAATGCAGCTTCGGAGTATTCAGGGTAAGGGTCAGCTGCATTGTGTGTGGGGCGGGGGGTTCCTGGGGCAACTTGTCCCTAACAGGGTCAGGATTAGTTCTATCTGGTTCTCTATTTGCTGTCCATCTGTAAATGCTGAGAATGGCAGAGGGAGGCCAAGTGTAGATAATCAGGTTTTAGCTTTTTTGGATTTTCCTACTTCTCCTGTACAGGAAATAACTTATTGTCTAAACCCCATACTATCCCATTAAATGTCAGGAGTGCTGTCTTAGGCCTGAATTAGCTCATGACGTTACGTACTGGAAGTCCCAGGAGGAATGCCCAGCAAGTGGAATCCAAGACGTTCTCGCCTTCTCGGGGACAGGGCCATCACCAGGATTCGGAAAGGAACAGGGAGGTTCGGTTTGTGTTCCAGTTCTGAGCCCTTTACCTCATCCCTCGAGAAGCTGGCCTTTGCACCCCGCAGCCGGTGCTGCCCAGCCGACCACGCCATGCACGGGAGGCGACTGGGACCCCACTTGCCTGGCAGCCCGGCCGGAGACCCAGCTGCCTGGGAGGGTCCGAAGATAATGCCAGGCAGCCCTGGCGGGCCGGGAAGACCCTCTGTCCCTCCCGTTTCCCAGTTCTTGAATTAGGGGAGCCTTGGACTGGCTGGCGGCGCAGGAAAGTGCAGGAGGGCGGATGTGGGACCTGCTGCCGCCCAGGGAGACGGTGCTCTGTTCTTTGGAACCAGGGAAACCGTCCTCCAGCCCACTTGCCCCAGGGGGGAGCAGGAAGATCCTCTCCGGGCAGAGATGATGGGGAACCCGTGCAGCCAGAGGGTCTCCCTGGCAAAGGTCGGGGGAGGGGGCGGCCGTAACGGCCCCGGGCGCTCCGGCACGGAGAAGCCAAGGGGGTTCTCCAAGCAGCCTCCACCCACCAGCCTCGCCAGGAGAGCGTGGATACCCGAGCGGCCCCAAGCGAGTCCCCGGGGACTGGAGGGCCGAGGGGCAGCGCCCGGAACAAAGGCCCGCAGAGGGGTCCTGGAGACAGCGGCTCCCCGGGGGCGGCTCCCCTCTCTCCCCTCTCTCCCCTCCTCTCCTCTCCCGCCAGCTCCTCCTTCTCCTCCCCTTCCTCCCCCAGAGGCCCGGCCGGCTCGCGGCCCGAGCAGCGCCAACTTCGCCAACGGTTCCCAAGTTGCCGGGCGCGCAGGGGTGGGAGCTGGGTGGGGTGAGGAAGAGGAGGAGGAGGAGGAGAAGGGCTCCCGGACGCCTTGGACGCGGTTCAGGAATCCGCCGCCGCTAGCCGGCTCGGGCCTGAGCGGGGAGGGCGCCAGGCAGGACCTCTCGCAGGCTCGCTGCGCAGGACGGCGCCCGCCTGGCGCCGCTTCCCTTCCAGCGTGCCGACCGGCCCCGCAGCGCCTCCATCCCTCCGGCCCGCCCCGGAGAAGACGCACAGCTCGGGCCGCGCGGGCGCCGGGGCCGCGGAACCGCTTCTGCCGGGATCTTCCAGGAGGAAAGCGAAGTTGCGAGCGGATGCTGCCCGCGCCGGACCCCAGCCGCGGAGGGTCGGGGCCGCCGGTGGAGTCTCGGCGGCCGGGGTAAGTGGGGCGCCGGCGTCCTGGAACCGCCGCCCAGCCCGGGGGAGGCCGCCCAGCCGGGAGCCCCCGCCTTCCGCGTCCAGGCGCGCGCGCCAGACTTTGGAGGGAGAAGGGGGCGAAGCGGACGGTGGGAGGTGGAGTTCCCAGCTCGGGGAAAAGCCCAGGCAGGCACCCACAACCCGCTGCAACCGGATCACACCTGCCAGGTACACACAGCTCATCGCCACTCATACCCCGCACACGGCGCAGGCTGATCTGCGCACACCCACACCGGCCAGGCACATGCCACACACCGAAATGCACATTCCTGGGAGCGCGGGGGATTTGGCCTCTACAGCAGGCACGTCCTCACACCCCTCCGTCACATCCACGGCCTTTGTCTGCTGCCCCCGCAGCCCCCAAGGAGAGGGAGCCCCCAAAGCGCAGCGGGCAGGAGAGAGGCTGCCTGGGTTTTGAAAACTTGTGGCCAGAACCCCGAGACCAAGGGGAGCAGATGTTGCAGTCGGTTCTCGGAGTTCTGCAGGAGCGAATTTGGTGTGGAAACTCGGTGTCTGGGTGATGTGTGAGTGTGCGAAGCCCTTCCGGAGGCGAGGCCCGGAGAGAGGAGGGAGTGATTCATAAACTCAGAGCCGGCGTGCCAGGGTCTGTGAGCAGCGTGGAAGAGGCTGGCAGGCCGTTGCTGCGCTAGACAGAAGGGTAGTGGCCGTGACAGTCTTCCAGGGAAGCAGGGACCCTTCCCCCCAGCGGATGTGCTTCCTCCAGGGACTTCCAAGGGAACCGGGTGAGCAGATTCCAGTCCTGGGTGTGGACGGGGTAAGGGGAGGTGGGGGGATTTAAGCCTAAAAGGTTAGGGAGAAACCAAGGCAGGCCTGACGCCTTCATTATTTTCCTTGCACCTGAAGTTGTGTTTGGTTTCTGATGCGTGGTGTTGCTGGGCCCCAGGATGTACGGGGGATTGTCCTGGGCCTAGCATAGTGCCTGGCACAGTGGGCACTCAGTCAGTACTTGCTTGATGAATAATGACACCGGTAATTATCATTCATTATGGACTCACTGTGCGGCAAGGCCAGTGGGCCTCTGCTGGGTTGAAATTGATTTTCCAGCAGAGAAGGGGGCCTGAGTAGCTCCTAGGAGCCCTGCCTGATCTGCTTGGGCCAGTGGCCCAGGCACTGTGTGTTCCACTGTGTCCCGTGGGCTGGCCTTGGGAGACTGGAGCTCATCATTGGCCTCTGCCCCTCTAAGAGGGCAGCAGGAAAAGCTTCATTTCTGTATCTGGCTAAGATGGGGTTGATGTGGGTTTTGGTAGATGGCAGGCTGTTTGGCAGATTCTGTGGGGTCTCAATTGAAGAATAACTTTAGATCTGCAGCAGAGAGAGGGGTTGGTTCCATCAACCCTCCCATCTCCTGGCTGCTGGAGAAGAGGGGTGGGTAAGTGGAGAAAGAGATGGGCCGTGCTGCTGGGCATGTGCTGGGGGTAGGAGGAACATGGGAACATGTAGAATTTGGGGGCAGCCGTTTTTCTTCCTGGCTCCTGATGGCCTGGCTGGAGATGGGTCTCATGAAGGGTCTAGGAGCTGTGTTCTGCAGCAGTGGCTTGGCTCTGTGGTGGCAGCAGGTAGAGCAGTGGTCACAGTCCCTGTACTGAGTATTGCTGTGGGTTCTCCTGTGCCAGCTTGCATGAGTTTCCCAGAGGAGCAGAAACATTCGTGTTCCTGGAACTGGATTGCCAGTAGTCTTGGGATTGAGAGTGCACAAAGATGTGGGGGTGGCCTGGGCATGTCATCCAAAAGAAATGTGTCATTCCCCACCCCTGCCCCCTTGTGAAGAGCTCTGACTAGGTTCAGTGTGCATTTCAAACTTCTAAATGCTGAAATTAGCAAGGCATGTGGGCGGCACCAAGGACTGGCCTCAGATGAAAGAGGAGGTGATCTGGGCTTGGGCACCCCCAATTTCAGGTGGAACCCTGCAGCCAGTTCCTTCCCTATATCACCTTTCCACCTTCATTATGCCCTCTGTGAATCGAGAGTTCTGTATACATTTTCTAATTAAATCATTATATCCCTATGAGGTTAGCATTTCATCTCCATTTTGCAGATTAGGAAACTGAGGACCAGAAAAGTTAAGTAACTTTTTCAATGTCACACAGGTAGTGAGAGACAAAGCCAGTGTTTGTGTATTTGGTTTTTTTAAACTTTATGTTAGGTTCAGAGGTACGTATACAGGTTTGTTACATAGGTAAATTGTATGCCATGGGGGTTTGGTGTACAGATTATTTCATCATCCAGGTAGTAAGCATAGTACCCAATAGGTAGTTGTTGGGTTTGTTTGAGACAGGGTCTCTATTGCTCAGGCAGGAGTGCAGTGGCACGATCACTGCCACTCACCATAGCCTCGACCTCCTGGACTCAGGTGATCCTCCTGCCCCAGCCTCCCGAGTAGCTGGCACCACCATGCCTGACTAATTTTTTTGTATTTTTTGTAGAGACAGGGTTTTACCATGTTGCCCAGGCTGGTCTCAAACTCTGGAGCTCTAGCGATCTGCCTGCCTCCACCTCCCAAAGTGCTGGGATTACAGGTCTGACACACTGCACAGGCCCGAGATGGGTGGTTTTTGATCCTCACCCTCCCCACTGTCTCCACCCTCAAGTAGGTCCTGGTGTCTGTTGTTCCCTTCTTTGCGTTCAGATGTACCCAATGTTTAGCTCCCACTTCTAAGTGAGAGCATGGGGCACTTGATTTTCTGTTCCTGTGTTAGTTTGCTTAGGATAATAGCCGCTAACTCCATCCATGTTGCTGCAAAGGACATGATCTCATTCTCTTTTATGGCTACATAGTATTTCATGGTATATATGTACCACATTTCTTTATCTGGTCTACCGTTGATGGGCATTTAGGTTGATTTCATGTTTTTGCTATTGTGACTAGTGCTATGATAAACATACGTGTGCATGTATCTTTATGGTAGAACAATTTATATTATTTTGGGTATGTACCCAATAATGGGATTGCTTGGTAGAATGGTAATCCTACTTTGAGTTCTTTGAGAACTCTCCAAACTGCTTTCCACAATGGCTGAACTAATTTACATACCCATCAGCAGTGTATAAGCACTCTGTTTTTTGTTTTTTGTTTTTGGTGGGAGTGGTGGGATGGAGTCTTGCTCTGTCACCAGGCTGGAGTACAGTGGTGCGATCTTGGCTCACTGCAACTTCCACCTCCCAGGTTCAAGCAATTCCCCTGCCTCAGCCCCCTGATAGGCGTGCACCACCATGCGTGGCTAATTTTTTTTTTTTTTTGTATTTTAGTAGAGACGAGGTTTCACCATGTTGGCCAGAATGGTCTCGATCTCCTGACCTCGTGATCTGCTCACCTCAGCCCCGCAAAATGCTGGGATTACAGGCATGAGCCGCCTCGCTTGGCCAGCACTCCCTTTTCTCC
This sequence comes from Homo sapiens, assembly GCF_000001405.40. NCBI lineage: Eukaryota > Metazoa > Chordata > Mammalia > Primates > Hominidae > Homo > Homo sapiens. Next base: position 71,968,133 of record NC_000010.11, read on the forward strand.
ACAACCTGGCCAGCATCTGTTAATGTTTGACTTTTTAATAATAGCTATTCTGACTGGTATGAGATGGTATCTCATTGTGGTTTTGATTTGCATTTTTCTAATGATTAGTGATGTTGACCGTTTTTTCATATGTTTGTTGGACACATGTATGTCTTCTTTTGAAAAGTATCTGTTTGTGTCCTTTGCCCACTTTTTAATGGGGTTGTTTTTTGCTTGTTAACTTGTTCAAGTTCCTTATAGATTCTGGATATTAGACTTTTGTCGGATGCATAGTTTGCAAATATTTTCTCCTGTTCTGTAGGTTGTCTGTTTACTCTGTTGATAGTTTCTTTTGCTGTGCAGAGGCTCTTTAGTTTAATTAGGTCCCATTTGTCAATTTTTGTTTTTGCTGCAATTGCAAAGCCAGTATTTGAACCCAGATTGTCTAACTCCAGAACCCACCCTGTCTCCACCATGCCAGGCTGTCTGCAAGGCCCTTATTGGTTCTCCATGGCAACAGGGAAACAGCCCTGATGCTTCTTACTAACGTGGTCCCAGGGCCTCTGCTTGCATTCTTCTTTTTCCATACACTCTGCCGAGCCTGGATATACCTTAGGCTGTGGGAATCAAAGGCTGGGTGGTACCAGGCTGCTGGAGCCTTCTGTGTGGCTCTGGAGTCAGAAAACTGTGGAGATTTTGGGGGGGCACACAGGGAGATGTTGCAGTAATTCCAGTGAGACATGACTCACTGCTTATCTGAGAAGTTGGGACAAAGCTGCCTCTTGTGACCATACCGTGAATAGGGAAGAAATTGCCAGGTAGACCAAACATCCTCAAATGGGTTACTGTATTTTTTTCCCCTTTTTGGTCCTCTCCAGGGTAATCTATTACCTGGGGAAATCAGCCTTCACCTGACACCTCCTATTGTCATTTACCTGGTGAACATAAGGGGCCATGTCACAGCTGTCCTTCCCACCCCTGCCACGTGTTCTGGAGAGCTGGACTCCTCAGCAGCACCTGGTCCACAGGAGAGAAGAATGGGGCAGAGCCGGAGCAGCCAGGGGAGGTGATAACCACACGCTCATCTGGTCCCCAGCTCTTGCTTTTACATCCACGCCCCACAGGGAGACAGCAATTATCTGTTGGCCCCACTTTACAGATGAGGACATGAGGCTCAGAGAGGTGCAGTGGATGCCCAAGGTCACGAAGCCAGGCATCTGCAAAGGCCTGGGACAGCCACGTTTTCAGTCGGGGTGGTATTTTCTATCCCCGGCCCCAAGGGCTGAGAGTGGTTATCCCTGCTGGGGCAGGGTCCTCACTGCTCCACCCACCCTCATCTCTGCCCTGAGAGCCCCCAGTACAGATGTCCATAGAACGGGAAAGGCTGGCGCCCTTCAAAGGACGCAAAGAGCATTGGATGAGCACTGCCCAGCTGATCCCTGCCCACCTTCCACAGGAAGCCCACCTGGGTGAGTTCTTAGAGCCTTCCTAGTGCTGAGCTGCAAAGAAACTGGAGCCCTCTCCCCCTCCACTGCAGAGGGGACACAGTGACCAGGACGGAAGTTGGGGGACTGGGTGTGGGGAGAAGCCACCCCACTGCAGGGGCCGGGGCTGTCCATCTTTGTACCCCTGGTTCCATCCCAGTGCCTGAGGCATGGGAAGTTCTTGGAAATGTAGTCAGATGCTGGGTGAAGCCCCAGGAGGGGCCGTGAATGCTTCTGCTGGGAACTCCTAGAGTGGCGGCACAGAGAGGGTCTTTGCTGCGAAGGAACACTCAGAGAGTCTCTGGCTTTCGTGAGGTTATGCCTCAGGAGAGGAGACACTTCTCCTTTTCATTCGTTAAACAGAAATGATATTTGCCACCTTTTCTTCTCTAAGGCCTAAAGAGATGACAGAATGCTGCTGGTCCTACCCTGAGCGCGTGGACTCCACAGCGGGGTGTGGGGTGGCCCCTGGCAGGCCTGGACGGTTTGTTCTGTGCTTGCCGGTGGACACGCTTCAGCCCTCTGTCTCTATTGCCCCAAATCTGGCCTGTGGCTGCTGGGCCGCCACCAGCTTGGAGGGCAGGGTGGGCCCCGGGAGCCCCTGACCACCAGTGACTTCTTGTCTCCAGCTGCCCTCCGTCCTCTTGATCCCCCTCACCCCCCACCACCTCCTCACAAAGATGGCTGTGTGCTGAGGGACTGTGGCTTCCCTGGGCCCTAGGAAATTTATCACTGAGGTTTCAGAGGACTCTATGAAAAGGATTTGGAGAAAAAGTGTGGAAAATAAACAAGCCAGTTCCCAGTTCAGCCTCTCCTGAATGCCGCAAGTAAACAACCACCTCGGAGGCCAGCCCGGGATGTTCTTATTTGGCCTCTGTGGTTACACCTGCCCCCTCCCCGCCCAGTCCCTCCTCCTTAACTTTAAGAGCCTCAAAAGTCAGGGAACACACCCTCCGCTGGCCAGTCCTTGTGCTGCAGGGACGCTGGTGGCTGGGCACAGGAGGAACATGTATATGGGAGAGAAGACGGCCGGGGGTCCCAGCTCAGCCCTGCTCCCTCTGAGTCAGTCCCAAGCCTGGACCCTCCCCAGCAGGCAGACGGTGACGTCTTGGTTGGTTGGTGAGTTTAACTTTGATGGTGCAGAATGATGAGACTTTTCTCCATTTTGTGGCATCTGAGAAGCTTTGCTTCTTAAACATTGCTTTAGGGTGGATAGACCAAAGCTAATTTTCCCGTTATGTCTCTCCAAGACGGGGCCTACCTGTGAGCAAACCCTCATAGATTCATTTACTTTGTAGGCTACCTGGACAAAAATGTCAGGTTTCTTTGCTTTGGGCTGGAGTCCTATCAGCTCAGGGGTGGTGGTGTAAGGTCACACCAATGATTTCCAGAAACTCAAGCACTATTCTGAGTGACTAAGTCTGTGGGATAGGAAGCACATTTTCCATCTCTTAATAACTTCAATTTACTTAGTGACCAACTTTAAAACCAGGCACCCGGTTAGAAGGGGGAGAGCCAGGGCTTGGCAGCGGAGGGTCCTCACCTTGCATCCAGGGAGTGGCTGAGGGCCCTTCTCGTTCTCTGTGGCTGTGCTGAGCTGAGTCAGCGAGCCCTGAAGCCTCTGGGATTTGGGGAGTGGGGCACTGCTGGAAGGTTCTGGTTCCTGCTTTGTTCTGCTGCTGCCAGGCTTCTGGAGAGGGTGGTTGTGGGGTGAGTCCTGCGCTCCGCACGTCCACATGTTCGTATTCTACATATTGGGCTTCTGAAAAAAGTTCTGGTTCATAAGACGGCTTCACAGCTTAGCCGTCTGCAGACCAGTCTGCAGGTTGATCAGCTTTCTGTCATGTGTGTGCTGTTCCTGTTCACACATGCTGCGCCGATGCCCGCCTGTGCCTGTGCCAGCCCCAGCCCACACAGCTACCTGAGATTTAGCCCTGGGCATCTCCCCTACCCTTTCCCGCTTCCCCCTCCTCTCCTCCCTTCCTCTCCAGCTGCCTCGCCATCTGCAAGATTCTGGAAAGTGCTAATGTGTCTGAGCCAAACAGTGCTATCTGAGGAAATATTTTGAAAACACACTGGGCCACCCCCGTCCCCGCACTGTGACTACACTGATTTTCAGCAAGGAATTTCACTCCAGCCACAGGGCAGGGCCGCAGGTGCCTGGCTTTCCTCTGGAGACTTCCAGGGGCTTGTTAGAGACACGGAGAGAAGCTGAGGGCCTGTCCTGCAGGTTTGATGTGTCTGAAGAGGCCCCGAGAATAGAAATCTAGAACCTGCCAGTCACGAAGCAGTGTCACCCACCAGAGGATGAAGAACTGACTGTGACCTCGCAGGTCACCCACTTGCTTTCTTTTTACCGAGACATGCTATTTCTCTTTCACTTTTCTTCCTTCTCTTGCATCTGGTGTAGGTGCCTGGGGGTAGCGTGCCCAGGAAACAATAATAGTAAGAGCAGCTGGTGTGCCTAATACTGCCCTGAGCACCTACAAGGCGTCCTCACCGAGTTCTCACCAGAAGCTCTAGAGGTGGCTCCGGTTATTCCCACCATTTTACAGATGGGAAGACAGAGGCAGACAGCTGGATAAGTTGCTGACATGCCACAGCCGGTGAGGGGCAAAGCCGGGCCTGAGCCCCACAGCTGACTCCAGAGTCTGTGCTCTCAGTACCACCTGTGCGTGCGTCTGTCCCGTTGTGGCTGCACCGAGAGGAGAAACAGCACACAGGCATTCATTTTCAAACCGTGGCCAGTGCATGTCATTGCGTTCTGACTGGGAAGCTCTGGCAATGTTGGCGTTGCATGGCCTATTGTGGGCACTACCAGTGAGCCTCGGCCTTCTCCAGGTCTGACTCCAGTACCTGCCGGCTGCCCTGGGCAGGGCATTTTGGATCCTGCCTCAGGGTCTTTTGCCCGCTCTGCTGATGCCACTCCCCTGTGCCCTGACCTGGTCACAGGAAGGGTGCAGATGGCAGCGAGTGTGGTCTCAGTTAGCAAGGGGGAGCTGGCAGATCCAGGGACTTCTGCCTCCCTAGTGGCCATTCCAGCAAGACAGGAACCCCACCCCGAGTGATGTCTGGCCCTGTGACCTTTCAGCAAATATTTCTTCCCCAGCCTCACCTGGACTCGGTATCCCATGTTCCAAATTGTCCTAATTTCCCAGACACACACACCCTGCTCTCTGTAGCCTTCCCAGCTGCCAAGAACATTCCCTCCTTCCCCCTTTTCCCCTTGGCTTGGATGCCACCTTCTCCTGGAAGCCTGGGTGGTGGCCCTCCCCATGGCTGCCCACAGGTCCCCCTCACTGCCCTTTGCCTGTGGTATTATGATTGCTGGTTCAGTGATCTGTGGTCTGCACCAGGCAATGGGATGTGCAAGGGCAGGACAGCTGTCTGCCTTGTCCATCCTTGTAGCCCCCGACTTAGCAGTGAATGCTGCTACCTGATTATGGAAGGAATGAGTGACTGATGTGGCACAGAGCCCTCAGTGGGGCAGGCCCAGTCCAGGATGCTTCTGTGAGGGAGCGCTTCGAGTCTGGGGAGGGTGGCAGGAGTCGTGGTGAGCGGGAGGGGTGGCTAACGTGGGCCAAGGAAGGGACAGACAGGAAGAGTGGGACCCCGGCACATGGCCTCTTGAGGTCATTACCCCATGGGTATTGGGCTGGGATACTGAGGATGAGCCTGAAACCCTTCCAGAAGCCCCTCCAGTCCTGCCACTTGTCTGCCTGCCTGCCCTGGATGCCCGTTTTTGGGCTGGTGGCTGGCTGCACTCTGGGCCCACTGCTCAACCCCACCAGCAAGTGGAGAGCCATTCAACAGCCCCAGGGTCCAGTTCCCATCTGCAAGTAACGAGGCCTGCCGTGGCTGAGTCGTTTCCCTGAGCAGAGAGAAGGAAGCCCTACTGGCCGGCTGCCTCCCCAGGGGTGGGTAGAACTGTTCTGTGGCCCCACCTCCAGCCCTCAAGCTGTCTGTCCTTGCAAAAGTAGTGGGGCACAGAGTGCTGGGTTCTTGGGCATCACCTGTCCAGGTCCTGCGCGCCTATGCTCATGCTGACACTGCAAGATGGTGGGATAACAGGAGGGACTTTCAAGCTGGAAGAGAGGAGAGCTGGGTGCCCCAGTAACCACCTTTGAGTCCCACTGTGATGAGCCCACAGAGGTGGACATGAGGGAAGACTTGGGGAAGCCTTCCTAGAGGAGGCAGGCATTCCAGTGCATGAGGGAAGCTGGGCAAAGGCACGAGGATGGGAAAGTTCCGATTGAAGACAGGGACTGGTGAGGAGTCTGGCTGGACTGAACTGAAATGTATAGGATACACGAGGAGAGACAGGCAGGATGGAGTTGTGGTTACGCACACAGGCTCTAGAGCCGGGCTGCCTTCACGGGAACCCCAACTCCCCACTTACTGGCTGTGTGGCCGTGGCCAAGTTGCTTACCTTCTCTGAGCTCAGTTTTCTCACTACTGGTACCCCCCACATGGGGAAGACATGGGAATAAAATGTATTTCTATACAAGTGTTGAGAGCAGTGCCTGGCACACTGAGCATCAGGAAGGGTGAGCTATTATTATATAGGTATATGTTTTAATGCAGCTAGAAAAGGAAATTGAGGTCAGATCATAGAGGCCCTTGAATGTCATTCTTTCCATTCACTAAGCACCTGCCATGTGCCAGATTCTTCACAGTCATTCTCACCAAGCCCCCTACAACCCGGCAAGGTTGTTAGCAATGTCTCCATTTCACAGATGAGGAAACTGAGGCTCAGAGAGGTTGAGTAACCTGCCTAAAGTCACTCAGTCAGGGAGAGTCAGAGCCAGTAATAACACCCAGGTCTGCTGTCGCTTGAGTCTTCCCTCAAAGTGAAGATTGGAGAGACATGGCAGGGGCATCACAGGGATGAGCCCTGGGCTGGGGCCGCAGCCAGGAGCAGAGCAGGAATGTGGCAACTGTGGGTCCCTGGGGCAGGGTGGAGACGGGGAGAGATGCCAGGCGGGCCTGGAGGGTAGGGAGGACTGGAGGCTACAGCATACAGCTCACCATTCATAGCCCAGGGCAAACCATTGAGTCATTTGGGGAAAACATGACATCACTGAGTCTCACTGTCTGCCGCCCACCTGCTGTCTGCCCTCTATGGTTCTCCTGATGACCTCAGTGCCCCAAGTCCTGCAAGGGGACCCGCACACCCCATGTAGCAGGGCCAGGTCAGCACTCCAGCTTCCTGCACTGGGTTCTCCTCCCCAGCCACTGTCTCCCACCTTCCCACCACTCCCTTCCCTGCCTGGGTCCCCTGCCCCAGCCCTACTCATACACACTGCTGAGGCAGAAGCTTCTGGAAGTGGTGATGGGCATGAAGAGCTTCCAGAAGGGCTTCCATGCCAAGCCCTTGATTGGAATTCTGGGTGGGGAGGGGACAGCTCAGAAGCCTGTGTCGAGCTTTTAGAGTTGCTTTTCCTTGAGAATGGTGCCTGCTGTTTGGGTGGGATCACTTTTAAAAAGTAAAGCCTGGTAGAGCTATGTGACCAGCACTATGCCATGACCTAGAGGAGATTCAGACTGACGGGCAGGCCCTGCCTTCCTGCAGAATACAGTTGAGTGTCTGAGAGTTCTTTCTGTACTAAGCATCTTTGAACTGAGTGCTTTATTTTCGTCCATCTGATTGCGCGAGGTAGTCTTATTTTACAGATGCCATCCCCGAGGCCCAGAGAGGTTAGGCAACTTGTCCAAGGCCACACAGCCAGGATTCACACCCATAACTGTCCAACTCCAGATGTGCTCTTAGCCACTCTGCCATCCGGCCACAAATAAAGCCACCAGAGAACCACAGAAGGTGGAACATATCCAACATTTGCCCGATAAATTGTATAGTGCAGACAGGAAGTACAGGGAGTTTTCATCTCAAAGTGTAGGTCACTCCCCAGAGTGGCTTGAAGTCTGTAGATCCATTTAGGAGAACATCCAGCTTCACTGGCTGTGCAAATCCCACCCATGCGGCTGTTTGGGGTGAGAAGTTTCTTTAAATGTCTGTTGACTCTCTTCTCTGGAAGGAGCACGGGGGCTCAGGGGGCGCCTGTCCTGGCATTGGTGGCCACACCTAGAAACGGACTATGAATCAAGCCAGGGGCCCAGTGCCAGCTTCCTTGGCCTGTCTGTGGGCGCAGATGCCAGCCTTTGCAGCTGCTGCTGCAACTCACAGCTCTCTCCCGGTGCCGCCCTCAGTCAGGCCAGCTGGAGTGGAGGGGCCAGTGGCCGTGCCCTGTGCAGAATGACATCCTCTCACCTTCACAAGGGAAGCGTGATTATCCTTGCTTTCCAGGTGAGGACACTGAGGCCTAGAGAAGTTTTCTGGCTGTCTGAGCTCCCTTGGCCTGAGCTCCCGCGGTAGAACCGAGACTCAAGTCTTCTTTCTGCAGGCAGATGGCCAGTTTCTTCCTGGAGGAGGGAGGAGCCAGCTTGCCCTCTGACACTGGGTAGCACAGCCCTGTTCGATTCTCTGTTCGGGGCTTGCACTTCTGATTCATTCTGCAGTCACTGGCTCTTTGTGGTTCGGGAAAATGACCCTCTAGGGTAGGAGAAAAGCTCTTGGAGCACTTTTGAAGCCATAGAGGCCCTTTCCAGGCTTTGGAAAATGTTCCTTCTCCACCCAGATGCCAACACCACCCTGGTCCTGGCAGTACTTGTCCCTGGAAGGGCCTCACTGCGGTGACTCATTACCCAGCATGCAGCACATTGCCATTGCTCTCAGTGGGCAGGTGCTGTGGGGACACGGGTCTGCGGGCCTGCTGTCTTCAGGGGTCCCCCATGCCTTTTAACGCGTGTATCAGTGTACCCCAAGCCTCAGTTCTGTGTAGTTTGTACAACTCTGGCCCCTACCCCAAGGATTTCTGGGAAGCCCCCAGGAATGCTGATAAGTTCACAGTCTGCCCTCCCCAGCCCCAGTCTCATCAGGCTTCAGGGGTGGCCATTCCTCCCCTCCAGGAGAGAGAGAACTCAAACCAGTAACTACCCCTCCTCAGGCTCAGGCCCAATGGTTGCTGTAATAATTTCTGGGGAGCTGTCTTTGCTCTTGCAGAGAAGGCAGGCCTTGAATTCAGACTGGAGGGGCCATTTTTCTTCCAGTTGCCCTCAAATTTTCCTTTCTGTGATAGGATTTGTCCTTTGTCTCTGCTTAAATTCAAAGACTTGTTAAAATGACTTTTCTCAAACAAGAGGCTACCCTCAAAAGAACTTTGCCTCTACGGATAGAAAACTGGAACCTACTTTTATTTTGGTTTTAGTTTTATTAAATTGTATAAAATCAATAATACATGTCCATGGTGCAAAGTTGAAAAGGCACAAAACAGTCTATGTGTGGTCTCTTTCCCATGCCGGACTCAGACACTCAGCATTGTTAGTTTTGTGTGTGTGTGTAAGCTGTGTTTAAATTGTCCAGCTTTAAAACAAAACCCTTCCCTGTTTCACAATTAGGTTGACCGAGGCACAACCTGAAAAATAACCTGGAAATAGCATCGGGCCCCCTGCAGCGTCCAGCTCTTCCCGAGGACTGTTATTATGATAACGATCATTGCTAAGGCTGTCCCTTCCCAAAAAGTGTTGCTGCCCACAGTCCCAGCCCCCAGACCTGAGCAGTCACCCACACAGCATGAATGGGGCCAGCCCCAGCCTGCCCGCTCAGCTTCCAAGCCTAGCAGTCTCAGGCTCTGGGCTAACCCTGGCCTCCCAGCTGCCCCTTCAACATTGTCCCCTCTTGTCTTGCAGGGCAGTAGCCACAGCTGGGGCTGTGGGGTCAGGGCATGGCAAGGGTGATCTGACCAAACTATGCTGCCTCTTAGCCAGACTGTATATTCGGAGTCCCCTAAGCTCGATTTTTTTTTTTTTTTTTTTGAGACAGGGTCTCACTCTGTCACCCAGGCTGGAGTGCATTGGTACAGCCATAGCTCACTGCAGCCTTGACCTCCCAACCTCAAGTGATCCTCCCACCTCAGCCTCCCAAGTAGGTGGGACTACAGGTGTGCTCCACCTAATTTTTAAATTTTTTTTTAGAGAAGGGGTCTTTCTATGTTGCCCAGGCTGGAGCTTGATTGTTTGTTTGTTTGTTTGTTTGAAGACAGGGTCTTGCTCAGTTGCCCAGGTTTGAGTGCAGTGGCGTGATCTCAGCTCACCACAACCTCTGCCTCCCAGATTCAAGTGATTCTCCTGCCTCAGCCTCCTGAGTAGCTGGGATTACAGGTGTGCACCACCACACCCAGTTAATTTTTGTGTTTTTAGTAGAGACAGGGTTTCATCATGTTGGCCAGGCTGATTTTTTTATTTTTTTAAAGAAGGTCTCCCACCAGCTGGATCTGAGCCACTGGCTGAGAAGTGAAGTCCATGAAGCATTCAGCAATAGTAACAGCACCACCACCTCCTCATATTGAACCTGCCTCTGTGCTTCTTCCTACGCCTTCCTATGCCTCTATGCTGACTTCTGGAGAAGCCAGTCACTTGCCCGGTCACACTGTACAAAGTGGCTCAGGGCTGGACTCACTGGCTTATGCCTGTAATCCCAACACTTTGGGAGGCCAAGGTGGGTGGATCACTTGAGGTCAGGAGTTTGAGACCAGCCTGACCAACAAGGTGATACCCCATCTCTAATTAGCTGGACGTGGTGGCAGGCGGCTGTAATCCAGCTACTCGGGAGGCTGAGGCAGGAGAATCTCTTGAACCAGGGAGACGGAGGTTGCGGTGAGCCGAGATCACACCATTGCACTCCAGCCTAGGCGATAGACCGAGCCTCCGTCTTAAAAAAAAAAAAAAACAAAGTGGCTCAGCTGGGCTTGGATCTCCAACATGCTGGGCCCCAGTCACCAGATTCCTAACCCCGTGCTGCCAGGCTTCCCCGGACAATATCATGAACTCAACAATCCGCTCCCTTCCTCTGCAGGGCAACCTCTCATTCCCCAGAGCTCATTTAATAACAAGAGTAGTAATCATAGTTAACCTTCTTTACCCTTTACTATGTGCAAGGCATTGTTCTAGAAGCGCACACATCGATCATTTAGTCCTCACAGCGCTCCCATGTGGTAGGTGCTGTCCTTATACTCTTTTTGCAGATAAGCCCAAGGCACAGGAGCCTGCCTGGTAAGCAGCCCATGTCTAAAGGGCAGTGAAGAACCGGCCTCTAGGGAATGCAGGGCTCCTCTTGTACCCAGAGGGGAGGCGCCCTGCCTCTTCTCTGTTGAGCCTTTGGAAATGGCCTCCGAGGGGCCCCTGCTCAGCACAGCTCTGTGGGCCAAGAGCAGGAGTGTTTGAGGCACAGATAGACGATGTCTGGACCCCTCCCCAGGATGCCTCCCCATGTCTGACCTTGGGGAGTCCAGTGCCAAGGGGGAAGTTCAATAACATACCAGGTTTCTCCTTGGCCCTGGGACAGGTTCCTTCCCTTTCCTTCCCTCCTCCCTGCATCCTTCCTTCCTTTCTTCCTTCTTTCCTTACATATTTATTCAGTGCCATACAGCGATAGCGCACACGTGTTACCTCTAATACAAGGTGAAAAGTGATATGAATGGTGCAAGGTAGAGAGAGGAATGGTGCTGGGAGAGGAACGTGTGGTAGGAGGCCCTCCCTTCACATCCTGGCCTCAAACCTCCAGCCGGTGGCCTTGGGCGGGTCGCTCAGCGTGTCTGGACCTCTGTTTCTCATCTGGATAATGAAGGAGAGGGTGGAGGTGAGGACCCAGGTTGCCTGCCAGGCTCTTGTGAGAATTGGAGGTGTAAAAGGGCTTTCTTTTTTGTTTTTTTAGACGGAGTCTCGGGAGGGGGGTTAGATGGCGGGAGAGGGGTTAGATGGCAGGAGAGGGGTTAGACTAGTCCCCTGGGGGATTGGTTATGGCTGTGGGGGAAGTCGGAGGGAGGCTCTGGGGATGTGTAGGGTTTGGGCTCGGCCTTAAGGGATGGGTGGAATTTGGCCAGGCACAGATGGGGGAGGGGTGGTGCTTTGGGCATCACCAGCCCTAGGCTCATGGTTGCCACCCTCCCTTCCGGTACCGCCTTCCCTTTTCTGCATTTCCACCCAGAGATGGACTCTCAGCTTTGAATTCTTTTTAGGAAGTGACTTTATTGTTTTTATTTTTTTTCTCTATCTAAGGTAGTCAGAATATTATTTTTGTGATAATGCTAGATGCTTAGTATGTAAAATTCAAGTACAATGGGTAAATACAGAGAAGAATGCAGCAAATCACCACCACTCCCACCACCCAGATGGAACTGTTTAGTTATTTGGTCCGTATGCGTATAGACACCTCAGTAGGCCTACCCGGTGGGTGGGAGTGGGAGCATGGGGGCTGGAGGGCCAGAAAGTTTTATAAGCACAGGGAAAATGCACAGTTTAAATTTACCTTCAGGCCAGAGTTGGAAAGATTGTCTCACCTGAAACAGTCCTTCCCTTCTGTCCGCTGCCTACATGACTGTATCGGATGGGGAAAGAGGGAATGGGGAACTTTCAGGCCATGGCCTTCAAAACCTCCCCATTCAGACAAATTACAGAAAAGGAGCCAGTCTCAGTGAGCATATTCCAGCTCTAGAACAGTGGCTTTCCAACTTTTAGACTAAAACCTCAGACACAGACACCCACACATAACTGAAACAAAAGCCTTATGAAACCCATATTTTAGCTGGGCACAGTGGCTCATGTCTGTAATTCCAAACACTTTGGGAGGCCGAGGTAGGAAGATCACTTGAGCCCAGGGGATCAAGGCTGCAGTGTTTGCAGCGTTGTACTCCAACCCGGGCAACAAAGTGAAAAAAGAAACTCATGCTTATCAACTCATGCTTATCATTATGATACAGAGGCATTCTGATATTTTCTAATCTACACAATGCTGTTGTGTTTAAAAAAGAAAAAAAAAGCTTATCTTAACCTACCAAATTGTTGGCACAGCCTGCAGTTTGAGAAATGTCACTGTTGACCAGCGATTTTCAAACGTTCGTGTGCATCAGACTCAACTGCAGAGTGTGCTAAAACAATCTGCTCCCCTCTCCTGAGGTTCTGAGTCATTAGTTCTGGAGTGGGACCTGAGGATTCGCATTTCCACCAAGTTCCCAGGAGGGGCTGATACTGCCAGTCTGGGGACCCCACTTTGAGACCCACCCTCCTGGGGTGTTTTTAAGGCAACATGCTCCCTTGGCAAAGACCATCAGGGGATTTGCTTTATTGAATGGATGAGAATTGCTGATTGCTAACATCCGAACGGTGGATCTCTGAGATACTTGAGGATGCTGGTCAGGCATTGTCGTTGGGATCTTTAACACCACCCTCCTAAAATCCAGCTCACACTATTAATATAAAGTGTTGCATGTAGAAAAGGCCTGCTAAGCAAAGGGACATTTATGCCTAGCCCTAGTTGAATTCCCTGCCTCTCAAATCCCAGACCTGCAGAACATAAAACCCTCCCAGCCTTTCTGAAAACACTGTTCTTCTAAAGGCAATGAAAGGCGCTATTTAGCATGTGGGTTTCAACTTTCTGTTTTTTCAAAGGGAAGAAGGTAGGTCAAGCGTGACTGCCCCATGGGGAAGGCTGTCCCCGCTGGCTCTGGTAGGGGTCTGGTGGGTTTCACTGGCGGTCCCCAGTTTCCCAGCTTTAACCGGAAATTTTCCTGGCATTGTATCACGCGGCAGCACCTCGGCCTTGCAGCCTGCCAGCTTTGGAGACTGGCCTGTATCCCAAACTGCTTCTGCTCTCCAACCAGGGACTGTCAGCCCCCACCCCTAAGCCTCCTCCTCTGTAGCCTTGGGGCCTCCATGGGCCCCTCCCCAGCCTCGCAGCCCTCCAGAAGCCAGCCCTCAGCTGGGAGCAGCTTTGCGAGGGAGGGGAATGTTCAGTGGGCACAGAGCACTTCTGTTCCAGTAACAATGGCCCGTTGATGACTAGATTCTGCCCAGGTCAGCTCCCTCAACTGGACTTTGAGGAGGAGAAAGGACTCCAGCCCCCCCAGGCAGCCATTTCTGGGTGTGAGGTTGATTCAGAGGCCTGAGCCTCTGTCTGCCCACAGAACCTCATTCTTCAGGCCCTGGTGCAGCAGGGAGAAACGCCCATCCCAGGGCAGTGTAAGGCCCCAGGAGTGATTCCGTTCTGTCCAATTCAACAGTCAGTTATTGAATAGTCCTGGCCACTGAGGTTTGGTGCTAAGTAGCTGTGGGGAATAAGAATAACTGCTGACATGAATTCAATGCTTCTTACTGTCAACCCCGCCCCTGGCTGCCCAGTAGTCTCTAGGGAACTTATAAAAATTCCCAGGCACAGATTCCTCCCACCTCAGAATCTTCAGGGGTGAACCCTTGGCACTGATATTTTTTAAAAGCTCTCAGAGTGATTCTCATGCCCAGCAGGGATGCAGCATCACTGGCCTCCAGTCTGTCAGATGCTGTGCTAAGCATTTAACTTGGAGTACCCCATTTAAGGAAGCAGGTGCTTATGGGATGCTGAAATGTGGCCCCCACAGATGTCCACGTATGAGCCACCAGCACCTGTGGATATGTGAGCTTGCATGGTAAGGACTGTCCAGATGGGATTAAGTTAAGGATTTTGAGTTGAGAGATTATCCTGGATTATCCAGGAGAGCCCTAAATATAATCACAAGTGTCCTTATAAGAGGGAGGCAGAAGATTTGACTACAGAAGAGGAGTGTCAGAATAATGCATGGTGAAAAAAACTATCAGCCATTGCTGGTTTGCAGATGGAGGAAGGGGGCATGAGCCATGGAAAGCAGATAGCCTCCAGAAGCTGGGAAAGGCAAGGCTGCAGACTCTCCAGAAGGAACCCAGGCCTTTTGGCACCTTCATGTTAAGTCAGTGAAACTGACCTCACACTTCTGACATTCAGAACTGTACGATAATCAGTGTGTTGTTCCAGCTGGGCACGGTGGCTTATGCCTATAATTACAGCACTTTGGGAGGCTGCAACGGGAGGATCTCTTGAGGCCAGGAGTTTGAGACCAGCCTGGGCAACCTGATGAAACCCCTGTCTCTACAAAAATAAAAAAATTAGCTGAGTGTGGTTGCACGCATCTGCCCCGGCTATTCAGAAGCTGAGGTGGGAGAATCTCTTGAACCCGAGAGATTGAGGCTGCAGTGGGCCATGATCATGCCACTGCACTCAGCCTGGGCAACAGAGCATGACCCTGTCTCAAAAAAAAAGGAAAGAAAGTAAGTGTTATTTGAAGGTACTAAGTTTGTGGCAATGTGTTACAACAGCAGTAGGAAACAGATACGGGGCTGTCATTAACCCTGCTTTACAGATGAAGTACGGGGGCCAGGCAGTCACCTGGGCTCACCCAGCTAGTGGGCTACCGAGCTGGAAGAACCAGGTTGTCCGACCCCTTCTTCACTGCCCACCACACCTCACCACACTGCCCCCTCTTGGCAGTCAGACAGACATGGGTTCAATCTCAGCTCTGTCATCTTCTGTCTGTGTGTCCTGTGCTGCTGGTGAGGCTTGTTTGGCCAGGGGGAGGCCCCAGGAAGGGGAGGGGTGGAGACCAGTTGGAAAGATAGGGTGGGCCAGGTTGTCCCCAGGTGGAAGAGTTTGGACTTGATTTTGGAGGAATGGAGCCCACAGGGCACTGTCTGGTCTCCTCTGCCATATTTCTTGATGATGCCTCAGACCCGCAGGCCTGCTCAGTCTTTGAGATCTGACATAATGCAGCAACCCAGCTCCCATTGAGAACCTCAGGATTGGGACCAGAATCATCATTCTACTCCTTGTCACCCACAGCCAGTGACAGCCATTTATCTGGGACGGCCAGTGAGCTCCTGTTTCCCAGGAAGCCAGCAGTGGCCCTGGTGCCTCCAAAATGTTTCTTCCAAGATTCTCCTAGAACCATGCATTTGGGACCATGCCTTTTTTTTTGAAAAGGAGTCTTGTTCTGTTGCCCAGGCTAGAGTGCAGTGGCTCAATCTTGGCTCACTGCAACCTCTGCCTCCCGGGTTCAAACAGTTCTCTTGCCTCAGCCTCCTGGGTGGCTGGGATTATAAGCACATGCCACGATGCCTGGCTATTTTTTGTATTTTCAGTAGAGACGGGGTTTCACCATGTTGTTCAGGCTGGTCTGGAACTCCTGAACTCAAGTGATTCACCTGCCTCGGCCTCCCAAAGTGCTGGGATTACAGGCGTGAGCCACTGCGCCTGCCCAAGACCATGCATATTTTTTAGAGTAAAAGTATGAAATACAAACAAATACAGAGAGTTTTCCAGATGAGGCAGGAAAATAGGGTCTAGAGGCAGGGAATGTAAGGCCAATCACACTTCAGCTATAACAGGAAATACCCTCTCCATAGCTCGTGCTCTGTAAATGACTTTGTAACTTTACTTCATCCTCTCCATTTACATAGGGCGTACCCAAAATAACAAATGGAATCCTCTAGAGGGTATTTAAACTCCCCAAAATTCTGTAACGGGCCTTTTGTTTGTTTGTTTGTTTTGAGACACAGTCTCACTCTGTCACCCAGGCTGGAGCGCAGTGGCGCAATCTCAGCTCACTACAGCCTCCGCCTCCCAGGTTCAAGCAATTCTCCTGCCTCAGCCTCTCGAGTAGCTGGGATTACAGGCATGCGCCACCGCACCCAGCTAATTATTGTATTTTTAGTAGAGACGGGGTTTCATCATGTTGTCCAGGCTGGGTTCGAACTCCTGACCTCAAGTGATCTGCCCGCCTCAGCCTCCCAAAGTGCTGAGATTACAGGCGTGAGCCACCATGCTCGGCTGACGGCCTTTTGAGCTCCTGTGCTCGGGCCGCCCCACGCTGTGGAGCGCACTTTCTCAGTAAATCCCTTCATCCCTTCCTTGCTTTGTGCGTTTTGTCTAACTCTGTGTTCAAGACACCAAGAACCTGGACACCCTCCACCTTTAACACAAAGCCACACCACAAGTTGGTGACAGGTCCTGAAAGATCAGTTCCTGACTAGGACTCTGATCTGTCCACTGCTGTACAGCTGCTCCCTTCTGGCTAAATCAGCTTGCTCAGACACAGAGCATAGTGGTTGAATTTGTGGACTGTGGAGCCAGGCTTCCTGTGTTCCGATCCCAGCTCTGCCTTTAACTCAGGGTAAGTTTTCTCATCCCCTTGCCTTTGATGGGGATGGTGACTATTATCCATAAGCATTATCCAGGGTTCTTCCAAAGATTAAGTACATTTATGTACATGAAGTACTTGGAACAATTCCTTGTTCACTGTGTTAACTTCTGTTACTATTCAGCTCCTCTAGGGCAGGGGCTGTGTCTTTTCCTTCCTGTTCCTAGTGCCTGGTTCCATGCTTGGCCCAGAGCAAGTCCTCAGCAAATGAATATACTTGTTTCATGTGAGCTTTTGTCACTCAGAGATTCTTTAGGTACTTTCCCAAAAGCTTGCACTCTTACAAATTTCCATCTTAGTTCTTCAAATCTTTCTTCTCCTCCTTCCTGCCGCAGAATTGCCATAGAGCAGCCTGAAGCTTGCTCTGCCCCTTGCAAAGTCCAGTGAGCCGTTCAAAGATAACCCAGATGTCCCAAGCCTCCCAGCCAGAGTGCCTGTGCTGCGCAGCTGGCGTGGTTGCCCCAGTCTCCTTCGC
This sequence comes from Homo sapiens, assembly GCF_000001405.40. Classification (NCBI taxonomy): domain Eukaryota; kingdom Metazoa; phylum Chordata; class Mammalia; order Primates; family Hominidae; genus Homo; species Homo sapiens. Next base: position 71,985,166 of record NC_000010.11, read on the forward strand.
CCCAAGGCCATGCTTGGCCGACCCCCTGACCCGCTGAGGTTGCGCAGAGCTTTTTGGGCCCTGTAGCAGCACTGCTTGGGCACCAAGCCTTGCATGGTCTCATGGGACTCACTGCCTGCAGCCGCTAGTCCCAGCTCCCCTCCTTACCAGAACCCACACCATGTTGTCCAGCTGATGGGGGATCACATATCATGCTATTCCCTCCAGGATCCTGTCCCCTGTTTTTCTCCCCCTGCCATGAGGAGTAGCATCCTCATTTAGCCTTTCCCTCAGAAAGTCCCCACGCTTATCACTACACATGAATAGATCCCAGGAAGGTCACTTTCTCATGGTTCTGCAAAAAGCCAAACTCCAGTTGAGGTCCAGTTTGAACCCAACTAGTTCACTCCTCTGCCCTAGAAAGGCCATTTCTGCTCAATCTTACTGCCCCACCTCTACTTCCAACTTGCAAAGATCTCTTGAAACCCTGCCTCCTGTTGTGGGAGCTAGTTTTCTTTTCTTTTTTTTCCTTTTCATTACACAGTTTCATTTTGACATAACAGTAGATTCACACGCAATTTTAATAAATTGTACAGAGAGGTCTCATGAATCTGTTACCCACTTCCCCCTATGGTAACATTCTGTGAAAGCCTAGCCTAATGTCACAATCAGAATGTTGACTTCATACAGAATCCCCTGTGGTGCCCTTTTATAACTACACTCACTTCCCTCCTGCCCCCACCCCTTCCTTGACCCTTGGCAATACTAGTCTGTTCTCCATTCTTACAGTTTTGTCATTTCAGGAATGTTCTATAAATGGAATTATGCAGTGTGTAACCTTTTGTGATTGGCTGTTTTCACTCAGCACAGTTCCCTGGAAATTCATCCAAGTTATTGTATGTGTATCAGTGTTGTTTTTTTTTACTAAGTAGGTAAAACAAGGGACACAGACCTGTTCTCCTGGCATCCCTCCCTGGTTAGCAAGAGATTCAGCAGGCCGCTGCCACTCTGGCCTTGCTGATAGCTAGTGTGTGTGCAGGCAGCAGCTCCCGCTGTCTGTAAGAGCGCCAGGGTAGTGAAGTTGGGTGCTCTAAAAGTAGTGGCTCTCCATCTTTGCTGATTCTAGGTTAGAATCACCTAAGGAGCTTTAAGTAATCTTGATGCCCAGGCCACACCAATGCAATCTGAATCTGGAGGTGGCACCCAGGCCTCAGTGATTTGTAAACTTCTCTGGATGATTCTTATGCTGTCAGAGTTGAAAACCAGTCCTCTAAAACAGCCGCAGCAGATTCACAATAGCTGTGCCATCCTCCACCCATGATAGATGTCACAGAGCAATCGCAGCACTCGTATTTTCAAATACGGCGCTCCAGGCAGCCCCTTCCCATCTGTCAGCTTTGGCCCGGGGTGGAAATTGACTTGCCCTCTTAGCTGAGAAACCGTTTGGCCATGGCCATGTCCAGGTGTGCCCAGGCCCGAGGCCTGACATGTTAGGTGAGTGTCCCTGTAAGTAATGCTGGAAAGGTGGGCCCTTGACCGATAGGAATAGTTGCAGCAGGCAGAGATCGCCTGGGGCTGGTTCTATAAGATAAACCCGAAGTGGATCAGCCAGTGTCCCTCCCCTGCAGCCCAGCATGGGGAGAGATGTACCCAAGAAATACCAACCAACAGTGCCATTGGCATAGACGGGCTCTGGCTGACATTTGTTCAGACCAGCAATAATGCCCAGCCTGTGTGCAATCTTCCCAATTTTCGGAGCTCACACAGCTTCCTTGATGCTCACAACAACCCTGTGGGGCCAGCCTAAGCTCAGAGAAGTTAAATTCCTCACCCAACGTCAGCAGAGAGTAAGTGGGAGAGCTGGGACCCACTCCAAGTCTGTCCGAGTTCAGGGCCATCTGTCCAACGCTCAGAGCAGTTAGACAATTGACCTCTGTTTCCACTGGCAGACCGAGTGTAGATGGGCTCCTCTGTGGCCATAGATCAGTCAGAGGATAGCAGCAGACACATGCGGACCAAGCCTCCTGCTGCCCAAGACCCCTGTGGCCCCTCTCTCCCTAACCGCTGCTTCTCCTACAGATCTAGTGCAGAGATGTTGGACAGAACACAAGAGGTTGAAGTCAGGGCGGGAGCAGGAAAAAAAAAAAGAATAAGAAGAAAAGAGGCTGGAGTTCCTCCTTTCATCACAGGAATAAAACCCCTTCCTGCTGTCAATGGGACCATTAAGTGGGAGTTTGAGGAAGCTCCAGAGGATTCAAATTCTGTTGCCACTGTATAGAAACAGAGGAGACCGACGCAGTGACTCACATCTGTAATCCCAGCACTTTGGGAGGCTGAGGCGGGCAGATCACTTGAGGTCAGGAGTTCAAGACCAGCCTGGTCCGCATGGTGAAACCCTGTCTGTACTAAAAATACAAAAAAATTAGCTGGGCGTGGTGGTGCCTAACTGTAATCCCAACTACTCGGGAGGCTGAGGCAGGAGAATGGCTTGAACCCGGGAGGCGGAGGTTGCGTTGAGCCAAGATTGTGCCACTGCACTCCACCCTGGGTAACAAGAGTGAGACTGTCTCAAAAAAAAAAAAAAAAAAAGACAGAGGAAATAGAAGTAGGGTTGGAAGAAAACAGGGAGCAGAAGAAATTCTCCTCTCTGTCCTGTCCCTTACTTGATCATTCTCCAGGATCAGAAAGCCTCCTTAGAAGGTCAGGAAGGAGGATAGAGCAAGAATTAGGGATCCTAGACTTATGCATGGAGAGTTTTTCTCTACCCGGTTATCTCAGAAATCCTGTAATGGAGCCGTCTTTCCAGAGGTGCAGAACAAAATGGGAAGCTGTGGCCATTGTGTAGCCATTGAAGGCTAGCCCATGGTCCCCTCACAGCTTCCATGGGCTTCTCCCGAGCATGTGCACGTATGATGCACCCATTGCATGTATACGTACATGCACACATTTCTGGTCAAAAGGTTGATGATTGATAAAACTGACAAAAGCTCCAAACCCCACAAATGAGCACAGCGTTTTGTAATAATGAGCATGACCAAAATGGGAAAAAATAGGGCACATGAGGGATGAGGGAAGAAAAAGGACTCCAGGGCCCAGAAGATTCCTAGGCTTCCTTAGCCACCTCCTCCTAAAGTAGGGGTAATAAGTACATGGCACATGTGCCAGCCCTTCCCCTGTGATATAGTTGGGATATTTGTCCGCACCCAAATCTCATGTTGAATTGTAATCCCCAATGCTGGAAGTGGGGCCTGGTGGGAGGTGTTTGAGTCATGGGGGTGGATCCCTCATGGCTTGGTGCTGTCTTCCTCATAGTGAGTTCTTGCCAGATCAGGTCATTTAAAAGTGTGTGGCACCTCCCCATTCTCTATCTCTCATTCCTGCTTTTGCCATTTGAAGTGCCTGCTCCTGCTTTGCTTTCCGCCATGATTGAAAGCTCCCTGAGGCTTCACCAGAAGCCAAGCAGATGCCAGCACCATGCTTCTTGTACATCCTGCAGAACCAAGAGCCAATTAAACTGCTTTTCTTTATAAATTACCCAGTCTCAGGTATTTCTTTATAGCAGTGCAAAAACAGCCTAATACACCCTATCTATACACACAGCAGACATCACTACTCAACTGCCATGTTCTTTCCCACAGAAAACAAGCCTGATCTCAGGATTCTTCTCATCAAAGTGCTCCAGGCTGCCAATTACCAACCTATTAGCTTTTACTCATGAGATGAAAATGATTTGCCAGGCCGGGTGTGGTGGCTCACACCTGTAATCCCAGCACTTTGGGAGTCCGAGGCAGGTGGATCACTTGAGGTCAGGAATTCGAGACCAGCCTGACCAAAATGGTGAAACCCCATCTCTACAAAAATGTAAAAATTAGCCGGGCATGCTGGCACTCACCTGTAATCCCATCTACTCAGGAGGCTGAGGCAGGAGAATCTCTTGAACTTAGGAGGTGGAGGTTGCAGTGAGCTGAGATTGCGCCACTGCATTCCAGCCTGGGCGACAGAGCAAGGCTCTGTCTGACAGAAAGAAAGAAAGAAAAAGAAAGGAAGGAAGGAAGGAGAAAATAATTTGCCAGCCTCAGCTTGAGCCCAGGAGTTCGAGACAAGCCTGGACAACAGGGAAAGACCCTGACTCTCCAAAAAGCTTTTTTTAAAAATAGCGAGGTGTGGTGGCACATGCCTGTGATCCCAGCTATTTGGGAGGCTGAAGCAGGAGGATCACTTGAGTCCAGGAGGTTGAGGCTGCAGTGAGCCATGATCACACCACCGTATTCCAGCCTAGGCAGTGGAGCAAGACCCGTCCTCAAAAAGAAAAAAAAAAGTTGGAAACCTGATACAGTCACCATTTTTGTCAGGATCCCTCTTGCTTGTTCTGGGTTAGGTTCATCACAAAGCTGCTTAGATGGACTTGGTTATTCAAGTAAATATTAAGCGCTAACTGTGTGTAGGATGATGGATTGGGACACAACTCCATATGCTTTTTATTTCCATTATTTTTATAACTTTCTCTTATATTGATATTTTAGTAACATGGTAACAAATTTAAACAATAGAAGAAAGTAGAAGTTAAAAGTCAGTGACAGTTCCCACCCATTCCCCAGTTCCCTCAACCACTCTTGTCAATCTCTTCTTTCCATCTCCAAAGATATCCAGCATTTGCATGGATCCAGTCCAGTTTGTAGGCAGTTGGTAGCATGCCACGCATACTCTTGCCCTTGCTTTTATCACTCATGTCTTGAACAGCATTTTATGTCAGCCCTCCAGAACTTCCTCTTTCTTTTTAATCATTACAGAGTATTGCACTGATAAATGTACCTAACATTGAGCTAACAAGTTGCTGTTTTTTGTTTTGGTTTTGGTTTTGCCTATTAACATGCATTAATGTCATGGTTAGCCTTTTGTAATTATAATCGATTTATTGTTGTATATGTCCTTGTTGTATCCATGCAAATATATCAGCAAGATTAGTTCCTAGAAGTGGAATTCCTGGGTCGAAGAGTGTTATAGCAGTCCTTTGGGGCTGCTATAACAAATACCATACACTGAGAAACTTACAAGTAGCAGAAATTTATTGCTCATGGTTCTGGAGGCTGGGAAGTCCAAAATCAAGGAGCCAGCAGATTTGATTTGGGGAGGGCTGCTCTCTGCTTCCAAGATGGCACCTACCTGTGGCGTCCTTACCTGGTGGAAGGAGCAGACAAGCTCCCTTAGGGCTCTAATAATTTTTCTTTTTTTTTTTGACACGGAGTTTTGCTCTTGTTGCCCAGGCTGGAGTGCAATGGTGTGATCTTGGCTCACCGCAACCTCCACCTCCCACGTTCAAGCAATTCTCCTGCCTCAGCCTCCTGAGTAGCTGAGATTACAGGCATACGCCTCCATGCCCAGCTAATTTTGTATTTTTATTAGAGATGGGGTTTGTCCATATTGGTCAGGCTGGTCTCAAACTCCCGCCCTCAGGTGATCCACCTGCCTCGGCCTCCCAAAGTGCTGGAATTACAGGCATGAGCCACCATGCCCAGCCTCTAAAAAGAACACTAATCCCATTCATGAGGGCTCCACACTGGTGACCTAGTCACCTCCCAAAGGCCCTACCTGTTAATGCCAGCACACTGGGATTCGATTACAACACAAAAATTTTAGAGGGGCACAAACATTCAGCCCATAGCTAAGAGTATGCATATTTAAAACTTGTGATGGTTTGGCCAAATCATCCTTCAGAAAGGACACTCCCATGAACATTATGTATTAGGACGGGACGGGCTATGCTGTAGGAACAATTAGTCCCCCAAATCTTAGTATTTAACACAGCAAAGGCTTGTTTTTTCTCTTGCGTCACATCTGATGCAGATGGGGTGGCTCTCTAAGCAGCATCCCAGGGATCCAGGCTGCTTCCATTGTGAACTAAGCCAGTTGGAACATGTGGCCTCCACTGTTGCCACAGCCAGGGGAGAGAGGCCTGGATGAATGTGTGGGAAAATTTTAAGCAAAGTGGCTTACATCACTTTCACCCACATCCTACCTGTCAGAACCAGTCATATGGCCTCAGCCTGACTGCAAAAGAGTCTGGGCAATGTGGAGGAGCCCCTGGCCACTCGATGAGCCTCACGTCTCTGCCAGTCGGTTCCCCAGAAATTCACCCACACAGTATATTCCAGGGCGTTTTGTTCTTCGCTAATTAAATATATGAAAAATGGCGTCATGTAGACTGTCGTTCTGCCCTGCACGTCTGTGCTTTCTTTGGGCAGTTGCCCTCCGCCTTTTTCTGCTGAAATATTCATAGGGGATTATGTTCACTCCAGACACACTCCAGTGGCCTTCCCCAAATTTTCCCAAAACCCCAAAACCTTTTGTGGGGAAGCCCTAAGACATTCTATATTTTGGCTGTTACAGGCATACCTCAGAGGTATTGCAGGTTCAGTTCCAGACCACTGCAACAAAATTAATATCACAATAAAGCAAATCACACAAATTTTTTTGTTTCCCAGTGCATATAAAATTTACATTTACACGGCCGGGTGCAGTGGCTCGCACCTGTAATACCAGCACTTTGGGAGGCCAAGTCAGGCGGATCACCTGAGGTCAGGAGTTCGAGACCACCCTGGCCAACATGGTGAAACCCCGTCACTACTAAATATACAAAAAATTAGCCAGGCATGGTGGCAGGCACCTGTAATCCCAGCTACTCGGGAGGCTGAGGCAGGAGAATCGCTGGAACCCGGGCGGCAGAGGTTGCAGTGAGCCGAGATACATGCCATTGCACTCCAGCCTGGGCAACAAGAGCAAAACTCTGTCTGAAAAAAAAAAAGTTACTTTTATACTATACTGTAGTCTATTAAGTGTACAGTAGTATGTCTAAAAAAAGTACATAACTTAAAAATACTTTATTTGCTGAAAAAAATGCTAACAATCATCTGAGACTTTAGCAAGCGACTTGTAGTCTTTTTGCTGGAGAGGGTCTTGCCTCAATGTTGATGGCTGCTGACTAACTGCTGAAGAGTAGGGTGGCTATGGCAATTTCTTTCTTTCTTTTTATTTTTTTTGTTTTTGTTTTTTGTGTTTTGAGACAGGGTCTTGCTCTGTTGCCCAGGCTGGAGTGCAATGCCACAATCATGGCTTGCAGCAGCCCTGATCACCTTGGCAATGCCCCGACCTCAGCCTTCCGAGTAGTTGGAACCACAAGTGCATGTCACCACACCCAGCCTATGTTTTTATTATTTGCAGAGACACAGTCTCACTATGTTTCCCAGGCTGGTCTCGAACTCCTGGGCTCAAGGAGTTCCTGGGCCCGCTTGGGCCTCCCAAAGTGATGGGATTACAGGTGTGAGCCACTGCACCCAGCCACAATTTCTTAAAATAACACAACAATAAAGTTTGCTGCATCAATTGACTCTTCTTTTCATGACGGATTTCTCTGTAGCATGCAATGCTGTTTGATTCACAGTAGCACTTCTTTCAAAATTAGAGTCAATTCTTTCTAACTCTGCTGCTGCTTTATCAACTAAGTTTATGGAATATTCTTTTTTTTTTTTTTTTTTTGAGATGGAGTTTCACTTTTGTTGCCCAGGCTGGAGTGCAGTGGCACGATCTCGGCTCACTGCAACCTCCACCTCCCAGATTCAAGCAATTCTACTGCCTCAGCCTCCAGAGTAGGTGGGATTACAGGCGTCCGCCACCACGCTTGGCTAATTTTTTGTATTTTTAGTAGAGGCAGGGTTTCACCATGTTGGCCAGGCTGGTCTTGAACTCCTGATCTCAGGTGATCCACCTGCCCCGGCCCCCCAAAGTGTGGGGATTACAGGTGTGAGCCACCACTCCCAGACAATTTATAGAATATTCTAAATCAAGCTTGTCCAACCCGCAGGCCACGTGCAGCTCAGGACGGCTTTGAATGTGGCCCAACACAAATTTGTAAATTTTCTTAAAATATTATGAGATTTTCTTTGCGTTTTTTGTTTGTTTGTTTTCTCATCACATATCGTTAGTTGTTAGTGTATTTTATGTGTAGAACAAGGCAATTCTTCTTCCAGTGTGGCCCAGGAAAGCTAAAAGACTGGACACCCTGCTCCAAATCCTTTGTTGTCATTCACAGCATCTTCACCAGGAGTAGCTTCCATCTCAAAAACCACTTTCTTGACTCATACATAAGAAGCAACTCATTCATTCAAGTTTTATCATGAGATTGCAGCAATTCGCTCATATCTGCAGGCTTCATGTCTAATTCTAGTTTTCTCTTATTACTTCCACCACATCTGCAGTTCATTTCTCCACTGAAGTCTTAAACCCCTCAAAATCATCCACATGGATCCACTTCCTCCATCCACTTCTTAGCATCCACTTCTTCTAAATTAGCATCCACTTCTTCCACATTCCTATTCATGTTGATATTTTCACCTCCTCTCCTGAGTCACAAATGTTCTTACTGGCATCTACAATGGAAGGTTTTCAGTTTACTTTGCCCAGATCCAACAGAGGAATCACTGTCTATTGCAGCTATAGCCTTACAAAATGTATTTCTTAAATAATGTAACTTGAGGGTCAGATATGGTGGTTCACGTCTGTAATCTCAGCACTTTGGGAGGCCAAGGGAGGAGGATTGTTTGAGGCCAGGAGTTCAAGACCAGCCTGGGCAACATAGTGAGACATCTCTACAAATTAAAATTTAAAAATTAGCCAGGAGGCCGGGTGCAGTGGCTCACATCTGTAATCCCAACACTTTGGGAGGCTGAGGTGGGTGGATCACCTGAGGTCAGGAGTTCAAGACCAGCCTGGCCAACATGATGAAACCCTGTCTCTGCTAAAAATACAAAAATTAGCCAAGCGTGGTGGCGGGCACCTGTAATCCCAGCTACTTGGGAGGCTGAGGCAGGAGAATCGCTTGAACTCGGGAGGCGGAGGTTGCAGTGAGCCGAGATCACGCCACTATACTCCAGCCTGGGTGACAAAGCGAGACTCCATTCAAAAACAACAACGAAAATTAGCCAGGTGAAATACCATGCACCTGTAGTCCCAGCTACTTGGGAGGCTGAGACAGGAGGATCACTTGAGCCCAGGAGTTTGAGGCTACAGTAAGCCATAATCATGCTACTGCATTCCAGCCTGGGTGACAGAGTAAGAAAACCCTGTCTCAAAAAAAAAAAAAATTAATTAATTAAAAAACAGACTTGAAAGTCAAAATTACTCCTTGATCCATGGGCTGCAGAATTAATGTTGTGTTAACAGGCATGAAAACATTACTCTCCTCTTACCTGTCCATCAGAGCTCTTGGGAGACCAGGTGCATTGTCAATGAGCAGTAGTATTTTAAGCAGTAGGTGTCAACAGTGGGCTTAAAATATTGAATAAATCATACTGTAAACAGATATGCTGTCATCCAGGCCTGTTCCATTTACAAGCACAGGCAGAGTACATCTTGCTTAATTGTTAAGGTCCCTAGGAGTTTTAGAAGGGTCAACGAGCATTGGCTTCAGCTTAAAGTCACCAGCTACCTTAGCCCCTAACAAGAGAATCAGTCTGTCCTTTGAAGCTTTGAAGCCAAGCATTGACTTCTCCTCTCTAGCTATGGAAGTCCTAGATGGTATCTTCTTTCAATAGAAGGCTGTTTGGTCTACATCGAAAACCTGTTGATTATTGTAGCCACCTTCGTCAGTGATCTTAGCTAGATCCTTGGGATAACTTGCTGCCAATTCTCCATCAGCACTTCCTGCTTTACCTTGCACTTTTATGTTATGGAGATGTCTTCTTTCCTTAAACCTCATGAACCAACCAACGCTAGCAGCTTCCAAATTTTCTGCAGCTTCCTTGTCTCTCTCAGCTTTCCTAGAATTGAAGAGAGTTAGGGACATGCTCTGGTTTAGGTTTTGGCTTAAGGGAATGTTGTGGTTGGTTTGATTTTCTATCCAGACCACTCAAACTTTCTCCATATCAGCAACAAGTCTTTTTCACATTATTATAATTTGTGTGTTCACTAGAGTAGCCCTTTTCATTTCCTTCAAGAACTTTTCCAGCCGGGTGCGGTGACTCACGCCTGTAATCCCAGCACTTTGGGAGGCTGAGGTGGGCAGATCACTTAAGGTCAGGAGTTCGAGACCAGCCTGGCCAACCTGATGAAACCCCCTCTCTACTAAAAATACAAAAATTAGCCTGGTGTGGTGGCAGGCACCCGTAATCCCAGTTACTTGGGAGGTTGAGGCACAAGAATCACCTGAACCCAGGAGGTGGAGGTTGCAGTGAGCCGAGATCACGCCACTGCGCTCCAGCCTGGGCAGAGCGAGAGTCTGTCTCAAAAAAAAAAAAAAAAAAAGAATTTGTCTTTCGCACTCACAGCTTGGCTAACTGTTTGGTGCAAGAGGCCTCACTTTTAGCCTTTCTGGCTTTCAGCATTCCTGCCTCACTAAGCTCCATCATTTCTAGCTTTTGATTTTAAGCAACAAAAGCGTGACTCTTTCTTTCACTTGAACACTTAGAGGCCATGGCAGGGTTATTAATTGGCCTAATTTCAATATTGTTGCATTTCAAGGAACAAGGAGAGGCCTGGAGAGAGGGAAAGAGACCAGGGAATGGCTGGTTGGTGGGGCAGTCAGAACACAGACATTTATCGATTAAATCCATTGTCTTCTATGGGTGTGGTTTGTGGCACCCCAAAACACTTACAATAGTAACATCAACAATCACTGATCACAGATCACCATAACAGATATAATAATAATGAAAAAATCTGCACTATTGCGAAAATTACCAAAATGTGACACAGAGACACACAGAGAGCTCATGCTTTTGGAGAAATGGCACTGATAAGACTTGCTCAAGACAGGGTTGCCACAACCTTTGATTTGTAGAAAACACAGTATCTGTGAAGCATAATAAAGCAAAGCACAATAAAGTCTGTCCTGTTTGTATTCACAAAAACATATAAAGGCATGTGAGTAATAATATAAAATTAGCTGGGTCAAGATCGTTGCCAGCTGTGGTGTGGAATGGATTGGCAGCAGTTCTGTGCCATTTCCCAGGCTCTCTGTGCCTCCACCTCCTCCCTCATTCATGAAAGACAAGCCAAGCAAGGGACAAAGGTATACAATAGTTGCTGTAAATGTCCCTATTTCACCTATGAGAAAACTGTACTCAAAGAGGTTTAAATTCCTTGCCTAAGGTCATAGGACCTCAAAGACAATAAGCAAAAGCAAGGAAACTGAACGCACTCATAGCTACACAGAGATTCATTGCTAACTTTGTCAGACGTTGTGCCAAGACTCTCTCTCTTTCTCTCCCTCTCTCTGTCTCTCTACCAACCCCCCCCCAACGTATGTGTCTCTGCGTGTGTGTGTGTGTGTGTGTGTGCATATGCATGTATACACCCACTTTTTTTTTTATAAAATAGACTGCAACTGGAGATACTGGTGTGTCCTATTTTTTGGTGCAGCGTCATAACATAAGCATCTTTCTAGGCAATAAATTAACTTTATGCTGGCCTTCTTTTTTCAGTGGAGTATTAATTAAGCATCTTGTATGTGCCCAATATTCTGCTGGTTCTGGGGGAAGAAGGCCAGCCTACAGGAAACAACAGCTAACTCTTTAAGGCAGTGCATAAGTCCATTCATTTGCTTCACAAACATTCATTGAGCCCTGCCACGTGCCAGGCACTGTGGGTATCGTGGAGAACAAGACTACTGTCCGAGGCAAGAGCTGGGCTCCTCCTAGCTTCCTCTGTCCCCCTAACCTCCTCTCACCCACAGGCATTGCTGGGGGTATTTTCCTGGGTTGGTTGGTTTGTTTTGTTTTTTGTTTTGTTTTGTTTTGTTTTTTTGAGACAGGGTCTCACTATGTTGCTCAGGATGGTCTCAAACTCCTGGGCTCGAGCAATCTCCTGCCTCGGCCTCACCGTGCCTGGCCGTTGTTTATTTATTTATTGTGGTCAAATGTACATAGCATAAAATTGACCGTTTTAACTATTTTCAAGTGTACAGTTCAGTGGCACTAAGTACATTCACACTGTTGGGTAACCCTCCCCACTCTTCCACTGCAGAACCCCTTTCATCTTGCAGAACCGAAACTGTCCCCATTAAACATCAACCCCCCGGCCCTTCATCCCAGCCCCTGGCAGACACCCTTCTGTCTGCCTCTATGATTTTGGCGCTCTGGGTACCTCATAGATAAGTGAGATTGTATAGTATTTCTCCTTTGGTGACCAGCTTATCTCACCAAGCGTGATGTCCTCTGGGAGCATCCGTGTGGAAGAGGTGCTAGCATCATTTTGACTTCTCAAACATCTCGTGGGTGTCACCTCCCCCTCTACCTCTCTGCCACTGCCTCGCTCAGCCACCTGCTCTCTCCTGGACCCTTGCAGAAGGGACTGACTGGGCTCCTGGCCTCCAGTCCTGCCCTCTTCTAATGTATTTTTCATACCACTTCCAAAGTGATAATACATTCCTCTTTTGAAATTTTAGATTTGGTTACTAAAGCAATACAGGTGTATGGTTACCAAAAATTCAAACAGTGTAAAAGAGAATACCAGCCTGGGCAATGTAGAGAGACCCTGTCTCCATAAATTTTTTTTTTTTTTTTTTTGAGACGGAGTCTTGCAGTGGTGGGATCTCGGCGCACTGCAACCTCCACCTCCCGGGTCCTCATTCAAGCATTTCTCCTGCCTTAGCCTCCTGAGTAGCTGAGATTACAGGCATGCGCCACCATGCCCAGCTAATTTTTGTATTTTTAGTAGAGACGGGGTTTCACCATGTTGGCCAGGCTGGTCTTGAACTCCTGACCTCGTGATCCACCCACCTTAGCCTCCCAAAGTGCTGGGATTACAAGCATAAGCCACCACGCCCAGTCTCCATAAATGATTTAAGAAAAAATGTAGCCAGGCGTAGTGGCACGTGCCTGTGCTCCCAGCTCCTTGGGAAGCTGAGGTGGGAGGATTGCCTGAGTGTGGGATGTCGAGGCTGCAGTGAGCCAAGATCATGCCACTGTACCCCAGCCTGGGTGACAGAGTGCGACCCTGTCCCCCCCAAAAATAAATAAATCAAAGGGCATAAGGTGAAAAGAATCGTAACATTATGTTTTTGTAGCTCTGCCTCTGTGATGGTGCCCCCTGCATGGCTTGCTTTCACTGTGCCAATGCACCACAGTTACCCAGCCTGCCGGCTCTGATAAGATGCTCGCCATGCTTCTCCCATGCTGGACTTGGGCCACGTCCTTGGGCATGAATCTTGGTCTATGTCCAGGTCGGTTCTGAATGAGCCAGCAGACTCCTCCCGGGGCTGCCCGGCTACATGGTTGAGGGCATCCTGGACACCAGCTTCAGCCACAGCTCCTGACCAGGCAGGTGCAGTGAAGCCGGGAGGTGTAGGTCAGTTCCTACCTCTCCAACCTGAGGTCCTGCACTTCCTGCAGCTGTTGGAAGGGATCGTATCCAATGGGAGCAAGAAAGTGTGCTCCCCCACAGCCCCACTCAGGCATAAAGGGCCGAGGGGCAGCCAGGCCTGTCCTGGCTAGGGCTGGCTCAGAGTCTGTGGCAGCCCCACCCCTGCCAGGCTGGCCCTTAGCCCCAAGATCCACCTATGGCACTCGCCCCTTTACAGCTACGTGGACATCCACTGACACTCAGGTGACACACCTTTGCCTGCTTCTACTCAGTCTTGGCAGCAGTTGGACAAAAGGAAATCAAAGATCGGTTCTTTCTTGGGAGAGGAAGAGCAAGCTGGAGCCCTGGGGTGCTCAGATGCTCTTGGGAGTAACATAGCCCCATAGCCCCGGGGCTATACTGGGTGCAGGGGGGTGGAGGTGGTGGGGGAGCTGCAGCCAGGCATTCATTCACTTCCCGTTCTTTCATTCCTGCTCTTCTTTTGCTCACTGACTCATTCAGCAGCCTCTGGGCTGGGCGTTTACTCTCCTGTCAGGCAACACACTCCTGATTGGGTGGCCTTGGCCTTCCCAAGCTGTCTCTGGCTGTCCCCAAGTGAAACGGAATCTGGGCTGGACAGGCCACCGGATGGACAAGCTCTTCTCATCTAAAACCAAGGCAGTTGACATTGTGGGCTAAATGATAAGAACAAAATTAAAAAATAAAAACCAGGCAGGCTGGCATAGGAGCTCCATTTCCCTGCCCTACTGTGCCAGTGGCCTGGGGGCTCCCCTGCCGCCTCTCTCCACTCTGCAGATTCTGAGAAAACTCACAAAAGAGCCCACTCCAAGGTGTTTGGCAACAAGGTGGGGGCAGCCTCCCAGCACCCAGCACACATGGAGCTTTCCCGCAGTGGGTTTCAGCGCTCCCACTCTGCCTCGGAGCTACTCTGTCACCAGCTCTTGCCCTCCCTTGGCTCCTCTTTCCCATGCAGCTCCTCCTCCAGCTCGTGGGAAAGGCCGAGAGGCCGGGCCAGCAACAGCTGAGCATCCCCTCAACCTCTCCCTACCCCACCCCACCCCACTGTGCTCTTGGCCCCAGGCAGGCGAGGGGAGTGGAGTTTTGCTGCCTGATGCAATGTCTGGCAGGGCCGTCCCTTATCACAGCCGACTTGCTGGGACCCCCACCTTCCCCGGAGGAGGCCGGAACAGGCCGCAGTCCATTTTGGGCCTCAGTGGAAGGGCCTGGTTGGAGGCCATCCAAGTAGAAAACTCGTTCTCTGGGAGGCACCTTGCCAAGTCACGAGGGAGGCCTGAGCAGAAAGACCCCTGGGGGAGAGAAGGGAGGGAAGCCGAAGCCTCACTTGCTGGGGCTTGCCTGGCCTCAGCTCGCAGCCCCCTTTTTCCACAGCGTTCTCTCCCTCACATTTGTCTGCAGATGGCTTAGGCTGTTTTCTGCCCTCCCCCTTGTTACCCCACAGCTGTGAGAGGCTGGATGGAAACAAGAATTCAAGAGACTAAAGTTATGTGCGGTCCCAAGTGTGAAGTTTTGCCCACAGTTGGTGGCCATGGTTCGCACCGTGGTCCCAGCACACGCCCTCAGCATGCACCTGTGGCCCACACGCTCATGCTCACAGCCACTCATGTATGGAGCAATTGCCTTTTTTTCTTCCTCTTCATATCTTCTGTCAACTTAGAACGATTAAGCATCTTGCAGTAGGCTCAATGCTTTGGGAAGGACATTGATTCGTTCATTCATTCATTCATTCATTCAGCAAGTATTTATGAAGCACCCACTCTGTGCCAGGTACAGTTCTGGGCACTGGAGATGCAAGGGTGGAGCAGACAGATGAAGCTCTCCTCTCCCGGAGTCAACGTTCTGGGGGATGAGAGGCCATCAGCAAGTGCATTTCCATCTATGAAGGGAGTAAAGCAGGGCGCCAAGAGGGAAAGTGATGGGGGTGGCCCACATTAGGTCAGGGGTCAGGGAAGTACTCCAGAGCTGGGGGGGCATTTGAGCTGAGTCCTGATTGCTTAGAAGGAGCCAGCCAGAGCAGATCTGGCCCGGGCAGAGGTACCAGCTGATGCAGAAGCCCCCAGGTGGGGAGTGGCAGGAAGGGCCAGGGTGGGGGTGTTGGGAGAAGAGGTGGGAAGGGTGAGCAGGGTCTGGATCTTGAAGGCCCTTACAGGGCTTTTATTTTACCAAGTAGTGCATAGAGTGTTTGAAGCAGAAGCTGCCTTATTGTCTGTGCCTCCGAGAAGTTTCCATGTGGCTGAGAAGCTGGGTGGCAGCACAGTTATAATCAGTGCTCAGGTGTTCCCCTGTCTGGGTGGCTGCCCACATGTGATCCCATAGAAGAGGCTGGGCCTGAGGAAGCCAGGGAAGCAGGAGGGGGTGTGGGGAGGCCAGCAGGGGTGTGGGCCTCAGCGGGGAGGGAGGAGGTGATGCAGCATGGAAGATGAGAAGCCCACACCAGCCACACTAGGCCCCCAGGAGATTGTGGACGCCGTCGGGAGCATTATTCGGTGGAGGGGTGCGGGGCAGAAGCCAGATGAGACAGCTGGGAGGTGGCAGGCAGGTGAGAATGTGAGACAGAGGGAGGACAGTGATTTGAGAACTGTATCGTAGGTGGGATAGGAGTCCACATCCCAGCCAGCACCTAGAAGGTTGGGCTGGCTCTGCCCAGGGCCTGGCACGTGGTGTGCACTCACCAGATGGTCGCCGCCCTGAAAGAACTCAGCACTGTGCCTCTTTTCCTGCCTCTGGTGTTTGCTGTCAATATGCAGAGTGCTGGACAAAACTGGGCCAAGGGAGCTGTCCCACTGCCTGCTGCCCTCAAGCAGAGCTGACCTGGCACATGCCTCTGGCATACTTCCTGTTGGCCCTGGCACCCTGCAAAGAGGCCCCCAGTGGGCCCAAGCAGGGGATACCACCCGTTCCTTGGGCTGTTATGTAGTTGCTGGGGCATTGAGGGGATGAAAGGTTTTTTTGTTTTTTGGGTTGTTTTTTTTTTTGAGACAGAGTTTTACTCTGGGTGCCTAGGCTGGGGTACAATGGCATGATCTCGGCTCACTGCAACCTCCACCTCTCAGGTTCAAGCAATTCTCCTGCCTCCGCCTCCCAAATAGCTGGGATTACAGGCGACCACCACCACACCTGGCTACTTCTTGTATTTTTAGTAGAGACAGGGTTTCACCATGTTGGCCAGGCTGGTCTCAAACTCCAGACCTCAGGTCCACCTGCCTTGGCCTCCCAAAGTGCTGGGATTACAGGCGTGAACCATCGTGCCTGGCCGGATGAAAGGTATTGAGTACTAGGGGCTAGGAGGGACCAAGAGAAGGAGGAAGAGATTTTTCGGTTCTACCCATGAACTAAGCAAGGGAGGCAGGCCTAGCCCTTGCACCATGGAAGTGGGAGAGAAGTGATACAAAGGTGTATCTGATGTCACAGGTGTCACAGGCCTGCTTCTTGTAAAGGGCCTCCTGCATGGTGAGTTCTGCGTGGGGCTTTGCTGAGTAACCCCCATCCGGGCTCTATCCCCTTCCCTCATGGCCCTGTGACTTCCTGGCACCATGACCCTCTCCCCGCTTCTGGCTCTGGGAAGCTCCAAACCTCTCTCACCTGCCTGCCCACCTGCCTGCTAGGTTTCCAAAGCTAAACAGAGGGGCAGCTGTCTGGGCAGGGCAAGGGAGCCAACAGCCTGCCTGGGTTTCCTGTCCAAGTGTCCAGCTTTGCTTCTTCCTCTTAGGGCAGCGTCAAGAAGGATCTTAGGAAAGCTGTGTTGCTCTGGGGATGAGGAGGCTGGAACAGCAACTTAAAAAAAGAAATAGTCCCTGGAAGGGAGGGAAGGAGAAGGTTCAGAGGCTTGTCATTTAGGCACCCCAACTTCTATACCTTACCAAGGTGCCAGGCCCAGAGGGAAGGGGGTAGCCAGGGCAGCTCCCCGACCCGCACCTGCCTTTTCACCCCTCTCCTATTTCACAAGCATTTACCATGCATCAACAGATATGTTCCTCACAGCACCTTTATCAGCAGGGACTGCCCTTTTCATGCTACAAACAGGCCCAGAGAGGTTGTCACTTATACAAGGTTGCACAGCATGGTAGAGACACAGGAAGGACTAGAGCCCAGGACTTCTAACCCTAGCTCCTTCTGCTTCCCTCACATCATCAGCTCCAGACAACCTGAGATTGGAGAGGACAGAAAGTCAGGATTTCAACACCTCGTACTCTGAAAACTCAGTGGTGGTTCTCACCCTGTCAGTGGGGCAGGTGGCCTCACACCCCACCACAGGCTAAACAGGGTGCATGGGGGACGTAGCCCCACTGGCCATTCTACACATTCATGCCAACAGCTACCAGGCACCAGCCTCACCATTGATTTTTGGACAGCTGGTCTGTGCCAAGTGCCATTCTAGATGCGAGTCCCGACTTTGGGGTGCTTGCATTCTGGGAAGGGAGATGGTCAGCCAGAAAGCCCCACCATAGGAGCTAGGTTGGGGGTCCCCAAGGTACACCAAGAAGCTCAAGTGACCTGGACCTGGGAGGGGTGGCCAGAGGCTTCTGCTGGAGGAACCTTAGGTCAGTTACCTAACCTGTCTCAACCTCAGTTTCCTCACCTGTAAAATGGGCTAGTTGCTGCCTCACAGGGCTTTGCTGAGGATTTGATGAGTGCAAGTGCTTAGCATGGCACCTGGCACAGAGAAATATGCACTCAGTAAACTTAAGCTGCCCATATCATTGGTTGGCCCTCCCAACCAGAGTGCAAGCCCCGGGAGGGCACAGACCATACCTGCTTGTTCACCGCCATATTTTCAGTGCCTAGGCCAGAAGCCAGCACAAGGTAAATGCTCAGAAAATATTAACTTAATAAGTTCATGAGAAAAGGCCCAGGAAAATTAGGAAGAGGCAGGACTATTCCAGTTAGGAATAGACTCTCCTATGCCAGGCACAGTGGCTCACACCTGTAATCCCAGCACTTTGGGAGGCCGAGGCAAGCAGATCACCTGAGGTCAGGAGTTCGAGACCAACTTGGCCAACATGGTGAAACCCCATCTCTACCAAAAAATACAAAAATTAGCTGGGAGTGGTGGCACACGCCTGTAATCCCAGCTACTCAGGAGGCTGAGGCACGAGAATTACTTGAACCCAGGAGGCGGAGATTGCAGTGAGCTGAGATTGCACCACTGCACTCCAGCCTGGGTTGCAGAGCAAGACTCTGTCTCAAAAAAAAAAAAAAAAAGGGAATAGACTCTTCTTTCTGCAGCTGTATTTGCTCTAGCTGTAAACAACTTTGTAGCCAAGTGCAGTGGCACACCTATAGTCCCAGCTACTCCGGAGGCTGAGGAGGGAGGATTGCTTGAGCCTAGGAGTTGGAGGCCAGCCTGGGCAATATAGCAAGACCCTGTTAGATATTATCTATTTAGATAATAATAATGACCTGTAATCCCAGTACTTTGGGAGACCAAGGCAGGTGGATCATCTGAGGTCAGGAGTTCAAGACCAGCCTGGGCAACATAGTGAAACCCCGTCTCTACTAAAAATACAAAAATTAGCTGGGCGCAGTGATGCATGCCTATAATCCCAGCTACTCGGGAGGCTGAGGCAGGAGAATTGCTTGAGGCAGAGGTTGCAGTGAGCCAAGATTACGCCATTGCACTCCAGCCTGGACGACAGAGCGAGACTCCATCTCAAAATAATAATAATAATAATGATACATACTATTTCAGTCGAGGGTCATTTTTTCCTTTATCCATCTGTTGTTCACCAACTGTGTATCTCTTGCCTGGCCCAGGATTGAGAGATAATGAGGGGCCCAGATGAACTCCCTGTCCTGCCTGAAGGGATGTTCAGTATTGAACAATTGTTGCTTTATGGCTTTATGACAAAGTCCCAGGTGCTCATGATAATCTTTGTACAGTGGTGGGGCTGTAGGGAGCCCTAACATAGCCTGGGGGAGGCTGCCTAGAAAGTGGAGACCTGAAGGCTGAGGCCATGTTAAGGATTTAGGTAGAATTTATGCGCTATGATATTTTTTTCTTTCGTTAATTTTTTATAATTTACGTATACACATGGTAAAATGTGTAACAAGGCACAGTGTTACATAGCAAACATAAGCCTCACTCCACCTTCTCTCTCCACCTACCTGTCCACCTTCTAGATGCAGCCATTGTTACCAGGCCTTGCGTTTTCCTGCAGCCAGAGTCCATTTGTATCCCGCATCTATATTTTCTTCCCGGCATTTGTTTCTGAATGGGAGCTTGCTACATCGGAGTCTCTCCACCTTGGATGATTTGTCACCCCCCACCTTCCCACCCCAGGAGACACTTAGCAATGTCTGGAGATATTTGATGGTTACAGATGAGCAGTGGGGGCCAGGCGTGGTGGCTCGTGCCTATAATCCCAGCACTTTGGGAGGCCGAGGCAGGTGGATTGCTTGCACTCAGGAGTTCAAGACCAGGCTGGGCAACATGGCAAGACCCCATCTCTACAAAAAATTTTAAAAATTAGCTGGGTGTGGTGGTGTGCACTTGTGGTGACTAAGGGGGCTGAGGTGGGAGGATCAATTGAGCCTGGGAGGTTGAGGCTGCAGTAAACTATGATCGTGCCACTGCACTCCAGCCTGGGCAACATAGTGAGACCCTGTCTCAAAAACAAACAAACAATTATTGGCAATTAGTGGGTAGAGGCCAAGACTGCTGTCAAACATTCTATAATTCACAGGACAGTCCCCACTTACCTGGTGGAAAATGTCAACAGTGCTGAGGTTGGGAAGCCCCGTCCTGCATAAGCACAGGGTCTGCACCTTTGTGTGTGTGTGTGTGTCTGTGTGTGTGTGTGTGTGTGTTCTCATGTATTTTCTGGATCATTCACATTTATACATCCACCTCATTATTCTTTGTGGCCACATAAAAATCCATTACCTGGATGCTCCACCATTTTCATTTAGGTGTTTGCACTCTTTTTGCTATTATAAACATTTATGCTACAAAGGTTATTCTTTTCCGTGCACAGGCCTTTGATGTGTGAGGTCAAGGGAGAAACTGATGGAGGTGGGATGGATGAACCCGATGGTTCATTAGCATTTTAAATGACCTATTAAAGAGACCTTCAGTGTCTCTGGGGCACAGTCTGTCTGGAGAGTGGGTCTGGGGTCCTGGCTGCTAACCAGGGCCGAGATCCTCAAAAGTCTGGTGGAGAGACATCCTCTGCATTCCTCGTGTACAGACAAGGGTGTTCTGACCACCTGTCTCTCCGCAGGACAAGGGTGTCCCCCACCTGAAGACGGCAAGCTGGGTCCTGAGTGATGCCCCTCAGCTGAGTGTCCAAGGCTGGCCCGAGGAGCCCCCACGGCCCCACCTTTCCCCATGGAGAAAGGACTCACTTTGCCCCAGGACTGCCGGGACTTTGTGCACAGCCTGAAGATGAGAAGCAAATACGCCCTTTTCTTGGTTTTTGTGGTGATAGTTTTTGTCTTCATCGAAAAGGAAAATAAAATCATATCAAGGTGAGGGTTGCAAGCCCAAGTCTTCATCTTCCTTTCAAGGTGGGGTGGGTGGGGACAGGGAGGTAACTGCAGGGCTCTCTGTGGACCTGCAAATGCATTCCTTCAACGAGCCATCCCCAGGCCCCTTCTATGTCCCAGGCAGTGGCTCCTGCACACGTCCTCATGACTGCACAGGGGTGAGACTTGGGCTCTGGACTCAAACAGCCTGGGTTGGAGCCCCCCCATGTTGGCCCTCTACAGCTGTGAAAGGTTAGACAAGATACTTAACATTTCTGAGTCTTCGGTTCCTCTTTTGTAAAACATGGCTAATAATGGGACCAGCATTGTTGTAAAGATTAAATGAGAAAATGTAAAAGCATTTAGCCCACTGCCTGGCACATAGTTGGTGTCCAGTATTTGCTGGCTGTGACTATTACTGTTAATTTACCTCCTGGCCTTGCATTAGCAGCACATCCCCTATAGAAGTCTTGATGTCACTGAGCCCATGGAAAGGCAAGGTCCTAGTATGGATACTCTGATGGGCAAGGCTGCCAATGTGCAGCTGCCAAGTTGTGTACTGCTCAACTCCAGGGGCATGTCCCTCAAATAGGCTAATCTGGGAACGCCCCTTTACCCCTTTGAATTGGCAGCATACAGCTATGTGCAGTGGGCCTGTTAGATGTAGAAAGATTTCTTAGCCTGTTCTCCTCCCAGGCACAAGCCCTGCAAGAAAGCATTAGCTAAGATGGGTGGGTCAGGGATTGGGCAATATAGTGGACACCGTCAATCCCCCCCCTTGGGTCACTGAGCAAGGACCGTTCTAGCTTGTGCCTATTGGGTTCTACTGCAAGCCCCTACAGCTCTGCACCTGAGAGCTTTCTCTCCACTGGCACACTGGCAAGCCGGAAGTACTAGGGAGTAACTGTCCCCCCCAGATCCCCATCAGACTAAGCCTCCGATGCCCACACCTGCTCCTAGCAGCACATCCATCATGCACCTCTTTCCTCCCCTGCCTCACTTCCCCATCCAGTACTTCCTGTGATCATGTCCCAAATAAACTTACTTAAACACAAATCCTTGCCTCAACGTCTGCTTTTGGGGAAACCCAACTGAGACAGGTTTTGGTGATCTGCTTGGAGGACTGCTTAGGGTTGCCCAGGAGACGGGGTCCCCAGTCAGCCACTGACCCTGATCTTCTTTGTCCTCACAGGGTCTCAGACAAGCTGAAGCAGATTCCCCAAGCTCTAGCAGATGCCAACAGCACCGACCCAGCCCTGATCTTAGCTGAGAACGCATCTCTCTTGTCCCTGAGCGAGCTCGATTCAGCCTTCTCCCAGCTTCAGAGCCGTCTCCGCAACCTCAGCTTGCAGCTGGGCGTGGAGCCAGCCATGGAGGCCGCAGGGGAGGAAGAGGAAGAGCAGAGAAAGGAGGAGGAGCCGCCCAGACCGGCCGTGGCGGGGCCCCGGCGCCACGTGCTGCTCATGGCCACCACGCGCACCGGCTCCTCGTTCGTGGGCGAGTTCTTCAACCAGCAGGGCAACATCTTCTACCTCTTCGAGCCGCTGTGGCACATCGAGCGCACAGTGTCCTTCGAGCCGGGGGGCGCCAACGCCGCGGGCTCGGCCCTGGTGTACCGCGACGTGCTCAAGCAGCTCTTCCTGTGCGACCTGTACGTGCTGGAGCACTTCATCACGCCGCTGCCCGAGGACCACCTGACTCAGTTCATGTTCCGCCGGGGCTCCAGCCGCTCCCTGTGCGAGGACCCCGTCTGTACGCCCTTCGTCAAGAAGGTCTTCGAGAAGTACCACTGCAAGAACCGCCGCTGCGGCCCCCTCAACGTGACGCTGGCCGCAGAGGCCTGCCGCCGCAAGGAGCACATGGCCCTCAAGGCGGTGCGCATCCGGCAGCTGGAGTTCCTGCAGCCGCTGGCCGAGGACCCCCGCCTGGACCTGCGCGTCATCCAGCTGGTGCGCGACCCCCGGGCCGTGCTGGCCTCGCGCATGGTGGCCTTCGCCGGCAAGTATAAGACCTGGAAGAAGTGGCTGGACGACGAGGGCCAGGACGGCCTGAGGGAAGAGGAGGTGCAGCGGCTGCGGGGCAACTGCGAGAGCATCCGCCTGTCCGCGGAGCTGGGGCTGCGGCAGCCCGCCTGGCTGCGGGGCCGCTACATGCTGGTGCGCTACGAGGACGTGGCACGCGGGCCGCTGCAGAAGGCCCGCGAGATGTACCGCTTCGCCGGCATCCCCCTGACCCCGCAGGTGGAAGACTGGATCCAAAAGAACACGCAGGCGGCCCACGACGGCAGCGGCATCTACTCCACGCAGAAGAACTCCTCGGAGCAGTTCGAGAAGTGGCGCTTCAGCATGCCCTTCAAGCTGGCCCAGGTGGTGCAGGCCGCCTGCGGCCCTGCCATGCGCCTCTTCGGCTACAAACTGGCGCGGGACGCCGCCGCCCTCACCAACCGCTCAGTCAGCCTGCTGGAGGAGAGGGGCACCTTCTGGGTCACGTAGGGGGGCCGGGGCCCCGTATGCCCCTCCTCGTGAAAGGCCTGCCCCGTCTTTCTGCCGCAGCCCTCGCAGAGGGCGGGTGCACAGCGCCATGAGCGGGCAGCGCCTCCTGTAGCAGTAGGGCCCCCAGCCAGCGCTCCAGCCAAAGCGGCGGCCCCAGGGTTAATTGCGGAGAACAGGACAGTGCCCGGTCCCCTTGAGGGCCATCACACCCAGACCCAACGGGTTGCAGCCTCCTGAGCAGGCCTAGGCAGGCCCGGGCCTGTTGGCAAGCTTCGATCTCACACACACAGAAACATACATTCGTGCCTGGAGACCCTGCAGGCCAGAGTCCAAATATTTAACAATCAGAAGGGGCAAGGCTCTGACCAGTGACAGTCAGACCTCCTGCTTTATTTGGTGTTAACCGTTTCTTGTCTGGATGGTGAAGTCTGGAATCTGGGTGGGTCCTTGGAGGAGGGGCTAGGACAGCCGTGGGTGTCAAAGGTGGCATTTGAGGCTCGTTTGAGGTGACAGTGGCTGTTTACCAACTAGTACAGAGCGATTCAGCGTTTTCATGAATGGGTTGGCTGTGCTGGTTACTGATGAATATGGGCCCCTTATAGAGCTGCAAAACACACACATGCGTATAGACATACATACATGTACACCATACATAGACAAGCATCATAAAGGCACAAGTGCACACACATCTATGCAGACAAGCTTCCTCGCTGCTTATGCCCACAGGGTTTTTCTGTATGACACACCTCAGAGGAGCCTGTGCTTAACATTTGTAGGATTATTTCGAGGGCAGGGCAGGGGAAAGAAACGCGTTAAAGGGCCATGACATGACACAGTTCCCTGGCCGGGTTTGGACTGAACAGTGGATTCAGAACTGCAGCGTTCAAAGCCCCTGCCCGCCTTAGATTCTCATGGCTACCTCCTCTGACCCATCCACATCCTTGCGGCTGGCAGGCAGGATGTTTTGAAATGGTGCAGCCAAAGGCCCCGTCTAGCTTGGCTGGCTCCCGAACATGTCCATATTTGAAGGCTGCCTCAGGCCTGGCAGGCAGAAGCAGCTGTGGTCCCTGGAGGCAAAAGGCAGCTCACGGGGCCTTCCATTTCCAGCCAGGCCTCATCTGGGGTAGGGCCAAGAGGAAAGTACAGAGTGCCCGTGGGGGAGAAGTCCCACCAGGATGCCCCCCCTCCCCTGAGAAGCCCGCCTTCTCCCTCGTGGACAGGAGTCAGCCAGTTGGTTGCTGTGGTTACAGCCAGTGCCTGGAATTCCTCCTTAGGGCCCTGGGAAGAGTATTGCTTAACGCAGGATGTGCTGGGTGTTTTGTTTCGGGCTTTTATTTATGGCTTGGTGTCTTTCTTGTTTCATGGCTGTGTTTTTGCTTTTGTTTCTGTAGGAGCGCCTCTTCCAAGCAGTGGAGGCCTGAGGGCTTGAGGGAGGCTGGGGAAAACCAGCAGGGAGCACTTGGCTCCTGGCAGAGGGAGAGGACAGGAGGAGGAGCCTTCCCCAGGAGGAACGAGGAGAGGTGGCCACGTGGCAGGCCACAGTGCCCTATGGGCTTTTCTGTTTGAACCCCATGTGGGATGAATCTCAAAGCCACCAGCGTTCTTGCCTAGTGTCCAGAGCAGCAGAGATTTGCAGCCCTCGCCCCTCCCTGAGAAGAAGCTGGATTTGAAAATCCCTCACAGGCCCTAACATGTTTCCTGGGTGGGCAGGGGCCTCATGACAAGCGACAAGTGTACCCAGAGTAGAAGGCCTTCCCCACTCCCACCTCAAACCCAGGAGCAGAACTCAGTATCCAGAGCTTACAAGGAGCTGCAAGGGTTTGCCGAGGGCTGCCCAGCTCTGCTTCTGGTTTCCTGGACAATTTCTCTGTCAGATACGGCCCATTGTAAACCCAGAGGGCTGCATTTTGGGTTGAGTAATATGGACACCATGGAAGTACAGGATCTGAGTCCAACATTGCCATGGGGGAGGGAAGAGTGTGTCCTGGCAGGAAGCCACCATTGGAGAAGGTGAGGCCAGTAACCATCTCATGGGATTCGCTATAATCAGCCTATTTGAGCTGCTGGGTCTCTGTCACTGTGGACTCCAGTCATTCAAGGAGGTCTCCACTCTTGGGTTTTTTTTATTTTCTTTTCTTTTGCTATTTTGCCTGAACACCCCAACACTCTTGGTTTTAGAGTCCAAGAGTAAGTTGTGCAGAGACATGGTTCTAATTTGGAGTTCAAAGGAACACCAGCTCTGAAAACATGACCGTGGGGCCAGGATGTTTCTGGCAGGCCCAGAAGTGCTGGCCGTTCTTCCCCAGCCTCCCCACTGCTCCCTCCTCTGTTCCCCATGTGGAGGTCGGAGGGGCTGGGACTGGGGAGGGGGCAGCCACCTCCATCCAAGGCTCTTCCTAGGGGCCCTGCTAATGTGGACAGTAGACTTTATCCCTCCTTCTTACTCTGGGCCAAGACCTCCCACTCCGCCCTCTGAGGATGGTACCAAGAATGGGCCTTTGGGACTTCTCAGGACATTGACAATGTGCACACTGCAGGTTGACTTAATTTATTTATTTTTTGAAAAGAAGAGACAGAAAATACCTTATTATCTGCAGGGACTCAAAGCTGTACCCAAATCAAGAAAGACAAAATAACAATAGAAACCATTCACACACTCCGTTCATGCATGGACACCAGAAGACGATTCAGAACACAAGAGGAGAATGAGCTGGAGCGCCAGCACCACGATGGCCCCAGGACGTTGTTTAAGATCTGAGATCCCTTGGTTTCTCTCTTGTTGATCTGAGATGCTACATCAGGGCCCTTGCTGCTGTATTACCTCTGCCCGGGTGTTTGAGACAGGTCACAAGCGCGTGGATGTTTCCTGGAAGTGTATTCCCCTGGGGCTCAGCGATGCTCTGGGAACCCTTGGGGTTTGGGGAAGGACAGTGTGGTGTGACTATTGGCTTGAAACGTTATGGATATGGTTGGAGTCACCCATGTGGATATGATTTTCAGCTTGGAGCTGGGATGGAGAAGATGGAAGCACTGGTGGCCGGGCCTCTTTTTCCAGCGAGGCCAGCCCTGGCTTCTCCTCTGTTCCAGCTTGTCTGCCAGAAGCCTTCCCCTGCAAGGTGCCCACCTGCCCGGAGACAGAGGGAGCAGCTGAGGCCTCTCTCCACTGGCCGCCAGCCTCCCTAGCACAAGGGGACCATTCAGCAATGAGTGTTTACTCATGTTCTTTCTTGTTGATGAGTTCTGCGGCCCAGCATATAGAAATGGCTCAGAACGTTCCAGGCCTTGGTGAGACACAGCAGCGTCCAATGCTCACAGGCTGTCCCCACTCTGCCTGTTCCCATCTTCCCCTCGGGACCTGTTTATAAATTGAGGAATGGATGAGGGCCCTGGAGGGTCCTTGGGAGTAGTTAGTGGAGGGCAGGATTCTCAGGTCCCCATAGAGAGGGAAAGAGAAGACCAGATGTGCATAGAAGCCAGTCTCTGTCACATACACCGCAGGTGGTCACCGAGTTATTTTCCAAAAGCTGAGGAACATAAAGCAAATTTAGGCTTTTGTCCTTCTGCAATACATGCACTTGAAAATAAACAGAAAAGAGATGTTTAATAACAAGTTTACTTCCGGTCTGCTAGCACCCTCAGCCTGGGAGCTACTGCCAGAGGCTGGCGTAGTGGGGCAGCTGCTGACCAAACCCCACAGAACAGAGGGCACCAGGCATCACACGACATCTTTCCCTCCCATCTCTGCCATCTGTCTGTCTGGCAATGGAAGGAGCTTCAGCAGGAGGTCCTTCCCAGAAGGTTGATTCTTGGCCTGGGTGGTAGAGGAGATATCCTGACCCTAAAGTCTTCCAGCCCCGGGTCATCCTCTCCTATACTAGGGCCTATTGACCGTAGAGGCCAGGTGCGGTGGCTCATACCTGTAATCCCAGCAGTTGGGGAGGCCAAGGTGGGAGGATTGCTTGAGCCCAAGAGTTGGAGACCAGCCTGGGCAACATGGTGAGACCAATTGACTGTAGGGCTTGTCCCTTGCTAAGACAGGAGCAGAAGACTGGATGGCTGTGTCCTCAAGGCAGTCCCCTCCCATCCCCATTCCCAAAGTCAGAAAGTGAAGCCAGATCTCAAGGGCTGATACCTGAGGCAAGGAGAGCTAAGGGGAGAGAAATTGGGGCTGAGTGGAAGCAGATGCCTGCACAAGCCAAGTGTGTCTTATTGATCTGTACAAGCTGATAGAAGGACCATCTGCTGAAATCCAGGGCTCCTGAGTTGGTGGGTTTGCTTGTGAAGCTTCTAGGACAAGGCGCAGCCAGATGGAAGGGAGAGGGTCCAGGGCTTCCTAAATGCAGCCGCATCACCTGTCAACTCGCTGCAGTTTCAGAGACAGTGGAAGCTGCTCTTTACCTCAAAAGCACAAAGCAGAATTGGCAACTTCACTTGTCTCAAGAGCTCCAAGATCCTTTGGTCTCGTGTCCTTTGGCACCCCGTAACTGGACTGGGGACAAATTTGTTACGTGTTTCCAAGGCTACAGACATGGCGCCATCCTCACAGGCCTAGCTCATGTCATGGATCAGGTGCTTTGCTGGGGGGATACAATGACCCATGTGGTCTGCGTCTTCTGCCATTGGCTTGAACTGGGCACCCCCTGAAGTCTCCATCTCAGCTGTATATTCTAGTCCAAATTTTCCTGGCTCCCCTGCTCCCTCCCAGGTCCTGCACACTGTCTTTTTGCCAACACCTCAGCCCTGTTTGCTATTTCATGTCTGCATGGTACGAGACACCCCTTCACGGCATACACTGCCATGGTATGTACATATGCATCCACGTGTGTGTATGTGTAGCATGTAGCTCATTCTGCTCAGCCTCTGGCGCCGTTCCACATTGCTCCCAGCCCCATTGCTGTCACTGTCGTCCCAGATGTCCTTGCCATGGCCACAGACAATCTGCCGTCTCCTGGAAACGCTGGGGCTGCCCTTCAGAGAGCTGGCAGCCCCAGCAGTCAGGGCCTGCTTTGCAGAATAGAATGTGAACCCAACTCCTGATGGCCTACTTGACTTATTTAATTAAAGATGAAATCATGCAATGAGCAAAACCTGCAGCGTGTCTCTGCCTTTTCCTTTGCATTTGTTCTCAGCAGCAATTGGGTCATAATTTTTTTTTTTTTTTAATTAACAGTGGTAGAAAGGAGGTGACTTCCAGCATGAAGCAGGACAGAGAATCCCCCTGCCCATTCCCAAGGGACCAAAGGCACTAGGGGAATATGGGGCAGGATGAATGTACCTTGCGTCACCAGGC
The DNA here is from genome assembly GCF_000001405.40 of Homo sapiens. NCBI lineage: Eukaryota > Metazoa > Chordata > Mammalia > Primates > Hominidae > Homo > Homo sapiens. The sequence continues at coordinate 72,013,762 of NC_000010.11, forward strand.
TGGCAGAGCTGATGGGGACTGCGCTGAGCGGAGAGAGAGAAAACCCAGGTATTTGGGGGCAGAGACAGGAGTGTTGGGCCAGCGGTCAGGGGGCCTGGGGATGAGTCCCAGCTTTGCCACTGTCTGGCTGTGTGACCTTGCATAAGTCACTTCCCTTACTTGGACACCAGTTTCCTTTTAGAATGAAGGTGTAATCAGTTGTTCACAAACATTGTTCCCAAAAAGCCCCATTAGGGATTCAAAAGTCAGCTGAAAGGGCAGGCGGCACCCTCTCAACAAGAGTCACTGTGCGTTTTGATCTGCTTCACGTGTTCAGATAGCATTTCAGATTTATTTGGCCTTCAACTAAATCTCCAAAAACACATAAGAAGGTTGCCAAGGACCCTTTCAGCTAAGAAATTGAATGGAGTCCTTTCAAATTGCAGTTACATCCGTCATAACAACTTTAGTTCTTACTACATTTCAGCCCTGCTTGTCTCCCAAGAGCTGCCTGCAGAGCATGGGTGTTTCCCTGGGGAGAAGGGAGAGAGCTCATTTTGGAACACAGAAGCCAGAGCTGGTGGGGCTTTGTGGGTCTCAGGACACAGGGGTAGCAGGACCAGCAGCTGCAGGAAGAGGCAGAGGAGGGCTGAGCACGGGGACAGTGGCTCCTGGAGTGAGGGAATGAAGACTCAGAGAGGCTCAATGTGAGGGAACAGGCCCCCCTCCCCAAATCTTAACCTGTGTCTCTGCCAGTTCACCCAGTCCAGGCTTGGGAAGCTCAAGCCAGCTCCCTCCCACCTCTTAAAGTATTTGAGCCGGTGCCTGTCATCCCAACCTGAACAGAAGCTGCCCACCCCAGTCAGGTGCTATTGCTGTCTCCCCTACGCTGGGGGCTGGATATAGTTAGTTTAATTTCTGGGCTGTGTTTCCTACCACAAATGACCCCCTGGGGAAACAAATTGCACTAATCACAGAGCAGAGAAGCCTGGACACCTCCCCACCCACCCACCCCTCAGCTGCCAGGCCGGAACCGTCTCTCCTCCTCCTCCTTTCCCCCACCCCCAGACCCCTTCAGGATCGTCAGTCTTCCTTCCTACACCCCAATTTACTCAACCCTGGGGAGGAGTCAAGCGCCCCGTGGGCTCTCTGGGACAGGGAGAGTTGGCTGGGACTCTCTGGAAAGCAGTTTGATCAGCAGGGGGCTGGGGTCAGGGACCTGTGCCATTGCCCACAGAGCCCTGCCAGGCCCAGCACTGGCCCAGCCCTGGAGCCTGCAGCAGCATCCTCAAGTGTGTTTGGAGAAACTGTGGTCACAGGATTGCTCTTGGGAAGTTACAGTGCACATTTGCGATTACAGGCTCCAGGTAGGCCGCTTTCCTTTGACTCACCCAGCATTAAGGATTACCTTCTAGAAAGAACCATTTTTATGGAATTCGTTTATCATGAAAAACTTTTTTCCAAACAACAGTCTTTTTCAAGACTCTGGCCTTCTTTATTTTTTAAGACTCTGTCACCCAGGTGGGAGTGCAATGACGCAATCACAGCTCACTGCAGCCTGGACCTCTCAGGCTCAAGCAGTCCTCCTGCCTCAGCCTCCCAAGTAGCTGGGACTATAGGCATGCACCACACTTGCTAGCTTTTTTGTATTTTTTGTAGTAATGGGATCTCGCCATGTTGCCTAGGCTGGTCTTGAACTCCGAACTCAAGCAATCTGCCGGCCTCAGCCTACCAAAGTGTTGGGATTATAGGCATGAGACACTATACCTAGCCAAGACTCTGTCATTCTGCAAAAGAGTTAGTAGCTACCAGCAGCCTGCAGCTGGAAGTGTGTAGGACCAAAAGCCACCCTAAGCAGCCATTAGGTGGTGGGTGAGTTGGCTGGGAGAAAAAATCTAGGGTTGGGTTTAAGGCCCATCCCCCTTCACACCATCCTCCCCGAGCTGCCAGGCTAAGAGGAGCCCTCAGAGATTGCAGCAGCCTCAGGGGCACTGAGAGCCAGGGTTCGGGGCACTGAGGGCCAGGGTTCAAGGCCCTGAGACTTGCTGTCCCCAAACCTCCCTGGTTCTTGGCTTCCTCAACTCAACCCACGCTGTGGGGCCTCCGTGGCATGACCCAAAAGATGTGGAACACCCCACAGAGAGTGGGAACTCTGGAGAACCAGGCCAGGTATAAACACCACGGGATACTATTTATCTGAGAAATAGGAGTTTGAGATTGCTCTTAAAGGAGCCATTTCTGAAACAGTGGGACAAAGGTTACCAGCAGTAAATAGGTTTCCTGGAGGTGTAATCCTCTAGTAGCTAGTAAAACCTTCGCTGAAATCTGCGGGCCGTTTATTGGAAGAAGAAGCAGGTAGTAAGTGCCCAGCAGGAGAGGCCCGCCCAAGAAAATTAGAAGGGGGAAAAAGAAGGAAGGGAGGGAGGGGGAAGGAAGGAGAGGGAAGAGAAGAGGAAAGAAGGAAAAAAGGGAGGAAGAGGCTGGGCGCGGTGGCTCACACCTATAATTCCAGCACTTTGGGAGGCTGAGATGGGAGGATTGCTTGCGGCTAGGAGTTCGAGAACAGCCTGGTCAACATGGCAAGATCCCACCTCTTAAAAAGAAGAAAAAGAAAGAGGAAGGAAGGGTGGGGAAGGTTGGGAAAGGAAGGGAGAGAGGAAGGGAGGGAGGGTGACAGTGGGATGCATTTCATGCCAATGCAGAGGAGGAAGACAGCCAAGTTGTTGAAAAGAACACCCTTGGGGATAGCCACAGCCACAGTGCCCAAGAGTTTAGAGGGTCAGGCCAAGCCCAGGTACACTCAGTCCTGTACACCTTTGGCCATGGGGCTAATTTGCCCCATGGATATGTGGCTCACACCATGTTTGTTTCTGTTTTTAACAATCGGCAGGCCAGCACGGTGGCTCACACCTATAACCCCCAGCACCCTGGGAGGCCAAGGCAGGTGGATCACTTGAATCCAGGAGTGTGAGACCAGCCTGGGCAACACGGTGAAACCCTGTCTCTACAGATACAAAACAAAATATTCACCGAGTGTGGTGGTGCGCACCTGTAGTCCTAGCTACTCGGGAGGCTGAGGTGGGAGGATTGCCTAAGCCCAGGAGGTTGAGGCTGCAGTGAGCTGTGATCACATCACTGCACTCTAGCCTGGGTGACAAAGTGAGACTCTGTCTCAAAAACAAACAGTTGGCATTCAAGGACAACACTAAAAACTGAAGGGGTTTTATATAAAAGGCAGACTTGGCTCCTCTTGAAAATCAGGTGTCTTGGTTTGGGTTACACCGGCAGCTGACACTGGGACAAGGGCAAAATGGTTTCTTTAGGAGCTGTGGATGGTCCGGCAAGGGAGGAGAGGAGGCAGGCAGCCAGCAGAACCGTGCCGCTGAGCCAGCTGCCACTTTGGGGAACTGGAGCCGAATCCCTCTGGGAACCACAGTGCAAAGCCGGTGCCTTGGACTCACTCCACCCCGGGGTGAGGAGAGGGAGTCTGAAGGTTCCTACACCAGTGCCTGTCAGCTTCTGGCTGAGACTGCTCTTGGAGGGTATTAATTTCACAGCACAGCCGCTGGCCCCAGCAGAACAGCATTCCCAAACTCTGGAACAAACCATTAGACTCAGAGGTAAAGATACAGGTGGCTAGAAGTTTCCAGAGCACAGTAAAAGGTTAGGTGTAGGGGATAGGGCACGGTCTGACAACATCTACGCCCTGGGGTGCTCTCATTCCCACAGGAAAAATAGGCTCTGGTGGGAGGGGGCAGCAGCCTTTTTAACCGGAGAAGGTCAGGGTCCCCACCTGCCCATCCCCCGGTCTCCCCAATTACTGAGGCAGCAATGCCCTTTGCCATGTATCATAGCACTTGCACTGATGTTTGACTTCCAACACAATATCTTCTCTGTGAATTCATGTCTGTCCAACATGAGAAAGTGTCAGGCCAAGAGGGCCACGGCTCCCAAGCCATTCACTGTGACAGCTCCCCAGCCACTACGGGTATTTGGGTTTGCAGCCCTGGCTTAAAGTCCTGGAATGCTAAGGGCTGGGCTGGCTTTCCTGACAACATTCACTCTAGGCTTCTTTTTTTTTGAGACAGAGTCTTGCTCTGTCGCCAGGCTGGAGTGCAGTGCTATCTCGGCTCACTGCAAGCTCCGCCTCCTGGGTTCATGCCATTCTCCTGCCTCAGCCTCCCCAGTAGCTGTGTCTCTACTAAAAAAAAAACAAATACACTCTAGGCTTCTTAATGCTTAGACCTCAGGAATGAGGTGGTTGCTCTCCCTGGTCTGCACACCATGGAACTCAACACCCCCTGGCCATCTCTCACGGCACCTACCTAGACTTCTCCCGCCCACCTAAGCAGATGGCCAGAATAAACACTGAAGAAGAGGACAGCTGGTTTTGCCCACCTGGAGGTGAACAGGGCTAGGCCTGCATCCAGTCCACGCCAGAGCTGCCCCCTGGAATGTTTTCAACTCATTTCTGCCTCGGTGCACACAGTGGGGCATGCTCCTCTGTGGGGCACACAGACCCCTTGGGCACGCGCTCACTGTGATCAGCATGGCAGTTCCCAGTGCCTGGGCTCAAATGCTTCTCCATTCTCTCCCACACAAGAAAGCTCAACAGAGTGACAGAGGACACTGTGTGTGCAAAGACCTGGAGGATAAAGGGGACATGGGAAGTTTGGAGACCAAGAAGCAGTTTGCTCTGGCCGAGATGGTGATGAGACAGGAAGCTGGAGAGGAAAACTGGGGCCCGAATGTACTAAGAAAAAGAGGTCTGACTTGCTCCTAAGAGCTATAGAGAGCCATTGAAAGGCAGAGTGAAGCAGAGTGGTTTGGTCTGATCAACTGTATTCTATTTTACAGAGAGAAGAGTGAGGCACGGAGAGCTGAAATGACCAGCAGCGTCAGAACATGAACCCACGCCACTCATCCTTGGATTCCAAGCCTAGATCCTCCTGTCCTATCCTTTGCCTCACACCTCCCACCCAATGTATTAAGACCCCATGGGCTGTGTGCTATGGTTTGAATGTCCCCCAAGATTCATGTGTTGAAACTTCATCACCAGTGTGATAGTATCAAGAAGTGAGATGTTTAGAAAGTAAATCATGAGGAGAGAGCCTTCAAGAATGGAATTAGCAGCTGGGTGCGGTGGCTCACACCTGTAATCCCAGCACTTTGGGAGGCTGAGGTGGGCAGATCATGAGGTCAGGAGTTTGAGACCAGCCTGGCCCACATGGTGAAACCCCATCTCTACTAAAAATACAAAAATTAGTCAGGCATGGTGGTGGGCCCCTGTAATCCCAGCTGCTCGGGAGGCTGAGGCAGGAGAATCGCTTGAGCCTGAGAGGCGGAGGTTGCAGTGAGCCGAGATCGCACCATTGCACGTCAGCCTGGGAGACAGAGTGACTCTGTCTCAAAAAAAAAAAAAAAAAAAGAGTGGAATTAGCAACCTTATGAAAGGGCTGGAGGAAACTAGTAATCACTCCTTTTTGCCCTCTGCCATGTGACAGCACAGCACTCGTCGTTTCCAGAAGAATCCAGAGTAAGACAGGAAGCAGAGAACATCCCTCACCAGACACCAAACCTGCAGCACCTGGATCTTGGACATCCAGCCTCCAGAACTTGAGAGATAAATTTCTATTGCTTAGAACTTGCCCAGTCTGTGGTATTTTAGTATATTAAGTTGGTGCAAAAGTCATGGGTTTTTTGCCATTACTTTAACGTAAAAAACTGCAATTTTTTTGCACCAACCTAATAGCAACACAATTGGATGAAGACACTGTGTACATGCTATGAAACCCAAGCCAGAATCACAGGCTTCTCTCTGGAGTCATACAGGGCAAGCCCCAGCTCTCTCTTGGGTGCTAACTTTCCAAAGTCTGCCCCTGAGTCTGCTCTTCTCCACGCTTGAATAGCAACAATGTGTCCTAGCTGTGGGACCTTGGACCAGTGACTTGCCCTCTCTGAGCCTCAGCTAGCTCATGTGTAGAATGGGGGATAATATCGACGGGAAGGGTAGGGTGCTGTATGGCGCATGCCTGATTTGCAGTGAGCCTGAATCAACAAATACTTTGAAGTCTGGAATGGAGGCCCAAGTGGAGCTTATCATGCAACCTAGGGCCACATAGAATGAGTCCCTCGGCATCTGCCCCAGGCAGGCAGGCTGTAAACCTGGACAAATACTGAAAGGACAAATACTGCAGGACAATACTGAAAACCAGAATTGAGGTTCCAGGGACCAACTCTGAGACACCCCATGGAGCAATTCCCAGAGTTTGAACAAGTGAGCAGGGGAGAGTTTTCTCGTTCCTTTTGGGAGTGTTCATTCATTCCACTTCTGTATTTTTTTAACATTCTCTTTCCCCTGACTTGAGGTTGATTTATTTAAGCAGTTTCCCTTCCAAGAAAAAATGCCCTCTGCCTCTGTCTCTATCAGTGGAGAGACCGACACTTAGAACCAAGAAGACCCTGGTTTAAATCAGTTCACTCAAGACATTGGCTGATGGGCAGTGCTTCTCCCTCCAGCCCTGGCTCTTGAGGGGTCTGGCCAGCCCAAATAGTGGCATGTTCACACTTGGCCTGACCCACCACTTCCTGACACATGTCCTATTCGGCTGGGGAGCAGGGAAACAGTTGAGAAGACATGTATCAAGACTTGCTCATGGAAGCAGGAATCCAAGATGCCCATTACAGGGGAATGCTCCTGACATCTTACTTCTAGACGCCAGTGCCTTTCTCTTTCTCTTTGAGGGGTGTTTAAGCCTCGGTCCCTGACCTCAGCATTCACATAGCCTGCCACTGTGCCTGACCCAGCAAGATCAGTGGTTGAATGAATTAATTAATTAATGGTGATAAAGTTCTAGAAGCATTTGGAATAAGAACTTTTTTTTTTGGAGACAGGGTCTCACTCTGTTGCCCAGGCTGGAGTACAGTGGCATGATCATGGCTCACTGCAGCCTCAGCCTCCCAGGCTCAAGCCCACATCAGCCTCCTGGGTAGCTAAGACTACAGGTGCACACCACCACAGCCAGCTAATTTTAATTTTTTTGTATTTTTTGTAGAGAAAGGGTTTTGCCATGTTGCCCAGGCTGGTCTCAAACTCCTGGGCTTAAGTGATCCTCCTGCCTTGGGTTCCCAAAGTTCTGGGATTACAGCCATGAGCCACCACACCCAGCCATGTCTTTTTAAATACACAGTGGTGCACTGTCTTTGCAAATGTCAGTGTTTGTATGACATGGAAGACAAGAGTGTGGAATCTGGAGCCAATCTGCCTGGTCTCAAGTCCTGGCTCTGCCCATTTCATGGCTGTGTGGCCTAGGGCAAAGTACCCAGCCTGTCTTTGCTGCAGTTTCCTCATCTGTGAAATGGGGATAAAGCTGGTATCTACCTCATGAGGTTGTTGTAAGTATTAAGTTAATGCATGAAAATTGGCGCATAGTAAGCGCTCAGAAATGATTACTGCTATGCTAAGAGCCTGGCCGGAGGTAGAAGAGGGTAAAACAGGAAGTTCTAATGGTTTTTCTTTCAAGAAATTGTTACTGAAACCACAGGGGTTCGGGCTAGGTCCTGCTGCTTACAACACAGAAAGCCAATCACTAAGACAATGAGGATTGCCGGGGAAGAAGGCTTCAACTGGGTACCGCATCCAAGGAGATCAGTCCCAACTCTGTCTCCCTGACCAATTAAACTTAGGGGTTTATATAGCAAGGAAGAAATGTAACTACATCTAGGAAAACAGGAATTAGGGAGGGGTAAGGAAGAGGAGTTGGTCAACAACAGGCAGGCGTTGGCTTAGGAAATCATGAAGGGTGAGAGGTCTGGCATCTCATTGTCCAGATCCAGTGAGTTTCAATCAGGGAGGCCTGATGGTTGGTTTCCTGAGAAATGAACTCAGATAAGACAAATGTAACTTTGCCAAGTTTCAAGACTGGGAGGTTTCATTTCAATATTTATTCCAAAGTAGCCATAAATGTCAGTTCTATGGGATAATTGGGTCTGTTTCAAAAATGACAAGATTGCAGCTGGACACAGTGGCTCACGCCTGTAATCTCGGCTCTTTGGGAGGCCAAAGCAGACAGATCACCTGAGGTCAGGAGTTCAAGACCAGCCCGGCCAACATGGCGAAACCCCTTCTCTACTAAAAATCACAAAAATTAGCTGGGCATGGTGGCAGGTGCCTGTAATCCCAGCTACTTGGGAGGCTGAGGCAGGGAGAATTGCTTGAACCCAGGAGACGGAGGTTGCAGTGAGCCGAGATGGCACCACTGCACTCCAGCCTGGGGGACAGAGTGAGACTCTGTCTCAAAATAAAAAAAAAATAAAATAAAATAAAAGAACTTGGCTTTTGATGCCAGTGATGCTGTGCAAAGGCAGGGAAACACCACATGAAGAGCTCCTAGACAAAGTCTCCTGTTCCATTCTAGATGCAAGCCCAAAATAAACACAGGAATAAAGCTCAGACCCAGTGGAGATCAAAGAAAGGCAAACCCAAATAACAGTGACCTCTTACACTGGCAATATTTTTTTTTTAAAAAATAGCAAAACCTGGCTGGGCGAAGTGGCTCACGTCTGTAATCCCAGCACTTTGGGAGCCAAGATCATGCCACTGCACTCCAGCCTGAGCAACAGAGTGAGACTCCGTCTCAAAAACAAACAAAAAAAAAGCAAAACCCAGTGCTGGTGAAGGTGTGGGGAAACATTCATTCTTTTGATGGGAGACTTCTGAAGGGCAGTTTGGTGACGTGTATCAAACATCTTAACATGTTTCCTACCCTTTCATCCAGCAAATCCAGTTACAGGAATTTATTTTATTTTATTTTTGAGACAGGGTCTCGCTGTGTCACCCAGGCTGGAGTCCAGTGGGGCGATCTCAGCTCACTGCACCCTCTGCTTCCTGGGTTCAAGCTATTCTCCTGCCTCAGCCTCCCGAATAGGTGGGACTACAGGCACATGCCACCACGCCCTGCTAATTTTTGTATTTTGTTTGTTTGTTTGTTTGTTTGTTTGTTTTGGTAGAGACAGAGTTTTACTGTGTTGGCCAGGCTGGTCTCTAACTCCTGGCCTCAAGTGATCCACCCACCTCGGCCTCCCAAAGTGCTGGGATTACAGGCGTGAGCCACCGCACCTGGCCCAGTTACAGGAACTTATCCTAAGGAATTAACTGTGGCTGAATGCTAATATTTAATGTTATTAAACATTAAATGTTGTTTATAATAGTAAAAAACTGGAAAACCACTCAATTGCTGAATGACAGGGGGCTGGTTACATCAGTATGGTTACACATATGATGGATTCTCTGCAGCCATTAAAATGATCATGCAGGTTTTTTCATGACAAAAATGTTTAGGATACATTAGATGACAAAAGTGGGCTGTAAAACAACAAGCGCCATATGACCTCATTTTTGTGAAATGAAGTATTATCTCTAATATGAATATATCTGCACAGATAAATGATTGGAAAGATAGAAACCAAAGTGTTGACGGCCGGGCGCAGTGGCTCACGCCTGTAATCCCAGCACTTTGGGAGGCCGAGGCGGTCGGATCACGAGGTCAGGAGATCGAGACCATCCCGGCTAACACTGTGAAACCCCGTCTCTACTAAAAATAAAAATAAATAAAAATAAATAAAAATTTGCCAGGCATGGTGGCGGGCACCTGTAGTCCCAGCTACTCGGGAGACTGAGGCAGGAGAATGGGGTGAACCTGGGAGGCTGAGCTTGCAGTGAGCCAAGATGGCGCCACTGCACTCCAGCCTGGGGGACAGAGCGAGACTCCGTCTCAAAAAAAAAAAAAATGTAGATTAAACACAACTAAAAAGAAAACAATAAATCTAAAAGAGAGAGCTGAATAAATTATCATGGCATAAACTACCCAGAATGCAGCAGAGAGAGATAAAAACATGAAATGCTAGTTAAAACACAAAGACAAGGCCGGGCGCGGTGGCTCACGCCTGTAATCCCAGCACTTTGGGAGGCCGAGGCAGGCAGATCACGAGGTCAGGAGATCGAGACCATCCTGGCTAACACGGTGAAACTCCGTCTCTACTAAAAATACAAAAAAAAAAAAAAATAGCCAGGCGTGGTGGTGGGTGCCTGTAGTCCCAGCTACTCAGGAGGCTGAGGCAGGAGAATGGCGTGAACCTGGGAGGCGGAGCTTGCAGTGAGCCGAGATGGCGCCACTGCACTCCAGCCTGGGTGACAGAGCGAGGTTCTGTCTCAAAAAAAAAAAAAAAAGAAAGAAACCAAAGTGTTGACAGTAGATGGTGAGTATTTTATGGTTTTCCCTCTCTTTATCTGAATTGTTAACAATTTCTTTAACAAACACGTATTCCTTGTGTCATCACATAGCAGTTAAGAGCTTGGGCTTCAGAGTTAGGCTGCCTGAGTTCAAATCCCAATTCCATCATGGGTTAGCTGAGACCTCTCTGAGCCGCAGTCTTCAGGTACAAGATGGAGAGAATAATAATAAAGCCAAGACGCTGGCTGGGTGGGTGTTGGAAGGCTCTAAGTGAGATGATACAACCCGTGTGCTCCCCCTGGCACAGTACCCCACAGTTATCCATTACTGTTACTGTTATCACCATGACTAATTACTGTTATAATTATTAATATAACCTTTGCAATTAGGAAGGTGAGAAGCCTTGGCCTCTGCCCATATCCTCTGGCCACCCAGAGTCCCCGAGAGCTGTCCCCACCAGCTCTTCCCTGCCAGGTTGGCGCTCGCTCTCAGACTTACTGTGAGGCCTTCAGCCCACACTTGCCAGAACTCCCGTGTTTTCTCCTCCGTGCCCTTTTCTGCAGAGAAGGCTTGGAAGAAACAGCCCAGCAAACACCAGTCTCCTGGCCCCAGAGCGAGACGTGGAAGTTTGCAGAAATGCATCACCAAATGTTTGATTTGGGAGGAGAGGAAGAGCAGAGCTCATACCGAGAGCAAAATAGGACAGAAAGGAGATTTTTCAGTAAGGGCTGAGGAGAGACCATCGTTCATCACTGGGGCCTCCTTGTTTCCTCACTTAGTTTCTTGACTTCAGTCCTGACCACCTCATTTGCTGTGGAACATCTGGCCCCAATATGGGGCTGATTTAATAAATCCAAGACATCTTCCTTTGCCCAGCAGACTTAGAAGAAGCCAAGGAGAAACCCTGTGGGGTTGCCAGCAAGGACCCATAGAGGCAAAGAGACAGACAGGAAAGAGGAGGATGGTGAATAACCAAGTGGGAACCGGGGCGCATCTGGCAGGTGAGCTGAGACCCATGTGTTCAGAAATCAAGATTATGGGCCAGACAGAGGCATGCCCATTGAAGCCAGCAGCAGCCTCCAGAAGCGACCACCTGCCCTTGGTTTCTATCCTTTCCTGTTGTTCCTCACTAGGCAGGAACTGGCTTTATGTAGGTCACAGATTTTCCAGATATGGGAGAACAGGATTTGGGACACCTTGTAGTTGTTACACACACACGCGCACGCGCGCACACATACACACGCCCCCTCCTCCCAGACTGGAGGGCAGAAGGGTCATGGAGCTTCAGCTAGAGTCCCTCCTCCTGTTGGTCTGGCCTGTAGGGATACTGTAGCCCCTCTGCCTGCGGATGTCTCATGACCCCAGACAAAGCAGAGTGACTGTGGCTGACGAGCATGTCGGAAGGGCTGACGGGAGCATCAGGTTGAAAATGAGAGAAAGAAGTGCATGAAAGAAGTTGTGATTCCTAGAAGTTCCCACTCCACCCACTTCCCACAACAACTCCACTACTCCAAATGAGAAATTAATTCCTTCAGGATCAGGGTTGCGAAGGAGGTGCCAAAACCTAAGAAAAAGGCTTTGTGTTTGCAGGGTGTGAACTTGGTTTAAGAGAAGCTAGCCATGACGCAGCTATGGGACGGGGTCCTGGACGTCTCAGCATTTCAGGAGAGTTAGCAAGGCTGCCCTGCGCGGGGGTGGGGTGGATCTCTTCTGTTACTGGTGTTGGAGATAGAACAGTGGTCAGGGACATTAATTGTGGCGATCGATTTTCCTTATTCTCACTTATGTATGTAGAAGAGATTCAATGAATGGTAAAGTCATTATACCCATTCCCCTACAGGGAGTAGAGAGAGACCAGCTTTCCTCATTCTGAACTCTGGCCCTCTACAGGGAAGAAAGAGTCCCCAAACTCAATACTAAACAAACCCAGTGGTTTTCAGCACCGGACACAAGTTAAAATCTCCCACTAGTTCTCACACTTTCCTGGGTATGCGACGCCCTGCTCCTGAAGGCCTTGTTAAAACACAGATCTCTGGACCCCACCCTAACAGCTTTGGATTCTGTTGTCAGGGTGGGGCCTGAGAGTTTGCACTTTAACAGGTGCCCTGGTGATGCTGATGCTGCTGGTCCCCGGGTCCAACTTTGAGAACCACCACCCCACCCCCGGTCCTCAGAGACTGATTTGGTTGGTTTGGAGTGGGGTTTCTTTGGCAGCTGTTGTTTAAAAGCACCCAGGGTATCCCAGAAGAGCCATGGTTCACACCATCAAGGCCAGTTATGGAGAATCTTCTACGAGAGCACATTATAAAAATAAGCACTTTCAGCAGGACGTGGACTCTAAAAAAAATAAATAACATAAAAGTAGAAATAAGCAGAAACATCCAGCTCTCAGTTAAGTACTTGCTAAGCTCCAGCTGCTTCAACCTCATCTAATTCCTGTTCCCTTTCCACATCCTGGTCTTAGCCCCTCTGCAGCTTTGCAGGAGCCGTCTCCACGTGGCCTGGCCTGGCTGAGCTCTGGGGCAGGAGCGCTTGGTGGCATCTCTTGGCTCTGAGTCTACAGTTTCCTTGACATCTTATTGCTCTGATTTTCTCTCAAGTGCCTCCCCTTCTTTCCTTTGTTCTGGGAGAAACATTCCCTCATCTTGTCTATGTGCAGAGATCCCCAATGACTTGCCTTCCTTACGACTGAGCAGATAGAAAGCGACTTGCCTTGGTCTGTGGAATAGCCGATATCCTATGACCCTTATCCCTCCGCCTGGCGAGACCCACATGGACATAAATCACAAGGATGCCAAGGCAAGACTGTGGACCCTGCCTCCAGCCGAGGCCTGGCAGAGGGGAGCTGTGGGCTTCCAGCCCCCTGTGGGAAGATTTACCAAACAAAGAGCAGATGCTTCAAACAATGACTTCATTGCAGACTGGGTCCCAGTACATTCAGGAAGGGAGTGGCCCATGGATGCTGGCCAATCCTACTCAGAGGAGCCTCAAAGAGAAACCAAGCAGGCAAGCCAGTGACCAAGCAGCCACGGTGAGGACTGGGGAGGAAGACATGCACATCTCACCTCTCCTGGGCCAGGCAATTATAGGCAATATCCTAATTAATCCTTATGACGGCCAGGCGCAGTGGCTCACGCCTGTAATCCCAGCACTTTGGGAGTCCAAGATGGGCAGATCAGGAGGTCAGGAGTTCGAGACCAGTCTGGTCAACATGGTGAAACCCCGTCTCTACTAAAAATATAAAACTTAGCCAGGCATGGTGGCAAGTGCCTGTAAGGAGAATTGCTTGAACCTGGGAGGCAGAGGTTGCAGTGAGCTGAGATCGTGCCACTGCACTCCAGCCTGGGCAACAGAGCAAGATCCCATCGCAAAAAAAAAAAATTAAAATTAAAAAAAATTAATCCTTATGATGCCACAGTAGACCTTGATCTGGAAGATGTGACTGCTGACCTATCCTGCCTCCTTGGGTCTGATACAAACAAGCCGAGTGGGAACTGGCAAAAGGGCACGGGTAAGCACTCATGTATGTGCATACAGGTGTGTGTGTGCCTGTGTGCATGTGTGTGTTGATTCCTACCCCTCAGTCTTCCCAGCCCCAGCGCACACAGATTCCATCTTCATTTTCTTAAATCTTCGTCTTTGCCCATAACCTCCCCCATGGAGCCTCCCAGCCTAATTGAAAAAAACAAAAAAAGAGAGAGAGAGAGAGAAATGTTGAACTGTTATATGATTCCCCTTATCTCAAATGGGAGGAAAATCGCTGGAAAGTTTTAAAGTCTAGGTGTCAATAGTCCTGTGAGTCATTTTACGACTGGGTTCGGGCAGCCCCGCAGCCAAGCCCTCTTGCCTCTCTGAATCTGTTTTACCATCTATAAAATGCAGTCAAGGGAGGTGGGGAGGGCTTCCAGTCAGGTTAGTTTCACATCCATGCTTTGAGGCCCTGTGGTCCCAGAAACAGCAATAAACGGGCAAAACATTAAAAGGGAAAATTTATTTTTTTAATTTTTTTAACGTATGTTTTTTGAGACAGAGTCTGACTCTGTGGCCCAGGCTGGAGTGCAGCGGTGTGATCTCGGCTCACTGCAACCTCTGCCTCTAAAAGGGAAAATTTAAAAGCACCCCGTCTATCAGAAAATAAAAGACACAGTCACACTCAAAATCATTTTAGACCTATTTGTGGTACAAAAATGGACCGAAACCCCAATGCTGTAAGGTGCCAGAGACCTGACCTCTTGGGGCTCTGGGTCAGCGTCAGCTGTCTAGGTTGGGTGCGGTGGCTCATGCCTGTAATCCCAGCACTTTGGGAGGCTAAGGTGGCAGGATCACTTGAGCCCAGGAGGTGGAGGCTGCAGTGAGTCATGATTGTATCATCTCACTCCAGCCTGGACGACAAAGCGAGAACCTGTCTCAAAAAAAAAAAAAAAAAGAAGAAGAAAAAGAAAGGTGTTTCTTTATTGTCTTATCGTCTTTCCTGGCATCTCTTACAGCTAGGTGTACCTATGTGACTAATGTCCAACCAATGGAAAGTAAGTGGAAGCGTTAGGTGCGATTTCATAAAGGGAGAGTGGTACTCTTTTTTGCTTCTTCCACCTCATGACAGCTCAAATGCAGACATAATGGCAAGACTCAAGCCGCCATATTGGAGTGTGGGGTAAAAGCCACTCACTGAGGACAGCAGAACTGGATAGACGTCTCCTGAGTCCTTGATAATTATGGAGGCACCACGCTAGCCTTGGACAGCCTATCTCTGGAATGTGTGTGAAGTTTGTGTTTCATAATGTTGCTGTAATTTTGGGTGCTCTATTACTCAAGAGTGAATCTAATCCTCGCTAAATCAGAGGTGTCACACGTCGTGCCACTACTCATTAATTTGGGGCATTAGATTTACTTTCAAATTGTTGTTATTCTAAATAGCATAACATGAACCTCTTTATGTAAAAAACTCAATCTGCATCTCTGGGGTTTTTTTTTCTCGTACTCTATTATCTTCCTAGGATACATTTCTGTTAACAGAATTTTAGCATCAAAGAATATCTAGGCTGGGTGTGGTGGCTCACGCCTGTGATCCCAGCACTTTGGGAGGCCAAGGCGGGTGGATCACCTGAAGTCAGGAGTTCGAGACCAGCATGGCCAACATGGTGAAACCCCGTCTCTACTAATAATACAAAAATTAGCCCGGTGTGATGGTAAATGCCTGTAATCCCAGCTACTTGGGAAGCTGAGACATGAGAATCACTTAAACCCAGGAGGCAGAGGCTGCAATGAGCCGAGATCGCGCCACTGCACTCCACCCTGGGCGACACAGTGAGACTCTGTCTCAAAACAACAACAACAAAAATCTACATTTTAGTATCTCTCAATTCATGCTGCCAACTAATGTTCTTTTTGTTGTTGTTTTTGTTTTTAAAAAATAATAGACATGGGGTCTCCCTATGTTGCCCAGGCTGGTCTCTAACTCCTGGGCTCAAGCAGTCCTCCCACCTGAACCTCCCAAAGTACTGAGATTACAGGCCTGAGCCACTATCCCAGCCTACCAACCAATGTTCTGAAATGGTTGTACAAATGACATTCCTGCCAGTTGCATATTTGAATGCCTATTTCACAGTTCCTGCACTAGTACAGGAGGCAAGGGAGTATACGCTTTCTGTCCCCCAGCCATGCCCTTTGAACCACTCTGGACTTGAGCTGCAGCTGGGCAGTCTCTCCTGTCCCCACTCACAGCTTCCCCCTCTCAGGTGCCAGTAACATCTCCCAATTTCCTGACCCCAGACTTTCTCCAAAGCTCCAGAAGCTTACTCAGCTCTCATGCAGGTGAAGTGTGGCAAGGAGTTAGTGCCCCAAGGAGACGAGAGATGCTGAAACACACCTGGGTGTTTTTTATTTGTTTGTATTGGTTTTTTTCCCTTTTATTTTCAATTGACATATAATAATTGTATATATTTATGGGATACAGAGTGGTGTTTTGATAAGTGTTGGTTTTGGTAGTGATTTATAAAAGAGGAATAACTGAGTCAACTGGAGCTATTTTTGAGGATAGAGGTGAGGACCAGATAATAACAAAATAACAATAGCAATTATTTGTTTAACACCTACTCTGTACCAGATACTGTTTCGCTGTTGACGTAAAACAATCTTGGCCAGGCGTGGTGGCTCACGTCTGTAATCCCAGCACTTTGGGAGGCTGAGGTGGGCGGATCACCTAAGGTCAGGAGTTCAGCCTGGCCAACATGGTGAAACCCCGTCTCTACTAAAATACAAAAATTAGCCCAACCTGGTGGTGCTCACCTGTAATCCCAGCTACTCGGGAGGCTGAGGCAGGAGAATCACTTGAACCCGGGAGGCAGAGGTTGCAGTGAGCCGAGATTGCGTCATTGTATTCCAGCCTGTGCAACAGAGCGGGACTCCTTCTCAAAAAAAGCAAAACAAAACAGAAACTAAACAAAAATAAAACAATCTCTCAGCAACTCTGCAAACTAGATTATTTTATTATTCCCACTTTGCAGATGAGGAAACCAGGGCTTGGAGGTGTAAAGTAACTTGCTCAAGGTCTTGAAGTTATGAGGCTGAAGCAATACGGCTTGAACAAAGACTGAGCCCCACCTCGTCTGAGGTGGCGGAATATGAGGAACATGGTCTTAGGAGGGAGGAAAGAGTGGATGATCCGAAATGAATCCCAGTTTCCCCTACAAAATATGAGGGTCATGTGCAGGGAACCCTGACCAGTCCTCCTGTGAGTGTGTGTGTGTGTGTGTGTGTGTGTGTGTGTGTGTATTAGGATGGATGGGACAAAGTGATACATTACAAAAAGCCGGGAGAAGGAGCTTGGTCCAATGCTAACCGGCGCCATGGGAGTGAGGCTCCTATCTTCCTACAGAGAGTGGGAGCAGGGGCCCTATCTTCGGGGCTTGGCTGGAACAAACAGTTCTGGCGGCAGCCTTGTGTTTGTTCTCTCGGGCAGGCAGCTTAAGGGGAGGCAGGGTCATCCTGGACTGCGGCCTTGAGCTGTTGCAAACACTGCCTCACCTCCCGCCTCACCCCACGCAGTGCTGGAACTCTGGGCAGGGGGACAATGGTGGGTCTGTGAGGGTGTCAGGTTGTCAGGAACAAGGCTGGTGGCTTTGAGCAAGTTGTGCAACCCCTTCCAGCCCCAGGTACTCATCCTTCCAGTGGAGGATGTCACGGCTGCCTTCACAGGAGATGGAAAGATCAGCCCCTCTCCCAGCTTCTTGTGGTTCATTTGCCTGACTCTCCTGAGCCTCCGCTCAACTCCTCCCCATTTCCTTCTTCTCCCAGTTTTTTTGTTTTTGTTTTTTTTGTTTTGGGGGTTTTTTGTGATGGAGTCTCACTCTGTCGCCCAGGCTGAAGTGTAGTGGCGCAATCTCGGCTCATTGCAGCCTCCGCCTCCCGAGTTCAAGCAATTCTCGGGCGTCAGCCTCCCAAGCAGCTGGAAATAGAGGTGCCCACCACCACACCTGGCTAACTTTTTTTTTAATCTGAAAAGCCAGTAAAAATGCTGAGAGGTCCCTCTGCTACCAAGGTATGTGGGCACGTGGAAGGGGTCAGCTGCCTTGTCCAGATGCTGAGGGGCTGGTAGAGAGAAACATCAGCAGATGGGAGGGCTGCTACTGTCCCACAGAGAAGGGCCAGCTTGAAGCCATGGGCTTAGGGACCCAATGTTTGGGCTGACTGTTGTTAAGAACACAGTTTTGACGTTCCCCTGAGCTGAGTTCCCGTCCCGGCTCACAGTGCTTCCCTGGCTGGGCAACCTGGGGCTTGTGATTGTCCCTTTCACAGCCTCAGTTTTCTCAGCCCTGAACGTTGTGAATGTTGTGAGATTTGAATGAGATAATGCAGACAGAGCTTAAAAAGAGGCCGGATGCAGCAGCTCGCACCTGTAATCCCAGCACTTTGGGAGGCCGAGGCAGGAGGATCATTTGAGGACAGGAGCTGGAGACTAACCTGGGCAACCTAGCGAGATCCCATTTCTATGGAAAATTTAAAAATTAGCCCGGCGTGGTGGCATATGCCTGTAGTCCCAGCTACTTAGGAGGCTGAATCGGGAGGATCACTTGAGCCCAGAACATCGAGGCTGCAGTGAGCTGAGATGTAGCCACTGCACTCCAGCCTGGGCAACAGAGTGGTACCTTGACTCCAAAAAAAGGCGGACAGGAGGGCTTAGAAAAGAGCTTGGCATGTAGAAAGCCCTCCAAATGTTAATTTATAATTATGGCAGGGATGAATTTCAAAATCATAAAGTGCTCACAGACAACAAGCTGCCTTGTCCACAGAGATGGCTGCAATTCCTCTGGAATACTGGGGGAGGGTGAACAGTGATGACTAAATCCCCCTCCTCTCAGGCCCCAGGACTCCAGGGCAGCACTCTTCTTAGCCCTGGGTGTGTGGGGGGGTAAAGCATGGGACCCTCCTTCCAGTCCCCACTGCCAGCCTCCCTGGCCCCCCAACACCCTGTCCTGCTCTGTGCCAGGAGGCTGCTCACAACCCCCGGAGCACCTTATTCCTGTGACTGGGCCGAAAGACGAGGCTGGGCGCAAGCCCGGAGCCCAGTGATGTGTCACACGTGAATCTGTCACATGTGAAGACACAGAAACAGCCCCTTGGCTGTTACTAAAGGGAAAAGAGGCCAGCAAGGTGACTCACACCTGTAATTCCAGTGTCAGAGGCATGTGAACCAGAGCAGCTCCATCTTGAATAGAAGCTGGGTAAAATGAGGCTGAAACCCACTGGGCTGCATTTCCGGATAGTTAAGACATTCTAAGTCACAGGATGAGACAGGAGGTCAGCACAAAATGCTGGTCATAAAGACCTAGCTGATGAAACAGCTTGCAGTAAAGAAGCCACTAAATCCTACCAAAACCAAGATGGTGACGAGAGTGACCTCTGGTCATCCTCACTGCTACACTCCCACCAGCGCCATGACAGTTTACAGATGCCATGGCAACATCAGGAAGTTACCCTATATGGTCTAAAAAGGGGAGGCATGAATAATCCACCCCTTTTTTTTTTAGCATATCATCAATAAATAACCATAAAAATGGGCAAACAGCAGTTCTCAGGGCTGCTCTGTCTATGGAGTAGCCATTCTTTTATTCCTTTACTTTCTTAATAAACCTGCTTTCACTGCACCGCAGACTTGCCCTGAATTCTTTCTTGCACGAGATCCAAGAACCCTCTCTTGGGACATGGGGTGGGGACCCCTTTCCTGTAACATTGGCACTTTGGGAGGTCAAAGTAGAAGGATAGTTGGAGCCCAGGAGTTTGAGACCAGCCCTAGCAACATAGCAAGACCCCATTTCTACAAAGAAATTAAAAAATGTATTAGCTGGGAGTGGTGGCATGAACCTGTAGTCCCAGGTACCCAGGAGGCTGAGGCAGGAGGATCGCTTGAGCCCAGAAGGGCGAGGATGCAGTGATCTGTGATCGTGCCACTGCACTCCAGCCTGGATGACAGACCTGTCTCAAAAAAATAATAATAAAAAGAAAAAGGAAAGAAAAGAAATGCTCCTTTTCCAAACCTTTCCCCTGAAGAGAGCCTAGCCTTAGACTCTGGCCCGTTCCCTCCCAGGCACTCCAGACTCTTGTGTCATGGGATGACCCCCCCCCCCACACACACACACACCAGCCCTGTGTCTCTCCCTGGGTGCTTTTCATCCCCGTATTAATTCTCCAACCTTTGTTGGTGAATCCTCCCCACTCCCCGCATATGATCTCTCACATGGGGCTTTAACTGATTTTAAAAAATAACATGAACAAACAGTGAAACTAAAAGCACAGCTATGTTGAAGCCTGGTCCTCTAACCTAGTTTCAAATAATAATAATGATAATGATAAATACAGCTATTATTTATTGTGCTTTGTTGGAAGGACATTAGACAATAATTCAACATTCACAAAAATCCTGGGGTAGGTATCATGATCACCTGCATTTTACAGATAGGAAACTGAGTCATGGAGACATTAAGCCACTTGCCCAAGATCACACAGATCAAGGGAAGATTGTATAAAGCCCCTTCCCACACCAGCTGCCGCTTCCCGACTGCAGAGGCTCAGGGTGCTCTCTCTGTCCTCAGAGGCTTGTGTAACCATCTCTGTGCCCCGTTGCCCGGCCTGGACATTCTTGCTTTCAGGCGTGGGCACAGGGATCCCTCCAGTTGGCCACAGGCAGGAGCATTCTGAGTGAAATGCCAAGCCTGACTTAGAAAACTCTGCCCCAGACAGCAGCCCGATCATCCGCCACTGGTCGCCTTCCTGTGTTTATTCTGAGGCCACCATGCCTGACAAAGGCCCCTTGTCCTGTCCAAGAAGGGGACAGATTTTTAAGGACATGGATTGAGGATATGGGCTATTTATTACCAGGACTGGTTCCCTCTCCCGGAGGCGTAGGAGTTGCTGTCACGGTCTGTGTGGAAGTCGATGCTGGCCTTGCCGCCCCCTCCCCTGCTTGCTGGCCCAGCTCCCTGCCCACACTCAGATCCACCTGACAGTTTCCTCCACACACACATGCACGTGTGCACAGCTTGCCAGGGTGCAGGGCAAAGCGAAAGGGTATCTCCTGAGTCTATAATGGCCTATAGGATTCCTGCACACCTAAAGTCATTTGCAAAGTGGTGGTGCATGTGGACATGTGTGTGTCAGTGTCGCATATGCAGGACAGACTACAGAAGTTGCAGGGCCCGGGGCAAAATGAAAATGTGGCACCCCTTGTACAAAAGCATTAAGCATTTCATGATGGCAACAGCAGAGCATTAAACCAAAAATGGGGCTTTTGTGAATTTGGGGTCCTGTGCAACTGCCCAGGCCATATGCCCAGGAAGCAGGCCCTGCACACACATGTTGTGTTTACACCAAGGCACTTTTCTGGTTAAAGGGCTCCAGGCTTCCATTAGAATCTCAAAGGGTGGCAGCACAGTGGCTAACACCCATAATCTCAGCCCTCTGGGAGGCTGAGGTGGGCGGATCACTTGAGGTCAGGAGTTTGAGACCAGCCTGGCCAACATGACAAGACCCCATCTCTTCTAAAAATACAAAAATTAGCCCTGTGTGGTGGCACATGCCTGTAAACCCAGCTACTCCAGAGCTGTACTCTTGTGCCTCAGAATCACTTGAGCCGGGGAGGCAGAGGTTGCAGTGAGCTGTGATCGCACCACTGCACTCCGCCTGGGTAACATAGTGAGACTCTGTCTCAAAAAAAAAAAAAAATCTCATAGAGGTCCAGGATACTCCAAAGGTTATAAACCATTTAGTAGCAGAAGGTCAGTGTCAGACAGGCCTGGGTTTGAGTCCCAGGCACGTTACTTATCCCCTGCAGGACTGGACTAAGTTCTGTGCCCTTCCGAGCCTGTTTCCTGGTCTGTAGAAGGGGGATTGTCATAACACTGACCTCCCAGTGCAGGAGAGATGGGAGCCAGCTCGATACAGTATGTGGCATGTTTCAAGCTCCCAGTCAGTGGTTGGTTAGTTAACCTTTAGTTAGGTCTGTTCTGCTTGTTATTGTGTGATGTCACCTAGAAGTTTCTAAATCCTCCTGCCAGTTTAACCTCAGCTAGCTGTGCCTTCCGTGGATGTCCCCAGCAGGCCCAGCACAAAGCATGGCAGGAGCTCTCGGGGACCCGAGTTGGCGTTTCTGTCACCTGGTCTGCTGTGAAAAGGGGTGGGCTGCACAGGCTCAGCTGGCCTCTTCCTCCGGCCCTGAGCGTTCGTTGGCTGACCTGACGGATCTGCTGTGCAGTATCTGTACTGTAAGAACATGTGACGGGGCAGCAGCCTGAGAGGACCTAGGGCTGGCGGATGCAGGGTTCTAGGCTGAGCTCAAAGGGTCTGGGCCCCTACCTGATAGCTTCTGAGTCAGTGTCACTCTGGACAGAGCCTTTTTCCAAAGCAGGACACCCAGGAGAGGGTTCTCAGGAGACCTGGGGCCCAGTGGCCCTTGGTGGCTGTATTTCCCCTCCAGTGTGGTAGCTCCTCAGGGGTCTCTGTGCTGCCTCCCCAGTTGTCCCCACTGGGTCTGCTAGCATCACAGGGAGAAGCCCCCTGTTACCTAGTCACCCCTTCCCTCCTTTCCCCAGCCTGATCTCCTAGTCCCTCCCCTCCTCTTTCAGGGCAGAGACTCCCAGTGGAGAGGAAGGAGGGGGACACCAGGCTCTAGGGCCTGAAAGGAGGGGCTGAGACGCCTGGTGTGACCTCACCTTGGGACATTACAGCCCCTCGGGCCTCCATTTCCAAGGCTGTAGCGTGCAAGTGAAGTCTTCGCTTCTGCCCCGGGGAAGCCCTGCCCTGTGCATCCAGGGAGGCTTTTCCAACACACACAATGTGCATTTCTTTTCTTTCTTTTTTTTTTTTTTTTTTTTTGAGACAGAATCTTGCTCTGTGGCCCAGGCTGGGGTGCAGTGGTGCAATCTTGGCTGACTGCAACCTCTGCCTCCCAGGTTCAAGCGATTCTCATGCCTCAACCTCCCAAGTAGCTGGGATTACAGGCGCAAGCCACCACGCCTGGCTAATTTTTGTTTTTTCAGTAGGGATGGGGTTTCACCATGTTGTCCAGGCTGGTCTTGAACTCCTAATTTCAGGTGATCCACCCGCCTCGGCCTCCCAAAGCGCTGGGATGACAGGCGTGAGCCACCGTGCCTGGCCACGCAATGCGCATTTTTGAACTGATGAGAAATGGAAAGAACCAAAGGTCCACCACGAGGGGAGGGGCAGACACATGGCTGGAGAGTCCTATTATGAAAGGTATGCAGCAGTCAGAAGCTAGGTGGGCTGACAGAGAAAGGTGTCCAGGAATTTTTTGTTTTGTTTTGTTTTTTTGTTTTTGAGGCAGAGTCTCACTCTGTGGCTCAGGCTGGAGTGCAGTGGCACGATCTCGGCTCACTGCAAGCTCCACCTCCCGGGTTCATGCCATTCTCCTGCCTCAGCCTCCCAAGTAGCTGGGACTACAGGTGCCCACCACCATACCTGGCTAATTTTTTTGTGTTTTTAGTAGAGACGGGGTTTCACCATGTTAGCCAGGATGGTCTCGATCTCCTGACCTCGTGATCCGCCCGCCTCAGCCTCCCAAAGTGCTGGGATTACAAGCGTGAGCCACTGCGCCCGGCTGAAATATTTTTAAGTGAAAAATGAAAATTGCAAAACAACACATACAGTATAAATAATTTATATGAAAACAAACTGCTATACATTCTCTAAACATACTGATGTGCAGGGAAAGGTCTAGAAAGATATATTTTACATGGGTTATAGCGGTTACCCGAAGGGGCTGAAGGGGTGACCAAGGAGGATTTTCACCCTCCGGAGCCCTTCCCCCAGGCGCAGCGAGCCTATCCAGGCGCCCAGACCCCACAAAAGGAATGGAATTTCTAATCCCAGGGCTAGGGCCAGGTTGTACCACTGGCACTCAGAGTGGGAATCCTGTGTGGCTTGTAAATAACTAACTTCCTGGCCACTGATAGTAAAACTGCCACAGTCACCTTTTATTAACCACCCACCAAGGGCAAGGCACGGCCCGGCATCTCCCTCACAGCAACAAGGTGAGTATTATAAGCATGGAATTGACCGTCAAGAACTGCAGGGTCTGAGTTTCACCCTGCTTTTAGGCTAGCAAGGTAGCCTGCCATGGTTTCATGGATGCTGGCAGAAGACGCAAGACTCCTGGGACCCAGACAAAGGGCTTTATTGCTCAAACACAACAGGCAACAGGAGTTCATGTTCGCCTTGGTTCCCCTTGTCTCGTGGGGCAGATTTGGAGGTGGGCCCATGTTCAGTGGGTTTAGCTGAAGAACCCCAAACCTGGAAAACTCCCAGTCTTAGGAGGGGGCTTCCAGCAAACTTGCCCAATCTTTGCCCTGATGGGAAGCATTGTTTTTATTCCCCTGGAAAGCAAACAAATAAATCTTCCCTCTTCCCTGGAGGGAGACGCCAAAATCGCTAAGCCAAAGGGAAGAATCAAGCTGGGAACTAAGTCAAGCAGGTCCTTAACCTGGGAACTGAGTAGTGCAAACCTGCCTCCCAAGACAAAGCTACATACCTCCCTCACAATTTGCCTACAAGGAAATTCCTTGTCCTCCCTCACAATTTGCCTACAAGGAAATTCCTTGTGGACAAAGGACAGACAGAGTTCAGAGTCATCCCTCTGCTCACAGGAGACAAATGCAGGTCTGATTATTTCCTCTGCCCTATTGTTTCACTAAGCCAGACTACGGCACAAGTAGCTATTCCTGTAAATTGGGTATTCAGTGAAAAGCTAATCAGAAACTCAAAAGAATGCAACCTTTTGTCTCTTATCCACCCTATGACCTGGAAGCCCCCTCCTTGCTTTGAGTTGTCCCACCTTTCCAGACTCAGCCAATATACATCTTACATACATTGACTGATGTCTCATGTTTTCCTAAAATGTATAAAACCAAGCTGTGCCCCGACTACCTTGGGCATGTGTCCTCAGGACCTCCTGAGGACGCATCCTTAACCGTGGCAAAATAAATTTTCTAAATTGATTGGGACTTGTCTCAGCTACTCTGTGTACACTTCCTAGGCTGTTGACTACACAAACGTCCTTGAAAAGATAATCCAGAACAAAAGCTGTCACAAGACAAGCAGGAATGCAAGGGGCCCTGGAGAACGATCTCCCAGCGTCAACAGACTGGGGAAGGGAGGCGCTCAGAAGTTGAGTCACTTCTAAAGGTCACACAGCCAGGACACACCTGACCCCAAAGCCCTTGTCTTTCCCTCCTGCCTCCAAAATGGGCTGCTGGTCTAGCCTGGGAACCAAACACCCACACGCAAGATTGCTTCCAAGTGAGTGTCCATGGTGTCATGGTTATCACGGTCACCTAGCAATATTGCTTCCACGGGAAAATCCGCTCTGAGTTCTGAACAACGACTTGTAGCAGAATCGTGGGCACAGGGCCTGTCTGTGGCTTGTGGAGCAGGCGCCGCCCAGATGTGCCTGATGCTGGGATCGAGTCATCCCAGAAGAAAAAATTCCTCCCTGGCTGCCCCTGGGTGATGTCAGAGGAGCTGGAAAGAAGAAATGAGCTTCTGGAGGTGGGATAAATGCTCTTTTCTTTTGCAGAAGGAAAAAAAAAGGTCACGTTGTTCCATATTTATTTAAATATGAAATTTATTTATAGAGCAAAAAGAGTTGGTGTTGACTTCCAGCACCCGGCCGGGAAGTGGTTTGGCCTTGTTTTTGTCTCCTCAGAGCACCCTGTCCCCTGGTGACCTAATGTGATTTTTCAGAGTTGGAGGCTAGACCCTGTCCCCAGGCTTTCAGACCTCCCTGGTCCCACCCAGTCTCTGGAGCCCATCCATCCCCGCCTGGAGAATGGCAGGTTGGGGCTCAAGCTTGGCACTGGGCTCCTCTGTCACTCAGTCCTCATCTGCAAAATGGAGGCGCGCACATCTGCCTCATGCCGCCCTCGCAGATAAAAAGCAGTCAAATAGTAAGCCAAGCAGCTTCTCACTTGGTAAATTGCTAATATGTGCATCTGTATTTATAGAGAAGGGAGCTGAGGTTTCAAGGCTTCCCTATCTGTAGTCAGCCACTGTCCCATAGTAGCCTTTGAAGAAGGTACGTCCCTGTCACAGCGCCCCTCTCGACTTCCTCCCGGCCACCCAGGAGGAGGTGTCTTCCACAGCTGTGCCTCTGAGCTGTCCCTGAGTCGCATGAGGTTTGTATTCTCAGAGGCTTGGGCAGGGCTGAGACTGGGGCCTCGTCCTGTAGAGAGTGAGGACTCTTACCCAGGAGATGCTCCCTACAAGACCCTTTAACATTGCTTATTGCATTTTAACTTCACAGCAACCCTGGGAGAAAAAAAGCTTTAACGCCGTTTTACAGATGGAGAAACCTAGGTTCTGAGGGTCTTGTGTGGCCAGGCCTCACGGCCAGTGGGGGTCAGAGATGGGACTAGAACAGGGACAAGTCTTCCACTGTCTAGGCCTGGCTTCCTGTCCCCACACTGGAAAGCTTCTGAACCGTGACGCCGGACTGAGTGCCTGCACCCCTGATGCCATCTCTGATGTCTCACGTGTTGTGGTACAGCCTCAGTTTCCCCCTCTGTGCCCTGGGATGATGCCGGGCTTCTCGCCACCTGAGATTCTCATGGGATTCTAAGTTCTCCTCAGTTGAACTGTGTGGAGTTAGTTTGGAAAAGTCCAGAGAGGGTCAGTGATGTACCCAGGGTCACCCAGTGAGCTGAAGCATGCCAGGACAAGGTCCGAGCCCCCCGCCGTAGGGTCAGGGCTCTGCCAGCCACACCTCCATGGCACAGGCCTCTGCAGGGAAGTGGTGGTGGTGGATGGGTGGCCGCCCTGACTCAGGGTGAGCACTGAGAACCCTGTTCTTGCCTTATGTGAAACCATTCCTGGGTATGTCCCAAATAAGCTCCCATGGCAGACAGGGAAATTACAGGGCGGGGTGGCGGTGAGGAGGCCAGGAAAGACTAGGAGGACAGAGAGGATGGAAAACCAGGAGGAGCAGGCCAACCGCCCACACTTTCCTGCCAAGGGATGACTGGCAGCTGTGGAGATGGCACCTGCAGCAAGGTGCACCCAGGGGCCTTGGGGAGGGCCAGGCCCCCATCTCGGGAGATGCCTATCTGACCCAAGGCTGGACAGCTGGGGCTGGAGATGACCCCATGACATCTCTCACCACCCAGGCAGGGTAATGAAGGTGTCCCCTTCGCCTGGAACACTTGCTGCTCCCTCATACTTCAGGCCTTAGTTTCTCTCTTTAAAAAAAAATTGTATAAATATAAGAGGTACAGGTGCAGTTTTGTTCCATGCATAAGGTGAAGTCTGGGGTTTTAGTGCAACCATCTCCTGAATAGTTTACATTGTACCCATTGAGTAATGCCTCACCCCTCACTCTCTCCCACCCTCCCGAGTCTGCAGTGTCCTTCATTCCCCTCTGTGGGTCCATGTGCACTCCTTTTTTTTAGCTCCCACTTACAAGTGAGAATATGCGGTATTTGACTTTTTTTCTGAGTTGATTCACTTAAGATAATGGCCTTTGACCAGGCGCAGTGGCTCACACCTATCATTCCAGCACTTTGGGAGGCCAAGGTAGATGGATCACCTGAGGTCAGGAGTTCGAGACCAGCCTGGCCAACAGGGTGAAATCCTGTCTCTAGTAAAAATACAAAATTTAGCTGGGTGTGGTGGTGGGCACCTGTAATCCCAGCTACATGGGAGGCTGAGGCAGGAGAATCACTTGAGCCCAGGAGGCGGAGGTTGCAGTGAGCTGAGATCACGCCACTGCACTCCAGCCTGGGTGACAGAGAGAGACTCCATCTCAGGAAGAAAAAAAAAAAAAGATAATGGCCTTTGGTTCTATCCATGCTGCTGTAAAAGACATGATTTCACTCTTTTTTATGCCTGCATAGTATTTTATGAGCATATATACCATATTTTCTTTATCCAATCAACCATTGATGGACACTGAGGTTGATTCCATATCTTTGTTATTGTAAATAGTGCTGCTATAAACATACAAATGCAGGTATCTTTTTGATACAATGACTTCTTTTCCTTTGGGTCGATGCTCAGTAGTGGGACTGCTGGATTAACAGTGGTTCTAATTTAGTTCTCAGTTTCGAGTCACCTTCTCAGGAGGGCCTTCCTGACCTGCCTGGGTAGAGCAGCCCAGCCTGCTGGGTGCTGGTGACTATTTTCACATGCTTTATTTCTGCCTCATCGTCCTGGATCCACAAACTTGTGAAATCCATGGAGCTCAGCTTTGTCTGGCTTCCCCCACTGCCTCCAACACCCAGCACAGGGCCTGGCTTGCAAGGGGTGCCTGGTCCCTCTGCACGAGGCCCAGAACTATCATCGTAGTTCACTTGCTCACAGGACAGGATGACAGGAGGGCAAGCTGCACCAGTAGGTGTTCACGGATGCATGGGATAAAGGCAGGGCCCCACACAAGATAAAAATGCAGGGCTCTAGTTCAAGGATTCCTGAGCAAGGTTAACGTCAGTGGTGAGGCCATGTTTGTACCATGTGCCTTTGGTATGATGTGAGGGGAAGAGCACTTTACCTCTGGGGTCCTCCCAAAACCCCATAACTCAGTGGGCACAGTGGCTCACACCTATAATCCTAGCACTTTGGGAGGCTGAAGCGGGCAGATTTCCTGAGCTCAGGAGTTCAGGACAAGCCTGGCCAACATGGTGAAACCCCATCTCTACTACAATACAAAAAATTAGCCAGGCATGATGGTGCATGCCTGTAGTCCCAGCTACTCGGGAGGCTGAGGCAGGAGAAGCTCTTGAACTGGAGAGGCAGAGGTTGCAGTGAGCCAAGATCGTGCTACTGCACTACACCCTGGGTGACAGAGGGAGACTCTGTCTAAAAAACAAAACAAAACCCATAACTCCAGTCTAACCAGGAGAAAATCATCAGACAAATCCAAATTGAATGACATTCTATAAGATAACTTACCAACACTCCTCAAAGACTATGAGGAATTTCAAGACGACAGCAGAGTGTTAAACCAAACGCCAAGCCCTTCTAAGCACAGGGCCTGGGCGATAGCACAGGCCACATACCTGGGAAGCAGCCTGGGCAGGAGGCCTGAGAAGCAAATGTGGGGTGCCCCAGGCCCCCACAGCCCTTGGAAGCAGGAAAGGCGTCCCTGTGAAGGAACCCTGTGGGTGGGGGTGAGGATGGGGGAGGAACCAGGGGCCTGAGCTGCAGAAGGGGTAAAGGTGTGACTGCGGGCAGGACCCAGGGCCCCTCTCTGAGGGTCCTCAGCACAGGGGGGCTGCCATGAAGTTGGGCACTGCCCATGCAGGCCATGCAGCCCATCTACAAAGAGACCCCCATAGCTGCAGGGCCCCAGCAGCTGGGACATCAGAGTTCAGCCACCCACAACCCATGAGTGTCCCCTGCATCCCGAGTCTGCTCCTGTCCCCAGCAACAAGCAAAACAAAGATGGAAGGAGCCCCCTCAGTGTCAGAGACCCCTCACCGTGAGGGTTCAGCTCTGACCCCCACTAGGGCGTGCAGAAGCAATGCCCAATCAGGAACAAGACCAGCACTTTAAATTAGACAGGACTCATTCAGAAAACTATGTCAGCAGAAAAACAGAGAATCTTCTCAAGATATCTCCAAGGGGTAGAAATTGGGGCATTTGGCTTTCCCCAGCTGATAGCAGTGTTTGGGTGGAAAGTAACATGCCTTCATATTCAGGTCAAACTGGTACAGATTCCTCAGCAGTTCCCAATGAACTCTACGGGGAATGCAAAGAATGTTCTAATGAGGAAGGGGTCAGGAGGCCTGGGCTCTGGTTCTCTGTTGCCAATTTGCTGTGTGATTGGGATGAGTCCTTAGCCCTCTCTGGGCCTCAGTTTCCTTGGCTGAACAGTAAGGAAGCTGTTTGGGGTGAGCTCTGGCAGGCAGGAGCCTACTGTCCTCACTCTCCTGCAGGGCTGGCAGGGAAGGGAGAGAGATAGGCTGGGTGAGAAAGGGTCTCTGGGGAAAGGAGGAGAAGAGGGGCTTTCCTGGGGCTGATAGAGGCAGGGGAGCATCCGTGCAGAGGTGACACGGGGCGCCGAGGGGGAGGTTCCGCTGTGGTTAGGAGCTGAGTTCAGAACTCACACTTGGGTTTGGATCCTGGCTGTGCTGTCTACTTGCTGGGTGACTTTGGGCAAGCAGCTTAACCTCTCTGGGTCTGTTTTCTTATCTGCAATATAGATGAAACGGCCATCCCTATCTCACGAGGGTGCTCTAATTAGATGAGGCAGGGCCTATGAAAGGCAAAGGTGGTCAGGATGATTGAGGGCAATGGCGCTTTGCGAGCTGATACTACCTTACAACAACCCTGAAAGGTGACACTGTCAATCCTTGAGCCCTGAAGAAATGGACAATCAGTGCAAGAAAGTGTCACCCAGCAAGAAAGTGAACAGGACCAAGCTCCCCTACTCCACGAGGGTTCCCCAGAGGCATGTACAATGGAAATTGACAACAGGAAAATCAGCAGCCCAGTCACCATTTGAAAAGAAGCTCATGGCCCGATGCAGTGGCTCACGCCAGTAATCCCAGCACTTTGGGGGCCAAGGCAGGTGAATCACCTGAGGTCAGGAGTTTGAGATCAGACTGGCCAATATGGTGAAACCCCATCTCTACTAAAAATACAAAAATTAGCTGGGCATGGTGACAGGTGCCTGTAATCCCAGCTACTCAGGAGGCCGAGGCAGGATAATCGCTTGAACCTGGGAGGTGGAGGTTGCAGTGAGCCAAGATCTTGCCACTGCACTCCAGCTTGGGCAACAGAGCGAGACTCTGTCTCAAAAAAAAAAAAAAGAAAAGAAAAAAAGAAAGAAAAGAAAGAAAGAAAAATGATGAAAGAACCACCCCCCACAAAAAAATGAAAGGGAGACAGACAGGAAAGAAAGGAGGGCAAGAAGGAAGGAAGGAGGGAGGAAGGAAGGAAGTGCAGACAAGCCCCTGACCCATAGCACTGCACACAGCCTCTTCCCAAATGCCCTGGTGCAACCATGCCAGGACGGCCTGGAGCAGCACCTGCTGGCCACTTCCCTGGCCGCACGGTGCTGGCATCCTCCCTGCAGTCCAGCAGCCGTCCTCCACTGGCCATAAAGGCCCCTTTCTCTGGTGGCTGTTTGTGTTGGGCCCTACCCACCTCCACGGGCAGCCTCCAGACACTGCTGGCAGGCACGAGGACACAGTCCCTGCCCGCTGCTGAAGGGCCGCCTTTGTGGACACATGAACCAGCCGGCTGGTGCACCCTGGCCCTTGGAAGCCAGCTGCTTCCCCCTCCTGCTCATCCAGGAGGTAAACAGGACCGACAGCCAGCCTCTGCCACGTTCCCAGCCCCCTCCCCACCCAGCTCTGCGAGGTCCTGAATCCAGGAATGAACACACAGCCCCTGTTCTTCCTCAACCCACAACATAAGTCACTGCTTCTCTGGCCAGGCAGCATGTATCACAGGCACCACTGACGCGTGCTGCCTGGAAACAGGGCCCAGTCCTGCTTCCGCAGGCCTCCTGGAGCTGTGGGTGAGGCAGGACCGGGATCCGCCTGGGGCCACAGCTAGGGACAGTTCCAAGGTGTATTTCTCATTTTTAAAACACTGCATGTATTTAAACATGCCCTGCCTTGTTCCAGAGAAGATCTAAAGCAGCTACAAGGACACATCAGATGCAACCAGTGTAAATGAAGACTCGGATGAAATGCTCAGAATGACTTTTTTTTTTTTTTTTAAGAGACAGGGTTTCACTCTGTTGCTCAGGCTGGAGTGCCGTGGTGGGATCCTAGCTCACTGCAGCCTCAAACTCCTGGGCTCAAGCAGTCTCCCTGCCTCAGCCTCCTTAGTAGAGACTATAGGTGCACGCCACCACACCAGGTCGAGATTTTGAGTATAGTTTAAAACAGAGGAACATCAGAAGCCATGTAAATGTTCAATGATAGGGAATTGATTAAATAAATTACAATATAGCCACACAATTCAATTCATAATATTTATTATGCAGTGATTAATACTGAAGTTATAGGTATAGAACCTAATTAATTTACTACTTATGTATTTATAGAACCTAATGGCAAGTTTGTATGTATAGGCCTAAGAGGATTTTTCCTCAAAGGGAGCTAGAAGTCTCATGACCTTCTTGAAATGACTATGGCCTCCAAGAAGTCAAGAGTCACAGTATAAACTCTATGTATTGTAAAATCCCACTTTTACGTATGTGTGTAGTCTGGGAGGCTGTACCACAAACTTCAAAGTGTCCTTATCTCTGAGTATTAGAATTGTGTATTTTTTCATCATTCTTCTACCAGCGTGATCTATGCCCTTATCATGGTAAGCCACAACTGTGGCCATACATCTTCAAGCAACCAAAGCAAAACCAAAAATGTGGTCAGTTACTATTTCCCAGTGTTCATAGGAGAAAATAAGTGACTGCTTTTGGCATTAAAGAGGGTAGAGAGTTCTCTGGAGAGGCAGGGCAACTGGGAAGGAGGCTGGCTCATAGAGTGTGAGGACAGGGTGCAGGGAAGCCTCGATGAGGGGCTGAGGCATCTGCAAATATCAGACAATCCATCTGTCCAGGGGAACACCTGGCAGCCTCCCTCGGCTGGCCCCATTCAGGAAAGGGGCTGACTCATTTCTTCAAAATAGGATAGAGTGAGATGGGGTCAGACACTCGCTGTTCGCTTCTTCATAAGAAGGACAGGTAGCAACATCGCAAAGAGTCAGCCAAGAGTTGTCGACTGTCTGGCACAAGTAGAAGAATATTTGGAGGTTACTGAAATCAGAATATACAGAAAGCTGTTCACTCCACCCAAGCCTAGGAGGGCTTTTCCACCAACCTCAGAGGAAAATCTACAGAACATATTCAAAAGTGTTCCAAATATCTATTGCTGAGTCACAAATCACCCCAGAACTTAGTGAACTAAAGTTCACAACAGCAATCCTTTTATTATCTCTCATAGTTTCTGAGGTCCAGGAAATCAGGATGGGCTCAGTTGGGTGGTTCTGGCTCAGGAAGGATCTCATAAAGTTGTAGTCAGATGGAGGCTGGTGTTGGAATGGCTCAAGACTGGAACAGCTAGGGATGGCCGAGTGTCTCTCTTCATATAGTCTCAGGGCCTCTCCATGTGGTCTCTTCATGTGTGACAGCTTGTGCTTCCTAACAGCATGGCAGCTTCAGGATGGCTAGTCTACTTATATGGCAGCTCGGGCCTCCAAGCCCAAGTATTCTAACTGACCAAGCAGAAGCTGCATCACATACTATAGGCTAGGATTGGAAGTCATCCGTGTTACTTCCATTGCTTTCTATTGGCTATGAGCAAGCAACAGGCCCAACAGATTCAAAGATGCAGGACACAGACCTCTCCATGGAAGGAGTGTCAAGGTCACTCAACATCATGTAGATTGAGGGATGTTGCAACCATCTTTGGAAAATATAATCTTCCACACAGAGCCATCACCAATATCCAGAGCAGGTAAGAACAAACTGAGGCAAATGCAAGTCCCGAAACCTTTGGCCTTTGAACATTTGACATTGACACCCTAAGACTACCTTTTATCTACACCAAATTCAGCCATCATAGGCCTCAGTTAACCCACAAACACTTTGAGCTGTGATAGGCCCAAGTGTCGGCCAAGAAATGAGCTTTGGCAGTGGCCATCTTTGTCTGTCAGCAAGGCTGAGTTTGGGCAATTA
This sequence comes from Homo sapiens, assembly GCF_000001405.40. Classification (NCBI taxonomy): domain Eukaryota; kingdom Metazoa; phylum Chordata; class Mammalia; order Primates; family Hominidae; genus Homo; species Homo sapiens. The sequence goes on from NC_000010.11 coordinate 72,047,161, forward strand.
TTTAAATACACTGTTGAGGCTGGGCGCAGTGACTCATGCCTGTAATCCCATCACTTTGGGATGCCAAGGCGGGTGGATCACCTGAGGTCAGGAGTTCGAGGCGAGCCTGGTCAACATGGTGAAACTCCGTCTCTACTAAAAATACAAAACTTACCCAGGCGTGGTGGCACACACCTGTAATCCCAGCTACTCGGGAGGCTGAGGCAGAGGATCATTTGAACATGGGAGGTGGAGGTTGCAGTGAGCCGAGATCACATCACTGCACTCCAGCCTGGGTGACAGAGTGAGACTCCATCTCAAAAAATAAATAAACAAAAATAATAAAATAAAATAAAATACACCACTGAGTTTTACCCATACTATCTGATTTTTGAAAAATGAGTAGAGGCCGAGCACTGTGACTCACACGTGTTATCCCAGCACTTTAGGAGGCTGAGGCAGGAGGATCACTTGAGCCCACAAGTTCAAGATCAACCTGGGCAACATAGTGAGACCTCCATCTCCATTAAAAAATTTCTTAAAAGGTGGAAAACAGAAAAGTGGACCTACAGATGGAAATTATGGAAAAGGTGTTTGCTCCCACCCCTAAGACAGCTGAGGCTGAGACGAGTTAAGAGGGGCTCTCATCCGCCCATGTTGGATGAGAGTTAGCTGTGAGTTAGTTCTCTGGTGGAAAACAAAGAACAACAGCAACAATAAAAGAACAAATAAAACAATGTGTCTATCTAAAGTATTTTGGGATACAGTTATACAATGCCTGGGATTTGCTTTAAAATATTCCAGCAAAGAAACAAAAAGTACATAGAGGGACCAAGATTTGTCATGAGTTGCTAATTGTTGAAGCTAGGGGTGGGTACATGAGGGGTGTTTGTTTGTTTGTTTATCTGTTTGTTTTCTGAGACGAAGTCTTGCTCTGTCACCCAGGCTAGAGTGCAGTGGTGCAATCTCAGCTCACTGCAACCTCCACCTCCCAGGTTCAAGCGACTCTCCTGCCTCAGCCTCCCGAGTAGCTGGGATTACAGGCGCATGCCACCATGCCCGGCTAATTTTTGAATTTTTAGCAGAGATGGGGTTTCACCATGTTAGCCATGGCTGATCTCAAACTCCTGACCTCAAGTGATCTGCCCACCTCGGCCCTCAAAGTGCCGGGATTACAAGCGTCAGCCACCGCACCCAGCCATGTGTCAATTTTCTTAAGTTAATTGATTGATTCATAATCAAGAAAAGTCTTCAAATGGTTATTGTTGGCTGTTCCTTTCTTTTCCCTGTAGTATTCTTTTGCTGTTTTTGAACTTGTTTTGTCTGCCAAGGGAGCAGGTATCTTTAGTGGACAAGGGGTACCAGTCATAAAAGATTAAGAGACAATTATGGAAGAGTAAATGTTAAATAGAATGAATTTTGGTCATTAGCCTAATCCCAGACCTCCCCCGATCCCATCCACTCCCTGACTTGAAAAACCTCCGTTGGATTTCCCTGGCCACCTCCTGGGCCTGGTTGCCAGAGGCGTTTTCTGACGCAATGCCTAGCACGCCCTCTGGTGGCTACTGGCAGAAGTGCATAGGTCCGTGCTGTCTTTCTGAGCTCACAGAAGCCAAGTTTTAGAGCTTCCACTAGAGGTCACAAACTGGTTGCTCTACAGGCTGAATGCGACCTATAGATGTGCTATCTATAAAGCATGAATATAGGGACCAGGTTCTTAATATGTTACCAGCATTTAAAAATCTAGATATTTTACGTACAAATCCAGATTTCTGGCTTCTTTGGAAAGCCAAGTCTGACAATGACAGGCAGAGACCCGCACTCTCCAGTTACCCGTCTGGCCTCTGTGGTTTATGTTCAGTTTCTCCAGCACACAATCCCTGTAGTGGGCGGAATAATAAGTCCCAAATATTTGTGTCCGCCAGGAACCTTGGAATGTGACCTTATTTTAGAAATAAGATCTTTACAGATGTAATTAGTAAATCACCTGAAGATAAAATCATACTGGATTTGGGGTGGGCCCTAAATCCAACAATTTATGTCTCTATAGGAAGAGGGAGAATACCAGCTGGGTGCAGTGGCTCACATCTGTTATCCCAATGCTTTGGGAGGCCGAGGAAGGAGGATTGCTTGAGGCCAGGAGTTTGGGATGAGCTTGGGCAGCATAGCAAGACCCAGTCTCTACAGAAATTTTTAAAAATTAACCAGGCTTGGTGGCTCACACCTGTAGTCCTAGCTGCTCAGGAGGTTGAGGCAGGAGGGTCACTTGAGCCCAGGAATTTGAGGTTACAGTGAGCTATGATCATACCGCTGCACTCCAGCCTGGGCCACAGAATGAGACCCTGTCTCAAAAAAAAAAAAAAAAAAAAGAAGAAGAAAGAAAAAGAAGAAGAAGGAGGACAAGAAGAAGGATAAGGAGAAAGAGGAGAAGAAGAAGAATGAGGAAGACGAGGAAGATAGACAGGCACAGAGGAGAAGGCCATATGGAAATGGAGACAGCCTAGAGTGAGGCATCTGCAGGTCCAGGAATGCAAGGATGGCTGGCAAACACAGAAGCTGGGGACAGGCCTGGCACAGATCCTCCCCAAGAACTTCAAGAAGGAGCCAACCCCACTGACACCTTGAGTTTGAACTTTTGGCTGCCAGAACTGTGGAAGAATAAATTTGTGTTGTTTTAAACCACCCAGTGTATGGTCATTTCTCATGACAGCCCTAGAAAACCAACATGCAATCCCCAGGAAACCCTTGCCCTTCTACAACATCCCGCAAACAGGCCTCTGCTCTAAAGCCTCAAGGGAGGGAGAGCTCACATCTCCCAGCTGAGTGATGGACTAATCATTGGAAAGTTCTTTCTGCTAAACCGGTACACAACACAAACAACACAAAATCAGGCTAGAGTCTATAAAAAGTGGGGGGAAGTGTACCTGGAAAACACTGAAAAAAAGTGGGTTGAAACAAGATCATAAAAAGAAAGAAACCCTGCTGGTAGTGGGATCAGGGAGGGCTTCATGGAAGAGGTGGCACCTGAACTGGGCTTCAAGGATGGCTATGACAAGACAAGCAGAAACTGGTGGGAGTGCAAGGCATATTCCAGGCGATAGAGCAGTGAAAGACCCAGAGGAGGAACGTGTGGGTCATGCACAGTAACATTCATCCATCCCTTCCTTGAATATTTCTTCACCAAGCAGTGAGCAATGAGCTTAGTTGGATGAAGTTATGTGGCCAAGTGGGGTCAGTAGGTTGAAATGAAACAGCAGAGTCTAAATCTTTACAAAATCCTGGGTCCCCAAGCATGCTAAATAAAGAATTTGACATTTACACACCTCCCCAGGGGTTTTCCTTCAAGCTATTTCACTCACCTCTTGTATAGAGAGGGCTGTTGGTTTTGTGTCTTTCCAGGGTCCCTTCCCCTGGTAATAGACCCATGCCCTGGAGGCAAGCATGGGCACATGACTGGCCCAGACCTGGCCAATCACTGCATTCCATCCACCTGGCAACAGTAACGGATCCAATCAGGGTCCTTCCCTGGGATTAATATGCAGATTTCGGGTGCAACCAGCTCTCTCTGTCTGCTGGGGCAGTCTTGTTCCCTGCTACATGGAGACAGCCCATCAGGAGTCAGACAGAATGAGGCCAACAGGTGAAAAGAAACAGTAAAGCAAAGACGGTCAGCATGGAGGAGCCCTGGGGTGCTGAACTCACAGTTGCCATCCCCAAAGACCTGGTTCCTCAAATTCTTCCTTCAATTCCAAGACTTGCTGCAGGATCCCCATCTTCTGTGAGAGCCAATACATTATTTCTCTGTCTAAGCCAGTCAGAGTTAGGTAGGTGTCTGTCACTTGCAACCAAAGGCTCTTGGCTGGTACAGTCCTGTTTCTAAAACCCTGCCCCTGCTGACCAAGCAACCAGTGAAAGCAAAGGGAGACGGTGCCCATCCTGGCAGCAGCCCTCTCTCCGGTTCAGACAGGTCACTCCAGGGCACTTTCTGATGGGTGCTTAGTGCTGAAAAGGGTGACGCTGAAAAAGCACAGGGATGTGAATTGAAGTCAATTATGAATAGGGTAAGAGAAGATAACAAATCAGACTCTCTCCAAAGGACACACATGCCCACCCTCAGTCATTCCTTTGGATTACAGTTCTCTTTGAAATATAAGCTGGGACAAAAGTTCAAGAGGCAGAAAGTAGGCCAATTTGCCAAAATACCAAAATACCTTAGATGCAGCCACCAAATTTACTGGTGCAAATTTTGTAAATCAAAATTACTAAAAACTTGTTTTTTTAACTAAATATAACATTTTCAGAAATTCATGTAAAGTGTTGACATTTTGGTTTCCAACAAGAAGCAGCTGGGATATGTTGGCTTGGAAAAAATTTACAGAAAGATTCTAAAGGGAAAAGTAAAATTGTTTAAAGTAACTGAAGAGAAATGAATCTCCAACGGTGAGAAAAAGTACTAAGAGTGCTCTTAGATGTTTTATTTTATTTTATTTTTTATTTATTTATTTTTTGTGACAGGGTCTTGCTCTGTCACCCAGGCTGTAGTGCAGTGGCACAATCTCGGCTCACTGCAACCTCCACCTCCAGGGTTCAAGCAATTATCTTGCCTCAGCCTCCCAAGTAGTAGGGACTACAGGCCCATGCCACCACTCCCAGCTAATTTTTTGTATATTTTTGGTAGAGATGGGGTTTCACCACGTTGGCCAGGCTGGTAGATGTTTTAGACATGGATGATATTCAAATGACAAGTAGAGAAGGTAGCCTAAGGGTGATGTCAGGGCTGAATTGGGTCAAGATCATTCATTCATGCATTCATTTCAATGTATGTCCTGGTTACCCACGAGGCCCAGGCCTCAAGGATACAGATGTGACAAGACATGCCAAAGAACTTGGCAGGAAGCGCTTCAGGGAGTCAAGAAGATGCAACCCAGTTCTATATCCTTATAGATATATCGTATATCTAGCCCAGGGCAGGGTAGAGGCCTGTGCAAGGCCATCAAGGAGCAGAGGCAGCCTAGTTCTCTCTGCCTGCGGAGGTCAGGGAAGTCATGACATTTGAGCTGGGTTAATTTTTTTTTTTTTTTTTGAGACGGAATCTTACTCTGTCACCCAAGCTGGAGTGCAGTGGCGCTATCTCAGTCCACTGCAGCCTCTGCCTCCTGGGTCCAAGCGATTCTCCTGCCTCAGCCTCCTGAGTAGCTGGGATTACAGGCACCTGCCACCATGCCAGGCTAATGTTCTTGTATTTTTAGTAGAGATGGGGTTTCGCCATGTTGCCCAGGCTGGTATTGAATCAAGCGATCCACCTGCCTCAGCCTCCCAAAGTGTTGGGATTACAGGCATGAGCCACCACACCAGGCCAGTTTTATTTTTTTTTTAAGAGAAAGGGTTCCCTATGTTGCCTAGGCTGGTCTTGAACTCCTGGGCTCAAGTGATCCTCCTGCCTCAGCCTCCCAAGTAGCTGAGACTACAGACATGCACCACTGCACCTGGCTTGGCCTGGGTTTTGAAGGATGTGTAGGAAAGTAAAGAAAGGAGTGGTGAACATTTTCAGGCAGTGGGGGCAGCCCTAAGCAAAAGATTGTAAGGCACAGAGGGTAGAGGGAAAAGGGAGGACAATGAGGCTGATGACAAGGGTGAGGACCAATTCTCCAGGCTTTCAAAAGGTGAAGGAACTTGACTTTCACCCTGTGGGTAGTAGGGAGTCATTGAGGGTTTTATGTAGAGGAAAGACCCCACCTCACCCATCTCCATGGTAGTTATGACAAAAGTGGACGAGGAGCGCTAGAAAGGAAGGAGCTAGAAGCCCAGTTTGCCAGCTGCTGCAACTGTCCAAGTGACAGGTGATCAGGGCTAAGCTGGGGAATGCACTCATTCAGCAGGTATTGATGAATCTGTACCCAACTAGAAGGCAGACTTTAGCCTGGACAGTTCAGCCCCAACTATTTCTCCAGTCTTCATTTGAATCCTTTCCTGCCTCCCAGCCATAGCACGCACAAGGTCTGCAGCACCCTCTGCACACGGTGTGCACCCAGCAGACCACCACCATTCCCAGCCCTCCCTACTGTCACACAGGCCCCGTCACCCCTTCACAAAGAGTTTGCAACCCTTGGGAAAGCACCTTCCTGCCCCGAGAAAAATCACACTGAGACACGTGTTCTTGTGTCTTTTTTATTGGACTGTGGGCTTCCTAAGGCAGGCCGGGCACTATTTCCCTCTGTATCCTCTTTTGCACCACCTAACTCAATTTCTCCAAGCCTGATAAGCAAAGAGCCTTGCATACAGCAAGGGTGCAATAAACCCAGCCAAGTGGACATCCCATCTCCAAGGGTCAAGGCCGGATGGTGTAGCTCTAAGGAAGGGGCAGACCAAATGAGCTTTGACATCTCTGGGATTTGATGATCCCAGGATTCTGAATCCAAGAATCTGGGGTTGAACGGGCTCCTTGGAGCCCAGTGTGTGAGCAGAGGGAGAGGACAAGGAACAAAACCAAAGAGATCCAAGTTCAGTGGAGTCCCAAGCCTGCTGGGAACAATGCTGGAGAAGGGGTGCAGGGAGAGAAAGGTAGGAGCCCACGTCTCCCTAGCTGCCCTCTAACTGCTGCAGGATAGGCCGTCACCTGCCCATCAGCAGCTCAGCAAGTGAACAGGCCCTCTCAGCCCTGGCCCAGGGGTCTTGCGTCTCCTGATGGGGGCCCCTCCAGGGTGATCCTGGGGGTCCTGGGGCAACTTCATGTTGAACAGCTGGGCGTTGCCAGGCCCCAGGCTGGCCCTCCAGGACAAGGGGAGTGTTGGAGGACCTGGCTGGAGCTAGCTGCCTGGCAGAGTCAGGGAGGAGGCTGGGGCTGCGGAGGAGGAGAGGTTGCCCCACTGAGCGCAGCCTCTGTTGGTGTCACTGACTGTGATATCGTGATATAAGAAGAAATATGTATTTGGTCTTTGCCCTCAGTTCCTGACCCAGAGCCCAAAACCTTTGTAATTTCCTGAGTGATAGGAACTTCTGACACAGAGCTCTGAAATCCCTTGGAATTTCTGGAGTGATAGGAGCATCTTTTGTTCCAATGAGGTGACTCCTGGGGGGCTCCTGGATACCCTCAGGATAAGGACTGGCTGCCAGGGGAACCAACTACCCCCAACCGCTGGGGAAGGGAGAGGGGCCAAAGGTTGAGGCGATCACCAGTGGCCAGTGATTTCATCAGTCATGCCTACATAATGAAGCCTCCATAGAAACCCAAAAAGACAGGGTTTGGAGAGCTTCCTGACAGCTGAACACATGGAGGTTCCTGGAGGGTGGTGCCCATGGAGGGCATGGAGGCTCCACGTCCCTTCCCACCCACCTCACCCTATGCATCTCTTCCATCGGGCTGTTCATCTGTGTCCTCTGAAATATCCTTCACCATAAATGGGTAAAGGTGTCTCCCTCAGTTCTGCAAGGCTCTAGCAAATTAACTGAACCTGAGGAGGGAGTATGAGAACCCTGATCTGTAGCCCATAGGTCAGAAGCACAGGTCAGAACCTGGGGCTGGTGACGGGCATCTGAGGTGGGGGCAGACTTGTGGGACTGAGCCCTTTTTAAAATTGCTAAATTCATTTTAATTTTTTTTAGACAGGGTCCCACTCTCTTGCCCAGGCTGGAGTGCAGTGGTATAATTATGGCTCACTGCAGCCTTGACCTCCCAGGCTCAAGCAATCCTCCAGCCTCAGCCTCCCAAGTAACTGGGACTGTAGGTGCATGCCACCTCATCTGACTAATTGTTTTGCTTTTTTGTAGAGATTGGGTCTTACTCTGTTGCCCAGACTGGTCTCAAATTCCTGGCCTCAAGACATCCTCCCATTTTGGCCTCCCAGTTCGCCACTGTGCCTGGTGGGACTGAGCCCTGACCTGCACGATGTGTCACTCTCTCCAGGCAGTGTAGGAATTGAATTGAATGTGGGACAGCTAAGTGGTGTCCCCTGGAGAACAACTTGGTGTGTAGAGAAAAATCCCCACACATTTTGGTGACCAAAGGGGAAGTATTGTGTGTTGACAGAGTGAGAGTAGAAGAGAAAAAAATAGTTTCGCTTTTTTTCCCCCTCAGATAGACTATAAAGGAGATTGAGGCCAGGCACGGTGGCTCATGCCTGTAATCCCAGCACTTTGGGAGGCCAAGGCGGGTGGATCACTTGAGGTCAGGAATTCTAGACCAGCCTGGACAACATAGTGAAACCCCATCTATACTAAAAATACAAAAAAAAATTAGCTGGGTATTGTGGTGTGCACCTATAATCCCAGCTACTTGGGAGGCTGAAGCAGGAGAATCGCTTGAACCCGGGAGGCGGAGGTTGCAGTGAGCTGAGATCACGCCATTGCACTCCAGCCTGGGCGACAGAGTGAGACTCTGTCTCAAGAACAAATAAATAAATAAATAAAATTAAAATAAGGAGATTGAGAGGAGATAGTGCAGGGAGGGGCCTCCTTCCCCACCAGCGCCAGGGAAGCAAATATTCCTGGGAGACTTGGAAGGCATCCACCCTCCCCTCTACTGGCATGGCTGGAATCAGAAGAGGATGGGCAGCGGGAGCAGGAGCTTGACCTCAAGGGTCAGCCCAGCTTTCTCTAGAGGCTGACCCATCCCACAGGGGTGCATCAAGGATGCCCACCCTTCCAGAGAAACAGTGGCAGAGTCACACCAAATGTGCAATGTGAGAGAGAGAGAGAGAGAGAGAGAAAGCAAGACAATCCCGAACCTAACAAGACATTTTCTGGACTCGTACCTGTGCATGTTTTTTGTTTTTTTGTTTGTTTGTTTGTTTGCCTGTGCACGTTTTCACAGACTCACAACACTGGACAACTGAGTCCAATCCCCTCATCTTACAGATGGGGAAACTGAGGCCCATGGAGAGGTGCTGACCCAAGTTCAGAAGCAGGTCCTGGAAGAATCTCCATGTCTTACCTTCTTCTGTACTTCCCCAGTACCCACGCTCCCATCCACATTCAACCATGACTTACTGATGAAAACACAGGATTTTCCACCTTGGGCATTATCTCAGTGCGGGAGGCATGCCAGGAGTGGCTACAGCCCTGGGCAGCTGAACTTGCAGTGAGCCAGGCCTGGAGCAACACCAAGGCTCCACCACACACCCCTGCCTGAGCCAAGGTCAGCCCTGGGAAACAGAGTCTTCTCATCCATAAATGGGTCTGAGTGGCTGGTGATCCCTGCCTCGTGGAGTTGCTGAGGGGATTCAACAGCAGACGCAGCCTGGACTGGCTCACGCTTGTGATCCCAGCACTTTGGGAGGCTGAGCCCAGGAGTTCGAGACCAGCCTGGGCAACATAGCAAGACCCCCATCTCTACAAAAAGTTTAACAATTAGCTGGGCATGGTAGCACACACCTGTAGTTCCAGCTACTAGGGAGGCTGAGGTGGGAGGATTACTTGTGCCCAGAAGTCTGAGGTTACTGTGAGCTATGATCTCACCACTGCACTCCAGCCTAGGTAACAGAGTGAGAAACCTTCTCTGAATAATAATAATAATAATAATAATAATAATAATAATAATAATGTAAAGGACATAGGGCATTGAAGGGAACATAGAAATGTTTGTTTTTTCCTCTCCTCTCCCTCACCTATTTTGCTCAAAATATAAAAAGTTCTGGTTTTTGTTTGTTTTTGGTCAAATACACCCCCTCACCTCTCTGAGCTCTCCACAAAGGTGGCGGGTGGGAGGGAAATGCTGCCTGTAGGACTCTGTGTGCAGTCTGGGTTTTTTCTTTCAGATTTGTTCCCAGGACCCAGTTATTCACCGGAGAGAAGTCAATACATAGACCCTGTTCCCAGGAGGCTAAATGCTGAGGGAAAGCAAGGTGCCAGGATGCGGTGGGCACATGGGGAGGCCTGGTTGAGGACGGTGCTGTGCCCAGGGAGGGGGTGGGCAGGGGGTTCCCACGCATCTGGGCTCCAGCAATGGTTTCCCGAACGGCCGCAGCCACGTCTGTACTGCAGGTTGACACCTGGGCCTGTCCCCGGCAATGCTCTGTTTGCTGTTGGGCCAAGGAACCCTGGGAACCCAGGTTGACAGGACATGGTGACAATGGAAGGATTGTTCCAGAAGCCGGGGCCCTGGCTGGCCTCTGGCTTCCCGTCACCTGAGCAAATGTCAATCCGCCAGGTACAAAAGCCAACATTTCCCTGACGGTTGAAGACGCTCATTCAGAAGGCCTCCCCCTCAGCAGGCTGCAGGCTCCTCCTAGCCACTCCGAATCCGAAACCGCTGTTCTCATCACCATCCCTTTCATCCTACATGCTGGGAGCAGCCCCTTGGCAAACCCCATCGCTCCTCACGCCACCTTCCAGAAAGCTCCTGAGCCTCCAAGTCTGAGCTTGCTGGTGGCATTGAGACACAATGAATGGCAGAAAAGCTCCCTTCCTAAGGAGTCGTTCCAGCCAGACGGGCAGAGCGTGCCCTGGCTGCAGGCTGGCACCGGGGGCTTTCGCTGTTTGGAAAGCACGGGGGCTGGTTACCACAGGTGATCCATCCAGCAGATCCTGGCCCAAGGCCACAGTTAGCAAGCTCCAGGGCTAGAGATTAGAGCTCCTGTGCCCAGATTCCATCCCCCTCCACACCGCAAACAATTTGTTAAAAGACACGTCTAGTGAGGGGTTGGCAAGGCCCAAGAGAAGAAAAGTCACAGAATAATGACGACAGTCCCCCAGCTCAGATAATCCCAGAAATAAAAGTAAGACATTTAGGTATTCTTCTGCCACACTGGCCAGGCGTGGTGGCTCATGCTTGTAATCCCAGGACTTTGGGAGGCCAAGGTGGGCAGATCAGCCTGGCCAACAGAGTGAAACCCTGTCTCTACTAAAAATACAGAAATTAGCCGGGTATGGTGGCACACACCTGTAGTCCCAGCTACTTGGGCAGCTGAGGCAGGAGAATCGCTTGAAGTGGGGAGACGGAGGTTGCAGTGAGCCGAGACTGCACCACTGCATTCCAGCCTGAGCAACAGAGCAAGACTGTCTCAAAAAAAATAATAAAAAATAAAAATACATAAAAAAATAGAATCATGGGCCGGGCATGGTGGCTCACGCCTGTAATCCCAGCACTTTGGGAGGCCAGCACGGGAGGATCACTAGAGGTCAGGAGTTCGAGACCAGCCTGGCCAACATGGTGAAACCCCGTCTCTACTTAAAATACAAAATTAGTCAGGCATGGTGGCGGGTGCCTGTAGTCCCAGCTACTTGGGAGACTGAGGCAGGATAATCACTTGAACCTGGGAGGTGGGGTGGCAGTGAGCCAAAATCGTGCCACTGCACTCCAGCCTGGGCGACAAAGCGAGACTCTGTCTCAAAAAAAAATTTAAAAATTAGAATCATAATGCTAACAAGCATGTAAGGGCCCGATACATACTCCACTAGCGGCGCTGTCTCAACTGGTTTTACCTTTCTCACAAGCCGTTTGCTAAGAGGTGGTTGAAGTCTTTGAAAAGCTCATACCCTGGATGAAAATGCTCTGGAGTTGGATTGTGGTGACGGCTGTATGACACTGCGAACGTACTAAATGCCACTGAATTGTACTGTACTGTATTTTTATCTTTTAAGAGATAGTCTCCCTCTGTTGCCCAGGCTGGAATGCAGTGGCACGACCATAGCTCACTGCAGCCTCAACCTCCTAGGCTCAAGCAATCCTTAGCCTCACCCACTGCCCCTCCTTCTCAGCCTAATTTTTTTGTTTTGATAGATACGGGGTCTCACTATGTTGCCTAGGCCAGTCTCAAACTCCTGGGCTCAAGGGATTGTCCTGCCTCAGCCTCCCAAAGTGCTGGGATTATAGGTGTGAGCCACCACGCTCAGCCATAAATGCTGTTTTCGTGAAAAATAATACCAAGGGTAAGAATAATCAGAGTATTGCCAGCAGATGGTGTTTATAAAGTTTTTATTTTCCATTTTCTTAAAAATAACATTTGATTTCCTTTATGCATGTGTGGAGTGTACTTGTTTCCTTAGGCTGAGTAATAGGCAGATAAAGACGACACGAGGCAGGGTCCCCAAGTGGAGGCGGGGCGGGACGTGAGAGGATGGGGGCGCAGGGGAAAGGCAGGGCTGGATGACTCACGGGACTCTTGAGTGCCCATCAACGCACACGCACACAGTCTAACACTTTGTTTTTCAATTTTTTAAAAGACATCTAAAATTACTGAGAGATACAATTTCAGCAGTTAAATCTACAGACGGAAATCCAAGCACTTGAACACAATTCCTAACTCTAAGCTCAGTTATTGCACATCACACAGTTTAAGCAGGCTTCAGGCTGGAAAGCAGTTTGCTCTGCTGGGAACTTCCTCGGGATGTCTGGGTCTCCTTCTGTGGTGTCTCTCCCCTGGGACTGCCGCCAGCCCGCAGCCTCTCGACGACCCCAGGTATCAAAGCTCAGCCATTTGTTCTCCCCAGGGGCTGAGGGCTCGGGCTTTGGTGAAGCAGAGGGTCCCCGTGTTGATGCCAACGGACCCCACCCCCTCCAAAGTGAAGTTGGAAGCAGGTGAAGCTCATGGAAGGCTGAAGGCAGGCGGGCTGGAGTGAAGGGGGGTGACCACCCCCCACGTGTGGGACAACAGGGGGCAGTCAAGATGCCGCCACCCACCACCCCTCCCTTCCAAGCTCCCAGGCCATGCTTCCTTCTCCATCACCCTTGGACCCTCTCTGAGTGGTCTCTCAAGGCACATTTATTTTCTCTGCTGCAACCTACCAGATCTGACATCCACCTCCCCCAGCACCCATGGGCCAAGGAGGCCTGGGGCAGCCAAGGGGAGTTCCAGGACCAAGCAAGCAAGAAACCGTTCTTTGAACACATGGTTAAGCTTCTTCCAGCATGGCCCTAATTCCCCTACCTGCCTAAGCCAGGGGAGTGGGGGCAGGAAGGAGCGAGGCATCGAGGAGAGGGCACTGGAGGGGCTGGGTGGCAGGCCCCTTGGTCAAGGTCACAAATCAAGGAGCTGAGGAAGGACCGATCTGCAACCTTGCTCATGAGGAAACCTTAACCTTGTCTAACAAAAAGCCACTTTGAGGCCGCCCTTCAGCTCCACAGGGAGCTGCTGTTTTGTCTACCTTTTGAGGGGACCAGTCTCAGTAGGGCGAAAGGCAGTGTGGGGGCTTCGGAAACAGGCAAGGCTGGACCCCTGCAATCCTACCAGAGGCTAGTTCAGTCCCTTTTGCTTTCTTCCTAAAACATATTTACAAGGACACACAAACGTGCACAGCCAGAAGACCCAGAGACAGAGAGAGCACGTGTCCCAGGAGCGGAGGGTGACATCAAGAGGACAGGGGACACCCTTCCTCTGAACTCCTTCCTTCCCCAGGCCCCCCAGCATCCTTAACAACCCCCACCCCCACCCCGAGGAGGAAAGTTCCAGAACTCCAGCTGGGACAAATGGAAGAGATAGGTAGACTCCAATCCTAGCAAGAGCAGAAGTTTCAAGTAGCTCCGAGTCAGAGGCGCGGCTGCCTCAGAGAGCAGAGGGCTGATGTGGAACAGCATTTCCCTGAACTGAGCCGGGGCTGGAGTGGGGAGGTGAAGGACAGAGAGAGGACAGGAGAAAGAGGGGACTGGGGGACCTGGAACGACGCGACACCTCAACAATCAGAACTGGGCTGCGGAATGGGAAGCAGTTTATGGAGTTAAGTGGGGCTCTGCTATTTCCCCCAAGAAGGACTCGGAAGATGTTGATTCCAGGGCAGAGTGAGGGGCAGACAGGATGAGGCTCTTCTGTAAAGTCCAACAGACGCTCACAGATGCTGGGAGGCTGGGGACTGCCAGGTTGGGAGCCTCACCCAGAGAGCCTCACTGCATTGACCCCACACCCACCACTCACCCAGCACACAGGGGGCCTCTCCTCACGCTCCCAGGCCACCAGGATGGCCCCCAGGTTCACACACAGGCACACGCACACACGCTGCACTCACCACGCACTGAAGGGCATCACAGCCCCAAGTCTGGGTAAGAAATTCTCCACCAAAGGTGTTAAGGAATTTGCTTTGCTGAGGAGAACTGGATGGGTGGGGGAAAACAGCAACAAACAAACAAAAGAAATGCACAGGGCCTCTTCTCATCTGGTGAGATGAGCTCACACTGCTCAGGGGATGTTGGGGAACAGCGAGGTGTGAGGTGTGGCCTCAGAGCCCGGCTGCACCTGTCCTGTTCCCTCTGACTTCTCACTTTTCCACATTGCAGGCTTCAAAACAGAGCTTGGGGAAGCCCCTCTGCGGGGCAGCCCTAGGGAATCCTCAGAGGGGCCAGAAGGAAGCCCTGGGGGCTGAGGGAAGTGGGGCTGGACATGGCCTGTGGGTGGCTCTCCCCTGGCAGGAGGAAGATCATGGTCTCAGAGTGCGGAAAGGCTGCAGCTTTCGGCAGCTGCTTCTCTCCGGGGTCTCAGGGACAGCTCTCTCTGTTGGTCTGGGCAGGACAGGAGTGTTAAGGGTCAGGGAGGAGGTGGGCACACACCCCCTTAGCCTAGACCCAGGCTCCTTGCCTGCTGCTCCTGGCCCTCAGGCGCCCTCAAGTGGATGAGGGGACCCCAGCAAGGGGGATGGAGGCAGGAGTTGCACCAAGGGGGAGCCAGGCAGAGGTCAACTGTGTAACCACCACCCAGTGTCCCCAAGAGAGCAGCCCAGATCATGGCTCCACCACGAGACCCAGAGAAAAGGGACAGGCTATTCCAGGGTCTAGGATTCAGAGCTGCCCCATCTCAACACCTAAAAGCTCCCCCAGGCTCTGCAGCCACAGCCTCCTCCTGCTGAGCCGACCCCCTCTCCTCACCCTGTTCTACCTGCACCACCTGGGCCACCTGGGACAGACCTCAGACAGCTTGGCGAGGCACCCTGTCCCTGGCCTCTCAGCTGCTGCCCTCCTCCTCTGCCGCCACCACCTTCATTCTCCGCCTTGGGTTAGGAGAGCTTCTCTAGTGTTTGGGGATCCGGCAAAGGGACAGGGCTTGCTGTGGCTGGGCGTCCTGGCCCGTCTCATCTGAGGCTGGTGGGGATGTCACACCACATCGGCCCAGTTTTGGGAGGACCTCAGCTGGTAGACAGCTCCCTGCCCCTCCCTCCCCTTTGCAATGGGGACAGGCTCGCAGGCCAGAGCTTGACCTCAGAAGCAAGAGGGAGAAGGGCAGACAGGGGTCGGTTGAGCCAGGGTAGAAACCAAGGGGAGCCAGGGTAGAAACCAAGGGGTCAGGGCTGGGCTGGAGGACACGGCTGGGGGATCTCATTTCATGGATTTTGACCTGTCAATTTGTATTTGTGTGTGAATGTATTTTAAAACCAACAACAAAAGGAAAGAAAACAGCTACAAGGAGGCCGAAGGGGCCTTTGGGTGACTCACTCTGCCAGGAGCAGTGTGGATCAAGGACACATTTGTCAGCGCATGCCACACACACACACACATACACACATGCATGCACACATGCACTCACACTGTCACCCGTCCCAGCCATCTGTGCCACACACATGCCATGCACACTCACACTCCCAGTCCCCCCAGGTGGAGCAGGGTCCTTCTGACTGCATTTCTGGATCCGTTCTCGAAGTTGCCTGCTGCTGCTCAGAGCTCTGCTGTTGAGTCCCCCCCGGCAGCCGGCTCCTGAGGGCGTCTACCAGATGTAGCCCCCGTCGTCAGCCTCGCCTGCCTCGCCCTCCTCCTCCTCGGCCTCCTCGCCTGCTTCCTCCGTCTCCTTCTCCTCCTCATCCTCCCAGCCGACACCGCTTCCAAAGTCCCCCGAGAAGCCCACGATGTCATCTGTGAGGGGATCAAGCCAACAGGGGGTGAGGGAGCTTCTGGCACGCACCCCCCAGCATCCCACGACAAGGGCCCCCAGGCCTGGGCCCCCAGCAGGCCCTGAGCTGCCCAGCCCGTACCGCAGTCGGGGCTCCCATGCGTGCGCGTGCCAGTCAGCTCCAGGCCCAGCTGGTCCACACACCAGCAGTCACCGCTGCTCTGGTCACACTGCATCTTCCGGTAGTAGCCATCCTCGTCGCAGCTCGGGATGAAGATGCCTGAATGAGACAGTGCCAGGCAGGGTCAGAGCAGGGGCCCAGGCTGTGGGCCCCTCAGAGAGGTGACCTCAGGTCCTCATGCATGAGCAGAAGTCTATACACCCCCAGAGCCCAGCCAGACCGGGTGCTGACCCCCCAACAGGCCCAGATGCTGAGAGCTGGACACCAGCCAGCAATTCTTTCGGCTCTACTCGCTGGAGATGAGGAAACCCGCTTCCTTGAACCACTGCTCAGGCCCCTGTGCTAGCTCCCAGCCGCCCCATCAGTTTCCCTGACTCCATGGCCCAAGTCTTCTAGGACAGCCAGTCTGACTTCACCAGGTTTGACACTCTCCATCCTCCCACAGTTCCGCCGGCCTGGCTGTCCCCTGCTAGGAAGGCCCAGCCTTCTCCTCCCAGCCACTCTGAGTCCGACCTGCCTCCGGGGCCCACTTGCTTTCCTGCAGGCTCCCCAGCTGAAGCTCCCAGGCGCCTGTGTACAGGTCACACTGCTAGTTCTGTCTTTTTAGTGTGTCCATTTGTGTGTTGTGTGTTTCCGGACTGGCCCGAGCTAAAGGGTTATGAGGCCAGGGAGTGCATCCTTCTTGCCATCCGCTCAGAGTTGGGCTGGGTCTATTGCTGTTGTATCTCTGGGGCCGGCCCCCAGGTGTTTATGGAGCATGTGAGTGAGTGTCACTCAGGGAGTGGCCTCACTAAAACATTAGTCACACCCTTGCTGAAGGAAACTGAACTCAGTGGAGGGTTCCAGGATCCTTCTGTATCCCAAACTCTAGCTCCAGCATGGATGGGCATAAAATTAGTGCCTAAAACACACTTTTCCCGGGGCAGATTGGGAGTCCCTGCCCCACCACAAGGATAGACACAGGAAGGGGGCAACCCTCTTCTGTCTTCCTAGGCCAGGGCCTCCTCTGGGCTCCATGTCTGCCATGAGGCCCAAGGCTGGAGGCCCTGGGTCTCAGACAAACCCAGGAAGCCGTCCCCACCTCCTCCTCTGAGAGCCTGGTCTGGCCCCTCACCTGGCTTCTTCTTGGCGGCCTCCTGGATCTGGATGCGCTCCAGCTCTGCCAGGCAGGGGGGCTCTGTGGGGAGAGAAGCAGCCTCTGATGGGACTGTCCCCTGGTGCTGGGGGGATGCACTGAGCCCTTCAAGGCTTAGAGACCCAGGCAGGGGCTCTGCAAGATGAAAACACCCCGTTTCTGACACGGGGTCACCCCACAGCAGGGGTGGGAAGTACAAGGGTTCTATGGCACGAAAACGCTCACTCTCTATTTAGGGGAGCTCATTCCACAGCTGTGGATGACCTGAGGTCCCCAAGAAGTCCTAGGGACCCATGAGAGGAGTAACAGGATTCAGAAGAGGAGGTGGGGTGAACACACAGACACCCAAGTATGAGAGAGCCCAGGGGAACGTAATGCTAGAGGGAATGTTAGAGAGAACTCCCAGGCCTGAAAATACAGCCACGCGCTACACAACAACACTTCAGTCAACAATGGACGGTGGCCCCATAAGATTACAACACTATTTTTACTGTACCTTTTCTATGCTTAGTTATGTTTATTTTTTTATTTTTTATTTATTTATTTTTTTGAGACGGAGTCTTGCTCTGTCACCCAGGCTGGAGTGCATTGGCGCGATCTCGGCTCACTGCAAGCTCTGCCTCCCGGGTTCACGCCATTCTCCTGCCTCAGCCTCCCGAGCAGCTGGGACTACAGGCGCCCGCCACCACGCCTGGCTAATTTTTTGTATTTTTAGTAGAGACGGGGTTTCACCCTGTTAGCCAGGATGGTCTTGATCTCCTGACCTCATAATCTGCCCGCCTCAGCCCCGCAAAGTGCTGGGATTACAGGCATGAGCCACCGCGCCCAGCCTTATTTTATTTTTTGAGATAAATAAAATAAATTTTTGCTCTCGTCGCCCAGGCTGGAGTGCAACGGCACGATCTTGGCTCACTGCAACCTCTGCCTCCCGGGTTCAAGTGATTCTCCTGCCTCAGCCTCCCAAGTAGCTGAGATTACAGGCACCTGCCACCATGCCTGGCTAATTTTTGTATTTTTAGTAGAGACAGGATTTCACCATGTTGGTCAGGCTGGTCTCAAACTCCTGACCTCAGGTGATCCACCCACCTCGGCCTCCCAAAGTGCTGGGATTACAGGCGTGAGCCACCGCGCCCGGTCTATGTTTAGCTATGTTTAGATGCACAAATGCTTACCATTGTGTTACAACTGCCTGCAGTATTCAGCACATAACATGCTGCACAGGTTGTAACCTGGGAGCAATGGGCCAGGTGCACAGGAGGCCGCACCACCAAGGTCTGTGTAAGTACTCCTATGATGCTTGCACAGTGACAAAATCACCTAATGATGCATTTCTCAGAATGTATCCCCCTCGTCAAGTGACGCATGACTGTAACCGGCAGCCAGCCTCTAACTTGTCTGCGACCTTGGGAAGTCCCCACCTCTCCAAGCTGGAAGCCTGCCTGGTTGTAAAATGAGGACAGTTCCCGGCCTCCTGCCCAAGAAAGTACAGAATGGATGGAGTGGCCTTCAAAGGCCCAGAAAGTCAAAGTGCTGGAGTGATGCTGGTCGCAGGAGGGCTGGGCAGTCAGAGTGGTGAAACAGATCACAATACCACACATTTGCAGAGGGATTTGTGAATTACACGGTGCTCTGCACAGATTTTCTTGGCTCATCCTCACAACAGGCTCCAAGATAGGTATTGTTATTTCCTGACGCAGATGAAGAAGCAGAACTCAGAAAGATGTGGTCACTTGCCGGGGGTCCCTGACTAGCGTATGGTGGGGCCCGGGCTGAAGCTTTGGGCCCTGACTGCCGATCCCCCACCAAGATGGGGAGAAGCATCCAGTGAGGAACACCAGGGCTTCCCCAGCTCCAGCCACACAGGTCAGGTGAGCCTGGGGACCTCCATTTTCCGAGATGACTCTGGTTTGAAAGCTCTGGTTTCAGGTATATTCAGCTGAGAAATTTCATCACATCTCTAAGGCTGATGACAACGTATGTAATCACTTATTGGTGGCACAAAATTTAAGATGTGCCTAAAAGAAGAATCACCGAGAAGCAAATGCATCTTCACCTCTAAGACCCTCACTTGTACAGCCCCTTCCCAAGCCCTCTGAGGGGCCCCAGAAAGTTTACATTCGTTATTTTTCATATTCTTTCTTTCCTTCTTTTTTTTTTTTAATAGGTTCTTGCTCTGTTGCTCAGGCTGGAGTGCGCTGGCACAATCTCAGCTCACTGTAGCCTTGACTTCCTAGGCTCAAGCAATCCTCCCACCTCAGCCTCTCAAGTGGCAGGGACCACAAATGCATGCCACCATGCCTGGCTATTTTTTTTTTTTTTTTTCACAGAGAGGAGGTCTCCCTGTATTGTTTGGGCTGGTCGCCAACTCCTGGGTCACATGATCCTCCCACCTTGGCCTCCCAAAGTGCTGGGATTTCTTTTTTAACTCTTTCTTAAAGAAGACCTCCAAAAGTATATAAGCTTCAGGACCCACAAAATCTGGATCCGCCTGGGAGCCTGCCAAGGAAGGGAGCTGAAAGTGTTGGCTTCCCTGGGCCTTAAGGGATGAAGCCCTAAGGGAGTGCAGGAAGTGGGCAAGCTGGGAAAGTGCTGGGCCTGGGGACGTAGCCAAGAAAGAGCCACTCTGACTTCCCAAGAGAGCCTGGAACTTCGGGTAGAGCCCACACGGGTGAGGCAGGGGCCTGGGAGGGGGGCTGCACTCACTCTCCCTCCAGAAGCAGAAGCACCACTCAGCAGTAGAGACCCGGCCATCCTTGTAGGTGTCACAGGAGTTGAAGAAGGGACGGATGCAGACCTCGTACTTGTCCAGGTTGATGGCGGCCAGCTCCGTCTGGTCCAGGAAGAGGTCAGCACTGGTGTCCAGCTTGGAGAACATCCAGCCAATGGAGTCCTTGCAGCTGGCCCCCAGGCTCTTGTCCAGCCCTGGGAAAAGATCAGGTTCAGGCACGCTTCATCTGGCTATTCAGCCGTTTCTCCAGCCCTCCATCTCTCCGCCTCGCCATCAGCCCCAGCCCTCTATTCTGGGTCTGGGCAGCTTGGAATCTAACCATGGGATTGAGAAACTCGAGAACGGCGAAAGGTCCTTCCTTCCACCTCCACATAGGACTATGCCTGAACCATTCAAAACCCGTTCTGAAAGCCCTGCAGGGAAAAGAATTCCTGCTTTCCCTGGGCTACCCATGTCAGGGTTTAAGCTCCCTCCACCCATGTTAAGTTCTTCCTACTAGCTAACTGGTATCCCTCCTGCTCTGGTGGAAGCCGACTTCTTTGGGGTGAAGGTTCTTTTGGGGCCCAGATTGTAGGGCCCAGAGTCTGGCAGGAAGGAACAAGGGCAGACTGGCCCAGCATACACCTGTGTCCTCAGCCCCTTCCCTATTTCCCTCCCTCCTCCAGGCAGAGCAGCAAGCTTCCTACCGCTGGCCGGGCCGGCTACACTGCTGGCTGAGCCATTCTGCTTGGAGTTCTCATGAAGGAGCTGGAACCAGTCCCGCAGCCGATCTCCCAGGTCAGCCAGGTCCTGACCGGTGCAAGTCTCTGCAGAACAGAGAGAAGGCATGGAGGGCGAATGTGCAGTGGAGCAGCAGGCTCGATCTCAGTCTGGGATCCTGCCCTACAGGCCAGGAGGCTGGGCAGGGGTCCGGGAGGCAGCAGCAGAAGGGAAGGTGGAAATCGGGGGCTTCCTCTCGAGTCCTCTCCCATTTCCCACCACCCACTCCTTCCTGGCATGAAAAACACACAGCCCAGGTTCCTTGTGGCTGAGTCCCTCCCTCTGCCCACCTTCCAGGCACCCAGGGGAGAAACGAGGGCTGAGCCCACGCCTCCTGCTCTGTGTTAATCTGGGCCTCTGACCTCACAGCTCCCTCAAGCTTTCTGCATTTTTGCCACTTCCCTCTTGCTCTGCACACCTCTTCTACCACCCTAGAGCCCTGAAGGAGGTGCCAGGTGGCCCTTCAGCACCCCTAGCCTGGTGGCCCAGCACTGTCCTCACCTGGTTTGCCATCGGCGGTGGAGGTGGCAGCCTGCTCCGTGGGGCAGGGGCAGGGGCCCTCGCATCGCACCGCCAGCTGCTTGCTGCTCAGGCACGCCTGTTGCTCCAGCTTACACTGCACATGGGGAAAGGTGGAACAGGGGACTGAGGGCTTACCCCAGGGGTCCCCACAGCTGGGGACACCCTCAAGCCTCTCATGGCAGCCACATCTGCCTCCCCCCATGGAGTGCCCATGAACAGCCTGAAGGGTCCTCTTGGTTCCTCTGCAGACTGAGGTGCACGGTGGAGAGAAGCAGGGCCCGGGAAGCAGGGCTCAGAGCTGGTCCTAGCCATGCAGGCTCCCATGAGCCTGCTCGGCCCTCTCTAAGGATTTGTCCCTCCCAGGACACCTGTCTCCCCTCCCCTGCCCCTGTCACCCCTCCCCTGCCCCTGTCGCCCTTCCCCTGTGTTAGCTGTCTGTTGCCCCCCTGGCTCTCATGGCCTGTTCCTTGGTCCCTCTGTAATCAGCCATCAGCCCTTCCCTCAATGATCTCCCCCCAGTCACCCCAGTGGACTTTTCTCAGTTCTCCTGATAGGACACAGCACCGCCTATGGAGCATCTAACAATTCCTCGGCCTTCGCTAAGAACTGCTTCTGCCACAGCTGCCTGCTAAAGCCAGGTTCTGACCAGGGCCTTTTCTCCTGGTCATATCTCTTTCTTCTCATGGGGCGGCTGCTAATGGGAAGCGGGTCATCACAGCGCTCGACAACATTATCTCACTTGGGAGGCTTGGGTTTCTCCTGCTCAGCAGAGAACAGCAAGGCGCACAGAGGCCCAGTGACTTGCCCAAGGCCATGAGCCGGGATGAAAGCCAGACTTCCTGCTGACCTCCACCTCCCTAAAGGACAGCGTGACCCCTGGACCGGACCGCACTGCAGCGTCCTGCCCAGACCTCGCCCTGGCCTTGGGTTGTGGGACACTAGCTCCTCTTCTTCTCCTCCTCCTCTCTGCCAGCTCTGCCAGCTCCCCTGCACCCCTCTCACCTCCTAAATGCAGCCTCTGCCCTGGCCTCTTGCTCATTCTCTCTCTCCTCCCTTTCTTCTCCCTGGATGACCTCATCCCCACAGCAATGTCAATCATCACCCACAGCGGGTGACTGAAATCTGCATCTCACTCCAAGAAGGCCCCTCAGCCCTGGCACCCACCCCAAGCCAGCTGTCAGTGCCCTCCCAAACCAAGCAATTCCCGACTCCTTGTTGCCAGTAAAAACATTCATTATCAGCACCTGCATTTCTATGTTACTTTTTTTTTTTTTTTTTTGGAGACAAGGTCTCACTCTGTCACCCAGGCTGGAGTGCAGTGGTACAATCATGGCTCACTACAGCCTCGAACTCCTGGCATCCCCCTCAGCCTCTCAGATAGCTGGAATCACAGGCACACGCCACTGCACCCAGCTAATTTTTGTATTTTTTGTAGAGACAGGGTCTCACTATGTTACCCAGGCTGGTCTCAAACTCCCGGATTCAAGCAATCCACCCGTCTCGGCCTCTCAAAGTGCTGGGATTGCAGGCGTGAGCCACCGTGACCAGCCTAAAATTTTTTAAATGCTTTCTCAAATATTGTCTCCTGAAATCCTCATAAAAATCCACATAAGGTGCAAATTCATTCTCCCAATCGGTTCCTTCTTCCATCACCTTCTTATGGAGGATTATTTCCTGCTGCCCCAGAAGGCCCCTGCTCACTGGTGAACACTGGCGCCTCCCTGTGGAAATCCTCCTTTCTTCCCCCACTAACAATTGGATGCCAGAGCTCCTTCTTCCACAGCCCTCCACACTTGGCTGAGGTCTTCCCTCAGTTCCTTTGACTTGCAGTTACCTGACCATAGTGTCTCTTCCAGGCCCCACTCCCCACCTGCACCTGTCCGAGGTCAGGGACAGACAGGGTCTGGCTCCAACTCTCAGGTAGTTCCAGCCAGGGCTGCAGGTGGCCCCAGTATGGCTGGCTGCATTGAACACACTGACCTTGCCATCTGGCCCCACCTCAGTCCTGGAAACCCCTCCGGAGGCCCCAGCTGGGTCATCCTTTCTGCTTCCTGTGGCCTCAGGTGACTCCACCCCCACCCTACCTGGGGCCTGGGCTCCTCACCACAGAGCTGTAAGTGTGGCCATCTGAGCCGCAGACAGAGGCAAGCTGGGCCATGTGGCAGGGCTTGCAGATGGAGTCTTTGTTTCCATGGAGTTTCACGGTCGGCTGCTTGATCCTACAGGAGAGGGTGGGGGGCACACCAGGGTGGAAGTGACAATGAGGAAGGAGCAGGGGAAGGGAGGGCTGAGCAGACCTGTTCCAACAGGAAGGCAGCAGCAATCTTCAGCAGATCAGCCCCTTCCTGCCCCTGCCCACCCTCCCCACACTGCTGCCAGACCCTCCTCCAGCTCAGAAGGGTGGAACCAACTGAGCAGGGCATAAATTCCCCCAGCTTCTCTTCTTCTAGGAGTCACTGAGTCCCATGGGGCCTTCAGGTAGCAACTCCAGGTCTGAAGGCCAGAGGTAAAAGGGGGTCACACTTCACTTAGGGGGTCAGACCAAATCTGAGGTTGCAAACTGATGACCTCTGGGCCATACTTGGCCACCAAGTGTTTTTTTTTTTAATTGAGTTATTTATGCACTAACATTTACCAAATGGGAGAGTTCACATAAATACCTGGATTCTTGGCCTGTCTTTGAAAAATGGAAGCATGGGAGTCCTGGACCTGCATTCCTACATAGCTGTAATAGACCAGGGCCAAGAAGCAGCTGCCTGCTTTCCACCACACCTGTGCTCCACAGAGTGGCCCGTGACCAAGCACTCTTCATGCATTACATTACCGGCCATGCCCCTGCAGCCTTCTAAGACTGCAACCCCATCTTTCATCTTCTATGATTCAGGAAAGAAGGGAGGGAACTGGAACCTTTTCCAGGGTCTTGGAGCCAGGCAGAGCCTTGTCCTTGGGCTGGAGCTAAGACTTCCTTTTTTTGTTTGTTTTGTTGTGTTTTTTTTTTTTGAGACGGAGTCTCACTCTGTCACCCAGGCTGGAGTGCAGTGGCGTGATCTCGGCTCACTGCAACCTCCGCCTCCCAGGTTCAAGCAATTCTCCTGTCTCAGCCACACGAGTATCTGGGACTACAGGCACAAGCGACCATGCCCAGCTAATTTTGTATTTTCAGTAGAGATGGGGTTTCACCACATTGGTCAGGCTGGTCTCAAACTCCTGACCTTAGGTGATCCACCCGCCTTGGCTTCCCAAAGTGCTGGGATTACAGGCAGGAGCCACTGCACCCAGCTGGAGCTAAGGCTTCCTTAAATGTCCCTCACTCCTTTCTCCTCTGCAAGCTACAACCTCTCACAAGCTACCACCTTAAATATTTCATGAAGTCACTGCATGTCAGAGCTGAAAGGAACCTCAAATTATATGGTCTAACCTATTTGTCTTAGAGATACTACATCAAGGCCCAAAAAGGAGATGTGACTTTCCCTGCATCCCACAGGGTTTGGTAATTGTTCTCATATGGTGTGGCTTTCTCCTTGCTCATCTCTTAAATGACTTACTTTAGGTGAAGGCAGCCGCCATGTTGTGAGGACACTCAAGCATCCCTATGGAGGGGTCCACATGATCAGGAACTGAGGCCTCCCACCAAGAGCATAAGAGTGAGCTTAGAAGTGGATCCTCCAGCCCGACAAGCTTTCAGATGAAACAGCCCCAGCCAGCACCTTGACTATAACCTCAAGACAGACCCAGAGCCAGAACCATCTAAGAGAACCACTTCTGGATTCCAACCCTCAGAAATGATGTCAGATAATACATATTTGCTGTTTTAAGCACTAAGTTTTACAATTTATTTAACAGCAGTAGATGGCTAATTCATAAGGAGAGGGTCAGTTGAGCCCTTGCTCTTTGAACACACCCCCTCCAGGGCTCCCACCTCCCCAAACCTCTCACCTGTGCTCCAGCTTCTTGCGACTGATGCACATGGCCCGCTGGTAGCCCTGGGCAATGCACACCTTGTGGCGGCTGCACTTCACCTTCTGGCAGGGGTCCTTGGTGGTATCCAGGGCTGCAGGGGCACAGAGTCAGGACACAGGTCACCTGGGAGAACCCAGGAACCTCCAGCCCCACTTCTGAGCTGGGAGGCCTCTCCCTCCAGCAGCCCTTGATAACCAGAGCTCCTGAGCTCAGGAGTCCCATCCCCACCGGGGCCTGGCTGCTCAAGGAGCCCCCAAGCGGGCTAAGGGCTTGCCCTCTGGTCTCAAGTCTTCACACGTGTCAGTCACCTTCCCCCGCCGGGAGAGTCATGTTACCTTCATCTCCTTGCTGATTGTCCTCCCAGCTCTTGATATAGTCATCCTAGAGGACAGAGAGGGACAAGGGAGAAGGGAAAGGCTAAGATCCATATCCCAGAGGTTCAACTGCGGGGTCGAGGAGAGGCCTGGGCCAGCGATGTCATGTGCCAATGGCCGTCATCCTGGTGGCTGACCCCTGTCCACCCAGGCCCTGCCAGCTGCCTCCCCCACACCTCTATCCCTATAAACCCATGTCCAGAATCCTTTCCAGCCTCTCCCGTGAGCTCCTGATTGCTCCCATGCCACACTGGAGGCTGGCAGGGAAGGCAAGTCAGAATGAGGGTGTGGAGGGACACAGGAGGGGAGGGGGTGTGCTCTGCAGAGACCACACAGAGTGGGGTCCTGGGCAGTACTCACCTCCACTTCCTGGAGATCAGGGAACAGCAGCAGGCCATGGAAAACGGAGCAGGAAGAGAAAGGGAGAAAGATGGGGATATCAGTGTGAGGCCCTCTGGTGTTCCTGGGGTCCCCTGCCTCATCATGTGGCCGAGCAATGGCCTTCGATGGCTGTGTTCCTCTGACCCCCAGGAACCCCAATAAGAGGCCAGTATTCTTACGTCTTCATCACAGAGCTCAAGACTGGCCTTAGGAGTAGCAGGGGCCCGTGGCTTTGAGAGGGTGGGGCACCCCCACTCCGTTCCCAGTCCAGCCCCAGCCCCACCACCAGGACAGATGTCCGAGGTGCCCATGCTGCGTAGGAACAGAGCTTCTCATGCCTATGCCCTGGGTGTCTCAGAAACTGCCTGAGAAACGGTGCACTGTCTGTCTCCTGCCAAGGCCCCTTCCTTGTCAGTCCCCACTCCTGACCTCTGCCCACCATGTGAGTGAGGTGGGAGGAAGACCCCCTCACCCAGTCTGCAAAGGGATGCTTTTTGCTCAAGGTCTGACATCTCTGCAGAGCTCAGCTCATACACGGAGTGAGGGAGGAGGCCATGCCTGTGATGAGGCTTGCCCAGTTATCACGATTCAGCTTCAAACCCTCAGAGGCAGAGGACCCAGAAAGGGTCCTACGAGGTCACCTGGTCCAGCCCCCCCTTTGTGCCGGAGAAAGCCCAGAGACAGATGACCTGACCCAGGTCCTCCCGTCACACAACCCAGGTCTCCCGATGCCCAGCACAGACCACTTTTCTTGCTACAACACACTCTCTGAGGCCTAAGGCACAAGGGAGACCTTCTCACCCTGCTCCAGCTGCAGGGGCCTCTCAGGCCCGTGGACCGCAGAGTGGCCAGAGGCAGAGAGCCTCCCACCTGACCCAGCTCCCTGGCAAGAACACTCAACTTATCTGGCTTCCTCCCTTTCCCCTACGGGGCAGAGACAGTTGCTAAAAAACACCTAACAGTCCCAGGGCACTCCTGGTGGAAACTCTGCCAGGCAGGCAAGGAGGGGGCTTCCCAGGCCTGCAGGCTGGCAGTGACAAGGACCAGCTGCCCACTTCCTCTGCGTGGGGCTCCAGGAGGGGCTCTGGGAGCTGGGGGGAGAGGGGCATGAGAAGCTACGCGCAGCTGCCCCCTTCATCCTGAGTTCTGCCATAGCCCAAAGGAGCAGAGATGTGTAGGGGTGAGCAGAGCTGTCAGGTCTGGGGGAAAAGGGCGGTGGGGCCATGGCACCAAACGGCACCCACATGCGTGCAGCAGTGGGCACACAGAAGGGTGCCTAAAGGGCTTTGAAATCCAAGGCCTTCAGGCTTCTGAAGCCTCCCCTGGAAGCTGGCAAGCGTCAGAGCAGGCAGGGTGAGGCCTCCTGGACAAAGGCCGAAGGGGCCAGACCCGAGCAAGCAGTTGGCATCACCACCGAGAAAGATGCGGTGTGCACAGGCATAGACCTGAGTGCATGCTTCTGCATGTGTGTGTGCATTTATGCAGACCCAGGTGCACCCATGCACACTCACAGGTCTGTATTATGTAGCATGTGTGTGCAGGCATGTTTGTGTGTATGCACATCCTCATTTATGCACAGGTGGACATATGCACACACATGTGTAGTGACAGAAGGAAAACAAGGACACTAACAAGGACATTGTTCACCCAGTGCCAGATGGTTTTTATCCAGAAACGAGGTAACAAAACCCACTCTGTGAGCAGCCTCCAGTTTCACACTCGAGGCTCTCCCTCAGGCTGGCCTTCCTGCCTCTTCCGCAGTGAGAGAAGGAGGCAGCAGGAGTCGGGAAGGATGGGGAGGGCGGGAGGACCGCAGACTGCTCCCGTGAGAGCCCACGGCGGCTCTCTCCCTCTCTCTCCTTCTTCCTCTTGCTTTCACGTGCCTCCCCGTGTGTTCCTGTGTCCCTCTCTCCTCTGTCTCTCATTGAGCCTCTTCCTCATCCCTCTGCTCGGCCCACACCTGGCCCACACGTACCTGTCCTAGCAGCCAAGAGTCCCGCAGCCCCTGGGCCCAGGAGCAGACAGAGGAAGGCTGCAGGGGTGCTTCCTGGGAGCCTGTGGGGCACCTGGCCCAGCACTCACCCCATCCCTCAGGCTTGACCTGAGCGCTCCTGAGCCCCCAGGCAAGCCTCTGGGGAGGCTGCAGGCACCACTTCCCTCGTTTGCTAAAACCAACGAAGCCTTCTCCAGGAGCTCCTCAGGGTTCAGGGGTCCTCTGCTGGGGGTCCACCCCACAGGAGATGGAGGGAGGCCAAGAGAGGTGCAGCTGCTGAGGCCATGATGACAAGGGTTGGGGCAAAAGTGGCAACTGGTCTCCATCAGCTGGGGTCTTCCCGTCTGTACCCATCATCCCCTGGGGCAGGGGTGGGGACAAGGCTGTGCAGGTGATGGGAAATGGCTGGGTTCTGGGAGGGAGGTATGAGCCCTCAACCATACCTGCCCTCAACCAACAAGATCTGTGTGCCCATAACCCACCTGCCCCAGAGTGGAAGTAGGGAAGGTGCCTCCAGCCCCTGGGTGTCATCTGAGGCCCCTGGCACCGGCTCACTCCCACCTTCTGGCCCAACCCTGCTGCCTTAACCTCCAACCAGGCCGTGAGTGGAATTTTTGGGACTCAGTACACAGTGGATTCTCAAAGGTCAAGACCAAGAATTTATGATTAGAAATTTGGGGGAAAGTGGGGATGGCGTGGGAGTTCTAAGAAAGGGGCTTTCCCCAGCTGCTCCACCATCCCCCACTCCCTTCCTGACTCAGCTGGCAGGGAGGGAGCCCCTTCTGTGCAAAGCACTGCCCCCGGTTCCAGCCTCGACTTTTTGCCTCTGCTGTGGCCAGGCTGGGCAGGCAGGATGGAGGGGCCCCAGTGGATCTGGATTCCAGGACCCTCACTCCCAGGAAAGCAAAGGCAGCCAGCCAGAGAGGGACGAGGAGAGCAGGGCCCTGGGGTCCTGCAGATCCCCAGGCTTCCCCCGACCAGTGCACCTTGGGCAAGCACCCGACCTCGAGGGGCTCAGTGCCTATCTCCCAGGACTACTCAGAGATTAAAGCAGATGGCACCTGCGGGGTGCCTGGGGTCCAGGAAGCACTTAACAAATCAAAGCTGCTATGATGGAGAAGAGACCCCCGGACTGCAAGTGCGGAAAATGAGGGACAGAGATGCCACATGAGGAACCCCAAAAAAGTGGAGAGGGAGAGGCCACCATGGGGACAGCAGAGACCAGAAGGGATACGAGGAGAGTCCCCTAGGAGGTCTTGTGGGGAGGAATGACGAGGAAGTCCTCTGGGCAGCTGGGGAGTGGCCACTCTGAGGGTAAAACTCAAGGACACACTGAGGGGTCCCTGAGGCCAGGTGTGGGCTGGCGCCACCTTTAAGCTGAAAAAAAGGTGTTTGTTGGCAAGTGCAAATAATGCCTTTCAGTGCAGTGTTGGGTGTCTATTTATGGCACCCCAGTGGGCTCATTAGCAGTTGTGAGAAATAGTCTGATCAGGGCACCTGGGGCTTCTCAGGAAACAGAGGCCCCGTTCTACACCTGAGAGTGGTGGCAGGTGGCTCTGCTGCCGACCTCACCTGGAAAATGGGGATTTGGAAGAGCTCGTGGCTTGTATTGCATGGTGCTTATATATGCTTATCTATCTACCTATCTATATGAGTAAAGCTTTTAATTTAAAAAAATGTTTTAATAGAGATGGGGTCTTGCCATGTTGCCCAGGCTGGTCTTGAACTCCTGGGCTCAGGCAGTCCTCCTGCCTTAGACTCCTACAGTGCTGAGATTATAGGCGTGAGCCACTGCACCCAGCCTGCATGGTGCTTTTAGAGTAAGTTCTCTCCAGGCATTTGGATGGGTCTGCCTTTTATCCTCACAGTCCTGTGAAGTAGTCAGAGCCAATAGGATCAACACCAGAAGAAAGGAGAAAACGAAGGCTCAGAGAGGCAGAGCAACTGGCCAGAGATGGCAAGACAAAAGAGGAGCTGAGTCAGGGTTCCCCATCGCCCCCTCCCACCCCACAAGTTAGAGTCTCTCTCCTTAAGAGAGGACCAGCATCTGCACTGAGGAGGAGGAGGCAGAGAGAGGACATAGAAGGGGCACTGGACCAGGAGTCCACTTTCAGCCTGGCCCACGGTGTGTCCTCAAAGAAGTCACTTCCTCGTTGTTGAGGACCTCAGTGGTGACTGCACCTTAGAATCAGCCGAGGAGCTCTTTATTTTTATTTATTTATTGAGACAGAGTCTTGCTCTGTCACCCAGGCAGGAGTGCAGTGGTGCAATCATAGCTCACTGTAGCCCCGAACTCCCAGGCTCAAGCGATCCTCCCACCTCAGCCTTCCAAGTACCTGGGAGCACAGGCATGTGCCACCATGCCTGTCTAATTTTTATTGTGGTGGTTTTTTTCATAGAGATAGGGTCTTGATATGCTGCCCAGGCTGATCTCGAACTCCTGGGCTCAAGTGATCCTCCTCCCTCAGCTCCCCAAAGCACTGGGGTTACAGGCATGAGCCACTGTGCCCTTCCCCAAGGAGCTTTTTAAACCTTCCAGCACGCACATGCTACCTGAGACCCCTGAAATCCCATGGGTGGTACCCAGCTCGGGCCACGCTTCTGTGCTGGCTCTAGGCAGGCAGCTTAGAGACCACTGGGCCAGCCATCAGGCCTCAGGTCCCTCCCGCTCTGTGCTTATGTCTAATATTTTGCTTATGTTCTTGGGTGTCTTCACCCCAAACACGGGGCCTCTGGGATGAAAAAGAACAGCCATTCTTCCTCCCTCCGAGGGTGCCTCACACAAAGCGATACAAGGTGTGCTGAGGAGCAGGCCGGCCCTGGGAGAACCCAGGCTCCTGCTTCCAATTCCAGGCCCGTTCCTGGAGCACGCTTACCGTGCCACCCTCACCAACCCAAAGACTGTCCTGCCCCTTCCCCTCCCGAATCCCTCTCGCTTGCCCTCCCTGCCCTACACCCACCGGCCAGGACCACCCCAACCCGAAAAACTGCAGCGCCTCCTGAGGGTCTCCCTCCTCCCACTGTCTTCCACACGGCTGCGGCCACCCGGATCCTTCCAAAACACAATTCTGACCCGGTCTCTCTCTCTTTGAAACTGAATATACAGTTTGATCTCATTTTGGGGAAAAAGAAAGTGAGTAGGTGAAAAGGATTTATACCAAAATGGTAACAGTCATTTCCACTGCTGGGTAGGAATACAGAGAATTCTGACATCTTTCTGCTTTTCTCCAACTTTCCCCAAAATTTCTGCAATGAACATATATTACTTTGTAATAAAGAGAAAAAACATAATCATAATCATAATAAATATAAATAATAGGCCAGGCGCGGTGGCTCACACCTGTAATCCCAGCACTTTGGGAGGCCAAGGCGGGCGGATCACGAGGTCAGGAGATCGAGCACCCTGGATAACACGGTAAAACCCCATCTCTACTAAAAATACAAAAATAGCCGTGTGTGATGGCGGGCGCCTGTAGTCCCAGCTACTCGGGAGGCTGAGACAGGAGAATGGCGTGAACCCGGTAGGCAGAGCTTGTAGTGAGCCAAGATCACGCCACTGCACTCCAGCCTGGGCGACAGAGTGAGACTCCGTCTCAAAAAAATAAAGAAATAAATAATAAAAATAAAATAAATTTTAAAAATAATAAAAAATATAATAAGTATTATATTTTGAAAGCCTTTCACGGGTTCCCAGTCACCTACAGAAGAAATTCCATCTTCTCTTGATCTCTCCCTGGCTACCCCAGCTCCAGGTCCTTCCTGCAAGGTTCCAGCATGGCCAAACCCCAGCACAGCTGTCTCCATCCAGAATGCAAGTTCACATCAGCCCCAGAATTTCTACTCATCTCCCAAAACCCAGCTCAGCCATCATCTTCCCGAGCCCCACTCCTTATCCTTCAGGCCAGCTGTGCCTCACAGAAGTCTACCATTGTTCCAGTGACACCAGGCAATGTCGCCTCTGCCTCACTCCGCCCTAGTTAAATAGCCAGTTCCTTGAGAGCAGAGACCATGTAAATTTCTTCTCTCTATGCCCAACATCTAGTACCTAGTAATACACACTCCTAACAATAGCTGACATCTTTATAGCAATTACCACGTGGCAAGCATTATGCTAAACACTTCACATTCATTGGCTTGTTTCCTCTTCACAACAGCTCTAAGAAACATTACTATTATTATCTCCATGTCTCAGATGATAAAATTGAGGCTCAGAGAGGTTAAGTGACTTAGGCAGGGTCACACAGCAATTGCACAGGAGAAGAGTGCTGCACCCAGAACTGTGATTCCAGAATCCGTGCCCCTAACCAGCACTCCATAAATGTTAGCTGATGAAAAAAGTCCTAGGCCAGGGGTGGGTCCCAGGAGGCCCAATCCCAGCCCACAGGTGGTTTCTCCTACCACACCAACTCTGCTTCAAGTCCTAGGCAGGGAGTTTTGCAGCCAGGAGAGGAGGGTCTGGTGGTGGAAGGGGAAGACACCTGGGGGCCCCCGTTCTCCAGGCATTTTTCAGAAACCCCTTCACATGACCCCTGGTTCAGCTGGTTTGGAGCTAACCCATCTTCAGCTTTGATCTCTGCAGCTCAGCTCAGTTGCCATGGAGACGGTGCCCACTGAGCCAAGCTGGGGGAGACAGCAGTGAGTGCGCAGGCCTAGTCAGGCTTAGGGGGCACATGCTGGGTGTTTCCAAGTGCTGTTTACTTCCTGTCATTTTAATTAGCACCCAAATCACCCGCTCACTTCACAGCTTGAATTAACCCAATCTCTCCCAGCTTCTCCATCTGGTATGAAGCTTGGGACCTAGCAGCGAATCAGCAAAGAAGAGCAGCCCTCCAGACCCTGGCTTATGGGGTCAAGATCCACCTGCTTCTTTGCAGCACAGTGTGACAGAGAGACCTCACCCCCTACACCCCTCACCACCAAGGACTCAGGGGCCTGGGCTCCTGCTTGGCCTTGCCACTGACTGCCAGCAAGTGAGTCGCTTCCCTTGCTGGACTGGCTTCCTTGGCTGTAAAATAAGGATGACCCCCTTGCCTTCCCCTCTGAGCTGCAGAAGAACCCAGGCAATCATGTCTGCAAGGGGACTTTGTGAACTGAAGCTCCATACTTTCAAAAGACACAAGACAGGACACCTGAACCCCGGGTTCTCTGGCACACACCCGGGGAGCCTAGGGACAGGACTGGGCAGAGGTTCTGTAGGGTCTCAGTGTTACAAGGGGTCTCAATATGGACATCTGACATTGTCTCCACTTGAGGACACACAGCCAGAGGCACAGCGACAGGACGGAAAGAAGACAGTCATCATAAGACTGAATACACCACAATTTCCCTAACCCTGTTACGGCATTTCTTCATTTTTTAATAGATCAAGAATCTCTAAAAATGGAAGTGGGCCAGGCCTGGCTCAGCCTCTGAGAGGCCCTGTATCTGCCATTATTTTGGCCTCATTCCTCAGGCAACGGGGCCTGTGATGGAGGCCAGTCCACTGAAGAAGGCCCAGGACTGGAGAGAAGCTTGCCTCTGTGGCCTCCTCCTGCCCTCCCTGGAAATAGCCACAGGGCACAGACAGAAGGACTCAGAAAAGAGCAAGGTGGGGCCCAGTGGGGACACCTGGGATCCTCCTCCGCTGAGGATTAACACCCCATCACACACCTGGGAGAGGGCACCTGGGGAGGCAGTGTCCCTGTGAGGGGGTGGGGGTGGCTGGGAAGTGGGGGGCAGAGGGGCCAGTCATTAAATACTTGAGCCTCTCTTGGAGGGGGCGGCAGAGGCTGTGATAGGCCTGGATAAACAGAAGGAGACAGGCATCTAGAAGACTCTGGCCTCCCACCTCCTCTGCCCTCAGAGGAATTTCCTTGGAGGACAAAAATGTGCATATCATCACTCCCTGCATGCCAGGAGCCGGGCTGGGCCTGGGCTCAGGTATGCCTGCGCCAACACCCACCTGCTGCCCGGGCCCTGACCTCCCTGCTGGTCCAGTGGCATCTTGGTGGCTGCCCTAGTCCTTGGTCCCTGCTCCGGGCGGTGGCCCCAATAGTCCATAAAGGGCAGAGAACAGCGGGAGGTGTGAGGGGCCCGGGGCTATGTTCTGAGCTGCCTCAGGACCCTGGCTTCCCTCCTGGAACATGGGGGTGGGGGTCAGAATTCAAGCCCAGGGAGGTCTGAGGAAGACCCCAGGGCTGGAGCTGAGCCACAGGCCGTGGTGCAGGGGAAGAGCCCCAGGCCACAAGAGGAGTGGGGTTGCAGGTGCCTGCCCTTTCTCTGGCCCTGTTTCTTCACCTGTGAAATGTGGGGCTCAGTGCTTCTGAGTCTCCAGGATTCTGCTCCCCCAGTTCTTCCAAACTGAGAACTTGGAGATGAGCGGAATAGGAGCCCGAACGATTTCAGAGACTTCGCGTCCTCTGCCCTGTGCCAGGGGACAAGGGGTCAGGGAAGGAGCGAGCTGTTTGCATCCAGGCAGAGGTAAGACACCAGCTGGGCCTGGCTTGTCCTTCTATACAGGGCAGCCTTGACCGACTGGCAGGTGTTGGGGAAGACAGCAGGAGGGGGCTGGACGCCCCACCCTACAGAATCTGTTCTCTACCCGAGGGAGCCCTGTCTCCACCATCCACATGTCTGACAGGTGGCTGGCCCACTCTGTGGGCATAATATGGTGTGGGAGTGGGGAAGAGGCTCAGAGCACCCTCTCCACAGGATAAAGTGGGAGACTGGCTGTAGCCAGGGATAGGCACGGAGGGCTGAAGGACAGGGAGACGCGGGGACAGTCGTCCTTCACTTTATCATTCACTCCTTTATCCCACAAATGAATCACTGAAATTCAGGGAGCTGGGCTTGTTGCTGTGTTTGTCCCAACCTTTTGGGGTTCCGGAAGAGGAAGAGATCTCCCCAAATCACCCACACAATCAGACCAGCGCCCCAGCCCCTCTTTACTTGAACCCACAGCAGGGCTACTTGGAGAGGGGAGGGAGGGGTGCAGAGAACGGGCTGGATGAGATCCTGTCTGGCTCTAACATGCCACAGTGCACACGTTTACATTGAGCACCTACTGTGTGCCAAACACCCCATGCAATGCTCTGGGGATGGGGTGGTAAGGTACACAAGGCTGACTGTTCCCAGACCCACTCCTCAGGGGATCACGATGGGAGGAATGTGACAAACACACATTACAAATACCAGCAGAAGGACTCTGAAGATACAGCCCGCAGTGTAAGTGATGCTATGAGGCAGCATCCAACCTGTGCCAAATGAGTTATGGCCAATAAATGCTGCAGGAACCCCAAGGAAGGAGCCACACCTGCAACTGGATGCTGGCCAAGCCCTTGGGCGGTCAGAGGCTGGCACACTTCAAGAGCCACAGCCGGGCCAGGTCTGCACACTGAGGCTGGGCACAGTGGTATCTAAACTGTGTATGCAGGCATAGGCCTGGGCATACATTTTTCCCATCCACGGCTCTTAGAAGACCCACATTGCTCCTGCAAGGAGACGCGCAGAGACGGGGTTGTGGACTGCATATCTGTGTCCCCCCCAGACCCATATGCTGAAATCCTGACCTCCAATGGGAGTCGATTAGGAGGCGGGGCCTTGGGGGAGGGATTCAGTTTAGATAAGCCATCAGGGTAGGGCCCTCATGATGAGATTGGGGTCTGAATAAGAGGCTAGAGGCTGGCACAGTGGCTCATGTCTGTAATCCTAGCACTTTGGGAGGCGGAGGGGGGTGGATTGCTTGAGTCCAGGAGTTCAAGACCAGCAAGGGCAACATGGTGAAACCCCCTGTCTACAAAAAATACAAAAATTAGCCAGGCATGGTGGTGTGTGCCTGTGATCCCAGCTACTTGGGAGGCTGAGGTGGGAGGATCGCTTGAGTCCAGGAGGTGGAGGTTGCAGTGAGCCAGGATTGCATCACTGCACTCCAACCTGGGTGACAGAGTGAGACCCTGTCTCAAAAAAAAAAAAAAAAAAAAAAAAGAAGAGGCTACATAGAGCTCATGCTCTCTCTCTCAGCCATGTGAGGCTATAATGGCCAGGAAGAGGGCCCTCATCAAACATCAAGTCTGCCAGCGTCCTGATCTTAGACTTCCTGGCCTCCAGAACTGTGAGGACAAAATAAATCTCTGTTGTTTAAGCCACCCCATCTCTGGTATCTTGTTACAGCAGCCCACGCTAAGAGAGATGATACGTGTGTCCTCAGCCTGGTGCTTGCCCCAAGATGCCATTAGGCCCCATTTCTCAGGTTTCTTGGTCTCCAGCTAATATACACCCTCCCCTAATCTGGTCACAGGTACTTTCTCTGGAGAAAAAAGAGAATCTCTTCCTTAAACCCAAAGACCTGCTGCCCAGCCTGTGGCGGTGGTGTGGTAGGATAAGCAGGGTATACATGTGGGTGGCCAGGCCATTGCCAGGCTCTTCCTGGAGTGACAGCATGCTAAAGCCTCTGCAGATGATTTGGTTTCACCTCCCCACTAAACCACCAGGAAAATCAAGGCCCAGAAAGGTGAAGTGGCTGCTGCAAGGTCACACAGCTAGTTCTGTCCCCTCACTGGGAAGATGAGCAGAGCACTCTCTCTGGCCCTTGGGGCTTAGGGTAGGACAGAGCTCTTCTGTGCTCCAGGTAGCCTTCTGACCTTTTTGAGAAGGGGACGGGAGGGTGCTGGCTTCCCATCCTCTCAGGCTGCTGCTAGACTGGAGTAGCATATGACAGCCTCTCCAGGCAAAGAGGGCTCTTCTCTCCCTCTCTTCCCAGGCTTGGAGTCTCGCTGGGTGTTCAAGAGCCCATCACTCTGCTGACACTGCTCCAGCTCCAGTTAGAAGGTGGGGTGGAGGGGAGGTCAGGGAAAGGCCCACCCTCCCATTCTCAAACCCCAATTGTTGTTGTTGTTGTTATATGTTTTGTTTTGTTTTTAGTCACTTTATCTGGCAAAGGACCCAAACCCCAATTATGAAATCCATCCTGACCCACTTTTGGGTTCTTCTCACACACCCACACTTACCCACAGACGTCGGCGCAGCGCATCCCCACACTCGCAGTGGTTTAGGTGTGTGGGGTGGGAAGCAGGGAGGGGTGGTCAGGAGGGAGCCCCTTTGTGGCTACTTGCTACTTGCCTTCTTGGTGTTCCTAAACACACGATATTGTTAGCCGGCAGGTAACAATATCCCTGGACCAGACCCCAGGATCATGGTGAAGTCCCTGGCATACAGGAAGGGCTCAGATCTGCAGTGAATGAGTGACAGTGAGCGTGCAGTAACGTCTTTCTCACAGGGACAGGCATGGTGTGGGCCAGCCCTAGAAATGAGGACCCATCTGGTGGTTTTTCCGTGGGGGAGGAGCGTAGTACCTGCCCTGGAAGCCCTCCAGCCCCCTGGCAAGGTGCCTTCACACCTATGCGTCCCTTTCAGTTTCCTAGTCTGAAACCAAAGCTCAGAGGGTTTAGGTGATGTGCCCGGCATCCTGGGGCCAGTCAGCGGCAGAGCCCGAACTGGCACCCAGGCCAGAGCTGTCCCAGCACACTGCACCCCGGCCCCTCCTGGGTGGAGAGCTGCCTCTGGAGTGTTGCTAGGCCTGGGTGGGGAGTAGGCTATAGGCAGGCTGCTGGAGACACTGAGGGCTTTGGCCCACCTTCCTAGGAGGTGACACTCCTACTCAGGGCATCCTTGAAGACTCAGAGGACACAAGCCAGAGTATACTTTGCTCTTCAGGGTAGACCCCTCCTTCTCACTTTCGCTAAGGGTGAGGCCTAGAATTCCCTGAAAAGCAAAATTAAGTGAGATGACTTGGATTCAAATCTCAGCTCTGCTACTTACTAGCTATTTGACCTTTGGGTAAATTACTTCTCTGTGCCTCAGTTTCTACAACCATAAAATGGTAGGCTGTAAAGTAACAATAACTATCTCCCAGATCCTTGAGAGGCACAAGAGACCACTCAAATTAAAGTGCTTTAATTTGATTTAATTTAATGGCAGATGTGAGTGCTCACTGCATCAGGGATTCAACTTATATGAACTGTGCGCCTCCTGGGTGCCAAGCACTGTGTTAGACACTCATAAATATAATGAAAACTTCATAGAAGTGGAGTACAAAGTAGAGAAGAGCCAAGAAGAAAGAGAACAGTCAGCTCTTCGTAGCCAAGCTCTGTGGAGCCTGCCCTGAAGAATGCTGTATAATGGACCTGTCTCCTCCAAGTGTCCATCCCTCTAGGCCCTAGATGCTTTGTTCCAAAGACCTGCATTAAATTCCACCCAGTTGTGCAGGGAGTGAATTGGGAGGTAGGAGCATCGAAGAGCAGGGCTTGGAAAAGCCCAGGACTGCCCAGGGCAGGGTACAGCTAGATCTGTAGGCCAGGGAGCCAGGCGGAGTCCACAATCTCCCCCGTCTTCTGCCAGAATCCCCTCCTCCCTGGCAGCCGGGCACCCAGCATTAGAAGAGATCGACCCAGGCACAGGCTGTAAGAGCCCTCAGCCCACTGGAGGGGAGGATTACTCAACTGGTAAATCCTGCCTTCCCTATAATCCTAGTGCTCAGAGAAAGATGCTAAGCTGCGCTCCCTCTCAACCAGCTCTGGCCAATTCCAAAGTGGAGCAACTCCCCAAGTTTTCATGCTCTTCTTCATTCTCCTGACCCTTTCAACCTGATTCCCTCAAGTTCCCCCTTCAGTTCTGTCCACACCATGTGAATGAGGCATTTCCCTCCCAATCCTGTTCCCCAAGAGTATCCCACTCGTCCTGCTTGCCTCCACCCTACTAGGACAAATAGGGGGGCCCTGTACCATTTTGGGGTTATGAACAAGGTCCCAGTTCAACCTTGTAACCCCTTAAGGGGTTCAAACGAAATTCCCCTCTCTCCTTTGAGGAACCAAGGAGCATATTTTCCAAAGAGCTGGCCTAATGGAAATATAAAGCCCGTTGCTACTGGGCCCAGTTAGAGTGCCTTCAGCCCTTAGGCAGGAAGTAGGGCTTCTTCTGGCAGAAGAGGGATATGTTTGTAGTGCTGGTGGGGACCCTGTGTACTGTCTGGGCACTGCACAACTTCAGGGGGCACCATTTCTATTGTGGCACCCCTAGAGTTATGCAATGCAGTGGCTCTGAGCTAGCAGCCTCCTTCCTGCCTTTCTGCAGAGGCTGTCAACAGATCCCCAGGGCCAGGCCCTCTTGCCCAGCCTTCTTTGTCCTACTTCTCTCCCTGACCCTGTCCTCCTGCAGCCAGGACTACCTTAAATGGGGTTTTAGAGGACATCTGTCCTACAAAAGCCTGAGGCTACCAAAATCAACACACACCTAAAGCTTTCCCATGAATCTTACATGTGCAAGTCCTGAAGACTTTCAAATCTAGTGCCTTTCTTCTGATGAGCATGAGAGGAAGGGGGAAGTGGTTGGCACCAATACAGAGAGACAGGTGGGTAGCCCAGTGCCATGGGGTCAAGCAGTAAGTCATTTATTCTCACCCACGGAGCTGGCTATTGGAAGCAGGTGGAAGAAGGGAGGTGGGGAGGAATCTTTTATTTTAAACCTTTCCTGTTCTGATTAAGCATTTCTTTTCCCTCTGACCTTCACTGGTCCCATTTTGGCAGATCAAACAGCCAGCGAGTCGGAGGGAGGCCTAGGCCAGTGACACATGGATTCCGGATGGGCCGGCCTGCTGCCGCCCCCTCGCTGCTGTGGCCGGGCTGCTGCCCAGGAAGCGGCAGGAGACTGCGGCTCATCTGCGCTGGGCCTGCAGGTGCTTCGGGAAGGCCTCGCGGGGCTCCAGGCTCCTGCGGCTGGACAGGTCGCATGTGGGGCGAAGGCGGAGATCAGCAGCCCATCGCGGGGCCCGGCCACTCAGCCTGGAGACCTGGCTGCCCGTGGTTCCTGCTGTCCTCTGTGAATTACAACCTGCCAGTTTGACTTTGGGGAGAAACAGTCACTTGTCTGACGGTAACAAAAAGATCCAAATCTCTGCCTCTTCCCATCACTTGGCTGGATAGCCTATGAAGCATGTGTGTTTTAAACAAATTTCCAAGGAACTTGTGGATGCACGCAGTTTAAGGAGAAAACGGGAGAGGTCATGGTGTGGCCTGCGTTGTACTGGGTGGGTCGGACGAGGGAACCTGGGGAAGGAGGAGTAAGGGCCAGGGTCCTAGAAGAGGTTTTCTGGGGTCAGGGCCGCGGTGAGCACCAGGTCGCCAGGAGCAGCCGGCGTCGCCTCTGGCGCATCCGGGCCCATCCCCCACAGCACCCCCAACGATCTCGGGGTCCAGCCACACCCTCCGCCCGCCCTGCCTCACCCCTGCTTCCCCAGCCCCCAACCCGGCCCGGCCGAGAGGAAGGAGCCAGCCCCGCCGGGCCGCCGCCTGCGACTTCCCCTCTGATCCACAGGTGCCGGTAAACAAAAGTGCCGCAGCTACCCCCCCGCCCCCACCCCGCGGAGTTCGGCCCAAGGTTACGCCGGGGTTCGGGCGGCGCCCGCCGGGGGCCCCCAAACCCAGCTTCTGGACTCTCCCCGGCTTCTCAAGCCCACCGGGCCGGGAGCCTTCCTCTGGCTCCGAGCTGCTCCCCTCGCTCCAGGCTGGATTCCCCCCTGAAATGTTGGTCCGGGAAAACCAGCCTGGGTCCTCGCGCGCCCTTCTGCACGGGGACCCCAGCCCACCCCCGTACGGACACGCCTTCCACCATCTCGCCTAGAAGGCTGCTGGGACCCCAGACCCAGAGCCCCGGTCACACTCCCGTCCCATGCTGTCCCCCTCCCGCAAAGCCCACGGTGGGAACAGAGGGCACCGCGCGAGCCGATGCCACCCTCACTGCCGGCCCCACCCAGACCTGCCGGTGCTGCAGTGCCCCGTATGTGCAGCCTGCAGCATCCCAGCGGCTGGGGCAGGCCCGGGGGCGGCTCGCACAACGCAGCTGGGGACCGGGTCGGGGTCCAGCGGCAGCCGGGGTCCGGGTCCCCCCGGCCCCGCACCCCTTCCCACTCCCGGCCCGCAGGGGAGACCCCGGAGCGCGCGACCCCGGAGCGTCGGGCAGGTGTGGAGCTGGGGGTCCCGGGGCTGGGGGGTCCCAGGGCCGCCGGCCCGGGCCGCAGGGACAGGGGAGGGGCGCTGGGCTGTGACCCCCAGTACTGTTTACTTTCCGTGTAATTAGCCGGCCAGGCTGCGGAGCCTCGGGCTGCGACGTGCGGCGGCCGCTCCCGCAGACCCCGGAGCTCAATCCCCGAACCCGCAACCCCGGGTCTCTGCCTTGGCAGCCCTGCGGACTCACGTCTCGGAAGCGGTTCCAGTGCTTGATCTTGCCGCTGTACTGCGAGATGGACGACAGCCATTGCTCGTCCTCCATGAAATTGCCGGGGGTCTCGCCCTCCTTGAGCCCCTTGGCGTCGCCTTCGGCCAGGGCTGCCGCGGCCAGGAGCAGCAGCGGCAGCACCAGCCGCCCGCAGCCCGGGGCGCGCATCGTGGTCTGGGTTCGACCTGGGGGGGTCTTGACTTCTGCAGTATTTTAATGTCCTTCCTCCCACCCCGCTGCTGGCGAAGCGCACGCGGCTGTCCTCAGCTCTCCTCCCGCGGTCTGCCTCCGGTGACTGGCGGAGAGTGGGTCGCGGCTGAAATGTGACCTGGTTAGGAGATGCACTTGTCTGAAAAAGCCCAGCACTGGACGCGGAGAGGGAGAGAGAATCAGAGAGGCTGCGCCAGCAGGGGCTGTAACTGTAGCATCAGCATCACGTTTGACATCATCATACCTGGTTTAAAAAAAAAAAAAAAAAAGGAGTGGGTAGATTTCAAAGCGAAGCGCTCCCTCGATGAGAGCGCCAAACGCCAGCCAGCCGCAGCGGGGCCCAGCCCCGCCTGGCACACAGGGAGTTGCAGACCAAGAAATCCAGAATCCCGAAATGTCCCTGAGCTCCCTCAAAGGATGGAGAGCAAGAAGGGCCCCAGGATCTCCCCGGGGAAGATGGGATGGGGGAGAGGGCACAAAACTCTCCGGTTACAAAGCCAGCCAGGCTCAGGTGTCGGAAAGGGAATTTGGCCAGACACTGTTTTTCTCCCCTTGCCTCCCACCCAGAGGGGCCTGCGCCACAGCCCTGACAGCTGGCTTCCTGCGAGTTATGGCTCTACCGTAATGGGTGGCTTCGTTAAGACAAAAGCCGTATAACAACTGGCTGCTCAGAACCATTGCTCCCCAGCGGCACCGCGTTGCGCAAGGCAAGGCCTGAGCACTGAGTGGCTGGTGAAACAGAGGCAGATGTCCTCCTCCCCAGGCAGCTGTTTAGGGGCTGTCACCCGTTTTGTCAGCTCTTCCCAGGACAACCCTAAAAGGCAAATGTCTGACCATTTCATCTGCCTTGGAGGCTGCAAATTTGGAAAAGGCATATTTGCTTATGGTTTTTTGACTTCAAGTTAGTTTGAATAAGCCACTGGGGAAGCCGGGGAGTGGGGGGCTGGGGTGGGGTGCTGGTTTTGTTTGAGGTGTTTCGGGTTTTGTTGAAACTGCGACCCTCCTTATTGGCTGTAGATTTAAATGTTGACATACCAGCGGGGAAGGCTGGAGGCTGGCCACAGTCCCAAGAGCACAGCAGAAATGGGGACAGGTTTACATTACAAATACATTAAAGAGGAAACATCATCTGATGGGACAAAACCTAGTGAACTTTTGGGACCCAAGCCCTAGATTGTGTTTTTATAAAAAGACTTAGCTGCTGTGATCTAAAAATAAAATAAAAATTTAAAATGCTTTAAAAAACATAATCTTAATCAGTAGGAAAAAACATAGCTTACAAGGTTCCTTGTCACCCTGAATCTGGCCTATCTGGGAACTCTGAATGCCTCAGTGGCTCAGGCCGGAGTCTCGTTGGGAAAACAGAAAACAATAGCTCCCTTTCCATGTTTTCTTGTTTCCTTTGCTGTTGGATTTAGTGGTGGTGCTGCAGTGAGGCCCTGGCCATTGACGTCTTCATCTCACAGTAATAAAGCATTCTTCCTGGGTGTGTCCTGGCGCTGTACAGTGAGAGAGCACGGCTTGCTGTCGTGGAGACTAGAGGACAGAATCCCACTTACTGGCTGGATTCTTGAGCAATTACCTATTTTCTATCTAAAACTAATGGTAATACCATCATTAAAACTGCTGTAAAGTGCAAGCAAAATTACATACTAAGTGGGCATAATGGGCATTTTTTTAAAAAGTTAGTCTTTCCTCTGGTTGGGAAGAGAAGGCTACGGTGTCCCATAGTTCTGAAGATTCATCAAAATTTGCCATCTTTTCCACCATCTCAATCCTACAATCCTAGTTTTTTGTTGTTTTTTTTTTTTTTGTTTCTGTTTTCGTTTTTAGCAAAGCTAGCTATATATCTCTAAGGCACTTAGGAGATAGGTACCAGATACCACAGCTCTCCCATTCCTGTGCTATCTTAGGGGCTTCCAGAGTTACCAAAGTTGCTGAATAAAGAGTTTGGAAAGGTGCTGTCAAGATGCCCATCAATATGACAATAGCTGTCTCCAGACTCTGAGGGTCAAAATGGCTCCCACAGTCCCAGGTAGCTTCTCCAGTGGGACTTGCCTTCTGTAGCACCTTCAAGCTGGGTCAATACTAGTCCTGTGTCGAAAGCTAATCAACAACATTCCAGTCCCATTAGTGAAGCCAATAGTAATGCTATTTAGGAAGAAGAACCCAAATTTCCAGATGACTGGTGTAAAACTTGTAGGAAATGGCCAATAGTTTTAGTTTACAAAGAAGAAAAAAAGGGCCAGGTGTGCTGACTCACACCTGTAATCCCAGCACTTTAGGAGGCCAAGAGGCAGGAGGATGGCTTGAGCCTAGGAGTTCCAGACCATCGTGGGCAACATAGCGAGACCCTATCTCTATACAAAATTTAAAAAATGAGCCACGTTGCACATGCCTGTGGTCCCAGCTACTCGGAGGC
The DNA here is from genome assembly GCF_000001405.40 of Homo sapiens. Taxonomy (NCBI): domain Eukaryota; kingdom Metazoa; phylum Chordata; class Mammalia; order Primates; family Hominidae; genus Homo; species Homo sapiens. The sequence continues at coordinate 72,090,793 of NC_000010.11, forward strand.
TGAGGTGAGAGGACTGCTTGAGCCTCGGAATTAAGGCTACACTGGGCTAGCATCGTGCCACTGCACTCCAGCTGGAGAAACAGAGCGAGACTCTTTCTCAAAAGAAAACAGAAAAGAAGAAAAAGAAAAGGTTTTTCAATTTTTTTTTTTTTTTTTTTTGAGATGGAGTCTCACTCTGTCGCCCAGGCTGGAGAGCAGTGGTGCGATCTCGGCTCATTGCAACCTCCGCCTCCCAAGTTTAAGGGATTCTCCTGCCTCAGCCTCCCGAGTACCTGGGATTACAGGTGCCCGTCCCCATGCTCAGCTAATTTTTGTATTTTTAGTAGAAATGGGGTTTCACCATGTTGGCCAAGCTGGTCTTGAACTCCTGGCTTCAGGTGATCCTCCCTCCTCAGCCTCCCAAAGTGCTGGGATTACAAGCATAAGCCACCACACCCAGCTTGGTTTTCCTCATGTTTGAAAGAATTACTGGCAGGTTAGCCTTTTCAAGACAATAGCCCCAAACATGAGGAGCTGCTGCTAGGTATATGTATTAAGTGGTACATATATTTTACACATTTTTCTGTTTGCACTTAATATTTAGCAATTCTAAAATGGAGAAGAGAAACCTTAGTTTCCTCATAAGAAACCCAAATTGAATACATCGAGTTTCGCTCTTGCCCAGGCTGGAGTGCAATGGCGCGATCTCAGCTTACTGCAACCTCTGCCTCCCAGGTTCAAAAGCAAATCTCCTGCCTCAGCCTCCCGAGTAGCTGGGATTACAGGAACGCACCAACACACCCGGCTAATTTTGTATTTTTAGTAGAGATGGGGTTTCTCCATGTTGGTCTGGCTGGTCTCAAACTGATCTCATGTGATCCATCCGCATTGGCCTCCCAAAGTGCTGGAATTACCAGCATGAGCCACCGTGCCTGGCCTGAATGTATCTTAAAATCCATTTAATTCCATTTCTAGATGACCCCACAAGCACAAAAAGATAAACACACAAAGATCCAGAATTGTTCATAATAGCCCATCCTGGAAACCAATTCAATGTCCATTAGCCAGGAACCACCTAATTAAAGGATAAAACATACCTGTAACAGACTATTGTGCAGACATTACAAATAATGATGTAGATCTGTATCTATTAAAGACCAATGTGATCCACTATGTATTGCTGGGTGAGAAAAGCTCGTTATATAAGATCATATATAATAGGATCCCATTTGGAAGTATAGTATAGTATAGCCATTCTCAAACTTTCTGGCGTCAGGAGCCCTTAACACTAAAAAATTATTGAGGACCCCAAAGAACTTTTGTTTCTGTGAGTTATATATATAGTGATATTTACTGTATTTGAAAATCAAATTAAGAATTTAAATTTATTTTAAAATAATAAATGTACCCATTTCATATTAACAGAATATTTTATGAAAAACAACCGTCTCTACCGCTCCCCCAAATTAGTAAGAGAGTGGCACTGTTTTACAGTTTTACAAATCTCTTTAGTGTCTGGTCAGAAGAAGACAGAGTCTGGCATAAGCTTCTGCATTACAGCACGTGTATCCATTGCTGGGGCTGCCGTAACAAAGTACCACAGACTGGGTGGCTTCAACAACAGACGATTATTTTCTCACAGTTCTGGAGGCTCAGAGTTCAAGATCAAACTGTTGGTGGGTCTGGTTTCTCCTGAGCCCTCTCTTCATGGCCTGCAGGGTGGCCGCCTTCTTGCTGTGTCTTCGTTTCCTCTGTGCACACACTAGTCTGGTGTCTCTGTGTGTCCAAATTCCCTCTTCTTATAAAGACACCAGACAGATTGCATTAGGGCCGACCCTAACAGCCTCACTTTAACCTAATCACCCCACTAAAAGCCCAATCCCCAAATAAACAGTCACATTCTGAGTTACTGGGAGTTAGAGCTTCAACATGTAGATTTTGGGTGGTCATGACTCAGCAGCAGGTATAAATGAAAATAGCCAGTAAGAGCACAGTAGAAGCACTGGCAGCAAACTGAGTTAATCTCTGAAAACACATATATTTATACCCTAAATCTATCAATTTACAATATTCTAGAAAACAAAAGTACACACACACACATTCTACTAATTATCAGAGTGATGTCACCATGTCACAGAGCCTCTGGAAAACTCCACTGAACACTCGTGAGAGAATGAGTTAAAAAGGCACATAGCACCTTAGCGTTCTTATGAAAACAGTTTGGACCTCCTCGTAGGCATCCCCTAAAAGGTTCCTGGGGACTCCTAGAAGTCCAAAGTCCACACTGTGAGAGCTGCTGGTACAATCTATATGACTTAAGGCAATTTTTTTTTTCCTTTTTTTTTTGAGACAGGGTTTCACTCACTGTCACCCAGGCTAGAGTGCAGTGATGTAATCATGGCTCACTACAGGCTTGCCCTCCTGGGCTCAATTGATCCCACCTCAGCCTCTGAAGTAGCTGGGACTACAGTCGCATGCCACTATGCCTGGCTAATTTTCTTTTGTGCTTTTATTTTGGTAGAGACAGTGTCTCACCATGTTGCCCAGTCTGGTCTTGAACTCCTGGGCTTAAGCAATCCTCTTGCCTCCCAAAGTGCTAGGATTACAGGTGTGAGCCACTGCCCCCAACTTTAAGGAAAATTTCTTAACCTTGTTAAGCCTCAGTTTGTAAAATGGGGACAATATTACCTACTTAAGTGGGCTATTGTAAAGATTGAATTAATGCACAAAAAAATAACAAATGTGAACACTCCACTAACATTAGCTATTATTTGTGAAAAATTTCTTAACTTCTCATATTTTATATATGTCTAAATGTATAGGGAGTAGTTACCTCTGGAAGCTAACATTTATTTTCATTTATTATTTATTTATTTATTTATTTATTTATTTATTTATTTTTGTAGAGATGGGGTCTTACTAGTTTGCCGATGCTGGTCTTGGACTCCCGGCCTCAAGCGAACCTCTGGTTTCAGCCTCCGATTTAAATTGAAGTATAACACACAGTGACAAAAGCACAAAGCATAAACTTGATTATTTTTCATAAAGTAAACTTGTCTTCATTTAAAAGGACATTTTACAAAAAAAAAAAGCTATTAATAAAAACCATAACGGCAGCCACTTTCATCACTTCTAGCAGCAAGAGCTTGAACATTCATGCTCCCTATGGTATCGAGATGGAAGCTGACAGGTGTTCCATTGACTCAACTCAATACACCTCTAGTGCCAGTGGGTTCCCTTGAGCTCCAGGACAGTGAGCTCCAGCACAGTACAAGGGCAAACAGGAACCAAATCTGAATTATTACGATGCTGGATTCTACTCAATGCCCAGTTTTGGAAACTCTAGAGCTTGCTTTAAAAATAATCATTGTAAGAAACATTTACAATGTGTCTAAAATAAAAATTACTCTCCATAACAAAGTTCCATGTATAACAACACAGATTCTGTGAAGTAGCGAGTGAGAGATTTTTTTCCCTCTTCCTCTTAAGAGAAATTGAGGGTGAAGTCAGTGCCTCAAAAGCTGGCTGGAGCAGTGTTAGGTACAATGAACTATTTCAGTGTAGAATGAATTACAAAACAGTAATATGAAGGAAGGTTTGATTGTAAGCACAGCAGCAGCAAATCCTCCAACATTTACCCCATTATCATTTGGTGAGAGGGGAACCTTAACTCTAACCCTTTTACTGTTGTTGCTCTCTACCATTTTGCTTTTTCATAAAAGTTCTACATCAAAACTGTTACTCCCTCTTCCACAACAGCACTGAAAACTGTATTTCCTTAGAGCTATACTGTCCCCAAAATTGGAATACAGACTTCATGAGAGAATATTTTATCTCTGCCTACCACAGCATGTGAAAAAAAAGGAATTTTTTAAAATTTAAATGTTAAAAATTTTCCAATTCTACCAATACCTACCAACTTACAAAACTCTAGAGAACTCAGAAATACACAAACACACATTCCATTAACCACCAGAGTGATGATGCTGTCGCGTCATAGAGCCTCTGGAAAACCCCACTGTATAACTGGTGAGAGAAACAGAGGGAAAAAGGCAAACAACTTGAGAAGAATTACTTAACAAGACATAGGGAAGAGTAATCACTAAATCCTCAATAACACAATTTCCAATTCTATTTAGAATTTGGTATTTGGGCCCAGTGTGGTGGCTCACAGCAGTAATCCTAACACTTTGGGAGGCCAAGGCAGGAAGATGTCTTGAGCCCAGGAGTTCGAGATCGGCCTGGGCAACACAGTGAGACCCCATCTCTACAAAAAATTTTTTTATAAAAAGTAGCCAGGCATGGTGGTGCACGCCTGTAGTCCCAGCTGCTCGGTAGGCTGAGGTGGGAGGATAGCTTGAGCCCAAGAGGTCAAGGCTGCAGTGAGCCATGATTGCGCCACTGCACTCCAGACTGGGTGACAGAGTGAGACCCTGTCTCAAAAAAAAAAAAAAAAAAAAAAGAATTTGGTATTCAATATATAAAGCTAAATTTTCCAAAGACAAAAAACTTAGAAAAAAAAGTTTCCTACAAATGTTAAGTCATAAGTCTCAGAAACTCAAAAGAAGTGACATTTACTTCCTGGCTGAGGTTGCCCAATGGCTTGTCAGAAAGAAACCGAGAGAGAGGCACATCAAGATGAGATGGGGCATTAACTCCATAGTCAGCTTCAGAATTCAGCACTGTCCCTGGAGCACTCATTCCCAAGTGCCACCTAACAACAATCTGAGGTGAAGTAAAATCTCAATTTGTATAGAAAATGAATATCCGTAGAAAGAGGAGGCCTTCTGGGAAAAAAATCAACCTTGCGGCCAGGCACGGTGGCTCACGCCTGCAATCCCAGTACTTTGGGAGGCTGAGACGGGCAGATCACGAGGTCAGGAGATTGAGACCATCCTGACTAACAAGGTGAAGCCCCGTCTCTACTAAAAATACAAAAAAAAAAAAAATTAGCCGGGTGCAGTGGCGGGCGCCTGTAGTCCCAGCTACTCAGGAGGCTGAGGCAGGAGAATGGTGTGAACCCAGGAGGCGGAGCTTGCAGTGAGCCGAGATCGTGCCACCGTACTCCAGCCTGGGCGACAGAGCGAGACTCCGTCTCAAAAAAAAAAAAAAAAAAAAAATCAACCTTGCAGGTACTAATATGTAAGTCCTCCATGAATGATCCAGCTATGCTGGTAAATAAGTGAGGGCAACATTGTATCCCAACACAGGAAGGGGTCAAATTCAAACTATGTGAACTATGTGATCATACTAACAGAAACACCGTTAAACATTTTATTCACAAGTGATTTGTGCAGTCCCAATAATAAATCTCACTGTTAGACACAGTCCTCACAATGTAGCAACTTAACACAGAGTTCAGAAGTGCAGTTAAAGAATATAAAGAGAGAAAGAATCAAGGCAAGAATAAGGAAGGAGAAGAAGGAGAGGACATGGAGGGAGGAAGAATGTGAGGAGGCAGGGGTGGGAGGCTGGGGCTCCCCAGCATTCCCGCCTCCCTCTGCTGGTCCGTGGTGAGGGAGGAGTGAGGGCCTCCTGTGGCTGACATTCTTCCAGGGAACTCTGCACAGTCCTGCTGATATCATCAGTTTCTTTTGCTGCTGCCTTGAAAAGTAAACAAAAAAGGGCTGCAACACTGCAACTCCATCAGGGGCATGGGAAGATGAGGGTGGGGATGGGGTGAAGGAACAGGAATCCAACAAATATTAAGAGGACAAACTTTGGTAGGAAAATGATAGACCAAGCAAAGTAAAAGGCAAACAACTTTAATGGTTATTTTGCTAAAGATAAAACTCTGGGTGGTAAAGGAATTAAAGGCAGAGTCTCAAAGAGATATTTGCACCCCCGTGTCTGTATTAGCACTACTCCCAATAGTCAAGAGGAAGCAAGCCAAGTGTTCACTGATGGAGGAACAGAGTGTGGTACGCACATGTAACGGAACATTCCATTATATGTATAATACAGGAAGGAAATCCTGTCACCTGACACAACATGGATGAACCTTGAGGACATTATGCTAAGTGAAATAAGCCAGTCACAAAAAGACAAGTCACTGTATGATTCCACTTATATGAGATACTGAGAATAGTCAAAACCAGAGAGACAGAAAGCAGAATGGTGGCTGCGGGGGCTGGGAGGAGTGGGAATTACTGTTTAATGGGTACAGTTTCCATTTTACAAGCTGAGAAGCCTATGGAGATGGACGGCGGTGACGGCCACACAGCATTATGAATGTATTAACAGTTAACGTTACTGAACTGTGCACTTAAAAATGGTGAAGACAGTATGTTTTATGAGTATTTTACGACAATTTAAAAATTAAAAGAAAAAAAACCAGAACACACTAAGGGTTATAGGCACAAATTCTCCTTATGCCCACCACCATCTCAGCTGGTAGTATGACGGGTGTAGACACCATTAGAGGCAATGGTGAATCTATGGGGAACCACCCAGGAAAGTCACCATCCAAATGTCCACATCCCTGCTTGGCAATTAAAACGAAGACACTTTTCTTCAGCACCTGGTGAAGATGTTTAGTTTCTAGTGCTTTCCAAGATCCACCTCAGGAGAAGTCAATTTGTCCACAGGAAGCGTAGTTTCCAAAGCTGTCTACGGTGAACCTCTGAGAGATGTGAATTGAATTCAGCTTTAGGGAGCCAAAGTAGAAGTTCTCAAACAACTGAAAAGGAAGAATAAAAACCCAGAATGAATATTTAAAGTATAGATGAAAATATTAAACATCAGATTATCTTGTAAAAACACCAAACCACAACAATCCCAACAAATCTCTCATGCTTTTTCTTTTCAGTGTTTACTCTGAATAATGATCCAGGAGAGGAGGGATGGGGGTGGGAGTGAGAAAAGAACAGCCAGCTCTTCTCTCTGATTAATTCTAAAGTCTCCCCTGACAAATGCACCAGAGAAAGAGGTTCTGAAAAGTCAAATCCGAAATTCATCTACTGACCAGATATGACCAAGAACTTATAGCAAACGCCCCATGGCCACACCCTGACTCACAGAGTCTGACCAGGCTGCTTCTGACTTCCAGTGACTGACCATGCAGGGATCTCGGCTTTGTTGCACCAGGGTTAAATTTGACGTAACATATATCTAATCAACGCCATTTGTTAGGAGCGCTGACTAAAATAAATAGAAGATAAGGCTCCTGACTCACAAGTGATTCAGACAAACCACTGAGGGACACAGAGCATGCACACACACACAGAACAACCCAAGGGACACTTCTACTGCCAACAGAACAAGTACAAGTGATTACTTATCAAATACCTTTATTAGACTTGGATTCAAGCCAGCGACCTAAAATAAATACTTTTTGCTATGATCCTGTACTTTACAAAAGCTTTCAAAAGTGTGTCAGAGTGAGGGATGAACCATACATACTCCAAGAGGGACTGGACTTTGTGATTACCACATTTATAAGGCAGGACCCAAAATGACATCAGAATTCATCCCAGGAAAATGCAGCCATAGTGCCTGAATAAGGAGCGTCAAAGAGTAAAGAGCGTACCTTCCTCTGTTAGGATGTAGGAATTGCTCTTTCTTAAAATGTCAGTACAATCCCAAGAAAGCCTTGGTTGTTTTTTAGAGATAGGGTCTCTCGCTTTGTTGCCCAGGCTGGAGTGCCTTGGATTGCAGTAGTGCAATCATGGCCTCAACTCCTAAACTCAGGCAATCCTCCCATCTCAGCCTCCCAAAGCACGGAGATTACAGGCATTAGCCACCATACCTGGCCCCAAGAAAGGCTTGTGACACATGTCCCCAACGATGCCTGAGGGGACCTTTGCACATGGACAAGTGACTGTCTTTTCACTTATTTTTATACAACCTCCACAAACATGGACCTTGGCCACCATTGCTTTTCCTCTTCCTGCAATTAATGGCCTAGCAAAATGCCTGAGGGTTCATTAAAGGCTAACTTTATAAAGCCCAGTAAATATTGATTCTTCAACATGACATCAACTTGACCCCAAAGATCTATTTAGAGGTTGTATGCTGCATTGTCTTGTGTTTCAGAAAGGTGATCAGCTCCTGCCTGCATTGATTTACACAATTAACTTCTCTTCCTGGCTTTGGCAGCCTGCTTAAACCATATCCACCCTTTTATGTAAAGAAATTCAGCCTGAAATGGTTATCTGCTAATCCCTTTGCTGAACACTAATTTGAAGTGAAAGACACGTCACTAAGACTGACAGATTTATAGCTCTGCAAACTGAAGCCTTCTAGGTACAGAAAAGCTATAACCAAAGAAGCAATAAAAGACAATACAAAAGAAAACTAAAAGGAAACTCATAATACTTTCAACAAGTTACTTTTTAAGGATTGGCAGCCTGTGAGTGCTACCTTCTTCTCTTTGTGCCCATGTTTTCAAGTAGTGGGGAGGCCACAGTGAGAAGCTGCAAGTGACCGACCCATGACTTCACTTCACCTTATGCAGATGGCCTACAGACAGCATGAATCTGCCAGGGATATTCTCCTACTCCAGGTTTAAGGAAATAGCAAATGTAGCAATCATGAAGTTAGCTGGGATGTGACTGCAATGCAATAACAGAAGAATTGAGAGAGATAACTAAACATAAATTCTCACATCCACTAAGGCAAGAGCAGGCTGTGGAAAGAGTGCTGGATTCTAAACGTATGCCCAGACATGTAAGCTGTGTGACTGTGGACAGAAGGCACCACCCACTGTACCAACCACAACAGGGGCACAAGATCATAATGGGCAAAGACCTCATAAGAGCAAGTACAAGGCCAGGCGCGGTGACTCATGCCTGTAATCCCAGCACTTTGAGAGGCTGAGGCAGCGGGATCACCTGAGGTTGGGAGTTCGAGACCAGCCTGCCCTACATGGAGAAACCCCGTCTCTACTAAAAATACAAAATTAGCCAGGCGTGGCAGCGCATGCCTGTAATCGCAGCTACCCGGGAGACTGAGGGAGGAGAATCGCTTGAACCTGGGAGGCGGAGGTTGCGGTGAGCCGAGATTGCATCACTGCATTTCAGCCAGGGCAACAAGAGAGAAACTCTGTCTCAAACAAACAAACAAATAAACCAAAAAAAAAGCTAGTACAAGTACCTTGTGTGCTCACTGAGCAGGGTTTAAAAAAAATAAAAAATATCTTGTAAACTGTAAAGTGCTATGGAAAATTAGTATTTCCGTAGCAATATGGTATTTCCGTATGGTATTTCTTATGATGTTTTTAAATATCTCTCTGCCATCATCACCCTTGTATTTATTTTACCTTTGTAAGTCGCCATGTTCTTTCATACCTTTTGATAATATCACAACAAATGGATTTCTCATCCAGACGTCCCTAGTGCCAGTGCCAATCTTCATGTCACCCTTCCTACCTCTGTTCTTGTCCTCTATGTTTATGATTTAGTAACAGATAATTTACTAGCAATTTTTCAGTTATCTTACTGCTTAGTTATTGTTATATCTTTTTTTTTTTTTTAGACGGACTCTCTCTCTCTCTGTCACCCCGGCTGGAGTGCAGTGGCGCGATCTCAGCTCACCACAACCTCTGCCTCCCGGGTTCAAGCTATTCTCCCTCAGCCTCCTGAGTAGCTGGGATTACAGGCATACACCACCACACCCAGATAATTTCTGTATTTTTCAGTAGAGACGGGGTTTCTCCATGTTGGCCAGGCTGGTCTTGAACTCCTGACCTCAGGTGGTCCGCCTGCCTTGGCCTCTCAAAGTGCTGGGATTACAGGCATGAGCCACCATGCCCAGCCTATTATATCTTTATTCTTTGTTTTTTTCCTTTTTATTTATTTTCTTAATAGAGACAGGGTCTTGCTAGGTTGCCCAAGCTGGTCTTGAACTCCTGGGCTCAAGTGATCCTCCTGCCTTGGCCTCCCAAAGTGCTGGGATTATAGGCATGAGACACTGTGTCCCGCCAATGTATCTTTATTCTTAAGTCTTTTAGTTCTATCAATTATTTCTAATGACTCACTAAAATATAAGCCCTACAGAGGAAGAAGCTGGATCCTACTGTACTGTAACATTATCTAGTAGACTGCATCTGATCGATAAATATCTGCTGGACAAAATGACAATGAAAACTAATGCTGTAGATGTCCATGTACATCCCCAAGTCTGGAAAGAGAAAACTATGACATGCACTTGTCTAGACTGAATTTAAAGGTCTAATGTATCAGTTCCCACCAAGGAATTTCTGAACAGGACTTGCCAAATTATATTACTTCAAATCAAGGAGGCGGGGGACATTTCTACATGTTTCTTATTTGTGAAAACCTGGATCTCTTTCTTAGCTTCAGTTCCTGATCTGGAATATTGCTGAGCACCTGATGTTATGCATTTTCATGCAAAGAGGCACATGAAAGTAGTTCTGTCTCCCAAGTGCTTACCATCTCGTTAGGGAGAGTGCATATCAGAAGAGGGAAATGCTGATGACCTGGGTGTGTCCATCTTATGAAAAGTCACTGAGTCCTTTACTCTGTGATCTGTGTAGCTTTCTGTATGTATGTTCTACTTTAATGAAAAAAGCTTACCTAAAACAATATAGGTAGTAAAGGTTAAGTGCGTGAGATGAGAGGTACAGGCCATCAATAAATGCAGCAGGAGGTAAGGAAACAAGGGATGCTGAGGGCTGCGGACCTAGGAAAGCCATCTGGAGGAGACGAGACCTGAGCTGGGCCTTGTGGCAGGTATAGGGCGTAACACAGAGGAGGGAGGGCAGCATGAAGGCAGAAATGGGCATGGTGGGCTGGGCCAGGCAAACAGTTTAGATGTTTGGAAGGTTCCTAGAGTGAAGCAGTGAGAAAGACAGAAGGAAGGAGAATCAGATTAAGGGTGTCTGGGGGACCTGAGGCTCAAGTTCACAAGTTATACTTCATCCTACATGGTGGGGAACCACTGAAGGCTTTAGGGTAGGTTGGTGGCCCAAGATGAAAACCATGTTTTAGGGAGATTAACCTGGGTATGATGTATTGTGCTGACTGGAGAAGGGAACAAGATAAAGAAAAAAAAGGAGACCATGGTAGTAGTTCAGTCATGAGGGTGATGTTGAGTGTCTCAACTACAAACAGGCAGTGGGCTTGGAAAGACTGGAGCAGATGTGAATGAATGAATGAAGCCATGAATGAAACTATAAATGAAACACAGACCGGAGCTAAATGATGAGAACTTATAAACACAAAGAAGGAAACAACAGACACTGGGGCCTCCTTGAGGGTGGAGGGAGGGAGGAGGGAGAGAAGCAGAAAAGGTAACTACTGGGTACTGAGCTTAATACCTGAGTGATGTAATAATCTGTGCAACAAACCCCCGTGACACATGTTTACCTGTGTAACAAACCTTCACATGTACCCCCAAACCTAAAATAAAAATTACAAAAGAAACATAGAAACGCCTTGGTGACTTTCTAGATGAGAAGGAGATGGAAAAATCAGTGATGATGGGTCCAATGGGTGTATATGAGGCTGCCATTGACAGTAACAGAACATTTTTGAAAGGGAGCTACTTCATGGGGAAAACAACAAGTTCAGGTGTGTTTACACACTCACGGCTGTATCTTACCCACTAGCTCTCTGTGTCCCAAGCCCTTCTCGATTCTAGGATTTTCCTGGTAGGCTCTGAGAATATGCATCAGAGACACCTGTAGCACAGTTAAGTGGAAACAGATCACTATAAAAGGCTTTATGAGCGTCCCTCCTTTTATTGAGTTGTAGTTCTTTTTATACTAGGGAAATGAACCTTTTTTGTCTATGTTACAAGTTGCAAATACATGTATTTCCTCTAGTTTGTCACTTGTCTTTTGACTCTGCTTATAATGGTATTTACCATGTCAACTTTAATTTTTATGAACTCACAATTATCATAACAGGAGATTTTAAAAACAAAGTTACCTAATGCCAATAATTATACATTAAAAGATTGGCCGGATGTGGTGGCTCACACCTGTAATCCCAACACTTTGGGAGGCTAAGGCAGGCAGATCATCTGAGGTCAGGAGCTCAAGACCAGCCTGGCCAACATGGTGAAACCCCATCTCTACTAAAAATACAAAAATTAGCCAGGCATGGTGGCGGTCACCTGTAATCCCAGCTACTTGGGAGGCTGAGGCAGGAGAATCACTTGAACCCGGGAGGCACAGGTTGCAGTGAGCGGAGATTGCATCATTGTACTCCAGCCTGGGCAACAAGGCAAAGCTCTGTCTCAAAACAAAACAAAAAAAAGATCAAAGTGAACTAGAAATATGTAGGTATTGACAACAACAGTAATAAAGATGACAACAGCCAACATTTATTAAGTAAACACATGTGCCAGGAATTATCTTATTGCGTCCTCACAACCCCACGAAATAGATACTATGTTTTTTTTTCCTTTTTTTTTTGAGACAGAGTCTTGCTCTGTCGCCCAGGCTGGAGTGCAGTGGCGCGATCTCAGCTCACTGCAAGCTCCACCTCCCGGGTTCATGCCATTCTCCTGCCTCAGCCTCCCGAGTAGCTGGGACTACAGGCGCCTGCCACCGCACCCGGCTAATTTTTTGTATTTTTAGTAGAGATGGGGTTTCACCGTGTTAGCCAAGATGGTCTCGATCTCCTGACCTCGTGATCCACCCGCCTCAGCCTCCCAAAGTGCTGGGATTACAGGCGTGAGCCACCGCGCCCGGCCAATAGATCCTATGATTAATCCCCATTTACAGATGAGCCTTAGGTTTAGATGGCTTAAGTAATTTGCCTAAAGACACACACGAAGTTGATGGTGTTCAGGACTTCTCAAAATGTGGCACCTTGGCATTTGAGCAAACAGCAGAAGCAGGAAAGTCTCTCTCACCTTCCACAGCCCCTCTTCCCTGAAGCAGACGATAAAACCTATGAAGACCTATGAAGGCCGTCCTGTGACCTCCTGCTCTTCTCCCCTGAAGCAGGTCATAAGACCCTCATTCGACAGATACCCTCCCTTTGCCCAGAGGAAAGGAATATCCTTATCTGTGAAGACATAGAGCATAGAAAAGAATCCGAACAAACAGGCCTTGCTAAGCCTCCCCTCAGTTTATTACCATTAGGCCACACCCTTTGTCCTCCAACCATACTTCTCCATGACAGTCAAACTTACTTATAAAAATCAAACCTACTTACAAAACCTTTATCAAACCTACTTATAAAAATACACAAGTTACCACTTCCTTTGGATCTTTATTCTGAAGGCTCCCGTGTCATGTAAAGCTTGTATTAAATAAATTTGTATGTTTTTCTCTTATTAATCTGACTTTTGTTACAGGGGCCTCAGCCATGAACCTAGTGATGGGTGAGAGAAGAAATCTTTCCTCTCCTACAAAATAAAGGCAAAAAACTGAGATTCACACCCAGACAGCCTCACTCTAGAGTCTGAGCCCGTTGATTCCTGTACTCTATTGCCCCTTAATGTGAGTGGCTCCCCTTGAAACACAGCCCCATTAAATAGCCACAGTGAGGAACGCTGACCCAGACAACTCCCAAAGACTGAAATGAACATGTTCTTTCACTTGCTGTTCCTATATTCACTGCCACTGCTTTTCCTGGACCTGGTTTAAGAATCGGATGGCTCTAGCTCAGCTGGAAGCATTTTAATTGAATTCTGGATGAAAATAAGCACGAGTCAACTAAAAGGCTATATTTAATTTGGTATTTGAATGGGGAAAGATGAAAAAGCTTAAACTACAAGTTTAAAAAAAAGAAACTTGGTTGCTCTTTTGAACCTGAACTAAACATGAAGAACAAAGTGTTGTATTGTTTAGAAAGTAACAGACCTAACAGGAAAAATTTAAATTAAAAAAGAATCTAGTTAAGGTGTCTGAATCATGTTGAATTTTTTCTCCTCACTGTTGTTTTATAACAATTCCCTTGGGGATTTTGAAACCTGAAAACATTTTCCCTGACACGCACACACATACAGCCCTGTTGTTATGGAAGTCAGTATTTTTTAAAACCTGCTATAAAGGAACATAACAACGAACAGTACACAAAACTACAAATATTTAATGAGGAAATGGAAATAGGATTAAAACTGCCAATCGCTGTGATATAATTAGTAAATAATAAGTACTGACTTGGACGATTTAAGAAAATTTAAAACCACACCGGGCGGGGTGACTTATGACTTGAGTTCAGAGGGATGGCTGGACTCCAGAGGAGAGATGGCTTGACTTCCGGGAAGAGCCAGCCAGAAACAGGCAGACTTTGGGGTAAGATTACTTGCCCATCCCGTCCCTTCTCCAGCTCCCATGTCTGCTGAGAGCCATTTCCATCACTTAATAAAATTCTCTGCCTTCAACATCCTTCAAGTGTCTGGGCAACCTCATTCTTCTTGGATGCCAGACAAGAGTTCAGGACCCATTGGGTGCGGGTACCCAGAAAAGGCTGTCACACTGGCCCTTTGCCCTCAGTGGCAGAGGGCAGCCACCCCACATGACGAGGCAAGGGTACCACTGAGCTGATCACACGCTGCTGTCCACAGACAGCGGGACAAAGAGAACATTCTAACATGCCCTCTGGGGCTTTGGGGATCGCTGGCACCCTCACCTAGACACTGCCACGGGGCCCACACAGAGCCTGCTTCTGCCAGCACCCAAAATGGCCAGCCAGATCCCATACTCACTTGCTCACGTGCTCCCTCCCACAAGGGGTTGAGCACAGAGAGCCAAATAAATGGGGCACCCCCGTCACAAGTCTGACGAAGAGGTCAAGAAAAATCCTGCATCAATAATATCTTTAGAAAATTAAACAAACTTTTCCTATCACCAAGTAAAGAGAGAAATGTAGACCTTTGATGAAAGGTTTTTGGTCAAAATCAAGGTTTTCCCTGACAAACAATGGCAAGATAAAATCCAACCATCCTGCTGTCCCCTGCTCACATGATCTGTGAAGCCTACCATTTTCAGTTTGTACATGTTTCTTTCCTAGGGAGAACACAAAGGGAATTATTGATTTCTGGTAATGTTGTGGTATACACTGAAAGAAAACAAATAGCAAGATTTAAGGGCTCACTGTGGTTATTTTTCCTTGCATTCGTTTCAAAGCTTCTACTCCTTCCCCATTGCCCTGTGACACAGCCATCAAAGACCAGAAATAACTCCAAATGCAACAAGGCTGCCAAAATGAAACTGGCAATCTCAAACAGAGGTGGGGAGGAGGGTGGAGAGGGGCCTTTTCTTATATCTGTGACCTCGGGCTATAGAACCGAATAAATGGCCAGTCCGCAACAGCACAGTGACAATCTGCTGGGGATCCCTGCTCACTTGGCTTTCCCAAATGAGGCTCGCTCTTTTCTTCAATCTTAGACAAAGCTGTGGTTACTCTCTTCCAAGATCCCTCTTTTAAGAAAATCTACTTCTTGTGCTGGTGGCCTCGGTGAACTATTTGCTGTCTCAATACTACTTGAATAAGAAGAAATTCAGTTTTGAAGTTAAAAATGAAAATTCAAAATATTCAAGTCTTACGCTATTTATAATCATTCTTGACACACATGAGATAAACCAACCTTTAGAATATAATCTGATGCAACTGAAAGTAAGTACAGGGGGTTCAATTAATTCAAGTATTTAGAAGGATGTTCTAGGTCATATTTCTCTCTAAGAAAGGATGCTATTGTTCTCATGTATGGCAATCAGACTTTTGAAACTCAAAGCAGAGTGAATAGGAATAGCAAATGCATGCTACTTTGAGGTTTTCCCAGTGTTTTTCTTCCACAGCCTGTTTACCAACTTCTATTTCTCACAATTATCCCGTTTATAGATAAAAGTAGTAACACTATTTTGTACTTAATAATAACACTTAACCACCTACCTCCCTATGAGGGATGGTATGAACAGAAGACAGGCTGACAAGTACTTTGAGCTCTTTGGGAAGGCACTCCCAGTATGAAGCCTTGCTGTGGTTAAATAACACCTTTCATCTAAGGATCTAAAAGTGTCTTACAAAGCCCAGCTCATTAACTCCAAAAAAATTGCTATGATATAAACCAGAGCTGAGCATTATTATCCCCATTTATATAAGAAACAGGGACAAGCTAGGACCACTAATACTGTCAGAGAAATTTAAGAGTTCCTGGGATGAGGCCTAGGATACAGGCCAGTGGAAGGCCACGTCCACAAGGCAGTGTGTATGGGCCTCTCAATTCCAATAACAAATATGTACCAAAGAATGCCAAGTGGGGAAGCAGGTCCATCCTTAGGCTGTGCATATACAACCAGATAGCAAAGAATGAGGAGCAAATGATGTGAAAAGCTATCATCACAGCCCTTGGAAGATCCCAATTGCAAAACATCAAAACAAATAATGGTATATTTCAGATGCATTCCTCATAAAAGAGGCATGTAGGTACAGGACTAGTATGACTTCAGGGAGCAAACAGAAAGATACAAATACCAGACTAAAAATATAATCGATTTTGAAAAAAAAAAAATCAAGGTTCTTCGTATGTCATGTTACTAATCTCACTCAGAATTAAGATCACTTTATTGGGAGTTAAGTCATCAAAAAGAATTAAGTTCACAAATAAGTTACCCCCCCCCCAAAAAAATAAATTTTGTTTCAAAGTTATGTTTATTAAAATTCCTCAAACCTAAAAAAAAAAAATTCTGAGTTTCTGCCAAATACCGTGCATTTGTCTTCTGGGCCACCTGTGAGATTACTTCTGAGGAGACCAAATGTGGGAGGTAGGAAGAGGCAAGAAGGAAATGGAGATCCACCACATCCGGGGTCAAAAAAAACCTTCCATCTACTTTAAAAATACTCACATGGGCTGTGCCCAAGTGGATTCTTTCTAAACATCATCACAGAAGAATGTAATTGAGTCTGTTTACCCTAAGGTAAGTCATGCTCCTCTACACACAGACACACATACCTTCACCTAGGTACAAAAAAATTGATATTTCTTTTCTACTGAAGAAAGGGCACAAAAAGTTTCTTGGGCAGACTAGACGTTTTTAATGCTTTCCTATTGTGAAAATAAGTAATTCAAAATCTAAGCTGTTGGAATCTTAACATATTGTAAGGCTTAAGGGAATGTGATTATGTGAGTCACTTAAACTTGTATCTGTAACCTGGGCAGCTGTAACTGTTGTTTTTCTGATTATAGATTAGCCTTTTTCCTCACCTACACTGTTTTGTAAATGGTTGTAAATGAATAAACAGTGCCAGAGAAGATCCCTTCCCTTTTAACTGTTGATCTTCATTTTGATTAAACTTCCCTCTTACATTTCTCATACAAAGACTTAAAAGACTATCACATCATCTAGGATGGTATGTTAAATACTTTCTTTTTCTTTTTCTTTTTCTTTTTTTTTTTTTTTTTTGAAACAAGGTCTTACTCTGTCAGCCAGGCTGGAGTGCAGTGGCGTGATCACAGCTCACTGCAGCCTCCACCTCCCAGGCGCAAGAGATCCTCCCTCCTCAGTCTCCTGAGTAGCTGAGACTACAGGTGCATGCCACCATGCCTGGCTAATTTTTGCATTTTTTATAGAGACAGGGTTTTTCCATGTTGCCCAGGCTGGTCTCAAACTCCTGGGCTCAAGTGATCCTCCTACCTCCACCTCCCAAACTGCTGAGATTACAGGCGTGAGCCACCATGCCAGGTCCTACACTCCTAAGTTGGAAAGGAAGTGAAAACAAGCTGTACAGAAAAGAAAACAAACTGTAATTAACTAAATTATAGCTCATAAACCAACCTTGTATAGAAAATGTTATAATCCTACTAAATTTGTTTTCTGCCTATATAAGCAGGACCTTAACTTTTAACTTTAAGCACTGACCTCATTTCTGTGAAGTCCCTGTTTCCCAAATGGCCATTCCCAGCTTTTCACTTGAATAAACTTTTAAAAACTGAGTTCTGATCCTTTCCATTATTGCTGGTCGACATTATCAATGACTACAGACCCACTCCCTCCCCCAATTTCTCCATCTTTAAACAGGGATGATCCTTTACAAAGATGTTCTGCAGTTAAAGATAAATTATAAGATGAAATTTTGAGCTCTGATTATTATTGTCACTCACTGACTATAATCTCTAATGCATCACTGCAGGAACCAAAATGCAGAGTATCCTTAAAAGAAAAAAGGAAGAAGGTTTATCAGGTACTCTGACAGCTTACAGGCTCTACAGTCATTATCTGGTCTCATAGGGCTGTAATATTTTTAAAGACCAAAATAGGAACATCTACTTCAGAATAAAAGACAATGAGGGTGGCAGGTAGTGACTATCCTAGAGTCATCTCCAAACACAGCTTAACTCTGCCCAAGATGCCACTTTTAATCTGAAACATCAGACTGCAGTGATCAGTGGTGTGAGAGCCAATAATATTATAGTAGCTAATAATAGCCAATAAAAGAGAGGACATAATGCCCTTCCAGAAGGCCTGGGGCACCTCAGATCCAAGGAGAAAGGTCAAGGGCAGTCTGTGGGAGGAGCAATTCTTATCAACATCGTGGCCTCTATTAGGAGAGCAGCAAAAAGGCTGTTAAGTCAGTAGAACAGCTGTGATTTTTCAACCCATCAGCAGGCCACTCCTGTTTTTGTCTCCATTAAAATAGTACCAAAAGGCTTGTGTGTCCCCAGAGCCCAAGTCCCCTCTCCACTGACTGAGATGGCATTCCTTGCACAGAATGGGAACAGCAACTTCCCCTCACTCATCCTGCTCTCAAATCACCTGCCTGTCTTGCTGCAGTGAGCAAGAGGAATGCTCAAATGAGCATTAGCCTGACCTAAGGATGTGCTGGCAGAAGGCAGACAAACAGAGCCAGGGAGGGAAGGCTTGAAAACTTCCTTCAAATAATCACTCAGGGATGCACTTTGGGAATTTGGCCTGAGGCTCACTGCTGATGTAAGGATTATCAAGTTTAAGACTGCTGGTAAGGCCAAATGACCTATTAGAGGATGAATTAAAACCGCTATATACAAACAGGATGCCAGGCAGTTCTGCTGAGCACCTCAAAATTCAAAATGCCAAGGGATTTCCCCTCTCTGCAGTCTTTCAATTTTGAAAAATAGTAAGAAAATAATATGAGTAGGGGTAGGAGGTAGAGGAGAAAAGAGGCTACGCTGACCCGGCTGGAGAACCCACACCTAATCTCCGCCTAATCTCGGCACAGGCTAGGCACACTCCGCCCGTTTCCACATTACGTCACAGAATTAGCCTCAGAGATGAGAGGTGAAAGTTCAATTTGCTGCATTATTTCTTCCCAAAGAAGCCTTGCCACAGGGCATGGGTATTACTGCTTTACCTGACAAAACTGCCCCTGGGGCTGATGGCTAGCAGAGACTCTTCAAGCCTGTGACTAGCAACCCTAAGGGCAGGTGCCCTTTCAGAACTAATCTAGATGATGTTTCTGCAGATAAATTCTCTCCCTTAGAAAAATACCTCTTCTTAATGCTCTTATTTCTGGTGTGGTCATCTTCCCTCAGGTATTATTCATAATGGTCCCTCAAACAAATGCAACAGAAGATAAATGTTTGGTCTCCGTATTACACAGTAGAAAGGAAGAGCAAGTCAGCAGAAATGAATCCTTAGAGGGGAGTACACAGGGGACAGCAACAGGGACATTTCTTCCTGGCCCCCGGCTTTTGGGAGGCTGGGCACAAAGTGGCTGACTATTGTGCCAAGGCAACAGATTCAGGAGCAGCATGGAGGAAACCAGTCACCAGCCTCAGGCCATCTCCACTCCAACTTCTCCACCAACAAGGCAGCATCCAGAAGTTAAAGAGCAAATCAGGCCGGGCGCAGTGGCCCATGCCTGTAATCCTAGCACTTTGGGAGGCCGAGGTGGGTGGATCATGAGGTCAGGAGTTCGAGACCAGCCTAACCAACATGGTGAAACCCCGTCTCTACTAAAAATACAAAAATCAGCTGGGCGTGGTGGCACGTGCCTGTAATCCCAGCTACTCAGGAGGCTGAGGCAGGAGAATCGCTTGAACCCGGGAGGCGGAGGTTGCAGTGAGCTGAGATCACGCCATTGCACTCCAGTCTGGGTGATACAGCGAGACTCCGTCTCAAAAAAAGCAAATCAGATGTCTCTAGGCAACATCAGACAATGCAAAGAGTACACATGCATATAAATAACAGCTATCCAAATAATGGCTGGCCTTGGATTGGCTCCCTGGAAGAGGGGAGAGAGGCTGCCACATGTTATCAACTAAGTTATTTTCAACTAAGTTACCTCATTAGACGGGAAGACATGAAATACTGCATCCTCTGTCAGAACCAAAGGAAACATGCCTTGAGTAGCACCACTGTAACTTTATAGACTCTAACACACACTTTTCTATAATCTAATTCAGATGGCCCTCCTTCCCCTCTGCAAAGGTGTGGGCTAGATGTCAAATAAGCAAAATGCTTTGGAAGAGAGAGAGGGTTATCATCTCCGTGCATGTCACAGTCATAAGGCCACTACAATTTAAGAAATTGGTATCAGGCCAGGCGTGGTGGCTCATGCCTGTAATCCCAGCACTTTGCGGGGCCAAGGTGGGTGGATCATTTGAGCCCAGGAGTTCAAGACCAGCCTGGGCAACATGGCAAGACATCTCTACAAAAAAATACAAAAATTAGTTGGGTGTGGCAGCACACGCCTGTAGTCCCATCTACTCAGGAGGCTGAAGTGGGAGGATCACTTAAGCCTGGGAGACTGAGGCTGCAGTAAGCCAAGATGATGCCACTACACTCCAGCCTTGGGTGACAGAGCAAGACCCTATCTCAAAAAAAAAAATTCAAAGTTTTAACCTACAACTGAGAGAATAAACTCTGAATTGAATTTCTGATTATACCATTTTCTCGCTTTTAATTTGTAATAATAATGTTCACATTTGAGTATTAATTCTAAAATTGTTTCATCCCTCGGATATGGGGAAGACAGCATCTTTTTTTTTTGGAAACGGAGTCTCTCACTGTAGCCCAGGCTGGAGTGCAATGGTGCGATCTTGGCTCACTGCAAGCTCCACCTCCCGGGTTCATGCCATTCTCCTGCCTCAGCCTCCCGAGTAGCTGGGACTACAGGTGCCTGCCACCACGCCCGGCTAATTTTTTTGTATTTTTAGTAGAGACGGGGTTTCACTGTGTTAGCCAGGATGGTCTCGATCTCCTGACCTCGTGATCCTCCCGCCTCGGCCTCCCAAAGTGCTGGGATTACAGGCGTGAGCCACCACGCCAGGCCAAGCATCATTTTTTAAGAAGACATCACAGCTTCATAGCATA
Source organism: Homo sapiens (assembly GCF_000001405.40). NCBI lineage: Eukaryota > Metazoa > Chordata > Mammalia > Primates > Hominidae > Homo > Homo sapiens. Next base: position 72,111,983 of record NC_000010.11, read on the forward strand.
GTGAGCTTCACTCTTGTTTCTTTTACCTCTTTCCACCAGTGTCCTCTAACATTTGGAATAACACTTAGCCATTGTTGATACAAAGCCCCCGAAACTAAAACGGTTTTATTTGGTCTGGTCTCTAACAAAGGGCTGCTTCAAAGAGGACAGTGCCCTGTCACCATCTCTGGGTCCAGATTTATATTCTGCTACTGGTTTGTTTATACTGTAGCTAAAAACACACAATGCAGAATATATGTACAATGGAATAATATTCAGCCTTAATAAGGAATGAAATTCTGACATATGCTACAACATAGGTGAACCTTGAAAACATTATGCTGAGTGAAATAAACTGGACACAAAAGGACAAATGTACAATTCCACTTACATGAGGTACCTAGAGTAGTCAAATTCATAGAGACAGAAACTGGAGTGGTGGTTACCAAGGAGAAGGGGAAATGGGGAGTTGTTCATTAAAATGAGTTTTAATTTGGAATGATGAAAAAGTTCTGGAGATGGATAGTGATGATGGTCGCGTAACAACATGAATGTACTTAATGCCACTGAATTGTACACTTAAAAATGGTTAAAATAGCCAATCTTATGTATATTTTACCACAATTTAAAAAAACAACGGCCGGGTGCAGTGGCTCACACCTGTAAGCACATCACTTTGGGAGGCCCAGGTGGGTGGATCACTTGAGGTCAGTAGTTCAAGACCAGCCAGGCCAACATGAAACCCCATCTCTACTAAAAATACAAAAATTTGCCAGGCATGGTGGCACACGCCTGTAATCCCAACTACTCAGGAGGCTGAAGCACGAGAATCACTTGAACCCAAGTGGTGGAGGCTGCAGTGAGCCGAGATCCTCCACTGCACCCCAGCCTGGGCAACAGAGCTAGACTCTGCCTCCAAAAAAAAAAAAAAAAAAAAAAACCCCAACATACAATGGACCCAAAGTGACCCACTCATTTCATCAGTGAACTACATCCAAAATAATATGAACAGTCCTAGAAATGAACACATAAAAAAGATAAGTATTTTCTACAGTAAGAACAGACATCCCGTTCAAAGAGTTCATAAGAATGACATCACAGGAACCAAAGACAATTGAATATTTATTCCCCCTCCCTCAAATGCACCAAGCAAGCATGTAGCTTAGTGTTTTATATTTAGTAGGTATTCAATAAACATTACCAAATATTTATTTTCATTCTGATAAGAACCAGAAATGATTTTAAGAAAGGTAATGCTAACCTCTTAATTTTTTTTCTATTTCTTGCTATTGTGCTGGCTGGGCCCTTTCAAAAACCCTGCATCATTCCCTGCCTGACCCAGGACAACACATGGAAGTATTCCAGTCCCACTGCAAAGAGGAATAACCTGTGAACATGAATTCAAAAGAGAGCAAAGGTATTTTACAGACCAGGGAAGGTGCATCTTCCCAGAATGGATGTTGGCTTCTGCCAAAAATCAGTCAATTTCTTGTTTTGCAGTTCCATGTTAACAATGGTTTCACCTCACTGACAGCCATATCTTCAGATGCTCTCATTAGTGTTTTAAGACTTCACTGTCCAGGCAAAGTAACACATAAGACACATTTAAAAATTCCAAGGAAAAAATTTGGTGAAACACAGCTTAGATTTGAATCTTCCTTTCCCTCACCCCCTAAATAGACTGAAATAAGAAGCTACAACACCAAACTGAAGCATTTCAAACTGTACTTTTTCCTTATATATCTGATGCTCTAAGGAACTGCCCAATCACCTGTCAGAAGTCTTTCAGATCCTTTAAAACATAGTATATTGCTTTTCTATTGCTGTCAAAATATGAAAAGCCCCTAATAATCTTCTGCAATCTCCTATTTTTATAGCTTTTCATCATCAAAGAAGGGAGGCAGAGCCATATCTTATCACTAACAAAGCACCATATTCTAGCAGGATGTCTTGTCACAATCTCCTTCCTAAACTTTCACATTTTTCTGACATTCATGCTAATTGTAAAATTAGCACCATTTACTTGCAAGTTCAGTGCACTTTATTTTTCATTCAATATTTTTTATTAATACCTTCTGTAATAAGGCATAAATGAAGCTGCCTTCAAACAAAATCACTGTCCATGTTTCAAGTTAATCAGTGCATACCATAGAGAAGCACAGAATTAATTTTGGATGTATTTTGAAATAAAAGAAAGTTAAATGTAAATGTAAGCTCATTATTATCTTTATCAGCTGAGTCTTGCTATGTGTAGTAATAAAGCTGCAATCAAATTTAATTGAGAAATGAACTTGAAAGATTGTGAGTATGAGCTATAGGTATATTCAGTTTGCGGCTCTCTTTTCTTGAGTTGAGTAACCTAATTTTAAAAAAGAAATAAATGGCTGGGCGTGGTGGCTCACGCCTATAATCCCAGCATTTTGGGAGGCCGAGGCAGGCGGATCACGAGGTCAGGAGATCGAGACCATCCTGGCTAACATGGTGAAACCCCGTCTCTACTAAAAATACAAAATATTAGCCGGGCATGGTGGCGGGCCCCTGTAGTCCCAGCTACTCGGGAGGCTGAGGCAGGAGAATGGTGTGAACCCGGGAGGCGGAGCATGCAGTGAACTGGATCGCACCACTGCACTCCAGCCTGGGTGACAGAGTGAGACTCCGTCTCAAAAAAAAAAAAAAAAAAAGAAACATTTGCTAGAAATGAAAATAATTAGTTAAACAGAAATTCAATAGGATTGACTGTTGTTAACTATATCTTTATGACATAATTAGTTTATCTTGAGGGCCTATTAAATAAATGCATCATATTTAATCATAAAGCAAAATTGTGTTGGGTGAAATAAAAGAAAAACTAAACTCTAACCTCTAAGACAGGAGTCAGCAAACTTTTTTTTTTAAAGGCCAGGAGGCCACACGGATTCCACCACAAGTACACAACTGTGCCAAATGGTGTGTAAGTAAATGAGCTGAGCTGTGTTTCAACAAAGTTTTACTTATTTGGATTTCACATAATTTTCACATCATTAAATAGTACAGTATTCTTCTTTTGATGTTTTTTCAATCATTAAAAAATGTAAAAACTATTCTTGGTTAGAGGGCCATAAAAAATACAGGTGGTGGGCCACGTTTGGCCTTCAAACAGTAGTTTGCCAAGTCCTGCTTTAAGAGTTTATTATATGAAGTACAAGGCAAAAAATATCCCCTCTGGCAAATCTAGTGTTCTATTGATGCATAAGAAAAAATCTTTTTCTTCTCTCCTTCCAAAATCTGATGTCTGTAGAAAACAGTTCCAAAAAAGTTTCCTGAGTGCCTGCCAGGTGCAAGACACATTGCTAAGCACTGAGAGGCACCTAAGAGGTCTCTGAACAATCAAAGTAGGGAGAGGGGGGTAGCTGAGAGATGGAGAGAGCTCTATTGATTTGGACAGCTCTTACCATTAAGGAAGAGGTAGTATCTGTATTGGACTTTGAAGAACAAGTATCATTTGAATACAGGGAGACTGTAGTAAAAGAAAAACACAGAGATAAGGACAAAACCTTAGGGAATAGACATATTATGGAGTGAATTTTTTAAAAAGTAGCTCCAGAGTCAGGAAGAAAACCAGGAGAGCCAGCTGCCACTGAAGCCAAGAGAAGAAAGCATTTGAAGGAGAAAAGGGCTTAACACTCTCAGTGCAGATACTGGGGAAAAAGTAAAAGTAGGTCAAGGCACTGAACAAACAGGGGCTATCAATGACTTTTTACAGTGTTGTTTTGGTATAATGGTAGAGGTGGCAGACAGGTTGGAGAGAATAAATAGGGACTAGTCTGAAAGGGACGGTGGCAGGAAGAATGGCTTTATAGTGTTTATTCAGACTAGAGAAATGGGTTCTCCTTCCTTAAAACAAAAAACACTCTCATGAAAGATGCAGCTACTTTCTTAGTAAATTGCTCTAATATGAAACACTCTAATAAGAAAGTTGTTCTTTATACCAATTAAATTCTTACACTCTTTGAAATCAAATGGCCCAATTTATGTGGTAAGATCAACAGTTAATAAAAGGTGCATCTATCGTAAACATTGCAAAAAGACACAGCCAAGAATCAACAAACTTTTCTGGAAGGTGCTATATAAACACACGTACACCCCAAATGGTTAAGTGTCCTACTAAGCTCCTAAGTGTATGCCTGTCTGTCCTTCTTTCTTCATAAAATTTTTTATTTCAACATAGTTTTACACTTATAAAAATGTAATAAGAATAGTAAAAGGAATCCTGAATAGTTTTATCCTTCCTTCTTTTTTAAAAACCTACTTCAAGAAAAGCATTCTTTGGCTGAACTTCCTGCTTTTTGTTCTTTGTAATGTAGATACTGCCATTAAATTTTGGCCATCAGTTTAAAAACTGTTAGGACTCAAGTAGTTTAGTTAATGTTGTCCATGATTCAGTCACAAGTTGTAAGAAAGCAAAGTACAATATAAGCTCACTTAACAGAGTTCCTGTTTAAAATTCATTGGGCTTCTTTAATCTTCAGATTGATGTTTTTCACCAACCATGCCCCATTCTCTCCTTCTGAGGTTCCAATTAAATATATGTTAGATCTTCTCACTTACTATCCTGAACGTTTTGTTCTCTTTCTGTAATTTTTATCTCTGTCTATGCATCATTCTACATAATTTCTTCTGATCTAACTTCCAGTTCACGATTTCCCTCTTCAGCTATGTCTAATTTGCTGCTAAACCCATACACTGAGCTCTTTATTTCAGTTATTGCCTTTTATAGATCTAGCATTTCTATTTGGTTCTTTTTCAGAACTGTTATATTGGTTTTTCTTTTTAATAGTTCCCAATTCTCTGATAAAAATTTTAAGCTTGCCAGCCAGGCACAGTGGCTCATGCCTTTAATCCTAGCACTTGGGAGGCCAAGACAGGAGGATCACTTAAGCTCAGAAGTTCAAGACCAGTCTGGGCAACACAGTAAGACCCCATCTCTATATTTTAAATTTTTTATTTTCTGCAATGGAGTCTCACTCTGTTGCCCAGGCTGGAGTGCAGTGGCATGATCTCAGGTCACTGCAACCTCCACCTCCCAGGTTGAAGCGATTCTCCTGCCTCAGCCTCCCAAAGTGCTGGGATTACAGGCGTGAGCCACCATGCCTGGCTTTTTAAATTTTAAGAATTAAAAAACAAATTTAAGCTTGGCTTTGATTTCTTCGAACACAGTAAGCATAGTTGTTTTTAGTCCAAGTCTGATAACTCTAGTATGTCATATATTTATGAGTTTTATAAGTCTGTTTGCTTATTGTGACTGGTTTCCTCTTATGTCTAATCATCTTTGACTGTGTATTGGCCACTTTTGGAGAAAAAGTTCCCTGGAGGAATATTTTTAGGCAGAGGGTGATGGTACCTTCTTCCAGAGATTTCTGTTTGCTACTGCCATATGCCTGGAAGCACTACCAGTTCAGAGCCTCTTTCATCCAAGATCAAGACCTTAGGGTCTATTTCCTCCTTTTAGAACACTAATGTTAATTTTTGCACTGATTGAGAACGCTCTTTGTCATATTTTCCCCTCATATTTTCTCTTTGCCATTTGCCAGAGATTTCCTTGACTCTTTCTTCCAGTCTTTGATTAAATATGCATATATGTGAGTGCATATATGTAATCTCCAAGGACCCTCTCATTCTCTAATTGATCCTTTTAAATAACATTTTTACTTTCCAAATGATTCTTCAGGAAGTTGCATATCTGTTTCACTAACAATTGTCTACTTCACATGATTGTCAAGAATAATGTCATTGCTTTCAATGCTATATATAAAAGCTATTACAAAATATTAGTATGGCCAACTGAACTGCAGTTTGTGTATTAGCTTTAAAAGCCTGGAGAAGAAGTGACATCTGCTAGTGATTTTACTTAAACAATGTTAAAATATCCAGTCATAGAAATATAACGTATTAAAAAAGGCACAAGAGCCATGGTGAAAATCAAGGGACAATAACTTTATCCTAAATTCCATTTGCTGTTATATATCCTGCTATAATAGTGCAATGGGACATTTAGCAATAGATAATCAAGGAAAGACTTTCTGAGAAATTTGAGTTTTGAGAAAAAAATCTAAAGAAGAGCCAAGTGACTAAGCAAATAATTTTCGGCCGGACATGGTGGCTCACGCCTGTAATCCCAGCACTTTGGGAGGCTGAGGCGGGCAGATCACAAGGTCAGGAGATCGAGACCATCCTGGCTAACACGGTGAAAGCCTATCTCTACTAAAAATACAAAAAACTAGTCGGGGGTGGTGGCACACGCGTATAGTCCCAGCTACTTGGGAGGCTGAGGCAGGAGAATGGCGTGAACCCGGGAGGCAGAGCTTGCAGTGAGCCAAGATCGTGCCACTGCACTCCAGCCCGGGTGACAGAGCGAGACTCCATCTCAAAAAAAAAAAAAAGAAAAGAAATAATTTTCAAAAACAGTATATAATATGGCTGAATATTGAATCGAATAATAAAAATGGATAATAAAAAGAAACAACGTTTTCTTCCTCAAATGAAATAATACACTTTCTGGCTGGGCATGGTGGCTCACGCCTGTAATCCTAACACTTCAGGAGGCCAAGGCGGGTGGATTACCTGAGGTCAGGAGTTCGAGACCAGCCTGACCAACATGGTGAAACCCCGTCTCTACTAAAAATACAAAATTAGCCGGTCATGGTGGTGCACGCCTGTAGTCCCAGCTACTCAGGATGCTGAGGCAGGAGAATTGCTTGATCCTGGGAGGCAGATGCTGCAGTGAGCCAAGATCGCACCATTGCACTCCAGCCTGGGCAACAAGAATGAAACTCCGTCTCAAAAAAAAAAGAAAAAAAAGAAAAAGAAAGAAATAATATACTTTCTAAATGCTAGTCTCCCTTTGCAAGCATTAATATCTTTTTTTAAAAGCTACAAGACTTCTAGTTTCCAGTCTAGCATTAAGGACTTCGGAAGTCGCCACTCCATCCTAACAAGGGAAAAGCTGAACAGACTGAAACCTTGACAACTCTTCATAGGTCTGTCAGAAGACTGAGGTCGGGGACAAATTGCTGCCCCCAAAACTGGAGACACACACAGGTGGATACAGAGAATCACAAGGGAGAAGAAACCCACAGGAGAAACCTCCAGAGAGTGGAGTAACCTAACTGTAATTGACGAACTGCTAGAGGCTGTGTGGACAAGTCTAAGAGTTAGAAACTCCAGGGAACCACCTCACCAAAAGTTTTTGTAATTTTACCTCCAGGAGCTCTACTTGGCCTCCTGCTTCCAGCAGGGGGAGGAATAAAAGAACCATTCTGAAATATGCCAGACCACTTTGTTCTTAACAAGGCCTGCCCTCAGGAGAAACTATTTTACCAGAGCCTAACCTGCTGGGGTTTTATGAAAGCTTAACATACCTAGGGGAAGGATGATATCCAACTCCAGCCCCCTCTAGCCATCCACAGTGGGGAAGAGAAATATCCAGCCCTAGTGGGCACTAACCTTCCATGTGTAGGAACCCCACCTCAGCTCCCTCCAGTCTTCCACATAGGGGCCCCTCTAACCATCCTGTTCCACCTAACGGGGGTGATGAGAAGCATAGGTGATATTCACAGTCCAGTGGCACAAGCTCACCAAAAGACTGAGACCTAATCACAGAATTACAGAACACTTCCCCTCCGTCCAACCTTACCATCACACAACAGTACATCATGTCCCTTTCACCCAGTACATCACGTCCAGATTCAACAAAAAATTACTACAAGACATAGTAAAAGGAAAAAAAAAAAACCAACACAACACAATTTGAAGAGACAGGGCAAACATCAGAACCAGAGTCAGAAATGGCAGGCGTGCTGGAATTATCATACTGGGAACAACTATGATTAATATGCTAAGGACTCCAATGGATAAAGGAGACAACATGCAAGGACAGATGGATAATGCAGGCAGAGAGATGGAAATTCTAAGAAAGAATCAAAGAGAAATACTAGTGATTAAAAGCACTGTAACAGGCTGGGTGCAGTGGCTCACGCCTGTAATCCCAGCACTTTTGGAGGCCGAGGCAGGCGGATCACCTGAGGTCAGGAGTTTAAGACTGGCCTGGCCAACATGGTGAAATCCCATCTCTACAAAAATTAGCCAGATATGATGGCGGGTGCCTGTAATCCCAGATACTCGGGAGGCTGAGGCGAGAGAATTGACTGAACCCAGGAGGCGGAGGTTGCAGTGAGCCGAGACTGCACCACTGCACTCCAGCCTGGGCGACAGAGTGAGACTCCATCTCAAATAAATAAATAAGTAAATAAATAAATAATAAAAATACTGTAACAAAAATAAAGAATGCCTTTGATGGGCTCATTAGCAGACTGGACATGGCTGAGAAAGAATCTCTGAGCTTGAGGATATGACAACAGAAACTTCCCAAACTGAAAAGCAGAGAACAAAGACTGAAAAAACACAACAGAATATCCAAGAACTGTGGTACAACTACGAAAGATATAAGGTGCACACAATGCAAATACCAGGAGAAGAAAAAAAGGAATGGAAACAATATTTGAAGGAATAAAGACTGAGAATTTTCCTAAATTAATGTCAGATTCCAAACCACAGATCTAGGAAGCTCAGAGAGTACCAAGCAGAATAAAGACCAAAAAAAAAAAAAAAATTGTACCTAGGCATATCATAGTCACACTTCTGAAAACCAAAGATAAAGAAAAAATCGTGAAAGAAGCCGAAGGGAAAAAACAAATACTTTTCCTATATAGAAGCCAAGATAAGAATTACATTTGACTTTTCCTCAGAAACCATGCAATCAAAAAGAGAGTGGAGTGAAATACTGTTGAGAGAAAGAAACTCCATCAACCTGGAATTCTGAACCCTGTGAAATTATCCTTCAAAAAATGAGGGAGAAACAAGTATAAGCGATATGCTAAGAAAGAAGAGAAAAAGAAATTATATATAATGCTCAAATAAACCAAAAAAGGCAGAAAAAGTGTGGGAGGCAAAAATAGAAACAAAGAACAAGGGCAACAAATACAAAACAGTAACATATATAATAAACATTAATCCAACTATATTAATCAATAATCACTTTAAACATCAATGGTCTAAATACACCAATTAAGAGACAGAGAGTGTTAAATTAAAATAATAATAATAAAGCAGCCAAACAATATATTGTCTATAAGAGACCGACTTTTTATTTATTCATTTATTTTGCGACAGGGTCTTGCTCTGTCACACAGGCTGGAGTGCAATGGTGCAATCATAGCTCACTGTAGCCTCAACCTCCCAGGCACAAGCGATCCTCCCACCTCAGCCTCCAAAGTAGCTGGGACTACAGGCGTGCACCACCATGCCCAGCTAATTTTTTTAATTTTTTGTAGAGACAGGGTCCCACTGTGTTGCTTATGCTGGTCTTGAACTCCTGGCCTCAAGTGATCCTCCCACATGGGCCTCCCAAAGCGCTGGGACTACAGGCATGAGGCATTGTACCCAGCCAAGAGACTCACTTTAAATATAAAGACACACAGAGATTAAAAATAAAGGGATGTCCCAGCATAGATGGGTTCTTAAAAAAAAAAAAAAGAAAAGTAAATAAAGGGATGAAGAAAGATATACCATTCTAACACTAACTGAAAGAAAGTTGAGTAGCTATATTAATTTCAGATGGAGCAAACTTCAGAGCAAGGAAAGTTATTATGAATAAAGAGGAGCAATACATAATGATAAAAAGATCAACTGTCCAAGAAGACCTAACAATCCTTAACACATATGTGCCTAAAAACAGTGTCAAAATACATGAGGCAAAAGTTGACAGAAGCAAGAAGAAACAATGAACTCACTATTATAGTTGGAGACTTTAACTAACCCCATGTATCAGAAATGGACAGATCCAGAAGGCATAAAATCAGTGAGGATATAGTAGAACTCAACAGCACTACCAACTGACTGGATATAATTGACATCTATAGAATATTTTATCCAACAACAGCAGATTACATGTTCTTCTCAGGCTCACAGGAAACACTGACTAAAACAGATCACATTCTGGGCCATAAAATACGCTGTAATAAATTTAAAAGAATAGAATCATACAGTGTCTGCTCTCAGGCCACAATGAAATTAAACTTGAAAGTGATAACAAAGATAGCAGGAAAATCCCAAAATAGGTGGAAATTAAACCACACACTTCAGCCAGGCGCAGCGGCTCACGCCTGTAATCCCAACACTTTGGGATGCCAAGGTGGGCGGATCACAACATCAGGAGTTCAAGACCATCCTGGCCAACATGGTGAAACCCCATCTCTACTGAAAATACAAAAAGTAGCTGGGTGTGGTGGCACATGCTTGTAGTCCCAGCTACGTGGGAGGCTGAGGCATGAGAATTGCTTGAACCTGCAGGGGCGGAGGTTGCAGTGAGCCAAAATCGTGCCACTGCACTCCAGCCTGGGCAACAGAACCAGACGCAGTCTCAAAAAAAAAAAAAAAAACCCACACACTTCTAACCAACACACACTTCTAACCAACAAAAAGACCTTAGCTACCACACCCTTAGCTGGGTGTGGTAGCTCACTCCTATAATCCCAACATTTTGTGAGGCTGAGTGCTTGAGCCCAGGAGTTAGAGAACAGCCTGGATAACAAAGTGAAACCCCATCTTTACAAAACAATTTAAAATAAAAATTAGCCAGGCATGACAGTGCATGCCTGTAGTCTCAGCTACTTGGGAGGCTGAGGTGAAAGGATTACTTGAGTCCATGAGTTCGAGGCTGCGATGAGCTATGATTGTGCCACTGCACTCCAGCCTGGGTGACAGAGCGATGAGGCCCTATACCTAAAGAAATTAAAAATTAACTTTTAAAAAAGAAACTTCAAGAGAGATTTAAAATATTTTAAGGTAAATGAAAATGAAGATACAACTTATCAAAATTTGTAGGATACATCAAAAGCAGTGCTCAGAGGGAAATTTATAGTATTTAGTGCATGTTAGAAAAGAAAAATGATATAAAATCAATAATCTAAGCTTCTTCCTTAGGCAACTAGAAAAGTAAGAACAAATTAAATCCAAATTAAGCAGAATGAAAGAAATAATTTAAAAAATCAGAGCAGAGGCTGGGCGCGGTGGCTAATGCCTGTAATCCCAGCACTTTGGGAGGCCGAGGCAGGCAGATCACAAGGTCAGGAGATCGAGACCATCCTGGCCAACATGGTGAAACCCCGACTCTACTAAAAATACAAAAAAAATTAGCCAGGCATGGTGGCGTGTGCCTGTAGTCCCAGCTGCTGGGGAGGCTGAGGCAGGAGAATGGCATGAACCCGGGAGGTGGAGCTTGCAGTGAGCCGGGATCGTGCCACTGCACTCCAGCCTGGGCGGCAGAGCAAGACTCCGTCTCAAAAAAAAAAAAAAAAATGAGAGCAGAAATGAAAATAACTGAAAAGAGGAACTCAATAGAGAAAATCAGGAGTGAATCCTAATGTAAACGGCGGACCATGGGTGATGATGTGTCAATGTGGCCTATCGATTTTAAAGATGTACCAATGTGGTATCAGATGCCAATAGTGGGGGAGGCTGTGCGTGTGCAGGGATGGGGGCATTTGGGAACACTGTACTTTCTGCTCAATTTTGCTGTGAACCTGAAACTGCTCTAAAAAATAAAGTTTATTAAATTTTTTAAAAAGTGACCGCATAGTTCTAAATCTCACCCCCCTTCTCTGTCCTCTAGAAAAAAAAAATTGAATTTATCTTTTCAACACTCTTCTAATACTTCAAAACAAAATATTCATTCAAAACAAGTCTCTCCCCTGAGAGTGTTTAAGAAGTTAATTGTGCTTTCGTTCCCTTAGGACAGACTGACTAAAGAGTCTCCCGGGAGGAGCATGGGAGGCAGGCTCCACTCTTTGACCTTGGTAGTAGTCACATTGTTCATTTTATGACTATTTGTTAAACATTAAATGTACGTCTCATGTACATATATAAATATACACATATATATTTCAGCAAAAAAGAATAAACAGTATTTTTAAAAGCTTCCTTCATAAAAATGTCTCTAAGTAAAGCAAACTAAATAAAGATCTCATTGAAATTTATTCATTATAATTGCCCTTTTAAAGGCTCTGAAGAACAGAGATGGGACAAAACCAAAACTGAATGAAATACTTGGGTGGCTCATTCACATCTTTCAAGAAAAGTCTCAATGTGGCTAGAGATTTAAAACATATTTTCAGGGGAAAGTATTTAAAATTAATACAGTTAGTTTAGTACTGCCAGTCTCTTCTTTCTCTAAATTAAAAGATTCTTATATATAAAATAGAAAAGGTACAAATTCATCTCCCTTTTACATGGCTTATATTTTCCAGGATTTCTAAGTGTCTAAAGAAATGGCACTTTTACACTATCCTCTGACTTTAGACCTATAGTACTTTCCATTCTTTCCCAAATATATCACTGTGCCTTTATTTGTACCATATCACCTTCTCTGATGAGTACAACCTAGGGCTCTAATGCCTCCTCTTCACTCTGCAGTCAGAAGCTATGCTTTTGAACAGTTAACATTGTACCCCTGGTTCAATCTGCTGAGAGCACAATCTTGGAATACTGATTCTATTGCTTAAGACCCCAAACAGACTGTCATTACCTCTCTCCCCAGAAGCTGGCAATTAATGACCATTTTACTTCTAGCTAGTGAGGGAGCATTTACTTCCAGGCAGTGTGTCTTTAGGTCAGCATGATTTCTCCAATTATAAATTTATCACTGCCTATGGCTAAACAAACAACATCTTTTTTTTTTTTTTTTTTTTTGCTATCTCTTAGATTAGAAATGGATACTCTCTGAGGGGACACCATCCCATTAATTTGGCCTAGGTCTTCTTCACTCATGCATCCTCCTTTTGGAGCTATCTGGCACTTTTCCATAAAAAACCACCATAACCAAATATGTTTGTTCTTTTTCAGGTTTGAATAACACAGGAGAATGATTCTAGTTGTCAGTTCTTAATTCAAAGTCTTTCTTAGGGCAAGACTTTCTTATTTTTAACTAGGAATAACCAGACACTAGTATATTACAGCTGCAACAACTCTCAAAAAAGCTGTACAAAAGAAAAATGTGGCTTCCATCTGCAACAGTCATTAAAGATTTCTTTTTTCTTACTAAGGCTCCCAGAACACATATTATACCAAGCCAAAAGAACCAATTTTCTTCATGGAGTAGAATAGCAATTGGCTGTTACTCATTAAATTCTTACAGCAATGAGCAATGACTTTCTTTCTTGTTTTGTTTCTCTTTGAATAGTAGATGAAGTTGATTTTTTTTTTCTAAGGCTGCCTCCCATCACCAGCATTCCTGATCCTTGGCCTATGCAGCTGTTAATATGCTGCACACGTATGCCTGGGCTCCTTAACAACCAATACAGTTAACCTTTCTGTTTACTCCAAGTCAGTTCCTATCTTGTTAGTGAAATTGATTTTTTTTCTTTCTAAGCATAATAATTTCATATCATACAAAAACTATATATATGAAGTTCACTGGTTTTCTAAATCCTGTTTTTATTTTAAGGGCTTCAGGAGCCATGGATTCTCATGTTTTAATTGAGAAAGACGTGTCCATTCATGGTAATGCCAAAAGGTGGGTGGACTATGGCTACTTCACAAGCATATTTAACTGCCTCTGTGTTGGGGGTGGGAGGTAACTGTTGGAGCCCACATTTACTTTTATTTTAAAAAAGAAGCTAATTCTCTTGATTGAACATAGGTGAAAGATTATTTTTCTGGAACTAGTGATTAAGGAGTAAAATATTAAATACTATACTAAAGGATACGTCATCATAACTATCTGTGGTCAAAGGCACTTGTCCATAACTCACCCCATGGTTTTTATATTCTAATTGTCTATTAACTATCTGTACCCCTCACGGACTGGAAGCTCCTAGAAGGCAGGGATTGTATCATAATGACTGTTTCATCTTTAAGGCACATAGTCTGGCAGATGGTATATAGTCAATAAGTATTTCTGTTAGTGTTGATATTATATTCGATACAAAAATCTAATTATTAACTAGCTACGGTTTTAGACTAATTGGCACACTCACTGCCCCACCATTAATGAAACAAGCTTTAATTGGCCATTATCCCAGATCAGGCAGATATGCCCAACTTCAAATATCTAATGGTCTCTACCTAAACACTGGGCATCTTTACGGGAGGCAGCAGAAAATAATGCTCAATTTGTGAGTTTTGAGTCTTTCTTTTCTGATTCAGATTCTGCTACTAACTAGCGGTACCTCTGGCAAGTCACTTTACCTTAGTAGATTTCATGTCAGAGATTAAAGTGGGGAATTGGACTAAATGGTCTCCAAGAACCTAGCTAGGTCCAGCTCTAAAAGTGATTGGGCTTGAATTAATAAGGGTATTACTGATATAGCAAGTCCTTGTCAACACCAGAGGGAGCTACATTCATATCATCACTGGGGTGGTTCAGAAGATTTCAGGGAAAAGCAGTTAAATTGAAAACTTACTTTCCAGAATGAGAGAAATTCTATAGCAAGGTAAGAGCTCCACACTGCTCATACGGCCACCCAACAGGCTCTCTGCCATCACCCCACTCTTACAGATGTCAAAGCACCTCACACCTGACTTGTACCAACACACAAGGCTTCAGTTTTAATTCCATGAAAACCCAGTTGGCTTTGAGCCATTCCTAAAGATTTCTTTCCCCATTCAGTCTATTTTCTTTCTTAACCAAATTAACAACAACAAAAAGCAAAGTAATTCATTGTGATACTGGAAAATCCCCAAAGAAGGGAGATAAAGGAGGAGAAAGATTCATATCACACCGAAGCTGTAGCCTGGAAAAAACAGTAAAGTTAACTACAACTGAATTCATTAGCAGCCTGCCACTCAAACCCAAAGCTACCTCAAAAACAAGAAAACTACTCAAAAAGAGAAAACATATCAAGGAAAGGAAGGACTCAGCATAGCTCTGCAATGCAGGTGCGGGAATGCCTGAGACGATGGCTGACACTGCCCTATTGGGCTCCATGGTAAGCAGTCACAGCTGCTGAAGAGTGATGTCATTAATTAAAGCAATGGGGTCACATTAGGCATTTGGCAAAAAAACTGTAAAGAGACAACATAAGGGAATGGAGGGTGGAATAGGGAAGAAAAAGTAAAAGCATTTCTAAAGCTAAAGCCTATTCTGACGTTATCATATACTCCCTCCTCCACCTCAGCAAAACACCCATAGCCTTGAAAATGACCTAAACCCTTACAGAGCAAGTGAAAAGAAGAAATGAAAACCTCTCCATTAGTATCAACTTATGTTTCTCTTTGTCCAGAGGAACAATGGCATGCTAACCTGATGGAGAAGGCATAAATCATGAATATTACAGAAGGGTAGTCTGTTAGAGAAAGACAAATGTAATCCTGAAGAACCCCTTTACTTACATTTCATAGATTAATTCAACACTCAGAAAGGCAAAGCTTCAATGGTCAAAAATGGACCATCTACTTTTTAGGACATAGGCTGTTCCTGAGTAAAAATGGCTTATAAAGCCACTGCAGAGATTGACTTTGTGGGTAAAGAGAAAAATCTACTAAAACAAGACAAATAATTATTTTCCACTTAAAAAAAATGCAAGCTCAAACCTCATAAGTACAGAGTAAAACTTAGGTTGAAATCAACTTATTTCTATGAATCCAAGTGGTTGGAATACCTAAGGGTTTCTTTTTTTTTTTTTTTCCTAAGTGTTTCTTATATCACCAATTTCAGGCAGGGTGCAGAGGCTCACACCTGTTATTCCAGCACTTTGGGAGACAGAGGTGGCAGGACCACTTGAGCCCAGGAGGTCAAGGCTCCAGTGAGCAGTGTTTGCACCACTGCACTCCAGCGTGAGCAACAGAGCGAGACACTGTCTCAGATAAACAAATAAACAAACAAACCACCAATTTCAAATACTCTAGAAGTGCCAAAGCCTTAAGAGGACCAGCTACTTTTCCTCTCTTTCCCTTTAGATAATTAAAAAAAAAAAGTATGAGAAAAAGTATGAAGAAGTATGAAGAAATATACGGAGAACTACTTGTTTTCCTGCCTTATTTAGGACATGTGCCAAAGGATTTCCAATTCACTCTGCTTCATACTGACCTTTAAAATATTTCGGCCATCAAATGATTCTCTTTCCTTGAAGATATATTTGCCTTCCGCTGTGTAGAGATTGTACCTGCCTTCAGCTGTAAATATTCCAAAGATAATGTTAGAAGCTTAGATTGATTGGTTGTTTTCTCTTGGATTTCTATAGGTACATAGGTACGACTAGCAAAATTTTCATGAACTACCTGGAAAGTGGCATAATGAAGAGGAAAAATGTCAGGCTATGAATCAAGAGACCTGGCTTCTAGTCTCAGTTCTGTCAACAATTCATTCAGTATACATTTATTCATTCATCTATTCATTCGACATTCTCCAGGCACTCACTATATATTCCTAACTATGCAACTAGCTACATTATTAGGCAAATTATGTCTCCATTGTGGACCTTAGTTCCTCATTGACAAAGTGAGAGGCAGGACTAAGTGATCTTCAAAGGTTCCTTATGTTCTATAGATCCAAGAAAAGTGGCATATAATTTTAAATATGTAAAAATACATAAGAGTTCACACATTAGCTAGTCAAAACTCATGCTCTGGGTTGATTTAAGGGCTTCCCCCAGAGGAAAAAGAGCCCTTCAGTTGCAATCAAAGGTATCCTTACAGATATTCTACACAGGAATGCAGCAAATCTATGACCTTAGCCTAAACCAAGCTGTGCTCTAGCTTCTTAAGTTAATTTGGGTTGCATATCTCAAAAGACATCCTTAAAGGTTGGCAAGGAAAAGAATATCAAAAGAGAGGGAAACAGGAAAGAAAAAAAATGTAACATCATTTCATGTCCTTCTCAAGTAAAAATTCAATACAGGAGAGTCCAGAGTACAAAAAATTCAAAGCATCCTCAAGAATTAACTCAGAATATTTTCTGAAATATTAATCATTTCCTACCCACTGACAGACCTTCAAAAATACTTATTTCCACATTTAAGTACGTTATTTTACTTTTATAAGTAAGGAGGGTACTAGGCCAGAATTGATGAAATACATCTAGAGTTTTAAAAACTCCATGAACATAATACATAATACATTTCAGCTAGCCCACTGGAGTTGCACATGGGTAACTATGGAACTATGTCTCTAATGAGAAGGATGCTCTTAATCAAAGATCCCAACCCCGTGCATATTTCACAACTTAAAATTAAGAGAAAGAGAATGTGTGAAGTTGCAAAAGAACAACAAATAAATTGATACCAAATAAATATCAAAAAGTGGAAACAACACAAATGTCCACCAATTGATGAAAGGATACATAAAATGTGGCATATCCATACAATGGAATATTATTCAGCCATAAAGAAATGAAGCACCAGGCATGGTGGCTCACGTCTGTAATCCCAACACTTTGGGAGGCTGAAGCAGAAGGACCACTTGATCCCAGGAGTCTGAAACCAACCTGGGCAATATAGTGAGACCTTGTCACTATAAAAAAAAGTTTAAGCCAGACATGGTGGCTCATGCCTGTAACCCCAGCACTTTGGGAGGCCGGGACAGGTGGATCACCTTAGGTCAGGAGTTGGAGACTAACTAGCCTGACCAACATGGTGAAACCCCGTCTCTACTAAAAATGCAAAAATTAGCCAGGCATGGTGGCGCACACCTGTAATCCCAGCTACTCAGGAGGCTGAGGCAAGAGAATCACCTGAACCTGGGAGGCGGAGGTTGCAGTGAGCCAAGATTGCACCACTGTACTCCAGCCTAGGCAACAAGAGCAAAACTTCATCTTAGGAAAAAAAAAAAAAGTTTAAAAATTAGCTGGGTGTAGTGGCATGTGCCTGTATTCCCAACTACTCAGGAGGCTGAAGTGGGAGAATCATTTGAGTGCGGGAGGTGGAGGTTGCAGAGAGCCAAGATCACTCTACTACACTCCAGCCTGGGCAACAGAGACCTTGTCTCAAAAAAAAAAAAAAAAAAAAAAAAAACACACAGAAAACAAAACAAAAAAAGGAATAAAGTACTGATGTGTTATAACATGGATGAGCCTTGAAAATATTATGCTAAGTGAAAGCAGCCAGCCACAAAAGATCACATACAGCATGATTCTGTTTATATGAAATGTCCAGAACAGGCAGCTCTATAGAGACATAAAGTAGGCAAGTGGTGCCTAGGGCTTGGTGGAGGTCAGGGGAGGGCAGAGTGAGAGGGGTAGGAAGAAATGGAAAGTGACTGCCAGTGGGTATGGGGTTTCATTTTAGGGTGATGAAAATGTTCTAGAACTGATTGTGGTGATGGCTATACAAGTTTAACCAGACTAAAAACCACTAAATTATATATATATATCAAGAGAGTAAATTGTAGAGTATGTGAATTATATCTCAATAAAGCAATTATATTTTGAACATCTGCAAATAGAGGGATAACTAGACTGTAAACACACAACACTCTCTTATATAAAGCTCTAGTACTAACTGAATATAAACCTGGATCCACACAACTTAGAATATACAGATTCCTACATATCTGAACTCTTCCTGTGTTAAGAGATTAGTTAATGATGGACCATGACATAGTTTTAAGAGCTCTGAACAAATATTTAAGGACTAAGACAAATGGAAAATGTACTGATAGCTAATAAATGTCTAATAAAATACTGTCTATACCTGCAACGCCCAAAACAGTGGCCACTATCCAGATGTTTTCCCATAAATTTTAATTAAAATTAAAAATAAAAGTTCACTTTCACAGTCTCACTAGCCACCTTTCAAGTGCTCAATAACCCCATGTGTCTAGTGGCTACCATATTGGACATCGCAGATACAGAATACTTCAATCATCACAGACCGTTTTCTTAATACAGTATGTCTTCTGAAACAATAAATTTAGAGTATACTCCAGAGTTCTGAAACTCTGCCTTTACATAATAATGTTAAAATGTACATCATCTCAGGGGATTCTCAATTTGTTTTCCAAAATTAAAATACACTGTTCAGAATAAAACAAATAGCACAAACCTAGTTACATGCTTCTACTGGACAAGCTGCATTATAATACATAGATATTGAAAATATTCCTACTTCCTGTACTACTACTCCCCGAAGGAAAGAAATATGCTCAACTGGGCCGGGCGCAGTGGCTCATGCCTGTAATCCCAGCACTTTGGGAGGCCGAGGCAGGTGGATCACAAGGTCAGGAGTTCAAGATCAGCCTGGCCAAGATGGTGAAACCCTGTCTCTACTAAAAATACGAAAATTAGCTGAGCGCGGTGGCAGGTGCCTGTAATCCCAGCTACTCAGGAGGCTGAGGCAGGAGAATTGCTTCAACCTGGGGGGCGGAGGTTGCAGTGAGCTGAGATGGCGCCACTGCACACTCCGGCCTGGGCGACAGAGCAAGACTCCATTTCAAAAAAATAAAATAAAAATACACACACACACACACACACACACACACACACACACACTCAACTGGAACAAGTTCAAAGTTTTGGATTCTATTACCTACCCAAACAAGAGTATATAGGCTTTAACTGAGTTATTTGAAGCTCTCTTAATCTCAGTGTTCTCAAAAGTAAAATAGAGATTTATTTATAAGTCTTAAAT
Organism: Homo sapiens; assembly: GCF_000001405.40. Taxonomy (NCBI): domain Eukaryota; kingdom Metazoa; phylum Chordata; class Mammalia; order Primates; family Hominidae; genus Homo; species Homo sapiens. The sequence goes on from NC_000010.11 coordinate 72,131,617, forward strand.
AAAATTCAATATGGCATCACAAAATAGTAGTATTTTAGAACTAATAACTAGATAGCTACAAATTTCTTGGTCCTACCATGACTGTAACTAAACGGGGTTAATTATCAAATGATTGCCAGTTGGGATCTTTGGTACATATCTGAGAGAAATTAAAAGACGTGCCTTAACTAAAAGGGACACACAAATTGTCCTAACTAAAAACCTACAAATAGTCAATGATTCAAGTCCTGATGGAGTTATCTTCTCCTCTAGATAGATTTTTTTTTTTTTTTTTTTTTTGAGAAGGAGTCTTGCTCTGTTGCCAGGCTGGAGTGCGATCTCGGCACACTGTAACCTCCGCCTCCCAGGTTCAAGCGATTGTCTTGCCTCAACCTCCCAAGTAGCTGGGATTACAGGCATGTGCCACCACACCCGGCTAATTTTTGTATTTTTAGTAGAGACGGGGTTTCACCATGTTGGCCAGGCTGGTCTTGAACTCCTAAATGCAAGTGATCCACCCGCCTCAGCCTTCCAAAGTGCTAGGATTACAGGCATGAGCCACCGCACCTGGCCCCCACCTAGATTTTCTAAAACCAAGGTCAGGGCTCAAGAAAGGAAATGAAACCGGAATACGTGACCTTGGTGCTGCTAGTGTATTTTGAACCACGAGTCTTGGAAGGAAGAGCTGCATATGGCTTGAATGTGTGACTCCTGATCCGATGCTGAAGGTACTAGAGAAGCTTTCACTTTGGAGATAGGGACAGGAAGAAAAGAAAACTTCTTTTTGAAATAAACAACTATCCCAAATCAAGGATTAAAACAAGGCATTTTTATAAAAAGGCTCAGAGTCCATGAAGAAAAAAACTATTATTTTAACACAAGGTTTCTCAACCTCTGTGCTACGACATTTTGGGAAGAATAATTCTTTGTCATGGGGGACCGTCCCATGCATTGTAGAGTGTTAGACAGCACCCACTAGGTGCCAGCAGCAACCCATCTCCAGCTCCCTAACTATGATAACCAAAAATGTCTCCAGACAATGCCAAATGTCATCTGGGGGCAAAATAACCCCCAGTTGAGAAACACTGATTTAACATTTACTTTCACTAGCTCACCTTCCTTTCTTTTTTCTCTTTAAAAAAAAAAAAAGCCACCAAGTATTGCATGCGACATACTTATGCCAAAAATTTATTCACTGTTTATATAAAATTTACCAGAGCATCCTGTATTTGTATTTGCTAAATATGGCAATCCTATGTGTGACAGAAATAAAAGATCTGGAAGCCACAGTTCCATGCTATATATGTTCTTGCCCACCTCTACTATGCTCATCAGAATAAGCTAAGAGGTCTAAAAAAGAAGCTATATCAGAGATTCTTTGATAGCTCATTCTACCTAAACCTCAGAGATGCCACAAGGCCGCTGATCACAAACTGTGCTATAGTTCTCTGGGGGACTTACCATTGGGGTCTTTCCTGAATAGTGTATTCATAACTGTAGCATGCAGTTTCACACTATTCCACTCTTTCACTATTAGTCCAGATGCCTGAAAACGTTCCAGCACTCGATCAACTAATTCTTGTAGCCTGGAGAAATTGGAGAAAAGTAATGCAGAAATCTTAGTAAACTTCTGAACATGCGATTACCAATTCAACAATGTTTATGGAGCATGTGCTCTGTGCTAATCACCATACAAAGCCCTGCATCACAGGAGGAAGAATAAGAGACTCATCTCCCACCATCATGGAGCTAAAGATCAGTCTTGTTTGTCTGCTTAACAGATAGTAGAAATAAATGATGGCAATATATTATGGTGAGCGTGAAGGGAGTGATCAACTCTACATGGAGAGGGCCAGGTTTCCACAGGAGGTTTAGACATAGTCTGGAATGATCATTAAAGATTTGCAAATAACACCAGGGAAGGAGGGGCACTTCAAGTAGAAGAAGAAACAGCAAGTGCAAAGATGCCAAGGCATGCAAGATCACAGCATATTCAAAAAACTGTCAATTATTTACAATACAGTTATGACAGAGAGTGACAGAAAAGGGACAATGGAGATGAGCTAAGTCTATAAGCAGTGGTCAGATTAGGGAAGCCACAGAAAGACTTTCAAAAGGGAATTATGTGGTCTGATGTCCATTTTTGAAAGCTGACTCAATAGCAGAGTGGGAAGGGCTTTAGAAGAGGAACAGCTACAGAGGTCAGTCAGCTAGGTGGCTACTTCAACAGTCAACATCACTATGATGTGTCAGGCACAGTTCTAAGCACTTTTTATCTGTTAAATCATTTAATCCTCATAACCAATTATTATCCCTATTTACCAATACAGAAGCCAAGGCACAGAGAAGTTACAAAACTTGACCAACTTCACAAAACTAAGTGGCAAATCCAAAATTAGAAGGGGCCGGGTGCAGTGGCTCATGTCTGTGATCCCAGCACTTTGGAAGGCTGAGGCAGGCTGATCACTTGAGGTCAGGAGTTTGAGACCAGCCTGGCCAACATGGTGAAACCCCATCTCTACTAAAAATACAAAAACTAGCCAGGTGGTAGTGGCGCGTGCATGGTGGCTCACACCTGTCATCCCAGCACTTTGGGAGGCCAAAGAGGGAAGATCACTTGAGGCCAGAAGTTCAAGATCCACTTGAGCAATATAGCAATACCTCGTCTCTACAAGAAAAATTTTTTAAATTAGCTGGGCATGGTGGCATGCACTTGTAGTCCCAGCAACTCGGGAGGCTGAAGCAGGAGGATAGCTTGACCCCAGGAGTTCAAGGCTGCAGTGAGCTGTGATTGTGCCACTGCACTCTAGCCTGGGCAGCAGAGTGAGATCACGTCTCTTAAAAAAAGAAAAACAACAATAACAAAAAACAACCCTCGGTTTCCTATGGTCTTCCAAGTAAGAGTCCAATCCTTCCTGACCCATGTGGCCTTCACAGCTTGGCTTCAGCCTGCCTTTCTGTTTCATTGCTGCCCTTCCCTTTCTATAGATTTTCTCCAGTCCTTGAATGTATTATGTTCTTTGATATTGAATCTCTCAATTACTTAGGACAAACATTGTTTTAGAATCACCTTCACTTCTTTGACTCCCTTATACCAGGGCATCTCACTTCTCACCACTTCCAGTGCCACTGTCCCAGCCACCTGGGAACCAGCAAAGACAACTGATAAGGATGAGGAAATAAGAACAGGAAGACTTCAGAGAGGCTGAAATGAGAATTACAAGGGGGAAAAAAGGAATAACCGTACAGTACAACACTCGAGAAAAGAAAAAAAGCAAAAATATGCCTCCTTGTTTCTCACAATTAGAGTCCTCTATCAGAGCAGTTTTGCTAGCACACTGGGGATAGAAATCTTCTGACGGAGGAGCCAGAGAGGAGGGAAGGCAGGAAGTGCACATAACTCTGTCAAGAAACTTGAAAGGAAGGAGAGAAACGAATACCTGGGGAATCTGAAGATACAGAGTTGAGTGAGGGCTGTGTGTGTTTTCAATGAGGAGAAAAAGTTGCAAACGCTTACTGACAAGAAATTATCCAACAGAGAAAGAAAAGGAAACCAGGCAATAGGGGAAATGGACAGAACAAGACCTCAAAGGATGGTGTGTTCACAGGTGATAGGAACACAGCAGTGAACAAAACAAGCCCCACCCTTGTGCAGCTCACATTCAGGTAGGAGGAATGAACAAACACACACGCACACCTCTGGGTGCCACATGCCTTGAAGGAGATGAAACGGCAGAGAGGGAGTAGAGTGTGAATGGGGGTGGGGGCACTATGTTAAGTAGAGTGATCAGGAAGGGTCTCCCTAATAAAGTGACATTTGACAGAGACCTGAGGGAAAAGCATTCTGGAGAGAGGAAACAGCAAATACGCATTTCTGAGACAGGCATATGCACAGAAGGACTGAGGAATAGAAAGGATGCCAGTGTCTGCAGTGAAACTAGGAAGAGAGAAGTGATGAAGTCGGAGAGGTGTGACCAGGTTAGCTGAAGCTCTCAGGCCCATGGAACGACTTCAGTAGTTACAGAGTGAGGTGGGAGCTTTTGGAGGGTGTTAGGCAGAAGACTGACATGATCTGGCTGCTGTGTGGAGGACAGACAGCAGTGGAGGCAGGACAGAAGCAGGAAGGCAGTTAGGAGGCTGTGGCAATCACCCAGATGGCTGGGACAGTGGCACTGTAAGTGGTGAGAAGTGAGATTCTCTGGTATAAGGGAATCAAAGAAGTGAAGGTGACTCTAAAACAATGTTTCTCCTGAGTATTTGAGAGATTGAATGTCAAAGAACACAATACATTCAAGGACTGGAGAAAATCTGTAGAAAGGGAAGGGCAGGCTGAAGCCAAGCTGTGAAGGCCACATGGGTCAGGCAGCATTGGACTCTTACTTGGTAAGCCATAGGAAACCGAGGGTTGTTTTTTGTTGTTGTTGTTGTTGTTTTTCTTTTTTTAAGAGACATGATCTCACTCTGCTGCCCAGGCTAGAGTGCAGTAGCACAATCACAGCTAACTGCAGCCTTGAACTCCTGGGGTCAAGCTATCCTCCTGCCTCAGCCTCCCAAGTTGTTGGGACTACAAGTAAATGCCACTGAGAGGTTAAGCCAGCTGGACTTCCTGGGTTGAATGGGGGACTTGGAGAACTTTTCTGCCTAGCTAGAGGATTGTAAATGCACCAATCGGCACTCTGTAAAAACGCACCAATCAGCGCTCTGTGTCTAGCTAAAGGATTGTAAACGCACCAATCAGCACTCTATGAAAACGCACCAATCAGCGCTCTGTGTCTAGCTAAAGGATTGTAAACGCACCAATCAGCACTCTGTGAAAACGCACCAATCAGCACTCTGTGTCTAGCTAAAGGATTGTAAGCACACCAATCAGCACTCTGTAAAAATGCACCAATCAGCGCTCTGTGTCTAGCTTAAAGATTATAAATGCACCCATCAGCACTCTGTAAAATGGACCAATCAGAATGGGCCAATCAGCAGGGGGATGTGGGCGGGGCCAAATAAGGGATAAAAATAAAAGCTGGCCACCCAAGCCAGCAGCAGCAACCCACTTGGGTCCCCCTTCCATGCTGTGGAAGCTTTGTTCTTTCACTCTTCACAATCAATCTTGCTGCTGCTCACTCTTTGGGTCCGCACTACCTTTATGAGCTCTAACACAACGAGGGTCTGCGGCTTCATTCCTGAAGTCAGCAAGACCATGAACCCACCGGAAGGAACAAACAACTCCGGATGCGCCACCTTTAAGAGCTGTAACACTCACTGCAAAGGTCTGCAGCTTCACTCCTGAAGTCAGCAAGACCACGAACCCACCGGCAGGAAGAAACTCCGGACACATCTGAACATCTGAAGGAACAAACTCCGGACACACCATCTTTAAGAACTGTAACACTCACCACGAGGGTCCGCGGCCTCATTCTTGAAGTCAGCAAGACCAAGAACCCACCGGAAGGAACCAATTCTGGACATACCACCATGCCCAGCTAATTTTTTTTTTTTAACTTTTTGTAGAGACGGGGTATCACTATATTGCTCAAGTAGGTCTTGAACTCCTGGCCTCAAGCGACCTTCCCTCCTTGGCCTCCCAAAGTGCTGGGACGACAGGTGTGAGCCACCATGCCAGGCCATCAATGACAGTTTTTAAGAAGCAAGAAACAGGCCAAGTGCAGTGGCTCACGCCTGTAATCCCAGCACTTTGGGAGGCCAAGGCGTGCAGATCACGAGGTCAGAAGTTCGAGATCAGCCTGGCCAACATGGTGAAACCCCATCTCTACTAAAGATACAAAAAATTAGATGGGTGTGGTGGTGCATGCCTATAATCCCAGCTCCTTGGGAGGATGAGGCAGGAGAATAGCTTGAACACGTGAGGCGGAGGTCGCAGTGAGCCAAGATTGCGCCATTGCACTCCAGCCTGGGTGACAGGGCAAGACTCCATCTCAAAAAAAAAAAAAAAAAAAGGAAAAAACATAAGGAAAAACGAAAAACAACTAAAAGCACGGAAACCAATTAAGAGAGATGTTGTGCTTCCTTATATAGTTATCTTAATCTTTTTCCCCAATTACAAAAATAATACAAGCTCATTATAGAACATATGAAAAAAGTACGAAAAGCATAAAAAGGAAAACATAACCTCACCACGCAGATAAACACTTAACCTTTTGTGTTAAATGTATATCTATGGATGGTGAGGTTACGTAATCAGAAAAAATTTTCAGATAAACTGCTTTTAAAAGTTTCTGATTAACACCATCTAAGAACCATAATATTTCTTCTTCTTCTTTTTTTTTTTTCAGAGACAGGGTCTCACTCTCTCATCCAGGCTAGAGTGCAGTGGCACGATCTCAGCTCACCGCAACCCTCTGCCTCCCAGGCTCAAGCGATTCTCCTACCTCAGTCTCCCGAGTAGCTGGGATTACAGGCGTGTGCCACTGCCACCGGCTAATTTTTGTATTTTTAGTAGAGACAGGGTTTTGCCATGTTGCCCAGGCTGGTCTCAAACTCCTGCCCTCAAACGATCCACCTGCCTTGGCCTCCCAAAGTGTTGGGATTACAGGCGTGAGCCACTGTGCCTGGCTGAACCATATATTTCTAAATATAACTTAGGTCTGAATATAACCATGCACCGCAAATTGCACTTCAGTTACAAATCACAACAGAATAATTCCTCACTTTCCCCCTTAATCTCTTGAAGAAAAAAAGTAGACAGGGAGTTCAGCTATATAAAACTGAACATGAAACACGAAGCATGAAATACTGGAGTAAGTAAACTAAACAGACTACATGAAAGAAATCAGTTTCCACCTTTGTCTTTCTGGAAAACTAGGATTTCTGACAATTTACAGACTCAAAACTTTGAAGGGACTAATATCCTTTAAAAAGTTCTAGTGTAACCTGCTCTTTTTACACAGAAGGAAATGATGCAGAGAGGCTGGGTTGCTCAGTCAGTGACAGAGGAACCAGAATCCAAGTCTACAGGCAGCCTGTGCTGTTTCCTTTTTCTTTCTTTCTTTCTTTTTTTTTTTTTTTTTTTTTTTGAGATGGAGTCACTCTGTCACCTAGGCTGGAGTGCAGTGGCGCAATCTTGGCTCACTGCAACCTCCATCTCCCGAGTAGCTGGGATTACAGACATTCGCCACCACACCCAGCTAATTTTTGTGTTTTTAGCAGAGATGGGGTTTTGCCATGTTGGGCAGGCTGATCCACTGACCTCAGGTGATCTGCTGGCCTTGGCCTCCCAAAGTGCTGGGATTACAGGCGTGAGCCACCGCGCTCGGCTTGTTCTGTTTTCAATTCACTGTGCACTCCACGAAGACTGGCTATTTGTCTTATTCACTGTTTTATCTCTGCACCTAAACTAATGCCTAATTGGCACATAATCAGTGCTCAACAGTCTTTACATGCATTCATGAATGAATTCACAGATAGCAAATATTTTGGAATTCTATTAAGAGAGCTTAAGGGTACTTGGACATAATCGTTAAATTTCAGGTTGACAATATGTCACTATATTTCTTTTTTCTTTTTCTTTTTTTTTTTTTTTTTGAGACGGCGTCTCACTCTGTTGCCCAGTCTGGAGTGCAGTGGCACAATCTCAGCTCATTGCAACCTTCGCCTCCCAGGTTCAAGCGATTGTCCTGCCTCAGCCTCCCGAGCAGCTGGGACTACAGATGCCCGCCACCACGCCCGGCTAATTTTTTGTATTTTTTAGTAGAGACAGGGTTTCACCGTGTTAGCCAGGATGGTCTCGATCTCCTGACCTCGTGATCCACCCAACCTTGGCCTCCCAAAGTGCTGGGATTACAGGTGTGAGCCACGGCACCCAGCCATTTCTAACAGTATATTATTTCAATTCTTATTTCATTGATCCTTTCCTGTTTATGAATAAATCACAAAGCTTCTCTATGCCTTTGCTTCCTAATAAGCAAATTAAATATAACAGGGTTGCTATGAAAAAAGGAATGAATTATTCTTAAGCAGCTTTATCACTTAGATAGTGCTTTGGATTTGAAAACAGAAGCCAGTTATTAATGCACTAAATCTAAGCTCTTAGTTTAAAGGCCTGTAAGTGCTATAAAGCTCAAGCATTCCAGGACCATCTTTACAAATAAGGAGTTTGTGCTGCAGAATGATCACTGACTGCCTAGAAAGTGCAAATTTCAAGCTTTTGTTTGGGCTTTCCCTCCCAATTTAATTCAGCTCCATCCAATTAATGCTTCCTGAGCGCTCACTGTGTACAGACATCATCCTAGTGATTACAAGAATAAAAACTAAGCAAAGATGGTCCTTGTTATTAATAGATCTACAATCCACTAAGATAAAATTTTGTTATTATTTTTATGAGACTATAAAGTAGATTTTGGTAATAACATAAGCAATACAGAGTGTTTCGGGTAATTTAAAAGTGGAAGAGATTATAGTGGGGTTAGGACCAGTATAGGTTGCAAGGAGGACGGGCTTAGGATAAGAAGCTAACTGCACTCAATGCATTTTTTTACATCAGTTAAATGAATAAATAACAAACATTCTTCGAACATCTATGTCATGCATTACAAAAGGCAGCCAAATAACACATAACTCCCTGCCCCCAAGAATCTTACAGTCTATTTAAGAAAAAGAAGAAAGGATGGCAAGAGGAAAGAGAAATAGCATTTGGACAAAAGAGGAGTAATATAAGGGAAATTTCAGTCACAAGAAACAATATTAACAACAAAAGATCAACAACCAATAATGAAGCAGGCTGGGGCCCAGGGCAGGCACTAGATAGTGGGAGATAAAGCTGAAGTATTAAGATGATGTCATACTGGAAGATCTTGAATGCTAGACTGAGGATTATGAATTCAAAAGATGATGAGAAATGATGAAAGATTTTTAAGCAAAGTCCTATGGTACATAAGCTATTGCTTAGACTGATGTAGTAGTGTTTCATAATATCTATATTCACTAACATAAAAGTAATGTGTAGGTTATATTTCACAAGAATGAACTGCAGAAATATATGTGTAATGTGATCAATTTATGTAAAATTATATGCATAGACAATGACTCTCGGTATTTGCTCTGAGGAGGAAAACTCAAGAGTTGGAGGAGGGGGAAAAGGAACTGTTTAATTTTCACTTCACCCATCTGTAAGATTTTATTTTTGTAAGCAAAAACAATGTAAAAAGAGGCTTGGCTGTGAAAGGAAGATGGCAAACTATGTATAGTGATGCAGGGCTGCACCACTGTGGAATTTAATGCACACATATATACCTCTCTCATCTTTTCACCAAACGCTCAAAAGAGTAGACTATATCCACTTATTTTTAATGTCCTCTTTCTGTCCCATAAGCACAGGCTTTACAGTCAAACAGAGCTGGGTCAAACCACAATTCTACCACTTACAAGCACATACTAATTACCACTAACCTGGAGCTGACCAAGTATACCAAGTATAACATCAAATTGTTTATAGATAGATAGATAGATAGATAGATAGATAGATAGATAGATAGATAGATATAGATATAGACATAGAGATATAGATATACAGATATATATAGATATATATCAGACAAGCTAAAAGAAAAAAATTACTTGTTATCCACAAATAACGACTGGTAAATTGTTTATGTATCCAGGCTGACTTATTCTTCTATTGCTCTCTCTTCCCACTTTTGAGATAGAAGTCAGTATACAAATTGCTTTGTAATCTCTTTTTAACACATAATAATCTACAGTGAATACTTTCCCAAGATATAATGTTTAGTCAACCCACAGTATTCTCTATTCTACAGATGTTCTACAGTTTATTTTCCATCAATTTGATTTTGATGACCATTTAGACTGCCGCCAGTATTTACTGTTATATACAATACTGTAATCGGGATCTTCATATAGATATTTGTCCCCATATTTCTGATTAATTCCATTGGATAAATTCCTACAGGGAAAATCAGCAAAGTCTAAGAAATACAAAATAAAACTCTGGGAGTAAAAGGCGAATATGCTCTCTAGAAAGCTTATATTAATTTATACTTTTACCAGCAATGACCTTCTCATGTCTCTTATCAAACATCTACCTAGTTTTCTTCTACTTTTAAAATTAGCCTTCCTTGTAACAGATGAATTACTGAATAGATTTAAGCTCCCTAACATAAGAGCCATTGTACCCATTTTTGTTTCCCTTACGGTATCTGATACAATGCCTGGTACTTTGTAGATACTAAATTATTTATTTTTGGATATTTATCTTTTGTCTAACTACTTATTAGCACTTTTACTGATCTCTTATCAATGTTAAAGCTTTTACAAGTATTTTTAGTAGAATGCTATTTATTTGCAAATAATGACCATTGGTCTTCTAAAAAAATTTTCCCACACAACACCTATGTACTTTTTAAAATTGTCTCTGTAGCTGGGGTATTAGCCAAAACTGTCAGAACAATGTGTTTAATATTAATGATAAATGTAGGCAACCCTGTTTTCTGATTGTAATGGGAATAAACCTGGTATATTACTGTTCAATATGATTGTTGATTTAAAATAGACATATTAGACAGTATCTATTTTTATTTTTTGAAAGTTTCTTGAAAAAATATTAAATTTTATCAAAAGTCTTTCAGCCATGCACTTAGCTATTATTTTTTAATTTGACCCATTTAGTAGGATATTATTAGATTTTTCTGTTCCTAATTCATCTTTGCATTCCTGAGATTAACCAGTTTAGTCATGAGAGTTCACATTCATCTTATTCTTACCCTCTACTTTCAGAAAATTGCCAAATCCAGCAGATTTCACTTTTTTTTTTTTTTTTGGTGAGACTGAGTCTTCCTCTGTTGCCCAGGTTTGAGTGCAGTGGCGTGATCTCAGCTCACTGCAACCTCCACCTCCCAGGCTCAGACAATCCTCCTGCCACAGCCTCTGGAGGAGCTGGGATTACAGGCATGTGCCACCATGCCCGGCTAATTTTTGTATTTTTCGTAGAGACGGGGTTTCACCATGTTGGCCAGGCTGGTCTTGAACTCCTGACCTCTGGTGATCTGCCCGCCTCAGCCTCCCAAAGTGCTGGGATTACAGGTGTGAGGCACTGCACCCGGCCAGATTTCACTATTCTTGCATCCACGTGATTCTCATTGCTACTGCTCTAGTTCAGGCCTTCTTTGCTTCTCAGCTGGACTAGAGTAATGACTTTTAAATACCTCCCCCTCCTGTTCCTGATACTTCGTTTCCATTACACATGTAGTATATAATTGCATACAATTCATATAGTCTCTCAATTTATTTATAATTTCCTGCAAAAAGGTATTAAATGGGCCAGGCATGGTGACTTACGCCTGTAATTCCAGCACTTTGGGAGGGCTGAGGTGGGTGGATCACGAGTCAGGAGATCTAGACCATCCTGGCTAACATGGTGAAACCCCATCTCTACTAAAAATACGAAAAATTAGCCGGACATGGTAGTGGGCGCCTGTAGTCCCAGCTACTCGTGAGGACAAGGCAGAAGAATGGCGTGAACCCAGGCAGTGGAGCTTGCAGTGAGCAGAGATGGTGCCACTGCACTCGAGCCTGGGTGACAGAGCGAGACTCCGTCTCAGGAAAAAAAAAAAAAAAAAAAGGTATTAAATGTGTTATTAAATGTGTTTTGTCATAGTTATTCCTAATTTCCTTATAATTTTTGTTGCTACTATAAATGTGTTTTATTTTAAATGATACTGCTTTCTGTTTGCTGCTGGTATACAGAAAACCAAAGGATTTTATTATACTGATTTTACAGTCAATCACCTTACTAAACTCCCTTTTTGTTGTTGTTGTTGTTGTTAAGAGACAGGGTCTCTCTGTTGCTCAGACTGGCCTCAAACCCCTGGGCTCAAGCAACCCTCCAGTCTCAGCCTCTCAAGTAGCTGGGATTACAGATGCATACCACCACGCCTCAAACTCCCTTATTATTTCCTAATAATTTGGTAACTGTAGGTAACCTTGTTTTATCTCTGGTCAGAAAGTATAATATGCAAGATACCAACTCATTAAAATGTACTAAGCCTTACTTTATGATCTAGTATGTAATCATTTTTTTTCTACTGTTCCATGTGCCTGAAAAGAATATGAATTCTCTAATTACTGGGCATATAATTCCAGAGATGAGTATTAGATAAAACTTGCTCATGGTTAAAATATTCTGTATCTTTACTGACTTTATATCTGCTTGATCTACCAATAATTAAGAAATAGGTTGCAATCTCCTCCTATGATGAAGGGTTTCTCAGTTTTTCCCTAATAAAAAATTAACTATACAAATTTCACTTAATCTACTTTGAGGCTGTTCTATTAGGCTCATACAAGTTCAGAACTGTTATATCTTCCTGGTAAAATGAACCCTTTATCATATATAATAGCCTTCTCTATTGCTAATAATGCATTTTTTCTTTTCTTTCTTTCTTTTTTTTTTAACAGTCTCACTCTGTTGCCCACACGTGATCTTGGCTCACTGCAACCTCCACCTCCTGGGTTCAAGCAATTATCTGTCTCAGCCTCCCAAGTAGCTGGGATTACAGGGACCTGCCACCACGCCCAGCTAATTTTTGTATTTTTAGTAGAGATGGGGTTTCACCATCTTGGCCAGGCTGGTCTTGAACTCCTGACCTCATGATCCACCCGCCTCGGCCTCCCAAAGCGCTGGGATTACAGGCGTGAGCCACCACAGCTGGCTGCATTTTTTCTTTAAGTTTATCATGTCTGATATTAATTCAGTTACGCCAACTTTCTTTTGGTGTTTGCCTCATATATCTTTTTCCTTTGTACTATTTCAACCTTATGTAGACATGTCACTTATTAAAAGCATATAACTTAATTTTGGCTATATCTAATCCTATATTTTCTTAACTGGTGAGTTTATTCCATTAACATATATTGTAATTATTATATGTCTGGATTTCTTCCCACCACCTTACTTCTTAATTTCTGCTCATTCCACTTTTTCCCATGCTTCTTGTCCCTTCTTGGATTGAATTTGTGTTTGTCCCCTTTTTTCTGTCTCTACTTGTTTGGAATTTACACTATTTTTAGACTTATTTTTAAATTTTTACTATGTACATTTAGCTTTTCAAAGTCTAAAGTTAATTAATATCTTAATATCCTGCCTCTCCCTTGAAATTAAAAAAAACACTCTAGAATACTTCAATTCTAGAATTCCCCTTAGTCCTGATTTACCTGCTGTTAGTTGATATTTTAGTTCTATCATTTTTAAACGCCCCCTTAAATATAAAATCATTATTTTATACAGACTATTTTATTTACCCACGATTGCTTTCTGCATCTCATACTAGCCTCCTTATATCTCAGACTTTCTGGATTCATTTTCCTTTTCCGAAATATACCCTTTAGAAGTTCCTTTACTGTGGTTATCTCACAGTGGTAAATTCTCTCCGTTTTTGTTCATCTCTGAAAGTTTTTATTTCATACCTTTGTTGTTTAAATATTTTGTTTTTTCCTGAGTACACAATTCCAGGTTGCCAGTTGTTTTAACATTCAGAAAATATCATTCTGCTGTCTTTGGCTTCTGTTATTGTTATTGAGAAGTCTGCTGTCGTCATAATTGTCAATCCTCCATAGGTGGCTTCTTTTAAGATCTTCTCTTTGTCTTTAATGATCTGTAGTTCCATTATGATCTATCTTGATGTGGATTTCTTTTTATGTATTGTTTGCATTTAATCTTTTTCCTCTTATCTACTGCTTCTACCTTAATCCAAGCACCCCTCTAATTTCTTCAGGTCTCCATCTGTATCACTCTCCTACTCCTCATGCCCCATCTATATCTGGAGTTTGCCAGGCTTTTTCTTGCCATGGGGCTTTTGCTCTGCTCTTCTGTTTGCCTAAAAGCTGGAAAGAACCTTCCCACCACTCTTAGCCTGCAAACTCCAACTCTTTTAGATCTCAGTTTAACATCAATTCCTTAGACAGGCTTTTAACATCAATTCCTTAGAGAAGCTTTCCTTGAGGCTTTTTCTTTTAAGTTTCATTTAATCTTGATAAAGCAGTGAAAATGGTAAGTGTTATTAAATCTCTTCCCTAAATTGCCATAATAGTTTCCCTCTGTTAGAGAGCATCGTTTTTCCCTTGCTCAGTCTTTATCCCACTTTGCAATTACATTAATATATTCATGTGGTATTTGTTAATGTCTGTTTTCCCCACTTGTCTGTAAACTACACTGGAGCAATGGCTGTGTCTGGCTTTATTCACTACTCTATACTCAGACTATAACACAGTACCTGGGATACAGTAGGCTTTCAATAAAGTTTTGTTGAATAAACAAATGACCAAATGGAAAAAAACTTCCTTTAAGTGGCATATAACAGCACTTCTAGATCTAAACCCTGCCTGTTCTGCAGCCTCATCTCCCACCTTACCCCATTCCCATCTCACACATTCTATTGGAAAATAATGCTCTTTCGTGCCTCTGTGACTTTGCATTTGCTATTTATTCCCATTTCCTAAAAAGGTACTCCTTTAGCCTGCAAACTCTTTATTCAGCAAAGAAACCTCCTCCATGAAGCCTTCCTTTAGGAGATTTGCCCATCCGTGGGCAGAGGTGTCCTGCCCTTCCCGACAGCCCTGGCATCTCAATCACAGCCTCACCCTAGTGGATCTTAATGGCTGCCATCTGCCTCTTGTGGATGACAGAAGCGCTATGGTCTACTGCCCTGCATATCCTAGGCATTCAAAGAATGCCTGGGGAAAGGGGACTAGAAAGGCCATGCAGAGCAGAATAACCGAGGGTGTCAGGTCTTTGAGGAGATAAGAAGAAATGGGGTCACGAGAATAAGTAAAAGGATTAGTCTCATCAGAGTGAACGTTTTCAGAAAAACAAGGAAATTGAGTTGAGTGCAGGAGATGAAAATAGGTGAACTGTGATAGGAAAAGGAGGAAGTTGAGGCAGTGGCTTCATGTTCTCAGCAAAATAGGAGAAACCATTCTTTTGAGAGGGACAAGGGACAAAGGTGGAGGGTTTAGAGAGTAACAGACAAAACAGAATAGCCACAGTGTTCAGTGTATAAGTCCTAACAGCTGACTCCTAGCTAATGTAAAAGCTTCCTTAAACAAATTTCTTACCAGTCACACTTTACCAAACCAAACCGAGGATGCATTAGTAAGTGTAACTCTACTGTCCCAGCTCTCTGTTTCCAGAGAACAAATCTGATCTAAGTGGTTACGTCCTTTTAAAGGTCAGGCATTTCACATTCAATCATTTAAGGGAATCTTTGATTTAAAATACTACATATGAAAGCATACCAAAAAAAGTTAAGTGCTTGTATCTTCATTACATGTATTTTACTACACACAGTTCTTGTATTGAGCTGTCTTTTCACATAAAGAAAAAGATTGAATGGTCCTTAAAAACAGGGCCATGTGTTACTAGCTTCTGTATCAATTTGCACTGTCTTGCAAAATATCTTGCACAAAGGAGGCATTCAGATAGTTTTTTAATGAAATTAAATAAGTGAATAAGTCCCTTAGGCATCCTAGATTTTGGAAGGGGAATTTACAAATCTTTTTGAAATAATACAAAAGTGGCTATTGTCAGGAAGAGGAATAGACAATAGAAAAGAAAAACTAGAGCAGTACAAGAGGTGAGAATTATCCAAAAATGTTCTTGGTTGATTGCACTAGTGGATTCAGTGGATATTTCACAACACCTTTTATTTTTTTTGTGATGGAGTTTCGTTCTGTTACCCAGGCTAGAGTGCTGTGTCACGATCTTGGCTCACTGCAACCTCTGCCTCCAGGGTTCAAGTGATTCTCCTGCCTCAGCCTCCCGAGCAGCTGCGTTACAGGCATGAGCCACCACACCCAGCTAATTTTTATATTTTTAGTAGAGACAAGGTTTCGCCATGTTGGCCAGGCTGATCTCGAACTCCTGACCTCAGATGATCCACCCACTTTGGCATCCCAAAGTGCTGGGATTACAGGCATGAGCCACTGTGGCTGGCCTAAAATAATAAATTTTAAGTTAAATTTTCCACTCTAAGAATTGGAACATAGTCTATCCTACTCAACTTAGCATATACACACTGAAAACCTTCTTAGTTCAGGGCACAGCTTTGCTATCTATATGTTCCTTACCCAAATCACTTAGGCTCTCTGAACTTCCCTGATCTATAAAATGGGCATAAAAACAGTATTTATCTTACACAGATGTTACGAAGACTAAATGGAAATAATACAATCTAAGCACCGTGCCAGGCAAGAGTAAGTGCTAACCAAAGTTAGTTATAATTCCCTGGAAACTATAATCTAAAATGTTAGAGATAAAATATTACTTAGACCAGTGGTTCTTACGTGGTCTGTGGGTCTCTGGAGGTCTCTGAAACTCTTTTAGGGAGTCCATAGGTCAAAACTATTTTTATAATATTTATGACATTATCTATCTTTTTAACGGGGATGACATTTGCACTAATGGTGCAAAAGCAATAGTAGGTAAAGCTGCTGGCACCCTAGCATGAATTACAGTAACGGCATCAAACTGTGCTAGTAGCAGTATATTCTTCACTATATATTTACAGGTTTTTTTTAAGTTTCATTTAATCTTGATAAAGCAGTAAAAATGATTTTATTAAATCTCAGCCCTTGAGTGCACATCTTTTAATATCCTGTGTGATGAAACTGGCAGTATGTATAAAACACCAGTTCAAGCTGTGTTCCTTTTGGAAAAAGAAATACAAAAAGTAAAAGAAAATTTAAAAAAATAAATGAATAAAGTACTGGGTCCATATACCTAAGTAGATGGCTGTCTGGAAAAACGCACTTGTGAGCTGTCTGAATTGTGAGCTGAACTAGTCTTGATCCATAGAACACCATCTTTACTTAAAAGAACCACAGACAAATTATAGTTATTCAGGCCTAGCTGTTTGGCAGACATTTTCTCAAAAGAGAAAATCAAGGAAAATAACTATCAGTATTTGGTGCCAATATTAAAATTCGAGCTTTCAAGTAAAAATTAGAATTTTGGAAAATGTGTATCTGCCACCATCAGTTTGACAGCTTCCCAATGCTTAAAAATTTTGATGAAATTGGTAGTGATATTAACATATTTTAAATACTGCAAAATAAAATGTGTCAACATTTGAGAAATCTGCATAACTCAGTGAACCAGTATTTTCTAAATAACTGATGTTAGAAAACCATGCATGGGTTAAAGATCCAGTCAAAATGTGTAACAGACCAATGGATTTTAATGTAAGAGAGTATGAATGTTCACTAATACAGGTTCAGATTCCACATTGCAACTAATCTTTAAAAAAAAAACTATGACTTGTCAAATTTAGAGTAGTATGAGATATCCACAATTATCTGAAAAGATCATTAATGTACTCCCCATTTTTCTAACTACATATCTGTATCTGTGAGGCTGGATTTTCTCATATACTTCAATCAAAACAACATATCACAATAGACTGAATGCAGAAGCAGGTATGAGAAACCATTTGTCTTCTATTAAAGAGATTCAAAAATATGTAAAACCATGCCTATCTTCTCACTAAATTTGGGGGTTGGAAAATAGTGTTACTTTTCAGTTAAAAAAAAAAAAGTGTTGTGGCCGGGCACGGTGGCTCATGCCTGTAATCCCAGCACTTTGGGAGGCCAAGGTGGACAGAGCACAAGGTCAGGAGATCAAGACCATCCTGGCTGACACGGTGAAACCCTGTCTCTACTAAAAATACAAAAAATTAGCCAGGCGTGGTGGCGGGTGCCTGTAGTCTCAGCTACTCAGGAGGCTGAGGCAGGAGAATGGCGTGAACCCGGGAGGCGGAGCTTGCAGTAAGCCTAGATCACGCCACTGCACTCCCGCCTGGGCGACAGAGCGAGACTCCGTCACAAAAAAAAAAAAAAAAAAAAAAAAAAAGTGTTGTTGTGTTATTTTTTAATGAATAAACAAGTAAATTTCTCAGTTTTAATTTCTACTCAGGTAAATACTGACAGATACAACTCATGTAAAACAAAAACTCTTTGAGGTTCTCAATAATTTTTAAGAATTATGAGACTGTGAGACCAAAAAGTTTCAGAACTGCCATCTTAGATGATTCATTGTTTCTGTTCACAAAGTTGAAAAATAATCTACCCTATACATAGTACATTGTAGTTCTAGAATACTGTGAAGGCATTTGGATACTTAGAACACAAAGTAAATGATCCAGATATCAAATTTCAACCTGGCGGAAATGTTTTGGGATATCCTAGTATGTGATCTCCTATAAAGTAACAATGTGCTCCTGGTTTTTAAGGTAGGTCATTAGTATGCTGTTTAGGCACACACCAGATATTGAGGAAAAGAAAAATCTGGCAGCCAGGCACGGTGGCTTACACCTGTAATCCCAGCACTTTGGGAGGCCGAGGCAGGTGGATCACGTGAGGTCAGGGGTTCGAGACCAGCCTGACCAATATGGTGAAACCCGTCTCTACTAAAAATACAAAAATTAGCCAGGCATGGTGGTGGGCATCTGTAGTCTCAGCTACTCGAGAGGCTGAGACAGGAGAATTGCTTGAACCTGGGAAGCAGATGTTGCAGTGAGCTGAGATCACACCACTGCACTCCAGCCCAGGCAACAAAAGCAAAACTCTGTCTCAAAAAAAAAAAAGAAAAATCTGGCACAGAACACACACCAAAATAGCTCCTATGCCATTCTATACCATTTTTCCTCCCTTCTCCCCAAAACTTGCTTCCAAATGAAATGAGATAAGACACCATTGAGATTATCAATTCAAATTAAGATAACAGAAACCTTATAAGAAATCCTGCAGGAAAGCAAATAAATGTGGGAGCCTGCCTAGAGAATCAGATTTTCTCTAGAAGGTTTCTGGCTCAGTGTGAACCTTCTTCTACCCTGCCCTAAATAAAAAGACCACACAAAAACAAATTTCCAGTGCATGTGGGGCTCTCTGTTCACCAAAAGCTTTGATTCAACTAATAAATGATGTTAACATTGGAAATGGCTCTGAATGCCAAGGCCAGCCTTAGAAATCGCCTCAACTGCAGACTGAGAATCGCTGGGAGGGATGTAGGTGTAGTAAGAACAAAAAATTAAAAAGAGTAAACATCTGCAACCTACAGAATGGGAGAAAATTTTTGCAGTCTACCCATCTGACAAAGGGCTAATATCCAGAATCTACAAAGAACTTAAACAAATTTACAAGAAAATATCAAACAACCTCATCAAAAAGTGGGCAAAGGATATGAACACTTTTCAAAAGAAGACATTTATGCAGCCAACAGACACATGAAAAAATGCTCATCATCACTGGTCATCAGAGAAATGCAAATCAAAACCACAATGAGATACCATCTCACACCAGTTAGAATGGTGATCATTAAAAAGTCAGGAAACAACAGGTGCTGGAGAGGATGTGGAGAAATAGGAACGCTTTTACACTGTTGGTGGGAATGTAAACTAGTTCAACCACTGTGGAAGACAGTGTGGTGATTCCTCAAGGATCTAGAACTAGAAATACCATTTGACCCAGCAATCCCATTACTGGGTATACACCCAAAGGATTATAAATCATGCTACTATAAAGACATATGCACACGTATGTTTATTGTGGCACTATTCACAATAGCAAAGACTTGGAACCAACCCGAATGTCCATCAATGATAGACTGGATTAAGAAAATGTGGCACATATACACCATGGAATACTATGCAGCCATAAAAAAGGATGAGTTCACGTCCTTTGTGGACATGGATGAAGCTGGAAACCATCATTCTGAGCAAACTATATGCAAGGACAGAAAACCAAACACCGCATGTTCTCACTCATAGGTGGGAATTGAACAATGAGAACACTTGGACACAGGGCAGGGAACATCACACACCTGGACCTGTTGTGGTGTGGGGGGCCGGGGGAGGGATAGCATTAAGAGAAATACCTAATGTAAATGACGAGTTAATGGGTGCAGCAAACCAACACAGCACATGTATACATATGTAACAAACCTGAACATTGTGCACATGTACCCTAGAACTTAAAGTATAATAAAAAAAAGAGTAAACATTTTTTGATGTTTCGATAATGTAAGTCTGTGCCAAGCACTATTTTAAGCATTTTAAATAATTTAAGTAATTTAATCTTTTTAAATTTTTTTTTTTTTAGACGGAGTCTCGCTCTGTCACCAGGCTGGAGTGCAGTGGCACCATCTCGGCTCACTGCAACCTCCGCTTCCCCGGTTCAAGTGATTCTCCTGCCTCAGCCTCCCGAGTAGCTGGGACTACAGGAGCATGCCACCACACCGGCTAATTTTTTGTATTTTTTTAGTAGAGATGGGGTTTCACCGTGTTAGCCAGGGTGGATTCGATCTCCTGACCTCGTGATCCGCCCACCTCAGTCTCCCAAGGCACTGGGATTACAGGCGTGAGCCACCGCAACCGGCCAATATTTTTTTTTTTTTTTTTGAGACAGGGTCTCGCTCTGTCACCCAGGCTGGAGTGCAGTGGTGTGATCACGGCTCACTGCAGCCTTGACCTCCTTAGGCTCAGGTGATCCTCCCACCTCAGCCTCCTGAGCAGCTGAAACTACAGGCGCACACCATCATGCCTGGCTAATTTTGTTTTTGGGTTTTTTTTTTTTTGTTTTTTGTGTTTTTTTTTTGTATAGAGAGAGTTTCTTTCACTCTGTTGCCCAGGCCAGTCTTGAACTCCTGGGCTTAAAGCAGTCCACCCACCTCAGCCTCCCAAACTGCTAGGATTACGGGCGTGAGCCACCATGCCCAGCCAAAATTAAGATTAATAACCCTATGAAGTTGGTAAAGTTTTCATCCCCATTTTGTCCTGGTATCCACTACAACTGCATTACATCACGTTTGAAACTCATACTCTAAAATGCCATCCTTCCTGCCTCTTATCCTGGAAAACACAAAGGAACCACTGAGTTCACAAAGACTAGATTGTTACTATCAATACCCGTTATCCAAGTAACTCAGTAGCTACCACATTAGCCTGGTGCAGGGTGCGCGCCTATAGTCCCAGCTACTTGAGAGGCTGAAGCAGAAGGATCCCTGGAGCCCAGGACGCTGAGATCAGCCTGGGCATAGTAAGACCCCCATCCTAAAAGTCAGACTTAAAATCTGATACTTTTTCCTACAACAAATTCCTCTTTCAAGAGATTAACTTACTATTAAAAAAAAAGAGAGAGAAATAATTAACATGTTCTTTACAATAAGAACTCAAAGAAAAGGAATCAAAATGAATCAAACTTTTGAGGATGCTTTTAGGTACCTCTTGATTGAAACAAAGAAGCATTCCAGAAATATACCTGTTGGAGCCATCTTTCATATGGACTTTGGCGTAAAGAACATCCACCATGCCAGGATCATCATTCATGTATTCTATCCCTGCCATCTCCACTTCTAGGGGTTTACCCCCAGAAATATCACTGCAAAGGAAAAAGCATTAAGATATCTATAACTGTTTAAGCTAAGAGGGCTATTTTATTTTGAAACATGGTTAATACACATAGTCAAATATGTATGTTACTTACATGTGTACAAAAACATGGTAGTTGTGTTTTTTCCTAACATTATCTAATTGCCCTTCTAATTTCAAAATTAATAAATTTTCAATGCACACAAATTGGAAAACACCGGAAAGTATTTCCAATGTCAAACTACATTTATCCCAATACCAGTTTATTAGCACTGTCTCATGAAGAAAGTCAAGTGATGACAGTTCTGATCCATAAAGACATTTACTATGTTGGCTCATCTCTCAGGCGCCCATCTCTACTATTTCTACAAGTTACAAACAGCATTTCACTCATATAACAAAGGTGGAGGTATAAACTGATATCACATCTTTATTTACTTTTTTGTTTGTTTGTTTTGTTTTGTTTTGAGACGGAGTTTTGCTGTTGCCCAGGCTGGAGTACAGTGGCGTGATCTCGGCTCACTGCAACCTCCACCTCCCGGGTTCACACCATTCTCCTGCCTCAGCCTACCGAGTAGCTGGGACTACAGGCGCCCGCCACCACGCCCGCCTAATTTTTTTGCATTTTTAGTAGAGATGGGGTTTCACCATGTTAGCCAGGATGGCCTCGATCTCCTGACCTCGTGATCTGCCCGCCTCAGCCTCCCAAAGTGCTGGGATTACAGGTGTGAGCCACCACGCCTGGCCTTTTTTATTTTATTTTTTTTGAGACAGTTTTGCTAGTCGCCCAGGCTGGAGTGCAATGGCACGATCTCGGATTGCAACCTCCACCTCCTAGATTCAAGTGATTCTCCTGTCTCAGCCTCCTGAGTAGCTGGGACTACAGGCACCTGCCACCACGCCAAGCTAATTTTTGTATTTTTAGTAGAGATGGGGTTTAGCTATATTGGCCAGGGTGGTCTTAACTCCAGACCTCAGGTGATCCTCCCGCCTTGGCCTCCCAAAGTGCTGTGATTACAGGCATGAGCCACTGCGCTCAGCCTGATATCACATCTTTACAAGCAATCTGTCAATATTTATGAGAAGCCTTCATCAATAAAAACCCTTTCCCCAAGCAATTCCATTTCCAGGAGCCCAAGCTAAGGAAACAATTTTGAATTCAGTTACACATCAACTTGTGTAACTGTTGATAAAGCAAAGTTCTCCTTTACAGAAGAACTCCAAAACTAATAAATGCAGAAGGAACAACAAAATTAGAATCTTGCAACTCCTGATAAAATAATAGATCTTGACAATGATCACCAATGGCTGCTAAAACTTGGGCAAAAGGCTGGGGGAAATATAAAGTGACCTCTCTAAAGAGGAGCTCTATAAATAATGGTCATGATGACCACACCTGAACCCACTGACCAAGCTGAATATTAACAGTAAAAGAAACAACCAGACAATATGTGCCTCTTAGCATGATGCAATAAGAATATACTCATATTTATGAGAAATAATTTATGCATAGGGTTTTTTTTTTTTTTTTGAGACAGGGCCACACTCTGTCACCCAGGCTAGAGTGCAGTGGCGTGATCTTGGCTCATTGCAACCTCCACCTCCCAGGTTCAAGCAATTCTTGTGCCTCAGCCTCCCAAGTAGCTGGAATTATAAACATGTGCCACCATGTCTGGCTAATTTTTATACTTTTAGTAGAGACTAGGTTTTGCCATGTTGCCCAGGCTGGTCTTGAACTCCTGGGCTGAAGACATCTGCCTGCCTTGGCCTCCCAAAGTGCTGGGATTACAGGCGTGAGCCACTGCACTTGGCCTATGCATAGGGTTTTAAATGAGGCATAAAGTTTTGTTTTGAGTACCAAAAGATTGGCAACAGACTAAAAGTCAAATAACATGGTACTGATTAGATAAATTATAATACTAAGAGCAATAAATAAACTATACATGTGACTAAGGAAGCTTTTAGGTACTGATATAAAACAATATAAAAAACATTAAAAACTGATATAAAATGATATATAAAACTGATATAATAAGTTATATTTCTAAGTTTTAAAAAAGGTTTACAACAATGTGCATGCTATGCTACTTGTACAAAAGATGGAGGTATAAAAAATATGTTATATATATTTGTTCATACATCTATAAAATCCCTGGAAGGATACAGAGAAAGTGGTACACTGGTTGCCTCTAGAGAGGAAAGCAGGTGGCTGATGAATTTCAGTGGTAGAGAAACTGCACTGCGTATCCTTTGCAACTTTTTGAACTATGTAAATGTATTATCCATTAACAAGTTAAAATTTTAAAAAATATCCAAAATAAACCAAACACAAAAGTGTATATACTAAATAATTCTATTTATGGGACATTTAAAAACAAACCACCAAATCTATGTAATAGAAATCAGAACAGAGGTTGCTTCTGGGAGAAGTGAATTCACTGGAAAAAGGCATGAGGGACCCTCATGGGGTGATGGCAATGTTCCACGTCTTGATTTGGGTGAGGTTGCACAGGTATAGACATTGGTCAAAGCTCATCAACTACACCTAAGATCTGTGCATTTTTAGTGTAAGTAAATTACACCTCAAAGGAAAAACATACATATACATATCCAAAGTGCTAATGGTAATTATTTTTTAGTGGTAAGATTACAAAATGATATTTTATTTTTGTGTATCTGTAATTACTGGTTTTCCTAAAATTAACACGTATTACCTTTGTGTTAAGTAAAACCCCACCATCCTGTTTTCTTCCTGGACCCCTTAATAAAGAAACTTGTACTGCAACCAGAAAAGGCCTTGTTGTGCCATGCTGAAACCCAATTAAAAATCAGCTCACTGCGCAGCCTTCTCCAAACCCCAAGGGGATAGGCACTTTCTCCATCTTATCCACATCTATATCCTCAAAATCTCACACCATGACTTATACAAAATGGGTGTTCAATAAATCTCTGGCAAACATTAAATGGATGTTTTAAGGGGGAAGCTGTTCTGGACAATTTTGAGAAGAATATGGTCACAGGCTGATATATTAAATAGTTTGGATATTTGTCCCTGCCCAAGTCTCCTGTTGAATTGTAATCCCTAATGTTGGAGGTGGGGCCTAGTGGGAGGTGTTGGGATCATGGGGACAGATCTCTTGTCAATGGCTTGGGCCATCCCCTTGGTGATAAATGAGCTCTCACTCTGAGTTCACACAAAATCTACTTGTTTCAAAGTGTGTGGCACCTCCCCTGCCACTCTCTGTTGCTTGTTCCTGCTTCTGCTATGTGATGTGCTTGATCCCCTTCACCTTCTGCCATAATTGAAGCTTTCTGAGGCCTCCCGAGAAGCCGAGCATGCTTCTTGCAATCCTGCAGAACTGTGAGCCGATTAAACCTCTTTTCTTTATAAGTTACCCAGTCTCTGGTATTTCTTTATAGCAATAATGCAAGAACAGCATAATACACATGCTATATTGTCATTAAGTAAAAATGTGGTACTGCCTTAAAAACAAAAGGATTTGGCCGGGTGCGGTGGCTCACGCCTGTAATCCCAGAACTTCGGGAGGCTAAGGCGGGTGGATCATGAGGTCAGGAGATCGAGACCATCCTGGCTAACATGCTGAAAGACGGTGAAACCCCATCTCTACTAAATATACAAAAAACTAGCCGGGCGTGGTGGCGGGCGCCTGTAGTCCCGGCTACTCAGGAGGCTGAGGCAGGAGAATGGCGCGAACCCAGGGGGCGGAGCTTGCAGTGAGCAGAGATCTCGCCACTGCACTCCAGCCTGGGCGACAGAATAAGACTCCATCTCAAAAAAAAAAAAAAGAAAAAAAAAAGGATTTTAGGATCAATCAAAAGACAGCTGGAAAAAAAGGAAAAAGTTGTCTTGACATTGAACCCAGGTCATGGGGATGCTCTTTGTAGCCTAGGAATCCTAGTAGTAAAGATTCCCTTAACACTTCAAGGCCTTATTATTGCATAAGACCAAAACTTCTCTCAGTGTGAAACTAGTAACTCAACTATTTTAGGCGGACACTTTTCTTTCCATGTTGCCCAGGGTGGTCTCAAACTCCTGGGCTCAAGCAATCCTTCCAGCTTGGCCTCCCAAAGTGCTTGGGTTACAGGCATGAGCCACTGCGCCCGGCCCAGATACTTTTTCTAATTAAGAAAAATTACAGCCTTGATCATAATAAGTCTTCCTATAGCCACCTCTAATAAGAAGTGAAATGTTTCAAAACACAAGCCAAGCTCTGAACTGTCATCTGAGGTATGTAGCTTCCATCAATACACAATGTATCTTCATTCCAAGTACTAGCCAAAGAATTCGATTTGAAAGATTGCCACTGAATCCTATCAAAATGAAGTCAAAAAAGTTTGTTTGAAAAAAAGTTTCACACTAAATACACATCCTCCGACATTTTTAAAGCTCTCACCCTGCATAGTTATATCACCAGAAAGCATCACCACACCATTGGCTTAGATTCCCACTAAAATGTTTTTAATGGGTTATATTTAATGTTATATCTGCAATTTCTAAGGTCAACAGAAGAAAGACCCATATGAACAATGTTTTTATCTTCTGCAAAATTCCTGTTAAAGACACTGTCAATCATCATTCAGCATTCTTTATTAAGATTTACATGACAAACTTTTGATGGATCGAGAACCAGAAAAGGTTACTCTCCTGAAAAAACTGTTATACTGGGGTTGGCTTCACAACAACCTGAGTGTACTTAACACTACTGAACTATGCACTTAAAATGGTTATGATGGCAAATTTTATGTTGTATTTTACCACAACTGAAAATTTTTTTAAACTATAAAAAAAATTGTCATACTGCTTTTTATCAGACAAGAACTATACTAAGTGGTGTATTTCTTTTTGTAATTTAGTTCAAGTACACTGGTGTCAGAAAATAGTACCAAACTTTAATGCTCAAGTACAATTATTACCTTACCTTGACTTTCAGATAGAATTTTCTCCCTATACCATCCTTATGGTTTCTAAATCTCTGACTGTAACATTTCTTTTGTATACATGTCCTCACTCTTAACTACCTCAAATACTTGGAATTAGATGGGGTACTAAGAAGAAAAAAAATTAGAAACAATGAAACAGGATCCAAAGCCTGCTTTATGAGCAGAAACACAAACTGTTTCAACCCACCCCTGAGATTTATCAAGAGGGAGATGAAAGAGCAGGATAGAAATCCGATGGTTTGCCCGATAAACACTCTTTGTCTTAGTGGCCAAACAATTACATCTGGGACACCAGTAAGCAAATTACTTTCCAACTGATGACACGTGAGGCAATAATCAGGCATTAATGTTTGTTCACGCGTATTTTCTCTCCTCTTTCTAGTCCCTTTAAACTTCTTTGGTTTGACGTCAGGCCTGCTGGAAACACTGAGGCACAGGAGGGTGCTGCTGTGACTGAAGAAGAGCTGCACATTTGTCAGACTCCGTACTCAGAGCCAGTGCACGGTCTGTGTCCTACATCTCACAAAGGAAAGTCACCAGGGACACAGCCGGAGCTTCCGAATTTACTAAACACTGAATAATTCATTCAAAATCTATAGAGCTACAAGAGCCTTTCACTGAAAAATTGAAACAAAACTCCTGTTTTTGGTCTCATAGCATCCTTCAAATTAAAAAACTACCCCCAAATTTAAAATGAATACTCAACTACTCATTTCTTCAATATAGCCATACAGCTCCACAGTTTAAATCAAATTCCAACATAGCCACATTTATTTCAATACTCCCATTTTAAAAACCATCAAATTAAACTACAGCACACTATGTACAGGTCTGTTCATTTTTCAGTGTTTTCCTTTCATATTTTAATTTGGGACCACTACACCATAAAAGGTTCAGGTTAGAAATGCCATTATTTATGGACATTTTTTCTAAGTACACCAAGCACAAAGACTAAGGTCAAAGAGCAAGAAAAAATTCGATGATCCAATTTACTGATTTACTTACCAGAGATTTAACAGAAGTACCCTTTTTGTTTTTTTAAGAAGTAGTCTCTTCTCAGAAGTAAATCAGTTTTGCACTTTTTAAACAAATGCATGTGATGGGAGAAATCAGGAGAAGAAGGTTGGGGAGGCTTGCTTTATTTTACTCGCTGGTTCCACATCTTTCCAGCTTTTTAAAAAGAGCATCTTTAAACAAATTTTTGCATGCACTGCAGATTTTTGGCAGGGTAACTTTGTCCTATTTCAAAAGCTTTGCTGAATTTGAAAAACTACAATTACTGTTTTCATACTGTCATGTCAAAAATTCTGAGGAACTATTAAAACTGCTCTTTATTCCCCAGGCACACTAACTCTGACATGCTTAAAGGGCTGAGATTTGGCATTTAGTCACAAAAGGCACCAAGAAACATAAAAGGGAGGAACTCAGCTAAATCTTTGCATAGCTTAGGATAAACCTTCAGTGATTAAAAACCTGTGACCTGATTTTCATAAGGTAAAAAGAACAAGTACTTCTCTAAACAAAATATTTTATCTACCTTTAAATTTTTTCTTAGCAGGATTATCCCAATGGCAGCCAAGGAAATGTAGTAGCTTTCAGTTTAGTTTAGCAAAAAGTAAACTGGGAATACATTAAAGTATCAGAACTGATCCTTAAACCAGGTAAAACTGCCCTGCTTTGTAAAATAAAGCATAATGCTTTGCTTTATATAAGGGAAATGGAAAGTATCTAATGACAAACACCAAATTATTTTGAATTTCAGGTAAGATCTAGAGAAAACAGATATGTCCGTTACTGAGCAAAGAACATGACAAGAAGTGTTCTTTGCTCTCTGAGATTCAGAAAGGATAGAAGACTGCAAACCCTATCAGCTTATGATCTTGCTCAAGAAAAATAGTTTGTCTTTGAAAAAATTAGTTGAAAAAGATAACTGGCCCATAAAGTGTTTGTATTACACAGTTTCTTTTTTTTTTTTTTTTTTTGAGATGGAGTCTCACTCTGTCGCCCAGGCTGGAGTGCAGTGGCGCAATCTCGGCTCACTGCAAGCTCCGCCTCCCGGGTTCACGCCATTCTCCTGCCTCAGCCTCCTGAGTAGCTGGGACTACAGGTGCCTGCCACCATGCCCAGCTAATTTTTTGCATTTTTAGTAGAGACAAGGTTTCACCGTGTTAGCCAGGATGATCTCGATCTCCTGACCTCGTCATCTGCCCGCCTCGGCCTCCCAAAGTGCTGGGATTACAGGTGTGAGCCACTGTTCTTGGCTAAACAGTTTCATATACAACATAACTAGAGAAAAATTTTAGATCCTTTTACCTTGTTCTATCCAATGAACCAGGTAAACCATTTCTATAAGGCCATGTTAGAATAGCATGGGGCCTGCCTACAAGAATGGAGTAAAAAAACTATTTGAGTGAATTGGCTTTCACATTTCTCTCTTTTGTCAATCTTAAGTAAAAGGAAGAAAGTAAAGGGAAATAGGGGAAGATACGGTTCTTTGAAATAAAGCTGTTATGCCAGATGTATGTGTAAATTAAAATTTTACAGTAAAAAAAGAATAACAACTCTGCCCTCAGAACAGTAATGCTTTCCCTGAGTCAAAACAGATTGCTTAGACTGTTTCTGGTATCCTTTCTGAACTGGCTGGAGATGGCAGCTCACGCCTGTAATCCCAGCACTTTTGGAGGCCGAAGCAGGAGAGTTGCTTGAGACCAGGAGTTTGAGACTAGCTAGCCTGGGTAACAGAGAAAGACCCCGTCCCTAAAAAAAATAAAAATAAAAATAATAATAAAAAAAGTTTTATTTTTTAAAATTCTTGCTGAATCAAATAAAATTATTTGTATTAAAAAAAAAAAAAAAAAAGAGGCCGGGCTTGGTTGCTCACGCCTGTAATCCCAGCACTTTGGGAGGCCAAGGCGGGCGGATCACAAGGTCAAGAGATCAAGACCATCCTGGCTAAAATGGTGAAACCCCGTCTCTACTAAAAATACAAAAAATTAGCCGGACGCGGTGGCGGGCGCCTGTAGTCCCAGCTACTCAGGAGGCTGAGGCAGGAGAATGGCGAGAACCCAGCAGGCAGAGCTTGCAGTGAGCCGAGATTGCGCCACTGCACTCCAGCCTGGGCGACAGAGCAAGATTCCATCTCAAAAAACAAAAAAAAAGAAAGTAAGTCAGTATTTCTAAAATATAATGAAGACTTCCCTAGAGAATCGTGTTATAATGTTTGCACTCCAGCCTGGGCGACAGGAAAAAAAAAAAAAAAGAAACACAGTGTTTCTAAAATATAATGAAGACTCTCCTAGAGAATCGTGTTATAATGTTTGAGTTACTGTAATAGACAGAATAATGACCCCCAAAGATGTTAATGTCCCACTCTCTAGAATTTATATTCTATCTTACATGGCAAAGAGATTTTTGTAGATGTGATTAAGGTTATGGAATCTGGTATGAGAGGTTAGCCTGTATTGCCTGAGTGGGCTCCATCAAATCACATGAGTCCTTCCCATGTTATACACCCTCTGGTTCAAAAACAAGTCTGTAATACCAAAAAGAAGCCAGCCCAGGTAGACCACCCAACCCCCATCCCTGAGAATTACTCACTTAATGAATTCCTCTTTACACTGCTGTAGCATCTCACATGTCTGCTGGATCTCTTCCTCACTCAAAAGCACCAACATCCCAATAGTTAGATGAAGCTTTTTAGGATTCTGGAAAATGCTGCTGTCAACCCCATGATCCTGTTATCAAAGAGAGAAAAACAAGAAACTCAGCCCATACAAAGGCAAATGGCAAGAATAAAATTGAGTCCCCAAAAATAAACCCACACACCTACAGCCAAGTGATTTTCCACAAGGTGCCAAGACCATTCAATAGAGAAAGTCTCCTCAATAAATGATGCTAGAACAATAGAATACCCACATGCAAAAGAATAAAGATAGACTACTACCTCCTACCATATAAAAAAATTAACAAAATAGATCATGACCTGGAATTCAGCAATGGATTCTCAGATATGACACCAAAAACATGGACGACAAAAGAAAAAAATAAACTGGATTTCACCAAATTAAAAAACTTTTGTGCATCAAAGAACACTATCAGGAAAGTGAAAAGAAGCCTACAGAATGGCAGAAATATTTGCAAGTAATTTACCTGATAAGGGTCTAGTATCCGGAATATATAAAGAACTCTTCCAATTCAACAACGAAAAGAAATCTAATATTTTTATTTTTTAATTATTTATTTATTTTTGAGACAGAATCTCGCTCTGTTGCCCAGGCTGGAGGGCAATGGCGTGATCTTGGCTCACTGCAAGCTCTGCCTCCTGAGTTCATGCCATTCTCCTGCCTCCGCCTCCCAAGTAGCTGGGACTACAGGCGCCCGCCACCACGCCCGGCTAATTTTTTTGTATTTTTAGTAGAGAACAGGGTTCACCATTTTAGCCAGGATGGTCTCAATCTCCTGACCTCATGATCCGCCCGCCTCAGCCTCCCAAAGTGTTGGGATTACAAGAGTGAGCCACCGCGCCTGGCCCAATTTTTTTATTTTTTAAGAGACTGGGTCTTGCTGTCACCCAGGCTGGACTGCAGTGGTGCAGTCACAGCTCACTGTAACCTCAAACTCCTGGGCTCAAGCGATCCTCCTGCCTCAGCCTCCTGCATAGCTGGGATTATGGGTGTGAGCCACAGAACCCAGTAGAACCCAATTTTAAAATGGGAAAAGGGACCAGGCACAGTGGCTCACGCCTGTAATCCCAACATTTTGGGAGGCTGAGGCGGGTGGATCACTTGAGATCAGGAGTTCAAGACCAGCCTGACCAACATGGTGAAACCCCATCTCTACCAAAAATACAAAAATTAGCTGGGTGTGGTGGCAGGCGCCTGTAATCCCACATACTCGGGAGGCTGACACAGGAGAATCGCTTAAACCTGGGAGGCAGAGGTTGCAGTGAGCCAAGATCACGCCATTGCACTCCAGCCTGGGTGACAAAGTGAGACTCTGTCTCAAAAAAAAAGGAAAAGGACTGGAATAGACTTTTCTCCAAGGCAGAAATACAAATGGCTAACAAGCAGAACTGGCTAACAAGCACATGAACATCATTAGTCACTTAGGGAAATGCAAATCAAAACCACTATGAGGTACCATTTCACACCCACTAAAAATCAAAATAATGGAAAATGACAAGTGCTGGCGAGGATGTGTAGAAATTGGAACCCTCATACATTGTTGCTAGGAAGGTAAAATGACTCAGCCTCTGTGAAAAAGAGTTTGGCAGTTCCTCAAAAAGTTAAACATAGAATTACCACATGACCCAGCAATTCTACTCCTAGGTATATGCCCAAGAGAACTGAAAAAGGGACTCAAATACATGTACATGCATGTTTCCAGAAGCACTACTCACAACAGCCAAAAGATGGAAATAACCCAAATGTATATCAACAGATGAATGGATAAACAAACCGTAGTATATACACACAGTGGAATATTATTCAGCCTCAAAAAGGAATGAAATTCTGGCTGGCCGCGGTGGCTCATGCCTGTAATCCCAGCACTTTGGGAGGCCGAGGCAGGCAGATCACCTGAGGTCAGGAGTTCGAGACCAGACTGACCAACATGGCAAAACCCTGTCTCTACTAAAAATACAAAAATTAGCCGGGTGTGGTGGTGTGTGCCTGTAATCCCAGCTACTACGGAGGCTGAGGCAGGAGAATTGCTTGAACCTGGGAGGAAAAGGTTGCAGTGAGCCGAGATCGCACCACTGCACTCCAGCCTAGGAGACAGAGTGAGACTCACTCTGTCTCCAAAAAAAAATTTTGGCTCTGGGAAGCACAAAAAGTAAATATACCTCATGAATCCCTAAAATTGAGGTGAAATTCACATAATATAAAATTAACCATTTTAAAGTGTACAATACAGCAGTATTTATATTTAGTGTATTCAATGTTGTGCAACCACCAGCATTCTTTAGTAGCAAAACTTTATCATCTGATAAAAGCATTCCATATCCATTTATTTATTTACTTTATATTTATTTTTATTTTTTGTGATGGAGTCTTGCTCTGTCATCCAGGCTAGAGTGCAATGATGCGATCTTGGCTCGCTACAACTTTTGCCTCCCGGGTTCAAGCAATTCTCCTGCCTCAGCCTCCTGAGTAGCTGGGATTACAGGTGCCTGCCACCACTCCTGGCTAATTTTTTGATTTTTTGTAGACAGGGTTTTTACCATGTTGGACAGGCTGATCTCCAATTCCTGACCTCAGGTGATCCGCCCATCTCAGCCTCCCAAAGTGCTGGGATTACATGCATGAGCCACCATGACCAGCCCTCATACCCATTTAAATAAATAATCACTCCTCTTTCTCCATGCCCCATCCCCTAGTGACCTCTAGTTTGCTTTTTGTCTCTTTGGATTTATCTATTCTGGATATATTATATAGAAAGGATCATACAATATAAGACCTCTGTGACCAGCTTCTTTCATTTACCATGATGTTTTCAAGGTTCATCCAAGCTGTAGCATTATCACTCCTTCACTCCTTTTTAGAGTTAAATAATATTTTAGTGTATGTATGTATCAAAATGTGTTTATTAATTCATCTATTGAAGATTTGGGTTTTTTGCACCTTTGCTATTAGGAATAATGCTGCTATAAACATTTGTGTACAAATTTCTGTGTTAACATATGTTTTCAGTTATTTAGGGTATATACCCAGGAGGAGAACTGCTGGGTCACATGGCAATTCTATGTTTAACTTTTGAGAAACCACCAAACCATTCTCTACATTGGCTGAACTAACAAACATTCCCAGCAGCAATGTATGAAGGCTCCTGTTTCCCCACATCTTCACTGACACTTGCTTTTTAAAAAAATGATAGCGATCCTTGTGGGTATAAAGTGGTATTACATTGTGGTTTTGACTTGCATTTCACTAACGATCAATGATGATGACATCTTTTCATGTGCTTTTTGGATATTTGTACATCTTCTCTGGAGAAATGTCTACTAAAATCTTTTGCCCATTTCAAAACTGTCTTTTCATTGTTGAGTTTTAAGAATTCTTTATAAATTATTGATAGTATACCCATATCGGTCCATGGGTCCCTTTTAAAGGAAGGTAGGTCTCAAATTTCATTAATCTCATTCTGCAAATGAAAACAAGAAAAAAAAAGTTGAAACTCTTTTTCTTTTTTTTTGAGACGGAGTTTCGCTCTTGTTGCCCAGGCTGGAGTACGATGGTGCAATCTTGGCTCACTGCAACCTCCGCTTCCCAGGTTCAAGTGATTTGCCTGCCTCAGCCTTCCTGAGTAGCTGGGATTGACAGGCATGCGCCACCATGCCCGCCTAATTTTATGTTTTTAGTAGAGACGGGGTTTCTCCATGTTGGTCAGGCTGGTCCCAAACTCCTGACCTCAGGTGATCCACCCGCCTCAGCCTCCCAAAGTGCTGGGATTACAGGCATGAGCCACCGCGCCCGGCCAAGTTGAAGCTCTTCTATTCCAACAGGAATGAAACAGGAATCCTATCACTGAACTGCAAGTTCTTATTGTATAATCAGGTCTCTGGCCTGATAAAATGCTCCAAAGGCAGAGAAAGGTATTTTATCAAGTATGAATAGCTTACATCCTGTTCTTGGTTTACCTAAGGCTTACTGCCTAATATTTGCCTTTGCAACAGTAGTTAGTTGACTCTTCGTTTTCTAAGTGTTAATGGAGCTTGAGCTATTTTTACATCTGATGAAAAGTTTTGTGATTCCACACATCAACCCAAATTGCCTAATTTAATGAAAGTGATTGTAAGGAACAATCAGCTTTAAATGTGTCAAGGAAGGCTAAGTGCAAGGCTTATCACCCCAGCTTCTCTAACCCATGGCCTGCCACATTAGAAAAGGCATGCAAAGCCCCTCAAATTATTTTAATATGCACAACTCCATCCCAAACTACAATTGAGAACTGCTCCCCAGCAATAACGGTAATATTTGTTGGGCCCTTGCTCTGCTCCAAACGTTTTCTATGCAATGTATAGACAAATATCTTATGACAGAAGCACTATTATCATCCATACTTTACAGATGAGGAAACTGAGGCACTGAGAAATTAAGCCACTTTCCCAAGGTAACACTGCTAGGAAGAGATGAGGTCAAAATTCAAACCCAGGCAGTCAAGCCCTAAAGTCTATACTTTTGATCAATATTATATACATAGCCTTCCTAGTAATAGTTGCCCAAAGTGGGCTAGGACCATAGGACCACCACCCAGAGGCAAGTCCTTATGCATTTCAACACAGCTCACTCAATAAATGGATCTAATCACTAAATTAGGCCTGAGAATAAAAAGAATCTCATAATTCTATCAAAGGAAAGTGGTTTTAACATCTGCCTTTTCTAGCCAGGCACAGTGGCTCATGCCTGAAATCTCAGCACTTTGGGAAGCCAAAGCGGAAGGATCGCTTGAGGCCAGGAGTTCAAGACCAGCCTGGGCAACTTAGACCAGTTCAAGACCAGCCTGGCAAACATGTTTCTTTTTGTAGAGAAAAAAACCAACATAATTGAGTTTTTTTTCTCTACAAAAAAAAAACAAAACCCACAATATCTGCCTTTTTTTAGATATGACACCAAAAGCATAATCCATAAAAGAAAAAAAAATGGATAAAGTGAACTTAATCAAAATTTAAAACTTGTGCTTCAACAGATATCATCAAGAAAATGAAAAGATAAGCCACAGAGAAAAATATTTGGGAGAAAAACATTTGCAAATCCTACATCTGATAAATATAAACATAAAAAATTCTTAAAGTTCAACAATAAAAAGATACATAATCCAATTTTAAAATAAGCTAAAGATTTGAACAGATATTTTCCCAAAGAGGATATACTAATGGCTAACAAACTTATGAAAAGAGGCTCAACATCATTAGTCATTAAAGAAACGCAAATCAAAACCAAAATGAGATATCACCTCACACCCATCAGAATTATTATAATCAAAAAGATAAACAATAACAAGTGTAGATGAGGATATGGAAAAACCGAGCAGCCACTTTGTAAAATATAAATTTGTAAAACAGCACGGCCACTTTGGAAAACAGTTTGGCAGTTACTCAAAAAATTAAACATAAATTTACAAAAATTCATACAAAAAAAATACAATGCAGCCATTTCACTCCTAGGATTCTACCCAACGAAATGAAAACAAAGATCCACCTCAAGATGTGTACATGAAATCTCACAGCAGTATTATTTATAATAGCCAAAGAGTAGGAACAATCCACAAGTCCACCAACTGGTGAATGAATAAACAAAATGTAGGCTAGCCATATATGCAACACTATTCGGAAATCAAAAGTAATGAACTACTAACACATGCAAAAACATAGATAAGCCTCAAAATATTATGCTAAATAAAAGAAGCCAGATGCAAAAGACTACGTATTATATGATTCTATCTACATGAAATGTCCAGAAAGGACAAATCTAAAGAGACTGAAAGCAGGTTAACAGTTGCCTGTGGTGAGGAGTGGGGCGGCAAACAGGCACAAGGGATCTTTTTAGGGTGATGGAAATGTTCTAAAGCTGAATTGTGGTAATGACTGCACAACTCTGTAAATTTATTTAAAATCACTAAATTGTACACTTAAAATGAATTAATTTTATGGTATGTAAATTATACCTTAATGAAGCTGTTAAATAAGTTGTGTCTATGTCTTTTTTTTTTTTTTTTTTAAGACAAGGTCTCCTCTGTCACCCAAGCTGGGGTGCAGTGGCATGATCATGAATCCTGCAGCCTCAAACTCCTGGCCTCAAGCGATCCTCTCTCCTCAGCCTCCCTGTGGCTGGGACTACAAGCTCACATCACCACACCTAGCTAATTTTTTTTAAATTTTTGTAGAAATGGGGTCTCATTATGTTGCCCAGGCTGGTTTCAAACTCCTGGCCTTAAGCAGGCCTCCCACCTGAAGCTACCACACCTGGCTAGCTCACTGGTGGTGGCTTACCCCTGTAATCCCAGCACTTTGGGAGGCCGAGGCAGGGGGATCACGAGGTCAGGAGATCGGGACCATCCTGGCTAACACAGTGAAACCCCGTCTCTACTAAAAATACAAAAAAACTAGCCGGGCGTGGTGGCACGCGCCTGTAGTTCCAGCTACTCAGGAGGCTGAGGCAGCAGAATTGCTTGAACCTGGGAGGTGGAGGTTGCAGTGAGCCGAGATCGTGCCATTGCACTCCAGTCTGGGTGACAGAGCGAGACTCCATCTCAAATAAATAAATAAATAAATAAAATAAAATACTTTTAAAAATCAAAGAAAAAACTCAAAATGCTATTGAACAATAGGCAAAAGACAGACACTTCACATGAATAAAGATATAAAAATGACTCGAACATGTAGAAAGACATATAATTTTGCTCATTTAAAAAATGCAAATTAAAACTACACTGAATATCATTTCTCACCCATCAAACTGACAAAAAATCAAAAGCTTCACAATACACTCTGTTGGAGAGGCTGTAGGGACACAGGCACTTTCATACATTGCTAGCAGAAATGCAAAATGGTACAATCCCTGTGGAGGGAAATTTGGCAATATCTAACAAAACAAAAGACACTATAAATAAGTATTTACCATCTGACCCAATGCTCTAGACTGAATTGTGTGCCCCCCAAATTCATATGCTGAAGCCCTTCCACTCAATGTAAATGTATTTGGAGACAGGGCCTTTTGGGGATAAAGTTAAACAAGGCCATAAGGGTGGGGTCCTAATCCAACAGGACTGGTGTCTTTATTCAGAAGAAGAAACACCATGAGTGAGAAAGCACAGAGAAAAGGCCGGCAAAGAGAAACAGTCGCATGAGGACACAGCAAGCAGGTGGCCATCTGCAAGCCAGGAAGAGGCTATAGCAGAAAGCAACCCTGCCAGCACCTTGATCTTAGTCTTCCAAGTTCTAGAGCTAAGAGAAAACAAATTTCTATTGTTTAAGCCACCCAGTCTGTGGTATTCTATGACAGCAGCCTGAGCAGATTAATATACCCAACAATCCTACTTCTAGGAATTTATCCTGAAGATACATCAACAACGTAAAATATGTATGCATGAGGTTAGACATTACAGCATTACTGCAGAACACTTAAATGCTCAAGTATAGAATGGTTGCAAACTATGTATAAACACATGTATACAATGATCTGGAGTGATATTTCAGGACCTATTATTAAATGAGAAATGCAAAGTGCAGGACAGGGCGGGTTGCCTCACACCTGCAATCCCAGCACTTTGGGAGGTCAAGGTGGGCAGATCACTTGAGACCAGCCCGGGTAACAAGGTGAAACCCCGTCTACACAAGAAATACAAAAATTAGCCGGGTGTGGTGGCACATGCATGCCGGTAGTTCCAGCTACTCAGGAGGCTGAAGTGGGAGGATCACTTGAGTCCCAGAGGTCGGGGCTACAGTGAGCTGTGATAGTGCCACTGCACTCCAGCCTGAGTGACAGAGCAAGATCCTGTCTCAAAAAAAAAGACAAGTGCAGAAGAGCTTCTATACTTGCTACCATTTAAGAAAGAAGGGAAAATAAGAAAACATACATTAATATATATATGCTTATTTTTACAAAAAAAACACAGGACAAATAAACCAGAAAACAATGATATTGGTCACCCACAAGGGATGAAGGAGAAAGGGGCAGAAAGAATACAAGAATGTGTGACACTTCTGGGTATGTATGCCTCTTACATAGTTTTGACTTTTGGAAGCACGTTAATGGTCTACATATTCAAACATAAAATAAACAAGTATGGAAAAGGGAAAGAAACCTAATTTGAAAGTAAACTAAAAATAAACCCAACTGTATTTTAAATGAATATCAAATCCACACTAGAGGGGGTTAAGAAAGAATCAACAAACACAAGGCCGGGCGTGGTGGCTCACGCCTGTAATCCCAGCACTTTGGGAGGCCAAGATGGGCGGATCACCTGAGATCAGGAGTTCGAGACCAGCCTGGCCAACATGGTGAAACCCCGTCTCTACTAAAAACACAAAAATTAGCAGGGCATGGTATCACGTGCCTGTAATCCCAGCTACTCAAGAAGCTGAGGCAGGAGAATTGCTTGAACCCAGGAGGAAGACGTTGCAGTGAGACAAGATCGTGCCATTGCACTAAAGCCTGGGCGACAAGAGTGAAACTCCGTCTCAAAGAAAAAAAAAAAAATCAGGCAAGAATCATTAAAGGATGTTAAATCTAAGGAGAAATTTTGTTGAGGAGCAGAATATTTGCATAGTCTTAAAATGTCCTCTTCTAGACTGCTTATCGGTTGAAAGGTAAAAATATAGTAACTATAAAGAAATTAATCAACACTGACTGGATGGTGTCAAAATTAACATCACCAATGAGGGACACTGTATACTCTAAGAAGGACACATTATCACCTATGCAATGCTCCATCCAGGAATGCCTAAGTCTACTCATGAGGAAATGCCAGACAGATCAAAAGTGAGAAGCATTCTATTTAAAAAGCCAATGTCAAGAAAGACAAAGAGCCGGCGTGGCACCGTGCCTGGAATCCTGGCTACTCAGGAGGATCACTTGAGCCCAGGAGTTCAAGGTGCAGTGGTGCTCACAGCACCGCACTACACCCTGGGTGACAGCAGAGTGAGACTGTATCTCAAAAAAAAAAAAAAAAAAAAGAAAGAAAGGCAGACAAAGAAAGCCTGTGGAAATGTTCCAGATTCAAGGAGGCTAGAAACATGACAATTAAATACAACACCTAATCCTAGACTGAATCCCAAACTAGAGAGGGAAAAAATGCTACAAAGGATATTACTGGATTAAGTGACAAAATTTGAACGTGGATGGTAAATTAGATAAAACTATCAATGTTAAACGTATTGAGGTTGAGAACTATAACATTATTATGCAAAAAAAAAATTTTGCCAGACACAGTGGTGCACGCCTATAGTCTCAGCTGCTCAGGAGGCTGAGGGGATAGCTTGAGACCAGGAATTCAAAACTAGCCTGGACAACATAGCAAGATCCCACCCCCCCCAATATTTTTAATTAAAATATTTTGAAATATTTAGGGTTAAAGGGCTATGACATGTGCAACTCACTCTAAAGCAGTTGAGAAAGATAAAAATGGAATACGAAAACAAATAGTGAAATATTAACAATAGGTGAATCTGAATAAAGGATACTATTCTTTTCTTCAACTTTTCTGTGAGTTTAAAACTACTTCCTGTATAAATTCTCTATTGGTGCTATAACAAATTACCACAGACTTTGTGGCTTACAACAATACGAACTTATCCTACCATCTTCTGGAGGTCAGAAGTCTAACATGAGTCAGCAGGGCTGCATTCCTTGCGGAGGCTCCAGGGCAAATCACTTCCTTGAGCTTTCTAGCTTCTAGAGGCTACCTGAATGTCTTGGCTCAGAGTCACATCACTTCAATCTCCACTTTAATCGTCACCTCTCCTTCTCTGACTCTGACCTTCCTGATTTCCTCTTTTTTTTTTTCTCAGACGGAGTCTTGCTCTGTCGCCCAGGCTGGAGTACAATGGCAAGATACCAGCTCACTGCAACCTCCGCCTCCTGGCTTCAAGCAATTCTCCTACCTCAGCCTCCTGAGTAGCTGGGATTACAGGCACCCGCCACCATGTCCAGCTAATTTTGTAGACATGGGGTTTCACCATGTTGGCCAGGCTGATCTCGAACTCCTGACCTCAAGTGATCTGCCCACCTCGGCCTCCCAAAGTGCTGGGATTACATGCGTGAGCCACCGCGCCCAGCCCAACTCCCTTATAAAGACCCATCTCAACATCCTTAACTTTATCACATCTCAAAGTCTCTTTTGCCATAAAAGGTAATAGTCACCGGTTTTGGGATTATGATGTGAATATCTTTGGAGGGCCATTGTTCTGCCTGTCACATGCCCCCTTCCCAAAATGTTTTTTAAGGCATCTTTGGGGAAATACACTTGGGTGATAAAACTAAAGAAAACTAAGGATGTGATTACTGTAAAAGTTGGGACAGTGGTTACCCTTCAGGGGAAGAAGACAAAGGCAAGACAAGGAAGTCTAGGGTGCTGATAAGATTGTATCTCCAGCCTACACGGTGGTTATAAAAGCATCCATTTGTTCTGTATCGTCTTCTGATGTGTGTTACATTTAACAATTTTGAAGTTTTTTTAGAAAAACTCTAAGCACAAGGCTGGGTGCAGTGGCTCACGCCTGTAATCCCAGCACTTTGGGAGGCCGAGGCGGGCGGATCACGAGGTCAGGAGATCGAGACCAGCCTGGGCAACATGGTGAAACCCCGTCTCTACTAAAAATACAAAAAATTAGCCAGGCCTAGTGGTGCACAACTGTAATCCCAGCTACTTCGAGGGCTGAAGCAGGAAAATCGCTTGAACCCGGAAGGCAGAGGTTGCAGTGAGCCAAGATTGCACCACTGCACTGCTGTCTGGGCAAAAGAGCAAAACTCAGTCTCAAAAAAAAAAAAAAAAAAAAAGAAAAACTCTAAGCACAAATAAAAGAGGAAACAGTTTGTTTTTAAGCTTTTATAGATGTTGGGCTTTTTTTTCTTTTTTTCTTTTTCTTTTGTAGAAATGGGGTTGCGCTATGTTGACAAGGCTGGTCTTGAACTCCTGGCCTCAAGTGATCCGCTGGCCTCAGTCTCCCAAAGCGCTGGGATTACAGGCATGAGCCACTGCACCCAGCCCAATGTTGAGATGTTTTAAAGGTAAAATTACACTAGTTCCTCTAAAAATATATAATATATATATTATATATAATATTTTTATATTATATATATTACATATATTATATATTTTTATATTATATATTATATTTTTTATATTATATATTATATATTATATTTTTATATTATATATAATATATATTTTATATTTTTATATTATATATAATATTTTTATATTATATATATTATATATTATATTTTTATATTATATATATTATATATTATATTTTTATATTATATATTATATATTTTATATTATATATTATATTTTATATTTTTATATATGTTATATACAATATTTTTATATTATATATATATTTCTTATATTTTTTTATATATAAAATATAGTGACTAGAGAGAGAAAAATGAGGGAAAGAAATGCCCTGTCACTAGCATGCCAAATCAAGACTTAACTAGTAGAGCCAGACTCAATTCTAAAGGCCTGAAAGTGCACACAAGTACCTTTCTAGACCTGGAAATGACTAGGAAACATAAGGGGAAAATGGCCTAATGGTTTAAAATTCCCAGCTTACTATCTCAGTCACTTTGATATTCCATTGCTCTTTCTTCCTTTTTCTTTCTCTTTATTCTTCAACTTTCTCTTGCATAAATTTGCTCTAATACCCAGCTAGAAAAAGGAAGTTCTACAACTTTGCTTTCCCTGCCTTACCCTTTGGGAGCCTAGCACTCTAGTCAACTTGAGTTTACTTGCCAAGAAAACACCAAAACACCAAGTACTGGGAAACAAAACACACAGAAGGCAATGGAGCAAGACAAGGTACAGACAGGACACCTAAGGGTCACACGATCGAAAGTCCTTTTTGGAATTATGAGTCATAAGGGTTCAAATAATCCTTAACTCTACTGTAGACTATATAATTTACAAGTAACTCCACTGGACAGTCTTTTAATGAATGGAGAAACGCTCTAAATTCTGCCCTACCTCACAATGCCATCTACCAAGAGAAACTTTTCTCTTACTGAATTATCTAAATTTAATTTGGAACCAAACAACCTTCAAGGCAACGGCATAAATCTCTAGAGCCACTGTTTTTCTTTGCTCGGAATATATCATCATATTCCTGCCCCAAGCCCATTCACTGAGATGAATGAAGACCAACGAACATCAAATTCTTTACTGCAGGGGTTTAATTACACTGGGCCCTGCTCCAAGCTTGCCATTACTTGGAGCTGGAACTATCTTACTCCATTAGGTTGGCCACCCAGGCTGGCGCCTGAAAGTTCTAATGGTATTGACCTTCCACCCAGCAGGGAGAAGCAA
Organism: Homo sapiens; assembly: GCF_000001405.40. Taxonomy (NCBI): domain Eukaryota; kingdom Metazoa; phylum Chordata; class Mammalia; order Primates; family Hominidae; genus Homo; species Homo sapiens. Next base: position 72,173,967 of record NC_000010.11, read on the forward strand.
AGAGTGAAGTAACAGGAATTTCCTGGGGCAGTTTTGTTTATGAAAATAAACATGTTTCTTTATGACTAAGTCACAACATCACTAAGCCTCAGTTTCTTTCTTGTTAAATAAGGCCTCATCCATGCATGCGAAAGCTTCCTCTAAAGAAAACTTATGTACATGCCTAAGTCACAGTTCACCGAGTTCAAGGTCATGTCCTGACTCATCAGTCCTGAGTGCATGGAGCTTAGCCCTCTCATTCAAACTGCAGCTCATGATTTACCACTAGCAGTCACCACATCATCACAGGCCCTTCACTGGCATCACTTTTAATCCAGCACCCTGGGCTCGAGTGGGGCAGAACTGCTAATAATACTATCAGTAGGAACAATTAACAAGACATAATAAAATCTACACATATCAAGCTTGGGGAAAAGGGCAGTAGACAGCAGTATGGATTGGTCCATCATGAAGCATTCTCTGCTTCCTTAAAGCTCAACCATCCTTTCCATGAGATGGGATACAACACAGGTGCAACTGCCAGAGCTGTCAGCAAGTAGAAGGGAGGCCTCTCTCCAGACATAGACCTGTAAGCTCACACTCCACTACATGCTAGTGAAGAATCTGATCCAAATGTGTAGCACCCAGAATGTAAATAATTTATAGCTCTCTGCCTTGGTGGTACATGCCAATTGCCAGAGACAAAAAATAATTCTCAAATCATATTCACATATATCATCTTTTAGGAACTCCAGGTATAACAAACGTTTGTGCCTTTAACCTGGAGTAGAGAGCCTAGGGTTCTAATTCTAACTTTGTCACAAACCAGCTGTAATTAGGCAAGTCATGTCACTTCTCTAGCCTCGGCTTCCTCCTCTGTAAAATAAGGGAGGTGGCCTGGTTTACCTGTAAGTCAAAGGACCTACAAACTTTTTACATGTTCCCACAAAACCTAAATAATTATCTGCTAACAAAATAGATTATGTGTGAGGGATCTACCAATTCACTTTCTGATATTCTATGCAAAGAAAAAGAGAAAATATGCATGCTTCCCCTATACTCGTTGTATTTTCTTTCTTTTTTTATGGCCAAATCTTGTAGAACTGTTTCTGGGCAGGTGATATGAAGTTCATTCATCTAAAGAAGTTATTCAAATAAGGCAAAGTGATGAAAAGAGCATTTGGCTGTGCAACCAGACAGGCCTATGTTCAAATTCTGCCACCTATCAGCAGCATGACCCTAGGTGAGTTACTCAGTTGCTATGAAGCTTAATTTCATCATCTATAAAACAGACAATACTTCTGTCTCAGGTTTGCTCTGCAGATGAAACACATATGAAGTCTCTGGCACACAGTAGTATGGAATAAATACAAGCTTCCCCCTCTTCCTTTTTACATGACTGTGCAGCACTAGACAAATGCCATCTTTGCTCTCCCTTTTAAAGCAGCACTGGAAGCTAAATTAGGCTCTGCTGAGTCATTTCCATTATTCTTTAAGAATGTTCAGAAAAGCTGACTTTGATTTGCAAGTCACTATGTGTTATTAACGAAATACTGTGTTAAGCTGTATAAGCTTTAGAAAAAAGGGTTTTGTTTCTCCTGGCTTATAAATTCTATTTATTCATACATAATTACAAGAAAGTGGAGAGGTTCTTAAAACGTGGACAAACATTCAAGCATGGGCTTTTATACTGACCAGAGAAAAGAACTTCTCATGCATTGTCTAAAGATCTTTACCCATTAAAGAGGAGTGAAGAGCATCTCCCCTCACTAAAGGATGCACCACCCCACTTACCTTAGATGAGCACAAAGAATCCTTCAGCCTACTCTTCTAAAAACTTCACTATTCCTCCATAGTTACTTGAAAGCACTAGTTAGCAAGGCATCTACTCAACTTACATTTATTCCCAAAGACAGACCCTGGTTCCTCTCACGTTTCTGATGGGTTAACAGCGCAAGAGAGATCTGTTGCTGCTTCTTAATGCCACTCCTTCCTTCCCCTCCATTTTGTAACCCATGGGATTACTACAAGTCTTACTTGGTACAGCAATAATTACAATTATAACAACAATAACATTCATTCGGCACTATGTGCCATGCTCTGCTCCAAACACCTTAAACTTATTAACTCATTTACTCTTCATATCAACACTGTAACATTAATACCATTATTATCCCCACTTCAGAGCAGAACTCTGAAATATCTTTGGAATATATCCCCTCCTGAATATGCCACAAACCCTATTCTTCTTTCAATAGACAGTATCGATAGCCTCCCAACTGGTACCTGCCTTGGTGCCCAACTCCTTACCTCTCAAGACATCCTCCACACTGCCTTCAATTTTTTTTCTGTGGTGCTAAGTTCATCACAGTCCTTGCTTAAAATCTTAACTAGTTTGTTTCTTTCTTTCTTTTGGAGACAGGGTCTCGCTCTGTCACCCAGGCTAGAGTGCAGTGGCACAATCATGGCTACTGTAACCTCTATCTCTGGACTCAAGCAATCCTCCTCCCACATCAGCCTCCCAAGTAGCTGGGACCTCAGGTACACACCACCATGCCTGGCTAATTTTTTTTATTTTTTGTGGACACAGAGTTTCACTATGTTGCCCAGGCTGGTTTCAAACTCCTGGACTCAAGGGATCCTCCCACCTCAGCCTCCCAAAGTGTTAAGATTACAGGTGTGAGCTACCATGCCCAGCCTTAACTATTTTCTTACTCTCTATAGGATATTACATTCAAAATCCTTAACCCACACAAGAGCTTTCACAACTTGGGTGCCATGTCATTTCCACTCTTAACTCCTACCTCTTCCTTACTCTACCTCTTTCTAAGTACCAGCCTTAACAAATTCCTCACTCTCCCCTGAATACCTCACAAGTGACATTTCCTCTGCGCAGAATGCTCCCTGCCCCCATTTGCCAGCCTGGCACAAACTCCTGTCCCTTCCAGACTGTTCAATTGTCAGCTCCCTTATCAAGCCTTCTGCAACCACTACAGAATTTCTCCTCTGGGTACACACTGCACTTATCTAGTAGCACTTATCTCACAACACGGTACCTATTTCTGGAAGAAGTCTATTTCCCACACCCTAGAGTATGGGATCCTTAAGAGTAGAGTCCATTGTTGGCACATAATATGTCCTATATGTTATATATACCTGGTATAAAGTAGACATTTAATAACTAGTGCATGAATCAATAAGACACAAAAACCTGTTCAAAACTAGTATCTCCACCGAAATGGGACAATATATGAATCTTGTAAATATTTCCTTTTCTTACTTTCCTACCCAACTTGGTAGGTTTTACAATCAGAACTTGGGGCTTTTTACAATTTTCCTTACAACCAAAGACAACTATCCCATCTTCATTCTAAATCAGTTCAAAAGATAACTACAAATCCTACAACTACCCTTAAACATGAAAAATCCTAAATTATACACTAAAGCTTTTATATAAACATTTTCTTCTTCAGTGACTAATACTAACTGGAAAAAAAATCCTGCCTGAGGGAGTTAGGGGGATGCAGACCCATTACCCATTCTGCCCAGTGTAAGCCTCCATGTTACAATATGAGCAGAATTATGTAGTTTCTGCAGCTATAACTGATTCAGGTTCTCTAGGCAGCCTGAGAAATCCCCTGTTGCTTCAGATGGATCTATAAGCCTTCAAATGTTCCACTGCACATGGTTTTGAATTACCGTTTTTCATTACTGATGTGCTTTCTACTGGACCCTGCTGTGAGATAAAGTGGAATTATAGCAGCATTACTAGCTAAAAAATGATTGAGAGATATACAAGGTTGTAATATACTTCTTGAACTTGCAGGCAATGAGACATCTTTGAATCTTAATGCAAGAGACGAAAGAATGAAAAAATAAGGTGCAGCTTATCTGCAGATCACACAGATGAAGAATACCTTGCTAATGTCTGTGAGCAGCTAAATCCTACATTAAATACTCAAGATTAGGGAACTGAAGCACAGGGATGATAGTGATAATGTCTGCAGTCAAACAATATTTCTTATATAACAGATGAACACAAAGAAAGGTGACTTCAGGGAATGCTATCCTAAAAGGTAAATTCAGTTAACATGAAGAGCCAAGGGTGAGGTCAAGGACAAGTCTGCTACCAAACAAAGAGGAAAAAGAGGCTGACTGTTTTAAAGGAAGAAAGAATTATGTTCAAGGAAGGATGATCAGAAGGATAGAATGAGACCTGAGCATAGAAAAGTTGCCTGTTGTACCAAAAATGTGACCTTCACAACAACGTTTAACAATGAAAATTAATAGCTGTGATAGAATTCTCAGACTGACCCCTAATGACCTTTTACCCTGGTATAATCCAGGTTGTAGGTGGACCCTGTGGCTGTGATAATGTATGAATCCTACAAATTATATTATGTTCTATGGTACAGCGGACTTTAAGAGAGAGAGATTATCCCAATGAGACTAATCTATACCCATGAGCTGTTTAAAAAGCAGAGTCTTTGGCTGGTGGCAGAAGTCAGATCTGACACAAGAAGGATTTGGTGAAGCCAGAGCAGTCACGTGTCAAGGAAACGGCACTTTCAGACATATAGACACAAGGATCTGAATTCTGCCAACAACCTGAATGCACATGGAAGTTGATTCTTCCCAAGAGCCTCCAGATGAGATACCAGTCTGGTCAACATCTTGATTTTGGCCTTGTGAGACCCTAAGCAGACAACCCAGTCCAGCCCACTGGGTCTTCCGACCTGCAGTACTATGAAACTACCAGAGAACTGTGAGATGATACATGGGTGTGGTTTTAGGCTGCTACGATTGTGGTAATTTTTTACACAGCAATAGAAAACTCATAAGGTAGGGTAAACTATAACCTGATATTTCAACAGAATCTTTCATATCAGAGATCCCAAAAGCACTTGACGTATTTGACATAAGCTATAAAGAAAAATAAATTTACCTTCTCAAAAAAAGAAATAAACATTAATAATATCAATTTTTTTTTTCAGAAGATGAAGAGTCTCACCTTCTTAAGTCCTGAACCAGGACTGAAGGCAGACATCTTAATGAACGTGTCCTTAGATAATATCTGATCCATATGACACTTCTTTTCAACAATTCGGGAAGAGTATATGATTTGAATAATAACCCAAGCAAAAGTGGAAAGCTCTGCTGCTTGTTTTTGTTGTTGTTGTTGTTGTTTCCTGAGACAGGATCTTGCCTTGTTGTCCAGGCTGGCTAATTTTTGTATGTTTTGTAGACACAAGTTTTGGTTGCCCAGGCTGATCTCAAACTCTTGGGTTCAACTGATTCACCTGCCTTGGCCTCCCAAAGTGATGGGATTACAGGTGTGAGCCACTGCGCCCGGCCTGCTGCTCTTTTTTAAACCCTCAAATACTGTCCAAATTATTACCGAATTCCAGTCAAGGCTGTTCTCACTTGAAAATGCCTGCTGAAAGATTGGTATAGTTGGTTAGCAGTTGGTCAGTTGATTAGCAAGCAACCATCAAAATGTCTTCAATTGTTTAACAGGATATTTTTTTCCCATTCAAATAACTTTTCCTCAGTGACCCCTAGGACTGTCAACTATTTGTTCTATTGGATTAGAGCAGATGCTAGATCCTACGCAACTTCGTATCACTGCTCTACTTAACACTGTGGCATCCACTAGCTGTGGCACCTTAGGCAAGTTACTCTCTCTAAGCTTCCATTCCTTCATCAGTGAAATGAGATATAAATACCTACCTCATAGGGAGGGACTGAAGATTAAACAAAATGAACATAGGAGACATTTAGAACACTGTCTAGCAAAATACAAAGCTCAATACATATTTGCTATTTTATACATCACTCAATTATCAATTGAGTGAATAAAAACAGTGGGACACTCAGGCTAATTTACAATATTATAGATTACTAGCAGAAAAAAAATGCATGAACAGCAGCTTTATTCATAATATCCCATAAGTGGAAACAATCCAAATGTTCCAGTGGTGAAACTCAACTATTTTTAAAAAAACATAAAAATACTAATGACAGAAAAGAAAAATACTTTAAAAGAACCGGCCGGGTACGGTGGCTCACACCTGTAATCTCGGCATTTTAGGAGGCCAAGGCAGGTGGATCACTTGAGGTCAGGAGTTTGAAACCAGCCTGGCCAACATGGTGAAACCCCATCTCTACTAAAAATATACAAAAATTAGCCAGGCATGTTGGCACATGCCTATAATTCCAGCTAACCAGGAGGCTGAGGCATAAGAACTGCTTGAACCCAGGGAGCAGAGGTTGCAGTAAGCCAAGGTTGTGCCACTGCACTCCAGCCTGGGCAACAGAGCGAGACCCCGTCTTAAAAAGAAAAAAAGAAAAAAAAAAGAACCAAATGGAACTTCAAGAGATAAAAAAATAAAAGAGCTACCCAGGCACGGTGGATCACACCTGTAATCCCAGCACTTTGGTAGGCCTAGGCAGGCAGATCACTTGAGGCCAGGAGTTCAGGACCAGTCTTACAAATATGGTGAAACCTTGTCTCTACTAAAAATACAAAAATTAGCCAAGTGTGGTGGTGTGTGCCTGTAATCCCAGCTACTCAGGTGGCTGAGGCACAAGAATCACTTGAACTCAGGAGGCGGAGGTTGCAGTGAGCCAAGATCGCACCACTGCATTCCAGCCTGAGCAACAGAATGAGACTCTGTCTCAAAAAATATATAAAAATCAAAAATCAAAATTGATAATTCCATCAAATGGGATTAACAAAAGATTAGACACTTCAAAAAAAAAAATCAGTGAACTTGAAGACACATCTATAGAAACTATACAACCTGAAGCAGCCTGGGTGAGGGGATCAGTCATACCCAAACCTCAGCATTATAAAATATACCCATGTAACAAGCCTATACATGTACCTCCTGAATCTAAAATAGAAGCTGATTCCAAAGAATTGAGTTCAGTTCAAGGCAGCTTCCCTGTTCTGTTAACGAAACTTTGGGACATTGAAATGGGCTACGGGAGATGATTGGTTCAAAAGCATTATTCTATTCATTTGCCTTTTTTTTTGGAGACAGAGTCTCACTCTGTCACCAGGCTAGAGTGCGGTGGCACGATCTTGGCTCACTGCAACCTCCACCTCCCTGGTTCAAGCAATTCTCCTGCCTCAGCTTCCCGAGTAGCTGGGACTACAGGCACGCACCACCACGCCCAGCTAATTTTTGTATTTTTAGTGGAGACAGGGTTTTACCACGTTGGCCAGGATGGTCTCGATCTCTTGACCTTGTGATCCACCTGCCTCAGCCTCCCAAAGTGCTGGGATTACAGGTGTGAGCCACCGCGCCCGGCCTATTTGCCTCTCATCTTACAAAAATGCCTGCTTGAGTCTAATATATCAACAGTTAAAGATGCCTAGAAGAGATGGGACTGAAGAGGCTGAAGACTTACTGAGCTTGGACTAACAGACAAGTTACATTCAGTTTTAGGAAGTCTGGTCTGATGAACTAAGATAAAAAGAAACTGAATTATTTTCATACATGGTTGCTTTTCAGAAATAAAAACAAAATAGAAGCTGAAATTTAAAAAACAAACAGATTTTAACATTATAAAATTGGAAAAACAAAAATTTTGAACAATAAAGGAATATTTAATTTTTTTCTTTTTTTTTCATGAACCATACATGAGACTTAAGGAATATTTAACTATTTTTGGAAAACTGAAGCAGAGAAAAAAAAACGTCTGGACAGAATCTCAGTAACTTGTGCACCAATATCAAGTGATTTTTTTTTTCTGAGATGGTCTCACTCTGTTGCCCAGGCTGGAGTGCAGTGGCACCATCTCAGCTCATTGCAACCTTCACCTCCCGGGTTCAAGCGATTCTTGTGCCTCAGCCTCCCGAGTACCTGGGATTATAAACGTGTGCCACCACACCCAGCTAATTTTTGTATTTTTAGTAGAGATGGGGTTTCACCATGTTGGCCAGGGTGGTCTCAAACTCCTGACCTCAAGCGATCCACTCACCTCAGCCTCCCAAAGTGCTGGGATTACAGGTGTGAGCCACCGCACCCGGCCTCCAGTATTCTGATACACATGTAATCAGGGTTCCAGAAGGAGATGAGAAAAAAAGGAAAGAAAAGACATTCGAGGAAATAATGACTGAAAATTATACAAAACTGGAGTGAAACAGCAAGAAAGGAGACTAGGAAGTTCTAGGCCCTCATTCCCCCATGGACATATCAAATAACAACATACAGACCAAAGTAGCTTAGGAAGAACCCTAAAAACCAGTTAAGAAGTTGCAGGAACCAAACATACACCTAACCATGAAAAGGTCACACTTCAAAGTGGTAGAAAACTTTGTGCCATTTTCATTCATCCTTGCCCCACTCAATCTGTCCCACCTTGTCCCACCACTGGGAAGAAGCTACCCAATTTCCAGCTCTTCCCTCAGGATGGAGCAAAAATAGAACTAGCTTCAATGTTCTGGCTTGTGTGGGGCTGCCTGAGGGACTGGTTGCTGTCTCACCTGACTTGGAGGGCTAATGGGAATGGTGGCATAGTCTGGATATCAGGATGGAGGCCATTGAAAGCAGTGGCAGGTGCCACGGCAGGGTTGTTTAACAACAACAAAAAAAGGCTAGATACTATATGGGATAAATATATATAAGGAAAAAAGTCTAAAGAGGACTGTATTATTTTTCAATTAAGTCAATAATATAAAATTCAGAAAGGGTATGAAAATGTTCCTGCTAAAAGAGGTTGAAGAGACATAAAAACTTAAGCTGGGTATGGTGGCTCACATCTATAATTCCAACATTTTGGGAGGCTGAGGCCAGAGGATCACTTGAGGCCAGGAGCTTGAGACCAACCTGGTCAACATAGCAACACCCTGTCTCTAAAAGAAAAAAAAAAAAAGAGAGAGAGAGACAAAAAACTAAATGCAATGCCTGACCTTACCCTGGATCTTGTACTGAGGGGGGAAAATATAAAGGACAGTATCAGATCATATGCCATTAAAGCTTATACTTTCTTATGGTATATTCCTTATACTATCTTTATACAAATTTTTCTACATTGAAATTATTTCCAATAAAAAAAAAAGGCTGCCAGATAAGAATGACAAAAAATTTCTTTTTTTTTTTTTTTTGAGACAGAGTCTCACTCTGTTGCCCAGGCTGGAGTGCAGTGGTGCAATCTCAGCTCACTGCAACCTCCACCTCCTAAGTTCAAGCGATCCTCCCTGCCTCCGCCTCCTGAGTAGCTGGGATTACGGGCACCCGCCACCATACAGGGCTAATTTTTGTATTTTTGTAGAGATGGGGTTTCCCCATGTTGGCCAGCCTTGTCTGGAACTCCCGACCTCAGGTGATCCACCCACCTCAGCCTCCCAAAGTACTGGGATGACAGGTGTGAGCCACTGAGCCCAGGCAACAACAAATTTCTTATTAGAAACTATACCTGGCCAGGTATAGTGGTTCACACCTGCCATCCCAGCACTTTGGGAGGCTGAAGCAGTTGGATTGCTTGAGCCCAGAGAAGTTTGAGACCAGCCTGGGCAACACAGCAAAGGCCCATCTCTACAAAAATTAGCTGGGCATGATGGTACAGACTTATAGTACCAGCTACTCGGGAGGCTGAGGCAGGAAGATTGCTTGAGCCCCAGAGGTGGAGGTTGCAGTAAGCTGAGATTGCACCACTGCACTTCAGCCTGAGTATCTGAGTGAGACCATGTCTCAAAAAAAATGTTTTTCAATAAAAAATAAAATAAAGAAACTATAAATGCCAGAAGACAGTAGAATTATATGTTCACAGTCCTAGAAGAATAAACTACTTAGAATTCTATAATCAGTAAAAATCTTTCAAAAAAGAAGGTGAATTAAAAAATTTTTCAAACAAATAAAAGCTGAGAGAAATTATTTCCCACAGATCTGAACTATAAGAAATGTTAGGCTGGGCACAGTGGCTCATGCCTGTAATCCCAGCACTTTGGGAGGCTGAGGAGGGCAGATCGCCTGAGGTCAGGAGTTGGAGACCAGCCTGGCCAACATGGTGAAACCCCATCTCTACTAAAAATATAAAAATTAGCCAAGTGTGGTGGCATGCACCTGCAGTACCAGCTACTCGGGAGGCTGAGACAGGAGAATCGCTTGAACCGGGGAGGCGGAGGTTGCAGTGAGCCGAGACTGCACCACTGCACTCCAGCCTGGGTAACAGAGCCAGACTCCATCTCAAAAAATAAATAAATAAATAAAACCCTCAATCCAAAAAAAAAAGCGGTACAAAGAAGAGATGAACAGAAACAAACAAAAAAGAACAAAGAAGACCAAAAAAAAAATAAAGAAGAGACAGAAAGAAACAAAAAATAAGATGGTAGATTTAAACTCACCCATAGCTAGAATTACATTAAACGTAAATGTTCTATCTACTCCAGTTAAAAGGTAGAGATGTCAGACTGCAATTTAAAAATAAGAAACAATACCTAACTATATGCTGTCTAAAAAGAAACCTGTTTTGAATATAAAGATACAAATATGTTAAAAGTAAAAGGATAGAAATAGATATATAGTGTAAACACTAATCAAAAGAAGGTTAGAATGGTTATATTAACATCAAAAAAGTAGACCAGAACAAGGAACATTATCAGGAATAGAGAAAGATATTTCATAACTATAAAAGGATCTTATCAAGAAGGTGTGGAAAAAACTGGTAGAACTGAAAAGAGAAATAGATGAATCCACAGTTACAGGTGGAGATTTCAACACTCCTCTCTCCGCAACTAAAAGAACAAGTAGATACAAAATCAGTATGGATACAGAGGTTGCAGTGAGCCAAGATCACGGCACTTCAGCCTGGGTGACACAGCAAGACTCTATCTCAAAAAAAAAAAAAAAATTTATAACACAATAGTAAGAAACAAAAAAAATTTTAAATAAGCAATATCACGCACTTTTTAAAAAAAGGTTAAAATGGTAAATTTTATGTTATGTATATTTCACCATAAAAAGAAAAGCTAAAATACCATCAACAACAACAAAAATAGACAAAATATTTGAACAGGTACTTCACAAAGGCAGATACACAAATGGCCAATGAGCACATGAAAAGATGCTTCGCAGTATCAGCCATGAGGGAAATGTATATAAAAACCACAATGAGCTACCATGATGAGATGCCTACTAGAGAGGGTTAAATTAAAATAAGATAGACACCACTAAGTGTTGGTAAGAATGTGGAGCAACCTAAACTCTCACACATCATTTGTAGCAGTGTAAAAGGGCACAACCACCTTGGGAAAAGATCTGACAGTTTCCTATTAAACTAAACATACACTTGCACATAATCCAACAATTACACTATTAAGTATTTACCCAAGAGGTATAAAAACATATACTGAACACAAAGATTTCTGCACAAATTTATAATAGCCAAAGACTAGAAACCATCCAAACATCTATCAGAGTTGAATAGATAAAGAAATCTCCAGCTATAAACAATCCAAACATCTATCAGGGTTGAATGGATAAAGTGGTACATTCATGCAAAGAAATACCACTCAACAATAAAAAGCAGCAAACTCCTATAACACACATGACTGACTCCCAAAAATATTAATATTGAACCAAAAAAAGTCACACAAAAGACTATATATCATATAATTCCATTCATTTAAAATTCTAGAAAAGGGAAACCTAATAGCAACACAAAATAGATTAGTGGTTGCCTGGAATCAGTGGTAGGAGGTGAGGGGATGGAGTGGGGATCAACTGCAGAGGAAAGAAATATTTGAGGGTGACATAAATATTCAATATCTTGTTTGTGATGGTTGTTACACTGGTGTATACCTTCATCAAAACTCATCAAGCCATATTCTTAAAACAAGTGCATTATAATGTTGTATATAAAGTATAACTCATTAAAACTGACTTTTAAAACAGAATGGAAAAAACTATGAAAAAATTTAAAGTTTGCATTCCCTTAACCCATGTTATTCTACCTCTTAGAATTTATCCCAAAGAAACCAGGAGTCAAACAGAAAGATGCATGTACAGATGCTCACTGCAGTGTTATTTAATAAAAATAATTTCCTCTAATGTTCCATCAATAGAGGATTGATTAAATAAACTAAGGTACATTCACAGAATACTTCACAGCAATTAAAAATGGGAGTTAGCTTCTAATGTATGGACCTGAAATATCATACGTATTAATTAAAAAAGTAATATAATATAAAATATAAAAGAATATAACTGTTTTTGTTTTTTTTTTGTAGAGACAATGTCTTACTACATTGCCCAGGCTGAACTCCTGGGCTTAAGCTATCCTCCCTGACTCAGCCTCCTGAGTAGCTGGGGTGCCCACCACTGCACCTGGAGAATAAACATATATTACAAATATATATGTGTATTCAAAAAATTTATGAGCCAGGAGATTTTGTACCAAGAGATGCTATCTTTTTCTTATGCTATTAAGCAAGGGAATGTTGAGATCATCCCTATTTTAGAGATGAGGAAACTCTCAGAGATGACAAATGAGTTTCAGAGGAGCCAAAAGAACTGAAAATCCCACAGTCTCTCAGAAAACAACTGCTATCTCAGTGAACAGGTATTTGCTCTTCAAATCTTGTAGAAGAGAACTCACATAAATTGAGGTAATAAATGCAGAGTACTACTGGAAAGTGCCTACAGGCTTTCATAGCCATCTTCGTGTCATTCTAACATCAGAATGAAACTTACTAAAAATCTCTTCCATATAATCTAGATAATGGTCCCTTACTGATTTCCTCTTTAATGCTGTGCTTATTTCCAGCTGTTATCAGGGCCGAATTTGAAGACAGAAAAGAGACTATGTTAATACGCAGTCTCCCTGAAAGCAGGAAGGAAGTCCTTTGGACTGATTAAGGCCAGCATGACGTTCACAGCGAACAAGCTCATTCTGGCGAAATCAAAGCAGTAATTCCAGTGTTTGTTCCCTGTCAGCCATGTCAGCAGCCAAAAAAAAAAAAAAGGAAGAAAGCGGATGCACATGCACATGCCCAGAAAAAAAAAAAAAAAAGACTAACTTATTACACATCTGCTTGTCTTATACCTGGTATTTGTATCCTTCCAAAGAATATATACAATGACTGAGCTTCAACTAGTTTGCATTTACCAGTTAAAATAATTTCAAAACTTAGCCCCTACTCCCCAAAACAGTACTGGGCTATACTGAAACCTCAGCGTTCCTGATCTCCTACCCCACCCTCCATTCCCACTAAGAACGAAGTCATCTTGTTATGAAATGTTAAGGAGAAAAATGATTTTCTGATGGTTCAGTGATATTAACATCCACATATATGTATTTTCCTCATAGATATGGCCTTATTTAAGTACATAAATGCAAAGTTAGTCACTTAAAAACTAGTTTTACAAGGCCGGGCACAGTGGCTCACGCCTGTAATCCCAGCACTTTGGGAGGCCGAGGCGGGTGGATCACAAGGTCAGGAGATCGAGACCATGACGGCTAACACAGTGAAACCCCTTCTCTTAGGCCGGGCGCGGTGGCTCACGCCTGTAATCCCAGCACTTTGGGAGGCTGGGCCAGGCGGATCACGAGGTCAGGAGATAGAGACCATCCTGGCTAACACGGTGAAACCCTGTCTCTACTAAAAATACAAAAAATTAGCCGGGCACAGTGGCGAGCGCCTGTAGTCCCAGCTACTCGGGAAGCTGAGACAGGAGAATGGCGAGAACCCGGGAGACGGAGCTTGCAGTGAGCCGAGATCACGCCACTGCACTCCAGCCTGGGTGACAGAGCGAGAATCCGTCTCAAAAAAAAAAAAAAAAAAAAAAACTGGTTTTACAAATACAAAAATCAACCAGGTGTGGCTGATTAAACTTATTAAAACTGACTTTTTACAGTTAGAGGTGGTGGGCATCTGTAGTCCCAGCTACTCGAGAGGCTAAGGCAGGAGAATCGCTTGAACCCAGGAGGCAGAGCCTGCAGTGAGCCGAGATCAAACCACTGCACTTCAGCCTGGGTGACAGAGTGAGAGTCTGTCTCAAAAAAAAGAAAAAAAAAATTGGTTTTACAATTCTACACTAAGCTCAGGCCATCTCTTGTATGTGCCCAATCTGAATCTATTCACCTACATAGCCCTCTTCATAAATAAGCAATTTTACTAATTCTCACCCCATACACCACAAAAGTACTTGGTTTCTAATACTTCTTCTTTTTTTTTTTTTTTTTTTTTGAGACAGTCTCGCTCTGTCAGGCTGGAGTGCAGTGGCATGATTGTGGCTCACTGCAGCCTCTACCTTCTGGGTTCAAGCGATTCTCCTGCCTCAGCCTCCCAAGTAGTTGGGTTTACAGGTGCACACCACCACGCCCAGCTAATTTTTGTATTTTTAGTAGAGATGGGGTTTCACTATTTTGGCCAGGCTGGTCTCGAACTCCTGACCTCAAGTGATCCACCCACCTCGGCCTCCCAAAGTGCTGGGATTACAGGCATGAGCCACCACGCCCGACCTGGTTTCTAATACTTCTAACACTGCATATCCATCTCTCACTGTATTCTAACACCTAAGACTACCTTTAGCAATATGAACCTGATCGAAAAAAGGAAAAGAAAAGGAAAAGGAGAAAGGGAAAGGGAAGGGAAGTAAGGAAGGAAAGAAAGAAGAAAAGATCTTGTAAAAGTTTTCACCCAAAACATTTTCACTTTGCCACAACTTTCAAAGCTACCCTTTATCTACTCTTCACACTCCAAATAATACTAACAACTTTAACTCGCAGTAAAGTATAGCAGGAGTAGCAACTACCATTTATTAAATGCTTATTATGTATCAAGTACCATGCTGAGTTCTTTATGTCATCTCATATATTTATTTTGAGACAGGGTCTCACTCTGTCACCCAGGCTAGTAGTGCACAATCATGGCTCACTACAGGCTTGACCTCCTGGGCTTAAGCATCCTCCCACCTCAGCCTCCCGAGTAGTTAAAACTACAGATATGTGCCACCACTGCGAGCTAATTTTTTATCTGCTGTAGAGACAGGGTCTCCCTAAATTGCCCAGGGCAGTCTTGAACTCCTGGGCTCAAGCAATCCTCCAGCCTCGGCCTCCCAAAGTGCTGAGATTAGAAGGCCTAAGCTACCTCATCCAGCGTGTCTCTCATTTAATCCTTCCTACAACCCTCCCAAGTAGGCTATAAAGATTTGGAGAAGTTAGGCCAGGCGCAGTGGCTCACGGCTGTAATACCAGCCCTTTGGGAGGCCGAGGCGGGCGGATCATGAAGTCAGGAGATCGAGACCATTCTGGCTAACACGGTGAAACCCCATCTCTACTAAAAATACAAAAAAAAAAAAAATTAGCCGGGCGGGGTGGCGGGCGCCTGTGGTCCCAGCTACTCGGGAGGCTGAGGCAGGAGAATGGCGCAAACCTGGGAGGCAGAGCTTGCAGTAAGCAGAGATCGAGCCACTGCACTCTAGCCTGGGCAACAGAGCAAGACTCCATCTCAAAAAAAAATAAAAATAAAAAAATATTTGGAGAAGTTCATTTGTCCAAGTCCACATAGACTGAAGAACTCAAAATCAGAACTAAGTCCATCTGTCTGAAGAACCAAAGATACTGTTCGGGTGGGGTGGCTCACACCTGTAATCCTAGCACTTTGGGAGGCCAAGACAGGTGGATCACCTGAGGTCAGGAGTTTGAGACCAGCCTGACCAATATGGAGAAACCCCATCTCTATTAAAACTACAAAATTAGCTGGGCATGGTGGCGCATGCCTGTAATCCCAGCTACTTGAGAGGTTGAGGCAGGAGAATCGCTTGAATCTGGGAGGCGGAGGTTGCAGTGAGCCGAGATCGCACCACTGCATTCCTGCCTGGGCAACAAGAGCGAAACTCCATCTCAAAAAAAAAAAAAAAAAAAAAGAACCAAAGACATGAACCATTGTTCTATTTTATTCCAAATGCTTTTATTTCTGTCTTCACTATAAGATTAAGAAAGTACAGCCTTTCTGTCTGGCGGCAGCCATCAGGTAAGCCAAGACAAGTGCACACAAGTATATCCAGGAGCTACGGAGAAAGAAACAGTCTGATGTCATGTGCTTTCTTCTGAGGGTCCACTGCTGGCAGTACCGCCAGCTCTCTGCCCTCCACAGTGCTCCCCACCCCACCCAGCCTGATAAAGCGCAGCAACTGGGCTGCAAGACCAAGCAAGGTTACATTATATATAGGATTCATGTTCGCTGTGGTGGCCGAAAACACCCAGTTCCTAAGGGTGCAACTTACGGCAAGCCTGTCCATCATGGTGTTAACTAGCTAAAGTTTGCCTGAAGCCTTCAATCTGTTGCAGAGGAATGAGCTGGATGTCACTGTGGAGTTCTGAGAGTCCTGAATTTATATTTAGATCTATGACTTAAATATTGGATTGGTGAAGATTCCACATACAAATTTTTTGAGGTTATCCTCATTGATCCAGTCCATAAAGCTATCAGAAGAAATCCTGACACCCAGTGGATCACCAAACCAGTCCACAACCACAGGGAGATGCGTGGGCTGACATCTGCAGGCCGAAAGAGCCGTGGCCTTGGAAAGGGCCATAAGTTCCACCACACTATTGGTGGTTCTCGCAGGGCAGCTTGGAGAAGGCGCAATACTCTCCAGCTCCACCATTATCGCTAATATAAGTAAAGTTTGTAAAATTCATACCTAATAAACAATTTAAGACAGTCATGTGTGCTTACAGGTGTTATTTGTCTGTTAAAGCTAGTCTGCAAATTATTTAATGAATGCTTTGTCAAATTAAGACAGTTAAAGTGAAGGCCGGGCACGGTGGCTCACGCCTGTAATCCCAGCACTTTGGGAAGCCGAGGAAGACAGATCACGAGGTCAAGAGATCGAGACCATCCTGGCCAACATGGTGAAACCCCATCTCTATTAAAAATATAAAAATTCGCTGGGCGTGGTGGCAGGTGCCTGTAGTCCCAGCTACTCTATAGGCTGAGGCAGGAGAATCGCTTGAACCCGGGAGGCGGAGGTTGCCGTGAGCCAAGATCGCGCCATTGCACTCCAGCCTTGGCGACAGAGCGAGACGCCGTCTCAAAAAAAAAAAAAAAAGGAAGTTAAAGTGCAATAATGTTTGAAGACAGTAAGCGGTGGTGTATCTTGTTTCTTTTTTTTTGAGACAGAGTCTCGCTCTGTCGCCCAGGCTGGAGTGCAGTGGCGCGATCTCGGCTCACTGCTACCTCCGCCTCCCAGGTTCAAGCGATTCTCCTGCCTCAGCCTCCCGAGTAGCTGGGATTACAGGCGCCCGCCACCATGCCCAGCTAATTTTTTTTTTTTTTGTATTTTTAGTAGAGACGAGGTTTCACCATGTTGGTCAGGCTGGTCTCAAACCCCTGACCTCGTGATCCACCCACCTCGGCCTCCCAAAGTGCTGGGATTACAGGCATGAGCCACCGCGCCTGGCTGTTGTATCTTGTTTCTAATAAGATAAACATTTTTGTCTTTGCTTTATCTTATTAGGGAGTTATATATCAGTGTATAAAACATACTATGTGGTATAATAGGTTTAAAATAAATTCTTTAAAAGAAAAAAAAAGTATAGCATGGACATACATATGTAAAAAAATGAACCATGACCTAAATATTGCATCTCGTACAAAAAAATTACTGAATCATAGATCTAAATATAAAAAACCAAAACCATAAACATTCTAAAAAGAAAACCTTCATATTTGAGGGTTAGGAAAAAAAATTTTCTTTTTTTTTGAGATGGAATTTCACTGGTTGCCCAGGCTACAGTACAATGGCGTGATCTCGGCTCACTGCAACCTCCGCCTCCCAGGTTCAAGCAATTCTCCTGCCTCAGCCTCCCTAGTAGCTGGGATTACAGGTGCCCGCCACCATGCCCAGCTAATTTTTTGTATTTTTAGTAGAGACGGGGCTTCACCACGCTGGCCAGGCTGGTCTCGAACTCCTGACCTCAAGTGATCCACCCACCTCGGCCTCCCAAAGTGCTAGGATCACAGGCATGAACCACCACGCCGGCCAGGAAAAGATTTTTTAGACATAACATTAAGAGTACAACCCATAAAAAAAAAATAAACTAGACTTTATCAAAATTTAAAACTTTTGCTCTACAAAAGACACGAATAAGAGAATGAAAAGACAAGCTACAGATTAGGAGAAAATATCTGCAAATCACATATCCTCAAAAGGACTTGTATCAACAATATACATAAAGAACCCTAAAAACTCAATGATAAGGAAACAATCTGGCAGGGCACAGTGGCTCACGCCTGTAATCCCAGCACTTTGGGAGGCTGAGGCAGGTGGATCACGAGGTCAGGAGTTCAAGACCGGCCTGGCCAATATGGTGAAACCCCATCTCCACTAAAGATACAAAAAATTAGCCGGGCATGGTGATGCATGCCTGTAATCCCAGCTACTTGGGAAGCTGTGCCAGAAGAATCGCTTGAAGCCAGGAGGCGAAGGTTGCAGTGAGCCAAGATCGAGCCATAGAACTCCAGCCTGAGTGACAGGGCGAGACTCCGTCTCAAAAAAAAAAAAAAAGAAAGAAAGAAGAAAAGAGAACAACCCAATTGTTGTTGTTTGTTGAGACAGTCTCACTTTGTCACCCATGCTGGAGTGCAGTGGCACCATCTTGGCTCACTGCAACCTCCATCTCCTGGGATCCAGTGATTCTCGTGCCTCAGCCTCCCGAGTAGCTGGGATTACAGATGTACACCACCGTGCCTGGCTAATTTTTGTATTTTTAGTAGAGATCGGATTTCACCCTGTTGGCAAGGCTCGTCTCAAACTCCTGGCCTCAAGTGATCCACCCACCTCCATCTCCCAAAGTGCTGGGATCACAGGCATGGGGCACTGCCCCCCGCCAAACAACCCAATTGTAAAACAGGCAAAAGACATGAACAGACACCTTACCAAAGATAATATAAGGATGGCAAAAAAAGCACATGAAAAAATGTTCAACATCATTAGCCATTAAAGAAATGTAAATCAAAACCACAATAAGATGTCACTACACAGCTATTAGAATAGCAAAAATAACAAATAGTGATAATATCAAATGCTAGTGAGGATGGAGAACAACTGGAATTCTCATAAATTGCTGTTGGGAATGCAAAACAGTACATGCATTCTGAAAAACAGTTTGGCAGTGTTTTATAAAGTTAAATATACACCTACCATACATCACAGCAACCCCATTCCTGGGTATTTTACTGTAAAGAAATGAAAACTTAGGTTCGCACAAAAACCCATACACAAATGTTTACAGCAGTTCTAATCATAGTTGCCAAAAACTGCAAAAACCCAAGTGTCCTCCAATGGGTGAATGGAGAAACAAATTGTAGCATATCCATAAAGTAGAATATTACCCAGAAATAGTAAGGAACAAACTCCTGAGACACACACAACTTGGATGAATCTCAAAAGCACTATGTTGAGTGAAAGAAGCCAGTTACCTACTGTATGATTCCATCTATATGACATTCTCAAAAAGACAAAACTACAAATAATAAACAAAACACACACACACACACACACACACACACACACACCACACACACACATGATAAAACTACGGTGAAGAAGAGCTCAGTGATTGCCAGGGGTTGTGGGTGAGCAAGAGGTGACTATAAAGGGAGAGCATGAGGGAGTTTTTGGGGTGGAACTATTCTGTATCCTAATTGTTGTGGTAGTTACAGAAATCTAAACATGTTTTAGAATTCATAGACATGTATACCCCAAAAAAGTCCATTTTAATTATAATAATGTTGAAGATAAAATTGAAAAAATTTAATTCTTCAGAGGATAATTGGCTAAATAGGGGTTTAAAAAGTTAAAGTCTTACCTCTTACTGTATATCAAAACATATTCTAAATTAACTAAAAAGCTAAATGTAAATTATGAAATAATACTGATTTTTTTTTTTTTTTTTGAGACATCACTGTCGCCCAGGTTGGAGCGCAGTGGTGCGATCTCTGCTCACCGCAAGCTCCACCTCCCGGATTCACGTCACTCTCCTGCCTCAGCCTCACGAGTAACTGGGGCTACAGGTGCCCGCCACCACACCCGGCTAATTTTTTTTTTTTTTGTATTTTTAGTAGAGACGGGGTTTCACCATGTTAGCCAGGATGGTCTCAATCTAGAGACGGGGTTTCACCATGTTAGCCAGGATGGTCTTCATCTCCTGACCTCGTGATCTGCCCGCCTCAGCCTCCCAAAGTGCTGGGATTACGGGCATGAGCCCCTGCACCTGGCCTGATGTTCTTAATATATATGATGCTCCTACAAATAAATTTTTAAAAAGAACACTCCCAAAGAAAAATGGGCCAAGACATGAATAAACAAAATACAGGAAAATGCTTTATCTCACAAATAATTGAATAAATAAACAGTAAAGCAATGACACAGTATTTTTTGTCAACTGAAATACAAAAAAAAAAAAACCAAAAACCTTAAAAGAATGATAACATCCAGTACTGGCAAAAGTGGGAAAGGAAACCTAAAGAAAACTCTAGTTTGGAGCATAAAGTGCTATAAGATTTCCTGAAGGTAATCTGGATGTCTATACATGTTGAAAAATTCATACATCCACATATACTGTTTTTTCACTTCTAGTGAAAAAACAGTATATGTAAAATAAACAGTATAAGTAAAATAACCCACTAGTGCAGAAAAATGTATTCAGCACTCATAACAAAATAGAAATTAAAAAAGTTAAATAATTACATATCCATATAATAGAACAGTAGGTAGCCATTACGAAACCAAATCACCTGAACAGTTAATGAAATCAGATTTTTGTTTTGTTTTGTTTTTGTTTGTTTTTTGTTTTTGAGACAAGTTTCGCTCTTGTTGCCCAGGCTGGAGGGCAAAGGTGCGATCTCGGCTCACCGCAACCTCAGCCTCCCAGGTTCAAGCGATTCTCCTGCCTCAGCCTCTCAAGTAGCTAGGATTACAGATATGCGCCACCAGGCCCGGATAATTTTGTATTTTTAGTAGAGACGGGGTTTCTCCATGTTGGTCAGGCTGGTCTCAAACTCCTGACCTCAGGTGATCAACCCACCTCAGCCTCCCAAAGTGCTGGTATTACAGGTGTGAGCCACCATGCCCGGCCCAGATTATGTTATTTTAGTCATCACTGCTATAATTTCCTACTTGTTCTCACGAAGTAGGTTTTGTGGGTTTTTTAGGTTTTGTGTGTTTTTTGCTGTGTTTTTTTTTTTTTTTTTTTTTTTTTGAGACAGGGTCTGGCTCCATTGCCCAGGCTGGAGTGCAATAATACAATCTCAGTTCACTGACACCTCCACCTCCTAGGCTCAAGCCATTCTCCCACCTCAGCTCCCAAGTGACTGTGACTACAAGCACACACCATCATGCCTGGATAATTTTTGTATTTTTTGTAGAGACAGGGTTTTGCTGCTATGTTACCCAAGTTGGTCTCAAACTCCCAAGCTCAAGCAATCTACCTGCCTCAGCCCTCCACAAAGTGTTGTGATTAGAGGCATGAGCCAACATGCCAGCCAAGATTTAGGTCTTTCTTCAATGACAAAACAATGTTCATGGTAGAATGATTACGCTTTCAAAAAAACTAGAATATAAGATTATATACAAGCTAAATTTTATTTTATTTTATTTATTTTTTTTTTGAGATGGATTTTTACTCTTCTTCCCCAGGCCGGCATGCAATGAAGTCAGGAGTTCGAGACTGACCAGCCTGACCAACATGGAGAAACCCTGTCTCTACTGAAAATACAAAATTAGCCGGGTATGGTGGCGCATGCCTGTAATCCTAGCTACTCAGGAGGCTGAGATAGGAGAATTGCTTGAACCCGGGATGCAGAGGTTGCAGTGAGCCAAGATCGAGCCATTGCACTCCAGCCTGGGCAACAAGAGTGAAACGCTGTCTCAAAAAAAAAAAAAGTATGTGAGTGTACAGACACATTGATACACACACATATATAGCAATCATGTAACAGCATCTCTCAGTAGTGGAATTATGGATGATTTTTTATTAATCTTTTCTGTATTTTCTAAATTTTCTATAATAAACATATTGCTTTCATACTTTTTTGAATCAATATACATTTTTTAAAATCAACTAACTGATATCCAAAATGAGTTTAAAACTTGTTTTCTAATCTGGATTATCTGCTATTATCCTGGTCACAAGCATTTCACTGTTATCTAAGTATGGCAATTCTACATGCAAATTTGTCTTTTAGTTACTAATCCCAAATGAGCCATGACCGCCCAAAGTCAGAAGATCTACAGATAATGGCATCTCATTAACATTACCACCCAAAAGATGCAGAATAGTGTGTCTATTAGGATGAGCCATTTGTGTCTTAAATCTTTTTTTTTTTTTTTTTGAGACAGCATCTCACTCTGTCTCCCAGGCTGGACTGCAGTGGCACGATCTTGGCTCACTGCAACCCCCATCTCCCAAGTTCAAGCAATTCTCCTGCCTCAGCCTCCCAAGTAACTGGGATTACAGGCACATGCCACCTCACCCAGCTAATTTTTTTTGTATTTTTAGTAGAGACGGGGTTTCACCATGTTGCCCAGGCTGGTCTTGAACGCCTGACCTCAAGTGATCTGCCTACCTCGGCCTCCCAATGTGCTGGGATTACAGGCATGAGCCACTGCGCCTGGCCCGATATGTGTTAAAATTTTTTAAAGACATTTCTGTAATATATAGAAACTTATGAGCTGATATGTCCATACACTTTTTTTTTCAGTTCAATATAAGAAGCCAAAAGAAATAGTTATCTTTTTTGGTGGGGGAAGAAGTTTATAACTCCCTACTGTTTGATTTATGAACCATTTTTGTATTCTTTTTATATTTAACTTTTTTTTTAACCTTCTTGCTTTGTTTGCACTTACCATGGAGCACTTCGCCAGTACTTCCTCCTGGAATCTCAGGAATCCTTCCTGAACCTCAACTTCATTGAGGAAAAAGGCAAGGAAGTGAGTGAAGGGCTGCTTTCTTCGAAAAGTGTCCAAAAGAACATCAATCCGTGTTCGGGCTGAAATTACACCATTTCGATGCTGGCCAGTGATTACTGTAAACAAAGAAGAAAGGGTAAACTGCTCAAGGACCCCCAAATGCTTATAAAACAGGACCTCTTGATACTGTCACCTCTGAGGAGCTAAAGCAGTTCTGAATGCGTATATGAATCTAAACAGGGGACAATAACAAATATAAGAAAACTGCTAATTAATTCAATGTAAGCAGAATGAGGCTTAAAAATAGAATATCCTTGGCCGGGCACGGTGGCTCATTCCTGTAATCCCAGCACTTTGGGAGGCCGAGACAGGTGGATCACGAGGTCAGGAGATCGAGACCATCCTGGCTAACACAGTGAAACCCCACCTCTACTAAAAATACAAAAAATTAGCCAGCCTGGTGGCGGGCGCCTGTAGTCCCAGCTACTCGGAAGGCTAAGGCACGGATGGAGGGAACCCAGGAGGTGGAGCTTGCAGTGAGCCAAGATCGTGCTACTGCACTCCAGCCTGGGCAATAGAGCAAGACTCTATCTCAAAAAAAAAAAAAAAAAAAAAAAAAGAATATCCTTAAGACAGCTTATAAAGTAGAAAAATGAATTCAAGTACTACAAAGCAAACCCTTGCTAGTAGGAATGTAAAATGGTGTAGTCACTATGAAAAAGTTTGGTAATTCCTTAAAAAGTTGAACATAGCTGGGTGCAGTGGCTCACGCCTGTAATCCCAACACTTTGGGAGGCTGAGGTGGGCAGATCACTTGAGGTCAGGAGTTCAAGACCAGCCTGGCCAATATGGCAAAACCCCATCTCTACTAAAAATACAAAAATTAGCTGGGTGTGGTGTCACATGTCTGTAATCCCAGCTACTTGGGAAGCTGAGGCACAACAATGGCTTGAACTAGCAAGCTGGAAGTTCCAGTGAACTGAGATCACGCCACTGCACTCCAGCATGGGCAACAGAGCTAGACCCTGTCTCAAAATAAATAAATAAATAAATAAATAAATAAAGTTGAACATAGACTTACCATATAACCCAGAAATTCTACCCTTAGGGATACCCAAAATAAGTAAAAACCGAGAAAGAAAAAGGGAAGGGAAGGGAAGGGAAGGGGGAGCAGGGAAGGGGAGGGGAGGGGGGAGGGGGAACGAGGAAGGGAAGGGGAGGGGGGAGGGAGAGGGGAGGGGAGGGGGGAGGGAGAGGGGAGGGGAAGGGGGAGGGGACGGAACGGGTGAGGAGGGAGGGGAGGGGAGGGAAGGGAGCAGATGGAAGGGGTGAGGAGGGAGGGGAGGGGAGGGAAGGGAGCAGATGGAAGGGGTGAGGAGGGAGAGGAGGGGAGGGGAGGGAAGGGAGCAGATGGAAGGGGTGAGGAGGGAGGGGAGGGGAGGGGAGGGGAGGGGGAGGGGAGGAGAGGGGAGGGGAGGGGAGGGGAGGGGAGGGGGAGGGGAGGGAAGGGAAGGGAAGGGAAGGGAAGGGAAGGAAGGAAAGAAAAGAAAGAAAGAAGGCAAGGCATGCTCATGCCTGTAATCCCAGCACTCTGGGGCAAAGGCCAAGGCAGGAGGATTGCCTGAGGCCAGGAGTTCCAGACAGCCTAGGCAATTTACTGAAACTCTGTCTCTACAGTGGTTGGAGGTGGAGAAGCTTCTGATGTTCCATTGCCTGAGATTTCAAAACAGACAAGACCAGATCCTTGTCTAGAGGATTAAAAGCTACCAGATCATTTCCTTCTCTGATTTCTCTAATTTAGGAGACACAAAAGAAATGGGTAAATCAGAGCAAATATCACACGAATGCAACTGCAGACTTGACTTCACATCACAATTCAATTTACTCTAACCAATACATTTGGTTTTTCTATATACTTTACTTCTCTACAAGATCAATAAGCCAGTTTATTTATTTTATTTTCAAGAGAGTCTTGCTCTGTCACCCAGGCTGCAGTGCAGTGGTACAATCTCGGCTCACTGCAACCTCCGCCTCCCAGGTTCAAGCGATTCTCCTGCCTCAGCCTCCTGAGTAGCTGGGATTACAGGCACGTGCCACCACACCTGGCTAATTTTTGTATTCTTAGGAGAGACAGGGTTTCATCATGTTGGCCAGGCTGGTCTCAAAATCTTGACCTTGTGATCCACCCAACTTGGCCTCCCAAAATGCTAGGATTACAGGTGTGAGCCACCACACCCAGCTAATTTTGTATGTTTATTTTTATTTTTTGAGATGGAGTCTTGCTCTGTCGCCCAGGCTGGAGTGCAGTGGCACGATCTCGGCTCACTGCAACCTCCATCTCCCAGGTTCAAACAATTCTCCTGCCTCAGCCTCCCAAGTAGCTGGGAATACGGGTGTATGCCATCACACCCAGCTAATTTTTTTTTTTTTTTTTTTTTTTTTGAGACAGAGTCTCACTCTGTTTCCCAGGCTGGAGTGCAGTGGCACGATCTCGGCTCACTGCAACCTCCGCCTCCCGGGTTCAAGCAACTCTCCTGCCTCAGCCTCCTGAGTAGCTGGGATTACAGGTGTGCACCACCATGCCCTGCTAATTTTTGTATTTTCAGCAGAGACAGGGTTTCACCATGTTGGTCAGACTGGTCTCAAACTCCTGACTTTGTGATGTGCCCTCCTCGGCCTCCCAAAGTGCTGGGATTACAGGCGTGAGCCACTGGGCCTGGCCGGCTAATTTTTTGTATTTTTAGCAGAGACGGGATTTCACCGTGTTAGCCAGGATGGTCTCAATCTCCTGACCTCATGATCCGCCCACCCCGGCATGAGCTAACACGCCTGCCTAGTTTTTATTTTCTCTTCTTTGTTTTCTGTTTTTTTGTTTGTTTTGAGACAGTCTCGCTCTGTCACCCAGGAGGGAGTGCACTGGTGCGATTGGCTCACTGTAGCCTCGACTTTCCCAGATAAAAAGATCCTCCCACCTCAGCCTCCCAAGTAGCTGAGACTACAAGCATGTGCCACCACACCCAGCCAATTTTTGTATTTTTTTGTAGAGATGGGGTTTTGCCATGTTGCCCGGGCTGACCTTGAACACCTGGGCTCAAGTGATCCTCCCACCTAGGCCTCCCAAAGTGTTGGGATTACAGGCATGAGCCACCAAGCCCAGCCTGACACACTAGTTTTTCACACTGCAACATTTGTGCTAAGTTAAAATGGAGTCTTTATAGCCTGTCTACCCTTTTCTGGATAAGTTCTGGAATGAATCTAGTATATTAAAATGGCTAGGGTCTCCACATTTACACCACGTTATAATTTTACTGCAATAAAAAATATTATATAACTTACTACACAAATAGAAAAAATGGGGAACATATAACAAGTGTTAATAGCAATTATGTTTGGGGTTCGTATTATAAGAGACTTCCATGTATACCTTATATATAATTTCTGCAAGCTTTCTCTTTTTTGAAAGCATGTATTAATTTTATAATCAGAAAAAATTAGGGCTGGGCGCAGTGGCTCATACCTGTAATACCAGCACTTTGGGAGGCTGAGGCTGGCTGCACCTGAGGTCGGGAGTTGGAGACCAGCCTGATCAACATGGAGAAACCCCATCTCTACTAAAAGTACAAAAGTAGCCAGGCATGATGGCACATGTCTGTAATCCCAACTACTTGGTAGGCTGAGGCAGGAGAATCACTTGAAACCAGGAGGTGGAGGTTGCATTGAGCCAAGATTACACTAAGCCAAGATCATGCCAATGCACTCCAGCCTGGGCAACAAGAGCGAAACTCCATCTCAAAAAAAAAAAAAAATAGATGAAGTAACTTTTAATGCAATTATAAAATGACCTTGGTATTTGTAACTTGAATGTTAAAACTCAAGGAAAATAAAATTTTGCACTTATAATTCTAATAAACTGAATATTTACTTTAATAAAAGTCCTTCCAAATGCTGTTAAAAGTTCTAATGCTAGAGTTTGTTGACATTACCTAGAGAAAACTGTGTCACTGCACTGGCCAATATGGGAGCCCACATGCAGCTAGTTAGTTAAATTAATCAGAATTCAGTAAAAGTAAAAATTCAGAAAAAAAAATTCAGTTCCTTTCATACTAGCAATATCTCAAGTACTCAAAGTCATACGCATGACCAGTACCTGACACGTGCGGCTCCTGTGCTACACTGCATGGATATAGAACATTCTCATCAACACAGAAAGCTCTTTGGGACAGCACTGTTGTCCAAAAAGTCAATTGCTACTTATCTGCTGTCAAGGTGATTATTCTTTTGTGTGTGTGTGTATGACAGGGTCTCACTCTGTCACCCAGGCTGGAGTGTGGTGGCATGAACACAGTTCACTGCAGCCTGGAGCTCCTGGTCTCAAGTGATCCTCCCACCTCAATCTCCCACAGTGCTGGAAGTACAGGTATATGCCACTGTCCCCAGTCAAGGTGATTATTCTCACATAACATAAAATGAAAAAGAGTACTTATAATTTTTTATGCAAAAACAATACAATCTATGAACATTTATGGAAAATGGGGCTAGACGCAGTGACTCTTGTCTATAATCCCAGCACTTTGGGAGGCCAAGGAGGATCGCTCAAGCCCAGGAGTTCAAGGCCAGCCTGGGCAACATAGCAAGACCCCATCTCTACAAAAAGTATTAAAAATTAGCTGGGCATGGTGCTAAGCGCCTGTAGTCCCAGCTACTTGGAAGGCCGAGGGAAAAGTATTGCTTGAGCCCAGGAGTTCAAGGCTACAGTGAGCTATGATGGAGCCAATCAACTCTAGCCTGGGCGACATGCTCTTGCCTGTAACCCCAACACTTTGGGAGGCCAAGGCAGGCAGATCGCTTGAGCTCAGGAGTTCAAGACCAGCCTGAGCAATGTGGCAAAACCTTGTCTCTACAAAAAATACAAATAAATTAGCCAGGTGTGGTGGCGTGTTCCTGTAGACCCAGCTATGCAAGGCTGAGATGAGAGGATTGATTGAGTCCAGGAGGTAGAGTCTACACTGAGCTGTGATCATGCCACTACACTCCAGCCTGGGCAACAGAGACTCTGTCTCCAAAAATAAAATAAAATAAAATAAAGGACTAAAAGGCCGGGCATGGTGTCTCATGCCTGTAATTCCAGCACCTTGGAAGGCTGAGGCAGGCAGATCACTTCAAACCAAAAATTCAAGATCAGCCTGGGCAACATGGTGAAATCCTGTCTGGATAAAAAATAAATAAAAATTTTTAAATGAAAAAAGAAAAAGAAAATGGGTTAATGAATTATTGGAGGTTGCTGCACTCTTTGACTTTAAAAAAGTTCCATCGGCCAGACATGGTGCTCACGCCTGTAATCCCAGCACTTTAGAAGGCCAAGGTGGGTGGATCACTTGAGGCCAGAAGTTTGAGACCAGCCTGGCCAACATGGCGAAACCCTGTCTCTACCAAAAAATACAAAAATTAGCTGGGTTTGGTGGCACACACCTGTAGTCCCAGCTACTCGGGAGGCTGAGGCAGGAGAATCGCTTGAACCTGGGTAGCGGAGATTGCAGTGAGCTGAGATTGCACCTCAGCACTCCAGCCTGGGTAACACAGCAAGACTCTGTCTCAAAAAAAAAAAAAAAATTCCATCCTTCCAGAATGAGTTTACAGTTTTGTCCTAACAATGCCCCTCACTCAAAGCCATTGTACATACAACAAAAGCCTATGCCCTTGGTTTACACTGAGGCTTGGTACAGACACTTTCTAACTTGATTTATACTGCTAAACTATTTTTCCTTATCAGAACAGTTATTTGAGTCAAGTTATATTATTTTAATCATTACTCTTATAATTTCCTTCCTAGTCTACAAAATCAAGGGTAAAAAATTGAGAGCACAATGGAAAAGGCTGAACTTTATTTTATATTCACTGATCTCATTGATTTTCTCTAATTCTAATTGGAAACAATTCACAAATCCATTTCAAGTTACCAAAGCATGAAAAGAAATCTCCTAATACACAGTGAAATCTGGAAGCTTTATTCCATCAATGTATGGTAAAGTATAAAATTAAGGCCCAGGTACTCAATCAAGATAAGGTTATATAATTCCATCTTTCCTCATTTGGGAGACTGGTACTGATAAACCATAAAGACGCCCATAGCTGGCCGGGCACGGTGGCTCACGTCTATAATCCCAACACTTTGGGAGGCCGAGAGGGGAGGATCACCTGAGGTCAGGAGTTCGAGACCAGCCTGACCAACATGGAGAAACCCCGCCTCCACTAAAAATACAAAATTAGCCAGGCGTGGTGGCACATGCCTGTAATCCCAGCTACTAGGGAGGTTGAGGCAGGAGAATCGCTTGATTCCGGGAGGCGGAGGTTGCAGTGAGCCGAGATCACACCACTGCACTCTAGCCTGGGTAACAAGGGCAAAACTCCGTCTCAAAAAAAAAAAAAAAGAAAAGAAAAAGCCCATAGCTAGAACCCCACAGAAAACATAGTTACTAAACACTGCAGTTGGTTACATTATTCCATAAACATGCAAAAGTGACTTCAAATGTAACTTATATCTACTGAGTCTCACCAATTTCCCCGTCTTGTCCAGGTTTAGGAATGCTAATAGAAGTTTTGGTCTCCATTTCTATTTTCTTCCTAGTGTCCCCTCTCTTTCCAACTATATGCCTGTAACATAAAGTAATTAAAAGAAGATTAAGTCAAAATGTACCAAAATAAAGAACCTCATTATGTTTAAATCCTTTGTGACAAGAGATACTCCCTTACAGAAAAGTAGTTCAGTAAAAGCTCAATATTTGCGGAAGAAATTACAAGTCATCTAGCTTTAGAACATGCTGCAGTAAAGTCATTGGCAAAGATGAGTTTTTGGCCCTATAGCCAATTCAATGCAGAGATAGAAAAACCATGCCCAACACCCGTTTGCTTCTCAAAATGAGATTTAAAATCTGGGTCTGCAATAAAGTGAAAGAAAAGCTGGCCAGCAGGTGCAGTGGCTCACACCTGTAATCCCTGCTACTCAAAAGACTGAGGTGGGAGAACTGCTTGAGACCAGGAGTTTGAGACCAGCCTGGGCAACAGAGTAAGACCCCGTCTCTAAAAAAATATTTTAGGCTGGCGGCAGTGGCTCACGCCTGTAATCCCAGCACTCCAGGAGGCTGAGGTGGGCAGATTGCCTGAGGTCAAGAGTTCGAGACCAGCCTGGCCAACATGGCAAAACCCCATCTCTACAAAAATACAAAAATTAACTGGGTGTGACAGCAGGGTGCCTGTAATCCCAGCTACTTGGGAGGCTAAGGCAGGAGAATCACTTGAACCCGGGAGGTGGAGGTTGCAGTAAGCTGAGATCGCACCACTATACTCCAGCCTGGGCGACAAGAACGAGACTCTGCCTCAAAAAATAAATTTTTTTTTCAATTTTTTTCAATAGAAAAATTAGAATATCTGAGGACTCATGGCAACAGCGAGCTACA
Source organism: Homo sapiens (assembly GCF_000001405.40). Classification (NCBI taxonomy): domain Eukaryota; kingdom Metazoa; phylum Chordata; class Mammalia; order Primates; family Hominidae; genus Homo; species Homo sapiens. The sequence goes on from NC_000010.11 coordinate 72,204,328, forward strand.
GCCAACTCTCGACTACCCCATGAAGACGGGACATGAGCTCACAATCCCCATCACTCCCACTTAAATCACTTATTGACTCATTTACATTACTTGCCTGGACTTCCAAGTATAAATATTCTGACAATCCAAAGTTATCTTCTGGAACCCACAGTCGTTTGATGTGTTCAAGTGAATGAGACTACCGAATCCCAAGAGAGAAGTTTCAGAGTCTATAAAGCACTAAGAGGCCATCACAGGGCTATCAAGTTAAGAACTCCTTGTCATCAACGTTATTTTAACCTCTATGACTTCAATTACAGTACCCAATTCTACGGATGACTATGTCTAAAACTATTCGTTAGTTTTTGCGTGGGATAAGAAAGCCCAATTACTTCCCTTAAGATCTATTATAGTAAGCCAGTTTTTAAAAATAAGATGTTTAGAGGAAGATTGGAAGTCTGTAATTTCCAAGTGGTTTTCCTGTGTGTTGGGATAGAGATTGTAGGGCACCAAACTCTGTGAGGTCTTTGTTTTCCCACCTTACCAATTAGGAGTGCTTTCTGTCAGGCTCCAGTTTGTTACTATGTGGCTAGTGAACAAGCCTATCACAAAAAGCAGTGGTTCAAAGTGCTATTAATAATCTAGGCTTCAGCACCTTAGAAAGCAAAGTGGTTGAGGTTTAAAAGGCTTTAGAATCAAACAAACCTTGGAATTCATATAACCACTGTAAGCCTACTTCTTCACTTATCAAAATGAAGTGAGAGGCTGACGCAGAAGGATCCCTTAAGCCCAGGAGTTCAAGGCTATGGTGAGCTATGATCACACAGTGGCACTCTGGCCTGGGTGACAAAGTGAGATCCTGTCTCTAAAAAAATAAAAATAGGCCAGGTGCAGTGGCTCATGCCTGTAATCCCATAATTTGGGAGGCAGAGGCGGGCAAATCACTTGAGGTCAGGAGTTCAAGACCAGCCTGGCCAACATGGCGAAACCCTGTCTCTACCAAAAATACAAAAATTAGCAAAGCCAGGCAAGGTGGCTCAATGCCGGGTGCGGTGGCTCACACCTGTAATCCCAGCACTTTGCGAGGCCGAGGTGGGGGGGATCACCTGAGGTGAGGAGATCGAGGCCAGCCTGGCCAACATGGTAAAACCCCATCTCCACTAAAAATACAAAAATTAGCCAGGCGTGGTGACAGGTACCTGTAATCCCAACTACTCGGGAGGCTGAGGCAGGAGATTGCTTGAACTCGGGAGGCAGAGGTTGCAGTGAGCCAAGATCACACCACTGCACTCCAGCCTGGGTGACAAGAGTGAAACTCCATCTCAAAAAAAAAAAAAAAAAATAGCAGGGTGTGGTGGCGGGCGCCTGTAATCCCAGCTACTTGGAAGGCTGAGCAGGAGAATTGCTTGAACCTGGGAGACAGGGGTTGCAGTAAGCAGAGATCGCACCACTGCATTCCAGCCTGGGCGACAGAGGGAGACTCCGTCTCAAAAAAATAACTAAATAAAATTAAATTAAATTTGGCTGGGGGTGGTGTCTCACGCCTGTAATCCCAGGGAGGCCAAGGTGGGTGGATCACCTGAGGTCAGGAGTTCAAGACCAGCCTGGCCAACGTGGTGAAACACCATCTCTACTAAAAATACAAAAATTACCCAGGCATGGTGGCAGATGCCTGTAATGCCAGTTACTCGGGAGGCTGAGGCGGGAGAATCACTTGGACCCAGGAGGCAGAGGTTGCAGTGAGCTGAGATTGTGCCATTCCACTCCAGCCTGGGTGACAGAGCGAGACTCTGTCTCAAAAACAAAAAAAAAAAGAGGCCAGGCATGGTGGCTCACGCCTGTAATCCCTGTGCTTTGGAAGGCTGAGGCGGGTGGATCACCTGAGGTCAGGAGTTGGAAACCAGCCTAACCAACATGGAGAAACCCCACCTCTACTAAAAATACAAAATTAGCCGGGCATGGTGGCGCATGCCTATAATCCCAGCTACTCGGGAGGCTGAGGCAGGATAATCTCTTGAACCTGGGAGGCAGAGGTTGTGGTGAGCCGAGATCATGCCATTGCACTCCAGCCTGGGCAACAAGAGCGAAACTCCCGTCTCAAAAAAAAATAAACATTAAATTAAATTAAAATGGAATGAATAATACCTATTTGTCATAAGGTTGTCGTAAGGATTAAATGTGATCATATATGAAAGAGCTTCCCAATAAGTGGCACAGAGCTCCATACAGTCCATGCTGTAGGGCAGATGCCCCTAACGTTAGTAGATTAAGCATACCGGGAGAAGGACCCTGACAGTAATAACTTAAGCCTACCTGAGAATCACCCTATGATCTAAAAGGAATTATGTGTTCAGAGTTCCAAACTACGGAATCCGGCTTGGATTCATTCCAACCCAGAGATTCATTCCTTTATCTATGAGGAACATCTGAATCCCTGACCCGTTTATGGAACCCAGGCCATACAGAGGATTGAGGCCCTTTGTTTTGGATTAAATAAAGGTTGCCAGGTGATGGCTGCTAGGGGCAGGGTGCTAAGTGGAAATGTTATATAAACTGTATGCTTTTTCCAAGCAGTTGAAGTTCTGTCCAGCCCACCACCACAGCACCACCCTTTATGCAAGTCCCCTCAATAAATCCTCTGTCTCATTTGCTGGCTCTGGGTCTCTTCCCCAGCCTCTCTAACATGGTGCCATCCCCATCAAAGTCAACAGGTGTGCGGCATGACATATGCTATCCTCATTAAACCTATACTGGCACCTTTTCAGTTAAAAGTATAACTGGACAGAAAAGAGGTTTACATGGAAAATCTAAAATACTCACTATAGGCCAGACACAGTGGTTCATGCCTGTAATCCCAGCACTTTGGGAGGCGAGGCAGGCAGATCACCTGAGGTCATGAGTTCAAGACCAGCCTGACCAACATGGCAAAACCCCGTCTCTAACAAAAACACAAAAAAATTAGCCAGGTGTGGTGGCGCATGCCTGTAGTCCCAGCTACTCGGGAGGCCGAAGCAGGAGAATCACTTAAACCAGGGAGGTAAAGATTGCAGTGAGCCCAGATCGTGCCACTGCACTCCAGCCCGAGTAACAGAGTGAGAATCCGTCTCAAAATAATAAAATAAATAAAATATTTGCTACAATAATACAAATAAGCAGTGACAAGGTGACTCCTTGGTTGAATACATAAGAGGAAATTCCTACCAGGTCAAGTGGTTCTCAGTCTTGGCTATACACTGGAATCACCTGGGGGGCTTCAAATAGTGATACCTGGGTCCTGCTCCCACAGACTCTGATTTAATCGGTCTGGGGTGCACCCAAGCCCTGGGATTTTCAGAAGTTCCCCAGATGATTCTCCTGTGCACCTGAGGCTAAGAACCACAGCATGAGACATAACCCATGGACAGGTGTTGACAATATTAGGCTCTGATTATAAATTAGTTTGGCCAGGTAATTTCTTTCTTGATCCAAATAAGCCTACAGAAATTATTCCCAAGAAAGAAATCTTAGTATTTTTTTTTTTTTTGACACAGGATATTGCTCTGTCGCCCAGGTGGAATTACATTGGCACAATCATAGCTCACTGTAACCTTGAACTTCTGGGCTCCAGCAATACTCCTGCCTCAACCTACCAAGTAGCTGAGACTACAAGCACTCACTACCACGCCTGGCTAATTTATTTTTTTTATTTTTATTTTTTGTTGTAGAAACAGGGTCTCACCATGTTGCCCAAGCTGGGTGGTCTCCAACTCATGGGCTCAAGCAATCCTCCCATCTTGGCCTCCCGAAGTGCTGGGATTACAGGTATGAGCCACCACACCCAGCCTTCCGAGTAAATATTACCTATTAATTAGGATTTATCAGACCCAATACCTAATTTAACATGCAAGTCACTTGACACATAATGAGTGCTTAGAATATAGAGAAATCAAAAGATTATCAAGTCAGAATCATGCAAGGAACTTTTACACACCTTAGCAACAGCAGATTCACACCAAGACCTGTTACACTGATTTTTTTTTTTTTTTTCCAGGAAACTGAGCCACAACTTTCTAAAATCATGTTTCTTAGGAAAAAATGTCACTAGAGCCTGATTTGGTCATATTCCAGGAGAATTTTATCTTTAATAGGTGTTTCAGAATGCTATCAAGGTGGATGAAATGAAAACATTTGTGGCCGGGTGCGGTGGCTCACGCCTGTAATCCCAACACTTTGGGAGGCCGAGGCAGGTGGATCACCTGAGGTCAGGAGGTCGAGACCAGCCTGGCCAACATGGTAAAACCCCACCTCTACTAAAAATACAAAAATTAGCCAGGTGTAGTAGTGCAGGCCTGTAGTTCCAGCTACTCAGGAAGCTGATGCAAGAAAATCGTTTGAACCAAAGGGGAGGAGGTTGCAGTGAGCCAAGATCATGCCACTGCACACCAGCCTGGGTGACAGAGTAAGACTCCATCTCAAAAAAAATGTGTGTGTGTGTGTGTTTGTGTGTGTGTGTGTGTAGAGACCAATAAGCAGGCTATTTTAAGTAATCCACAGAAAAGGCAGAGAGGTAGCAGTGAAGATACAGACAGCTGGTAGATTCAAAAGATATTTAACACACTTGTAATGCCAGCCCACTGGGAGGCCAAGGCGGGTGGACTGCTTGAGTTCCAGAGTTCAAGACCGGCCTGGGCAATATGGAGAAACCCTGTCTCTACCAAAAATACAAAAAATTAGCCAGGCATGGTGGCACACACCTGTAGTCCCAGCTATTTGGGGGGTTTAAGTGGGAGGATCACTTGAGCCCAGGAAGTCAAGGCTACAGTGAGCCGAGATCGCACCACTGCACTGCAGCCTGGGTAACAAAGCAAAGCCCTGTCTTTAAAAAAAAAAAAAAGAGATATTTAAAAGGTAATATGGGATATGGTAGTTGGGCACAGTGGCTCATCCCAACACTTTGGGAGACCAAGGTGGGAGGATCACTTTTGTCCAGGAGTTCAAGACCAGCCTGGGAAACATAGTAAAACCCCATCTCTACAAATAATTCAAAAAATTAGCCAGGCTTGGTGGTGTGTGCCGGTTCCAGCTACTTGGGAGGCTGAGGTGAAAGGATCACTTTACCCCGGGCAGTCAAGGCTGCAGTGAGCCAAGATTGTGCCACTGCACTCTAACCTGGCAACAGTGCGACACCCTGTCTCAAAAATACAATAATAAAAATAGGCTGGGTGCAGTGGCTCACACCTATAATTCCGGCACTTTGGGAAGCTGAGGCAGGTGGATCACCTGAGGTCAGTAGTTCGAGACCAGCCTAGCCAACATGGCGAAACCCCATCTCTACTAAAAATACAAAAATTAGCCAGGCATGGTGGTGGGCACCTATTATCCCAGCTACTCAGGAGGCTGAGGCAGGAGGATGGCTTGAACCCTGAGGGCGGAGGTTGCAGTGAGCCAAGATCGTCCCATTGCACTCCTGCCTAGGCGAAAGAGCGAAACTCTGTCTCAAAATAAATAAATAAATTAAATAAATTAAATAAAAGGTTATGTGGTTTGGATCTGTGTCCCTGCCAAATCTCATGTTGAAATGTAACCCTCAGTGTTGGAAGTGGGGCCTGGTGGCAGGTGTTTGGATCATGGGGGTGGATCCCTCATGATGGCTTAGCACCATCTCCTTGGCGATGAGTGAGCTCACACAAGATCTGGTTGTTTAAAAGTGTGTGACATCTCACCTCCCATCGTTTTTGCTCCTGCTTTCACCATGTGACATGCCTGCTCCCACTTCAGCTTCTGCCAAGAGTAAAAGGTCCCTGAGGCCTCCCCAGATGCTGGTGCCATGCTTGTACTGTCTGTAGAGTCATGAGCCAATGAAACCTCTTTTCTTTTTTTTTTTTTTTTTTAAGACTAAGTTTCACTCTTGTTGCCCAGGCTGCAGTGCAATGGCACAATCTCGGCTCACTGCAACCTCTGCCTCCCAGGTTCAAGTGATTCTCCTGCCTCAGCCTCCCAAGTAGCTGGGATTACAGATGCCTGCCACCACACCCGGCTAATTTTTGTATATTTAGTAGAGACGGGGTTTCGCCATGTTGACCAGGCTGGTCTTGAACTTCTGACTTCAGGTGATCCACCCGCCTCAGCCTCCCGAAGTGCTGGGATTACAGGCGTGAGCCACCGCACCTGGCCGAAACCTCTTTTCTTTATAAATTACCCAGCCTCAGGTATTTCTTTATAGCAACACAAGAATGGCCTAACACAAGAGGCAAAATCAGCTTAGTGATACATGTGGAACAATGAAATTAATCTGTAATCAGTCCTTTGACATTTCAGGACATAACACTACACTATTTTATCATTAGTAATCAAGCACTGCAATAAGTATGGAAGACCAAAGGGTCCACTTCCCGCTGAGTTTCCTGGAAGTGTCTTCCCATGAAACTGTTGGGGACATGACTCACTTATAGAGCAAGCTGGGGGCCCTCAAAGTAGACCGGAATCCTTGTGGGGTCTGCTCCACCTCGTAGGCATCACAGGGCTCATCAGCACACTCCATGGAGCCTGCACAGAAACCATCACATCTCACTCAGAAACAATGTTGCTCTGTGGACAACAGCTTTCGCCTCAGCTGTCAACCGCTGTTGAGGTTTAAAAAAAGCAATACACAGGCATAAAGAACAGCCGGACACTGTACATTCCATGACACTGCTCTGATACTCCTTCTGACCCGATCGTATAGGAAATAAACCTTAAAAAAACACATAATGACTATTTTAAATCTTTCAGTCTTGGAACCCTGGGAAGGTAGCATATGCATACGGTAGTTCCCCCCATCTGTGGTTTCGCTTTCCAAGGTTTCAATTACTTGCAGTTAACTGCTGTCCAAAACTATTACTACAATAAGATACTGGATATGAGACAGAGAGACCACATTCACATCACTTTTATTACAATGTATTGTTATAATTGTTCTATTTTGTTAGTTATTGTTATTAATCTCTTACTGTGCCTGATTAATAAACTAAACTTTATCAAAGGTTTCTATATACAGTTGGCCCTCCATATCCAGGGATTCTCCATCTGTGGATTCAACCAACTGCAGATTGAAAATATTTGAAAAAAAAATCCAGCCTGGGCAACAAAGTAAAACCCCCTCATCTCTACAAAGATTAGCTGGGCATGATGGTACATGCCTGTAAGTCCCCACTACTCAGGAAGATGATGTGGGAGAATCATTTGAGCCCGGGAGGTGAGGCTGCAGTGAACCAAGGTCGTGCCACTGCACTCCAGAATGCGCTTGTCTCTTAAAAAAAAAATTACGGCTGGGCACGGTGACTCATGCCTGTAATCCCAGCATCCTGGCTATCACAGTGAAACCCCGTCTCTACTAAAAATATAAAAAATTAGCCAGGCATGGTGGTGTGCACCTGTAGTCCCAGCTACTCAGGAGGCTGAGGCTGGAGAATGGCGTGAATCCGGGAGGCAGAGCTTGCAGTGAGCCGAGATCGCGCCACTGCACTCCAGCCTGGGTGACAAAGCAAGACTCCGCCTCAAAAAAAAAAATTACTTGGAAAAAAGTCAGTAAAATAACAATACAGCAATAAAAATAATAAAAATTAAACAACAATACAGGCCGGTCATGGTGGCTCATGCCTGTAATCTCAGCACTTTGGGAGGCCAAGGCAAGAGGATCACCCGAAGTCAGGAGTTTGAGGCCACCCTGGCCAACATGGTGAAACACTATCTCAACTAAAAATACAAAAATTAGCCAGGTGTGGTGGCAGGCACCTGTAGTCCCAGCTACTGGGGAAGCTGAGGCAGGAGAATTGCTTGAACCCAGGAGGTAGAGGCTGCAGAGAGCCCAAATCACTATCTCAACTAAAAATACAAAAATTAGCCAGGTGTGGTGGCAGGCACCTGTAGTTCCAGCTACTGGGGAAGATGAGGCAGGAGAATTGCTTGAACCCGGGAGGTAGAGGTTGCAGAGAGCCCAGATCACGCCACTGCACTCCAGCCTGGGTGACAAGAGCAAAACTCTGTCTCAAAAATTAATAATAATAAATAAAAAATAAAAAACAATACAGTACCACAACTATTTACAGAGCATTTGCATTGTATTAGGTATTATATGTATCATAAGACAGGATTTAAAGTAGGATGTGTGTAGATTACATGCAAAAACCACGATGTTCTACAAAAGGGACATGACCATCTGAGGATTTTGGTAACATTATTGGGCAATGGACTAAATACATACGTTCATTTATTTCAAAAATTTATACATAATTACTTTAGGGCCAAGTGCGGTAGCTCATGCCTGTAATCCCAGCACTTTGAGAGGCCAAGGCAGGTGGATCACTTGAGGTCAGGAGTTTGAGACTAGCCTGGCCAACATGGTGAAACCCTGTCTCTACTAAAAATACAAAAATTAGCTGGGCATCCTGGCACATGGCTGTAATCCCAGCTACTCAGGAGGCTGAGGCACCAGAATCACTTGAACCTGGGAGGCGGAGGCTGCAGTGAGTGGAGATCACATTACTGCATTCCAGCCTAGGTGACAGAGCAAGACTCCATCTCAAATAATAATAATATTATTAATAATAATAATTACAACTCTACAACGGAACTTAATTTTGTCATAGAATATTAATGGTTAATATTAACAACTAAAATTTCTCTATGATATTTAAACCTCTGTACAAAGAAGAAACATAACTTATAAATTGCAACCAAAAACACTTCAGCTAAACTCAAACTCATCAGTACCCTTAGACATGAACATAAATGGAGCTATATGAGGCCAAACATCTCAAATTTCAGTGCTGACACAGAAACACATTAAAACAAACAAAAAATTGATCCTACAATACACAGGACATTTTACTTCTTATCTGACCAAAGAGCAACTAGGATTACCTTGATAGAAGTCCTCTTCATCTTCTTCATGTTGATAGGTCTGTTCTTGGACTGGATTCTTCCTGTAATTCCGGCCATCAATTCTTATAAGCTGTGGACGCAGAACTTCCATGACACTTTCTCCAAATGATATTCCAATTATGCCCTGAAAAATATAATTACCATCTTACCTTTCTTAGTGAGAATTAAAACTCCTATCTCTAGTGTCTGAACCATTATGCAGGTCTGAATTGGGCATCAGTTCACAGTATCTCCCACACAAAAGCAGCACCATTTCCCATTGGATTTCCCATCTGTAAACCAGTTTAGGTTAATTGCTGCATTTTCTACCACACTGGCTCACTCTAGACAGCAAAGTAATTTGTAAACTATTTATCACCCCCCCCCCAAAAATGATTAAAAGGCATACACTCTTAAAAAAAAAAAAAAAAGAAGGAAGGGAGGGGAGCAGTGGTTCACATCTGTAATCCCAGCACTTTGGGAGGCCAAGGTGGGAGGATTGGTTGAGGCTGGAGTTCAAGATCAGCCTTATGAACATAGTGAGACCTCGTCTCTAAAAAAAGAAAAAGAGGGCCAGGTGTGGTGGCTCACACCTGTAATCCCAGCACTTTGGGAGGCCGAGGCAGGCAGATCACAAGGTCAGGAGTTCAAGACCAGCCTGACCAACATAGTGAAACCCCATCTCTACTAAAAATACAAAAATTAGCTAGGCATGGTGGCACGTGCCTGTAATCCCAGCTACTCGGGAGGCTGAGGCAGGAGAATCTCTTGAACCCAGGAGGCGGAAGTTGCAGTGAGCTAAGATCGCGCCACTGCACTCCAGCCTGGGCAACAGAGCACAACTCCGTCTTAAAAAAAGAAAAAGAAAAAGAGAAAGAGAAAAGGGCCAGGCATGGTGGCTTACACCTGTACTCCCAGCACTTTGGGAGGTTGAGGAAGGAGGACTGCTTGAGCCCAAGAGTTTGAAACCAGCCTGGGCAACATGGCGAAACCCTGTCTCTCAAAAAACAACAACAACAACAAAAAAAAGAGAGATTAAAAATAAAAGGCATTATAAATGCCCGTATATAAACACAGCCTGTCCATGGCTTTGAAAGAGAGAATAAAGGTCTCTTTATTACTTTAACCTAATGAGTAAAATGCAAACTTCAGTGGTTATCTAACCATTTGCACAATATCTCTTTTTTTTTTTTTTTTTTTTTTTTTGAGACGGTGTATTGCTCTTGTTGCCCAGGCTGGAGTGCAATGACACAATCTCAGCTCACTGCAACCTCTGCCTCCCGGGTTTAAGCGATTCTCCTGCCTCAGCCTTCCCAGTTGCTGGAATTACAGGCCCCTGCCACCACCCCCGGCTAATTTTTTGTATTTTTAGTAGAGATGGGGTTTCGTCATGTTGGCCAGGCTGGTCTGGAACTCCTGGCCTCAGGTGATCCACCCGCCTCAGTCTCCCAAAGTGCTGGGATTACAGGCGTGAGCCACTGCGCCCAGCAAACTCTTTCTATCTAGCAAGATAATTAAGACAATGAGGGATATTTAATACACTTAACCATCCAGAAAAAAAAAAGCCCCTAAGTACTTTTAGAGGTGCTAGAAATTCATACCAAACAATCAGTTCCAGTTGTCTGTTAAAGCACAGTTAAAATAACAACTTAACCAATATGGTTCTCAGACCAACATACTGCTGAAGGGGGGAATCCAATTTCCACAGGCCACTGCCCAACAAAATGCACATCGCTCACTGCGAAGCCAAGCTTCTGGTCACATCACTTAATGAATCAATAATTTAGGAAACAAAGGTTCCTTACAGGCTAGCTGAGGTTAAATTCAACCAATATTCCTACCACGTACAGCTTAGATAGTCTTGAAGCCCAAAATACTTAAAAGTTCCAAAGAAAACAAGTTGATCCTTACTAAATACACTAATGTTCAAGCCAACGTGGGCGCGGTGGCTCACGTCTGTAATCCCAGCACTTTAGGAGGCCGAGGCGGATCATCTGAGGCCAGGAGTTCGAGACCAGCCAGGCCAACATGATGAAACCCCGTCTCTACTGAAAATACAGAAAGTAGCCGGGTGTGGTGGCGGGCGCCTGTAGTCCCAACTACTGGGAAAGCTGAGGCACGAGAATGGCTTAAGCCTGAGAGGCGGAGGTTGCAGTGAGCTGAGATCGCGCCACTGCACTCCAGCCTGGGCGACAGAGCGAGACTTCGTCTCAAAAAAATAAATAAAATAATAATTGATGAGTTGTGCGCTTACAGAACCAAGAAGAGGTTTCGTGAGAAATAACAACACAGAAGGTAAACCGACATGGATGGAGGAAAAGGGCACATCATTAGCAATACTCGATGACATCACAACCCAGTGGCCTATTCCCCGAGGCCTCTAAAGTTCTCAACGAAAAAAGACTTTCAAAGGAAAAGCTTAAAAAAAAAATGTTCCCCACAAAAACAGACTAAGATGAAAGTCGGGCCCTCAGACCACGAGCTCCGGAAGAACAGGCAGTTGTCGCGGAGACAGCAAATGCAGCATCTACCTGTCCTACATGGCCCTGCGCTACGAGACTGCTCGGAAGGAAAGAGAGGAATAACCAACTTAACCCTGCTTCGAGGTGGTTTGGAGAGGAAGAGGAAAGCTGTGTCTTTCTGCAATATCGTGAGGGAAGCCGAGGCCCTGAATCATCAAAGAGAAGGAGAAGAGGACTAGGCGGCTGCAGGTAAACCAAGGTAGGGCGAGGAGGAGGACCCGGAATTCCTCTACGCGAGCGCGTTCTCTGCTCCCCTCCTCGCGTCTCCGCCCCGGCCACGCCCACCACGGCACGGGCGCGCGCACGCCGCCTTCGCCGCTGGCTCCGTCTGTTGGGGGGCGAACACGCCGCGGTCCTCGTCGTGGTGAGCGCAGCCACTCAGGCTGGTCCTGGGGGTGGGGCTGTAGGGGAAAGTGCTAAAGCCGCTGAGGTAAGAGGCCGAGGGGTCGAGGGCCCTCGGGAGCTTGGTGAAAAGGGAGTTAACCCCCAGGATCCTACCTGCAGGGACTAGAAAAATGGAGAAGGTAGGAGGAGAAACAGGAGACTGCTGCAGCAGACGTGCGATAGGAAATTTCCCCAGGCCGGGTTTGACCGAGTGCGCATGCGGGCCGAGGGCTGGCGCCTGCGCAGTGGGACAGCGCCGATGGCGTAGTTTCCTGGGGACCCAGCTGGGTGGGAAAAGTGGCTAGGAGTTAGCTTGGGAGCCGCTGGTGTTCTGAGCGCTCCCCTCTCTGGCCACTTTTTCTCCACGCCCACCCCCGCCCCGTTCCCGCCCCCCCCCCCCCCCGTTACAGCTGCGGCATCTATTTGGTTTGGGTTGTAATCCAGCTGTTTTGAAGTGGAACGATTTGTTGATGATGGAATTTAATGATTACTTGTAATAATTTGCCTTTGTACTAGGGTAGGAACTTTTAAGGAATTACTCTTTTTAAGAAAATAGGCATATATCTGTTAGAAAGGAAAGGAATTTATATTCATAAATATATGAATGCGAGGTCATCCCTGCCGTACATGAAGTAAATGTTTAAGCATCTTAGCTCGGACACAGCAATCTGTGTCCACAAAGCATCGTTACTCTCCTGTGAGGATCTCCACTGTCAGCCCCAACTTACCTGACAGGGCCAAGTCCCAGGATACTTCATCATCAGTATTTGTTTGACAAAATTTTACTGGGCACCTCCGGTGGGCCTGGCAAACTGGTTGAAGATAGAGTTGTGCGAATAGATCTGCACAATGAGAAAGAAAAAAATCCATAATGATCCAATACTCATGACACAGCGCTTCTCTATCTCCTGCATGACCTTTGCTGAGCTGCTCGCCCTGCGTTCTGTCGTTTGTTCATCATTCATTCATCCGAAATGCTCGGGACTGGAAGCACAGTGGAAACACTGCCCCAGGTTCTGTGCTCGGCATTGAGGGTAGAAAGACTTTTCGAAGGTGGCAGGGTGTTTCTTAAGATCATTGAACCTTAAAATGAAAGTGTAGGCCGGGCGCGGTGGCTCACGTCTGTAATCCTAGCACTTTGGGAGGCCGAGGCGGGCGGATCACGAGGTCAGGAGATCGAGACCATCCTGGCTAACACGGTGAAACCCCGTCTCTCCTAAAAAATACAAAAAATTAGCCGGGTGTGGTGGCGGGCGCCTGTAGTCCCAGCTACTCGGGAGGCTGAGGCGGGAGAATGGCGTGAACCCAGGAGGCAGAGCTTGCAGTGAGCCGAGATCGCGCCACTGCACTTCAGCCTGGGTGACAGCGAGAATCCGTCTCAAAAAAAAAAAAAAAAGGAAAGTGTAAAGTGCTTAATAGAAGGCACTGGCCCTCCTCCTGAACAGATTCTTTCTCCTGTGGGAGCTTGCTGACTCTGTTAGATGGAGAGAATTAATACTTTTCCCATGAGGTTTTTTCATAGTAAGTATGAAAACCTGGGATCTGCATAGGAAAAAAGACTCAGTAGTAACTCTCCGTTAATGACTTTGAATAGCCAAGATTTATGAAGTGTTTACTAAGCCTGTAACTGTTCCAAGTGTTTTACGTGTATTAACTAATCTTTGTCACACCTGTGTGAGGTAGGTGCCGTTATTACAGGTTGAGTATCCTTAATCCAGAAATCCAAAATCCTCCAAAATTTAAAACTTTTTGAGCACTGACAGGATGGTCAAAGGAAATGCTAATTGGAGCATTTTGAATTTTAGATTTTCGGATTTGAGAGGCTTAATCATTAAGTATAATGCAAATATCCCAAAACCTGAAAAAAAAATCCGAAATCCAGAATACTTCCAAGTCCCAAGCATTTCGGATGAAGGGTACTCAACCTGTTTCCCATTTTGCAGATAAGACAACTAAGGAACAAAAAGATCCCGGAGGGGGAGGCGGAGGTTGCAGTGAGCCAAGATCGTGCCATTGCACTCTAGCCTGGGCAACAAGAGTGAAACTCTGTCTCAAAAAAAAAAAAAAAAAAAAATATATATATATATATATATATATATATATATATATATATATATATATATATATGCCGGAGGTTGCAATTTTTTACATTTTTGGCATCAGACCTTGGCGATGACCTTGAGCAGTAGGGTATAAATAACTCCCACATGCTTAGCGTTCCAGTAATGGAACACTAGGCATAAATGGGTTAAATGATGTGTCCACAGTCATGCAGCAAGTAAGTAGCAAAACCAGAACTCAGAGAGGCTTCATAATCTTACCCATTATGCTGCTTTACGTTGCACATGACAAATAACATACCAACAAGCCATTGCTTCAAAATGTCACAGCAGATAAGCTAAAATTGTCTCTACACCTCAGTTTTATTTTTTCATATATAAAATGGGGAAGTTGGGTTAGATGACCTTTAAGGAATCTGTGGTTTCTGTGAAATATTTAATTCACTCAGCAAACATTTACTGAAGTGAACAACTACTTCCTTACTATAGGCCAGGTGTTATGTTTGGTTCTGGTGATCAGTTAATTCCTGCCCTGAGAGCAGTTACCATCTAGGGTTTATTAGTTTTGCTTTACTCTCATTTACCACTTGCTGGTAGCATTCAAAATTTAACCTAAATCTTTAGAGCTAGAAATTACTTAGGTATATCCTTCCACCTCAGCAGAAAACTGCTTATTTAAAGTTAGCTTTATGCTAATTCTGTGCTCCAGTTTTCAACCCTGGCTGTTTTGTGTGTGGAACGATAGTAGTTCTGAGAGTTTGGAAGAAAACAGGATGAAAGGGAGTTCGTTTGATTATATTCAGCTTAGAAGTCACACTGTGGCTACCTTTTGAAGCTGTCCTCACTCTGGCAGTTGCTTGGGTGCTCTGCTCAGCACCTGACTTCAAAATATAAAGTATAAAGCATTTGCAACTGAATAGAGCATTTATCAGGGTGTAGGTAAAATAGATTAGAGTTTTAAATCTTAGGTGAGATATATAAACAGTTCACCGTGGGTTCTACTCTGAACTGATGGGAAATAAAGACTGAGCTGCTCTCCAAAAGATGGCTAAGTTGTCTGTATACTTTATTTGAATCCCACCAGGAATTCACTTAGAGATTTGGACCTGGTCCCTTACTGCTTAAGTTCAAAAACAATTCAAAAACTTGTCAGGCTGTATTTTGACCCAGTGTAGTCCGGAAGATTGGATATTAATCTAACTCCCAAAGTTGTTGCCTCTGTGGATATGAGTACAATTTGGAAAGTTATCAGAGCTCAGAGAAAAGAGGAAGAGTGATCTAATAACAAGATTGAAAATGTCAGCTGAGCAGAGTGGCTCAGGCCTGTAATCCCAGCATTTTGGGAGGCTGAGGTGGGAGGATCACTTGAGCCCAGGAATTGGAGACCCGCCTGAGCAACATAGTGAGACTTCCTCTCTACAAAAAATAAACAAAATTAGTGGGGTGTTCTGGCACGTGCCTGTAGTCCCAACTACTCGGGAGACTGAGGTGAGAGGATAACTTGTACCCAGGAGGTCAAGGCTGGAGTTAGCCAGGATAGTGCCACTGCATTCCAGCCTGGGAAACATAGCGACACTCTGTCTCCAAACAAAATAAAAAATAAAATGTCATTAATCAATTTGCATTTTTGCTGACAGTCTAGTTATAATAGCTGTTTTACCGTTCCCATACCCCACTTCACTATTAATCAGTGTTACTTATAGACATGTAATGAAATCAGAAACCAAGCTCTGCTTCTCTAACAGCCTTAAATCTTCATCACAAAATTAAGCAAACAGAACAGCCAGTATTTCAAGACATACTATATCATTTTCCTTACTAGGAATCTGGATTTTATGTATATAAATTTATATTTGTATTTCATTTCCTCACTTTTTTCTGTTTTCAAAAAACATGGCCAGGTGCAGTGGCTCACGCCTGTAATCCCAGCACTTTGGGAGGCCAAGGCAGGTGGATCACCTGAGGTCGGGAGTTCAAGACCAGCCTGACCAACATGGAGAAACCCCATCTCTACTAGAAATACAAAATTAGCCAGGCATGGTGGTGCATGCCTGTAATCCCAGCTACTCGGGAGGCTGAAGCAGGAGAATCGCTTAAATCCGGGAGGCAGAGGTTGCTGTGAGCCGAGATCGCGCCATTTCCAGCCTGGGCAACAAGAGGGAAACTCCGTCTCAAAAAAAAAAAAAAAAAAGAAGAGAAAAGAAAACATAAGTTTCAGCCAGGCATGGTGGGTCACACCTGTAATCCCAACACTTTGGGAGGCCAGGGTGGGAGAACTGCTTGAGCCCAGGAGTTCATACCAGTCTAGGGGCAACATGGTGAGAAGTTGTCTCTACTAAAAGTAAAAAGAATTAGCTGGGCATGGTGGCATGCACCTGAGGTCAGGTCCCAGCGACTTGGGAGGTTGAGAGGTTGGAGGATTGCTTGAGCCCAGGAGATGAGGCTGCAATAGCATGATCACGCCGCTGCACTTCAGCCTGGGTGACAGAGCGAGAGCCTGCCTCAAAAAACAAATATGTTTCAACTTTTTTATAATAAATATGTTCATTTTGCAACTAGCAAAAAAAAAAAAAAAAAAAACCCGAAAGAAAAATACTCAGGCTGGTCTAGGTGAAGTGGTGTTTACAGTAACTGATCACCACCAGTTACAGATTTCTTTGTTCCTTTTCCACTCCCACTGCTTCACGTGACTGGCCAGAAAAAAAAAAAAAAACTCAGCTAAAATTCTCTCTGACCATTATAGAGGGAAATTCATTTTACAATCCTTTTTTCTCCCCCGCCAAGATGGAGTTTCGCTCTTGTTGCCCAAGCTGGAGTGCAATGGCGCTATCTCGGCTCACTGCAACCTCCACCTCCCGAGTTCAAGCTATTCTCCTGCCTCAGCCTTCCAAGTAGCTGGGATTACAGGCGCCTGCCACCACGCCCAGCTCATTTTTGTATTTTAATAGAGATGGAGTTTCGCCATGTTTACCAGGCTAGTCTTGAACTCCTGACCTCAGGTGATCTGCCCACCTTGGCCTCCCAAAGTGCTGGCATTACAGGCGTTAGCCACCAGCCTGCAATCCTTTTTGAAGTCCTTTCTTTTAATTGGGCTAAAATTCACATAACATAAAATTAACCATTTGCCATTTTAAAGTATACAATTCAATATAAAGTTATTTTTAATCTAAATACTAGAAATTTATCCATTACAACAGCCAATAGCCACATGTGGCTACTTAAATTTTAATTAATATTAAATAAAATTTAAAATACAGTTCTTCAGTCACACCAGTTTATAGGTGCAACATGAAGCTACTGGCAACCATATTGTGCAGTGCAGAAATAGAACACTGGAACATTTCCATCATGGCAGAAAGTTCTATTAGCATGGCACTAGACCATTTTTTCTTTTCTTTTTTTTTTTTTTTTTTTTTTTGAGACAGAGTCTGGCTCTGTCACCCAGACTGGAGTGCAATGGAATGATCTCAGCTCACTGCAACCTCCGCCTCCCAGGTTCAGGTTCAAGTGATTCTCCTGCCTCAGTCTCCTGAGTAGCTGAGACTACAGGCGCCCACCACCACACCCAGCTAAATTTTTTTTTTTTTTTTTTTTTGAGACAGAGTCTCACTCTTTTGCCCAGGCTGGAGTGCAATGGTGCAGTCTTGGCTTACTGCAACCACTGCCTCCCAGGTTCAAGCGATTCTCCTGCCTCAGCCTCTCAAGTAGCTGGGATTACAGGCACGCACCACCATGCCCAGCTAATTTTTGTATTTTTAGTAGAGATTGGGTTTCACCATGTTGGCCAGGCTGGTCTTGAACTCCTGACCTCGTGATCCACCCGCCTCGGCCTCCCAAAGTGCTGGGATTACAGGTGTGAGCCACCGCACCCGGCCATTTTTTCTTTAAAAAATACTAAATACACTTGTTAGAGGGCTGAGCGCAGTGAGACTTTGGGAGACCACGGTGGGAGAATCACTTGAGACCAGGAGTTAAAGACCAGACTGGCCGGGCATGATGGCTCATGCCTGTAATCCCAGCACTTTGGGAGGCCGAGGCAGGCAGATCACGAGGTCAAGAGATGGAGACCATCCTGGCCAACATGGCGAAACCCTGTCTCAACTAAAAATACAAAAATTAGCTGGGCGTGGTGGCACGCGCCTGTAGTCCCAGCTACTCAGGAGGTTGAGGCAGGAGAATCGCTTGAACCTGGGAGGCAGAGGTTGCAGTGAGCAGAGATCGCGCCACTGCACTCCAGCCTGCCAACAGAGCGAGACTCCGTAAATAAATACATACATACATACCAGACTGAGCAACATAGCAAGACCTTGTCTCTATTTAAAAAAAAAAAAAAAAGGAAAGAGGCCAGGCGCAGTGGCTCATGCCTGTAATCCCAGCACTTTGGGAGGCCAAGGCAGGCAAATCACCTGAGGTCAGGAGTTTGAGACCAGCATGGCCAACGTGGTGAAACCCCGTGCCTACTAAAAATACAAAAATTAGCTGGGCATGGTGGCTCATGCCTGTAATTCCAGCTACTCAGGAGGCTGAGACAGGAGAATCGCTTGAACCTAGGAGACGGAGGTTGCGGTGAGCCGATATCATGCCACTGCACTCTAGCGTGGGCGACAAGAGCGAGACTCCGTCTCAAAAAATTAAAAAAGGAAAGAAAGAAAATACCATATACACTTTTTAGAATTTTTGTTAAAGTCGTGTAAGCTTCTGTGGCAAAGGGAGGGTTTTGTTTTGAACTTTTGTAAGGTGTCATGTATTCAGTACAGTTTTCTCGTTAACATTTGCATTTTTTGGTATGAAATAGGATTAAACACTCACAGGTAGGTGCTCTGTTCATAATAGGCCATGGTTTCCAAGATTGTTTCCTGAACTTTTTGTTCCAGTTTTGGGATGCCACCAAGTGATAAGTTTGGGTATTACATTTAGATGAAAAGGTTAATTTTTTTTTTTTTTTTTTTTTTTTTTTGAGAGTCCCGCTCTGTCGCCCAGGCTCACTGCAACCTCCGCCTCCCGGGTTCAAATGATTCTCTTGCCTCAGCCTCCTGAGTAGCTGGGATGAGAGGCGTCCACCACCACGCCCTGCTAAATTTTTTTGTATTTTTAGTAGAGACAGAGTTTCGCCATGTTGGCCAGGCTGGTCTTGAACTCCTGGCCTCAGGTGACCTATCCGTCTCGGCCTCCCAAAGTGCTGGAATTACAGGCGTGAGCCACCGTGCCTGGCCAAAAGGTTAATTTTTAATGAGAAAGCCAATATGTATTTCCTAACTAGTTCCCCTTCCCTGGGAACAGAACACAGTGTTATTCTGGAATGTTATTTGGAAAATATTATAATTTATTGTTGTGGCTTGATCAGGATGTATCCAAGAAAAACTGTCCTATGAAGTGTGATGCTTTTATCCTCGTATAACTTATTTCCTCTGTCAAATTTCTGCCTTGGCACTGCCATATCACCCCTTCATAACTCATAAATCACCCACAGTCAATCTTAGTTGACATAAACAGTTCGCTAATGGTAGGAATTCATGTTTTAAGTAGATATACTATTCTTAAGCATATTTTCAGTTCAAAACCTGACTGATATTTTGGCCTGAGACATCAATAAAATATTGTGAAAGTAGAGAGCATAGAAAAAAGGGGAGCTAACTCTTTACAAAACTGTATGCTGGCCCTTACAGCAGCTAGAATGAAATGTTGTCACTCTCACTTCCATAAACTTGCCAATTGCTGTTTTTCTTTCTCTGTAGTGAAGTAAGAACTCTGCTAGAGAGGAAATGGCTGCTTCATCATCATCCTCCTCAGCTGGTGGGGTCAGTGGAAGTTCTGTCACTGGATCTGGTTTCAGTGTCTCAGACCTTGCCCCACCACGGAAAGCCCTTTTCACCTACCCCAAAGGAGCTGGAGAGATGTTAGAAGGTGATCTCATGCTGCTTTCTGAATAATTGGATTCAGATCTGCAATGCATATTAATTGTAAAGAAGCTATTAAGTGGATTAAAGATGAGTTTGCCCTGATTTCAGCTCCACATTTCATTTCTTGTCCCCATCTCAAAATAGTATCTTTAAAAACAAGTCTTGCTCCAGAATCAGAATTTTGGAGCTGAAAAGGACTTTGGAAATCAATGAAGTCATCTAGAGTTATTTAGATCCAGAAAAGTTAAGTGATTTGACCAGGTTAAAGGCAGAGTCAGGGCTGGGCACGGTGGCTCACTCCTGTTATCCCAGCACTTTGGGAGACTGAGGCAGGTGGATCACTTGAGGCCAAGAGTTTGAGAGCAGCCTGGCCAACATGGTGAAACCCCATTTCTACTAAAAATACAAAAATTAGCCGGGCATGGTGGTAGGCGCCTGTAATCCCGGCTACTGGGGAGGCTGAGGCAGGAGAATCACTTGAACCTGGGAGGTAGAAGTTGCCATGTGCCGAGATCTCGCCACTGCACTCCAGCCTGGGTGACAGAATGAGACTCTGTCTCAAAAAAAAAAAAAAACGCAGAGGCAGCACTGAATCCAGGAATTCTCTTGACCTCCTACTCCAGTTTGCTTTATCCTGGCACCTGTCTACCTCCCATGGTAGTAGGTTTGATGTATTTTTTTCTAGGGTGATTAATCTACGGATAGATTCACCCTGTCAGAAAGGTTCTAAGAGGGAATAAAAGCTAATACATTGCCCTTTTGTGTGAACATGACTCCTGACCCACTGCAGCATGATGCCGTGTGGTTCTTATAGCACCAAAGCCAGATTTGCATCAAATCATTCACCATCTTGTTCAGCATCATTGGCTGACTGGCTGGCCAAGATCAGGGTACAGGCTGTAAGCATGTCATTTGAAGAGCAAAGAGGTTACTTAAAATGCACATTTCTGGCCAGGCACTGTAGCTCATGCCTGTAATTCTAGCACTTTGGGAGGCCAAGGCGGGTGGATCACCTGAGGTCAGGAGTTCGAGACCAGCCTGCCCAACATGGTGAAACCCCATCTCTACTAAAAATACAAAAACTAGCTGGGCATGGTGGCGATGTCTGTAATCCCAGCTAATCGGGAGGCTGAGGCAGGAGAATCACTTGAACCCAGAAGGCAGAGGTTTTAGTGAGCCAATATTGTGCCACTGCACTCCAGCCTGGGTGACAGAGCAAGACTCTGTCTCAAAAATATATATAAATAAATAAATAAAATGCATATTTCTGGGCCCACCTTAGAGTTTCTGAATTAGTCTAGGGTGTAGCTCAGGAGTCCATTTTTTACCAGCATCCAGGCCCTTCTCATGAAGGCAGTCTTCCATATTTTGAAAAACATTGGGACCAGGAGTGGTGGCTCAAACCTAAAATTTCAGCATTTTGGGAAGCCAAGGCATGAGGATTGTTTGAGCCCAGGAGTTCAAGGTTGCATTGAGCCATGATCATGCCATGGCACTCCAGCCTGGGTGACAGAATGAGACTCTGTCTCAAAAAATAGTAATAATAAATTTTTAAAAAGCACTGGGAGGCCAGGCGCAGTAACTCACGCCTGTAATCCCAGCACTTCTGGAGGCCAAGGCAGGCAGATCACAAGGTCAGGAGATTGAGACCATCTTGGCTAACATGGTGAAACCCCGTCTCTACTAAAAATACAAAAAAATTAGCTGGATGTGGTGGCGCATGCCTGTAGTCCAGCTACTCAGGAGGCTGAGGCAGGAGAATCACTTGAATCTGGGAGGCAGAGGTTGCGGTGAGCAGATATCATGCCACTGTACTCCAGGCTGGTGACAGAGCAAGACTCTGTCTCAAAAAAAAAAAGCAAAAAAAAAGCTTTGGGGAATAACCTATTAAGGATTCAAAATTTACTTGATTCTAGTATTTTAGTGCTTAATTATATATTGATCTTTTTTCCTTTAAGTGTTGCAATTTTTTTTTTTTTTTGAGACAGAGTCTCGCTCTGTTGCCCAGGCTGTAGTGCAGTGGCTCGATCTTGGCTCACTACAACCTCTGCCTCCCGGGTTCAAGTGATTCTCCTGCCCCAGCCTCCCAAGCAGCTGGGATTACAGGTGCCCACCACCACACCTGGCTAATTTTTTTAATATTTTTAATAGAGGCAGGGTTTCGCCATGTTGCCCAGGCTGAGCTTGAACTCCTGACCTCAAATGATCTGCCCACCTCAGCCTCCCAAAGTGCTATGATTACAGGCATGAACCACCGCACCTGGCCTTAATATTTCAAATTTACACAACTATATTTTAAAACTAATCTAGGAATATCTGTGAGAAAGATACAAACTATAGGCCAGGCATAGTGACTCACACCTGTAATCCCAGCACTTTGGGAGGCTGAGGCAGGCAGATTGCTTGAACCCAGGAGTTTGAGACCAGCCTGGGCAACATGACGAAATCCTGTCTCTAGAAAAAATAGAAAATTAGCTGGGTGTGGTGGCACGTGGCTGTAGTCCCAGCTACTTAGGAAGGTGAGGTGGGAGGTTCACCTGAGCCTGGGAGGTGGAGGCTGCAGTGAGCTGTGATCGCATCACTGCATTCGAGCCTGGGTGATGGAGACCTTGTCTCAAAAAAAAAAAAAGAAAAGAAAAGATACAAACTATAGTTGGCCTTGGGGGTGATGAATAATCAGAAATAATAAAAAGAGTTACGGGTTAAGCCCAAAATCATTTGTGACAGGAAACCACGGGGGGACTCTGGGACCATAGAGCTCCCTAGGATTGGTTTGGGTTATGACTAGTGGTGAGGTAGATGACCAGGTAGCATATGTAATTAGTGATACATGTACTTCTCTCTTTGCCTTTTTATTTTCTTTAATTGTGTTAACTAAATACTCAAGTTAGTATCACTGAGTCTGGTTAGAAGTAGTGAACAATTGGGGCCCTGTTACCATATTTGGTGCTAAAACTATATTATGACTTCATTTATATGCAGCAAAGACCTAGTATTAAGGAAGTTTCCCACAAAACAAATCAAAAATGGGAGACACTTAAATTGCTTAATGAGTTTTATAGCAGCAGAAGAATCCATATTCAACAATGGAGCTCTAAGATTAAAGTCATTTAAATTCTAGCTATAAGAGGAATTTAATACAGGAGGTACCTCCACAGTCTCAAAGCTATCAGCATTCTTTGTCAGTATACATCAAATTATGTGGAGATATTGAAGAAGAAAGGCTTCTGAGATTAGTCTGAATGTTGATGTTCTAACGAGTTATAGATCTATCCATTTTTATTCCATCTCAATATGCTTCATGGAGAAATGTGTTGTGTTTCTGTTGTAGGATACATTTATATTAAGTATAAATACACAGTGCACAGTTTTGATTGTGTTTCTTACATTTCAAGTTTTACCAATAATCTTAAATCTTAAAAAGATTAAGATAATCTTTAAAAATCTAAAATCTTAAGAATATAAAGAGTATTACACTTAAAGACTGAAAAATAATGTAGAGATGGCAACCCCTAAACCCATTTAATATTCTTGGTCAAATCAAGAATATTAAATTGAGAAGAGTACTCTGAAATGTAAGGATGTTGGATTTGGAAGCATTTTCTACCATGTTTATAGGTGATACTATTCTATTATACAATAAATCTAACACACATGTACCTGACCAATAATAGTTTAATAGAATATGAAAATAGAGGCCGGGCACGGTGCCTCACGCCTGTAATCCCAGCACTTTGGGAGGCCGAGGTGGGCGGATCACCTGAGGTCAGGAGTTCGAGACCAGCCTGACCAATATGGTGAAACCCCACCTCTACTAAAAATACAAAAAAAAAAAAAAAAAGGCATCGTGGTGTGTGCCTATAGTCCCAGCTACTCAGGAGGCTGAGAGAATTGCTTGAACCCAGGAGGCGGAGGTTGCAGTGAGCCGAGATCATGCCACTGCCCCCCAGCCTGGGCGACAGAGCGAGACTTGGTTTAAAAAAAAAAAAAAAGGATATGAAAATAGAGCAGGAAGGGTTGCCTGTCAAGAGTAAGGAACAAAAGCAGTTAGGAATCAAGGATGGATGCTGTTTTTAATCTCAAAAGGTTCAACTTGATGTTACATCCTTGTGAGTCTAGGATAGTAAACCCAAATCACCTGTAGTTAACCTTGTGAATTAACTTTTTTGTGCCTCTGCTCTCTGATAACAGACACCTCACATAAGCAGCATACAGCAGTTTGCAGCATTCTCCTGCCCTTGGCCAAAATTGTCCTCACCCAGTTATTACTGAGCACATTAGAAACTGCCTTCCAGCCCATCAGTGGCTGTATTTTAGAGACATTGTAGCCACTGAAGTATAAATTATCTGGCATTGTCTAATTGCCTACTGTGAGGTAATATTCTTTTTAATGTATTTGTTACCATCCTTATTTATTGGAGTTGGCTATGGTGTTAGATTTGGGTAATTTACTAAACTTTTCCCTGTTTATGACCTGTGCTTGTCCCTGACAAGGAAAGCTGATGTATTGCTACCTGCTGTGTTACAAAGGGTTTGATTACAGTTTCTAAATGGAAGAGATTGCCCCCAGCTGACTCCGTTCTGGAGCAATTCCAGGCTTTAGACTGGTACTGATACCACATCTAATAGGATGTGGCTAAGAAGCAATTGGACTTGGACGTTAATAGGGAGCTGCAAATCAGCAAAAGTGTGTTCCACAGGCATATAGTGTGGTGGAGTGAAATGCAGAGGTTCCTTTTTGAAAGTTTAGCTTATATCCTTTTGCTTTGAAGTTCATTACCAAGGAAAATATGCAAATATCACAACTTAACTATTTTATCCTAATGGTGCCTGTGATTAAATGCAAGTGAGAGGTGGCACTTTCAGGAGCTTCCATATACATCTTGGCCTGATCCTTATAGCCTATAATTCCCACTGCCTTGTGTGTAATCCTAAAGTTCAGGATCAAACCATCTGGGAGGTAAACTCTAATTGTCTATGCTTTCCTCTTTCTAAAATAAAATATGAGTTATAATTGGACTTTTTAAGCAAGAATATGAATAGGATAATGACTGCTGACATTCAAACCCCTTTTTTTTTTGAGACTGAGTTTGAATTTACAGAATGTAACACTGTCTCTGAAGAATACAAAAAGTATACATCCCAATAATTATACTTTCATTTTTTTCTTTTTCTCTTTTTTTTTTTTTTTTGATCACTTTGAAGATGATATTGGAAGGATGCCCTCTTGGTTATATATTCAAGCTCTTTGGATACAGTATCTATAGTTGTTTTTTTTTTTAATTGGTTATTGTGACTTCTGAAATAAGGTTTCCTTTGTGTGAAACTCAGCATGAGGCCAGAATGTGTTAGTCCTGTCTGCTTGCCATGTAATACCTGGCCAACACAACAACCCATGATTGATGGGTGAATGCTTGAGGCCTAGTAGTGCTAACGTGAAGTACTGCCTGAAAAAGGACAGCTGTGTCCTCTCTCCCCGTTTGTTTTAGGATTTTCGCAATAAGGTACATCCCCCAAATGGTTTCTGCTACCTTTTTAAAAATCAAATGTTTCTACGTGAGCTGTAAATTTTTGAGAATATGTTTTGCTGTATCAGCCCTTGCCTGACAAGGAATAACATGAACTAGCTTATGTTTCATGATCATCTTCCAAGTGCTGTGGCAACTGAGTTGGCCACTTCTTGTTGGCAGTTCTTGGCACCAGTACAATTCTAGGTTCTGAACTTGCACCATACTCTTATCGTCATCCAAATTGCAGTGTTTTGGTTCAGTTGGAAAATCAAGGTTACAGTTTGCGTTCACAGAATGAAATTTCCCAGCAGTGTTCTGTGATTGTCAGAGTGATGTAATTTGATATATTAAAAATCAACAATTTTTTCCTCAGCTTTGTTTTTTAGACTGAAAATGATTTGGAGTTTTGGTGAACCTTTATATTTTGACACTACAGGAGCCAGCCACAAGGCCAAATGTGTCAGCTGCCAGTGTTTGCTTGACATACAGGAGAACATTAAGGAACTCTCAGGTTGGGAGGAGGGAAGTGTTGACCAGGACATCAGACGGAGGTTTCTTGTTTTTGTTTTTTTAAACACTATTTTTAAACTCTTAAGTAGAGGGACTATTTTAATATTCTAGGTATAGAATAAATAGCTTTTATAACAGTCTTAGTTCTAAATGAAGCAGAACCCGTCTTTGTAAACACTGAGAACTAGACCCTGAATGTACAAGCAGGGAAAAGAATAGACAAGTTTACTTGGTTTATCAGAAGCCATAAAACCTTTAGAGCAGATTAAAACCTTTTCTCCTTTTGTTTGTAGATGGCTCTGAGAGATTCCTCTGCGAATCTGTTTTTAGCTATCAAGTGGCATCCACGCTTAAACAGGTGAAACATGGTAAGCACATGAGTGTTGCGTACTTGACTGTGAGAATAAATTTGCTAGGGGGTGGATGAGGCTGTGACAAAAATCCCCAAACTCAGCAAGGCTATTTTAGTGGACTTCCTAAATTAAAGAACATTCTAGGTCTTAATCTAGTCATAATGTCCACATTGAGGCTTAAGGTTGGGGCCGAGTGCAGTGGCTCACGTTTGTAATCCCAGCACTTTGGGAGGCTGAGGCGGGTGGATCACTTGAGGTCAGGAGTTTGAGACCAGCCTGGCCAACATGGTGAAACTGCATCTCTACAAAGAAAAAATTAGTCAGGCATGGTGGCGCATACCTGTAGTCCCAGCTACTTGGGAGGCTGAGGTGGGAAGATCACTTGAGCCCGGGAGGTTGAGGCTGCAATGAGCCGGAATCACAGCACTGCACTCTAGCCTGTGCAACAGAGACCCTGTCTGAAAAACAAAAAAAGTTGGTCCTCCAGGGAGTCAGTGCTTCCTGCTCCTCTTGTGTTACTTTTTCCTCTCCTGTCTGAAACCTCCTTTTACTGTTGTCCTCCACTGGTTACCATCATCATCTTCAAGTATTTGTACGATACCTCCTGGTCTGTCTATACTCTAACATCCTGATAACACTTTTTCTGTTACATTAGGCCTCACCAGGCCTTCATTTCTGCATCAACAAACTGTGTTCCCCCTCCAGACCATTTCTCCATTGAAACTTTATGTAGGGGGAAAAGCTGTAATTGCCTCTAACCCTAGGATTTTAGTCCACAAATCACTATGGCATAGAGGATGAGTACTTTTTTTAGGAACAGAGCACATCCAGGCCGGGTGCAGTAGCTCATGCCTCTAATCCCAGCACGTTGGGAGGCTGAAGCAGGAAGACTGCTTGAGCCCAGGAGTTCAAGACTGACCTGGGCAACATGGTGAAACCCCATATCTAAAAAAAGAAAATACAAAAATTAGTGGAGAATGGTGGTGCATGCCTGTGGTCCCAGCTACGTGGGAGGCTGAGTTGGGACGATCGCTTCAGCCCAGGAGGCATACTCCAGCCTTGGTGACAGAGTGAGACCCTGTCTCTGGAAAAAAATAGGGCACATCCTGAAAATGTGATCATTTTATTTTAAAATGACTTTTATTTTTTGAGACGGAGTCTCTCACTGTCACCCGGGCTGGAGTGCAATGGCATGATCGCGGCTCACTGCAACCTTTGCCTCCTGGGTTCAAGTGATTCTCCTTCCTCAGCCTCACAAATAGCTGGGACTACAGGTGCACGCCACCACGCCCAGCTAATTTTTGTATTTTTAGTAGAGATGGGGTTTCACCATGTTGGCCAGGATGGTCTTGATCTCTTGACCTTGTGATCCGCCTGCCTTGGCATCCCAAAGTGCTTGGATTACAGGCATGAGCCACTGCGCCCAGCCTTTCTTCTTTTAACATTAGAAGAAACTTCCAACTTAAAAAAAAAAAAATAGGCCGGGCACGGTGGCTCATGCCTATAATCCCAACAATTTGGGAGGCTGACACGGGCGGATCACCTGAGGTCGGGAGTTCGAGACTGGCCTGACCAACATGGAGAAACCCCATCTCTACTAAAAATACAAAATTAGCCAGGCATGGTGGCATATGCCTGTAATTCCAGCTACTCGGGAGGCTGAGGCAGCAGAATCGCTTGGACCCAGGAGACAGAGGTTGCAGTGAGCTGAGATCACACCATTGCACTCCAGCCTGGGCAATAAGGGTGAAACTCTGTCTCAAAAAAAAAAAAAAAAAAAAAAAAAAATTAAGCTTCTGACCAGCATAGAATAAGACCCCATTATGAGAATTTTGAGGGTCGGGCACAGTGGCTCACGTCTGTAATCCCAGCACTTTGGGAGGCTGAGGCAGGCAGATCACCTGAGGTCAGGAGTTCGAGACTAGCCTGGCCAACATGGTGAAACCCCATCTCTACAAAAATAAAAAACTTAGCTGGGCACGATGGCGGGTGCCTGTAGTCCCAGCTACTCAGGAGGCTGAGGCGGGAGAATCACTTGAACCCACGAGGCAGAGGTTTCAGTGAGCCGAGATCGCGCCATTGCACTGCAGCCTGGGCAACAAAGCAAGACTCCATTCCCCACCCCCACCCCACCCCCCAAAAAAAGAGAGAGAATCTTGAGGAGAAAAAAAAATCCATCTAGAAATTTTTTTTTTTTGAGACGGATTCTCACTCTGTCACCAGGCTGGAATGCAGTGGCACGATCTCGGCTCACTGCAACCTCTGCCTCCAGGGTTCAAGCGATTCTCCTGCCTCAGCCTCCCGAGTAGCTGGGACTACAGGCGCATGCCACCACGTCCAGCTAATTTTTTTTGTATTTTTATAGAGATGGGGTTTCACCATATTGGCCAGGATGGTCTCGATCTCTTGACCTCGTGATCCGCCCGCCTCGGCCTCCCAAAGTGCTGGGATTATAGGCGTGATCCACCACACCCGGCCTAGAAATTATTTTTATACCAGTCATCATCTTGGTGGCTGGTGGCAGTCTCTTGGGTAATACGTTGTTGCATAATATTCTTTCCTTGACTCCTTACAGATCAGCAAGTTGCTCGGATGGAAAAACTAGCTGGTTTGGTAGAAGAGCTGGAGGCTGACGAGTGGCGGTTTAAGCCCATCGAGCAGCTGCTGGGATTCACCCCCTCTTCAGGTTGATACTGCCTGGATGGTCACCTCTGGTGCGCAGCAAGTGCAAAGCCAGTGGGGGACTTTCTCACAGCTTACATAGCCATCCAGAGATCCACAGCTACGTCACTGAATTGTTAATGCACATTTGTACTTGGTTTCTCTGTATCTATTCACAGGCAACAAATACTTATATGTGTGATCTTTCAGGGAATGTTTTGTTTATTTGTTTTTAAAAGTATTGGGAATCAGATTAAGACAATCAGTTTCAGAGAACCAGGAGGTTTGGGGTTAAGAGATACTCAAAAATTTTCACAAGCCAAGTAGGGCATATATCAGATTTGGCCAACTGAATGGCGTCTGTCCTGTCATCCATATGGTGCCTGGAAATATTTACCAGTCAAGGTCAAGGTCAGCATCTGTGGTTAAAAATATAGCATTCTGACCTAAAAAAGTTATTTTGCAGATGAATGTGTTTTCAACTCAGGACCTATCCAAATGAGGAATTTTTAAATATTCTTTTTTTTTTCCTATTTTTAGACATCAATTCTATAGATTCTGACTTTTTCTAACCTCTTATAGACATGCCAAATGCTGGCAAAAAGAAGTGCTTTTTGGATATGGCAGCACTTGTAAAAATAAAGCAGTAAGCAAAATCCTTTTAAACACAGAAATCCTGAGTTCTTCTCATTGGTGGACTCAAGCAATTCTGTAGCAAATAAATCCTTTGAAAGAGCTCCAAATTGGTGGCATTATCCTTTCAAAATCTCAGGGATTTGGGATGAAGTGAAGAGGTCAAATTACTTTTTAGAAGAAGGGAATCTAAAAACCATCTCTCCTAAACAAATGGTAGACTGGCTTTACTTAAGGGATATTTGTCTTTATAGGAGTACATAAATTTATCTTAATGATATTTAAGTAGTTTTTTTTTTTTTTTGAGACGAAGTTTTGCTCTTGTTGCCCAGGCTGTATCGCAATGGCGCGATCTCTGCTCACTGCAACATCCACCTCCCAGGTTCAAGCAATTCTCCTGCCTCAGCCTCCCAAGTAGCTGGGATTACAGGCACCCGCCACCACACCCAGCTAATTTTTTGTATATTTAGTAGAGACGGGGTTTCACCATGTTGACCAGGCTAGTCTCGAACTTCTGACCTCAGGTGATCCACCTGCCTCAGCCTCCCAAATTGCTGGGATTACAGGCGTGAGCCACCTTGCCCAGCCAATTTTTTTTTAAAGAGACATGGTCTTGCTATGTTGCCCAGGTTGGTCTTGAACTCCTGGCCTCAAGAGATCCCCCCAACCTTGGCCTCCAAAGTGCTGGGATTACAGGCATGAGCCACCGCGCCTGGCCTCAAGTAAGTTTTTATACCATGATAGGGGAAAACCTGGAAGGCTAAGAGATGTGCTGTTTTCCTTCATGGGACCCCACTTTCCACAGTAAACAACTGGTATAATCATTTATTACGTTGTATGCAAATTTTGCCTTAGACAACATTTGTCTGGTTCCTTATTAATAACTTGCATCTGATCTGCTTAGAGTTGCTTAATTATAAGTAAATATAATCCCAGTAGCATTTAGCCTTAATCTCAAGAGTTCAAAATGTTTAACACATTCTACCTGACGGGAGGTGGTGACCTCATTCAGTCGGTTAAGAGCCTGAGCCCTGTGAAGTTAAACACCTGCTCATGGTCACATAGCCCAGGCAGAAGAAAATCTCGGACTTGGAATAGATCCCAGTTGCCTGATAATTCATCTCATTATTGCCTCTAAAGCAAATTGGAGACTGGGCACAGTGGCTCCCACCTTTAATCCCAGCACCTGGGGAGGCTGAGGTGAGTGGATCACTAGAGGTCAGGAGTTCAAGACCAGTCTGGCCGACATGGTGAAACTCAGTCTCTATTGAAAATACAAAAATTAGCTCAGTGTGGTGGCACACACTTGTAATCCCAGCTACTCAGGAGGCTGAGGCATGAGAATCGCTTAAACCCAGGAGGCGGAGGTTGCAGTGAGCTGAGATCACACCATTGCACTCTAGTCTGGGTGACAGAGCGAGACTCTGTCTCAAAAAAAAAAAAATAAAGCCGGGCGTGGTGGCTCACGCCTGTAATCCCGGCACTTTGGGAGGCTGAGGCAGGCGGATTGCCTGAGATCGGGAGTTCGAGACCAGCCTGGCCAACATGGTGAAACCTTGTCTCTACTAAAACTACAAAAAAAATTAGCCAGGCGTGGTGGCGGGCGCCTGTAATCCCAGCTACTCAGGAGGCTGAGGCAGCAGAATCGTTTGAACCCGGGAGGCGGAGGTTGCAGTGAGTGGAGATCGTGCCTGTGTGCTCCAGCCTGAGCAACAAGAGCGAAACTGTCTCAAAAAAAAGAAGAAAATAAATAAATAAAAATCAGAGCACAAGAAGTACCAGTCCACCAACTCACATTTTCTATATTAATAATTCTTAACTAAAAGAAGTTCCATATTCGACAGCATTTTAGTTTTTTAATAGTACTTATTAGCATCAACCATCTTGATAATCACCAAGGGAAAAATTAAAAATACCTAGACTGCAATAAACCTTTAAATTGGATTTTCAGTGAGAATTTAGAAGCAATCACTACCTTTCTCGTTTCATTTGTGTAACCATGCAGCATAGGCACTGTGTTACATCATCTTTACGCTTTGGTATTTGAACTTATTACAGAATTTTTTCTCTAAATTGGATGTTTCTTTATATGACCTTGGAAACTGAAGTGATCTTAGCATTAAACAAAAATGCTTTTTGAAGCACCTTTCTCATTGATCACTTAGCTGCTATTTTAGTCTTACCAAGAATAAGACTCTCACAATTTTTTAAAGAGAGTACCTCCCTCTCTATACCTTTTTGTCAGTCATTATGTTGCATCGTCCACAACGCCTGTTACTATGCTTTGGGCTCAAAGATGGTCCCAGTTGCTGATCTGTCATCTGTCTTCTCTTGTGCCAGTCACTCACAGGCATGAATTATAATCCTCTGAATAACACAGCAAGATACGTAATACCCCCTAATATAGAAAAGGAACTTGAAGCTCAGAGCAAGTGTCACTTGCCAAGGCTGCACAGCTAAGTCAATGGCCAAATCTGGATTTAAGTTCAACTCAGCCAGAATCCAAAGCAGCTTCTTTTAGATTCACTATGCCACATCCCACCAAACCCAACCCAGCACATTGTATTAGGAAAAATCCTAAAACTTTTGATTAAATGGTAAAAGGAAGTAACTACCTGGAGAAAATAAGGCTTCCGCTACCTTCCGTCCTCCCTCCCAGGGCTTGGCAAAAAGAGATCTTGAGCATGAGGAAGGAACAGCTTCTTCAGAAACAGGAATTAGCTGTATGTTGGCTTCTGCATACCCTCTTAAGATTCAATATGGGGCAGGACACAGTGGCTCACACCTGTAATCTCAGCACTTTGGGAGGCTGAGGCAGGCGGATCACCTGAGGTCAGGAGTTCGAGACCAGCCTGACCAACGTGGAAAAACCCCATCTCCACTAAAAATACAAAATTAGCCGGGCATGGTGGCACATGCCTGTAATCCCAGCTACTCGGGAGGCTGAGGCAGGAGAATCACTTGAACCCAGGAGGCAGAGGTTGCAGTGAGCCAAGATCGAGCCATTGCACTCTAGCCTGGACGACAGAGCGAGACTGTGCCTCAAAAAAAAAATTATTCATATCAATCTGACACATAATTCTATATAACTGTTTTGTCTCGTAATGAGATATCAACAGTAAAATAGCTAGTTTTACACAGTCGTACAAAAATTTCCCATTTTGACTTCACAATTATCCAGCATCAGCTTTAAAGTCCAGAGTTTTCACTGATACACAAACATGTTATTGATTAGTGCCATCCCATAGGTGACACACCGGAATGACAGTGTCTGGAAACTAAATCAAGTTCCTGACCCAAGGATCTCTCTCTATCTGCCCATTTACCTGCAGCCTGTGGCTCCCCTTCCCCAACATGGCTGGGAGTCCTGGAATCTGCTGTTCCCAGTCAGAGTACCAGATACAGAAGTGGTAGAAACTTTGGGCCTTAAGGCTAGAACTTTCACCTCTGTAAAGGGAAGGGGCCAGAGCTGGGAGATTCCTATCATCCAGAGGAAGAGGAGGAAGCTGCTCAAGAAGCTGGCGCCCTTTTGGGCAAGTGTAAGAAATGCTACACTTAAGGCCAGGTGTGGTAGCTCACGCCTGTAAGCCCAGCACTTTGGGAGGCCAAGGCGGCCAGATCACCTGAGGTCGGGAGTTCAAGACCAGCCTGACCAACACAGAGAAACCCCCATCTCTACTATAAATACAAAATTAGCTGGGCATGGTGGCGCACACCTCTAATCCCAGCTACTTAGGAGGCTGAGGCAGGAGAATCGCTTGAACCCGGGAGGCAGAGGTTGCGGTGAGCTGAGATCGCGCCATTGCACTCCAGCCTGGGCAATAAGAGCGAAACTCCGTCTCAAAAAAAAAAAGAAAAGAAAAGAAATACTACACTTAGAGGAGGCTGCTTTGCCTTTCCCTGTCCTTTTGCCAAAGCACCTAACTTTCCCGAAAATATCTTGCCAGGCCTTTTAATTGCCTAAAGTTCAACCAAAACCAAGCCTTTCATTTCACAAAAGAGATAAAAGTCTTAAATAACAGGTACTTGGGAGAGTTAAAAGCTTGGGCTACAGGCAGACTGTAGTGATACCAGATCTTTTCCTGTTTTCCCAGAGCTAAGTTTGGGATGGAGATTGCATCAAAGGAGGCTGATGCTTTGCCACTAGCCTTCTGTGCATAAATTTATTAGCATCTGGTCAAAGAGAGGGTCTCAGAATTGCAGAGCTGAAAGAGACCTTAGAGGTCATCTAGTTCACCCCTCATTTACATATAGGAAGTTGGGACGTTGTCTGTCTGGTTTACTGCTGCATCGTCAGTACCTAGGATACTACTTGGCATGTAGTAGGTATATCATAGGTCTCTCCTGAGTGAATGACATAGGAATTTGTGTGTTACCTTTGTTTTAGAAACTACTAGCTATTTCAAAACCAGGCGCCGTGGCTCACGCCTGTAATCCCAGCACTTTGGGAGGGTGAGGCTGGAGGATCACCTGAGGTCAGGAGTTCAAGACCAGCCTGGCCAACATGGGAAAACCCTGTCTCTACTAAAAATACAAAAATTAGCCAGGTGTGGTGGTACCTGTAATCCCAGCCTCATGGGAAGCTGAGGCAGGAGAATGGCTTGAACCTGGGAGGGAGATTGCAGTAAGCCAAGATCGCGCCACTGCACTCAAGCCTGGGTGACAGAGTGAGACTCTGTCTCAAAATAAATGAATAAATAAAAGAAACTACTAGCTATTTCTAGGGCAAAATCCATAGTGGAGTAATCCCTGAGGTAATTCAGATAGTTAATGGGCAGAGCCAAGACTATCACCCAGATCTCAGCCCAGAGTGCCTATAACGTCACCCTGACAGGTGGAGGCTGTGGAACAAATGGAAGCCGTTCCAAAGCAGTCATATCTCATGTGATCCCATCTACGCGATGAGCCAAGGCAAAGGGCACTGGTGGTTCCCTGCCGTCCTCATGGGCTCCTGCCCTGGGCCTGGTGGTAGGTTCACATGTCAGCAACCACGAGCTAATCTCACCTCACAGTTACTCTAATTTCTCGTGTCTGTCAAGTTTCCCAAGGAGGAGTTGTTTTCCCAAATCAGCCTGTTTCTTTTTATAATATAAGCTGTTTAGAGGCCAGGCACAGTGGCTCACACCTGTAATCCCAGCATTTTGGGAGGCCAAGGCGGGCAGATCACCTGAGGTCAGGAGTTCCAGGCCAGCCTAGCCAACATAGTGAAACCCCATCCCTAATAAAAATACAAAAATTAGGTGGGGCCAGGTGCGGTGGCTCACGCCCATAACCCCAGGACTTTGGGAGGCCGAGGTGGGCAGATCACCTGAGGTCAGGAGACCAGCCTGGCCAACATGGCAAAACCCTATTTCTAGTAAAAGTACAAAAATTAGCTGGTGTGGTGGTGCACGCCTGTAATCCCAACTACTCGGGAGGCTGAGGTGGGAGAATCTCTAGAACCCAGGAAACAGAGGTTGCAGTGAGCCAAGATCATGCCACTGCACTCCAGCCTGCGCAACAGAGTAAGACACTGTCTCAGAAAAAAAAAAAAAAAAAATAGCTGGGTGCAGTGGCACACGCCTGTAATCCCAACCACCCAGGAGGCTGAGGCAGGAGAATCTCTAGAACCTGGGAGGTGGAGGTTGCAGTGAGCCAAGACCGCACCACTGCATTCCAACCTGGGTGACAGTGAGACTCCGTCTCAAAAAAAAAACAAAAGAAAACCAAAAAAAACCTGTTTAGAGCAGGTAATGAAACAACATACAATTTGTTACAGCAATAGAGAGGATGTTCCTTTCCAAATGTCTGTCATTCTTTCAGCAGACGCTAGCACTGTGTGTCTAGTGTCTGCTAGATGCTAAGGATATGCTGTAAAACAAGACCCAGTCATCAACCTCAAGAAGTTTATAAATAAATATTAAGAGGAACAGAAAGGTCATTTTAAGTGTAATAATTGCTCTGATGGGGAAAGCATGAGGTGCTGGACAATCCCATAGCAGAGACAACTAATCCAGCTGGGCCAGGCATCAGAGAAGGCTTTAATGAAGGATGAGGTTTAGGCTGAGACCTGAAGAAAAAGTAAGTGGGGTGGGAAGGAAGAACTTTATAGGTGGAGGGAATACAATTTGCAGAGGCCCAAGGGTGGGAAAGGGCATCTTGCTTTTGTGGGGCTGCGGGTGGTTCGTTATGATTGATTCATAGGTGATAAGGGCAAGAATAAGGCAGAGGGTAGGACTCGTGGGCTTTGCTAAGGAATCTGAACTTCAACCAGAGGACAGTGGGGAACCACTGATGAGCTTGAGGCAGGAGCATGACAAGATCTGGTTATACTTCAGATAATTTACTTGGAGGGAATAGTGGAGAATTGGTGGTGGCGAGAGCCAGATTCCTTAGGAAGCCTTTGAGGTCGTCCAGGTAAGAGATGACTATAGGCCAAATTAAAGGTGTGGATATGACTGGGCGCAGTGGCTCATGCCTGTAATCCCAGTACTTTGGGAGGCCGAGGTGGGCGGATCACCTGAGGTCAGGAATTTGAGACCAGCCTGGCCAACATGTTGAAACTCCATCTCTACAAAAATACAAAAATTAGCCGGGCATGATGGTGGGTGCCTGTAATCCCAGCTACCCAGGAGGCTGAGGCAGGAGAATCACTTGAACCCAGGAGGCAGAGGTTGCAGTGAGCCAAGATCATGCCATTGCACTCCAGCCTGGGCGACAGAGTGAGACTGTCTCAAAAAAAAAAAAAAAAAAAAGATGTGGAGACAGAGGATGGACTTGATTTGAGAAGTGGCAGCGGGTAGTGGCTCACACCTGTAATCCCACACTTTGGGAGGCCCAAGTGGGAGGATCGCTTGAGGCCAGGAGTTAAGACCAGCCTGGCCAACATAGCAAGACCCCCACCTCTAAAAAAAAATTACAGATTAGCCATGCATGTTGGCACACACCTGTAGTTCTAGCTACTCCAGAGACCAAGGCAGGAGGAGTGCTTGAGCCCAGGAGCTCAAGGCTGCGGTAAGTTATGATCGTGCTATTGCCCGGGTGACAGAGCGAGACCCTGTCTCAAAAAAAAAAAAAGGCTGGCATGATGGCTCATGCCTGTAATCCCAGCACTTTGGGAGATGAAGGGGGGCAAATCACATGAGACCAGGAAGTTCGAGACCAGCCTGGCCAACATGGTGAAACCCCATATCTACAAAAAAGAGAAAAATTAGCCGGGCATGGTGGTGGGCACCTATACTCCCAGCTATTCAGGAGGCTGAGGCAGGAAAATCGCTTGAACCCGGGAGTCAGAGGTTGCAGTGAGCCGAGATTGCGCCATTGCACTCCAGCCTGGGCCAGAGCGAGACTCAAAAAAAAAAAAAAAAAAAAGTCATATACAGGATTCAGTGACTGGTGGAACTTGGATAACTCAGAGAGGACACCCAAGTTTTCTTGTGTCAGGAGCTGAGGGACTAGTGGTACCATTCACTGAGATGGGGTACAGAGAGGGAAGCAGGCTACAGAGTTGTTCAAAAGGCAAGTGACTCCACCGGTCTATAGTCTGGAGAGTGAGCTGGGCTGGAGTTAGATTTGAGACTCAGCAGCCTGGAGGTGTTTATTAAGACAAAGGTGGAGAGTGGATAGATTGTCCAGGGAGACAGCCCATGGAGTGAGGAGAGAATCACACCAGGGAGGGATCCTCAGGGCATGCAGACATATAAGGGACAGGCAAAGTAGGAAGATCCAGGAAAGCAACTGGCAGGAAGTCCCCAGAGAGACATGGAACAAGGAATACGGCGTCACAGAAACCAAGGGGAAAGCACATTTTGAGAAGAAGGCTGCAAACAGCAGTATATGGTGCAGCCAAGCAATTGAGACAAGGGATGGAGAAGGCTTACTGCAACCTCCGCCTCCTGGGTTCAAGCAATTCTCCTGCTTCAGCCTCCTGAGTAGCTGAGACTACAGGCGCCCGCCACCATGCCCAGCTAATTTTTGTGTTTTTAGTAGAGACGGAGTTTCGCCATGTTGGCCAGGCTAGTCTCTAACTCCTTACCTCGGGTGATCCACCCGTCTTGGCTTCCCAAAGTGCTAGGATTATAGATGTGAGCCACCACTCCCTGCCTGCTGTTGGGATCTTACCATGGAGACTGTTGGTGACTTTTTTTTTTTTTTTTTTTTGGAGACAACATCTCACTCTGCCACCCAGGTTGGAGTGCAGTGGCATGAGATCACAGCTCACTGTAACCTCGCCCTCCCAGGCTCAAGCAATCCTCCCATCTCAGTCTCCTGATTAGCTGAGACTACAGATGCATGCCACCACACCTGGCTAATTTTGTGTTTTTGGTAGAGACACGGTTTTGCCATGTTGCCCAGGCTGGTCTCAGACTCCTGAGCTCAAGCAATCCTCCCGCCCTGGCCTCCCAAAGTGCTGGGATTACAAGGTCACCGTGCCTGGCTGGTGACCTTGTCTTAAGAGCAGCCATCTCTGGGTAGCAGAGACAGAGCCAGAATGCTGTGGGGGAAGAGTGAGGGGAGGAGGGGAAAGTGGGGCTAAATCCAGGCAACACTTTCCAGAAGTTCAACGGGAAGGGGAAGCAAAAACTGAGGGACTGAGAGGGGGACAGTTAAAGGAGAATGCATAGCAAAGAGCTCGTTTTTTTCTTTTACAATGGGAGAGGTCAAAGAAAAAGGGGATAATTGGCCAGGCACGGTGGCTTACACCTGTAATCCAAGCACTTTGGGAGGCCGAGGCAGGTGGATCACCTGAGGTCAGGAGTTCGAGACCAGCCTGGCCAACATGGCGAAACCCCATCTCTACTAAAAGTACAAAAATTAGCCAGGCATGGTGGCAGGTGCCTGTAATCCCAGATACTCGGGGGGCTGAGACAGGAGAATCGCTTGAACCTGGGAGGCGGAGGTTGCGGTGAGCTGAGATCGCGCCATTGCACTCCAGCCTGGGCAACAAGAGTGAAACTCCGTCTCAAAAAAAAAAAAAGAAAGAAAGAAAAGAAAAAGGGGATAATTGACGGACGGATCCCTGAGGAAGTGGGAGGAGGTGAGAGCCAGAGCCTGGCTGGCGTGAGGCGGGAGAACAGGATGTGCTGCTGTGGGTAAATGTGTAGGAGGGGCAGCAGGAAGAGGGGGCATTCCCATCCAGTGGCCTCTCTTTTCTCAGTAAAGGAGAGGCAAGTTGGCCTACTGCCTGTGTCCCAGGGTCAGAAGGCTTGCCAAACCTATTCAGGGGCCTGTTGCAGTGAGAGGCCTTGCATTTACAGTAGCACCACTCTTTGGGGAAGTCCACCAGCAGCTCCCAGCAGCCTGGCAGGAGGAATGGAAAAAATGAGCAGTTGGTGGTTGAAGTCTTGCATGGTAGGGGTAAGGGGCTAAGCAAATTGTTGGACCAGGCTGGAGAGGGAGGGAAGTGAAAACAAAAAGAGGCCCCCAGAGAGAAACTAACAGGGTCAACCACTTATTGAGGGTCTACTATGACACAGGCAATGTGTAGGGAAAGAGAAATAAAAAGGTATGGCAGGCCGGGCACGGTGGCTCACGCCTGTAATCCCAGCACTTTGGGAGGCCGAGGTGGATGGATCACCCGAGGTCAGGAGTTCAAGATGAGCCTGGCCAACATGGTGAAACCCCGTCTCTACTAAAAATACAAAAATTAGCCGGGCATGGTGACGCACGCTTGTCGTCCCAGCTACTTGGGAGGCTGAGGCAGAAGAATTGCTTGAACCCGGGACGCGGAGGTTGTAATGAGCCGAGATCGCACTGTTGCACTCCAGCCTGGGCGAAAGAGCGAGACTCCGTCTCAAAAAAAAAAGGGCAATAGTTTCCAAACCTGGCATTCTTCAGAATTAAGCTGAAAAAAATAAAAAATGCAGAATCCTGGCTTCATTCCTGGGGTCTAGTAGGTCTAAGGGAAAGGGGGGTTGCACATGACAGTTATGTAGTCAGATCTGGAAGCCTCTTGGACCCATAGAAGAGGCAGAGGAGTAAACAGACGCGTGCAATATATACCGTGGGATAAGGCCATGGCCCTGGTCTGTACAGGCTGCCATGGAAGCCAAGAGGACTTGGGAGTGGGAATGCCGAGGAGATGACAAGGAGCCTTTCCTAGAGAAGGCGAGCCTGCTCTTGAACATGATGATGAGAGACAGCGCGCCACACACAAAGGGAAAGATGCCAAAGAAGCGTTCCACGCACAGGGAACAGCATGTGCAAAGTCAGGAACTCCAGGTCCCTTGGAACACACATGTGGAACTGCAGCTCATTTGGTGTGGATGGAGCACAGCACGTAAACGGGGGTGTGGTGAGAAGTCTCAGGAGAAGGAAGCAAGAACCAGATTGTCTGAGCCTTGTTCACCACACTCCACTTTCCATCCAAAGCACATTCTTCAGAAAGAGCCAGGGACGCCTAAGAGGCCAAGAATCCCAACTTGCACAATAAATAACTTAGAAAGCAGGCTCGGCTGGGCCTGGAAGGGTTAGACCCATCGGCTGGTATAATGCAGCAAATGTGATTTTTGCAGACCACTAGGTGGTGAGCAGTATTTTTGCTGTGACTGCAGACAGCATTCACAGATTTTTAGTTATTTATTTACTTTAAGGGAGAGGCATATGTCCTAAACACGCAAAGAATTATCGAAGGAGCCTTCCTTCTGGGCTCTGAGCCAAAACCAGGATAACAGACAGCCTGAAGTATCACATTTAAAGTATATGGACATTGTGGAAAGATGTTTTTCCCCCATATGGCTTCTCCTCCCTTTTGCCCTGGGCCCTGAAAGCCTGAAGTAGACTCCCACACTCTTTCTCTCCCTCTCTGTTCTCAGAAATCTCCAGACATATATTTGAAGATAAACCAACAAACACAGACATTTCATTTGTTTAGCAAACCGAAAGGTTACGTTTGGGGGGCTGTTCAAGTCATACTCTACCCACTTAACTTTCTGCAGTCTCCAAAATAGAGTCAATCTGTAATATCTTACAAAGTCAGAGTGACTTAGCTTTCAAAATAAACACACAATGATCGGAGGACAACCTAGGACTTTGCCATCCCAGGCCAATGTCATTCCCCAGAAAGGACTCAGGGCTCATTCTGTAATCCTGCTCCAATGCTCAAGGCTAGAGAATGCTTTTTGCCTGCACTCCTGATAATGAAAAGGAAAATCAGACTCTCAGGAGCAGCCCAAGACCACAGCTGGAGTATAAGACTCCATGGCCTCCAGAAACCTGACTCAGGAGCCGGGAAGAAGGCAGAACATTGTCCCCAAGGCATCTCTCAACACAGAGGTATCCATCCCGAGGGCTAGAAAAGATTCTGGAAGAGGAGAATGAAGGATCAAGGAGAAAGGCAGCCTTGCTATCTGAAAGCACAGGGCCCTGACACCACCTGTAGTTAAGCCTTATCTGGTACCCTGCCAGCCAAGGAGTGTCCTCATTAGGCAAATAGGAAAACAGAGGCTGAGTCCCAAAAGTCTGCAGCTTCACTTGACCCTGGGGATCAACTCCTCCTCCAACTGCAAAGGGGAATTTCTTGCAGATAAGCAATCTCCCATTCTGAGTTATTGCAGTCTCTTTTTCTACCCTGCTGACTCTGTGGCCACAGTGCACTTTCCACTTAAAAGAGTTAGGCCAGGCCAGGTGTATAATCCCAGCGCTTTGGGAGGCTGAGGCGGGCAGATCACTTGAGGTCAGAAGTTCAAGACCAGCCTGGTCAACATGGTGAAACCCTGCCTCTGCTGGGTGCGGTGGCTCACACCCAGCACTTTGGGAGGCTGAGGCTGGTAGATCACGAGGTCAGAAGTTCAAGACCAGCCTGGCCAATATGGTGAAACCCCGTCTCTACTAAAAATACAAAAAAATTATCTGGGCGTGGTCGTGGGTGCCTGTAATCCCAGCTACTGGGGAGGCTGAGGCAGAGAATTGCTTGAACCCGGGAGGCGGAGGTTGCAGTGAGCTGAGATCACGCCATTGCACTCCAGCCTGGGCGACAGAGCGAGACTCTGTCTCAAAAAAAAAAAAAGGAAAAAAAAAGAAAGGCTGCTTCTACTAAAAATACAAAAATTAGACGGGCATAGTGGCACGCGCCTATAGTCCCAGCTACTCAGGAGTCTAAGGCACAAGAATCGCTTGAACCCAGGAAGCAGATGTTGCAGTGAGCTGAGATCACACCACTGCACTCCAGCCTGGGCGACAGAGTGAGACTCCGTCTCAAAACAAAAAGGTAGGCTCCTAGAAGGAGGCTAATTGGAAGCTGCTGAGGGGGATGGAAAGTCTTCAATAACAAAGGTAGGAGTGATCAGGAGGGCCTGGGCTCAGAATTCACACCTCTCATTCTGTACCCAGTGTCTCAGGGTAGGTAGAAGTAGCACCCAGGCACTGGGAACCCTGGGAACATTCATCATGGTTAACACATGGTGAGTGAAGGGTTACTATATGTGGGGCATTGTGCCAAGCACTCCCCACGCACGATGTCATTTACGAAAAGACCATGTGGGATGGGAGGAAGCCACCAAGTTATGGCAGGGATGGCAGGAGAAAATCCTACAGCCTAAGACTACAGGGTCCTTGGCTATTATATTCATTTGACAGGGCTGCCATAACAAAATACCACAGACTGAGTGGCTTAAACAACAGAAGCTTATTGTCTTGCAGTTCTGGAAGCTAGAAGTCCAAGATCAAGCTGCTGGCAAGATTGGTTTCTTCTGAGGGCTGTGAAGGAAAAAGTCTGTTCCAGGCTTGTCTCTTTGGCCATCTTCTCCCAATGTCTCTTTACTTAGTCTTTCCTCTATGCATGTCTCTGTCCAAATGTCCCCTTTTTATAAGGACACCAGTCCCACTGGGTTAGGGCCTACCCTACTGATCTCATTTCAGCTTGATGACCTCTTTCAAGACCCATCTCCAAATAAGGTCACATTCTGAGATACTGGGGTTAGGACTTCAAAATACAAATTGGAGTGGGGACAACACAATTCAACGTGCAACAACAATCTCTAACCCAGCCCTCTCTTTATTTTATTTATTTATTTTTATTTATTTATTTATTTATTTTTTGAGATGGAGTCTCGCTCTTGTTGCCCAGGCTGAGTGCAATGGTGCAATCTTGGCTCACCGCAACCTCCACCTCCTGGGTTCAAGTGATTCTCCTGCCTCAGCCTCCTGAGTAGCTAGGATTACAGGCATGCACCAACATGCCCAGCTAATTTTGTATTTTTAGTAGAGACAGGGTTTCACCATGTTGGTCAGGCTGGGCTCCAACTCCCAACCTCAGGTGATCCACTCGCCTCGGC
Organism: Homo sapiens; assembly: GCF_000001405.40. Taxonomy (NCBI): domain Eukaryota; kingdom Metazoa; phylum Chordata; class Mammalia; order Primates; family Hominidae; genus Homo; species Homo sapiens. The sequence continues at coordinate 72,246,973 of NC_000010.11, forward strand.
CTCCCAAAGTGCTGGGATTACAGGCGTGAGCCACTGCGCCCAGCTATTTATTTTTTGAGATGGAGTCTCGCTCTGTCGCCCAGGCTGGAGTCCAGGGGCGTTACCTCAGCCCACTGCAACCTCTGCCTCCCAAGTTCAAGTAATTCTCCTGCCTCAGCCTCCCAAGTAGCTGGGATTACAGGTATGTGTCACCACACCTGGCTAATTTTTGTGTTGTTAGTAGAGATGGGGTTTCACCATGTTGGCCAGACTGGTCTCGAACTCCTGACCTCAAGTAATCCCCCCTCCTCAGTCTACCAAAATGCTGAGATTACAGGTGTGAGCCACCGTGCTCAGCCTCCAGCTGTTATTTTTATTGACAAAGTTATGAAAATATTTGAGTGGGAAAGTGATTTGCACAGGCTCCATCAAGTTGACAAAACCAAGATCGGAACACAGGTCTTTTGGGGCCCCCAGCCTTCAGCAGACTTCCCCAGGAGTAGCAGTATTGCCTGCTTTTGGAAACCTCTTCTCCAAGAAGGGAATCCCTGAGCTTGGGCCAGTCTAGGAAGCACCCAGTTGAATCTACAGGCCTAGGACACATGAAAACCCTTTTACCAACCAACATCTGGAAAGGGACTCTGCAATGCCAGGGTAGAAGGAGCCTTATTCATGGAGCTTCATAGAGGCACTGGGTCTTATTTTCTTTGAGACGGAGTTTCACTCTTCTTGCCCAGGCTGGAGGGCAGTGGTGTGATCTCGGCTCACTGCAACCTCCGCCTCCCGGGTTCAAGCGATTTTCCTGCCTCAGCCTCCCGAGTAGCTGGGATTACGGGCATGCACCACCATGCCCAGCTAATTTTTGCATTTTTTTAGTAGAGATGGGGTTTCTCTATGTTGGTCAGGCTGGTCTCAAACTCCCGACATCAGGTCCTCCGTCTGCCTCAGCCTCCCAAAGTGCTGGGATTACAGGCATGAGCCACCCCCTCCGGCTTGGGTCTTATTTTCAATGGCCAGGCCTCTCATTAACGTGGCAGGAATGCAGCCTGTGCGGAGCTCCCAACAGTGCAGTTTGCCAGAAGTTGGCTGGGATTGTGCTGGGTTTCTCAAGGTTCCCCTCCTTGTTCACTCTCTTCAGACCCACCTTTGCCTGCAGCTGGCAAGCAGCTGATAGATCTCTATTTTGCTGTTGTGAGAATTCACCAAAAAGGCACTTCTAAAAGCCTCATGCAACTAGCAGGAGAAACATAGGTTTAGAGCCTTGCTCCTGCAGCTTCAAAAACAAGGAGGCAAAAATTGAGATTGAATATAGCACAGAGTGTGGGTGACACCAAACCACGGACTGAGTTGATAGGCTGCAGGGAAGGAAGTGAAAAGTTCACCTTGTCCTTCCGTCTAACAGAGGACTGCTGGTTTTGCAGAGGTTTGCTTTTTTTTTTTTTTCCATTCAATAAAAATAGCTCGGTGGGACAACATATTATAGCATTCGTGGAAATAAAAACTAGGAACCACATCATAGGATGTTCTGCTCCAAACTTGGCGCTGATCCCCCAGGCAGCTCCAAGTTCCCTCTGATTCAGGCAGCAGCGACGGAGGCCCTCCCCTGTCCCAGGTGGGACCCGGCCTTCAGAGAGGAAGGGAGGTGGTGGTATGAGGCATCAGCTGTTTCCTTTGCCTGTGGGCCAAGATCCTTGCCATGGCAGAAATACAACTTTGTCCCCAGTGTCTGCCTTCTGCACTGTAAAAAGCAAGTTTCCATCACAAAGGGTTGCGATTCAGGAAACCAGGGTTAGAGGCAAACGGGTCTTATTTGAAAATGGTAAAACCTGGCCAGGCCTTGGACTTCCTGCATTGGTTGCTCTCCTGGGACCTGGGACCAGCCCAGCAGGGTGGGGTGGGGCAGCAATGCAGGTTACAGGATGTGAAAGTGGGGACTGAGGTTAGGAAAAAGAATAAAAGGCTGTGACCAGAACACACCCAGCAGAGGCCATGTGCAGTTCTCTTCTTCAGGGTTTCCTGTGGGTACACTGAGAACATTGTGTTCTGGCTGAGAACTTATCCGGCGGAGCCTGCTGCATACGTGGCCCCTGGGTCCTAGTGCTGCCTCTTACCTAGCCTCAGGCCTGGCTCCCCTGCCTGCACCTGCGTGCAGCCCACTGTATGACCCAGGGAGGCTGTCTCCATTGTGTCCTCCTGCTGGGTGAGGCCCCCGGCCACCAGACTCCGAGCACTTAAGATTCTGACCCATCCCGCATTTCCAAAGCATCTTCAGCGTGCCGGGTGCCATCACACAGTCGCGTTTCATATCCCTCATAACAAAACATCCTTCAGATGACAAAACTGAGGTTCAGGGAAACTGAGAGGAACAACCAACATCAGTATTTATTTTTATTTATTTATTTTAGAAAGGGGGGTTTCACTTCCACCCAGGTTGGAATGCAGTGGTGCGTTCATAGCTCACTGCAGCTTCCAACTCCGGGCCTCAAGTGAACCTCAGCCTCCTGAGCAGCTGGGACTACAGGCACGCACCACCACCCCTGGCTCATTTTTGTATTTTTTGTAGAGACAGGGTCTCATTATGTTGCCCAGGCTGGTCTCGAACTCCTGGGCTCAAGCAACCCTCCCGCCTCGGCTACCCAAAATGTTGGGATTAAGACATAAGCCACTATGTGCCTGGCCTATGCCAGTATTTATTTATTTATTTATTTATTTATTTATTTATTTATTTATTTATTTATTTATTTTTGAAATGGAGTTTTGCTCTTGTTGCCCAGGCTGGAGTGCAGTGGCATGATCTCGGCTCACCGCAACCTCTGCCTCCCGGGTTTAAGCAGTTCTCCTGCTTTAGCCTCCCGAGTAGCTGGGATTATAGGCACCCACCACCACACCGGGCTAATTTTTGTATTTTTAGTAGAGACAGGGTTTCACCATGTTGGCCAGGCTGATCTTGAACACCTGACCTCAGGTGATCCACCTGCCTCAGCCTCCCAAAGTGCTGAGATGACAGGCGTGAGCCACCATGCCTGGCTGCCACTATTTATTAAAGGTTCTTGGATGCAGGTCTCATGTCACTTCGGGATAACTGATTTTGAGGCATTATTTCAAACTCTTGCAATGAATGTGAGCATTTTCTCTCAAAGTTTCTCTCCAGGTGATTTTGAGAATAGATGCTTTCTCTTTTTTATTTTTTGTTTGCTTGAGACAGGGTCTCATTCTGTCGCCCAGGCTGGAGTGTGCAGTGGCGTGATCTTGGCTCATTGCAGCTTCAACCTCCCTGGATCAATTGATCCTCCTGCCTCATCCTCCTGAGTAGCTGGGACTACAGGTTTGCACCACCAAGCCCCGCTAATTTTTTTTTTTTTTTTTTTTTTGAGACGGAGTCTCTTTCTGTCGCCCAGGCTGGAGTGCAGTGGTGCAATCTCGGCTCACTGCAACCTCCACCTCCCGGGCTCAAGCAGTTCTTCTGCCTCAGCCTCCCGAGTAGGTGAGACTACAGGCATGCGTCACCACGCCTGGCTAATTTTTGTATTTTTAGTAGAGACGGGGGTTTCACCATATTGGCCAGGCTGGTCTCGAACTCCTCACCTTGTGATCTGCCCGCCTTAGCCTCCCAAAGTGTTAGGATTACAGGCATAAGCCACCATGCGCAGCCAATTCTCTTATTTTGTTGTTGTTATTGTTGTAGAGACAGATCTCACTGTGTTGCCCAGGCTGGTATTGAACTCCTGGACTCAAGCCTTCCTCCCACCTCAGCCTCCCAAAGTGCTGGGATTACAAGGTGTGAGCCACCACACCTGGTTGGTACTTTCTTAATGATTCTCTGAAATAGATAAAAGCTCAGGCAGGTGGGCCCAGAGCTGTCCAGAGGAGCCTGAGCCTGAGTCCCGCCCTGGCCTGCTCAGAGCCAGGAGAGTCTGCCCTCTGCATGAACTCCCTCAACTGCTGATCTGCTGCCATAAGCCTCTATGCAGCAGCCACATCAGCCTCTGGATTCTTCTGTGCTGTGTAAGGTCCTGGAACTCAGAGGCATATGCTGGGTCCCATAGCCAAGGATCAGTGGGCCAGCAGAGGAGAGGGGACTTAGGAGGGGGATGGAGGCTCTCCAGTTAGATCTTTGCAATTCTTTGGGTTTTTTTGTTTGTTTCTTTCTTTGTTTTGTTTTTTTTTTTTTTTTAATAATAAAGACAAGATCTCACTATGTTGCCCAGGCTGGTCTCAAACTCCTAAGCTCAAGTGATCCTCCCACCTCGGCCTCCCAAAGTGCTAGGATTACATGCGTGAGCCACTGTGCCTGGCCATCTTTGAAAAAAAATTTTTTTTTTTTTTGATGGAGTCACTCTGTCGCCCAGGCTGGAGTGCAGTGGTGCGATCTTGGCTCACCACAACCTCTGCCTTCCGGGTTCAAGCAATTCTCCTGCCTCAGCTTCCCGAGTAGCTGGGATTACAGGTGCATGCCATCACGCCCTGCTAATTTTTTTTGTATTTTTAGTGGAGATGGGGTTTTGCCATGTTGGCCAGGCTGGTCTCAAACTCCTGACCTCAGGTGATCTGCCTGCCTTGGCCTCCCAAGGTGCTGGGATTACAGGCATGAGCCACTGCTCCCAGCCCATCTTTGCAATTTTTGAACTAAGTTCTAGATTATACCCTCCCTACCAGATTGCAAATCTCTTTTTCCAAGTCATCTTTGTATCCCGTCCAGTCACACCTTTGCCTTGTGTGTGTGGAGTCCTTGATCCACAGTCATTGAATGACTTGAATTAAAGCCACTCACTAGATGGCCTTTCCCCCAGCTACAGCTCATGGTCACTCAATAACTACACAATGAACACCTACTGTATACTAAGCCCTGGCTGAGATAATGGGCACACAATTGCCAAAAACAAATACACAGAGTCTCTGCCCCTCGTAGAGATCACAGTCCAGTGGAAACAAAGACATATAGTAAGTAGGAGCAGTCCTGAGGGCTCACGATTATCTCAGGGGACCTTGTGATCTGCCCGCCTCAGCCTCCCAAAGTGTTGGGATTACAGGCGTGAGCCACCGTACCCAGCCAATTTTCTTATTATTATTATTTTTTTTTTTTATAGAGATAGGGTCTCACTGTGTTGCCCAGGCTGGTATTGAACTCCTGGGCTCAACGTGCCCAGTTTTAACACTTCCTAACACTTCCTAACGATGTGGTCGTGGGCAAGGCACCAGCCTCAGTTTCTTGCTTTGTAAAATAAACACCTCCTTTAGGCCAGGCATGGAGGCTTATGCCAGGTACCATAGGTGACCGCAGAGCAGGGGGATCCAAGGCTGAGGGTCCAGGAACATTTCCTTGAAGAAGAGACAGATTTTTAAGCTGAGACCCAAAGGGGAGGGAGATAAATCTGCCAGATGAAGGAGACTGGGAAAAGCGGTTTGGGCAGAACTAACAGTGTTTGTGAAGACCCAGAATTTAGAGAGCACGTGGCTCATTTAAAGAACTCACAGGGCCAGGTGAGGTGGCTCATGCCTATAATCCCAACACTTTGGGAGGCCGAGGCAGGCAGATCACCTGAGGTCAGGAGTTCGAGACCAGCCTGACTAACATAGTGAAACCCAGTATCTACTAAAAATACAAAAATTAGCTGGGCGTAGTGGCGGGCACCTGTAATCCCAGCTATTCGGGAGGCTGAGGCAGGAGACTCACTTGAACCCAGGAGGCGGAGGTTGCAGTGAGCTGAGATCACACCATTGCACTCCAGCCTGGGTGACAGACCGAGACTCCATCTCAAAAAAAAAAAAAAAAAAAGAAAGAACTGACAGAAGTTTCCTAAGCCTTCTGAACTCCAGCCAACAGGACGATCTTCCAACCCTCACTCTAGGGGAGACCCCAGGCATTGTTGTTACCAGATAGAAAGGAATCTACTGCTTTTTTATGGCCTTTCCCCAGGCCCCAAACCCCGGTCCTGGGAAACAGAAGGAATCCTCAAAAATGGCTGGGGCACACTGAGGCAAGAATGCCATGGGTGTGGTTGAGAAGGTAGCTTCTGGTCCAGATGCTGGAATCCTGGATTAAGACCCTGGGCAAATCACTTCCCACCTCTCTCTAGATCTCAATTTTCATGCTTCATGGATCCTCGGCATTTAGCACAACGTCCAATACTCCAGCTTTTTTGAATTAATGAACAGCTGCAGTTCCCATTTGTAAAAAGATTCCTTGCAATGCTAAGATTCTGGATCTGAGAGCCACAGTCATGCCTGCCCAGGACTCTTTGAGCAACAGAAGCACCATGAAAGGAACCAGCACAGTGCCCAGCACACCCACAGCAAATGTTTGTTGAACGAATGAGTGTTTCCCCTGAAGTCACTATAAGAGCTGTGATCCTTCCTTACTTTTCTCAACAGCTGCTCTGATCTCCAGCACTCCTAACCCTGTGCAGTTATTGTCACTCACCCACTCCAAGGCAGATGCCATGTTTCATGAAGGTAAACCCTGGCTCATGCCTTTAGTGCCCTATCCTAGAGGAAAAAGATCTAAGATGACTCTGTATGGAGTTGAGAGGTAGTACAAGAAAGAAAAAGACTAAGAGTTTCAATCTGAAAATTAACACATATCTCATTTTGCACTTTCTGTCTCCCCAAAGTCAAACCTGCCAGATGTTCTGTCCCACTCCTGTAAACAACTAAAACTCACCATGGTCTGCTGGCAGAGCTCTGAAATGGGCAAATGCTCCCTGATCCACCATACTGCCTACTTGCCCTGAGCCAGGTGGCTATAGGAAGGGCAAGAGTTCCCAGCTGGGCAAACCCTCAACACATTTTCCCTCTCTCGTGGGTTTCCAGGCTAGTCCGCAGAAGCCTGGTTCATCCACAACCGTACTGAAACATAGAATTAATTCCGGCTATACCCTGGGTGAGCTAGGCCATTATGGCAGCCAAACCACCACTTACAGCATAATTTCTATGGGAGAATGTGTTCTGAGCTCCAAGCAACCAAATTATAAGCGGGACATAGGCACACCCAGGCTCGAATCCCAGTTTTTTTTGTTCGTTTGTTTTGTTTTGTTTTTGAGATAGCGTTTCACTCTTGTCACCCAGGTTGGAGTGCAGTGGTGCAAATTTGGCTCACTGCAACCTCTGTCTCCCGGGTTCAAGCGATTTCCCTGCCTCAGCCTCTCAAGTAGCTGGGATTACAGGCGTGTGCCACCATGTCCAGCTAATTTTTGTATTTTTTTAGTAGAGACAGGGTTTAGTATTTTTAGCAGAAACAGGGTTTCACCATGTTGGCCAGGCTGGTCTCGAACTCCTGACCTCAGTTGATCTGCCCGCCTTGGCCTCCCAAAGTGCTGCAATTACAGGCATGAGCCACCGCACCCGGCCTCGAATCCCAGTATTATCACTTCCTAACGATGTGATCATGCGCAAGGCACCAGCCTCAGTTTCTTGCTTTGTAAAAAAACAAAACAAAAAAAAAAAAAACACCGCCTTTAGCCCAGGCATTGAGGCTCATGCCTGTAATCCCAACTGTTTGGGAGACCAAGGCAGGAGGAGTTCAAAACCAGCCTGGTCAACATAGAGAGACCCCATCTGTACAAAAGAAAAATTTTAAAATTTAGCTAGGCATGGTGGCACATGCCTGTAGTCGCAGCTACTCAGGAGGCTGAGGCAAAGGATCACTTCAGTCCAGGAGCTTGAGGCTGCAGTGAGCTATGATCATGCCACTGCACTTCAGCGTGGGTGACAGAGCAAGACTGTCAAAAAAAAAAAAAAAAACCAGAATACCTCTTCTAGAAGGTTCTAGTGTATAATAAATAGACACCTGTGAAAAGGCCTCAGCTGCTCCTGGCACACAGGGGCTTTTGCAGAGAGGCCCTGGAGACAAGACCCAGGCAGAGTCCCTCTGAGCGACTTATCCAGCTTTGCATAGGGGCATTACCACTGGACTTGGGCTCAGAGCAAGTGTTTATGAGATAAATGAGGTGCCGTCTCAGAATCACAGAGCACTCCTCTACCTTTGACCTTCTGCAGGCTTTCACTGGCTTCTAAGAGCCAAGAACCTTCTCCGCCCCCACCCAGCTCTCTCTCCCCTGCAATCTCTCCATGAACAGCATTGTTTTAGCTTCCTCTGCTCTGGGTCCTGGGAAGGGGCTTGGCCTCCAGAAGGGGCCAGATGCCCTGGCCTCTCACCCCAGGCCTGGAAGTTAGCCTGGCCTGCTAGCGGGCAGCCCAAAAGAGCCAGCAGAGAACCAGGGCACGCTCCCAGGAACACCAGGGCTGGTAGCAAGCCGACCTCCTCCCGCGGAGGCTGGGGTTTGGCCCCTCCTTCATCTGTTTGTTTCCCTGCTGCAGCCAGAACGGTCTGTACCCGAAGGATGGTGCTAACGGCCAAGGAATCCGTAGGGTCCTAAAGTTCGACCTACTTCCTTTCCTTGCCCTTGTTCCCCAAATTCAGGGTTTCCTGGCCATGGGCTTGTTGTCCCTTGCCTAGGGTCACTGGCACTGTGGAGATCAATCACCTTGAGTGAGGCCCCCTACACGGCACTGTGCTTCCCCCGGTCCACCCCCCAGGTGCCATGGCCCTGTAGCCTCCTCCCTGGTTCCAGTCCTGTCCATCTGTCAATAGGCCTCCCTCCCTGGCACTGCTCACTGGGTCTCAGTTGTCCAGCCCCCACCCCACCTCCTTACCCATCACCCCCAATCCTGCCATAGCAAAAAAAAAATTCTTGTGAAAAGAATATAAGCTCATGGTAAAAATCTACCAGTGTAAAAGGTGTAGAAAGAAAAAGTAGGCTGGGCACGGTGTCTCACGCCCATAATCCTAGCACTTGGGGAGGCTGAGGTGGGCAGATCACCTGAGGTCAGGGGTTCGAGACTAGCCTAGCCAACATGGCAAAACCCCATCTCTACTAAAAATACAAAAATTAGCCGGGTGTGGTGGCACAAGCCTGTAATTCCAGCTACTTGGGAGACTGAGGCAGGTGAATCGCTTGAACCCAGGAGGCAGAGGTTGCAGTGAGCCGAGATCACGCCACTGCACTCCAACCTGGGCAACAGAGTGAGACTCTCTCTGTCTTAAAAAAAAGAAAAAAAAGAAAAAGAAAAAACTTTTTTATCCCTCTTCAACAGCTTCTCCAGCATCCTTCTAGATGTTTTCTCAGCATGTTTAAAAGTGTGTATCTGCAGAGGAGTGTCCTCTTTTGTCTCCCCTCAGCCTGGGATTATACTGTACAAATTGTTCTGCAACCTGTTCCTGTCACCTCACAGCAGATCTTGGACATCTTTCCAAAATCTACCTCCCTCTTTTTAACACCCACATAATTTCCCATGATTGGGATGTACTGTAATTTATTTAACTGTTTTCCTACCAGAGACACTTAGGTGGTTTTCAGTTTTTGCAATCATGACCTAATTGTTTCCCTGCCTTAGGTCTCCAACCTCCAATCTGCCCTCCACACCACTGCTAGATTCCAATCCCCAATCTGATTTGTCATCCCCAGTATAAACCTCTTCCTGGTGGTAGGGTTATTCACTAGGTGTCTATTGCCCCCATATACCTTAAGCTGCTCAAGACCAGGTGTTGCCTTGGAGCTCCTGGCAAGGAACTCTCCAGACACGTCAACTCAGCACTTTCTGAGCCAGTCTCAGCACTGCCCTGGGGAAATGTATGGAGGTTCGCAGGCCATACGGATACTCATTCTTTTTTTTTTTTTTTTTTTTTTGAGACACAGTCTCACTCTCTCACCCAGGCTGGAGTGCAGTGGAACGATCTTGGCTCACCGCAACCTCTGCCTCCCAGGTTGAAGCGATTCTCCTGCCTCAGCCTCCCAAGTAACTGGGATTACAGGTGTGCACCACCACGCCCAGATAATTTTTGTATTTTTTTAGTAGAGACAGGGTTTTGCCATGTTGGCCAGGCTGGTCTTGAACTCCTGACCTCAGGTGATTCACCCACCTCTGCCTCCCAAAGTGCTGGGATTACAGGTGTGAGCCACCACGCCTGGCCTCATTCTTTTTTTTTTTTTTCATATATTATTATTGGAAACTCTGTGGGCTGGGCTTTTTGTGCAGGGCACCAGGAGATCCAGGACAAAATAGATACAAACCCTGGCCTCTTAGAGCTTGCAGTGTATTGGGAAAGTCAGGCATTGGACATCCACAGAGATAGATGAATGAATGATTACAAAGGGAATTAGTGGTTTGAAAGGAAACAGCAGGAGAGAAGAAGGGATTGCAGGCAACCGGGGAAGCCCCCTCTGAAGAGGTAACAAGCTGCAGTGGAGAGATACCAGCAGACTGTGGGATCTGGTTCCCACACTGGAACCAGATTCTGGACACTTCCCCTTTATTCTCCTCAAATGTACAAGAAGGGGAATCCCCCTTTCAGTTTTAACTTTCTGTGACAATAATAAGTGCTGGCTGAGTTCAGAGGGAGTAGAGTTCCCCACCGCCTGGGAGGGGTCAGGGAGATTTCTTGCTGATTCCACACTGACCTTGAGTCACATGTGGGCTCCAGTTCCATTCAATTCTGGGTCAAACACTTGTTGAGTATATACTGTATATATCCCAACACTGGGACAGGGGTGTGTGTGGGTGTGTTGGGGGGAATTATAGTGGTGGTGGCAGAGGGTATTTAAAGATTTATATAAGACAGCTGGGTGCGGTGGCTCATGACTGTAATCCCAGCACTTTGGGAGGCTGAGGTAGTTGGATTATTAGGGACCAGGAGCTTGAGACCAGCTTGGCCAACATGGTGAAACCCCTGTCTCTACTAAAAATACAAAAATTAGATGGGCATGGTGGCACGTGCCTGTAATTCCAGCTACTCGGGATGCTGAGACAGGAGAATCACTTGAACCCGGGAGGTGGAAGTTGCGGTGAGTCAAGATTGTGCCACTACACTCAAGCCTCGGTGATAGAGTGAGACTCCATCTCAAAAAAAAAAAAAAAAAAAGACTTACAATACATATATTGGGAGGCCAAGGCAAGAGGATTGCTTGAGACCAGGAGTTCAAGACCAGCCTGGTCAGCATAGTGAGACCCTGTCTCTACCAAACATTTTAAAAATAAAAACAATTTTTTTTTTGTTTTAAGATTTAAAATATGTGCCAGGCTTGGTGGCTCACACCTGTAATCCCAGCACTTTGGGAGGCTGAGGCAGGCAGATCATCTGACATCAGGAGTTCAAGACCAGCCTGGCCAGCATGGTGAAACCCTATCTCTACTAAAAATACAAAAAAATTAGCTGGGCGTGGTGGTGTGTGCCTGTAATCCCAGCTACTCCGGAGGCTGAGGCAGGAGAATCGTTTGAACCCAGGAGGTGGAGTTTGCAGTGAGCCGAGATCCAGCCACTGCACTTCAACCTCAGCATCAAGAGCGAAACTCCGTCTAAAAAAAAAAAAAAAAAAAAAAAAAGATTTGAAATATATGACCTCTGAAAGAGTTTACAATCTGATGGAGCATCAGACCCAGGATAGGATCCTTTCAATATTAGCTACTGGGCTGGGCACGGTGGCTCACGCCTGTAATCCCAGCACTTTGGGAAGCCAAGGTGGGCAAATGACCTGAGGTCAGGAGTTCGAAACCAGCCTGGCCAACATGGTGAAACCCCATCTCTACTAAAAATACAAAAATTAGCTGGGCATGGTGGCGGGTGCCTGTAATCCCAGCTACTCAGGAGGTTGAGGACCAAGAATCACTTGAACCCAGGAGGCGGATGCTGCAGTAAGTCAAGATTGCACCACTGCACTCCAGCCTAGGCGACAAAGTTTGATTCCATCTAAAAAAAAGCTATTGAAGGAGAAGGGAGCAACTCATACTCATGCACAGCTGTGTGATTGAGCACAGGCTTCCAAGGCACCAGGCCTGGCCTGGACTCGCTACCCTGAATTCTCCAGCAGGGGAACAAGAGGGTTCCCAAACCTGTTCAAGGAGGGCTTCTCAAAGGACCTGGAGCTTAACACAAGCTGGGAGTGTGAGCTGTAGCTATAAGGTGGGAAGTGCATTGAAGAAGAGTAATTGGTGTGAAGGTAGGAGCAAGCTGGAAGGGAAGCCACTTGGGACCCCACAGAAATGGCATCTCACCGGGCACAGGGAATCTGGAAAAGGTAAATTATGGCTGGGCACGGTGGCTCATGCCTGCAATCCCAGCACTTTGGCAGACTGAGGCAGACAGATCACTTGAGGCCAGGAGTTTGAGACCAGCCTGGCCAACATGGTGAAACCCATCTCTACTAAAAATACAAAAATTAGCCAGGTGGGTGGCACACACCTGTAATCCCAGCTACTTTGGAGGCTGGGACAGGAGAATCACTTGAACCCAGGAGGTAGAGGTTGCAGTGAGCTGAGATCACACTACTGCACTCCAGCTTGGGGGACAGAGCAAGACCCTGCCTCAAAAAAATAAATTAATTTTTTTTTTTTTTTTAAAAGAGCATGTTAAGGAGTACAGGCATCCGTTTTTCTCAGGGCCAAAGATTTCCTATCCCAGTGGGAGCACCAGATGAGAGAAGAGAAAAATCTGCTGTGACCTCTGCCAGTCTCACTTCCAGGTCTATGTGTCTGTCTTTAGCATGATTAAAATACTGTAAATTATATGCTTATCCTTTGTTGATGTTCTCTTTATGATCCACCTTATGTGGCTGTATATATTTTGCATATCTACATACATATTACTATGCAAAGTTGTATACACAAAGCCATGCATACTGTACTTTATGGAAAATTTAAGAGCGTTTCAGATATAATTAGAACCATATGTGTTTTTCCCCTTCTGGGCTGTGGGTGGGAAATGAATCTAGAGCCTGCCCCCGAGGCTTGCGAGGCTGAACTAAGCAGCCAGACTGGCTCTAAAGGCAATGGGGAGCTATTAAAAGGTTTGGAGAGGGAGGTCCTAGTGAGGCTGAACAGAGGTAAAATAAACAGAAAGTTCCAGGCTCTCCTTGCTTCTACTTAAGAAAAATCAGAGCAGTAAATCCCAAACCAGTTCTGCCCACAACTCAAATGCAGATGAGCATCCCTTGCTCCATCTATGCAGGAAAGCCATAGTGTGGGGCTGTAGGACTATGGAGTCAGCCTCTGCAAGCAACAAGGCTCAGAGGCTGAGGGGCTTCAGGCCCCAGCAAAACCCAGTGATCCTGTTGTCAAATCTGAATGTCATCATCTGCCTCCAGGGCGACCAGCTCTGGATGGGGGTGTCAGGGTCAGGATCCTGTTCCATGTGGCAAGAGCTTGGGGAAGCTGCTGCAGGCCTACTGATGACCTTCTTTCCTGGCCCAGACACTCTTAAAAACTTCCTGGCGAGGGAGGCAACACACCTTATTGTGCAGCCCTCATCGAACGCATCAGCTGCACTAAGTGCTGAAGAAAAGTTCCCATAATAACCATGTGTGATAATAAAAAGATAAAGAGGCAAATAGGTATGTAGGTCAGCTCAAAAATAGCCACCCACCCGCCTGGCCTGGGTAGCCCTTTGTGCCAAGTGGGTAGAAAGGTTTTCCTTGCTTCCCTTCCCAAGCTGATGCCCCCTGCACTTTTCAAGGTTGCCTTAAATACAACTCCTTCCTGCACTAGCTGGGGTAGCCAGGGCAGTAGGGACTGCAGCCCTACAGGGGCAGCCCTGCGCTCCCTCCACCAAATCAATCCTGGGGTCAGAGGGCACAAAGGCTTGGCCTCTCTGACGTGAGTTCTCGGGGCTAAGTCAGGGTTTAGGGTAGTGAGTCACAGACATTCTTTCCCCCATCCCTTAGGGTTTGCGCACACCCAGGAAGCCTTCCCCTCCCCAACAGAGACCGCTTTGTTAGCACGACCCACCCGGTTGGAGAAGAGTTACAGCCTCAGGGGTGTGAGGGCCTCCTCGGCCTCTCCCTCCCTCCCCCTCTCTCCTCTCTAGGGCTCTCACCAGAAAGGCGCCAACCCTGCGCCCTGCCCCCACCCAGCCGCCGGGGCCCCAAATGCTGAGCTCAGCATCTCTGTGGCCTGGCTGCCCTCCTCCCGGGCAGTGGGAGGAGCCTCCTTCCTCCCGAGGGTGGGCGGGGCCAGGGCCAGCCCCGCCCTCCTCCCCGTTCCCCCTCTCCCTCCATCCCCCTCCCGTTCCTCAGTCGCACGTTCTCCAAGTCACGTCCCCCGCTTCCCCTAGTAGGGGGTCGACGGAGATTGGACCCTTCCCCCAGTCAGCTGCTCTGCATCTGTCACCTCGGCGGCAGCGCTCCCTTGAGGTCGCACCTCCGCTGTGGAGGGAGGCGAGAGCGAGCTGAGTGGGGGGTCTTCCCTTCCCCCATCCCGCTGGCCCCAGACAAGCCACCGCAGACCGCGGCGAAATCAGTTAAGCTCTTGCGTGCACCAGTTCCCGGAGCAGAGTCTGAAAGTTTTTGTGTTTCTGTGCGGCTACTTTTAAGTATAAAAAATTCAGCAGTGGCTCCTGGGTGCCTATGTCAGCGTCTGGCCCTTTGTGGATTACGTACGGGACAACTGGGGTGGGGAAGGGCCCCTCTTCACAGGCAGCAATTCCCAGAGTGGCCTTCCTATGGGACCCCAGAGCTCCCAGGGGGAGGATCCCAGAGGGGGATATGGTAACAGAATCACTGTCACTTCTGGGATTGAGGGTGGCAGCTAAAGGGAAACCCCTCGAGTGTCAGTCGGACTTGCCATTTGAGTCAGCACTGCTAGGTGCTGCTGAATTCTGCAGGGGGAGGAAGAACCTGATCAGATAAAACAAGGGCTGACCTAGAGAAAGTCTCTTGGGTCAACATATTCTTAGCGATAACAGAAGATCACTCCAACTGTTCTACACCCCACCCTACAACATTGACCCCCCGCTTTCCAGCATTTACAGTCCCTTTTAGTTTACAACTAAGAGTATGGGTTGCCTGGGATCAGGAAATGAGCCTAGATGTAGAGTCCTGGCTCCAGCCTTGCTGACACTATGTGACTCACTGCACCTATCTGAATCTCAGTTTTCTCACCTGTGCAGTGACATTGATGAGGTCTGTCCTGCCTACAAACTCTACACACATATATTAGTTGTTGTTTTTTAATTTTTAGTAGAGATGGGGTTCTCACAACTTGCCCCAGGCTGGTTTGAACTCCTGGATTCAAGCAATCCTCCCATCTCCACCTCCCAAATGCTGGGATTACAGGTGTGAGCCAGTGTACCAGGCCAGTATTATGCTGGGATTACAGGTGTGAGCCACCATACCAGGCCTTTATTTTTGTTTTGTTGGTTTGTTTCGTTTTTGTTTGAGATAGCGTCTCACTCTATCACCCAGGCTGGAGTGCAGTGGAACGATCTTGGCTCACCGCAACCTCCGCTTCCCGGGTTCAAGTGATTCTCCTGCCTCAGCCTCCCAGGTAGCTGGGATTACAGGTGCATGCCACCAAACCTGGGTAAATTTTGTATTTTTAGTAGAGACAGGGTTTCACTATGTTGGCCATGCTGGTCTCAAACTCCTGGCCTCAAGTGATCCACTCGCCTCAGCTTCCCAAATCATGTGCTGGAATTACAGGTGTGAGCCACTGCCCAGCCTAAGTCTTTTTTTTTTTTTTTTTTTTTTTTGAGACAGAGTCTTGCTTTTTGACCCAGGCTGGAGTGCAGTGGCACAATCTCAGCTCACTGTAACCTCAGCCCCCTGGGCTCAAGTGATTTTCCCACCTCAGCCTCCCAAGAAGCTGGGAATACAGATACACTCTACCATGTCCAGCTAACTTTTTGTCTCTTTAGTAGAGATGGGATTTCACCATGTTGGCCAGGCTGGTCTTGACCTCCTTGACTCAAGTGATCTGCCCACCTTGGCCTCCCAAAGTGCTGAGATTACAGGCATGAGCCACCATGCCCAGCCTCCAGTTGTTATTTTTATTAACAAAGTTATGAAAATCCTTTAGAACATGTGGAAAAAGACAAAAAGTTATAAGGCTGGGTGCAGTGCCTCACACCTGTAATCCCAGCACTTTGGGAGGCCGAGGTGAGCAGATCGCCTGAGGTCAGGAGTTCAAGACCAGCCTGGCCAACATGGTGAAACCCTGTCTTTACTAAAAATACAAATATTAGCCAGGCATGGTGGCGGGCACCTGTAATCCCAGCTACTTAGGAGGCGGAGGCAGGAGAATCGCTTAAATCCAGGAGACAGGTTGCAGTGAGCCACGATCGTGTCCAGCCTGGGCAACACAAGACTCCATCTCAAAATTAAAAAAAAAAAAAGTTATGAAAGCCCTAAAAAATATGGAAGTGTGTTTTTTTGTTTGTTTTGGTTTTTTTGAGACGGAATTTCACACTGTTGCCCAGGCTGGAGTCTAGTGGCGCGATCTAGGCTCACTGCAACCTCTACCTCCCGGGTTCAAGCGATTCTCCTGCCTCAGCCTCCCGAGTAGCTGGGATTACCGGCGCCCGCCAGCACGCACGGCTAACTTTTTCTATTTTTAGTAGAGATGGGGTTTTACTATTTTGGCCAGGCTGGTCTCAAACTCCTGACCTCATGATCCGCCTGCCTTGGCCTCCCAAAGTGCTGGGATTACAGGCGTGAGCCACCGTGCCAGGCCTGTGCAAGTGTTTTTAGAATCCTGAAGCGCTCCATAAGGGTCAATGATCTTTGTGAGGAGGCTGGTGCGGTGGTTCACGCCTGTAATCCCAGCACTTTGGGAGGCTGAAGGGGGCAGATCACCTGAGGTCAAGAGTTTGAGACCAGCCTGGCCAACGTAGTGAAACCCTGTCTCTGTTGAAAATACAAAAATAAACCGGGCGTGGTAGTGCATTCCTGTAATCTCAGCTACTCGGGAGGCTGAGGCAGGTGAATCCCTTGAAGCCGGGAGGCAGAGGTTGCAGTAAGCTGAGATTGCACCACTTGTACTCCAGCCTGGGTGACAGAGTGAGACTCCACCTCAAAAAAAAAAAAAGATCTTTGTGAAGAGATGGCAAATTGCCAGGTGGGCTGGCAGCTTCCATTTCCTGCCAGCCCAGGTGTTCCAGAGAAAGGCTCAGCATGCAGACCTGGGCAGCTGCCTTTTGCCTAGACTTGAGTTTCCCAAGCCTTTGACTATTAAGGCCACTGGAGATAAAATGCACTTCTGAGTGAGGTTAGAGGCATCGCAGAAGGGTGATGAAGGAGACCAAAGCCAGGGAGAAGAAAGTTCCAGAGGATTGAGTGGGGCCTAACTGCCAGGAGAGAGGGAGATCCTGGAACCTCCTAAGGCTCCCTGCCCTGTCAGTTCCTTGTCCATAAAGTGGGGGAGGTTGGGGGCTGGAAGGAGTACTCTCTTAGGACCTGCTTATCTTAACATTAAAAGATTTTAGCCGGGCATGGTAGCTCATGCCTGTAATCCCAGCACTTTGGGAGGCTGAGGCGGGCAGATCACCTGAGGTTGGGAGTTTGAGACCAGGCTGACCAACATGGAGAAACCCCATCTCTACTAAAAATACAAAAAAGTTAGCCAGGTGTGGTGGCACATGCCTGTAATCCCAGCTACTCAGGAGGCTGAGGCAGGAGAATCGCTTGAACCTGGGAGGCGGAGGTTGCGGTGAGCCAAGATTGCGCCATTGCACTCCAGCCTGGGCGACAAGAGCGAAACTCCATCTCAAAAGAAAAGAAAAAAAGAAAGATTTTAAGGTTCATTCTACTGACAGAAGAATCCTGACAGTGAGAAGGCTGACCCTTCTCTCTGCTGATCTAGCTCTACTCACCCCAGCCCTTTGGGAAACGCAGAGGCTAGACAGGTCCTCCTGGTCTCCTTTCTTCTCTAGAAGGAAAAACAACAACAATAGAGTGAGCTCATTTTGCTGTCCAGACAAATGATGAGCCTGGGTTTGGGCTTTCCCAACTGTGGCAGGTCCTGATCATCTCTGTCATCCCCTGTCATATACTCCCTAGGCTGGTGGAAAAACCCCCATCCCTGCTTCCCCCTTTGTTATATGGATATCAACAATATTTCCATATTGTAAACCAATTGGAAGCCCTCAAAAGGCAAAAGCACTGAAATGGCTGAAATGCCTATTTCTACCTTCTCTGGCAGGCCTCCTGCAGAGAGTCCTATGGGCTAGGACTGGGGTTTGGGGGAAAGCAGCTCCATGGAATGTATTATATCTTTCTCCTTTGCTATGATCCTTGTAGAGGTTGAAGAGGTCTTTGAGATTCTCTAGTTCCGTGTTTTCAAAACTGAGGTATGAAGGCCGGGCTTGGTTACTCACGCTTGTAATCCCAGCACTTTGGGAGGCCGAGGCAGGCAGATTACTTGAGGCTAGGAGATAGAGACCAGCCTGGCCAACATGGCAAAACCCCGTCTCTACTAAAAATAAAAAAATTAGCCAGGCGTGGTGGCGCATGCCTGTAATCCCAGCTACCCGTGAGGCTGCGGCAGGAGAATCTCTTGAACCTGGGAGGCAGAGGTTGCAGTGAGCTGAGATATCGGCACTGCACTCCAGCCAGGAGGACAGAGCGAGACTCTGTCTCAAAAAAGAAAAAAAAAGTTTTTTTCTTTTTTTGGAGGGAGAAATTAAGTAATTTAACTAGTAAGTAATCTAAACATTTGCTACTGAAATTAACACAGATAAAATATATAATAAAATGCAAAATTGTGTTATTTGTAATAAAAATTCTGGGCTTCAAAGACATGGTATGCTTCCTGGGGGCTGCTTCTGGGCCACAGCCCAGACTCCGATCCATCCTTAGTGGCCAAACAGCCTGCAACTAAGGTCTGCTGACTCCTATCCTCTCACTCCACAGGGCCTGAGCTAGCCGAGGTTTAAGAGACTCACTAGAGAGAGGGGGTTGCCTAGCCCTCCCTGCACTTCATTGCTTTCTCTCCTCATAAGGATTCAGAACCTAGGATTGGAGAGGGATCTTAGTAATGGCTGGCAGAAACCTGGCCTCTAAGTGGATGGGATTCCTTACTGACAGTCAGTGGGACAGGTGAGGAGAAAAGAGACAGTGCCGGAGTCAGAAGGACGAGGTTCCAGGCCTGGCTGGGTCCCTAGGACAACTCATTTGACCACGCGGGCTGGAGACGGGTGGGCTGCATGAAGTCTGGTAGGCTGTCTGTGCCTTTGCTACTGCTGGGATACAGAGGTCTGCCAGAATCCTCAGGCTACTCTCTCAGCTCTCAAAACCCTTATCCCTTGGCATGGGTGGTTTATCAACCTAGCCCTTTGTGGGGTTCCCACTGCCCTGCCCTCTCCCCAGAGGAAATGACTTCTTGGGAAACCTAGGACCCCAGGCAGAACCAGGCAGAACTGGTTGTCTGTGAGCTCACCTTTGTCACGTGTGAGCCCTGTCTACACAGCTGCAAGCTCTCACCCACCCCTAACCCAACCAGGCCTATCTTTCTTTCCTAGAGGTCAATAAGCACCCCAACTAAAGATAAGCATCAGAATCGCCTGGAGAATTTTGCTCCTAAGGACCCCACCCAGACCTACCCAATCAGAATGGGGGTTGAGGAGATGAGAATCTCGGTTTTACAAGCTCCTCAGCTGATTCTAATTTTTTTTTTTTTGAGATGGAGTCACACTCTGTTGCCCAGGCTGGAGTGCAATGGCGTGATCTCAGCTCACTGCAATATCTGCTTCCTGGGTTCAAGCGATTCTCCTGCCTCAGCCTCCTGAATAGCTGGGGCTACAGGGGTGTCCCACCACACCCAGCTAATTTTTGTATTTTTAGTAGAGATCAGGTTTCACCATGTTGGCCAGGCTGGTCTTGAACTCCTGACCTCGTGATCCGACCGCCTTGGCCTCCCAAAGTGCTGGGATTATAGGCATGAGCCACCACACCCAGCCTGATTCTAATTATTAATCAGACTTGAAATGAAAGCCACTGGTTCACGGAGGGATTACGGGACTCTCACTTTGAGCCTCAATGTCCACATCTGTAGAATGGCACTATATTTGTTCCTTGGGGCATACTTGGACAACAGATTTTTTTTTTTTTTTTTTGAGATGGAGTTTCACTCTTGTTGCCCAGGCTCGAGTGCAATGGCACAATCTCGGCTCACCACAACCTCTGCCTCCCAGGTTCAAGCGATTCTCCTGCCTCAGCCTCCCTAGTAGCTGGGATTACAGGCATGTGCCACCACGCCCGGCTAATTTTCTATTTTTAGTAGAGATGGGGGTTTCTCCATGTTGGTCAGGCTGGTCTCGAACTCCCGACCTCAGGTGATCTGCCCGCCTCAGCCTCCCAAAGTGCTGGGATTACAGGCATGAGCCACCGCGCCCGGTCTGGACAACAGATTTTTAAAAGCTACTTTGAAAGACTGCTCAATACCGTCCAGGCCCGGTGGCCCATGCCTGTAATCCTAGCACTTTGGGAGGCTGAGGCAGGCGGATCACTTGATGTTAGGAGTTCAAGACCAGCCTGGCCAACATGGTGAAACCCCGTCTCTACTAAAAATACAAAAATTAGCCAGGCGTGGTGGCACGTGCCTGCAGTGCCAGCTACTCAGGAGGCTGAGGCAGGAGAATCACTTGAACCTGGGAGGCAGAGGTTGCAGTGAGCAGAGATCGTGCCACTGCATTCTAATCTGGGTGACAGAGTGAGACTCCATCTCAAAAAAAAAAAAAAAAAGACTGCTCAATACATTGTATTGTTAGTATTTCCATTTCAAAAAGCAGCCTTATTTGCAAAGACTCCTCACTGAGTTTTTAACTCTCCCTCCAGTAGGATAGACAAAATCCTCCTTGAGGCCCTCACTTCAGCTTTTCACAAGCCTCCTAAACCAGGTGCATTTATAATCGTGCTATTTTGACCAAGCTGTTTGTTGTTTTTCAAGAAAGCCACAGAATCCTGGGAACGCTTCTGCTGGCTTCTCATCTCCACCTCCTCCCAATGCTCCACCTTCTCCTTCATGCCTCGACCCACGGGCTCCTCCACCAGCTACTTCCACCAGCCGCAATGAGAAATTTCCAAAGGGCTGCAGAGGCGCCCCAAGCAGAGGCATGCGAGCGAGCTGGCTGGCCTTCAGGGGTTTCCATCCTGAATTCTGGGGTTCTTGGAATCATACCCCCACCCCAAGATCTGGTTCAACTTCCCAAACCCGACCAGGGTGACTTGCCAGACCGAGGCCCTGGGAACCGGTGCTCCAGACGGAACCGCCTGAACGGGGAGGGGCAGGTGGCCGGGAGTGAGTGCTCATTGACTTTAAATTGCAGGTTGCGGCATTGCGCTCTATTCTGATGGAGTGCAGTCCTGGAAGAGGCAGGGTTTATGCACGGTCAGGGCCCTGGCCACAGACACTGGGACATGGGGCCTGATCACCAACTCCAGAGGCCTGAGTCACCTGGGACATGACACCAGCCCACTCCTGCTCAGAGGTCGGCCAGTCTCCCCACCAGGGTTGTCTTGCGGCTGCCGTGTTGCACATTGTGTCTATGTGATGAGTGCTCCCTGGAGCACTACTCTCCAGAAGACACATGTTCATGCAGACTCTAATGGTAGCAGCATCCTCTGGAGTTGTGCAAAGAGGCAGCCCTGCTTCTTCTTCTTTTTTTTTTAATTAAAAAAAAATAGGCCAGGTGTGGTGGCTCACACCTGTAATCCCAGCACTTTGGGAGGCCAAGGCGGGTGGATCATGAGGTCAGGAGATCGAGACCATCCTGGCCAAAATGGTGAAACCCCATCTCTACTAAAATATGAAAAAATTATCTGGGCATGGTGGTGTGCACCTGTAGTCCCAGCTACTTGGAAGGCGGAGGTTGCAGTGAGCTGAGATCACTCCAGCTTGGCAACAGAACAAGACTCCGTCTCAAAAAAAAAAAATAGAGATGGGGGTCTCACTATGTTGGCCAGGTTGGTCTTGAACTCTTGGCTTCAGTCAGTCCTCCCACATTGTCCTCCCAAAGTGCTAGGATTACAGGCATGAGCCACCACACCCAGCCCTACTTCTACCAACAAGGGAACACTTCAAAGCATTTTGAGGGGAGTGACTGCTTCATGGGTAAAGGACCTCCATGGGAGTTAGGAAAGGTGTTTTGGAACCAGATAGAGGTAGTGGTTGCACAACATTGTGAGTGTACTAAATGCCACTGAACTAACTGTTCACTTTGAAATGGTTAATTTCTCTCCCTCCCTTCCTTCCTTCCTTCCTTCCTTCCTTCCTTCCTTCCCTCCTTCCTTCCTTCTTTCCTTCCTTCCCTCCTTCCTTCCCTCCTTCCTTCCTGTAATCCCAGCTACTCAGGAGGCTGAGACCTGGGCAACAAGAGTGAAACTCTGTTTCCAAAAAAAAAAAAAAAAGGCCAGGTGCGGTGGCTCACGCCTATAATCCCAACACTTTGGGAGGCCTAGGCGGGTGGATCACCTGAGGTTGGGAGTTCAAGACCAGCCTGACCAACATGGAGAAACCCTGTCTCTACTCAAAATACAAAATAAGCTGGGCATGGTGGCGCATGTCTGTAATCCCAGCTACTGAGGAGGCTGAGGCAGGAGAATCACTTGAACCCAGGAAGCAGAGGTTGCAGTGAGCCGAGATCGTGCCATTGCACTCCAGCCTGGGCAACAAGAGCGAAACAGCGAAACTCCGTCTCAAAAAAAAAAAAAAAAAAAAATTCCCTACAACAGATCAGCCCTCTGCAAGATTTCACGTCTCTCCCCAGTTTCCTGGGCTAGGTCGCTGACTATATTCCAGAGGAAGAACTGGATTGGCTTAGAAGCCCCATTCCCAGACCCCAGCTGAGGAGGAAGGGAAATGGTCAGATCTGTCCAAGGCTCTTGGCAGCACTTGCCATAAAGAGGATGGAAAGGTAGCATCAGGGTCCTCTTGAAGGCACCCCATAGGCCCCACTAGATCCTGGGAATCTAGATGCGGGTGTCTGCAATTCTGGAAAAAGCCATGTGCTTTTTGTTTTTGTCTCACTATGTCACCCAAGCTGTAGTGCAGTGGTACCATCATAGCTCACTGTAACCCTGGCCAGGCTCCAGCGATTCTCCTACCTCAGCTTCCTGAGTACCTGGGACTAAAGATGTGTGCTACCATGCCCAGTTAATTTTTATTATTTATTTATTTATTTATTTATTTATTTGAGACAGAGTCTCGCTCTGTCACCCAGGCTCGAGTGCAGTGGCAAGATCACGGCTCACTGCAACCTCCGCCTCCCGGGTTCAAGCAATTCTCCTGCCTCAGCCTCCCAACTAGCTGGGACTACAGGCACGCGACACCACGCCCAGCTAATTTTTGTACTTTTAGTAGAGATGGGGTTTCACCATGTTGGCCAGGATCGTCTGGATCTCTTGACCTCGTGATCCACCTGCCTCAGCCTCCCAAAACGCTGGCGTGAACCACTGCATCTGGCCAATTTTCTGTATTTTAGTAGAGACGGGGTTTCACCATGTTGCCCAGGGTGGTCTCAAACTCCTGAGCTCAGGTGATCTGCCCACCTCAGCCTCCCAAAGTGCTGGGGTTACAGGCATCAGCCACCATGCCTGGCTAATTTTTAAATTTTTTGTAGACACGGGGTCTCACTATGTTGCCTAGGCTGGTCCTAAACTCCTGGCTTCAAGTAATCCTCTCACCTCCAAAGTGTGTGGGTTAAAAGTGTGAGCTGCCACAGCCAGAGAAGCCACGTTCTTGCCTCATCTAGCCATTCATTCATCCATCCATTCATTCATGTATTTATCCAAGGAACATTTGCTGAGCCTTTTCTATGTACTGGGCACAGTGCTGGCTACTTGAAGTTAGGATGTGTAGAACGCCATCCTCAAGTAGCTTACTGTCTAGTGGGAAGACCAAAGTGGAAAGAATTATTAACAACAAAGATATGCACTGGCTGGAAAGATGCCCTGAGGAAGGCACCTAAGGGATGGAGTGTCGGGATGAGGGTGCTAGGGGAGGCTTCCTGGAGGAAGGGATGCCAGAGTTGGGTGGCCAAGGCTGCTGGTGGAAGCATGTCTAGGCAAGCCCACCTTGGCCTGAGGGGAGGAGGAGCGGGTGGGTGGACACCAAATGCAGGGTTTCTAGGTTTTGTGAGAGCTCCAATGAGGTCTGGTTCAGAGGCCAGGAGATGGAGCGTCCTCCTGACCAGAAGGGCCCCATTTGCAGAGCTGTGGAGTGAGGGGGTGTTCGGTGTAGGGAGGGTGGTTACAAAGTCTTTCCAGCTCCAGCCAGATGGAAGGGAATCTACCCTCCACCTCAGGACAGGATGGACCAAGGCCCTGCACTCTGGCTCCTGGGAGAGGCTAGCAGTTAAGAACCCCCACTTTACCCTCCTCCCGACCTTTGAGATTCTCCTGGCATACAGGCCTTTTCTCTATCAGGGGTTTTAGCAGTTGTCACAGGGGAAGACACTGACCACTCCCAACTCCCCCAGGCCTCTGCCAGGCCTCCTTGCAGGAGACTTTACCCTGGAACCCACTCCCTCCTACTTTAGGAAACACTTCCAACAATAGGACTGCCTTCTTTTTTTTTTTTAATCGCTTTTTAGAAACACAATGAGACAATAACACTAATAGATTTCTTTTGAAAAGAAACAAAATTACTCAGTGCGCATTAACCAGCCCTTCCCATTTGAGACAAGTTGTTTTATTAACAGAAGGAGACAGTGAATGAAAAAAAGGTGCTTGGAACACTGTTGGGCAGTCTTGATGGTGTTTGTTGAATGAATAAATGATTCCTAATAACTGACCTTTCCAAACCGGACCCGGATTCTTTTCCTTATGAATATCTACTTAAAAGGAAAAAAAAAAAAAGCCTGTGCTTTCTTTAGGTCAGTGTTCCACATTTTCCTGAATTTTTTTTCTGTCCAAAAAAAAAAAAAAAAAGGCCAGGCGTGGTGGCTCACGCCTGTAATCCCAGCACTTTGGGAGGCCCAGGCTGGTGGATCACCTGAGTTCAGGAATTTGAGACCAGCTTGGCCAACATGGTGAAACCGTCTCTCTACTAAAAATACAAAAATTAGGCCGGGCGCGGTGGCTCACGCCTGTAATCCTAGCACTTTGGGAGGCCGAGGCAGGCGGATCACGAGGTCAGGAGATCGAGACCATCCTGGCTAACACGGTGAAACCCTCTCTCTATTAAAAATACAAAAGATTAGCCGGACGTGGTGGTGGGCACCTGCAGTTCCAGCTTCTCGGGAGGCTGAGGTAGGAGAATGGTGTGAACCCGGGAGGCGGAGCTTGCAGTGAGCCAAGATCGCACCACTGCACTCCAGCCTGGGTGAAAGAGTGAGACCCCATCTCAAAAAAAAAAAAAAAAAGAAGAAGAAGAAGAAAAAACATCGTAACTCTTGTTTCCTTAGGGTGTTTAGGTGTCCCGCCCAAATCAGCCTGGAGGAAATGTGAATGTTCCTGATGGATTAATTCAGATCTTCTCTCTGGCCAGCAGGAAGACACACCCATGCAGGTCACCTCTGTAAGAGTGATTTCAAGAGTATGTCATCTACTCCAGCCCTCCAAGAACAACTAGCCGCCTTGATCCAGTGTCTTTTATTATTTTTAATTTTTATATCCCCATTGTTAAGCAATCTGGTGTCTTTAAGGCTCCAACAAGCGACAGAGCTTGAAGAATGGGAAGAGAAGGCCTTGAAAGTCCCAGTGGCTCACAAACTATTCCATTCTGCAGCTGTCTTTAAGATGTCTCCTGGATCCCCTGATTTCTTTTTTTAATCCATAAATTTGTCTCCATAAGTGGGTCTCCCACCTGTCAAATGAGAGTAGGGTGCAGAGCTTGGATTCTGGTTCTTTCAGGTTCTAAGTCTTGGCCCAAGTGTCAGCTTTTTCTTTTTTCTAAGTTGGGGTGGGGATGGGGGTTGCGGAGGGCAGTGGCCTGACATCTCCTGCAAGTGTCATTTGTCACGCGAAAGCAAGCCTGACCCGAGGCAAGGCCCGCCTATCTGGTTAGGTTCCTTGCCCGCCCCCGGGGCCCTGGGCATCTGATGTAAGTTTGGCTCCCTCTTCCATCAGGGTCCTCCTGTCCCAGACTGATAAACCTTTAGAGCAATAAAGGTCGAGTCCGTCTCAACCTCCACCCACCCTCAGCAACCACTGTTAGCCTCTGAGCACTGCTGCCAGGCCAGATTTCCTGTGGCCCCGCCTGAATGATGAAACACGGGATGGCCATTGCACTCCCTGGCTTTTCCAGAGATCTCGGTCCTCGGTCCTGATGCAACCGTCTGGATCTTTTACACAAAGCGCTAGGCGAGCGCTGGGTGCTAGGACCCGGGGGGCGCCCGGGCAGGGAGGTCCGGCTGCGCTGCCTGCAGTCCGCGGGGAGGGCGGATGGGTCTGTGAGTCCGACTGCTGTGAATCCTCGCTTCCATCCCTGCACTGGGCGCTATGAACCCGGGCCCATCCACACTCCTCTAACCACTCTCCTCAAGCCCTCTCCTTGGGAGCAGTTGGAAGTGGAAGCAGATAGGGTTTGGGAGGAGGCAGGGATCCCCATTAACCTATGTCCTGGGCTGTAGAGTAACAGCCAGGATGGGCAGGTGGGGCCTTGGGGAAGGGGCAGCATGGTGCCCGGAGCTTCCCAGTCTGTGGACCCCACCCCCATATCCCGAGCCTTTGCAAAGCAGGGATAGAGGGGGTAAGGGCGCGAGGGCAGGCCGGGCTAACGTCTGCTCCTGCGCCGCCGTCCCACGGGCATCCCCCCCGTGTGTGCCCAGTTGTTCCCGAAGCTTTAGGATCCAAGACGCTGGGGGCAACCATTTTCCTTGCCCGCCGCCCCCTCACGCTTCCCTGCCTCTCCTCCTAGCCTGGTCACGGGCTGTCCCCTCCTCCAGCAATGCAACCCTATAATAAACAAGTCTTTCCTTGATCCTCCCCTGCCGCGAGCGCCCTCGGGGACCTTGGCAGCTGCAGCCGCCGCGGATCCTTTCCAGAAAGGGGGCGTGGCGGTGGGTCGGGGTTCGACTGCGAGCTTTCTGGGGCTCAATGGAGGCGGGGCCCGGCCGCTGTCACCGGGCAGGAGAGAACGTTGCTTACGTGCGCCCGGAGTCCATTGGCCAAGGCGGGCCACACTCCCGGGTCTGGATTGGGTCGTGGCGCAGAGAAGGCGTGGCCTCGCCGCGCTAGTCCTTATAGGCTGCTCCGCGCTGGTGCTAGGGCGCAGCAGGCCAAGGGGGAGGTGCGAGCGTGGACCTGGGACGGGTCTGGGCGGCTCTCGGTGGTTGGCACGGGTTCGCACACCCATTCAAGCGGCAGGACGCACTTGTCTTAGCAGTTCTCGCTGACCGCGCTAGCTGGTGAGTGTCCCTTCTGTGTGTGGGTCCTAGAGCTCGCGGTCTGGTCTGGTCTGGTCCCCAGACTGACGCCTGGTCGGTCCCCCTCTTGTCTTACAGCGGCTTCTACGCTCCGGCACTCTGAGTTCATCAGCAAACGCCCTGGCGTCTGTCCTCACCATGCCTAGCCTTTGGGACCGCTTCTCGTCGTCGTCCACCTCCTCTTCGCCCTCGTCCTTGCCCCGAACTCCCACCCCAGATCGGCCGCCGCGCTCAGCCTGGGGGTCGGCGACCCGGGAGGAGGGGTTTGACCGCTCCACGAGCCTGGAGAGCTCGGACTGCGAGTCCCTGGACAGCAGCAACAGTGGCTTCGGGCCGGAGGAAGGTGAGCGGTGGGCGGGTGCCGACGCGACTCGAGGGGCCGGGAAGGTGGGGAAGCCCCGGTGCTGGAAGGGGTCAGAGCCGCCTTGGCTTCCTATCCCATCGGGACCCAGATTGCTTGGGGGCAGGGGGAATTGGAGTATAAGGTGAGTGAGGCGGAAACTGAGGCACGGAGTGGGAAGGAGCGTTGGTTTCTTAAGGAAACAGCACCTCCCCCGCCTGTGCGTTTCGTTTTGAAGCCGCTCTAATACCCCTTCCTGTGTGCTCTCCTTTCCAGACACGGCTTACCTGGATGGGGTGTCGTTGCCCGACTTCGAGCTGCTCAGTGACCCTGAGGATGAACACTTGTGTGCCAACCTGATGCAGCTGCTGCAGGAGAGCCTGGCCCAGGCGCGGCTGGGCTCTCGACGCCCTGCGCGCCTGCTGATGCCTAGCCAGTTGGTAAGCCAGGTGGGCAAAGAACTACTGCGCCTGGCCTACAGCGAGCCGTGCGGCCTGCGGGGGGCGCTGCTGGACGTCTGCGTGGAGCAGGGCAAGAGCTGCCACAGCGTGGGCCAGCTGGCACTCGACCCCAGCCTGGTGCCCACCTTCCAGCTGACCCTCGTGCTGCGCCTGGACTCACGACTCTGGCCCAAGATCCAGGGGCTGTTTAGCTCCGCCAACTCTCCCTTCCTCCCTGGCTTCAGCCAGTCCCTGACGCTGAGCACTGGCTTCCGAGTCATCAAGAAGAAGCTGTACAGCTCGGAACAGCTGCTCATTGAGGAGTGTTGAACTTCAACCTGAGGGGGCCGACAGTGCCCTCCAAGACAGAGACGACTGAACTTTTGGGGTGGAGACTAGAGGCAGGAGCTGAGGGACTGATTCCTGTGGTTGGAAAACTGAGGCAGCCACCTAAGGTGGAGGTGGGGGAATAGTGTTTCCCAGGAAGCTCATTGAGTTGTGTGCGGGTGGCTGTGCATTGGGGACACATACCCCTCAGTACTGTAGCATGAAACAAAGGCTTAGGGGCCAACAAGGCTTCCAGCTGGATGTGTGTGTAGCATGTACCTTATTATTTTTGTTACTGACAGTTAACAGTGGTGTGACATCCAGAGAGCAGCTGGGCTGCTCCCGCCCCAGCCCGGCCCAGGGTGAAGGAAGAGGCACGTGCTCCTCAGAGCAGCCGGAGGGAGGGGGGAGGTCGGAGGTCGTGGAGGTGGTTTGTGTATCTTACTGGTCTGAAGGGACCAAGTGTGTTTGTTGTTTGTTTTGTATCTTGTTTTTCTGATCGGAGCATCACTACTGACCTGTTGTAGGCAGCTATCTTACAGACGCATGAATGTAAGAGTAGGAAGGGGTGGGTGTCAGGGATCACTTGGGATCTTTGACACTTGAAAAATTACACCTGGCAGCTGCGTTTAAGCCTTCCCCCATCGTGTACTGCAGAGTTGAGCTGGCAGGGGAGGGGCTGAGAGGGTGGGGGCTGGAACCCCTCCCCGGGAGGAGTGCCATCTGGGTCTTCCATCTAGAACTGTTTACATGAAGATAAGATACTCACTGTTCATGAATACACTTGATGTTCAAGTATTAAGACCTATGCAATATTTTTTACTTTTCTAATAAACATGTTTGTTAAAACAGTTGGTTGAGTCTCTCATCAGTACCATGAAGTGAAAAGGAGGGAGATGGGTGCTAGTGAAAGGCAGGTCTCATCAGGCCCTGGGGTCCACCTGTGTGTTCCTCCATCCCTTTCCGGGACTGCCTGCCAGCCTGGTGACAGAGGTATGTGTACCGTGTGCCATCTGTGCCAAGAACCCTTGGCCCTGTGCTGGCTGAAGCTACTAGGAGAACACACTGGAAACCCCTGAAGGTAGGGGGTGAGTCAGACCTCCCACCGAGCCAGAGTCTCCAGAGGGAGAGCTCACCTGGCTGCCCCGGTTAGAAGGCCCAGACAGGAGGGCCCACTGAGCCCAAGGTCTTTAATAAACAGTGAAAGAACTAGAAAATACCTTTTTTCTTTCTGGGAGAAAAAAATCAGTTGTTCTACCATCATGAAAATTACAAATCTTATCTCTGGATTTAAAAAGACTAAGAGGGGGAGTTTGAAAAATGCTACTTAGCTCATGCCTCTCACTGGACAAGGAACCAAGAGGGGCATGAGCTGCCACTGGAAGGAAGTCTGGACCAGGCAGGTGCAGAACTCCTTGCACACACACAGGTGAGGGAAGGAGTGCTAAGGGCTTAGAGAGCAAGGAAATAGCAGGCCTACCTTAACGATACCTTGGGTCACCCAGACGTCCTCTGTGACCTGTTGTCCCAGCCACTTGGGATGCTGAAGCCAGAGGATTGCTTGAGTCCAGGAGTTCAAGGCTGCAGCCTGGGTGACAGCAAGACCCTGTCTCTAAAAACAAAAGATGCATTGTGCATTCTGGGCCCTAAGTTCCTTGTCAGAAAAATTGGCAAATTGGAGTTGGGCCAGATGAAGCCCAGGGCCTTTCCCCCTTCTTCCCTGGAATTACATCCACCCACACCAACTGGCATTTGGAGAGTTTTTATCTCCCTTGTTTCTCTTCCTGGTCCCAGACAGGCCTTGTTTGCTCAAGACTAAAACAGTGGCTCTTGCACTTGAGCGTGTGTAATCAGATCACATGGGCCCTCCTGGAGATTCTCAGTGCATCCGGGCCAGGGCCCCAGGAATCTGCATTTACATCAGGGATTCCAATAGAGGGTCCTAAACTTTACGATGACTTGGAAGACCCATCTCTCTTTGGTAGAACTGAGTGATTTGTTCCCCAAAATGGATAAACTTGGATTAGAAGTGCATTTGGAAATGGATAGTGAGAACAGTGAAGAAGGTGCCCAGACCAGTGTGAGGAAAGCCCTCACACCCATTTTCTTAGCACATCCTCCTAATAGCCACCCTGTGAGGGGTGGGTGGCGGCAGGGGTTTTTAATGTTTTACAGATTAGTAAATGGAGGCCCAAGCCCTGGAATGGTCATCTTCTTGGATAAGGGCTGACTTTGTCCACTCCCAGCCTATTGAGATTCAGGGCTGGGAGTAAAGCAAGCTTGACACCTGGGCTGAGTCTGAAGGGCACTTTCCCGGGAACTGAGATCTGTGCCAATGCTCACGACCCTGCCTCCCCAGTCTCAAAAGAGAAGCAAGGAAACAATTGTCTTCAGAGTACAGAGTCTTGTTGGTATTTGGGGGCCTGAGCTGGATGGATTGGTCAGCATTAGCCCTTCTCCAAGCCAAGGAGGCAGCTGAGCCCAGCACCGTACCTTTTCTTAGATAGTCAGACTGAGGCCAAATCAAAGCTTGGGTTCCCAAGCTAGCTCAGCTGAGATGCCCTCTCCCAGAGCCAAACTGGCTTCCCTCATTCTCACAGGGCCTGAAAATCCTCCTGCAGCAGGACAGAAGGGTCCGCAAGTGGGAGCCCTGAGCTTGAGTCTCACAGTAAAGGGAAGAGGGTTGCTGAGGCCCAAGACAGTTCTGGGTCCTGAGGTCTGCTAAGACATGGCAGGGAGCTTTGCCCCAGGTACCGGACTTGCTAAGAAAAAATGGGGCAGGCTTCTTTGTTGCTAAGCAGGAAAGCTAAGAAAGCTTATAAAGACCTACACATAAAATCAACTTTGGTAAATGCTTTCAGAAATTGTCCTATTTAGTGAGACCCTATCTGATAAAGAAAGGAAGGAAAGAAAAAAAAGAAAGGAAAGGAAAGGGGAAAGGAAAAAGGAAAGGAAAGGAAAAAGATTGCCCTATTTGGCCTGGAAAATATGTACTGATTACCTCCCTTCCTACAGGATTCCCTCTCTTATTCCTATTTCCCACCTCATCGGGTCAATGCTCTAGAACCTGCAATGGTTCCCTATTGCCAGATTCCACTGCTGGTCTTTTAGGACATTTGGTGTTGGGCCCTATACTCCCTACTGAGGCTTACCTCCCACCATTCCCCTTAACTGGGGGCAAGTCAATCTGGACTGCCCTTTTCTCTAGCCGCAGACTCCGCTCATTCTAGTGCCTTCCACCAAGGATATCTTCCTGAGTTTTGCTGGCAAGCCCTGTCCTTCCTTTAAGGCCTAGAGCAAGTTCCAGCCTTTTTATGGCTCTTTTCTGCTTTCCCTCCCCCCATCTTTCACAATTGCAGTGTGAAAACATGGCATACAATGATCTCATTGTATGCACTTGTTTTATATCCCCCTAGCTCTATAGAACACCCCTAGGTTCTCCTGAGGCCTGGCACATAGTGGTTAACTAAGCATTGGCTGTCCGAGCCTTGGGTCATGCCCTCTCTCTAAGCTCAGAGAACATAAGATTCCCTCACTAGCCTCAGACTCTCAGGC
This sequence comes from Homo sapiens, assembly GCF_000001405.40. Lineage (NCBI taxonomy): Eukaryota > Metazoa > Chordata > Mammalia > Primates > Hominidae > Homo > Homo sapiens. The sequence goes on from NC_000010.11 coordinate 72,278,741, forward strand.
TACGAGGAGAGGAGGGCAGGGTTAGAAAGAGTTGTTGTTGTTTTTTTGTTTGTTTGTTTTTTGTTTTTTTCATTAGCCTACCACCTAGTTTAGAGGAATATTAAAGGCTAAGGTCCTGGAAGGGAGGTAGTGTCATTAGTGGCTAAAGCCACCTGCATTAGTGAAATCTGGATTCAGATCCCAGCTCAGCCATTTCCTAGCCAATGACCTGGGGCCAGTAACTTTACCTTCCTAAGCTTCAGTTTCCTCATCCGTAAAGTGGGAATGATAGTGAGGAAATGATATATATAACAACATTACTAAGGCCCCCTATGGGCAGAGGACGCCCATGACTGGATAGAGATGGCAGCCTAAGCATGGCAGGGCTGGTTTCACAGCAAGTGCCTTTAATAGGGACCACCCTTTGACTCCTGTTCCCTCTGGTCTTATGTTCCTCTAACAGCTTTTCAAAGTTACCATCTTAACAGCCATGTTGGCTGGGTGCCGGTGGTTCATGCCTGTAATCTCAGCACTTTGGAAGGCCAAGGTGGGAGGATCACTTGAGCCCAAGAATTCAAGACCAGCCTGAGCAACACAGTGAGAACTCTATAAATAAATAAATAAATAAATAAATATTTAACAGCCATGTCAACATATGACCTTAACAAATTCAAAAGAAAAATAAGGCTGGGCATGTGGGTGGGCACCTGTAATCCTAGCACTTTGGGAGGCTGAGGCAGGAGAATCGTGTGAACCCGGGAGGCGGAGGTTGCAGTGAGCCCAGCTCTCACTCCAGCCTGGGTGACAGAACAAGACTCCATCTCAAAAAGACCAAAAACAAAAACAAAAACAAAAACCAAACAAACAAAAAGGCTGGGTACGGTGGCTTCACGCCTGTAATCCCAGCACTTTAGGAGGCCAAGGCAAGTGGATCACTTGAGGTCAGGAATTCGAGACCAGCCTGGCCAACATGGTGAAACCCTGTCTCTACTAAAAATACAAAAATTGGCTGGGTGTGATGGCACATGCATGTGGACCCAGCTATTTGAGAGGCTGAGGCAGGAGAATTGCTTCAACCCAGAGGCAGAGGTTACAGTAAGCTGAGATCGCGCCACCGCACTCCAGCCTGGGAGACAGAGCAAGACTCGGTGTCAAAAAAAAAAGCATGAAAGAAAAACAAACCCTCCACTTGGGGGAAATATGTTCAGACAGCTATACTTCTAAGTTGCATTATTCTAATTCTGGTACATATTAAGCATTACATATAAGGTTCCTTTAGGCTGGGCGTGGTGGCTCACACCTGTAATCCCAGCACTTTGGGAGGCTGAGATAGGTGGATCACCTGAGGTCAGGAGTTCGAGACCAGCCTGGCCAACGTGGTGAAACCCCGTCTCTACTAAAAATAGACAAATTTGCCAAGCGTGATGGTGTGTGCCTGTAGTCCCAGGTACTCGGGAGGCTGAGGGAGGAGAATCATTTGAACCCAGGAGGCGGAGGTGGCAGTGAGCCAAGATTGCGCCACTGGGCAACAGATTGAGACTCTGTTTAAAAAAAAAAAATTCCTTTAATTCCACCTCATGGATCAGGAGGAAATGCCAAGGGGCAGAGGAGCTCAGTGAGGGATCTGCAGGACTAAGATGAGCAGTGTGTGGTCTTCTACCTCCAGGGCCTTCCGCTCAATCCCCACAAGCCCTCCCAGTTTCCCAGCTCAGGTGCAGCCTGGGTCAGCCACATCCTACTTTGGCTGCTGGAGGAAACCAAGTACTGCTGGGGCACCCCAGAGGAAGCTGAGGAAATGTGGGCACAAAAACCAGGCCCAATTAATAGACCATTACAGGACTCCGTAATTATCCTGAAATGGAAGGGCTTTTTAAGAAGGACTCACAAATTAGAGAGAAAACCATTAAACCTAGACGTGTCCATGCAGGGGCCCAGCTGAGAAGCTTCCATCTTGATCCCAGCCATGGGCAGCTTCATGGAAACTTCTGGGGCAGCAGATGCAGCCTGTGGCTATGTGGAGCTGGCGGCTCTGAATGTAGAGGTTGGTGGGCTGCATTCACTCGGTCACTCATTTATTCATTCACCCTATATACTATATAACTAACAGGTCCATGTGGGCTGCAAGAGAAAGTCAAAGTAAGTAGGAACCCTTAAGAAGCTGATATAAAAATGTTCTTTCAGCCAGGCGCAGTGGCTCACACCTGTAATCCCAGCACTTTGGGAGGCTGAGGCAGGCGGATTGTCTGAGGTCAGGAGTTCGAGACCAGCCTGGCCAACATAGTGAAACCCTGTCTCTACTAAAAATATAAAAAATTAGCTGGTGTGGTGGTGGGCGCCTGTAATCCCAGCTATTCAGGAGGCTGAGGCACGAGAATCGCTTGAACCCAGGAGGCGGAGGTTGCAGAGAGCCGAGGTGGCGCCATTGCACTCCAGCCCAGATAACAAGAGTGAAACTCCATCTCAAAAAAAAAAAAGTTCTCTCACACACATACACACATGTACATACATAATCACACACACCTACATAATCACACACGCTTTTAATAAGTAAAACGTGGGGCATAAGGAGAAGAGAAAATGGGCATACACTCAAATCTCCCTATCCCTAATTTCCCAGGAAAAACATTTTTTTTTTTTTTTTTGAGACAGAGTCTAGCCCTGTTGCCTAGGCTGGAGTACAGTGGCGCGATCTTGGCTTACTGCAACCTTGCCTCCTGAGTTCAAGCCATTCTCCTGCCTCAGCCTCCGGAGTAGCTGGGATTACAGGCACATGCTGCCACACCCGGCTAATTTTTGAGATTTCTTTTTTTTTTTTTTTTTTTGAGACAGAGTCTCATTCTGTCGCCCTGGCTGGGGTGCAGTGGTGCAATCTCGGCTCACTGCAACCTCCACCTCCCGGCTTCAAGCAGTTCTTCTGCCTCAGCCTCCTGAGTAGCTGGGATTATAGGTGTGTGCCACCATGCTTGGCTAGTTTTTGTATTTTTAGTAGAGACGGGGTTTCTCCATGTTGGTCAGGATGGTCTCGAACTCATGACCTTGTGATCCGCCCGATTCAGCCTCCCAAAGTGCAGGGATTACAGGCGTGAGCCACCACGCCCAGCCAAAAATAAATTTTTTTAACGTGAATTATACATCAATAAACCTGATTTTTTTTAAGTATATATACATAGCTGGGTATGTGGTATGTGCCTATAGGCCTAGCTACTTGGGAGGCTGATGCAGGAGGATTGCTTGAGCCCAGAAGTTCAAGGCCAGTCTGGGCAATGTGGGGAGACCCAGTCTCTAAAATATAAAAATTAAAAAAATACATATATATGCACAAAAATTAACTCAAAGTGGAAAGTGAATCATAAGTCTAAATGGAAGAGCTAAACTATAAAACTCTTAGAAGACATATAGGAGTAAATCTTCATGATCTCAGATTAGGCAATTATTATTATTATTATTACTTTAGATGGAGTCTTGCTCTGTCTCCAGGCTGGAGTGCAGTGGCATGTTCTCGGCTCACTGCAACCTCCGCCTCCTGGGTTCAAGCGATTTTCCTGCCTCAGCCTCCTGAGTGGCTGGGATTACAGGTGTGAGCCACTATGCCCGGCTAATTTTCGTATTTTTAGTAGAGATGGGGTTTCACCATGTTGGCCAGGTTGTTCTCAAACTCCCGACCTCAGATGATCTGCCCACCTTGGCCTCCCAAAGTGCTGTGATTACAGTCGTGAGCCACTGCACCGGCCAGATGCAGCCACTTTGAAAAACAGTTTGGCGACCAGGCACACTGGCTCACGCCTATAATCCCAGCACTTTGGGAGGCTGAGGCAGGTGGATTGCCTGAGGTTGGGAGTTGGAGACCAGCCTGGCCAGCATGGTGAAACCCCGTCTCTAATACAAATACAAAAATTAGCCCGGTGTGGAGGCAGGCACCTGTAATCCCAGCTACTCAGGAAGCTGAGGCAAGATAATTTCTTGAACCCGGTAGGTGGAAGTTGTAGGGAGGTGGAGATTGCAGTTAGCTGGGATCTTGCCATTGTACTCCAGCCTGGGTGACAAAGCGAGACTCCATCTCAAAAAAAAAAAAAAAAAAAAAGACAGTTTGGCAGTTCCTCAAAATGCTAACCATAGAGTTACCGTAGGACCTAGCAATTTCACTTCTAGGTATACATTCAAGATAAATGAAAATGTATGTCTATGCAAAAAAACTTGTACACAAATGTTCATAGCAGTATTATTCATAATAGCCAAAAAGTGGAAACAACCCAAATGTCCATCAACAGACAAAACAAAGTGTAGCATAGCCACACAATGGAACATTATTTGGCAATAAAAAGAAACGCAGTTCTGATACATGCTACAACATGGATGAGCTTCCAAAACATTACGCTAAATGAAAGATGCATGTCACAAAAGATGACATATTGTATGTTTCCATTTATATGAAATGTCCAGAATATGAAAATCCAGAGAGACAGAAAGTAGGTTAGTGGTTGCCTAGGGCTGGGAGTTTGAGGAAAAGAGTGGGTGACGGCTAATGGGTCTCAAGTTACTTTTTGGGGTGATGAAAATATTCTAAGACAGATTGTGGTGATGGATGCAGAAGTCTGAACATACTAAAATCCACTGAAATTTGTGATACGTAAATTATATCAATAAAGTTTTTTAAATATACATTTGTCAAAATTCATGGAATTGTACATCTAAAAAAGGGTGCATTTTGCTACATGCAAATTATACCTCAATTAAAAAAAAATTAACACTCCCAAAAAAGCATATAAAGTAAGCTCTGGGCCGGGCACAGTGGCTCATGCCTGTAATCCCAGCACTTTGGGAGGCCAAGGTGGGCGGATCACCTGAGTTCAGGAGTTTGAGACCAGCCTGACCAATACGATGAAACCCCATCTCTACTAAAAATACAAAAATTAGCCAGGCACGGTGGCATGCACCTGTAATCCCAGCTACTCGGGAGGCTGAGGCAGGAGAATTGCTTGAACCTGGGAGGCAGAGGTTGCAGTGAGCCAAGATGGGGCCATTGCACTGCAGCCTGGGCAACAAGAGTGAAACTCTGTCTCAAAAAAAAAAAAAAAAAAAAAAGCTCTGGAAGTTTAAAAAGTAAATTATAGCTCCATAATTATGGTTTCGTTTAGTGTAAATATGGTAAAATTTCACTAAGAAAAGGAAAGCAAAAAGAAGCTATGATCACTTTGGCTCAAATTTTATTTATTCTCTGTCTTGGCCAATAGAATGTCAATTTTCGTGTGCCTAGCCTTGTGTCTGGCTTATAGAAAATGCTAAAAGAACACTTGTGGAAGGTGGGAAGGATAAGAAAGACCATGATAGCTCAAGTCCAACATCTCCTGGAGAGGCCCATTTGGGCTACTTTCAAGCATTTTATTATTATTATTATTATTTTTTGAGACAGAATTTCACTCTTGTCTCCTAGGCTGGAGTGCAGTGGCATGATCTCGACTCACTGCAACCTCCGCCTCCTGGGTTCAAGTGATTCTGCTGCCTCAGCCTCCCAAGTAGCTGGGGTTACAGGCACCCGCCACCACACCAGGCTAATTTTTGTATTTTTAGTAGAGTTGGGGTTTCACCATGTTGGCCAGGCTGGTCTCAAACTCCTGACCTCAGGTGATCTGCCTTCCTCGGCCTCCCAAAGTGCTGGAATTACAGTTGTGAGCCACTGCGCCCAGCCCAAGCACTTTATTATTATTATTATTACTACTATTGTGGTAAAATACACATAATAAAAATTTTGCCATCTGACCCATTTTGAGCATATGATTTAGTAGTGTTAAGTATATTTACATCATTGTACAACCAATCTCCAGAACATTTTCCCTCTTCTACAATTGAAACTATGTACCCGTTAAACAACTTATTTCCTCCTCCCGTGGCAACCAACATTCTAATTTCTGTCTCTAGAAATTTGACTCCTCTAGGTACCTCATATAACTGGAACTATGTAGTATTGGTCTTTTTTATTTTATTTTATTTTTTATTTTTTGAGATGGAGTTTCACTCTTGTTGCCCAGGCTGGAGTGCAATGGCACAATCTTAGCTCACCGCAACCTCCGCCTCCCAGGTTCAAGCAATTCTCCTGCCTCAGCCTCCCGAGTAGCTGGGATTACAGGCGCCCGCCACCACACCCAGCTAATTTTTGTATTTTTTAGTAGAGATGAGGAGTCACCATGTTGGTCAGGCCGGTCTTGAACTCCTGATCTCAAGTGATCCGCCGGCTTCGGCCTCCCAAAGTTGCTGGGATTACAGGCATGAGCCACTGCGCCTGGCTGTGACTTTTTTTTTTTTTCTTTTTTTGAGACGGAGTCTTGCTCTGTTGCCTAGGCTGGAGTGCAGTGGCATGATCTCGGCTCACTGCAACCTCTGCCTCCCGGGTTCAAGCAATTCTACTGCCTCAGCCTCTCGAGTAGCTGAGATTACAGGCACATGCCACCATGCCCAGCTAATTTTTGTATTTTTTTAGTAGAAATGGGGTTTCACTATGTTGACCAGGCTGGTCTTGAACTCCTGACCTTGTGATCCACCCGCCTCGGCCTCCCAAAGTGCTGGGAATACAGGTGTGAGCCACCGTGCCTGGCCACTATGTAGTATTTGTCTTTTTGTGACTGACCTATTTCACTTTGCATAATATCCTTATGGTTCATGCATGTTGTAGCACGTGACAGCATTTCCTTCCTTTCTCGGTCTGCATAGTACTCTGTTGTATGCACACACCACATTTTGCTTATCCATTCATCTGTCACAGACACCTGGGTTGCTCCCATCCTTTGGCTATTGTGAAGAGTGCTGCTATGAACATGGGTGTATAGTTATCTCGCCAAGTCCCTGCTGCCACTTCTTTTAGGTGTAGACTCAGAAGTAGAATTGTTAGATCATATGGTAATTTGATTTTTCATCGTTTGAGAAACTGCCATACTATTTTCCATAACGGTTGCACCATTTTACATTCCCACCACCAGTGCACAATACTTCCAAGCACTTTCATGCCCTGTTACACCCCAGTCCCACTCCAAATACCTCAACAGGCAAGTCCTGCTGCACCCACTCCTACAAGGTGGTAAGTGGTGAGGGGCCAGATGAGAGCTCTGGATTTCTAGTATTCTAGGATGTTCTAGGAAGTCAGAGGAGAGGGTTGAGAACTGCATATTGTACCATGGGGCTGCAAGAAAGGGCAGGCTCAGGACTGGAGAGGATAAATAGCCCATATTTATGGACTCTTTCGCATCTTCAACTCACTTTACCTATCACCGACTACAAAATAGCTACTATTATTATTCCCATTTTACAGATGAGGAAATCGAGCAACATGGGGCAACAGAGAGAGCTTGGACTGGGAACGGTGAGACCTGTGGTTTTGCCTCATTTTTCCACTGACCTTGTTTCTTCATCTTTGAACTGAGGGGATGGGACTGGATGACACCTAAGAGAGATTCTATGAGGCAAAGCTCAGCTGCCAGCCGCCACTGCTGCTGTTTTCCTCCAGCCCCACCCGGTCGCCCTCCCTGGGTTCAAGCCTGGGGCGGCGCACGGGGCTCAGGGTGGGAAGAACAGAGCCTTCTTGCAGGTCACTGAGCAAATGCTTGACTGCTTTCTGGGGCATGTCCAAATCTGGAAGGAGAACGTTAAGAAGAAATTTCCACGGCCCTTCCCCCATCGGGGGATTTTCCATTCTGCCTGGGCAGACATGCCTCTCGGTTTCCCCAGAGCCAAGCACTGGCAATCCGTAGGTTTTATTGAATGGCTCAACTCAGTGCTAGGAGGAATGTTCTGGTTCTTGCCCTAGGAAAGGGGCAAGTTTGTTGAGGAGCCACAACTGATCTAGAAAGATGAAGTGGGGCTGGAGGCAGGGTGGTGCTGAATCAAGCATTCAGTCTAGAAGAGCCCCAGAGAGAGACCAGGGGAAACAGGAACGACCAGGGGCAACTTCCTAGAATAAGGGACCAGAGTTGGAGGGGCAAAGAAGGGCGGAGACTTGCTAGGCAGACAGGAGAGTGCAGAACAGACGAGGGCCGGGCGCGGTGGCTCACGTTTGTAATCCCAGCACTTTGGGAGGCTGAGGCAGGTGGATCACCTGAGGTCAGGAGTTCAAGACCAGCCTGGCCAACACGATGAAACCCTGTCTCTACTGAGAATATAAAAATTAGGCGTGGTGGCGCACACCTGTAATCCTGGCTACTTGGGAGGCTGACGCAGGAGAATCACTTGAACCCGGGAGGCAGAGGTTGCAGTGAGCCCAGATAGCATCACTGCACCCCAGCCTGGGTGACAGAGGTGACAGAGCAAGACTCCACCTCAGAAAAAAAAAAAAAAAAAAGAACAGATGAGGAAGAAAATAACGTGGACCAGCTTTACAAAGGTTGTCATGCACACAGGGACAGTGCAGTGGCCAGGAGAGAGTTGGATCCAAGAAATGGAAAGTATGGTGAAGCCGATTGCGGAATACAGAAAACAGGCAGCCGTTGCAGGGGCTGGTGCTGTGGCCTCTGCACTTGCCTGTCCCACTGCAGGGAACACTCTTCCCTCAGAGCATCCCCTGGCCAGCTACTAGAGGATCAGATTTAGCTCACTGTCCCCTGCTCCACAAGGCAGCATGCCCTGGCCACCCCTGCAAAAGCAACCATCCTCTAGCACAGCTCCGCATACATTTTCCCCCACAGCCCTTAACACCACCAGAAGTTAGCCTGTGTCTTTGTTCAGTGGCCACCTCCCTTCTACAGGATGGGAGTTCCATGAGAGCAGAGGTATTGCTGGGCTTGTTTCAAGGGCCTGGCACACAGCTAGCTCAGTCATTTTTGTTTGTTTGTTTTTATTTTTTCTTGCTCTGTCACCCAAGCTGTAGTGCAGTGGCACAAACACAGCTCACTGCAGCCTCAACCTCCCAGGCTGAAGTGATCCTCCCACTTCAGCCTCCCAAGTAGCTGGGACCACAGGCATGCACCACCACACCTAGCTAATGTTTTATTGTTCTTATTGTTATTCGTAGAGATGGGAGTCTCACTTTGTTGCCCAGGCTGGTCTCAAACTCTTGGTTTCAAGCAATCCTCTCACCTTCGCTTCCCAAAGTGTTGGGATTGCAGGTGTGAGCCACCGCATCCAGCCTCAGTAAATATTGCTGAGATTCACTGATCTGTACTTTGGAATGTCTTGGTGAAAGGAAGTCTATAATAACTATATATATATATATATTTTTTTTTTTTCTGAGCACCTACTATATGCCAGGCACTGTGCTAAGTGCCTTACAAACATTATCTCATTCATTCCTCTGAGCAACTGTATGGGAAAGGTGCCACCTGTTTTATAGGTGAGGAAACTGAGGCCAAGAGAGGTTTGTGAAGTTGCTCAAGGACACACAGAGACAGGATTCGAACCTCCACTTGTTTTTTTTGTTTGTTTTTTGAGACGGAGTCTCGCTCTGTCGCCCAGGCCGGACTGCGGACTGCAGTGGCGCAATCTCGGCTCACTGCAAGTTCCGCTTCCCGGGTTCACGCCATTGTCCTGCCTCAGCCTCCCGAGTAGCTGGGACTACAGGCGCCCGCCACCGCGCCTGGCTAATTTTTTGTATTTTTAGTAGAGATGGGGTTTCACCTTGTTAGCCAGGATGGTCTCGATCTCCTGACCTCATGATCCACCCGCCTCGGCCTCCCAAAGTGCTGGGATTACAGGCGTGAGCCACCGCGCCCGGCCTGTTTTTTTTTTTTTTTTAAGACGGAGTCTCACTTTACTGCCTAGGCTGGAGTGCAGTGGCCTGATCTTGGCTCACTGCAACCTCCACCTCCCAGGTTCAAGCAATTCTCCTGCCTCAGCCTCCCTAGTAGTTGGGACTACAGGTGCACACCACCACATCCGGCTAATTTTTTTTGTATTTTTATTAGAAATGGGGTTTCACCATATTGGCCAGGCTGGTCTTGAACTCCTGACCTAAGGTGATCTGTCCACCTCAGCTTCCCAAAGTGCTGGGATTACAGGCGTGAACCACCGTGCGCGGCGAACCTCCACATTTGACCTCCGGGCTAGCAGTGTCCAATAGAAATATAATACAGGGCTGGGTGCGGTGACTCATGCCTGTAATCCCAGAACTTTGGGAGGCCAGGGCGGGCAGATCGCTGAAGTCAGGAGTTCAAGATCAGCCTGGCCAACATGGTGAAACCCCATCTCTACCAAAAATACAAAAATTAGCTCGGCGTGGTAGCAGGCACCTGTAATCCCAGCTACTCGGGAAGCTGAGGCATGAGAATCGCTTGAACTCAGGAGGTGGAGGTTGCAGTAAGCTGAGATCACGCCACTGCACTCCAGCATGGGGGATAGAGCAAGACTCTGTCTCAAAAAAAAAAAAAAGAAATATAATAAGAGCCACATAAGTAATTTAAAATTTTCCATTAGCCTCACTAAAATATAGAATCAGGTGACATTAACTTTAATAACATTTTATTTAATCTGACATAAAAGGCCGGGCCTGGTGGCTCATGCCCGTGTAATCCCAGCACTTTGGGAGGCCAAAGCAGGTGGATCATCTGAGGTCCGGAGTTTGAGACCAGCCTGACCAACATGGAGAAATCCCGTCTCTACTAAAAATACAAAATTAGCCAGGCGTGGTGTTGCATGCCTGTAATCCCAGCTACTCAGGAAGGCTGAGGCAGGAGAATCGCTTGAACCCGGGAGGCGGAGGTTGCAGTGAGCCGAGATCGCGCCACTGCACTCCAGCCTGGGCAACAAGAGCGAAACTCCGTCTCAAAACAAACAAACAAACAAACAAACAAACATTGACATAAAAATGGTATCATTAAACATGAATCAATATAAAAATATGAATTAGGTATTTTACATTTTCTTTAACTATGTCTCCAAAATCTGGTACCTAGTTTATAGTTACAGCATTGCTAAATTTTCTTTTTTCTTTTCTTTTTTTTTTTTTTTTTTTTTGAGATGGAGTCTTGCTCTGTTGCCCAGACTGGAGTGCAGTGGCGCGATCTCCTCTCACTGCAAGCTCCGCCTCCCGGGTTCATGCCATTCTCCTGCCTCAGCCTCGCAAGTAGCTGGGACTACAGGCGCCCACCGCCCCGCCCGGCTAATTTGTGTGTGTGTGTGTGTGTGTGTGTGTGTGTGTGTGTATTTTTAGTAGAGACGGGGTTTCACCGTGTTAGCCAGGATGGTCTTGATCTCCTGACCTCGTGATACCCCGCCTGAGCCTCCCATAGTGCTGGGATTACAGGCATGAGCAACCGCGCCCGGCAGCATTTGCTAAATTTTCATCAGAAAAATGATCTGTATTTAGATTTCATAAAATTTGCAGTTGAAAAACTAGATTCATGTACACAAGTTGTTCCAAACATACTTAAACATTTTCCAATATCTGAATGGAGTATCACTTTTTTTTTTTTTTTTTTTTTGAGAGGGAGTCTTGCTCTGTCGCCTGGGCTGGAGTGGAACGGTGCAATCTCGGCTCACTGCAACCTCCGCCTCCCGGGTTCAAGTGATTCTCCTGCCTCAGCCTCCTGAGTAGCTGGGATTGCAGGTACCCGCCACCACGCCCAGCTAATTTTTGTATTTTTAGTAGAGACAGTGTTTCACCATGTTGGCCAGGCTGCTCTTGAGCTCCTGACCTCGTGATCTGCCCGCCTTGGCCTCCCAAAGTGCTAGGATTGCAGGCATGAGCCATGAGCCACCTTGCCTGGCTGAGTATCACTTTTTAAACTTAGAGGTACATTAATTAAAATTAAATTTAAAAAAATTTTTTTTGAGACGGAGTCTCACTCTGTCCCCCAGGCTGGAGTGCAGTGGCGTGATCTCGGCTCACTGCAAGCTCTGCCTCCTGGGTTCACGCCATTCTCCTGCCTCAGCCTCCCGAGTAGCTGGGACTACAGGCGCCCGCCACTACGCCCGGCTAATTTTTTTGTATTTTTAGTAGAGACAGGGTTTCACCGTGTTAACCAGGATGGTCTTGATCTCCTGACCTCGTGATCCGCCCGCCTCGGCCTCCCTAAGTGCTGGGATTACAGGCTTGAGCCACTGCGCCCGGCCAAATTAAATAAAATTTAAAGTGCAGCTCCTCAGCAGCATTAGGCACATGTCAAGGGCTCAACAGCCACACATGGCAGTGGTCTCCATGTTGGAAGGAACAGCTCCTAGCTGCACGGCCTCGTCTGGCATGAGGGTTGGATGGGTGGGAGAGGGAGGCTGGAGTCCAAGAGGCTGGTGGGAGGAATCTGTAGGGGACTAGGGACCAGCTATGGGAGGAAAGGTTAGGGAAACAGACAGGCAGGCCTAGGCCCACCTACAAATGAGGCAGGATCCCCAGCCATGACTCCTACCAAGCTGCACAGGTCTGGCCCACTCGCTCGCAAGGGGAGTGCCCTGTGGTGGGCTCTTCCCACTAAGGAAGTGATGGCCCTCAAACTCTTGGGTAGAGCTCCTGTCCCCTCCTATACTACTACAAAGGGATCTGGGGGTGGTGCATGAGGCTGGATCTGAGCAGGCTCCAGCTCTGTGGGTGGAGTGATCTTCCTCTTATCTCTCCCATCTGTGGGCAGCTGGGGAGTGTGGTGGTTAAGTACATGGCCCTGGTTAAACAACTCTGAAGTCAGATACACCTGGGTTCCAACCCAGCTCAGCCAATTCCTTGCTGTGTGACCTTGGATAAGTCAAGTATCCTCTCTGAGCCTCAGTTTCCTCATCTGGAAAATGAAAACAAATCATGAAATATTGTAAGACTCTAATTTCTAGAGAGTGCCCAGCTCAATCAATCAAATGATCAATTAACAATCGCTGTTCTTCCCACGTAATGTCCTTTTCCTGTTAAAAACAGGAAAGTAAGCCTGGCGTGATGGCCCGCACCTATAATCCCAGCTATAAATATTTGGGAGACTGAGGCAGGAGGATCACTTGAGCCCAGGAGTTTGAATCCAGCCTGGGCAATATAGCGAGACCCCATCTCTACAAAAACATTAAAAACTTAAAAATTATTTCAAAATAGGAAAGTAGATTGGAGAATGTTGGTGATTATTGGAAAGGAGATAGCAGAGATGAGCTGAAGAGGGAGGGAGTTAATTCCCATGGCTGAGGGTTCCCTTCTAGGGCTCCCCCACATCTCCTGCTGGGGATCCTGCCTCATTTTTAGGTGGGCCCAGGCCTGCCTCTGTTTCCCCACCCTTCCCTGCCATAGACTTGGTTAATCAGCAGGTTGGGGAGGGGGACCTGCTGCTCCCAGAGGCCGTAGGTGCTGGAGCACGAGGTAAGAATGGCCAAGAGCTGGCTGGGCGCAGTGTCTCACGCCTGTAATCCCAGCACTTTGGGAGGCCGAGGTGGGCAGATCACCTGAGGTCGGGAGTTTGAGACCAGCCTGACCAACATGGAAAAACCCCATCTCTGCTAAAAATACAAAATTAGCCGGGAATGGTGGCACATGCCTGTAATCCCAGCTACTCAGGAGGCTGAGGCAGGAGAATCGCTTGAACCCGAGTGGCGGAGGTTGCGGTGAGCCGAGATCATGCCTTTGGACTCCAGCCTGGGCAACAAGAGTAAGACTCGGTCTAAAAAAAGAAAAAAAAAGAATGGCCAAGAGCCATCTTCTAGAAATGGGGAGAATGACTCAAACTGAATCAGGAGCAGGTGAGGTCACCCTGGGTACCTGGAGTTACTCAGAGTGACACTAGTACACGCCTGGCAGGAGTGATGGATGAGCTAGGCTCCAGGAAAGCAGGTGGGGCTGGAAACCACCCAAGACAAGGAAATTGTTGGGTTTGAAATTCCAGGTAAGCAGAGTATGGCCTGAGAGCAGCGGCAGAGGCTGAAAGTGGGCTTGGTCTCGGTATTTTTGAGGCTGAGGTAGCTCCAACTCTCTCCCTCTGAGTCAGCACCCCACTTAAGACAGAAATACTGAGATCTGCGACCCCAGCCTCCCCCACAGCAACTCCACAGTCCCCAAACCTTTGCTCCGCTGGGTCCTCCCAAGTATGGTAGCTGACACAGCCCTGAGCAGCCCACTGTCCTCTGCCCTGCCAAGTCTTCTCACTCTTGTCACTTTGTCCTACATCATTTCTTTGTCTGGCACCCCTCCTAGAATTGGTGCCCCAGAGGTGGGAAAAACCTACCCTGCTCACTGCTCTATCTCCTGGGCTTAGCTCAGACTCTGGCATACGTGAGTGCTTAGTAGAAACTTGATGGGGTATTAAAATTGAGACCTGGGTGGGTTCTCACATTAAATTTCTAACACTCCTTAGGTGGCTTGGGCCCACCCCTCTGAGCCCTGTTTCCACATCTGTAAAGTAGCAAACCATCGCCATGAAGAACAGGGAAGAACCAGGTCAGCAGGCAGGGCGGATGAAGCATCCAGCCAGTTCTAGGAAGTTTCCGATGGCTAATCCTTCAGATGCAGCTTGTAAGCAGGTCAAATACAGAATAGGAAACTGAGGCGCAACGAAGTCATGCTTAGAAGTCTGTCCAGGGAGACCAGTCAAGGCCTCCCCCACACCCTGCAAGCCCTTCTAGGAGCTCTGGTTAAGTCACTCTCGTTCAATCTCCCTGAGAGGTACCATCCACAGGTCCTGAAGTGTGTGGCCTGTCCCTGCTGTGTGAGGTGGCCCTCCCCATTCTGCTTCCTCTTTGAGGTGGCCTGGCTCCTGGTGGTAGGCAAGTGCTAGAAGACAGCAGAGATGGCTGCCTCTGGTGTTGGGAGCTGGAGTCAAAGAGCCAGAGGGGTGTGTGTGTGTGTGTGTGTGTGTGTGTGTGTGTGTATGTTCATTATCCATAAGTACCCACTTGGCCCTCACTATACTCCAAGAGGGAGGCAGTCCAGCCTAGTGGTGAGATGGTGAGATGCTCCCACTATGGAGTCAGGCTGGAGTTGGCCTTGGGGCAGTCCTTCCTTTTTTTTTTTTTTTTTTTTTTTTTTTGAGACGTAGTCTTGCTCTGTAGCCCAGGCTGGAGTGCAATGGCGTGATCTTGGCTCACTGCAACCTCTGCCTCTCGGGTCCCGGTTCAAGCAATTCTCCTGCCTCAGCCTCCCAAGTAGCTTGGACTACAGGCGCCCACCACCACACCCAGCTAATTTTTGTATTTTTAGTAGAGATGGGGTTTCACCATGTTGGCCAGGCTGGTCTCGAACTCCTGACCTCAGGTGATCTGCCCGCCTTGGCCTCCCAAAGTGCTGGGAGTACAGGCCTGAGCCACCGCGCCCGGCCTGGGGCAGTCCTTCCTAAGCCCCAGTCTCCTACCTAAAAAAGATGGTTGTGAGGGTGTGGCATGCTCAGCACTCAGCACAGAGCCTTACTCACCATTAACACTCAACAAACAGCATGTGTTGTTAGTTTTTGTTTTGAGACAGTCTCACTCTGTAGCCCAGGCTAGAGTGCAATCATGGATCACTGCAGCCTTGATCTCCTGGGCTCAAGTGATCCTCCCACCTCAGTCTCCCAAAGAGCTGGGATTACAGGCATAAGCCACCTTGCCCCGCCAGTTTTTAGCCTGTCAGCTCTTTGAGGGACACTTGTTATGGTCATACCCACAGCTTTGACCCTTACCAGGTGGTCAGGTGGATGAATGAATGAGTAGAAAGAAGGAAGAGAAGGCAGGAGGGAGAAGAGGAAGAATGAAGGAAGGGTTGAGTTTGTTCTGGAAGCTCCCAGCTTCCATCCGCACCACACTCTCCCTCTGTCCCCAGGACACCAGGGAACTGACTCAAGGCTCTCCTCTTACCAGGTGCTGTGTGGGGTCCAGGGAGAAGAGCCCATTTGAAATGGGGCACTGGTCTAAACTCTGGACCTGCTGCTCACTATTGACTGAACTTAGCCACTTAAATATTCTCCTCTATAAAATGGGAGTGACCATAGCAACTACCTCGCTGAATTGTAGGGAGACCCAAAAAATGTATATGAATACATTTGTCAACTAAAGAGTGTTAGGGATTATCTCAGTGGAGGGATAGGCAGTGCAGGCTCTGGAACCAGACTTCTTGTGTTCACATCCCTGCTCCACTGCTTGGAGACCTTTGGCAAGGTCCTTAACTCCTCTGGACCTCAGTTTTCTCATCTGTAAAACAGGGATTATACTAGTTCCTACCTCACAGAGTTGTGAAGATTAAATGAGATAATGCATGAAAGGCTTTTCAATAAGAGCAGGGCACACATTAGGCATGATGTCCATGATCAAGTGCCTAATATGTGCCTGCTCTCAGGAAGGATGCTGTGAACTACTTCACACTAAAGTGTAAATGAATGATAAGATCTACTATGCTCCACTCATGCCTGTAATCCTAGCACTTTGGGAGGCCGAAGCAAGTGGATCACCTGAGGTCAGGAGTTCGAGACCAGCCTGGCTAACATGGCAAAACTCTGTCTCTACTAAAATACAAAAGTTAGCCAGGTGGGGTGGCACATGCCTGTAATCCTAGCTATTCAGGAGGCTGAGGCAGAACTGCTTGAACCCAGGGGGTGGAGGTTGCAGTGGGCCGTGATTGTGCCACTTCATTCTGGCCTGGGCGACAAGAGTGAAACTCTGTCTCAAAAAAAAAAAGAAATGATCTACTATACTCTCTCTCAGAGGCATATGAATCGTAACAGGAATTAAAGGAGTGAAACCCCATCTAATTATGGGATTTTAAAAAGTAAGGCATACAGGGGTAGGTAAGGTCCTTCCTAGGGTCCCTCAAAATCACGCCTGCTGCCCACTGCACAAATCCTGCCTGGTCCCAGAGAGGGACCACACACAGAGGAAGGGAGAACATAGTGCCAGTCCCTGAGGAAGCTCCCCTCTGCTGGAGAAACGAGAGGCAACTGGATCCCCCAATACTGCATCACTCCAGCTAAACATGGAGGGCCTTCGGAGGCATGGCAGGCAGTCGCCCGGGCTACAGCAACCAGAAGGGCTTCAAGGACCCTCCAGGGAGCAACAGGAGCCAGGGTGAGGGGGTGGGGAGGGGGATGGGCACTGGATGTGATGAGGACTGACTTGGGACGACTGACATGGGACCAGCGAGGAAGGGGTGGGCACTCTCCCAGGGCAAGACCCTCACTTTCCAATCCGTTTCCCCCTGACTGGCACCTGTAGTACAAGGTGCAGAGGGGGTCAGGAGGTGGGTTCTGAAGCCCTGGCATTGGGGTGTTACCAATGGGCACCCATTCAATATCTCTTCAGTTCCTCCTTTGGAGAAACCCTCTTCCCTCCTTCCTTTTCAGCCCATTGGAGCAGGTGAGGCTGCAGGTGTGGGGCCTGTGAACAGATTTGCCAATCAACACAGGGTTATTCCTGCCTTGCCCCTGGTATCTGTGTGGTCACATGACCCCAACTGTCCAGTTACAGTGAAACCCGGGACATGTGTCACAATTCCCAAGGACAGAGCCTCTTTCTACTCAACTGGAACTTGGGATGATGTGCCCCTGCAGCTGCAGCAGGTGCTCATGGAGCCCAAACACTTCCCAAGACAGCAAAGGCAAAGTACAAACAAGTACAAAGACTCTGGGAAATGAGTCTTCATGACGTCGTGGTGTCGCCAGATCGAGTCATGCCTGGGGTTCTCAGTTTCCTGAGCCAGTAGATTCCCTTTTTAGCATAAATCAGTTTGAGTCAGGTTTTCTGGCATTTGCATCATTAAGAGTCTGACATTCATATGGTGAATTTTCTTTTCTTTTTTTTCTTTTTTTTTTTTTGAGATGGAGTTTCGCTCTTGTTGCCCAGGCTGGAGTGCAATGGTGCGATCTCGGCTCACCGCAACCTCTGCCTTCTCCTGGGTTCAAGCGATTCTTCTGCCTCAGCCTCCTGAGTAGCTGGGATTATAGGCATGCGCCACCATGACCGGCTACTTTTGTATTTTTAGTAGAGACGGGGTTTTTTCCATGTTGGTCAGGCTGGTCTCAAACTCCGGACCTCAGGTGATCTGCCCGCCTCGGCCTCCTAAAGTGCTGGGATTACAGGCGTGAGCCACCGCGCCCGGCCATGGGTCTGTTCTTAAATGGGGCTTCCAGAGGGAACCTCAGCCTGTTTTGAAATAACAAGGATCCAGGCACGGTGGCTCACGCCTATAATCCCAGGACTTTGGGAGGCTGAGGCGGGCGGATCACGAGGTCAGTAGTTTGAGACCAGCCTGACCAACATGGAGAAACCCCATCTCTACTAAAAATACAAAATTAGCCGGGTGTGGTGGCGCATGCCTGTAATCCCAGCTACTCAGGAGGCTGAGGCAGGAGAATTGCTTGAACCCGGGAGGCGGAGGTTGCGGTAAGCCGAGATCGCGCCATTGCACTCCAGCCTGGGAAACAAGAGCGAAACTCCATCTCAAAAAAAGAAAAGAAAAGAAGAGAAAGGACAATAAGGAGTTAGAAACACTTTCTCCCTTCCCTCCTTCCCGAGGGGCGGGCTCCATCTTCTTTATTTTTTATTTTTAGAGAAGAGGTCTCCCTATCTTGCCCAGGCTGGTCTCAAACTCCTGGTCTCAAGCGATCCTCCGGCCTCGGCCTCCCAAAGTGCTGGGTTTAAGACGTGAGCCACCGCGCCCTGCCTCCATGTTCTTTAATCTGCTGTCCCTGGCCCAGGGACCTCCGCAGATAAAGCTCGGTTTCCCCTTTCTGACGCTGTTACCAGTTTGCGGCGGTTAACCCCCCAGAGAGAGCCTGACGCAGATTTGCTGCAGGAAACCACCGAGTCTCACGGCTTGGCACGAACTCTTCCTTCCGGGCCGGCCAGGATGCCTGAGCGTGGGGGTGGGCAGGGCACCTCCTACTTCCCCCCGCAGATAACCACCAACCCGGCCACATCATTCTCACATCTGGGAACTGAGCTCACTCGAGGCTTTTCTCACGTAGCCTCCTTTGAACCTGTTTCCTCATCTGTAAAATGGGGCTAAGGATAGCATCCACCTATTTCAGGGTCGTTTTGAGGGAATCCTGGAGAGAAAACTAGGGTTTTCAGCAAAAGGATCGGCACAAAGTAGATGTTCGCCGCTCCCCTCCCTCCTTCCCGCTCCCCCGGGCAGGAAGGCTCGCGTGCGCGAGGCCACAGCGCAAGCGGGTGCAGAGCAGGATTCGAACAGGGTTCCATGCAACTCCGTGCCCAGGGTCCTACCACCGCCTGAGCTCAGCGGTCTTCAGCCAGCGGGGCCCTTCCACCCCCTTCCTTAATAGTTTTCCTCCTCCGCCTCCTGCACGGCCTCCGCCTCCGCCTGACCGTCCTCGGAAACCTCCCAGCCGCAGCCCGGCCCTCCCCAGCGGCCTGAGTGGCCTCCTCCCGCGGCGCCCCCCAGCTCCGCACCTCCCCAGCCCCGCCCGAGGCGCGCCCAGCGAGCGTGACCCCGACCCAGGGCCACGGCTGCGCCCGTAGGATCGCGGGCGCGCGGGTCTCCATGAGGGACTGGGAGAGATGCGTCACCCGCTAATCCCTCAACTGGGTCGCACCCGGTCTGCCTTGGTTGGTCCCTTCTGATGGCGGAGGCGGGACCTCGACTTGGTGGCCAATGAGGAGCCTCGTGGGGGTGCTCTCGGCTGCCATGGCAACGGAGGGGCCGCCCGCTTCCCCGCGGGGCGAGGCCGGCTCTCCCAGGACTGGCCACATTGCAGTCACGCGCTGTGGCCCCAGTCCTGTTAGCATGAGGTGGGGGTCAGAAGTTGAGGAACAACTCGGACCTAAAGCCTTGACAATTGCCAACAGTGTAGACAAGTCCCAGCATGCCCAAAATTTATAAGAGAAGGCTGCCTGGAAGAGGGACACGATGAGGAGGGTCTGCTGAAACGGACAAAGAAACCCAGTTCAGTGCAGTGGAGTGGACATGGCACGGGCAGGGCACGGAGTGGGGTCGGTGCTTAGTAAGCGGATTAGGGTTTCCAAGCCAAGACCCACCCAGGGCAGGATGGGGAACCAAGGTGAGCAGGTGCGCTGAATTGTGGGTCTCACACTGTCCTTCAGTGTCCCGCAGGAAGAGAGAGCTAAGGATCACCAGGGTCATTCCCCTGCCTCAGGCAGCCTGCACTCCACCTTAGGTACAGTCATGTCCGGTCTTCAGCATTCATTAACCTCGTATTCTTCCCAGGAAGAGGAAGGTGACCAGGTTCATTGTCCCCATTTCATAAATGAGAAAACTGATGCCTGCCTGCTAAAGTAGCTCACCCTTGGGCCGTGGGGCCTGGCATTGGGCCCAAGCGGGGCCCTTCCAGGGAAGCCCCAGCCCGCAGTTCTGACGTTGCCCACCCTTGCTGATGGTGCAGGGATGTCAGGGGCAACTGAGCCCCATGTTTAACGAGGCAGGTGAGCTGGGGTCAGAACCCTGCCCTGGCCTCTGATGGCCCTGGGTGGGGATGTGTCTAACTCCCTCCTCAGTCACTCTGGGAGGGAGTCCAGTGTTGCCCCACGCTCGTGGCCTCCAGAAGCCCACAGTCTAATGGGGAGACAGACCCTACAGGGACCACATGATGTGAGAAATGCTGCAGGGGTGACGTGGACAAAGCACAGGGGAGCACAGGAGAAGGGGTGCCTGAGTCGGCCCAGGGAAGTCAGGGAAGGCCTCACAGCGGAGGCAACCCCAACACAAGATGCAGAGTGCTTGCTAGGCAGCCAAGCAAGGGGACGGTCGCCATCCCAGGCAGAGGGAGCAAAGGCCTAGAGGCCACCTGTCTGCAAAGCCTAGAGGCATCCCTGAGAGTGGCTCCGAAGAACAAGTCTAGGAGTGTGGACTACAACTTTAGGCAAGGCCCAGGCTGCAAAGTGAATACCAAAGACAGGGCTGTGTGCTCCACAGTTGGGTGCTTTCAGCCCCCTTCTGAATCAGCAGGCACCCACATACACTTTTCTCTAACTGGCAGATTCACAGAACCCCAAGAACCTTTCTCAGGACCCCACTTTGAGAAGTATTGGATTAGAAGTTAACACTGTCCGGCTCACAGTGGCTCACGCCTGTAATCCCAGCACTTTGGGAGGCTGAGGAGGGCGGATCTCTTGAGGTCAGGAGTTCAAGACCAGCCTGGCCAATATGGTAAAACCCCATCTCTACTAAAAATCCAAAAATTAGCCGGGTGTTGTGGCACACGCCTGTAGTCCCAGCTACTCGGGAGGCCAAGGCACGAGAATCGCTTCAACTGTTAGGCAGAAGTTGCAGTGGGCCAAGATCACGCCACTGCACTCCAGCCTGGCTGATGGAGTGAGACTCTGTCTTGAAAAAAAAAAAAAAAAAAAAGGCCGGGCACAGTGGCTTACATCTGTAATCCCAGCACTTTGGGAGGCTGAGGTGGGTGGATCACCCGAGGTCAGCAGTTCGAGACCGGCGTGGCCAACGTGGCGAAACCCTGCCTCTACTAAAAATACAAAAAAAAAAATTAGCTGGGCCCGTGGTGGTGTGCGCCTGTAATCCCCGCACTTGTGGAGGCTGAGGCAGGCGGATCACTTGAGATCAGGAATTTGAGACCAGCCTGGCCAACGTGGTGAAACCCCATCTCTACTAAAAATATGAAACTTAGTCCAGCGTGGTGGTGGGCGCCTGTAATCCCAGCTACTTGGGAGGCTGAGGCAAGAGAATCACTTGAACCCAGGAGGCAGAGGTTGCAGTGAGTTGAGATCGTACCATTGTACTCCAGCCTGGGCGACAGAGCGAGACTCTGTCTCCAAAAAAAAAAAAAAAAAAAAAAAGGAAGTTAACACTGTCAAGTACACCTACATATAACTGCATGGATTATTCCCACAGGTGTAACGTTGAGAGAATGAGGCCCGACACTGAGAGTCATTCTGAGAGGTGACAGCATGCTGGCAGTCCTCACAGCCCTCGCTCGCTCTCGGCACCTCCTCTGCCTGGGCTCCCACTTTGGCGGCACTTGAGCCCTTCAGCCTGCCGCTGCACTGTGGGAGCCCCTTTCTGGGCTGGCCAAGGCCAGAGCCGGCTCCCTCAGCTTGCAGGGAGGTGTGGAGGGAGAGGCGCCGGTGGCAACCGGGTCTGCGCGCGGTGCTTGTGGGCCAGCGCGAGTTCCCGGTGGGCGTGGGCTCGGCGGGCCCCGCATTAGGAGCGGCCTCGGGCAATGGGGGGCTTAGCACCCGGGCCAGCGGCTGCGGAGGGTGTACTCGGTCCTCCAGCACTGCCGGCCCACCCAGCAGTGCCGGCCCACTGCGCTCGATTTCTTGCCGGGCCTTAGCTGCCTCCCCGCGGGGCAGGGCTCGGGACCTGCATCCCGCCATGCCTGAGCCTCCCCCCTCTCCGTGGGCTCCTGTGCGGCCCGAGCCTCCCCGATGAGCGCCGCCCCCTGCTCCACGGCGCCCAGTCCCATCGACCACCCAAGGGCTGAGAAGTGCGGGCGCACGGCGCGGGACTGGCAAGCAGCTCTACCTGCGGCCCTGGTGCGGGATCCACTGGGTGAAGCCAGCTGGGCTCCTGAGTCTGGTGGGGACTTGGAGAACCTTTATGTCTAGCTAGGGGATTGTAAATACACCAAATCAGCACTCTGTATCTAACTCAAGGTTTGTAAGCACACCAATCAGCACCCTGTGTCTAGCTCAAGGTTTGTGAAGGCACCAATGGACACTCTGTATCTAGCTACTCTGGTGGGGACTTGGAGAACCTGTATGTCTAGCTAAGGGATTGTAAATACACCAATCGGCACTCTGTATCTAGCTCATGGTTTGTAAACACACCAATCAGCACGCTGTGTCTAGCTCAGGGTTTGCGAATGCACCAATGGACACTGTAGCTACTCTGGTGGGGACTTGGAGAACCTCTGTGTGGACACTCTGTATCTAGCTAATCTAGTGGGGAGGTGGAGAACCTTTGTGTTTAGCTCAGGGATTGTAAACGCACCAATCAGCGCCCTGTCAAAACAGACCACTCGGCTCTCTGTAAAATGGACCAATCAGCAGGATGTGGGTGGGGCCAGATAAGAGAATAAAAGCAGGCTGCCCGAGCCAGCCGTGGCAACCTGCTGGGGTCCCCTTCCATACTGTGGAAGCTTTGTTCGTTTGCTCTTTGCAATACATTTTTTGCTTCTGCTCACTCTTTGGGTCCACACTGCCTTTATGAGCTGTAAAACTCACTGGGAAGATCTGCAGCTTCACTCCTGAGCCAGCGAGACCAGGAACCCACGGGGAGAAATGAACAACTCCAGGCGCCCCACCTTAAGAGTTGTTAACACTCACCGTGAAGGTCCGCAGCTTCACTCCTGAGCCAGCGAGACAACGAACCCCATTAGAAAAAAGAAACTCCGAACACATCCGAACATCAGAAGGAACAAACTCCGGACACACCGCCTTTAAGAACTGCAACACTCACCGCGAGGATCCACGGCTTCGTTCCTTGAAGTCAGTGAGACCAAGAACCCACCAATTCCGGACACAATTCTGTATGGTCTAGTTATATGAAATTCAAAACTGGGCCAAAGTGATCTATGGTCAGGGGACTGGTTACCTTTCTGGAGTGTGGTGACTGGAAGGTTGCCAGGAGGAGAGACTCCGGGGCGGGCGGGGAGATGGGGGCAATAATGTCTGTTTCTTGAGCTGAGTGTTGGCTTTGCAGGTGCATTCTCTTCTTTTTTTTTTTTTTTTTTTGAGACAGAGTCTCGCTCTGTCACCCAGGCTGGAGTGCAGTGGCGTGATCTCAGCTCAACTGCAACCTCCGCCTCTCAGGTTCAAGCGATTCTCCTGCCTCAGCCTCCTGAGTAGCTGGGATTACAGGCACGTGCCATCACATCTGGCTGATTTTTGTATTTTTAGTAGAGACAAGGTTTTACCTTGTTGTTCAGGCTGGTGTCAAACTCCTGACCTCATGTTCCACCTGCCTCAGTGTCCCAAAGTCCTGGGATTACAGGCGTGAGCCACGGTTCCCAGCCAGCAGGTGCATTCTCTTTGTGAAAATTCATCCAGCTGTTGCTGGGCGTAGTGGTTCACACCTGTAATCCCAGTACTTTGGAAGGCTGAGGCAGGCAGATCACTTGAGGTCAGGAGTTCGAGACCAGCCTGGCCAACATGGTGAAACCCCGTCTCTACTAAGAATACAAAAATTAGCTGGTCGTGGTGGTGGGTGCCTGTAATCCCAGCCACTTGGGAGGCTGAGACAGGAGACTCGCTTAAACTCAGGAGGCAGAGGTTGCAGTGAGCTGAGATCGTGCCACTGCACTCCAGCCTGAGCAAGAGTGAGACTGAGACTCCATCTCAAAAAAAAAGAAAATAAAAAGAAAATTTATCCAGCTGTAACTTAAGATGCATGTGTTTTTCTGTACGTAGCTTCTGCTTCAATTTTTGTAAAAAAAGTTAACTATTTCTCATAAACATCTGTGCATATGTAGACACTAAAATTCTGCAATCACATTATCAGCTATAAGCCAAGAATCCAGATGATGTGGAATATGTTTATATTAATTTTTTTTTGAGATGGAGTTTTGCTCTGTTGTCTAGGCTGGAGTGCAGTGGCGTGACCTCAGTTCACTGCAACATCCGTCTCCAGGGTTCAAACAATTCTCCTGCCTCAACCTCCCGAGTAGCTGGGATTACAGGGGTGTGCCACCACACCCGGCTAATTTTGTGTTTTTGTAGAGATGGGGTTTGACCACATTGGCCATGCTGACCAATGTCTTGAACTCCTGACCTCAGTTGATCCGCCCGCCTCGGCCTCCCAAAGTGCTGAGATTACAGGTGTGAGCCACCGTGCCCGGCCTATATTAATTTTTTAAAAGACTATTCCAAAATGAAAACAAACATTTAAAAATATCAGAGAGAGCTTTCAGACTTCAGAGAAGCCGTCATCTTAGACCTCAGGGTTTGAGACACCCTGGCTCAAGGGGGAGTATTACAATGCTCAGTGCTGGGGTGGTCTGGTGGGTAAATGAGGAGCCTGGAGCTTCTTCCTGGGGCACAAACCTCAGTGGAAGTCCCTGATCCTGGGAGGCAGAGGTGACCGTTTCCCCGGGCCCCGCTGAGTGTTAGACACAGCTCCAGCACAGGCAGGGTTGCATGAGGGACTGGCCCGAGTCCCCGTGGGTCTCCCTGGCTCAGCTGTGAGCTGCTTAAGCAGGTGCCCCCTTCACTCACCTGTATTCCTGGGGTCCAGCAAGGGTCTTGGCACACAGGGCATCTGAGAGAACATTTTCTGCCAGGCCTCTTTGCCCAGTCCCACACTGAGAGAGGAGAAGGGATTCTGTTTGGGATTCTGTGAGTTTCCTGTCACTGGGTGAGCTGCTCAACCTGGGCTGACAGACCACCAATGGGCGACGTGGCAGGGGGAATTCAAGGTGGGGTTAAAGTTGTCCAATCCCCCAGCATGGGAGAGCTGAGTGTAGCAGGGGTGCTGAATCTTGGGGGCCATGAATATGAACAGGAAGCCCAGCACTGCGTGCCCACTGGCTTTGCTGGAGCTGGAGACAGCCCAGCTCTACACAACAGACTGTTCCAGAACCCAGAGAGGGCTGCACCTGCTCAGCCACTCTACAGTCCTGCTCCACACTGCCCTGTTGTCTTCCTGCTTCCTCTAGGGTCCTTGCCTCTCATCCCATTCCTTACTCAGCCTCTCTTGCCCACTCTTGGGAAGCAGCCTCCTGTTTTTTAGCTTTGCCATCCCCACTCTGCCTGCGTTTCTCAAGCCACCTTCATGATTCCTGTCCCAGCCTCAGAGCTACCTGGAGGGCTATGCACTCAATATTTTTTCTTTTTTTTGAGACGGAGTCTTGCACTGTTGCCCAGGCTGGAGTGCAATGGTGTGATATTGGTTCACTGCAACCTCTGCCTCCTGGGTTCAAGCAATTCTCCTGCCTCAGCCTCCCTAGTAGCTGGGATTACAGGTGCCTGTCACCATGCCCAGCTAATTTTTTGTATTTTTAGTAGAGATGGGGTTTCACTATATTGGCCAGACTGGTCTCGAACTCCTGAACTCGTGATCCACCCGCCTCGGCCTCCCAAAGTGCTGGGATTACAGGCGTGAGCCACCGCACCCGGCAAATATTTTTTCTTTAAAACAATGTTAGGAGGCCGGGCGCGGTGGCTCACGCCTGTAATCCCAGCACTTTGGGAGGCTGAGGCAGGCGGACCACAAGGTCAGGAGATCGAGACCATCCTGGCTAACACCATGAAACCCCATCTCTACTAAAAATATACAACAAATTAGCCGGGCGTGGCGGCATGCGCCTGTAGTCCCAGCTGCTGGGGAGGCTGAGGCAGGAGAATGGCGTGAACCTGGGAGGCGGAGCTTGCAGTGAGCTGAGATCGCACCACTGCACTCCAGCCTGGGCGACAGAGCGACACTCCGTCTTAAAAAAAAGAAAAACAAAAAAAACAAACAAAAAACAATGTTAGGTTGCTTTTTTGTGGGGGAGGGGAGATGGAGTCTCACTCTATCGCCCAGGCTGGAGTGCAGTGGTGCGATCCAGGCTCACTGCAACCTCCGCCCACCCGCACCCCCATGTTCAAGTGATTATCCTGCTTCAGCCTCCTCAGTAGCTGGGATTGCAGGCACGTGTCACCACCACCAGCTAATGTTTTTTGTTTGTTTGTTTGAGTAGAGACAGCATTTCACTAAGTTAGGCAGGCTGGTTTCAAACTCCTGACCTCAAGTAATCTGCCCACCTCGGCCTCCCAAAGTGCTGGGATTACAGGCATGAGCCACCGCGCCCAGTCACATCACATTAAATTTTAATTAGAAATACTTGCTCTTGTATCACCTAAAATTATCTTGCATAGCACCACATTGGAAACTGTCTTATACGATGGTTCAGGGAGAAGGTGGTGCTTATTTATGAATAGTAATGATAGTCTCAGGTTAGCAGCGAGCTTTATGCCTCATCCACACATTCATGGTTTCATTGGATCCTCTCAGTTCCTGCACTATGAGCATCATTGGTCTCACTTTACAGACAAGGAAACTAAGACTAAAAGGGTAGTCGTGCCTTGCCTAGGATCACACAGCAAGTTAAGATTTTAATCAACATTCAAGGCACTGATGACTCCAGACCTAGATGAAGGCAAGAAGCACGCAGTACTTTCCTGTCTCCTGCCAGAACCACAAGAGCCACAGGGTGGCAACTCATAGCATCAGGAGTTTGAATTAGACCTGAAGAAGAACTTCCTGGCAAGAAATGTTTAGACATCAGAATGAGTGTCCGAGGAAGGGCGTGGAGAGCCCAGCTTCCGAAGTGCTCAAAACAAGATAAAGACTTGTCCAGCTGGGATGATTCCAGTGCTGCCTGGAGGCAAGAGAACGGACTGAATGACCTCCAGAGGTCTGCTCCAGCCCCCAAGATTGGTGTACCCTGCCATCAAGGTGGCCATTCTTGCCATTTCCCCAAAGCATCTTTTTTTTTTTTTTTTTTTTGAGGTGGAGTTTCCCTCTTGTTGCCCAGGCTGGAGTGCAATGGCATGATCTTGGCTCACCACAACCTCCACCTCCCAGATTCAAGCAATTCTCCTGCGTCAGCCTCCCAAGTAGCTGGGATTACAGGCATGTGCCACCACGCCTGGCTAATTTTGTATTTTTAGTAGAGACGGGGTTTCTCCATGTTTGGTCAGGCTGGTCTTGAACTCCCGACCTCAGGTGATCCACCTGCCTTGGCCTCCCAAAGTCCTGGGATTACAGGCATGAGCCGCCACACCTGGCCTCCCCAAAGCATCTATTAAGCAAGGAGGCTCCAACTTAAAGACACTGGGACAAAGCTTGTCTTGGCCCCTGGCCCTGAGAGGGAGTGGTTGACCACAGCCACAGATGCAGGTGGCTGGTGAGGGGGGTCAGAAGCAGTTTGGAGGGGCTAGAGCATCCCTTCCCCTCTCCTCTGGCAGCTCTGCCCCCGAGTTTCCAAGGCTGGGGTTCCAAGACCTACCTACCCTCAGAATCACTGGAGGCTGCTCGGCCATCTGGGCTGAGAAACCTGCATTTCTTCAGTATTCTCGAGGGGACTCTTTTCAAAATATTCTGAGCTAGGAAGATAGGTAGATGCTGACTTCAGTTGTTGCCTCTCTGGGGGCTGAATTGTGGTTTTTTTGTTTTTTTTTTAAAGTTTAAAAGTCAAAGCATTTATTTCTCAAAATAGAAAGGGAATTTTCCTTTCCTTTTTTATTTTTTATTTTTTTGAGACGGAGTCTCACTCTCACCCAGGCTGGAGTGCAGTGGCACCATCTCTGCTCACCGCAACCTCTGCCTCCTGGGTTTAAACAATTCTCCTGCCTCAACCTCCCGAGTAGCTGGGATTACAGGTGCCCACCACCACACCCAGCTAATTTTTTTATTTTTAGTAGAGACAGAGTTTTACTATATTGGACAGGCTGGTCCTGAATTCCTGACCTCAAGTGATCCGCCAGCCTTGGCCTTCCAAAGTGCTAGGATTACAGGTGTGAGCCACTGCGCCTGGCCTAGTTTTTGTATTTTTAGTAGAGGCGGGGTTTCGCCATGTTGGCCAGGCTGCTCTTAAACTCCTGACCTCAAGTGATCCGCCTGCCTCGGCCTCCCAAAGTGCTGGGATTACAGGCGTGACCATCATGCCCGGCCTGGCATTTTCCTCTCTGATTATAACAAATAATATAGTCCCAGTTGTTTTAAAAAATTAAATAATATTTTTAAAATATAAAAATGAAAGTAAAATATAAAATACCCCAAATTCTATCATCTGGAAACACAGCATTGTTTCTGGAGCACATCCTTTCAAAAAAAAATTTTTTTTTTTTTGAGATGGAGTCTCACCCTTGTTGCCCAGGCTGGAGTGCAATGGCATGATCTTGGCTCACTGCAACCTCCACCTCTTGAGTTTATGTGATTCTCCTGCCTCAGCCTCCTGAGTAGCTGGGATTACAGGTGCCTGCCACAACATTTGGCTAATTTTTGTATTTTTAGTAGAGACGGGATTTCATCATATTAGCCAGGCTGGTCTTGGACTCCCGACCTTGGGTGATTTGCTTGCCCCAGCCTCCCAAAGTGCTGGGATTGCAAGCGTGAGCCACTGCATCTGGCCCCCCAGATTTTTTTGTGGTAAAATATACATAGCATAAAATTGATCATTTTAACCATTTTTAAGTGTGTACAAATTCTATTTTTATAAATGCCTCCCGAAGCTAGGGCTACTAGTGCAATTTCGACACCTTGACGGACTGGTGGCTAAAATTTTGAGGTAAGGGCCTGTCTGACATTGTTCACATGAAAACACAGAGGTAGCCAGTCACTGTGTGAGGTGGTAAGGTTGGTCCTGTTAAAATATGAAGGCTGGTCAGGCACGGTGGCTCAGCCTGTAATCCCAGCACTTTGGGAGGCCAAGGCAGGCAGATCAATTGAGGCCAGGAGTTCGAGACCAGCCTGGACAACATGGTGAAACCCCATCTCTACAAAAAATACAAAAATTAGCCAGGTGTGGTGGCATGTGCCTGTAGTTCCAGCTACTTGGGAGACTGAGGTGGGAGGATTGCTTAAGCCTGGGAGTTTGAGGCTGCAGAGCGCCGTGATCACACGCCACTGCACTTCAACCTGGGTGACAGAATAAGACCCTGTCCCAGAAAATAAAAATAAAATATGAAGCCCAGGCCATGTGCTGTAGCTCACACTTATAATCCCAGAACTTTGGGAGGCCAAGGCGGGCAGATCACTTTATATATATATATGTATGAAGGCCAAGGATGAGGGAAGGCCGGTCTGTCTTGTGACAGGACTTTCAAGAGGAGAAGCAAGGGCCATGGTTTTGCTAAACTTCTCCAAGAGATCTGTCTCTTAGCCAAGGAAGATGAGAGAGATCCCCCAGCCCTTCCTGGGGGAGGTGTCTGTGATTTTCCTGGCGGGATCCTCAGTCTAAGGGGTTTCTCTCTGGCCTTGGCCTTTGGGTTGAGCAGGAGCTGCAAACTCTGGTGGACAAAAAGAGCCAGGACATGGCAGTGAGCCAGGAACAGATAACCAGCCTGGGGAGGAACAGGCCCTTGACAGGAAGGCAGGAGCTGCTGCCAGCAGACAGGAAAGAGTGAGGCCAGCCTCCTCCATCAGCCTGGCTCAGGCAAGCTTTGCTTCCTCCAGCTCCACAGAGGGAAGGGAGGCCAAGGAGAGCCTCCAGGTCCCGAACAAAGATTTCAGAGGGTGGTCAGGAGACTCTGAGTCATGAACCACAGTCATCGGCTTAGCAGATACTGTGTGCTGGCTTCAGAAGGACCTTGAACTCAAGGAGCTTAAACTAACTGGGTGGGGCACCCTTTCGCTACTGTGTTAACTGGATCCCTCCTTCCAAACCAGGAGTGATCCCCTTCCTCGCTGACATCCCACCACATTGATGTAGCCCTCACTCAACCCTTAGCACACACTCATTCGTGTTTTTGCCCTCCATGGACCCCAACCGAGCTGTAAAGTCTTTGAGAGCAGCTCCTGGGTCTCTAGGGGTCTTTGTATCTCCCCATTGTGTCCGATTCGGTGCACAGAGCAGATGTTTAGGCAACATCCACACCGTGAGGTTTATGTGAGGGGTACCGACAACAAGAGCAGCCGGAGTTCTGAACAACACAGTTTTGAGGCCCTTCCAAGGTGATCTGGAGGGCTTCCACAGGAGGAGTTGAGAAATACAGGGGGTCTTGGAGGTAGCATAGAGTTCAGTGAATGGAGAGTAAGCGGCAGGAAGGGGCATTCTGGTGGAAGATCCTGCTGGGGGAATGAGGTTTGGGGACCGAGTCCCAGGAAATCTCATATGGGGTGATTCCCAGGTCCAGATGCCCTTGCAGGCTTGCACTGTGTCTGCCAGGAGGTGAGTGCCAGACACGGGGGCTCTGATTACAGTCCGGAGCCATGATGGGCTCCCAGTTGCCACCTTTTCCAAGAAGCTGACTTTTGAGGAATCCGCCTGGCCACGGGAATCACACCATGTTTGCACTGCCCTCAGCTGTTGATTACACCCTCATCCGCGCAACCGGCATCCAGGAAGAACACTTTCTTCCTCACAGGGTGTCTCCTCTCCTGTTTTCATGTTTATGGCATCAGGTGGTTTGCAGAGTGCTCCACACCCAGACATGTGCGTCCAGTGAGGTCAGCTGAGAAAACAACAGCTTGCCCACCACCCTGCTCCCCCCTCATTCTGGGAGCTACAGGCTGGGGCCACGGTCACCCCTGGGCACACGCCCCCACCCCCACCTTCAACACCCCCAGTGCCTCCCGCTTCCCTTCTGCTTCCCTTCCGTCCCTGCTGTAGCCTCTCTCTTGCCCAAACTGTTGTTTATCAACACAGACCAGAACATTTTGCTGCCAGCAGAAACACACATGGTGATGGCACTGCTACCCACACCCTGCCGTCAACACACTCCCACGTGCTGTTTGCCGCTGTCAAAGCCCTGCTCACACACACATTCTCACCCGCTCCTGCCAGCACAGCTGTTCCCTGCTGCCTGGAACCAGGCCCTTCATCCCGCACGACACACATGTTCTCTGTGGGTTTTTCTCAATGTACGTGTGTGCTCATGGTGGAGGCACACACTTGTGAACCAGGCCAGCACACACTCTTCCCTCCGACCTGGGCTGGGGATCTATCACTTGCTACTGTGTGACCTTGGGCAATTGACTTCACCTCTCTGGGCATCAGATGCCTCACTGTAGAATGGGGATAATGATGACCTATAGAAGATAATTATCCATAGCCTCTCTAAGGGCTTTCTAGATTCTATATGGGCTTTTCCATAGGGTCTGTGGTTAGGACAGAGAGCAGGCACCCAGGAAGTGCTGAATCAGCGGGAGCCTTGCGGGTGGGGTGAGTATTGTTGGAGTCTTTCTGGAATCTGGCCCGTGGTTTTCCTCTCCGAGGCCGGCTGTCAGCCTCACCTCATGTTCACAGCATCCTGGCTGCCTGACCCTGATCCCGGAATGTCACCTGTCTGCTTCTCATGTTTCACCAGCGAAATGGGCATAACAACCGGTCCCCTCCTGCTCTGCCCCTTGCTCGCCCTCCCCCGTCTTCCCCTGGCCATCAGCAGCCCTTCTCTGTCTTGCCTCTTCAACTCAGTCTCTCCTTCTTGGCCGGCAAACCTGCTCCAGTCTTTTTTATCCTGGGAAACAGAGAGATGGATGCAGAAGGGAAAGAACACAAATGTGATTTGAGGATTGAGAAAAATCTGGGCTGAGCGGAAGAGCGCCCTGGCTGTCCCTGAGGAGCAAGTGCCAGCATGGGTGGAGCGCCAAGTCAGGCCATGCTGGAGAGCCAGTGCCTGGGGTGACATTGCCCTAAGCAGCACCACCTTACTTCCTGCTCTTGGTGGAAATCTGTGAGAGGGGTGGTGGGCAGATCCTGGCCTGGTCTGTGCTGAGCAACTGTGGATTTCCCCTTTTCCTACATGCAGAGACTTTCAAGCTCTGCCCACTGCTGGGAGCCACTGGAGAGCTGCTGGCTCCGGAGCACCATGGTAAATGGGTTGCCCCTAATCATTGGGATCCCAGGCAAGAGTACAAATGGAGAACCACACACCAGGTGTGTACATATTCAAAATGTGTACGCCAAGCTTAATCAGCTGTCATATAAAATAAATTCTATCTTCTACCTCCCCTCTGAATTTCAGAAAAACCTGGAAAGCCAGGTTTGAATCTGGAATTCCTGGACTCTTCAGAGTCCCTCTCTGGAATTCTGGGGCAAGGGACAGAGGGGCCTAGTTGTGTGACGTGCATGGTGGGGCTTTAAGGCAGTTGGCTCACTGGGTGAAAACACAAACCGTTTCAATCTGATCAATACTTTATGCTTTTTATTTTGTCCTAGGCCCGTGTGGCCAAAAGACCCAGAAGGCAGTTGAGCAGCTTAATTAAGACCTGCATTCAAGGCCGGGCGCGGTGGCTCACGCCTGTAATCCCAGCACCTTGGGAGGCCGAGGTGGGCAGATTACTAGGTCAGGAGATCGAGACCATCCTGGCTAACATGGTGAAACCCTGTCTCTACTAAAAATACAACAAATTAGCTGGGTGTGGTGGCGGGCGCCTGTAGTTCCAGCTACTCGGGAGGCTGAGGCAGGAGAGTGGTGTGAACCCGGGAGGCGGAGCTTGCAGTGAGCTGAGATCGCGCCACTGCACTCCAACCTGGGCAACAGAGCAAGACTGTCTCAAAAAAAAAAAAAAAAAAAAAAAAAAGACCTGCATTCAAATCCCTGCCAAAAGTGAGCAAATCAATTAACTTCTTTGAGGCTCAATTTCCCCATCTGTAAAATGGGACTAGTAATACCTCCCTGATAAAGTTACTGTGGTTACTCAAAGAGATAAGCCACGTAAAGCCCTTAGCATGGTCCTGGAACACAGTACTCACTCGGTAAGTTGAGAGCTATGACTGCTATTACAAGTTCTCCACACATGGGCAGTGACTGCCTCGGTGCAGGAAGCCGTCGCCCTGTCTCCTCCTTGCACACGTGAAACAGGTCACTCAGCTCAGCAGAAGCAGATCTGGAACTAGGGCTTCCAAGTTTCCCACCGCCCTGGATTTTGCTCCAGTGAAAAAGAAAAAAAAAATGATGGTACAACAATGTGAATGCTACACTTTAAGAATGGTTAAAATGTACATGTTATGTATATGTTATTATACCATTGTGTTGATTTGCTAGGGCTGCTGTAACAAATTACTGCAAACTGGGGGGCTTAACCAGCAGAAATATATTGTCTTGCAGCTCTGGAGGCTAGAAGTCCAAGATCAAGGTGTCAGCAGGATTGGTTCCTTCCAAGGGCTGGGAGGGAGAAGCTGTTCCATGTCTTAGGTCTGGCTCTGGAGGTTTCCTGGCCATCACTGGCATGACTTGGCTGGTGGAAGCATCACCCCAGCCTCTGCCTTTATCTTCACATGGCCCTCTCCCTGTGTGTGTGTCTCTCTGTCTGTCCAAAGTTCCTCCTTCTATTATTATTATTATTGAGATGGAGTCTCACTCTGTCACCCAGGCTGGAATGCAGTGGCACGATTTTGGCTCACTGCAACCTCTGCCTCCAGGTTCAAGCAATTCTCCTGCCTTAGCCTCCTGAGTAGTTGGGATTACAGGCACCTGCCACCGCACCCAGCTGATTTTTGTATTTTTAGTAAAGATGAGGGTTCAACATCTTGGCCAGGCTGGTCTTGAACTCCTGACCTCGTGATCCCCTGCCTCGGCCTCCCAAAGTGCTGAGATTACAGGCATGAGCCACCGCGCCCAGCCCCCCAATTCCCCCACTTTTTTTTAAGGACACTGGTTACGCTGGGTTAGGGTCTACCCTACTGACTTCGTTTTAACTTAATGACATCTGTAATGACCCTATCTAAATATTTCCAAATCAGGTCATATTCTGAGGTATTGGAGATTAGGTATTCAACATAATAGTTTTGAGGGAACATTATCCAACTTGTAGCAACCACAATGAAAAAAAAAAGTGTCTACCTTGTACTCGCTATCAGATTACAGACACGGGGAAAACACATTCTGTGAAGTTTCAGTGCTTTGCTCAGAGTAACTTTGCTCATAGTAGGTCTTCAAAATGTGTTTCTTAATTTGTGTTTAAATCTGATACCAAGCAGTTAAAAGGGTAGAAATCTCCCAGTTTCCAAGACGAGTCCTCTCCCGGCCATGAACTTAAAGGATTTTTCAATGATCAGCATTATTTCCAGACAAATACTTAATAAACTTTGTAAAAATAGCTACTCTCCATGTAAGATTTTTTTTTTTTTTTTTGAGACAGAGTTTCGCCCTGTTGCCCAGGCTCCTGTTGCCCAGGCTGGAGTGCAATGGCATGATCTTGGCTCACCGCAACCTCTGCCTCCCCGTTCAAGCGGTTCTCCTGCCTCAGCCTCCCAAGTAGCTGGGACTACAGGCATGTGCCACCACACCCGGCTAATTTTGTATTTTTAGTAGAGACGGGGTTTCTCCATGTTGGTCAGGCTGGTCTCGAACTCCCAACCTCAGGTGATCTGCTCACCTCAGCCTCCCAAAATGCTGGGATTACAGGCGTGAGCCACCCACCGTGCCCCAGCCTGGTTAAGTTTTTGCCACATTTGCTTGATCTGTGTAAAATTTTCCTGGTGAGCCATTTGAGAAGTCACATACTTGAGAATTTCCTAGGAATAGGCTGCTCTCCATAATCACATTGCCATTCTCACATGGGAGAAAACTAACAATGGTTCCATAATATCATCTCATATCCAGTTTATACTCAAATTTGACCAGGCTGATTTTTTAAACATTCTGAACCTAATGAATTCCAAATCTGTAAAGCTTAAGATTTTTTATTTTTTATTTAATTTATTTTTATTTTTTTTCTGAGATGGAGTCTCACTCTGTCCCCCAGGCTGGAGTGCAGTGGCGCAATCTCGGCCCACTGCAACCTCCCCTTCCTGGATTCAAGAGATTCTCCTGCCTCAGCCTTCGGAGTGGCTGGGACTACAGGCACCTACCACCACAACTAGCTAATATTTTTTATTTTTAGTAGAGATGGGGTTTAACCATGTCGCCAGGATGGTCTCCATCTCCTGAACTCATGATCCACCTGCCTCGGCCTCCCAAATTGCTGGGATTACAGGCGTGAGCCACCGCGTCCAGCCAAGCTTAAGGCCTTGACAGTATTACCTGTGCTATGGGAATTTTGGACCTTCAAAAAATGTAATTTAGGGCCAGCCACAGTGGCTCACATCTGTAATCCCAGCACTTTGGGAGGCCAAAGCAGGAGAATCACTTGAGCCCAGGAGTTTGAGACCACCCTGGGCAATATAGGGAGACCCCGTCTCTACAAAAGATTTAAAAATTAACTGAGCATGATGGTGAGTGCCTGTAGTCCCATCTACTTGGGAGGCTGAAGTGGGAGGATCACTTGAGCCCAGGAAGCGAAGGTTGCAGCAAGCGAGACTGTGCCACTGCACTCCAGCCTGGGCGATAGACCGAGACCCTGTCTCAATCAATCAATCAATCAATCAATCAGCTGAGCATGGTGGCACATGCCTGTAGTCCCAGCTACTAGGGAGGCTGAGGCAGGAGGATCGCTTAAGCGTGAGAGATCAAGGCTGCAGTGAGCTCTGATCACACCAGTGTATTCCAGCCTGGTGACACAGTGAGACTCTGTCTCTAAGAAAAAACGAAAAAAGAAAATGCAATTTGGCCGGGCGCAGTGGCTCACGCCTATAATCCCAACACTTAAGGAGGCCGAAGTGGGTGGATCACCTGAGGTCAGGAGTTCAAGACCAGCCTGGCCAACATGGTAAACCCTGTCTCTACTAAAAATACAAAAATTAGCCGAGCGTGGTGGTGGTCGCCTGTAATCCCAGCTACTTGGGAGGCTGAGGCAGGAGAATCACTTGAACCAGGAAAGGGGAGGTTGCAGTGAGCACAGATCACGCCTCTGCACTCCAGCCTTGTCAACAAGAGCGAAATTCCGTCTCAAAAAAAAAAAAAAAGAAAGCAAGAAAAAGCAACTTAACATGTAGAACTCTTTCTGGTCATGCCACATTGTTTCTTTTTCCTCATTTCCTTTCACTCACGAGCTCGAGCTCTTTTGAATGCTCAAACGTGTGCTTGTGGTGAGGTGCCCCTGGAATTCCTTTTATTCTAAGACAATGGCCTTCCAGGAGTACCTGCAGGAAGACCTGTTAAGACTGGCCTGGGACCTCCTAGACTTGCCTGGGACCTCCCTGCAGGAGTTGCCAAATGGAACCGGGAGGGAAGAGAGGTTTGCCTTTGCCCTTGGCCTTGGTTTGGGGTGGAGACACCCAGGCTGAGACATTCTCCCCTCCATAGCTGGCCAAGTTCCAATCTGGCATGGCTGTCCCTGCTGCCATTGTCATGGGCTCTTTCGGGGGAGTTCCGGACAGCACCACTGTGCAAAAGATTGTCCTGGCCTCCAGAAAGTCGGCTCCAAATGACACTGAGGGAAGAAAGAGGAAATCTCTGCAGTGTACTTCCCTGAGTTTTTGGGGAATGGTTCTCTTTCCCCTCTTTCCATCCCTTCTCTACAAATCCAGGGCTCACAGTTAAGCCCTAGGTTTGTAACACGGCTTCATAACTAAGAATGGCATTAATTAGCAACACTGTATAAATAAAAAGGGGGGCCAACAAGGATGGAGGGCGTGGGGGGAGTATGTGGTTGGCCATCCCAGGCCACCTTCCTCCTCCAGCTCCCAGGCTTGCTTCAGCTTTGCTGCAAGTTCCTGCCAATATATTTCTGCTTGGGACAGGAGCCAAGGGTCAGATAAAGTTCCAACTGTATTTTGCAGCAGGTCTGACACTTTGCCCAGTGCTCTAGGCCTGTGACAGTGCCAGGATAGTATATTGGGAAAGCCAGTCCAGAAGGAGTTGGTTTAAATGTGTTTGAGGTAGCAGGCAGGTGACTAAGCAGACAGTTCAGCAACACAACACTCAGTAACACCATCAGACCAATGTGGCTCCCAGGGACATGGAAGGCCTGTGTTCCTTTCCCAGGAAGCCCCCAGCAGCTACCGTGCTCATGCCCCAGCATTTCAGGGACCAAGATCTGTAGCCCCATTTTGTGATCTTTAGTAAGACAAGTAAACACTGAACACTAAGTGTGCTTATGCCAACCACTTTACATACATGATCTGATGGAATCCTCAGCACAGCTGATGAGGGAGTTACTGTTATTTTCCTAGCCATACAGTTAGTAGCTGACACTACAGGGAACAGACACACTTACTGTCTATGAGGATCTCTTCTAAACACTTTCCATGCATTAACTAATTTTTTGGGGAAACTGAGGCAGAGCAGGAGCAAAGCCAGTTGTCCAGTGTCACACAACTGGTGGGTGTGGACCTGAAACCACTGGAGGCTGGGTGATTCCAGAATGGAGGGTTCACCCCTGCACTACCCCCTGATTTTCCAAGTGGGGTAACAGGTTCGGAGACAGTCAGGGAAGAGAAACCAGGGTGAGATGGGTTAGTTCAGATGAGGTCAAAGGTTGCACTCTCTTCTGCTTCCTGACAAGCATAATGAGAGGCACCCATGGGAACAGAAGCTCAGACATCTGACCCTGAGCCCTCTGCCACTCTTCCTTCCTCTCCTCTGGCCCAGTTGGTCTGAACCGTGTTGTTCCAGGTCTCACGGGAGCTGCTGTGGGACACAGAATGGGCAAGAGGATTTTTGTTCACACAAGGTTGTTCCTGGAGGACCAGGCGCAGTGGCTCACCCCTATAATCCCAGCACTTTGGGACGCCAAGGCAGGCGGATCACCTGAGGTCAGGAGTTCAAGACCAATCTGGCTAACCTGGTGAAACCCCATCTCTATTAAAAATACAAAAATTAGCTGGGCATGGTGGTGCTTGCCTGTAATCCCAGCTACTTGGGAGGCCGAGGTGGGAGAATCGCTTGAACCTGGAAGGTGGAGGCTGCAGTGAGCCGAGATTGCGCCATGGCACTCTAGCCTGGGTGACAGAATGAGACTCCATCTCAAAAAAAAGAAAAAAAGGTTGCCCCTCACCTAGGCACCCCGAGAGCAGTGAAAAGCTGCCTGTTGTGCCTCCCACAGCCGAGGCTCTGTCTTGAACCTGGAAGTGAGCCAGCTGGGCCCAGCCTTGCAGGAGGCCAGGCTTCCTGTCACATTGAAGCTCTGCTGATAGCCCAAGGCCACGTGCGGCGATGGCACCTGCTGGGTGGGGATGGGTGGCCTGGTGTCAGTCCTGCACTGTCATTGTCCTTACCATCTCTGCTTTCACCTGCACCAGTGGACAAACTCAGGCACACGAGGGGCTGCTGCCATCTGTCCCTCTGCCTGGCCTCAGGCAGGATCATTAGGACTGGATCAGGAGGGAGCATCAGGCCTGGCTTCAGGGTGCCTGGCAGCATGCTCAGATATAGCACAGCACACAGGCAGGACCAGAGACCTACAGAATAGATGACCTTTAAGCAAGACTTGAATATACAATAAACCATCAGAAATCTGCATCTTACTCCTTGCGGGGAATTAGGTTGTTGTATACTGTCTTGACTTTTTCTTATGTTTACAGACATAACTATGTCTTTATTTACATACATGCATGCCCACCCATCTTTTTAGAAAATGTTTTCATGTTTTGCTAATCAATCATTCATTCTTTCCTCCTTTCCATATTTATTTATTTATTTAATTATTATTATTATTATTTTTTGAGATGGAGTCTCACTCTGTTGCCTGGGCTGGAGTGCAATGATGTGATCTCGGCTCACTGCAACCTCCGCCTCCTGAGTTCAAGAGATTCTCCTGCCTCAGCCTCCTGAGTAGCTGGGATTACAGGCATGCGCCACCACACCTGGCTAATTTTTGTATTTTTAGTAGAGACGGGGTTTCATCATGTTGGCCAGAATGCTCTCAATCTCCTGACCTTGTGATCCACCCTCTTTGGCCTCCCAAAGTGCTGGGATTACAGGTGTGAGCCACCGTGCCTGGCCTTTATTATTATTATTTTTTGAGATGGAGTTTTGCTCGTCATCCAGGCTGGAGTGCAATGGCATGATCTCGGCTCACTGCAACCTCCGCCTCCCGGATTCAAGCTATTCTCCTGCCTCAGTCTCCCAAGTAGCTGGGATTACAGGCACGTGTCACCACAACCGGCTAATTTTTGTATTTTTAGTAGAGACAGGGTTTCACCACGTTGGCCAGGCTAGTCTCCAACTCCTGACCTCAGGTGATCTGCCTGCCTCGACCTCCCAAAGTGCTGGGATTACAGGCATAAGCCACTGCGCCCGGCCCCTTTCCATATATATTTATTGATCTCTTAGTGTATGCCAGGCACCTTGGTAAGTGCTGGGTATGTGGAGATGAGGAAAACAGACATGATCTCTCCCTCATCGACCTTTCAGCCCGGTGGAGAAAGCAACTTCGAATTCTGAACTGCAGTAAGAGCTAAAGAGAGAAAACAGGAAGCTCTGAGAGTTAATAACAGGATCTCTACTCAAGTAACATTTATGTGGGGATCAATATGAGAAAGAGCCAATCATTTGAAGAGTGTAGGGAAAAGCATTCCGGGCAGAAGGAACAGCATGAGTGAGGGCACAGAAGTCTGAACATTGTGTGGGGTGTGTGGGGAAGTCTGAGGCTCTTCCTAATTACAGTGTAGGGGTGTAGTTGGGGGTTAAGCCATACAGGCAGGGTAGAATCAACGTGAGAAAACCCCAAATGCCAAGCCAAGAAATTCTGTAAGCAACGGGGGGCTACTCATGTCACTTAGTTTAGTAACAGCGGTTCTAAAGCTCCAGCCTGGAAAAGCCCAGAATATTAATGTTCAAGAGGAAATCTCTGCTTCAAATCAAAGGCTCTTTCTCCTGCTTGCTGGAAATTCAAAGCCTGCCCCGTGCCTCTGAGCCTTAGAGCCAGACAGGTTGCCTTATTACTGATTCCCTACAGAAACGCAGCCCAGAGAGGCCAAGAGATTTGCCCAAGTGAAACAGCAAACCAATGCCAAACGCAGAACCTCAAACCCCAAATGCCAGCCTTCAGCTCCAGCCCTAAACCTGTCCCCTTTCACCTGGAGATTCTTTCTGGCAGGCACTCAAAGCAGGTAGGTGAGAAAATGCCTTTTTTTTTTTTTTTTTTTGAGACCAGTCTAGCTATGTCACCCAGGCTGGAATGCAGTGGCAAGATCGTAGCTCACTGCAGCCTTGACCTCCTGGGCTAAAGGGGTCCTCCCGCCTCAGCCTACGGAGTAGCTGGGACTGAAGACTTGAAAATTAAATAAATTGCATTCTTGAAAATGCATGTTAACACGAATTTGTGGAGCACTTACTTACTAGTGCCAACTACGGTACCTGGCCTGGGAAATAGACCTGCCCCGGGAGGTAGACCTCCCCGAGGGCACTCCCAGTCCTGGAGCCCCCAAACTTCTTGAACTACAGAAATTCCCCTAGGACTCCCCTCCCCTGCCCCCCACTCCCCAAGTTGCTGAAAATCATGAGTAACAAAGCGGCCAGGAGTTTCCTGTCTTGCTGAGCTGGCTTACTCAATTTCCCTCGTTTGTCCGCTCAGACCAGACGGGGCAAAGGGCAGCCATCAAAGGTGTCTGGGACGAGCCCGGCGGGGTAATGGGCCGCTAGGGACTCAGTCTGGCCCGGGTCTCAGCCGGGGCAGAAGGCAGCCGGGCGAGGGCCGCGGGTGGGGGGCAGGGGGCCGGGGACAAGCAGCCCCGCCCAGGCCGGCGCGCTGTGTGCACAACGTGCAGGGCTGCGAAAGCGGATGCGGCCTGATGGGGCAATCGCTGGCAACGCGCCGCGGGTTGTCAGCGGGCGCTGGGGGGTGGGAGCCCGGCGCCGGCGGGCCCTGCCTCCAGCATTGGCCCCGCCCCCAGTTCCGCAGTCGTGGCTGGGTTTCGGGGAGGGCGCCCGGTGCGGGGGGCGCCCAGGGCCTGCGCACACGGGTAGGCCCGCGTGCCCAAGCCCCCTTGCAGCCCAGGCGCCCTGGCTCATTATCCATCCCGGCCACTGGCGTTCGGTTCCGCTCCTGTCGCACCACCCCCTCACTGCTCTGACAGATACCAGGAGCTGGTGCCAACCCGCAGACACACCTGGGCAGCCCCACGTGGGTATCGCACGCGCAGGGGCACATCTGCCCTGCCGGGTTTGGAGAGCAGTTGCAAGTCAGCCCCTGGAATGTGGTCCCGTGCCGGCTGGAGCAAGAACTGTGTAACCTCTCTGAGCCTCAGATAACTCATCTGTTAAATGGGGAGGATGATAGCATCACTGGGTTGTTGTCAGGATGAAATAAGATAGAGGCTATAGGGGCGGGTGTGGTGGCTCACTCCTGTAATACCAGCACTTTGGGAGGCCAAGGTGGGAGGATCCCTTGAGCCCAGGAAGTCAAGGCTGCAGTGAGCCAAGATCACGCCACTGCACTCCAGCCTGTGCGACAGTGTGAGACCTGGTCTCAAAAAAAAAAAAAAAAGGCTACAAAGTGTTATATCAGAGTCACTAGCACTCACCCAGTAAGTGATAGCCATGAAGATTCTTAAAGAGAAGGGAACTGGGAGCTACAAAGCCAGCTGGGCTCACAGGCTGCAACTGGGGCATGTCTGGGTTTCCGGCTTCTTTTTTCCTTCCCTGTATCATATTTATTTTTTCCTCAATATCACCCCTCATCTTTCACCCAGGGCCTGCAATATTCCTTCGTTCATTTGACACACATCGGTTGATATTTGTGCCTGCTGTGAGGCATTAAAAACTGCTTATCTGGCTGTGTGGCACCCGGGAACTTTCCCCAGGCCACACCAGCTACACCTGTGGCCTCCTCAGCCTGGGTTGCTGCCCTGAGTCACTGGAGTAGGTCACTTCCTCTCTCAGTCCCTCCATCTGTGCAATAGGGATAAGAGGCCTGGCTTCTCTCTAGTCTCCTGGGACTGTCAGGGGATGAGTCAGATAACGGTGGGGAAGGCGCAGAGAGGCAGAAAGCAGCTCTTACTAGAGCGGGGCCCATCTGGCTGATGCAAGGCTTGCACTTTGCATGTAACCCCAGCCGGTACAAACAGGGATGGCTCCGGGAAGCGTGAGGAGCAGGGGGAGCAGAGAAGTCCCCAACCCTACCCGACAGCCGGGGTGTGGGATCCAGACTGGCAGCTTAGGAGTCTGAGCAGCTGGGGCTCTGTCCAGGCTCTGCTTCCCCAGCTCTGCGAGCATGACAGCAGGTTCCTGACCCCTCTGATCCGGCTGCCTTTTCTGTCACTCAGGGGTTGCAGTACCTCCCTCACCTAGCTGAAGTTGGAAGTGAAGGTGGTAACTCCCAGAGGGAGTGGAGCCCTTCCGTGTTTCTGGGAGGGGTCTGAGGGCTGGCCGGGGGGGTCCGGGTGGGGGAGGTGGGACCAGACAGGAGGAAGGCAGCCCTGGCCAAAGGCTCAGCATATTCCATAGTCACCTCAGGCAGGGGGTTCTAGGGGCTCCTCCCAAAAGAGTCAGAGACCCCTGCACCCTCAGCCGACCCCAGGCATGACAGACCCCGCCTCATCCCACAGTGCACAAGGAGATCACACTCAGATCTGGGCCCCAGTCTGGCGTCTGCCCCAGGCCAGCTGCATGACCTTGGGCAGGTGATTGAATGTTTTTGGGTCTCCATTTTTCCACTTGTGAAATGGGGATAGCGATGCCTACTTTGTAAAGCTGTTGTGAGGCTGGGGGAAAATGAGAACGATATCAAGTGTTCACAGTAGAGGCCAGCACTGTTGTGAGCGGCAGCTCCTCTCCCTCCCCTCCCCTCCCCCTTTCCCTATCACAGGTGGGGCCAGGTGGAATGTCACAGTAAGTCCTTGGGATAGAAAGGTCTACTGACATATTCAAAGTGCCCCCGCCCCCAAGGTTTCTAGCCTGATACCATAAGCTTTGATGGCAAGAGCTCTGTTTGCTTGGGGACTTTATATGCATGATTGTATTTGACATATGACGAGGGCCATACGTGGCATCCATTATATAGATGGAAGCGGAGGCAGGAGAAGTCAAATAGCTTGTCTGGTCACATGGCTAGAAAGGGTGAGTGCCAGGATTTGAAACCAGGTCTTCCGGACTCCAGCTCATCCACCACACACCCCCTGCCTGCCTCTTGCTTTTGCCCTGGGTGTTCTCCTCTTTCCTGAGTGGCCTCTTATGATGTGGAGTCCCCGAGGCCAGGGACGGTCATGAGCATGGCTTCCTTGTCTTCCAGGGTGTGGCTCAAGCACACAGTGGGTCCTCAGTCCACCCTGCTGACCAGGGAGATGAGTCCTGGCATGAGGGAGATGACTCATGAAGCCGGGCTGGGCGAGGGTACGTGCCTGTGTCTCTGTGTGCGTGCATCTGTGTGCGTGCACAGGGAGGGGAATGAACGAGTACTGTCTGCTGGAGGCCTTCTCTCTCCAAGCTCCTACCCCATCCGGCGCTGCTCCTGAGACTCAGCCTTCAAGGGGGCTCTGAGCCTGAGAAGCAAGGGTGGGGGAGGTCTTGGCCATCTCCCTCCCTGGCCTAACGCAGGGCCTGGTGGGGGCTGTGGCTGATGGCGGTTCCATGGGAAGCCAGGTCCTCCCTGGTCCAAGGGGAAGCTCTTCGGGCATCTTCCACCAGTCTAGGCCCTGCTATTTTTAGATGCTGTCCCCTCCCCAACCCTCCCCTCCCCATCACATACCAGCTGAGGGAGGAAGTGACTCACCTCAAGCCCAGACAGGTAGAGGCAGCCTCAGTGGGCCCCGGGCAGGCCTGGTTCCTACGCTGGGGTTGCCTTCCTGGGATCACCTCAGGCCTGCCCCAACCTGGGGACAACACAGGGCTGGGATGGAGCCCAGGGCCTTTCTTGGGCTCCTCCATTCTCCATCTCACAGGACCTAACAGGCCTGGGTCTCTGATGGACTGTGGAGCCTCTGCTCAACTCAGCAGACCTCATCAGGCCTCGGACTGCACTGTGGGCCTGTGGCCGGCCTCAGCCCAGTCTGAGGGAGCCAGACAGGCGAAGGGGACTGCCTGTGGCCCCACCCTGTCTTTGTGAGTGACCAGTGTTATGGAAAGAAAAAATACCTGGTTCAGTGGGGACAGGAAAGGTGTGATGACCCTTGGGATGTGTGTCCCAGTGGAGTGGCCAGCTGTCCCAGAATGCCCAGATCTGAGGGGTTTCTGGGGACTCGGGACTCTCAGTGCTCACCAGGAGAGTCCTAGGCAAGTCAGGACGGTTGGCCACCCTGGTGCTGCATTGCAAGGTATATCCTAGCGAGAGGGCAGGTGTGGGGAGCTTGTTTTGGTTTCCTGACGGAGTCTCACCTAGTCAGGGCCGCAGGACCCAGCCCCTGGCCAGCTTGCTCTCTCAGGTCAGGGCATCACCTTGTCCATCTCAACTGGAAAGAGGCTGGGCTGGGCTGTGTGAGAACCCAGAGCCCCGGGGCAGGCTGGAAGACCTGTGAGCCACTTTGGCCAGGGAGGATAGGGGCCTGTCAACATGGGGTTGGGTGGACAGGTTAGCAGAGGCTGGGGCTGGGAGAGGAAGGGCACCTACCCACATAGGGCAGGGCAGGGGGAGGCAACCAGGAACAGCAGGAAATAATGACAGGAGCCCAGGATGTGCCTCAGGTAAGCTTGGCCCCAGGTCTGCAGACTGTCGGGTACTTGCAAGGAGGAATGGGAGACAGTGTGGCGATGGCTAACTGGCAGGCTGGCAGGGCTTGTTGGTTACTTGGAGAGGCCTCGCCAGGGTG
The DNA here is from genome assembly GCF_000001405.40 of Homo sapiens. Taxonomy (NCBI): domain Eukaryota; kingdom Metazoa; phylum Chordata; class Mammalia; order Primates; family Hominidae; genus Homo; species Homo sapiens. Next base: position 72,323,707 of record NC_000010.11, read on the forward strand.
ACAACCTGGAGAACTCTCGGCTGCTCAGAGAAGTGGACAGAGGACTCCGCTGCCCTCCTAGATCAGGGTCTGGGGCTGCCTTCAGGGACAACCCAGCTCCTGGCCCTGAGGCCTGCCCTAGGGGGTTAGGTCAGGGGAGCCGTGGCTGAGGCCCAGACCTTGCTGGGGACAGCCTGCACCCCCGGCCCACCTTTGTCCTCCTCATCCACGGTCCACAGCCCAGGGTTGGGGCGGGGGGATGGTCTGTGTCCCAGGCAGCAGCTCCGACACCGCTGAGCTGGGCGACCTTGGCAAGTCACTTCTCTTTTCTGGGGCTCGATTTCCTCAGTGGTGAGATCGTGGGGGTAGATTAGGGGTCTGTTTTTTAAATATTTATTTTGGCCATGGAACCCCTTCTTCAGTCACAATTCCACCTGCACTAAACAAGAGATAACAGCGGGTGACTGAGACGGGTGGGCTGGAGCCCCGGGGGCCCTCCCACTCTTACCCCACACCCCTGGGGGCCCAGGGCTCTGGGGACACAGTTTGAGAACCCGTCTTCACAGCCTGCCGCCTCTAACACTCTGTGATTTATGCCTTCAGGACAAGGATGTTGTCCTTGTTGCCTTCTCCAGGCAGCCCAGTAATTAGACCCCAAGCCCAGCATGTTCTGGTACTATCCATTCCGTGCTGAAATCTTCAAATTCTTTCTCTCTTTCTTTCCTTCCTTCCTTATTATTTTTTGAGACAGAGTCTTGCTCTGTCGCCCAGGCTGGAGTGCAGTGGCACAATCTTGGCTCACTGCAACCTCTGCCTCCTGGGTTCAAGCAATTCTCCTGCCTCAGCCTCCCAAGTAGCTGAGATTACAGGCGCCCACCACCACGCCTGGCTAATTTTTTTTTTTTTTTTTTTTTTTTTTGTATTTTTAGTAGAGATGGGGTTTCGCCATGTTGGCCAGGCTGGTCTTGAACTCCTGACCTCAGGCGATCCACCCGCCTCGGCCTGCCAAAGTGCTGGGATTACAGGCGTGAGTCACCGAGCCCGGCCAAAATCTTCAAATTCTTAATCGCTGGTTTCTGCTGACAGTGAGGTCTGTTATGCAGAGTTCAGTAGGGCCACAGGTCCCTTGTCCCTTCTCAGGGAAGGGACCGGGCCAAAACTTTCTATGCAATGGCCAACCCTGTGGGGCACTTCCAGGTGTGTGTAGGATGTTCAGTCCCCAACAGCATGCAGGAAGGTGTGACTCCCACTGGCAGACAAGGGAGGGGCTCAGGGGTCTTAGGAGGCTGGTTACTGATACCCCTGTGGATGCAGGGCTGGGTGCCTGGACAGGAGCCCAGGTCCTTTCCTGGAGCCACAGTCTGGGGCCCTGGCCCAGGCCCAGGTTTTCCCTGGCTTACTCCGGGGGTGCTGGCACCTGCAGACACCAGCAACAGAAAGAGGCAGGAGTCGATGAGGGAGGCGGAGAGGAGGGGGACTTTCCTTCTTCTGCTGGGGGTCTGGGGCGTCCTTTTCCAGGCTGAGGAGTAGGGCTACCCATTTCCCCATCACCTTCCGGCCAGGGGCAGTGGGTAGAGGAGGAGGCCGAGATTGCACAAACAGGTATGGGAGGAGGCCAGCAGCCAGGCAGCTGGCTGGGGTCGCCCAAGGGCCGTGAGAGAGTCCCCAGTGCCCGTACTGACATCAATGGCGCCCGGAGGGACTCAGTCGGTCATCTAGCAGTCTTCTCTAGCTCTCACAACAGGCACTGGGGGTTGGGAGGAGCCAGAGGTCCCTGCTCCCCACTCCACGCGTCCCTCCCAGCTGCTGAGCTGGAAACTCGAGCCAAGTCAACAGTTCCTTGAATTGTGTTACAGCCCCGGCTGCCCCTCCAGAGCTAATAATATGGGCAGCTGCAGGACATGAAACTCGATCCTCCAGGCTCCAATACCACCCCACCGCAGCCAGGCTGGCAGGGAGTGGGCGGATGTTGGGCCCAGGGTCCTGAAAGCAGAGGCCTGGGCTTGGGATCCTGGGGTGAGGCCGGGTCCGGGAGGGGCCCCGGCCCCCCCAGTGGGGTGTTTATACAAAGTTGACATGGGTCAAGCTGAGAGGTGACAGCGTGCTGGCAGTCCTCACAGCCCTCGCTCGCTCTCGGCGCCTCCTCTGCCTGGGCTCCCACTTTGGTGGCACTTGAGGAGCCCTGCAGCCCACCGCTGCACTGTGGGAGCCCCTTTCTGGGCTAGCCAAGGTCAGAGCCGGCTCCCTCAGCTTGCAGGGAGGTGTGGAGGGAGAGGCGCGAGCGGGAACCCGGGCTGCGCGCGGCGCTTGCGGGCCAGCTAGAGTTCCGGGTGGGCGTGGGCTTGGCGGCCCCGCACTCGGAGCAGCCCGCCGGCCCTGCCGCCCCGGGGAATGAGGGGCTTAGCACCCGGGCCAGCGGCTGCGGAGGGTGTACTGGGTCCCCCAGCAGTGCCAGCCCACCGGCGCTGCTCTCGATTTCTCACCGGGTCTTAGCTGCCTTCCTGAGGGGCAGGGCTCGGGACCTGCAGCCCGCCATGCCTGAGCCTCCCACCCCCTCCATGGGCTCCTGTGCGGCCCGAGCCTCCCCGATGAGCGCCGCCCCCTGCTCCACAGCGCCCAGTCCCATCGACCACCCAAGGGCTGAGGAGTGCGGGCCCACAGCGCGGGACTGGCAGGCAGCTCCACCTGCAGCCCCGGTGCACGATCCACTGAGTGAAGCCAGCTGGGCTCCTGAGTCTGGTGGGGACGTGGAGAACCTTTATGTCTAGCTTAGGGATTGTAAATACACCAATCGGCACTCTGTATCTAGCTCAAGGTTTGTGAACACACCAATCAGCACCCTGTGTCTAGCTCAGGGTTTGTGAATGCACCAGTCGACACTCTGTATCTAGCTACTCTGGTGGGGCCTTGGAGAACCTTTGTGTCCATACTCTGTATCTAACTAATCTGGTGGGGATGTGGAGAACCTTTGTGTCTAGCTCAGGGATTGTAAATGCACCAATCAGCGCCCTGTCAAAACAGACCAGTCGGCTCTACCAATCAGCAGGATGTGGGTGGGGCCAGATAAGAGAATAAAAGCACGCTGCCCGAGCCAGCAGTGACAACCTGCTGGGGTCTGCTTCCACACTGTGGACGCTTTGTTCTTTCGCTCTTTGCAATATATCTTGCTACTGCTCACTCTTTGGGTCCACGCTGCTTTTATGAGCTGCAACACTCACTGTAAAGGTCTGCAGCTTCTACTCCTGAAGCCAGCGACGAACAACTCCAGATGTGCCGCTTTAAGAGCTGTAACACTCACCGCAAAGGTCTGCAGCTTCACTCCTGAGCCAGCGAGACCACGAACACACCAAAAGGAAGAAACTCGCGACACATCCAAACATCAGAAGGAACAAACTCCAGACGCGCTACCTTAAGAGCTGTAACACTCACCGCGAGGGTCCGTGGCTTCATTCTTGAAGTCGGTGAGACCAAGAACCCACCAATTCCGGACACAAGGCTAGCAGGGCTGACACCTATAAACTCAGTGGCTGACAGAGGCTGACATCCTTAGTGACTGAACTAGTGAGGTCTGTGGGATGATAATTATAATAAGATTTTTTTTTTGAGACAGAGTCTCGATCTTGTTGCCCAGGCTGGAGTGCAAGGGCGTGGGCTCACTGCAACCTCCGCCTCCTGGGTTCAAGTGATTCTCTTGCATCAGCCTCCTGAGTAGCTGGGATTACAGGCGTGCGCCACCACACCTGGTAATTTTGTATTTTTAGTAGAGACAGGTTTCGCTGTGTTGGTCAGGGTGGTCTTGAACTCTTGACCGCAAGTGATCCACCTGCTTCAGCCTCCCAAAGTGCTGGGATTATAGGCGTGAGTCACCACGCCTAGCCTATAATAAGATTTTTTTTTTTTTGAGACGGAGTCTCACTCCGTTGCCAGGCTGGAGTACAGTGGCACAATCTCGGCTCACTGCAACCTCCGCCTCCTGGGTTCAAGCCATTCTCCTGCCTCAACCTCCTGAGTAGCTGGGACTACCAGCATGTGCCACCAACACCCAGCTAATTTTTGTATTTTTAGTAGAGACGGGGTTTCACCATGTTGGCCAGGATGATCTCGATCTCTTGACCTCTTGGTCCACCCGCCTCGGCCTCGAAAAATGCTGGGATTACAGGCGTGAGCCACCTCACCCAGCCGATAATAAGATTTTATAAGTAAATGATACAGATGAAAAGTGCCTCCTGGCCTAGCGTGTCCATGGCGGAGGCTGGAACTCCGATCTTTGGGCTCAGTGCTTCCATGCCAAGGTGGGACCAGAGAGAGACTGAGGACTAAAGACATCCACAGAGAAGCAGCTCTGAGCACCTGCGGTGGCCTCCCAAGGCCTGTCACTCACAGCCTGAACACCATGGACACACTTGCTGCCCATGTGGCCCCTGCAGTGGTGGTAGCTGGCTTGTTTGACTTGTGGCTGGAAGCAAAATTAGGGCCCACGATGCCACCTTCTGCACGCAGGCCATGGGCTGGCAGCCAGCAGATGGCAGAGCCTGCCAGAGGTGATTCCAGGGCTTGTGGCCAGGGCAGCACTGGGGCGGCCGGGGACAGAATTGGGTCTGACTCCAGGAGTGGCTGGCCTGAGTGCTGGAGAGAGCCTCCTCCTCTACCCCTTGGGGTGGTGACCTCTTCGGACAGGAGTCCGCACTCCTCTCAATGACCAATGTTTGTGATTCTCATTTTGGCCCCTGCTACATTTGTCCTTACGCAGGGAGAGGAGACCTGGGGCCTTTTCAGCAGGATCAGCAGGACTCTGCTTCCCCCCGGAGGCAGGAAAAGGAAAAAGCCCCCGCCCAGTGCCCGTCCCATGAGCGACTGCTGCCTCCAGCCACCGTCCAGCTGGATGCACACCGTGGCTGATGGCCCTGGGTCTAAGCCCTCTAAGATCTGGGAGAAGTGTCCCCCAGCCAGGGTGTGGGTTTATGGCTGCAAAGCAGCTCCCTAGGGTGACCCTGGGCAGAGGAGTAGGCGAGGCTGGGAATGCTGCAGGTGGGGACAGTGCCTCAGTGCTGATGGGCCCTTCCTTCACTCAGCCTCCCATGGAGACCCCAGGTTGTGGTGCCCAGGCCCTGGGGCTGCAGCCCTGAACCTCTTCTCCAGGGAAGCCTTTGCCTAAGAACTACACAAATACCTCCAGAACAGGATGTGAGAGGCCCAAAAGGGCCAGGCCAGACCTCCCTGAGGAGGTGGCAGGAGGTTGGGCCCTGAGGGGTGAGAGGAACCTCAGGCAGAAGGGAACCCGGGTAGCAGGGCTCCACGGTGGAGGGAGGGGCTCCGCAGGCTGCAGTCAGGGTGGGAGGGCCCTGCACAGTATGTGGGGCCAGGAGGAGTGCAGGGGAGGTTTTGGGCTGTCAGTGTGGGGGAATGAGGCCGGGCCTGGCCAGCTCCATTCTGGCCCCACTTTCTCCATCTGAAGGAGCCCGCTGCATCCTCCTGTGCTGCCAGGCACCTGTCTCTCAGGCCTCCTCATCTGAGTCCATCAGGAAAATGAGAATAATCCAGTCGAGGTAGTGGGACTGCCAGCTGGGGTCCCTGCAGGCCCTAGCCTGATCCCTGCTCTGACTAGCACGGGCTCCAGTGGGGAGCTGCACCCTGCCTCCTCAAGGAAAAATCCAGCCAGGGAGCAGCCCTGCCCTCCCTCCCTAGGGACTTTGTTTAGACCAAATTGGTAGGAGGGTGGGGAAGGTGGACAAAATGTGGCAGGCCCTCCCCTCCCCAAGCAAAGCCCCAACTCCCGGGCTCTGGGCAGACTAGCCGTGGGGTCCTAGAGAGCGCCTGCCCGCCTGCCCCTCTTCCTGCCTGAGCCCTGGACCTTTATTTCATGCCCAAGTGGCTGTGAGAGTGACAGGAGGTCCAGGCCCTGTCCCTAGGGAAATATCTCCTTACAAGGGTCTGGGGCGGGAGTGACAGTCCTGTCTGCCCTGTTACCCCCTCCACCACATGGCCTTCTCTCAGCTTATAGAGTTAGTTGCAGCCTCCCTAAGGGCAGGCAGGCCACCAAGAAAGGTTCAGAAATGCTTGCTGAGTGAATTGCTGAGTGGACAGGGTGCAGCCAGGAGTGGAGAAGCTCAGTGTCTCTCATTCATGCCTGGGAAAGTTCTCTGCCCAAGGCCACTGGGTGGGCCTGGCATGATGACAGGTACAGACTGGGGGCCTGGCCTGGGCATTGCTCCCAAATGCGCTCACTTCTGCACTCTCCGGCCTCCGGGCCTCTGCTCATGCTGGAGCACCCACTCCACCCCCACCCCAGTACTGCCTGTACCCACCTCCTTCACAAACGCCAGTTCCTCTATCAAGAGTCCCTGGCTAGAGCCTTCACAACTGCTCCGCTCCCAGGGTTTCTACTCAAGGGCAGTCCTCGTCTCAGTCACCTTGGAGCTTTCACTGCTTGGAATGGGACTTGACACCCAGTCATTGCTCAGCTAATCTTTGTCCACTAAGGACAAACAAGAAACACCCAAATGGCACTCGCCATGTACCAGGCACTGTTCTAAGTGCTTTATATGTGGTAACTTGTTTACTCCTCACAACCATCCTATGAGGTAGGTGTTTGTATCACTCCCATTTTGCAGATGAAGACACTGAGGCAAAGGGCAGTCAAATGACACAGGAAAGCAAAAACTGGCTCCCTCCACCCTTCTAGGGTCTTTGACTGTGCTAGGAATTACATGGACAGATAAAGTGGTTAACAGGAGAAAAATCATATTTAATTACGTACATAGGCATGGGAGCCCCACAAAATATGCAATTTCAAGAAAGATCACATCTTGAGCTACAGAAAAGGAACTGGGGTCCAGGATAACCTTTGTACCTTAAAAAAAAAACCAAAAAAAAAAAAAAAAAAAAAACGGGCTGGGAGCTTCTGGTGGGTGATGGCAATGCAAGTTTGGGAGGGTGAGGGGAGGAACTGCATGGTGAGCAAAAGTTGTCTCGTTATGCAGATAAAAAGTCAGTCTCGGCCAGGCATGGTGGCTCATGCCTGTAATCTCAGCACTTTGGGAGGCTGAGGTGGGCGGATCACGAGGTCAGGAGATCGAGACCATCCTGGCTAACACAGTGAAACCCTGTCTCTACTAAAAATACAAAAAAATTAGCCGGGCGTGGTGGCAGGCACCTGTAGTCCCAGCTACTCGGGAGGCTGAGGCAGGAGAATGGCGTGAACCCGGGAAGCGGAGCTTGCAGTGAGCCGAGATTGCGCCACTGCACTCCAGCCTGGGTGACAGAGCGAGATTCCATCTCAAAAAAAAAAAAAAAGTCAGTCTCTCAGGTCTTAACAGTTGTCTGAGCAGCCCCAAGAATAATAGGCAGTTGTTGTCAATGAGTCAATCCTCCTTGGTAGGTAAGATTTCCAGGAGGGAGTTCAGGACAACTTAGGCAGATGAGGCAACTTCAGAGAAAGCCCTTCCTGCACTTGCTGTTGCTCAAGTGCCCCCAGTTTGAAGTAATCAGCACACCAAAATGGCAGATTTTGGGGTGGCATTTCCTGAACTCCTTCAGGGACACCCAAGGTCACCCAGTCAGTAAATGGCAAAGATCCAGCCTCAGCCCCCGTGGGGGCTGCGAGGCTGCCTCCTGGGGATGACGTTTCCTGGTGCAGCCAGATGGATGCCCGTGTCACTGCCAGGAGACACCTACTGGAATGGGCAGCTGCTCCCTAGGCCAAGCCCATCAGATGAAGTGCCACCATCCTCAGTGTGGCCTTTTCATCCTTTTCCACCCTCCTGGACTCGGGTCTTCTGCCCACTCTACCTGACACCAGTGGGTTTGATTTCCCTGAGTGCAGCAAATTTGGGCTCAGCAACTGTTTGTAGAATGACCACTCTGCTACAAGGACCCCAGAGACAGGCACAGTTTCTTCAAGACCCTGGGCGCCACTTTCCTCCCCCAAGCCTGTTTCCTGCTCTGGGAAATGAGCTGACTTGCTCATGTCACATGGCGTGATGTCTGGTAGGGACGCTGGGTTGCTTCTGAACCATGTCAACAGTCTATTTACCTGATTCTTGGCATGGCTGTGTGCCTGCTCCAGACGCCAGGTGACTTTGTCTGGGCAATGTGGGGTGGGGATGAGGTTACAGGCAGGTCGGGTGTGTGCTCCTTGTCCCTGGAGCAGTTTTTTTTTCTCTGGACCTGGGAGCAGCAAGGGACAAGGCTATAAGCTAGTGGAGCCAGGGAGCTGGGATGCAGTGGCGCGTTCTGCCACCTGACAGTGGGTGGGGGACACTTGTCAAAGCCTTTTTTGCTGCAGTCAGAGCGTGCATCCCACCTCCTCTGGCTCACGGCCAAGCCACACAGGGAGGGCAGGGGGGATGAGGTGGGTGAATGGGGGTGCCTGCAACGCCTCTGCCAACCGCAGCTAACAAGTGGCGGCTTGCACACCAGGGCAGGCAGTGGTGACCCTGGGCAGGGGCAGCCAATGAGCTCCCGGGCCACGGTGGCACCACTGGGCAGCCCGCCTGTCTTTGGCTGGTGCAGCCGCGGGAGGGGCCTGGGTCCGCCAGTCAGGGCTGCCGGGCCCTGTCTCTGGGAGGCCTGGGCAGATCTGCCGCTCCATTCACAGGAGCCCGACCCGACTTGGGCTGCCACATTTTAAACTTTTTCAACCTCCTGGAGAGGAGGGCGGGCTGCGGGGGCGGTTTGGGGGAGGATGGTGGGAAGGACGATGGAAACAAACTCGCAACACTTTTCCCAGGATCTGGCTCCTGAGTGGGATCGAGCTCCAGGCTGGGGCCGGGAATTTCGAATGCTCTGCGGGCACATGGCAGGCCTGAGGGTGTGGGGGGGAGGGATTGGGAGAGGGAAAAGCAGAGGGTGATGGTCGTGGCCCAGATGCCCAGCCAGGACTGGCGCTGGGGACCCCAGGGACCCAGACTGCTCAGGTCCTGCAGCCCCCCAGTCACCTGAGCACCCCTCTGCCTGGATGGAGTTAGTTCTGGAACAGCATGTGTGGCTTAAGTGGCTGTTAGCCAGGGCCAGGGGTCGGGGGAAATTCAGGCTCATCATCTAGAGCTCCTTGTGGCACAGGCTGGACAGTGTCAGCAGCAGCAGGGGCTTGTGCCCCCTCCCCCCCACCCCTTAGGCCTCCCTGCTCAATGCAGACCCACCACGGCCAGTCACATAATAAACATATATTAACAGATGTACAATTTGAGAATTCTAATTCAAGAAATACAGCTTCCAGAGGATCCTTTAGGATCTATGTTCTTATTGCACATGGCTCAGCCCGTCTAGGGACATCTACCAAGACCAGATGGTCGGGGCGTGGGGGCAGAGCACCGGGGCCACAGTGGGTAGGCACTCTGGCCACATCAGTTCTTATAATCTCTCTGGGCTGAAGTGGCTGCTTCATTGCAGGGTTGGACCTTGTTTAAAAACCAGATTTGACATTTCCTTACCGAACTTCCTTTCCCAGCAAGAATCCTATTTGTTGGGGGACTTTTAAAAAAAGAGCCGAGAGAAACTCTGGGAGGGTGGTTATCACCTCCTGGCTGGCAGCTTGGGGAAGTAAGGCTTTGGAAGACGGCGGGCGCAATGACACACCCACCGCCACAGGAAAACATGGTCATTCCAGAAGGCCCAGGAGAAACTGTGGGAATAAATAAAACCTCCCTCCTCCCACTGGCGGCAAGTGCTGTTTTAAGCAAAATCCTCATTTCAATGTGAGGGTAAGAAAACTATTCTGGTTCAGGTGTATCCTTTGTCCAAGGTACGAGAGGAGGCCTGGCGGTCACATCAACAGCGAGTGAAGACAGAGGCAGCCACGGGCACTGCCTTTTCTTCAGGAGTCGAGGAGGCTGCCCTGGGGTCCCGGCACCACTGACTGACTCGGAGGAAGAACTTTCTGAAGTCCTTGGTGCATGACTTAGGAAAAACCAGTGGCAATGATGGAGCTGTGCCCTGTGGCACCTATAAGGCAAAGCCCACTGAGGGACTTAGGGGTGGGGAAATGGTTAGGTAGATCCTGGCCCCCTCTGCAGGCCTTCCCTTCTGTGGGCAGGGGGCTGGAGGGCTCCTGGGCACCAGGACAAAGAGCCCACCAGCGCTGCTGAGAGGGGAGAGGTGGTCTCACCCAAGCAGGTCCTTGTGGGGCCTCTACTGTGACTCAATACTGACCTGGCACCTGCCTCCATGGCCTGCTCCTCTCCAGGTTAACCATAATCCTGAGGCCTTCGCGGGTTCACACTATCATGATTACTGCTGCCATCAAAACCAGGCTGGGGTTTCGGGGGGCTGTGAAAAGCTCTGATGCGACTCTCCTTATGCTGTCAGCTACAGCTAATGTCTAGCAAAAACATCACCAGGGTACCTTCCCCAAACAGGCCTCATTTTCTAAAACATGGAAGAAATCAGCTCAACAACTTAACCAAATCCCTGCAGAGTTTAAAAAGTAGACTATATATATATATATCTTCATATATGCCTATTTACATATAAATAGATATATATACATATACACGCATCTATAAATTACATTCTATGGAGAGTTCTCTTTCTTCCTCCTATCTTTGGCCAGGGCCTCTGGCTTCTCCTGAGAGGTGGCTGGTGGTGGCTCCTGTGAGGGAGGAAAGGCAGCTGGGTGCCCCCTCCCCCAGCCCTTCCCACTGATATCTGCTGCGAGTTTTACATTCTACTTTCGTTGCCATGGTTTCTGTATCCTAGGAGAGAGGCGATGCGGAGCCTCCGCCAGCCCTGCGAGGGAGGGAAGCAGCCCCATGGCAGGTTTTCTGTCTGTCCTAAGAGCTTTCTGCATTTACTGGGTGAGAGAGAGGGCAGCTGTGCAGCGTTCGGCCTCCAATTCCATTTTAATTTTGTTTCTTTGTTTGTCTTTCCTCAAATATACAGTCCATCACCTTGGCTCAGTGCATGTCACCAAAAATTCTCCAGGGATTTCATAGTCTGGGGAGGAGAGTGGCAACAGTTAGCTCGGCATTCAGGCGGCACCGGCTCCTCTAGCTTATGCCACACAAGTAGCCCCCCTTGCCACTGCACCGCTGCACCGTGCTGCCCGCTCGACCCCCACCAACCCCACTTGCGGCCTGCCCTCCTGCGGCAGCACAGAGGCAGGCACAAATGGCCTCCAGGCAGAGTCAGCCATGGATCCAGGCCGGGAGGACACAGGCAAAGGAGGGGGTGGGCAGGGCACCCACACAGAGAAGAACCTTCACTGCTTCTGCCCACACTTCTCTGGGCTTGGCTGAAGTGGCCACCTCTGGCAAACGCTGGGAACAGAGCCCAGCGCCCCCATTCGCCGGGCTGCAGAAGGAGGGAGCCTGCTACCAGCAACTCTCATTTCCCCTCCACCCCTCCTGTGCTGAGCGGCTGCGTCTGACCCTGAACTCATGACCTTCTGTTCCCTTCCTCAGACCGCAGGCGAGATGCCTGGGCAAGGCCGGATGCCTGTGGCTTCCAGGCTGCCAGGTGTGACGGCATTCGAGAGAGTGCCTCAGATCCCACCAGAGGGGGGTGGTCAGGGCCCGCGGCCCCTGCCGCCACCAAGACTGCCAGCTCCCACCCACCTCGTGGCTGCCTGTTCATCTTGCTCCATTTCCTCCTAGCTGGAGGGATGGAGAAAGGGGAGGGCTCTTGGCCCACCTATTCCCACATGGTTCTTCCTGGTATCAGGCAGGCAGTGTGCATATGGGGCTCTCTTGGGCCCCACCATATGTGATGGCCTAAATACCAGGGCACGGACAATAGTCTGCTGTGCTGGAGAAAGGGCCGTGCTGACTGATGGCTGGAGTGGACCAAGAAGCCCCGGGTGGCCCTCAGCAACAGTTTCAAGTTCCCACTCTGCCTGGTTCTGGGGTCCCCCACACCCCTGGAGCCAGGGAGCAGAGCGGAGGAGTGGGGAGGACAGCATCGCTAGAGGGCGGAAACCGACCTTGGTTTCCCAGCAGGCCCCACAGCTGCTCGGTCTCTGGAGGCTGGAGGTCAGGCTGGGGACAGGAGTCTTTGCCACAATCACCAGGCTTCCTCCCTTTCTCCCCCTCCCTCCTCTGCTCATGACCAGGGCCAAAGCTGCCAGGAGTTGCAGGGTGGAGGCAGCCCTGGCTCATACTTGGACCTCGGTGGTGTGGCTGGCCCAGGACTATCCATGCAGGGAGGCCTGCACCTCTGACAGTCGGCTGCAGCTGGGGGTGCCCATCTTCTGTGCTCTGTGGTACATATCTGTGTCGCCAAAGTAGCGTGCCCGGTACAGCAAGCCTTCCTCTGCAAAGCAATGGGACAGGGTTAGTGCACACCCAGTACCTCCCGAAGCCTGCAAGGAAGCCTGCGAGGGCTGTGGAGGGCGGAGGAAAGCTGGTACATGCCCGGGGCTTGGGCAGGGCTGGCCTCCCATTAGGAAGACCATGGAGGAGCAGAGACTACAGTCCTTATGTGGGCGAGGGTGACAGAGGCGCCTTTCTCTAGAATGCAGTGAGGCCAGCCAAGGTGAGACCCTGTCATCCTGGTCAGGCCTCCCCAGGGTCCCACAGACAGATCCAGGAGCACAGTCAGGGGGTGGCCAGGGATCCATCCGCTCCAGTCCATCTCTACACACTCACCTCTGGCAGCCAACATGCTGGGCTGATGGCAGTGATTTACGGGAACCTGAGGAAACTACCAGGTGGCCCCTGGCTCCCAGCCCCGGAGAAACACAGGAGTGGAGACCAGCTCTTGTCTGGGAGGTGGCTGGTGCAGGGCAGTGCCAGGGGCTGGGCCCTCAGAGCACAGGGTGAGCAGGGCTCTCTCCTTCCCCTGCTTTCCAGCTTCATCCCAAGCCACCTCCCAAATACAGCCCCCGCCTTCCCCCCACACTCACTCTGCTGCTTCTCCTTCCAGCAGTTGTTCCGGAGGTTGGCGATATAATCATCTTCCACATTCCGCTCGACTGTTTTGAGGCTGGAGCCTGTGTACTCTTCGGAGAAAGTGTCTCCCACATAGTAGACGACACCCAGGTGGTCAGTGACTCGCCTGTGGATGTGGCCCACGGACCTGGCCAGAAATACCAGGTTCAAAGTGGGTGCGGGTCCCCATGCCCAGGGCACTCTAGGGGTATGGGCCCCAAGACAGGAGGTGCCGCACAGACCAGAGGAGTAGTTGGTTCCCTCTCAAACCAGAGCAGGGACCCGCACACTCCCTGAAAGGAGAGTCTGAGGAAAAGGCAGCGTCCTCCCACACACGTGGCCCAGACCGCAGGACGCCCTGCCTTTAGATCCCTGCTTACCACACTGCTGACCTGGGGCCTTTGGGGAGAGGCCTGGTCTAGGGAACTGGAGACCTGAGAGGGAATCTGGGCTCTGCCTCTGTGCCTCCATCTCCCCATTCATCCCCTAAGCCAATTGTTGCTGAGTGCTTGCCTGCCTATCTAGGAGTTCCCAGTGTAGGGTTAAGAGGCTTAGGAACAAAATGACAGGAAGGGCTCCAGGGAGCCTTATCCTCCCAGCTCCAATCACAGGCTCTGTCAGCTGTGGGAAGAGCCTTGACACCCAGACAGGACCAGTGCTCTGGGGACAACAGTCCCTGCCCTAGTCCTCTGCTCCTCACATCTCTCCAGTTGCAGGGAAAAGGGCTGGCATCTGGCCACAGGGAGCCTGAGCCGGCGGCCAGGGTCCAGTGGACCGACTCTGCCCCCTGCTGGCTGAGAAGGGTCCTGCCAGCTCCCAGCCAGAGGTGGCCACCTTTTGGGAGAGGGGGACCCACCCCACTGAAGATGTGCACCCACTGTGTAGCTGACCCTGGGCCAGGTGCTGGACATCAGTGAGGGGAGCTGACCCCCTAACGGCTCATGAAATGTCCTCAAGTTCACTCCTGGCAGTCGAGACTAAGCATTCATTAAACTAATATTGTTGAGCATTTCTAGTGGGCCAGACATTTTATATGCATTACTCATTAATTTCCACAGCAGGTGGATGTTATAATTCCCATTTTATAGATGAGGAAACCAAGGTTATATAACTTGTTTAGGGTCACACAGCTTCTTAGTGGAGAAGCTGGGATTCTAAGCCATGCTTGCTCTGTCTGACTCTAGTGCCCTGTTCTTTCCACAGCCTCAGGAAGCCCAACCAGAGCCGAGGAGCAGAGGTTCTTCGTCAGGGTTGGCAGGGGAGATGGGCAGGGAAGAGTCACAAAGCCGCCGAAATTATATGCAAAACTCTGTGTGTATATGTGTGCGTGTATGTGTGCATGTGTATTATGTGTGTGCATGTATTGTGTGTGTGTGTACATGTGTATCGTGTGTGTGTATGTGTGTGTGCACATGTGTGCATAGTTTTAGGGAAAAGTTCTGTAGCTCTCGCTGCAATTTCTTAGGGGACCATAATCCTAAAAAGCTTAAGAGTCCTAGTTGAATAGAGAAAGTATATTTTCTTGATTCGAAGCCAGGTTTCTGCATTATGATCGCACACTGGCTGGATCAGGATGGGAAAGAAGGCCCCTGATGGGGCTGAGAATTTAAAGCCCCTTGTCTGCCCATGGCCCGGCCTCACCCATGTACTCACGGTCTTGGACTCAGACTGTAGGGTGGACTGGAGACCATGAGCTGGCTGAGAGCTGACACGAGAATCAGGATGAGGATAGGCATCAGCTGCACAAACACCCCTAGCCCGCCCTGGAGGGAAGAGCCAATGTCACTCTGCTGGACCTGGGTGGGGTGTGGTGTCAGCCATAATCACCACTAGCTCCCCTAGAATAGTGGAGCCTGGGGAGACATGACACCACTCTGCCGTTCCCTCCACGAGGCTCCAAAACACAGACGCTCCTTCACCTGCCAGCTTTCCCAGATAAAAACAAAGCAGCAACTGGTGTGAAATACAGGAGGAAGTGAGGTGTCTGCATTTACTTTTGACAGAATGCCAAAAAAAAAAAAAAATCAGCAAAAGTTGCTTCCTCCAGGAGAATGGAAGGCAGGGCTGGAAGGAGACATGCAGTATATACAAGTTTTTGAGATGTGAACCACACAAATATATTACCAATTTAAACATTATGGCCAGTGTGGCGGCTCATGCCTGTAATCCCAACACTTTGGGAGACCAACATGAGAGGAACACGTGAGGCCAGGAGTTCAAGACCAGTCTGGCCAACATACACCCCCATCTCTACAAAAAATAATAATTAAAACAAAATAAAAATTAGAAATAGCACTGGTTCTAGGGTGCAGAAAAAGCAAACAAACAAAAAAAGAAGAATTAGAAATAAAAATTAACAAATATATTCACTGTGTGATAATCTGTGATGTTAAACTCTTCTGTTGTTAGATACAAAATAAAAAAATTTTGATCAGGGGCAATGGCTCATGCCTGTAATCCCAGCACTGTGGGAGGCTGAGGCAGGAGGACCACTTGAGCCCAAGAGTTTGAGACCAGCCTGTGCTCAAACAGCAAAGTAAGACCCTATCTCTACAAAAAATACAAAAAATTAGCTGGGTGTGGTGGTGTGGGCCTGTGGTCCCAGCTACTGGGGAGCCTGAGGTGGGAGCTTTGCCTGGGAGGGGAGGCTCCTGCACTCTAGCCAGGGTGACAGAACGAGACCCTGTCTCAAAAAAAAAAAAAAAAGGCCGGCATGGTGGCTCACGCCTGTAATCCCAGCACTTTGGGAGGAAGGGGCAGGCAGATCACGAGGTCAGGAGTTCGAGACCAGCCTGGCCAACATGGTGAAACCCCGTCTCTACTAAAAATACAAAAATTAGCTGGGTGTGGTGGCGGGCGCCTGTACTCCCAGCTACGTAGGAGCCTGAGACAGGAGAATCACTTGAACCTGGGAGGCAGAGGTTGCAGTGAGCCAAGATTGTGCCACTGCACTCCGGCATGGGCAACAGAGCGAGACTCCATCTCAAAAAATTAAAAAAAAAAAAAATTGAATAAATATTGTCAGAGCAAAAGGAAACCCCTTCCGCCTGGCCAGAATTTAAAATGTTTTGCAATTGTCCACAATATTTTAATTTTAGCCAGCTAGCTGTTCTTTGATCTGTGGCATACAAAATGTGTTTGAAGCACTGTCTAGTTATAATTTTTATACTTTTTTTTTTTTTTGAGACGGAGTCTTGCTCTGTTGCCTAGGATGGAGTGCAGTGGCACGATCTCGGCTCAACACAACCTCTGCCTCCTGGGTTCAAGTGATTCTCATGCCTCAGCTTCCCGAGTAGGGATTAAAGGCGCCTGCCACTACGCCCAGCTAATTTTTGTATGTTTAGTAGAGACGGGGTTTCACCATGTTGGCCAGACTGCTCTCAAACTCCTGACCTCAGGTGATCTACCCACCTTGGCCTCCCAAATTTTTGTAAATATCTTTTTAAAAGTATCTTTTGGCTTTTTAGCAAGAAGAGTCGGCACCTATGTTGTCATCCTTTAAAATTCTCTCAGTGGCAGAGCGCAGTGGCTCACGCCCATAATCCCAGCACTTTGGGAGGCTGAGGCGGGTGAATCACCAGAGGTCAGGAGTTCAAGGCCAGCCTGGCCAACATGGTGAAACCCCATCTCTACTAAAAATACAAAATTAGCCGGGGGTGGTGGCACGCACCCGTAATCCCAGTTACTCGGGAGGCTGAGGCAGGAGAATGGCTTGAACCCGGGAGGCGGAGGTTGCAGTGAGCCGAGATCGCGCCACTGCACTCAGCCTGGGCGAGAGAGCAAGACTCCATCTCAATTAAAAAAAAAGAAATTTCTCTCACAAAGTTGAGAGAAAATAGCTGAGACCCATGAAAAAAATGAAAAATAAAATAAAATTCTCTCACAAAGTGTAACTTTCCATTGCTTAGAGGATGTCACTTTGGCCTTACCAGCGAGCGGTCTGCATGGGAGCCTCACACTCAAACCTGGCTGTGGGTGGGGTTTCTGGTTCCACTCCCCAGCCAGGCCAGCAAAGCCGCGCTCCCGCCGGCAATGTGGAGCATGGCTCCCTCGTGTGGCGCCCTCTGGTGTCACTCAGCAGAATGGCAAGGGAGGCCCAGAGGGCTCCTTGGCTGAGAGTTATGGGGACTCTGCTGGTCCCAGAATGGACAGTGTGGGAGGGAACACCCTCCTCCAAGCCCCCTCCCTGGGGTGGATTTGGTGCCCTTCCCGCGCTGTCCCTGGCGCCCTCCTCACTCACATCACCCTGGTTGTCCCTGCGGTCCTGCCTTTGCTGGTAGGTATAGCGCATGCGGCCGTTGCTGTAGACGTGGACGTTACCTGGGGGTCAGAGGGGCTGAGTCAGGAGCCAGGTCTGTTGGGAAAGGGAGAGGCTGGCATGCCATTCCCACCATCACCCCAGGGATACCTGGCTGTGGGGAGGGTGGGGAACTTACTAGAAGGGAAGCCGCCGCCAAAGAACATGTTGAAGAGGTCTTCAGGGGAGATGTCGGCCTCAAAGCCACGGTGGAAATCCCCATGCCCATGGCCGTGCCGGGCCGCCTGGCTCTTGTCATCGCCGAACTGGTCATACTGCTTCCTCTTCTCCGGGTTGCTGAGTACCGCATATGCTGTGCCAATGGCTGGAGAGGAGGAGGAAAGGTCAGGCCTGAGGATCCTGGGGTGCGGGGGGAGGCTCCCATGGCAGCCGAGTGCTCACTTTTCTCAGGTACTCAAGCAGTGCTTTAGGAAGCAGACGTCCTTGGGGTGGGCAGGAAGCTTGGCCAGTGTAAGGAGGGGGCATGCAGGAAGACCCCTCAGTGGATCTGGGCAGCCTGGCTGGGTGGAGGGTAACACAGGCTCCTTGTTCTCCTCAAGACAATGGTCAAGCTTTGTCAATGTGCCAGGCCTCCTAGGAGTGTGGCCTCATTTACTTCTTTTTGTTTGTTTATTTTATTTTTTGAGGCAGGGCCTCACTCTGTCACCCAAGCTGAGTGCAGTGGAGCAACCGTGGCTCACTGCAGTCTCAACTTCCTTTGCTCAAGCGATCCTCCCACCTCAGCCTCCTGAGTAGCTGGGACTACAGGCGTGAACCACCACACTCAGCTAATTTTTTGTATTTTTTGTAGAGATGAGGTCTTGCCAAGTTGCCCAGGCTGGTCTCAAACTCCTGGGCTCAAGGGATCCTCCCACCTTGGCCTCCCAAAGTGCTGGGATTATAGACATAAGCCACCACACCAGGTCAACTCATTTACCTCTAAGAGCAACCCTATCTCCATTTCACCAATGAGAAAACTGAGGCTCAGAGAAGTGACTGCCTAAGCTTACACAGCTTTAATATGTTACAGAGCTGGGAGTCAAACAAAAGCAGGTGTCTCTTGCTTCAAGTTCTCTCTCCGACTTTATGAAAACCACCAAAAACCTCTTTCCTCATTCTCTCTTGACGTGCCCAATAGGATGGGCATCCCTTTCTGGAGGTTCTGTAAACCTGAAGTCATAGTCTGACATGCAGGCCAGACAGACACACAATATCCTTATTGTGAACTGGAAAGCAGCAGGAGCTGTGGGGAAGGGCCAAATCTCGGGGCTCTATGGAGACTCCTCCACTTCTGGTGATGCAGCTGGGGTGAGTCCCCCACTCTCTGGGGTCCAGGCCCCAACCGTTATTTCCTATCTGGGCCTGGAGCCTCCCACCAGGGCCCCCTAGCCGGGACGGCTGTGCCCTGAAGGACCCCAGCTCTGACCTCCTCAGTCTCTCACTCCCTCTCCTCAAGCTGCCACTGACTCCGAGGAGTGGGTCCAAGCCACATCTGATTCCCATCCTGAAACCCCCGGGAATAAGGAGCGCGGAATCGTCTCCTCCGCCAATTCTGAATAGGCCTCAAGGCCAGAGCTGGCCTCTCGGTACAGTCGGAGCAGGCTGCAGGCAGAGGCTGGGGCTGGAGAAACATTCAACAGGGCTACCTTGCTTCCCCCCACTCCCACTCTCCTCCTCCAGGGCCCCGGGACACTGCACACCAGGTCTCGGAGTCTCCTCTGCCACAGGCTCTCCAGCTGGCTATGGTTGTGGGTGCAGCACAGCACACACCCCGCCCAGGCCAGTGGGGGCTAGTCACCATGCTATTTCCCAAGGAGGTGGATGAAGTGGGAATGAGAGAAGGAAGACATGGTGGGAATGAGAGAAGGCAGTAATGTTTGGGGCAATGAGAAATTGCAGTGCACAGAGTCAGTACACATGAGCGCCTGACAGGTTAAATGAAAATGTAATGAATAAAGGGCAGCTTACGATTTCAGCCAGAAATGAAGCACCCATCCTGAGCCAGTGGGCCCTGAAGCCAGAGACTGCCATGTCCCCACTGCAAGCCCCAGGTGTATAGGTATGGCGGGGGAGCTGGCTGTGGCTGCTGGTATTGAGGTGGCCACCAGGCCTGAGGCCCCCGACCTGGGGCTACCCTGCCCCTCAGCAGGGAAACAGTTACCCCAGTGGGCAGCTATGAGACTCTAAGACAGGGAAGCGCACACGGTGAGTCACTCAATCACTGAGAATCCTTGGAGAAGCTACTAGAACTTTCCTGCCTCAGCTCTACTACGTAACCCCAGGAAATGCAGAGGAAGCAGGGGCAGGAATGGTGCTATCTGAGCTCTGACCAACTCTACATAGCTAGAGGTGGCTACTAGAACCTTTTTCCCAAGAAGCAGCTCCCAAGCCTGGGCAACTTGGGCCCAAGGCCACTTCCTCCTGCTCCCTGCTTCCTGGGAAAGCTGTCTTGGTCCCTTACTCCCTGCCATGGACAGGAGATGAACACACCAAAATGCTAGGAAAGCAGGGCTGGCTTACCTTTGAAGGCTTCAGTGGCACCAGGTGCGTGGTTCTTGTCTGGGTGGAATTTGAGGGCCAGTCTGCGGTAGGCCTTCTTCAGGTCCTCATCCGAGGCCCCTCTGCTCACCCCCAGGATCTCATAGTAATCTTTACATTGCTTGACCCTGGGGAAGGAGGAGACCATGGTACGGGGTGCTCTACATGGGTCTGTGTGAGGGGGGCGATGAACAGGCCGTGTGGGGCGCACAGCTCTGGGCAGGCTGCGGGGGACCAACAGGGCAAGGCTGACAGCTCCTTGGGTCAGCTGTGTGACACCAGGGACAAGGGAGCCAAGTGGGCACCAAATGTGATGCAGAGCTGGGCAGGACCACGGGAAACAGAAGAACACCGTCTGGATTCTTGGATTTAGGAGGGCATCTGTGGGGTTCGCCAGGCCAGTATCTATCTTCCCCATGGGAAGAGCTCAGGAGGACTGTCGGTGTCCATCACCCAGGGTGGTGTCCCAAGCTCAGCCAACCGACTCTCCTGGCAATCTGAGTCTTTTTTTTTTTTTAATTTTTAAAAGTTTTTAAAATGTTAAATATTTAAAGATAGAGACAGGGTCTTCTAATTGCCCAGGCTGGTCTCAAACTCCTGGGCTCAAGGGATCCTCCTGTCTCAGCCCCCCAAAGTGCTAGGATGACAGGCATGAGCCACCATGCTCAGCCCAATCTGAGTCTTGAGTGGGTAACATGAAGGCCAGAAGTGGCAGGTGACTGTTCACCGCAAGCACAGGGCCTAAAGAGACCCTGGTTCTCTTTCACCAATTCTTCCTCTCCGCGTCCCTGGAGACCTCCTGGTTCTTGGCCGTTTCTAGGCCTTCCCAATCCCTCATACATCAGTTTCTATTGCCTACAATGGACCTTGCCGACTCAGTGAAGTACAGATCTCGCCTACACTTTTATGGCAAACAGCAGTCATGCTCAGTCTCACACAGGCGGCCTTGGTCCTGAAGCTTGCCAGGAGCTGTGGCATGACCCTGGGGGATTCCCAAGGCCAGCTGCTGGGAGACCTGGGGAGAAATGGGAGCTGGGAACGTCTAAGCCTGAGGAGCCTTGGCTGGGTGGTCTCTGGCCTGGTAGCGAGCTACTCTGCGTGGGGCCTGCTCACAGCCGTGGGGCAATAACTCTGCCTCTGGTCTCCATTCTACCCCACACAGGCTCTGATCTAAAAGGGTCTTTGTTGGGTGCTGGGATGTGGGTTGGGGTAGAATCTGGAGGGGGAGACAAAGCTCCATCTCTATTGACAAACAGAGCTGTGTAAAGAGGCCTGGGGCCTGCCTGGCCAGCGGCAGAGGAAGCCGGCAGTGTCAGCTTTTCCAGCCTCTGCTGTGGGTCGTGGCGGGAGGGGTGGTGGAGCCCCAGTTCCCACACTGTATTCCTGGGCCTTGAGGGAAATAAGGAGAGGTCCTGGTGAGCCTGGACCCTTGGACCTTCTCCATCCTCCAAGACCCTCCCAGGGCCCTGTGCTGCCCACAGGCAGATGGGAGGTGGAGGACATGCTCCAGGAAGCCTCTAGATTTCCCCAGTCTCCCCAGGCTCCAGCCCCTGCCCACCCATCTACCTTTTCACAGCTGCAACCTGTTCTGCAGTGTAGCCTTTGGTGCTCTCTCCTCCAGCTTCACCGTTGGCCGAGGGGGCATCGGTCCCACCTGCTTTCCTGTGGGTGGCATGGGTTGTGTCTGTGGGTGGGGGTTGGTCACCGGCAGTCTGTGGTTTCTGGTTGAGGGACTCAATCAGGGCTGTGCAAGGCAAGGAAACCATTCAGAGCTCCTGCTCAAGCAGGCTGCGTGCCTCGCCGAGCGGCCCGCTGCTTCCCACTCACTTCCCCTCCCAGCAAAGCCACCAGCTCCTGCCCTGATTAGGCCTGTGGGTGCTGGGGGGACAGTCATCTGCTCTCTTGAAAGCCATAGTCCTTAAGAGTAGGCAGGACAGGCCGGACGTGGTGGTTCACACCTGTAATCCCAGCATTTTGGGAGGCTGAGGCAGGCAGATCACCTGAGGTCAGGAGTTTGAGACCAGCCTGGCCAATGTGGTGAAATCCCGTCTGTACTAAAAATTAAAAAATTAGCCAGATGTGGTGGCGGGCGCCTGTAATTCCAGCTACTAGGGAGGCAGAGGTTGCAGTGAGCCAAGATGGTGCCACTGCAGTCCAGCCTGGGTGACAGAGTGAGACCCTGTCTCAAAAAAAAAAAAAAAAAAAAAATCCGGGCACAGTGGCTCACGCCTGTAATCCCAGCACTTTGGGAGGCTGAGGCGGGCGGATCACCTGAGATCAGGAGTTTGTGACCAGCCCGGCCAACATGGTGAAACTCCATCTCTACTAAAAATACAAAAAAAAAAACCCCAAAAGACATTTAGCTGGAGATAGTGGTGGGCGCCTGTAATCCCAGCTACTCGAGAGACTTGAGAGGCTGAGGCATGAGAATTGCTTGAACCCAGGAGGTGGAGATTAGCAAGATTGTGCCACTGCACTCCAGCCTGGGCGACAGAGCAAGGATCTGTCTCAAAAAAAAAAAAAAAAAAAAAGTAGGCAGGATAGAGGTCTTTTTCGTTTTACATGAACAAAATTAATTTTGTTAATAAAAATTGACATAAAATTCTACATAATTCATGGATAAATCTGTAGTAATTGCTTTATTTTTCAGATAGTATACTTATACATATATCTCTTTTCTTAATAAATTTAGGCAGAATTCTGATATTCTGATAGTCTTCCAAAAGCACACTTGGTTTTATTAATAAACCCTATAGTACTTTATTTAGAGTTATTTTTTTTTATTTGTTTGTTTATTTGAGATAGAGTCTCACTCTGTTGCCCAGGCTGGAGTGCAGTGGTGCGATCTCAGCTCACTACAACCTCTACCTCCCAGGTTCAAGTGATTCTCATGCCTCAGCCTCCTGAGTAGCTGGTACTACAGGCACGTGCCACCACGCCTGGCTAATTTTTTTTTTTTTGACACGGAGTCTTGCTCTGTTGCCCAGGCTGGAGTGCAGTGGCATGATCTTAGCTCACTGCAACCTCCGCCTCCTGGGTTCAAGCAATTCTCCCGCCTCAGCCTCCCTAGTAGCTGGGATTACAGGCGCCCAGCACCATGCCCAGCTAATTTTTGTATTTTAGTAGAGATGGGATATCAACACGTTGGCCAGACTGGTCTTGAACTCCTGACCTCAAGCAATCCACCCATCTCGGCCTCCCGAAGTGCTGGGATTACAGGTGTGAGCCACCGTGCCCGGCCTAATTTTTGTATTTTTAGTAGAGATGGGGTTTCACCATGTTGGCCAGGCTGGTCTCGAACTCCTGACCTCAAGTGATCTGCCCACCTCGGGTTCCCAAAGTGCTGGGATTACAGGCATGAGCCACCGTGCCTTGCTAGAGTTCATTTAATACTACTTTAATTGCTATTTCTTTCAGTGTATTTGGTTTTACTCTGCTTTTTGCTTTTATGAATCCAACTTATGAATCCATTTTTTTCTACTGAACTCATTCAAATCTGCAAATATGTTTGCATTGCACCACATTTTGAATAAGTAAAATATTCAGTCCACTGCACTACTCCCTATTTTTACCATTGGTTTTTTTTTTTTTTCTTTTTTGAGACGGAGTCTCACTCTGTTGCCCAGGCTGGAGTGCAATGGCATGATCTCAGCTCACTGCAACCTCTGCCTCCCGGTTTCAAGCGATTCTCCCGCCTCAGCCTCCTAAGTAGCTGGAATTACAGGTGCACACCACCACGCCGGCTAATTGTATTTTTAATAGAGATGAGGTTTCACCATGTTGGCCAGGCTGGTTTCGAACTCCTGACCTCAAGTGATCCGCCTGCCTTGGCCTCCCAAAGTGCTGGGATTACAGGCATGAGCCACTGTGCCCAGTCAACCCTTCAGATTTTTAAGATCTCAAAGTAGTGAGTTTAACAGACTTGGCATGTTGAGTGCCAAGCTGGGAAAAGTACCCTGCAAAGGGGACCCCGCTTAGCAGGACCCTCTGTTTCAGGTGGGATCAGTCAGGAAGCCTTCCTGGAGGCCTTTGCTTAGCTGTAAAGAGGAATGGGGGAAATGAGTTTGCCCAAGGGGGACACAGATGGTAGGAGACCAAAAGAAGTATCTGCTGTGCTCACAACTTGCTATTTTTCACATTTTTCTAATGCAAGTGGTTGGCCATGCCAAATGTCCTCTTCAATGTCTGGAGTCTATACAGGACATTAACTATCACCCTCGGCAGCATCATGGCTATTGAAAACCAAGCCCGGCTGGGCGCTGTGGCTCACGCCTGTAATCCCAACACTTTGGGAGGCCGAGGCGGGCGAATCACAAGGTCAGGAGTTCAAGACCAGCCTGGCCAACATGGTGAAACCCCGTCTCTACTAAAATACAAAAATTAGCCGAACATGGTGGTGGGCGCTTGTAATCCCAGCTACTAGGGAGGCTGAGGCAGCAGGATGGCTTGAATCTGGGAGGCGGAGGTTGCAATGAGCCGAAATCATGCCATTGCACTCCAGCCTGGGCAATAGAATGAGACTCTGTCTCAGAAAAACAAAAACAAAAACAACCAAGCCCACCAGGCATGGTGGCTCACACCTGTAATCCCAGCACTCTGGGAGGCTGAGGCGGGCAGATCGCCTGAGGTCAGGAGTTTGAGACCAGCCTGGCCAGCATGGTGAAACCCCGTCTCTACTAAAAATACAAAAATTAGCCGGCGTGGTGGCAGGCGCCTGTAATCCCAGCTACTCGGGAGGCTGAGGCACAGAATCGCTTGAACCCGGGAGGCAGAGGTTGCAGTGAACTGAGATTGTGCCACTGCACTCCAGCCTGGGCAACAGAGCAAGACTCCATCTCAAAAAAACAAAAGCAAGCAAAAACAAGCCTGTGGTTCCTGCAGATTAAATGAGGAAGGGCCCAAGTCTCTGGCAGCAGGTCCCTGTGTCCATTTATTCCAGGCACGAAACCTCAGTCAGGCCTGGGCCCCAGCGCCCTGGGTAGTAAAATCCTAAAGCCTCTGACAAGCTGACCAGCTGGGAAAACAGGCATCTGGATCACTGCAGGGACCCAGCATCCCTCTGTGCTAAGGAAGGACAGCAGCACATCCCAGCACATTCCTTCAAACACGCCAGGTGCCTGCTGGCCTGAAGACGCCATGCTGGGTGCCACACCCACCAGTGCGACCCACTGAGGTCTGACCCAACAGGCTGAGAGCCAGTCTCACTGGGAACAGAGTATGGGGCTCCAGTGGAGCACTGTGCCCTGGGCCACTGCTGCCGCACTCCGAGCTTGTGTGATCTTGCTGAGTCTTCAACTGGGAAATCCAAACACAGGAGCTCACAGCTGGGGTTGCTCTGAGTAAGGGAGGCGGGCTCCTGTAGCAAACCCTGAGAGGGTGCTTGGGGAGGAACAATAGCAACAATCATTTTTCTTACCCAGTGATGTGTGTCAGGTGGGTACTTTCACAGTGATCTGCATTAGCTCATTTAATTGTCACAGCAGCCTTAGAAGGAAGGTCTCATTACCTACCCCACCCCACTGTAGGAAGAGGGTACTGTGGCAGACTGCTGCCATGACCACACAGCTGGTTAGGAGGCAGAGGGGCCTTCGAACCCCAGGATGTCCAGCTCCAGGGTCCATGCTCTTAACTACGCTGCTATCCTGGGCTGCACGTGTCTGATGGGGTGGGGATCGGGGACAGGGATGCAAGCAAAAGCATAGAAGAGACATCAAATTCAGAAAGGCCCAGATTCAAATCTCAGCTCTGCCATTCCTAGCAGTGTGACCCTGGCTGATCTATGAAATCTCTCTGAACCCTGGTTTCGTCACGGTGGCGGAGGATGAAATGGGATAATGTGTGTAAGCACCTGTGCCGAGTCTGACAGAGAGTGAAGGTTCAAGGCTGATGAAGTGTCTGGCCACAGAAGTGGGCTGGCCAGGGAAGTGAGGGAACCTGTGGTGGGGGCTGGGGAGGAGGAGGGCTGGGTAGCGGGGGAGCTCCAAGGCTCAGGAAGGCAAAGACTCAGCGCTCAGCAGACTCTGGAACCAGTAGTAACCATGAGATTTCAGGCCATCCCAGATACCAGGTCCATGCCAGCTACCAAGGGGATGGCAAGAGAAACCGAAAGATGAAGAGATATTGGTCAAGGCGGGGCAGGAGGAGGAGGCAGTATGCTGTTTCCTAGAGCTTTTCAAGAAGCTCTTTATTATTTCAGTTCCTCTGGAAGTTCTGGTGGCCCAGGCTGAGCCTGGCAGATCCTAAGGGCAAAATAACCAGTTATTCAACTACCAGAGATGAGCAGGAGCACTAGCCAGGAGATGGGACAGGCTCTCTCTTGTACCTCTCAGAGAAGATTCTGGAAGCTTTTCAGGGCAGTTACAGGGAATCAGCCACTCTAATTTCCCTACAGTACAGAAAGAGAGCCCAAAGGAGAATGGGGGTGCCCTGGGTCACATAGAAGCTTTCTGCTTGAGTTGGAAATTAAAGATTTCCAGTTGCTGGCAAGTAGGGTCTCTCTTCTGGCCTGGGGGATGTGACAGCTTCATGCTTACATCCCTCATGGCACAGAGGCTGACAGGCAATGTCACAAAAAGAGACAGAACAGCTTAATGTTACCTTCTCAGTAAAGCTGGCAGACTTAGAAAAGGAAGGGAATTCGATAGAAGAGAACAGAGCTGCGGTGGAGAGGCACCTGAGGTAGAGCTGAGAGGATTTCTATGGCCAAAGCCACTGAACCCAGACTAGAGTTAGATTTGGCCGGGCAGTGGCTCACACCTGTCATCTCAGCACTTTAGGAGGCCAAGGCAGGAGAATGGATTGAGCTCAGGAGTTCGAGACCAGCCTTGGCAACACAGGAAGACCCTGTCTCTACGAAAATAAAAAAATTAGCCAGGTGTGGTGGCACATGCCTGTGGTCCCGGCTGTTTGGTAGGCTAAGGTGGGAGGATCACTTGGGCCTGGGTGGTTGAGGCTGCAGTGAGCTGTGATTGTGCCACTGCACTCCAGCCTGGGCAACAGAGTGAGACCCTGTCTCAAAAAAAAAAAAAAAAAAAAAAAAAAAAAGACTGCCCGATGGGTTCAAACCTAGCTCTGCCATTTGCTAGAAGGGTCATCTTGGACAAGGTAACTTAGCTCATCTGTGCAAAACTCTATCTCCATCATACAGGCTAAAAGAGGAAATGAGTGAATGCCAGCAAAAAACTCAGCCCAATGCCCAGCAAATATACAGTGTTGTCTCTGACCGTGACTTTGTTAGTAAGTGAGTAGCTGAGTTTCTGGGCTCTGTGTACCTACGGTGCTCACAGTGAGTCAGAAAAGGGCCTGGGATTGGAGATGGACAGCTCTGGGTCTTTGCTGGCTAGCCATGTGGCCTTGCCAGGTTAGCTGGTTCCTGAGTGGAGAGACGATCTCTGCTCTCATAGGAGTGCTCTGAGGGGTAAATAAGATTCTGTGAAATACAGTGAATGGAAGGGGGCTAAGTGCACAGTGGGGCTCATGAAGGTTGACTGACTTGAAGGGTACAACCCCACCCCGGACCTCGCCAGCACCAGAACATCTCTCACTCCTGGACTCTGAATGCAGAATCCCTCAGCAATCCGTCTCCTTTTCCTGTGGGCTGGCCTTCCCAGCTTGGCCTTCATGACTTAGCCCAGAGTCAACCATTTCACAGAACATTGGATAGCCTGAGCTGCAAGGAACCTCAGGATCATCCCAGCCAATCCTCTCTTTGTATGCTGGGGAAACTGAGGCCTACAAATGCTCTCGTGAGCTCCCTGGGAAATCTGGCACCTTCCACATTTGTTACAAAGCCTGAGTCAAAGCCAATGGCTTACCAGGCTGCCAGCTACTGGACAGAAACTCCCAGAAAGGGACTGACTGGCTCCACCATCTCTAGTCTGTGACCTCCCAGCTTAGGGCCCAGCTACTGCTTTGCAGTTTAACTCAGTGCCTCCTTGTCCCACCTCCTGCAGCAGGAGTTTCAAGCCCCCTCACATCCCTTTTTGCTGCAAAGGCCAACAGTGTGAGGTCCCTCATCCTTTCAAGGTTGCTCTGAGCCTCCCCTCTCTCGTGACTCTCCCCTCTCTGCCCTTCCACCTCTCCAAGACCATCCTCTGCCCATGCTCTCGATCCTTCCCTTTTCAACTCTTAACTTGTCCTTTTCCCATGCAGTGCCTGCGGCATCACACAGGGCTGCTCACCACCTGCTGCCATTACCTCTCCATGGCTACCTGGCCGCTGCCCTCTCCGGGGACTGCCTTTTCCTGTTGCTCCATCTCAATCTGTTGCTTCCTCTGCCTTTGCCTGTGGGCTCAGGGCAGGTGTTGCCTGCCATTGTGCCTGCAGCAACTTTCTCTCCATGGTCTATACTTTCCCACAGTGACCTCAGCCATGCACAACTCCAGTGAGCTCCAGGGAACAGACGATACCACACTTTCACCTGTAACCTGGAGCGCTCTCCTGAGTTCCAGGCTGACAGCTCCTTTGGACTATCCCACTGGCACCTCCCACTCTGCTCATCTCTTCCCATCTCAGTTCTTCAGCCTGGTTTCTTCCTGGTCACAGGGGCTTCAATTCTGATTCCCCAGCATCCCATCTGATTCTCCTCTGCACCTCTCTCTCACACAGGCCTGGTGCCTCTTTTCCAGGGACCTTAGCCTTATCCATGACTGCCTTGTCCCAGGCCCTCAGAATATCCAACCAGCTCAAGGCAATTCTCTCCTATTGGCTTCCTGCCCTGAAGCTCTCTTCCCTCTCATTAACCTTTCATGCTGTTCTCTTTTAACAACAGTGCCCGTACTTTATTCCTGCTATCAAAAACCTCAATGGTTTCCTCACTAACTACAGAATAAGGTGAAAATATCTTGGCCTGGTAGAAAAGGATTTCTATGATCTGGCCCCATTTTATTTCCCAAACTTAATCCTCTCTGTATACGAATTACCACCTCCACTGCCTCTAAATCTTGCTACACTTTGATCTCTTCCCCCAAACGTTACAACTTTCAGCTCCTTTGTCTTCTTCCAGGATGCCTTTCCTCAAGTCTCACACCGTCCTCCAAAGCACAATTCAAATGTTAACTCCTGTCATCCCCAAAGCATTCCCTCACTGTGAGATAACATTATTTTTATGCACTTGCTACAGCACTCACTAAACTGCTGATAATTTAATGTTCAGGAGATTGTCCTCCGCACCTCCTCCCCACCATCAGACTGTGAACCCATGGATGATGGGGCCTGATTTTTTCATGCCTGTCCTTAAGTCCTCAGCGTCTAACCTTGGGTTTATTTTTTGTTTAATTACAGTTCTGTCTTGTAATATTTGTTTCTGTAAGTTTTGTCTCTTTCACTAGATTATAAGCTCTTTTGAGGTGAGGGATCACATTTTACCAATCTTGCTAGCACCAAGCAGAGGACTTTGCAAACAAAACATAAATGATCTTCAACAAAAGTCTGCTGCATTGAATGAGCATCTGGGATGAGCCTAAACCCAAAGCAATAGACCGCCACCTAATATATCTGTATTACTCCCCCTGGGGAGGCAGGTAGCCAGCCCAGTGGGTAGCCCTGCCCTCTATTTTTGAAGTAAGATCTTTCCCTGTCCCAGACCTAAACTAATCCCAGGTCTTTGTCAGCTCAGTGGAGGGCTGCAGATGGTAAAGTTTACACGGATGCATAAGGCGTATAGTCTCATAGTCTTTCCAGAAAAGCACAAATATGACAAATATGCATGCAGGTGGTTCTTCTGTCTCAGCAAATTCCAGAGCCTGAGCCCCAGAGAGGACACTCCTTCAAGCTCCTGAACTGGTGCAGGGGCCTGCTGACAGAAAGATCCCCAGAGGCCCTGTGGCCCATCCTTTCTTGGCTGCCTGCTCCTGAGCCCGCAGCAGCATCAGTGTCAGGCAGAATTCTGACAGCTGGAGGATACCACCCCACCACAGAATATGAATTAATTCACAGGGAGGCTCCTCGAGCAGGTTACCTCAGGTGTCCTGGCAAATACAGCCCGAAACCCTCTCCAAGGGGAGGCAAACAGGCCAAAGATCAACCTGCAAGAGTCCGGAGGGAGGAAAGTTCAGCAGTCCAGGCTACCTCTTCCACCAGCGTTCCGCTTTCTCAATCTCATCAGGCGGGCAGGGCCGGTTAGGAGGCTGACTGCTGTTCCTCAATTTCATTTCTTTTCCTTCATAAACATTTACAGAGTCACAGAACATTTTACTTTCTAGCTGTGTCATCCTGGGCATCCCTTACCTCAGAGATTTTCCTCACCCATAGAATAAAGATAATGATCTTTGCTCTGCATCCCTGACTGGCAGGCTCAAGTGAGAAGGCACAGGTGAAGGAGCTTCCTAAACTGCAAAGCCCTATGGGTATTATTGCCAATCACATTATCTGCGCCAACCCTCTAATCTTCCCGAGGAGGAAACCCAAGCTCAGGAAGGTCACGTGGTAGCCGTCAGGATGAGACTGGGCCCTTCGGAGTGCCTGTTATTCCCAGACGGTTTACTGAGTGGTGATCACAAGCACCACCCGGTGTCTCTCTCCCCTCTAGCGTGGATTAAGAAAAACTCCTTGGAAAACTTAGGTTAAAGAAAAAAGAAAGGGTTCCCGGGTGAAGCGAGGTGATGAGTTGTAAAGCCAGCTTCACTCTTCCCTCCCTGGCTCAGGAGGCTCCTGTCCAGGGCAACTCAGCAGCCTCGGCGTCCACATGGCTGACCGCCGCTGGACTCTTGCGGGCGATGGAGGACTGGCGGTGGCTGAGGTCAGCACCTCCCACCAGGCCACCCGCTCCGAATCTCATCATCGGGAGGAGTGAGGGGCCCGGCTTCAGGACAGTCCGAGGCGGCGGACTGGGGTGGGTGCAAAGGCCGGCTTGCATTTTGGGAGAGTGGTCCCTGACCCTCAGCCCGAGAGGTGAGAGGGAGTGAAGATACGGAAGCGCCTTTCCCTGGCGCCCGAAGAACAGAAATGTCTCCCTGTCTAGCGCCCATTCTCTCCCTTAAAGGAGTTATGTTTATTTTCCTGAACTGTAATATTTCCCAGGCCGGCGACTGGCCTGGGCTACCGAACGGCCCCTTGGGAAAAGTAGTTCGAGTTCACTTCCAGGTAAGTTCCCTTCGTCCCGGCTGCCAGCGCGTTTCATTCTCGGAGACCTCAAACCCCAGCGGGCTCCGCCAGCACCCCGAAAGCTGAAGTCCCGGCCGCCCGAGTCTCCAGACGGCTCGCATCCCGCAGAGGAACAAGAGGGAAAAACTACGCCTCCCAGCAGCCACCGCGCGCCTCAGTGCGCAGGCGTAGCCGCGCCTCGCCACCCCTCCCCCTCCCCCAACTGCTCCCGTCGGTCCGTTCCCGTGTTCCCCCCATCAGTTCTAATGTCCCCAGTCTCTCCGGCACCTCACACTCACCGCGAACTCGCGGCGTCGGATACAGCCGCTGTGCCTTCTCCAGGAAGCGGAGCGCCCGGTCGGGCTGGTTGCTCTGGATGGCCTTGAGGGCGATGCTGATACAGCGCTCAGCTTCATCCTTGTTGGATTCCATGGCGGAACCAGAACGCGGAACCAGGGAGGGGGAGGCCGGGCGAGCGAAGGGCTGCGCCACCCGCCGGCGCGTCGCGGGCAGCCGGGCGCGGAGTGATGACATCCACCCTCCGCCCCTCCTTTCCCGAGTTTTGAGCGAGGGTGGAAGTGCTACCGTATGTCTTCTAAGAAAGGGACGGCTGGTGTAGGTGTCAATAATGGTGCACGCCCAGATTCCATGTTCCGGAGGTCTTAGAGTTGAGTATGCGCCAACCCTCTAATCTTCCGGAGGAGGAAACCCAAGCTCAGGAAGGTCACGTGGTAGCCGTCGGGATGAGACTGGGGCCTTCGGAGTGCCTGTTATTCCCAGACGGTTTACTAAGTGGTGATCTATATACGTAATGTAACTACATACGTTTCAGACAAAGGTTATTTATTCACTGAACAGATATTGAGTGCCCACTGTTTGTGAGGCATGGTTTTATGATGGGGATACAGGGGTGAGCAAAACAAAGCTCCTGCTCTCATGGAGCTTACATTCCAGTGTGTGTAGGCTGGGGGAGCTCCAGATAGATTCAGATAGTGATAAAAGCTCTGAAGAAAAATTATGGAAAACACAGGGATAGAGAGTGGGAGGCGCTATTTTAAATAGCGCGATAAAAGAAACCTCTCAGAAGCTGTCATTAACAGGTACCAGAATTCAGGAACGATAACAGGTAGATGTGACTGTCTGGAGGAAGGGTGGTCAGGCCGAAGGAACAGCAAGTGCAAAGGCTCTGAAAAGGGAATTCTCTTGGTGAGTTATAACAGATCAGGAAGGCGAATACATTCTAGGGAGCGTAAAGATTCTACTACAGGCTGGGCGCGGTGGCTCACGCCTGTAATCCCAGCACTTTGAGAGGCCGAGGCGGGCGGATCACTTGAGGTCAGGAGTTCGAGACCAGCCTGACCAACATGGAGAAACCCCGTCTCTACTAAAAATACAAAATTAGCCGGGCATGGTGGCACATGGCCTGTAATCCCACCTACTCGGGAGGCTGAGGCGGGAGAATCGCTTGAACCTGGGAGGTGGAGGTTGCGGTGAGCCAAGATCACACCATTGCACTCCAGCCTGGGCAACAAGAGTGAAACGCCATCTAAAAAAAAAGAAGAAAAAAAAAAGATTCTACTACAGAGTGTAATCCAGTTCTATCATTATCCCGTTCTTCGAGGGCTATCACTCCAGTGAAAGCAATCTTGTGAAGGTTGCCAGTGACCTCCACGTTGCCGAATCCCCGAGTCATCTGTCAGCCCTTACATTGCTTGGCCTTTCAGGCAGGATTTGGTAAGATGCTACTACAGTAATCCGGATGAGAGTCAGGAAGCTACTATTATAATACAGGTGAAAATTAATGGTAACTTGGATAAGGGTGATGGCGGAGGTGGTGAGTAGTAGTAAAATTCTGGATATATTTTGAAGACAGAATGACGCAATGGATGTGGGCTGTGAGAGAAAGAAGATTCAAGGATGATTCCAATGTTTTTGGCTTGATAACTGGAAGAAGAGAATTTCTATTTACTAAAACAAGGAAATGGAAAAGACTACAAAAGCAGTTTGGTGGGGGAATATTAAGGGTTTGATTCAGTTTATGATGCTTTTTAGAATCAAGCAGAGATACAGACTAGGATGTTGTACATACGTAGGGTTTAGGCAAAAAGGACCTGGAAATATAACTTTGGGGCCAGGCACAGTGGCTCACTCCTATAATCCCAACATTTTGGGAGGCCAGGGGTGGGAGGATCACTTGAGGCAAGGAGTTTGAGACCAGCCTGGGCAACAGAGTGAGATCCCATCACTACAAAAAAATAAAAAATTAGCTGGGTGTGGTAGTACACGCCTGTAGTCCCAGCTACTCAGGAGGCTGAGGTGGGAGGATCACTTGAGCATGGGAGGTCAAGGCTGCAGTGAGCTGTGATATATATATATATATATATATATATATATATATATATATATATATATATATATATATATATGCACCAAGGAAGTGAGTGTAGATGGAGAAGAGCAGAGAAGTCTGATTACTGAGCCTCACGAAATCCCAACATTTAAAGATCTGGAAGAGGAAGAAAATCCAGTAAAGGAGAATGTGAAGAAGCAGGTTGTAAGGAAATGAGTAGGTCAGGTATGGTGGCTCATGCCTGTAATCCCAGCACTTGGGGAGGCTGAGGTGGGAGGCTCGCTTTAGCCCAGGAGTTCAAGACCAGCCTGGGCAACATAATGAGACCGCCCCCCCTCACGGTCTCTACAAACAGTTTTTTTAGAAAAGGAGGGAGGGGGGGTCAAACGTCATATCCTGTGGAGAGGCCAAGCAATGTGAGGCCTGAGAAATGACCAATGGATTTGGCAGTGTAGAGGGCAGTGTTGACTTTGACAAAATTGCTTTTATCTATTTCATTTTATTTTTTTGAGACAGGGTCTCACTGTTACCCAGACTGGAGTGCAGTGGCACAGTTATGGCTCACTGCAGCCTCAACTTTCTGGGCTCAAGCAATCCTCCCACCTCCGCCTCCTGAATAGCTGGGACTACAGGAGTGCTCCACCACACCTGGCTAGTTTTTTTTTTAAGTTTTTTTTTAGAGATGGGGTCTCACTGTGTTGCCTAGGCTGGTCTCAAACTTCTAGGCTCAAGTGATCCTCTCACCTCAACCTCCCAAAGTGCTGGGATTACAGGTGTGAGCCACTGTGCCTGACCATAAAATGGCTTTTAGTGTGTGGTAGGGGTGAAAACCCAACAGGAATGGATTCAAGAGAGTAAAGGTGGCTGGGCGCAGTGGCTCAAACCTGTAATCTCAGCACTTTGGGAGGGTGAGGTGGGTGGATCACCTGAGGTCAGGAGTTCAAGACCAGCCTGGCCAACATGGTGAAACCCTATCTCTACTAAAAAAAATTACAAAAATTAGCCAGGTGTGGTGGCATGCGCCTGTACTCCCAGCTACCCAGGAGGATTATGAGCCTGGGAGGTCGAGGCTGCAGGGAGCCATGGTTGCCCCACTACACTCTAGCCTGGGCACAGAGTCAGACCCTGTCTCAATAAATAAATACACACATAAGAAAGAAGCAAGGTCATGGCCTCCTCAGCTATACATGCTCCTTGGAAAATTCTTTCACATCCAACCTTCCTTTCCATTCCCATTTTTCCCTTTCCAATGCAAACCCTTACGACTCCATGCTGGCCTGGTACAGACCCTCCTTGATAAGACAGTCCTACACTTGGAGAAATTTAAGTTCTCTACAAATTGATAGGTCCCTAATGTGTCCATGGATAAATGCTGGGATCCTTTTCAAACAGCCTCTCTGAGGTTTGTTGACCTAGCACGACAATTTCCATCTTCCTGTCTCCTGCTAAGAATCATGAAGTATCCTCTTCCATTTCCTATCATGAGGCCTGTCTTCTCCTGCTGACTACAAGATACAGTCATGTGTCACTTAATGACAGGGATATGTTCTGAGAAAAGTGTTGTTAGGTGATTTTATCACTGTGCGAACATCATAGAGTCCTTATACAAACCTAAGTTGGTATAGCCTGCTACACACCTAGGGTTTAAGGTATGACCTGTTGCTTCTAGGTTACATACCTGTACAGAACATTACCATACCGAATACAATGGGAAGTATTTGTGTATCTAAACATAGAAAAGGTAATGCATTGTGCTATGACCTTATGATGGCTATGAATGTCACTAGGCAATAGGACTTTTTCAGCTCCATTATAATCTTAAGGGACCATTGTCATATATGCTGTCTGTAGTTGGCCAAAATGTTATGATGTGGTGCATGACTCTACTTCACACTGTGAAGAAGGCAATCAAGTAGAAAAGAAAGTCTGTCATTTTCTTGTGTTAGGGAACTGGATTGTGACTGGCCAACTACTGACGGGTGAGCCCTTCTCTTTTCCTACAATTCATATAAAATGACAAAGTCCTATTTAAATTGTGGGTCAGTGCTTTGGCTTGATTGGCAGGGTCCAGATCAGTAACGATGTGGAGAAGCGGGCTGCTTGTGGTAGGGGCCCTTTATGCCTTATTTTTGCATTCTTCTCCTTGCCCCCCTCTGCTGCTCATCTTGGTCCCTAAGCTGTTTCTTTCTTTTTCTTTTTTTTTTTTTTTGAGACAAAGTCTTGCTCCATCGCCCAGGCTGGAGTGCAGTGGCGCGATCTTGGCTCACTGCAACCTCTGCCTCCCAGGTTCAAGCAATTCTCCTGTCTCAGCCTCCCGAGTAGCTGGGACTACAGCCACATGCCACCAAGCCTGGCTAATTTTTGTATTTTTAGTAGAGATGGGGTTTCACCTTGTTGGTCAGGCTGGTCTGGAACTCCTGACCTCAGGTGATCTGCCCGCCTCGGCCTCCCAAATTGCTGGGATTACAAGCATAAGCCACCGTGCCCGGCCACTGTTTCCTTTTGCTTTTTTTTTTTTTTTTTTTTTTGAGATGGATTCTCACTCTGTTGCCCAGACTGAAGTGCAGTGGCATGATCTCAGCTCACTGCAACCTCTGCCTCCCAGGTTCAAGCGATTCTCATGCCTCAGCCTCCTGAGTAGCTCAGATTATAGGCATGCATCTCCATGCCTGGATAATTTTTGTATTTTCACAAAATACAAAAAGTGGAGATTAACAAAATGCAAAAAGTAGGGGTTTTACCATGTTGGCCAGGCTGGTCTCGAACTCCTAACTTCCAGTAATATGCCCAGCTCAGCCTCCCAAAGTGCTGGGATTATAGGTGTGAGCCGCCACACAGGGCCTCCCTAAGCTGTTTGTTTTCAGAAAGGCTGTGCTGTTTCAGAAGGGATTATGAACTGACCCTGAAGGCTGGTCTAAGGAGCCCCTGCCTTTCTTACAAATCTGAGTCACACTGGATGTCTTGCTTTTGGTCCTGAGGCTAATTTGACTTTTTATTTGTCCCTCTCAGTCCAAAGGCCAGGAAAGAGAGACACCCCGCCTTGCTCAGGTCATGTTAAACATTATAGTCCCTGGTCTTGGAGCTGGTATGCTAGGGATGACTTGGGAACACTCTCTCCTTGATGATCTTTGAAATCAAGATGTCATGATTTTGATCTAAGGGAAAAAACTGGAAACATCCATTCTGACTAGCTGGGATCATTGTATCTGTGGGTGGATGGGGCTTAAAAAGAGAGACAAAGCCTGGGCGCCGTGGCTTATGCTTGTAATCTTAGCACGTTGGGAGGCAAAGGTGGGCAAATCACTTGAGATCAGGAGTTCAAGACCACCCTGGCCAACATGGTGAAACACTGTCTCTACTAAAACTACAAAAATTAGCTGGGCATGGTGGTTCAACCCTGTAATCCCAGCTACTTGAGAGACTGAGGCACGAGAATTGCTTGAACCTGGGAGGCAGAGGTTGCATTGAGCCGAGGTGGCACCACTGCTTTCAAGCCTCGGCAACAAATGGAAGAGACAGTCTCCAAAACAAAACAAAACAAAACAAAACAAAAAACCAAAACTTTTCATTGCCACCTTCACAGATATCCAGAAGTCACTGGAAAAAGGAATCTACCAATGAATCTCAGCATCTCCTCATTTTGCTCCTAGACCTAAAACCACCTTTGTATTGGGTGACCACCAGCCTCTAGATTTCTCTCCTCTGGGGATACCAAGAATTCACAATCTGCCTTTAACATGCTTGTATTTCCCATTGTACCTTCCCCATCTTTACTGAGCCAATGCTTCACCTCACTCGTATCTATATGCCTGTTGGCTTTAATTCTTTCCTATCTGTCCAAATCTAATTTATTCTTTAGGGCTTGGCTTAAACCCTATCTCCTCTGTGTGAGAGAGAATTTAATGGTCATATGTCTACATGGAAAGCCAGGCACTGTGCAGAGATTTAGGGATTCAGAGATGCACCATGAATAAGGACAGAACCTGCCATCAGGGAGCTCACAGTCTAGTAAGGGAAACAGATTGGAAAGAATGACAGGGTACTATGGTAAGGACAATGGGACTGTGTAAACTCCAGCAGCTCAGAAGACACAGTTATCAGTTATGTGTGTAGCACTGGGAAGGTTTCCTGTGGGAGATGACATCTGAGCCAGGGTCTGAGGCTGAGAAAGGGGCTTCTTCAGGAACTCCCCCTGCTTTGAACTCCCATAGCACTTATTAAGCCCAGACCCTCCATGGACTCCCACTTTCACTGCCTTTGCTTGCAAGTTTACTTACATTCTGTCTCCAGCTAAACCAATTTGGAGATCTTGCCCGTGTTCCCCATGGTCTGAGCACAGGGCCCTGATACCTAATAGAGGCTCATACATATTTGTTAAATGAATAGAATAAGTTAATCCCACAGACAGGTTTTTCTCTCCTCACATATTTTATCCAGAGCTTCCCTGAGCAAGTCAGGGGGCTAGATTCCTTCCTAAGGCTTCAGGAAGAATGGCCAAGTCGTGGAATATGCCCCACTTCATGGCCTTTGCTCTTTTACTCCCTGGCTCCCCAGTGTCTCTTTCTGCCTCCAAATGTGACCCTGCAAGGCCTCTTTATAAAAAAAAAAAAACAACTCCAGGCTCCAAAATCTCTCCCTCAATAAACTACCCTTTTGACTAAGCTATGGTATATAATGGAATACCATGCAGCTGTGGGGATGGCTGAGAATGAGACCTCAACGTAGACACCTTTTTTTTTGAGACAGGGTCTCATTCTGTTGTCCACGCTGGAGTGCAGTAGCACAATCAAGGCTCACTAAAGCCTCAACCTCCCCAGGCTCAAGCGATCCTCCCACCTCAGCCTCCGAAGTAGCTGGGATCACAGGCACATGCTACCATGCCCAGTTATTTTTTCGTATTTTTAGTAGAGATGGGGTTTTGTCATGTTGCCCAGGCTGGTCTTGAACTCGTGAGCTCAAGCGATCCTTCCTCCTTGATCTCCAGAAATGCTGGGATAACAGACATGAGCCTCCGCACTCAGTGGATGATTCTGGAATCAAATACCGGTGGATTCCCAATATTTGATTCTGGAACTATGTGGATGTTTACCTGTTTAAAAACTGTATTAAAAACTGTAAACAAAAAAACAACCAAGGTAAACCTCACATTGAAGATGATGAAAATAATTCACCCAAGACTGAATAACTGATAGGTAATTGGATTTTCACTTTGAGCTTCAATAAATTATTTGTTGAATGAACATGTGAATATTCCCCCACTGCACCTCTGGACCCCCACTTTAGTCCCTTGCTCTCTCCTCCTCCCTGGAGAAGCCTTCTACACCTAGGGAGAGCCAGAGGCTGGACACTGGAGAGATAAGGGCACAGGCCAACCACAGCCCTCTGTACTGACCCTGGTCTGTCTCCTGGATATCCCATCAAGTACAGGCTTTTTGGTTAAAGTCCTTGCACTTTGATGATTTCTATTTCCAGTTTCCCTTGGGGGAAGAGATGGAGCTGGTATTAATATTTTACAGTTGGGAAAATGATCTGGATATTTCATGTGTTCATGGTCAGTTGACCTTGAAATTGAAGGAACCCAGGTTTTGGGGTTTCTTTTTGAGATGGAGTCTCGCTCTGTCACCCAGGCTGGAGTGCAGTGGCGCAATCTCGGCTCACTGCAATCTCCGCCTTCCGAGTTCAAGCAATTCTTCTGTCTCACCCTCCCAAGTAGCTGGGATTACAGGCTCCCGCCACGATGCCTGGCTAATTTTTGTATTTTTAGTAGAGACGGGGTTTCGCTATGTTGGCCAGGCTGGTTTTGAACTCCTGACCTCAGGTGATCCGCCCGCCTTAGCCTCCCAAAGTGCTGGGATTACAGACATGAGCCACCAAACCTAGCCGCTTTCAGCATTTTAAAACTGATTATAAATCTCCAGCCTGGATCACATGCCAACCTGGATGCAGGCAAAGCCATCATTTTAAAAATCAAAGCTCATTATGTCATTTTCCTGCTTAAAGCCCTTCGGTGGCTTCTAATTATCATTAAGATAAAAGTCCAAACTCCTCATTGGGGATTATAGGGCCCTACAGAATCTGATCCGTTTTTTTTTTTTTCTCCCTCATATAAAGCCATCTGGGTTTGGTACTTTTTGTTGTAAGTAGATTTCTAACTACTGATTCAATTTATTAAGTCTGTTTAGATTTTGTTGCCTTGTGTTTTTTTGGTAAATTATATTTTCTAGGAAACAATCAATTTCAAATTTATTGGTATAAAGTTCATAGTATTATTACTTTTTTTTTTTTTTTGAGATGGAGTCTCACTCTGTCGCCAGGCTGGAGTGCAGTGGCACAATCTTGGCTCACTGCAACCTCTGCCTCCCAGGTTCAAGCACTTCTCCTGCCTCAGCCTCCTGAGTAGCTGAGACTACAGGCGCATGCCACCATACCTGGCTAATTTTTAGTACAGACGGGGTTTCACCATGTTGGCCAGGATGGTCTCGATCTCTTGACCTTGTGATCTGCCCGCCTCAGCCTCCCAAAGTGCTGGGATTACAGGCGTGAGCCACCGCGCCCGTCCACTTTTTTAAATAAACAAAACCAAGCCACTTCCTCTGCAAGCCTGCCTTGAACTCCCAAGTCTGCATTAGATGGCCTTTGAGACAGGGTCTTGCTCTGTCACCCTGGCTGGTGTGCAGTGGTGTAATCTTGGCTCACTGCAGCCTCAACCTCCTTGGCTCAAGCAATCTTCCTGTCTTAGCCTCCTGAGTAGCTGGGACTACAGGCGTGTGCCACCATGCCTGGCTAATTTTTTTTTTTTTTTTTGTTTAGAGACAGGGGTCTCACTGTGTTGCCCAGGCTGGTCTTGAATTCCTGACCTCAGGTGATCTGCCCGCCTTGGCCTCCCAAAGTGCTGGGGTTATAGGTGTGAGCCACTGCGCCTGGCTCCTGCTCTTCTAAGTGTTCTTGTAGCAGCCTGTACTTAACTTTATGGCTTATTTTCTGTTTTCCTCACTAGAATGCAAACTCCTTGAAAACCTTGCTTAGTGCTTGGGTCCATGGTAGGCGATCAGTAGAGTTGTAGAATGAAGAGAGTGAATTATACCTTCTTAATTCCTAGGAAGAATTCCCATTCTTAGGACACAGAGAACAAACAATACATCATGGGCATAAATAGCTCTTTTCCTTTGCGCAATTACATTCAGATCCCTAGTATCACTCTTTTTTCTTTTTTTGAGATTGCTCTGTCGCCAGGCTGGAATGCAGTGGCGTGATCTCGGTTCACTGCAACCTCCACCTCCCGGGTTCAAGCAATTCTCCTGACTCAGCCTCCCGAGTAGCTGGGATTACAGGCATGTGCCACCATGCCCGGCAAATTTTTGTTGTATTTTTAGTAGAGTTTAGTAGAGTCTGTGCTAATCTGTGCTAGCCAGGATGGTCCCGATCTCCTGACCTTGTGATTTGCCCACCTCGGCCTCCCAACAGTGTCACTCTTTATGGTTATGATCCGTCTCTGGCCGTTCATTCCACTCCACTCCATGCGACTCAGGTCCCTGGGGAGGCCTATTTTCTGGAGTAGGGCTGGGTCTAGGCTGGAATCGCGCAGCCTCCCCTTCTCTGGCTCTGGGCCAATGAGCCCTTGCACGGAGCCTTCTTGCCAGCAGGTGGCACTTGAAGCCTGAAAGCTAAACCAGACCCTGTCTCCTCCTCCTTCCTGTTCCGTTTCTTGAGAGAGCACATAACCCTGCTTGGGCTGTGCTAAGGCTTGCAGTCAGATGCCCTCGCCACGGGGCTTGACTCCTGGCTCCCAAGCTGCCGTGCCTGCTTCCTTGCCTGGATGCAGTCATTGCCTGGACCTCTCCTTTGCCTTAAGAGTCCAACAGGGTTATAGAGCATATGCTCTAGCCAGAACTAAAACTAGGTGGGGCACTTAACGATTGTGTACTCACATTCTTTGTTTTTGAGACAGGGTCTCACTCTGTCGCCCAAGCTGGAGTGCAGTGGTGTGATTTCAGCTCACTGCAACTTCTGCCTCCAGGTTCAAGTGATCCTCCCACCTCAGCCGCTGGGACTACAGGTGTGTGCCACCACACTCGGCCAATTTTTATAATCTTTAGTAGAGATGGGGTTTTGCTGTGTCGCCTCAAATTCCTGGGCTCAAGCGATCCTCCCACCTCGGCCTCCTATAGTGCTGGGATTACAGATGTGAGCCACCATGCTGGATGAGCTGAGTCTTGGAGGAGGGGAGGCTTATTCTATCTAGGTTAGAAGAAACAATCTGAATAAAAACCGAAGCAGAAATCAACCCTGTGTGTTCCCATATGCTCCCCAGCTCATCAAAAACTCTGCCTACTAAAATCGTCTCAGGCTGCTCACATGTCACCTTGCCTGAGGACTTTTTCCTTGGGGGACCTTGGTCTCTTCTGGGTCTTAGCTTGTACCTCTCACCTGCACATTTAACCTATTGTGCCAAAGTGCGGCTGTCATGTCTTCTTGAGCACCTGGACCACCCTCTGCTTCCTCAGGCACTCCTAGGAGCTGGTGGAGTTCATTTGGAATTCCATGTACCTGTGATAGGTACCCTTGACCCTGGGTTTCAAGATGTTGCATGTGAGATCCTGACCCTCTCCTGCCATGCTCCAGCTTTCAGCTTTAGCGAGCCCAGGCCAATCAGCAGATCTCTTGTAGGGAAATGAATGTCCCACAAAGGCCGTGAATGAGACTCCTCTTTCAGGCTGGAGAAAGGAGGGTCAAAGGAAAGAGTGATTTTAGGATTCGGGGACAAATTTAAGAAAAGCTCACATTTTGCTTATGCCCCAGGCCTGGAGCAATGAGAAGAGCAAAGCCTTTGCTTTGATACCAGGGACACCCCAAGAGGGGAAAGGTGGCAGACAGATGATAAGATAGGAGAGTGGCCAACTCCTTTGAGAGATAATCTGATATCCCAGAAAGGATGTTAAAAGTGAGGTTGTGGCCTGGTGTGGTGGCTCACACGTGTAATCCCAGCACTTTGGGAGGCCGAGGTGGGCAGAACACTTGAGGTCAGGAGTTTTGAGACCAGCTTGGCCAACATGGTGAAACCCTATCTCTCCTAAAAATACAAAAGTTAGCCGGGTGTGGTGGTGCACAGTGGTAGTCCTAGCTACTCAGGAGGCCGAGGCAGGAGAATCACTTGAATTTAGGAGGCAGAGGTTGCAGTGAGTGAGTCAAGATCGTGCCTTGGTAACAGAGTGAGCAAGACTCTGTCTCAAAAAAAAAAAAAAAAAAAAAAAAGGAGGTTCTTAAACTGCTCTGTAAATGC
Source organism: Homo sapiens (assembly GCF_000001405.40). Classification (NCBI taxonomy): domain Eukaryota; kingdom Metazoa; phylum Chordata; class Mammalia; order Primates; family Hominidae; genus Homo; species Homo sapiens. Next base: position 72,366,096 of record NC_000010.11, read on the forward strand.
TGGGGTTAGTACCTTCCCAGTGGAGCCACAGGTGCAGAGCCAGGCCTCTGTTCTTCTCTGGCTGACAAGCACTCCCTACTAACACATTCAGAGCAGCCGCCTCACAGGAAGGGCCGAGTTTTCGGTATGGTGGTTCTATGATGTTGGCCGTGCCAAGGAGACATGCCAGGAAGCGCTACCTGGAGGTTCTGGGGGCTGCAGGCATTTTGGAGGAAAGCTGAAGCAGAGGCTTTGGGACCTGGAAGAAACCTCAAGGCTCCTTTAGCCCATCCCTAGCTGTCATTTTATAGATGAGGAAACAGGTGGGAAATGACTTGCTCAAGACCACACTGAGTTAGTGGCAAAATTGGGTCCACCATACAACACTGGTTGTTATGGTTCTTTTTTTTTTTTTTTTTTTTTTTGAGGCAGAGTCTCACTCTGTCGCCAGGCTGGAGTGCAATGGCGCGATCTTGGCTCACTGCAACCTCCGCCTCCCAGGTCCAAGTGATTCTCCTGCCTCAGCCTCCTGAGTAGCTGGGATTACAGGCACATGCCACCATGCCTGGCTTTTTAGTAGAGACAGGGTTTTACCATGTTGGTCAGGCTGGTCTTAAACTCCTGACCTCATGATCTGCCAGCCTCAGCCTCCCCAAGTGCTGGGATTACAGGCATGAGCCACTGTGCCAGGCCGGTTGTTATGGTTCTTAAAACTTAGGTCCTTATGGTGAAATGCATAGGGTAACGTGGCAAAACTCGTCTCTACAAAAAATACAAAAATTAGCCAGGTGTGGTCGCGTGCACCTATAGTCCCAGCTGCTCAGGAGGCCGAGGTGGGAGGATGGCTTGAGCCTGGGAGGCAGAGGTTGTGGTGAGCCAGGATTGCGCCACTGCATTCCAGCCTGGGTTGCAGAGCGAGACCCTGTCTCAAAACAAAAGCAAAACCAAAAAACCCCACACAACTTAGGTCCACCATACTAGATGATTCCTCACATACTCCCCATCTTAGTTCTTTACTGTGGGGCATGAATAAGCAAGGACTGTGTACCTTGGCCCAGAATGAAATGCTAACCAAACTGTGCGGGGACAATGCCACCACTAACCTCCAAAAGCCCTCACTTTTTGTCTGTGCCTAAAGCTGCTCTTCATCAGAAAGAACCAGACTCTGGTAGAAAGAAAACAGGTCTGCTTCCAGCAAGATCTCAAATCCAGTGGGGACATAAAATGAAAAGGGCCTAGAGGACCCTAAAATAAAGGAGACAGGGAACTTTGGGGATGTTTATTGCAAATGGTTATAATTTAAGTGATATTTACAATTGTTTAAGACAGAGGGCAAACAGGCTCTGAGCCAGGCCTCAGCTTTAGAGGCCCATCCTGGAGAGGAAATGGCACTTGCAGGGAACATGAGCTCAATCACTATTGCTCACTAAGCACAGGGTCACACTGGAGTCATCTTAGGGAGGCTGCGAGGAAGAAAAGGGAGTGCACAGAGCCATGAAGCAACTACTTTAAATTCTGAATCTTGCTGTGTTCCCACTGAGCATGCTGCCTTCCTAGAGCAGGCCTTGGAGCCATCCCAGGGACTAACACAGATCCTTCCTGGGGCGCAGGCTTCTCACACTAGCGTAGGGTGCCTAGGTCATCCTCATCATTGTTTATCATCACAGACTTCTTTCTGCCTGCCAGATATCTTCCCTACTTGTGGCTTTAAAACACCAGCAGGAGGGAAGTCAAGGAATGTTCTTGTTAGTATAAATCCATAGCAAAAACGATTTGAGAACTGGATGCTTCCCAGGGTTGGCAGGTGTGTGGATGGTTCCCTGAATTCTTTATCCACAGGATGCTTGAATGGGTGGTGCTGTTGAGGCTGACAAATGTCTGAGCTTTACAGACTTGTTCATGTTTTTGAGAACCTATGGGGATACTCATTGGGCAGAATCAGAGCCCAGCAGAACACGGGGACGGGGAAGGGTAAAGAGGGGAAACCGACAGAGTCCTGAGGTCATCCCGGGAGGAAGGGGGACTACTTCCAGAAGCAGCAGCACAAAGGGCTCTGCCGAGACTCTGCGGAGGGGGTCCAGGGTACTGGGGGTGGAGGGGTCCCCTCTTGCAGTGTGGGGTTACTGTTTGGGTAAAGCGAAGTCCCAGGCAGTTTCCTGTGCACATTTCCACATGGCCTGCATGAGGCGAGTGAAACCCATGTCTTTGGGCTTTTCCAGGCCTCTCATCAGCCGTTGCTTCATGATGGAAACAAATTCCTTATTGCTCAGTTCGCCATTGCCTAGAGGAAGAGGCAAAAACAACAGGGATAAGTGTTGGCCTTGGAACAACACCACTGATATAATTCCATTGTCCACACAAAGTGGATTTCAAAGCCCAGACATTCTCCACAGCCAAACTCAATTCTCTTATCCTAGAATTCATTAGTTTATTCCTTCCTCGATATTTCCAACTGCAACTCAGTGACAGTTCAGTGTAGTGTGACAAAAGTTGAATGAAAATACAGTATATGCCAGGTCTTGTGCCAGGTGTTTAGAACAAGGAGATAAATGAGCTTTGTGCTTTGTCCCTGGAAATACTTCCAGGCTGTAGGAGAGACAAATTATTATACCACAGTGTGGGGTAAACGGAGGATGCTATGGGGGGCACAGAGGAAGAATCTCCCACCCTGGCTGAGGGTAATGCAAATACAGATAGTAAAGGCTTCCTGGAAGTGACTCCTGAGTAGAATCTCACAGGATTAGCAGCAATTGGCCAAGTTAAGGGGAGATGAGGGAGGCATTCCAGGGAGGAGAAGCAGCATAAGCATGAGTACAGGCAGGATACAGCGTGGCTGCCAGGGAACTGCAAGTAGGCAGTTAGGTATTGCTGGACACTAAAGAAGCAGGTGCATGGGAAGTAAACTAAGGAGGAAGGCAGGGAGCTGAGTGTGGTGGCTTGTGCTTGATTTCCTAGCTACTTGGGAGGCTGAGGCAGGAGGATCTCTTGAGGTCAAGAGTTTAAGACCAGCCTAGACAATATAGCGAGACCCTGTCTCTAAAAATTTTTTTCAAATTAACTGGGCATGGTGGTGGACACCTGTAGTCCCAGCTACTTGGGAGGCTAAGGCAGGAAGATCGCTTGATTACCACCCGGTGATTGCGGCAATCACCAGGAGCTCAAGGCTGCAGTGTGCTATGATGACCACTGCACTCCAGCCTGGGTGACACAGTGAGACCATGTCTCTTGGAAAAAAAAAAAAAAAAAAGAGGTGGGCAGGAGACAGGTCCCCCCAGGGTCTGTATTGCTCCTAAAGGTCTGGCACTTTCTCTTCCAGGCAATGGAACATCAGAAAAAAACTGGAAGCAGGGGAGTAAGAAGCAGGCAGATTTCCATTTTGGACAGATTTTTCTGGCTGGTTGTGTGAGGATGGATTGGAAGGCGGCACACCTGGAATATTGGGGTCAGTTAGGAGACTGCTGCAATAGTCTCTCTGCTGTAATGGAGAGATGGTGAGGGGGTTTCGTGGTGAAAACCAAAATCAAACTTTGGCTTTGGATTGAGCCCATTTTCTCATGGTTTCCTAATCCACCCTCTTCAGTGTCAGAGGGCTGGAAGAAACTTTGGAGAGCATCTGTTTTTTTTTTTGTTGTTGTTGTTGTTTGTTTGTTTTGAGACGGAGTCTTGCTCTGTTGCCCAGGCTGGAGTGCAGTGGCGCGATCTCAGCTCACTGCAACCTCCGCCTCCCAGGTTCAAGCGATTCTCCTGCCTCAGCCTCCTGAGTAGCTGCAACTAGAGGCGCATGCCACCATGCCCGGCTAATTTTTGTACATATATATTTTTTTGAGACGGAGTCTCACTCTGTCACCCAGGCTGGAGTGCAGTGGTGCGATCTCGGATCACTGCAAGTACCCCTCCAGGTTCATGCCATTCTCTGCTCAGCCTCCCAAGTAGCTGGGACCACAGGCACCCGCCATCATGCCCAGCTAATTTTTTTTGTATTTTTAGTAGAGATGGGTTTCACCGTGTTAGCCAGGATGGTCTCAATCTCCTGACCTCATGATCCGCCCACCTTGGCCTCCCAAAGTGCTGGATTACAGGCGTGAGACACTGCGCCTGGCCAAGAGCATCTGTTTTAATTAGAAACCACCCAAGCCACACAGAACAGTAACCACTGTAATAGCAGAGGTACAGTCACCCTTTGCAAGACACCCAGGGGCCTGTTGATTAAAATAATGACACCCATTACTGGTGGTGATAAGATAGCAGGAAACCCACAAACCTACCTCTACTCATGATTGGTCTGGGAAGAGTGTGGTAAGAAGGAATAAATGGTTTACTTCTGTAGAGTACCCAAAACCTAAACTGGCTCATGTTTTCTGGCTGAAGAGAGTATGGGCATCCTCAGAGACAGGAAACCCCCCACAGCAAGACAAAACCCAAAACCAAACCCAACAAAACAAAACCCAAAACCAAAACAAAAAAACACTTGGCTTATTTATATAAAGTACAAAGGTAAAACTGTGTTACTAGAAGTCAGAAAAGTGGTGACTCTTGGGGAAGGAAGTGACTGGAGGTACCAAGTAGGGCTCTATAGTCCTGGTAATGTGATGTTTCTAAATAATGCTGGTTATACAAGTGTGTTCAGCTTTTTAAAAATTTACCAAGCTGTACACTTAAGATATTTGTACTTTAGGCTGGGCACAGTGAGTCACGCTTGTAATCACAGCACTTTGGGAGGCCGAGGCGGGCAGATTGCTTAAGGCCCGGAGTTCAAGACCAGCCTGGCCAACGTGGTAAACCCTGTCTCTACTAAAAATACAAAAAATTAGCTGGGCATGGTGGTGGGCGCCTGTAATTCCAGCTACTTGGGAGGTTGAGGCATGAGAATCATTTGAATCTGGGAGATGGAGGTTGCAGTGAGCAGAGATGGCGTCACTGCACTCCAGCCTGGGTGACAGAGTCAGACTCTGTCTCAAAAAAAAAGAAATTGTACTTTTCCATATATTATATTGCAATATAATAAAAAGTTAAAAAATAGCCTTGCTTGGGCTGGGTGCAGTGGCTCACGCCTATAATCCCAGCACTTTGGGAGGCCGAGACGGGCGGATCATGAGGTCCGGAGATTGAGACCATCCTGGCTAACACGGTGAAACCTCGTCTCTACTAAAAATACAAAAAAAAATAGCTGGGCGTGGTGGCGGGTGCCTGTAGTCCCAGCTACTCGGGAGGCTGAGGCAGGAGAATGGCGTGAACTTGGGAGGTGGAGCTTGCAGTGAGCCGAGATCGCACCACTGCACTCCAGCCTGGGCAACACAGCGAGACTCCGTCTCAAAAAAAAAAAAAAAAAAAGCCTTGCTTGGCTGAAAAGTAATGAATAATTTGGCTTATCAAGAATGTAGGCCGAGGCCAGGCACGGTGCCTCACGCCTGTAATCCCAGCACTTTGGGAGGCCAAGACGGGTGGAGAACCTGAGGTCAGAAGTTCGAGACCAGCCTGGCCAACATGGTGAAACCCCATCTCTACTAAAAATATGAAAAATTAGCCAGGCGTGGTGGTGGGCACCTGTAATCCCACCTACTTGGGAGGCTGAAGCAGGAGAATTGCTTGACCCCGGGAGGCAGAGGTTGCCGTGAACCATGACTGTGCCATTGCACTCCAGCCTGAGCAACAAGAGTGAAACTCCATCTCAAAGAAAAAAATATATATATATAGGCCAAGGTGGGGCATAGTGGCTCACACCTGTAATCTCAGCACTTTGGGAGGTTGAGGTGGGAGTATCATTTGAGCCCAGGAGTTCAAGACCAGCATGAGCAATATAGTGAGACCCTGTCTCTACAAAAAGTTAAAAAATAAGCTGAGCATGGTGGTGCCTGCCTGTAGGCCCAGCTACTTTGGAGGCTGAAGTGGGAGAATTGCTTGAGTCTGAAAGGCGGGAGTTGCAGTGAGCCAACATTATGCCCCCGCACTCCAGCCTGGGCAACAGAGCAAGATGCTGTCTCGAAAAAAAAAAAAAAGAAAAAAATAAATGTAGGCCAGGTGTGGTGGCTCATGCTTGTAATCTCAGCAACTCAGGAGGTCAAAGCAAGAGGACAGCTTTAGGCCAGAAGTTTGAGACGAGCCTGGGCAACATCGCAAGACTCTTTCTCTACGAAAAAATTCAAAAAAATTAGCTAGGTGTGGTGGCATGTGCCTCTGAAGCTACTCAAGAGGTTGAGGTGAGGGGATCACTTGAACTCAGGAGTTTGAGGTTACAGTGAGCTATGATCGCACCACCACACTCCTGCCTGGTGACAGAGCGGGTGTGGTGGCTCACGCCTATAACCCCACCATTTTGGGAGGCCAAGAAGGGAGGACTACTTGAGTCAGGAGTTTGAGGCCAGCCTAGAAAACATAGTGAGACCTCTCTCTAAAAAAACAAAAACAAATTTAAAAAAAAATGTAATTAAGAGAACAGAAAGTTCTAAACAGGATTCTTACACTTTGTATAAAAAGAAGCTTGAGGCCAGGTGTGGTGGCTCATGCCTGTAATCCCAGCACTTTGGGAGGCTGAGGCAGGTGGATCACCTGAGGTCAGGAGTTCAAGACCAGCCTGGCCAACAGGGTGAAACCCTGTCTCTACTAAAAATACAAAAAAAATTAACCGGGTGTGATGGTGGGCGCCTGTGATCCCAGCTACTCGGGAGGCTGAGGCAGGAGAATCACTTGAACCCAGGAGGCAGAGGCTGCAGTGAGCCGAGATCATGCCATTGCACTCCAGCCTGGGCAACAAGAGCTTGACCCCAGGAGGCAGAGGGTGCAGTGAACCAAGATCGTGCTGTTGCTGTTGCACTCCAGCCTGGGCAACAAGAGTGAGCCTCAAAAAAAAAAAAAAAAGAAAAAAGAAAAAGAAGCTTGAAAATGAAAAAATATGAAGTCACTTCATTCAAACTACTATGGGTTTACCTTCTGCTTCCGTAAGGACCACATGACCACTATGAGTGGATTTTGTTACTGTGAACCAGGTCTATAACTGTATGTTATTTGCATGCATGTGTGATTTGTGAGTTCAATTCTAAAATCTGTGATGAAGAAGTCTATTTGAAAATCGAATTCTCCATCCCCTGGCACTTTATTTTGTTTGTTCATTTTTTTTTTTTTTTTTGAGATGAGGTCTTGCTCTGTTGCCCAAGCTGGAGTGCAGCGCTAGGATCATACCTCACTACAGTCTCAAACTCCTGGGCTCAAGTGATCCTCACACCTCAGCTTTCCAGTAGCTAGAACTACATGCACACACTACCACACCTTGGCTAAACTTATTTTTTGTAGCGATGGGATCTCGCTATGTTGCCTAAGCTGGTCTTGAACTCCTGGCCTCAAGTGATCTTCCCATCTCAGCCTCCCAAGTTGCTGGGATTACAGTTGTGAGCCACTCTACAGGCTTTCCTTTGGCATTTTGACCTAAGATCTTGCAGTGGTAAAAATAACAACGGCTTTTTGTTAAGTATACTTTTTCTTTCTAGATTAAGAAAATAAATCTCAGAGATGTTAAATAATTTTCCAAAGGTGATTTAAGTAGATAATGACAGAACCTCTTTCTAAAAAGCTAGAAAATCAAACATCATTTTCCAGGACTTCTAGGGAAAAGGGGGGACTTGAGAAGCTAGTTGCATTTATTCCCATATTTACTTCACAGACCAGGTCTTGGATATTGGCTTCAAAAATTATAAAAATAATAAAAATAAATGTTTTTTGGAAAAAATTTAAACCACCTAGAAGTGATTGGAGTGAAAACAAAAATCTGGAGAAAGTTAATATATGTCTACAGCACTGCTGTGCATTAGAACTCTCTGCGATGTGGGAAATGTTTTATATTTGTGCTATTCAATACAGTAGCCACTAGCTAGTTTAAATTTAAATGTAGCTAATAGCCACATGTGCCTTGGTGGTATCATACTGTGGACAGGGCAGCTCTAGAGAATAAACCCACCCCTACCTGAGAGTGAGGCCATCTCTTTAACCTAGCCCTAGGGCTTCCTTTGAGTTCAACCTTGGTTTTGTAGGTATAGGCTGGAGATTTATTTTATTTATTTAATTGTACTTTTTGAGACAGGGTCTCACTCTGTCACCCAGGCTGTAGTGCAGTGGTGTGATCATGGCTCACTGCAGTCTTGACTTCCCCGCTTCAAGCGATCCTCTCACTTCAGCCTCCTGAGTAGCTGGGACTATAGGCACACATGTGCTACCATGCCTGGCTAATTTTTAAAATTTTTTGTAGAGACATGGTCTTACTATATTGCCCAGGCTGGTCTCAAACTCCTGGGCTCAAACCATCTTCCTGCCTTAGCCTCCTAAAGTGCTGGGATTACAGGTATGAGCCACCACGCCAGGCCAAGGCTAGAGATTTAAATAACTCAAGTTCAACTTAATAACATAAATAATTCAAGTTAATGAACACCTATTATGTGAGAAGTACTATCCAAGGTCCTATGGGGGGTAGGAAGGTGAAAAGGACTTGCAACTACCCTTAAAAAGCTCAGGGAACCATGTTAAGGAATAAAAAAGCCCAGAAGTGATTCTTATGCTGGGACCAAAAGGGAAGCTCCATAGGCTGGAGCTTTTGAGCAGGCTCTTGAATTCCATTAGCCCAGCTTTCTGGAGGATGATGAACAACAAATACTGGCTGTGGGGTAAGAGAGGGTGGTAATATAGTAAATAAAACAGAGGGGGCAGTACAGTTTTAGTTCAAATCCTGGTTTTGCCATCTACTATTATCTTTTTTTTTTTTTTTTTTTTTTTTTTGAGATAGAGTCTCGCTCTGTCGCCCAGGCTGGAGTGTTGTGGCACGATCTCTGCTCCCTGCTGCCTCCCGGGTTCAAGTGATTCTCTTGCCTCAGCCTCTCGAGTAGCTGGGATTTCAGGCACGCACCACTGTGCCTGGCTAATTTTTGTATTTTTAATAGAGACGGGGTTTCACCATGTTGGCCAGGCTGGTCTTGAGCTCCTGACCTCAGGTGATCCGCCTGCCTCAGCCTCCCAAATACTATTATCTTTGTGACCTTAGGAAATCTACTTAACCTCTCTGAGTCTCAGCTTTCTCATCAGTAAAAAGTGGTCAATAACAATACCTAGGTCAGAAGATTAAATGAGCAGATTAACTTTCTGGCTCATAGTAAGCATTGAAAAAGTGTAAGCATCCGTTGTTATTGTTGTTATTAGTATATCAGCTACCATACCTAAAAAATAATGCCAAGGTCAAACCAGAACCAGATCTCTTGAATGGGCTAAATGACAGAGCAGAGTGGCCACAGACACAACAGACCACTGTGTGGAGCTGGAATGCTATGGAGATGGAATGCAACTGGCTGGAATGTGCCCTGGGTGGTGGAGAGATCAGTACTGCCTTCTTTCTAAAGACACTCAGATACCTGAGTGCTCCGTATCCGCTAAGTAGCAAGTTGAGTCTGACATTTTTGTTTCCATTTTTAAGATGCTTATGGTCATAAATTAATTTAGGCCTATAGGCATATTGGAATTATAAGAAGAAGAAATGGAAAACAGAAGCCAGGGCCAGGGGTTCGATTTCTCAGTATCATCATGCCAAGGGCTGAGGTGCTAATGTGAGAAAGGTGGGTAGCTTGAAGAGGATGGGCTGGTACACAGATGCTGTCCGCAAGGCTCCATTATACACAAGGGCCTCTAAGGGCAGCTAGGCTGTTTCCCCTCCGGGCTCCAGAGGGCCCCACTCACCATCACAGTCAAAGAGTGCAAACACCACATCACACACGTGGTCTGAGAGCTCCACTTTAGCCACTGTCCTGGCCACCTGCTGCATGGTCACTGAAAAAAGAAAGAGGTGCATTAGCACAGCAGAGGGATTTTCATTTTGCTTTCTCTGATTCAGGGGATAAAACGACTCAGTCATAATACAAGTTTTCAACTGCATTTAAGTCACATTTAAGAAAATGATAAGTTAGGCTGGCCACAGTGGCTCATGCCTGTAATTCCAGCACTTTGGGAGGCCGAGGAGGGTGGATCACCTGAGGCCAGAACTTCAAGACCAGCCTGGCCAAGATGGTGAAACCCTGTCTCTACTAAAAATACAAAAAATTAGCCGGTGCCTGTAATCCCAGCTACTTGGGAGGCTGAGGCAGAGAATTGCTTGAACCCGAGAGGCGGAGGTTGCAGTGAGCTGAGATCACGCCACTGCTCTCCAGCCTGGGAGAGTGAGACTCCGTTTCAAAAAAAAAAAGAAAAAATGATAATTGAGTTTTTATTCATAAGCTCCCTCCTTTTCACCTCAAGTTCTGTTCTTTTCTACTGCTGCTACAGTTTAGGAGGTATATATAGTTAATTAAGAATGCCTAGGCTGGCCAGGCGCGGTGGCTCATACCTGTAATCCCAGCACTTTGGGATTCCGAGGCAACATGGCGAAACCCTGTCTCTACAAAAAATACAAAAAATTAGCCCGGCATGGTGGTGTGCACCAGCTACTTGGGAGGCTGAGGTGAGAGGATAGCTTGAGCCCAGGAGGCAGAGGTTTCAATGAGCTGAGATGGCGCCACTGTACTGGAGTAACACTCTATGTAACAGAGTGAGACACTGTCTCAAAAAATAAAAAGTGCCTGATATTCAATTTATAGACAGAAAGTAGATTAGAGGTTATTGTGGGCTGAGGGGAATGGGGAGTTACTGCTTTATGTATACAGAATTTCTGTCTGGGGTGATGGAAAAATTTTGAAAATAGTGATGATGGTTGTACAACATTGTGAATGTAATTAATGTAATTCCACTGACTTGTATATTTAAAAATGGTTATAATGGCACATTTTATGCCATATATATTTTTATATTTATATATATATTTATAGAAATATATAAATGGGTGGTGGGAACAAGGAGGCTTGTCTGTGGTGTGAGTACACTAAGGCTTCACGCCTTGGTGGGTGAATGACAGCTAAGTGCCTGCACAGTGAGCCCTCCCTGCCCAACTCTGTCCCTCCTCCCTACTGGTTTTGCACCAGACTTCTTCCAACTGAGCCCATTGGTATATGCACTGGCCCTTGTCTTAACAGTTCAGGATGCGTATCTTTCTTTTTTTTTTTGAGACAGAGTCTTACTCTGTCCGCCAGACTGGAGTGCAGTGGCACGATCTCGGCTCACTGCAACCACTGCCTTCCGGGTTCAAACAATTCTCCTGCTTCAGCCTCCCAAGTAGCTGGGACTACTGGTGCCTGCCATCACGCCTGGCTAATTTTTATATTTTTAGTAGAGATGGGGTTTCACCATGTTGGCCAGGGTGGTCTTGAACTCCTGACCTCAGGTGATCTGCCCACCTCGGCCTCTCAAAGTGCTGGGATTACAGGGGTGAGCCACCACACTCAGCGGGCCCGGCCAATAGTTCAGGATGCATATCTTTCTTTTAAAAAATATATATTTTTAGACCTCAGCAAAAAATCACTTTTCTCTTGCCGTTTTCTCTTTCCCAGACATTCACCGTCAAACACTAGCAATTATGTTAGAATTGGGTTCTCATGAAAGACAAGACAGGAAGGACGAGGCAATTTCCACTGCCTTCTCTCTCATTTATCCTCAAACCTGGTCTAGCTACACCTATAAATCATGTTATTGCTTCTGGACACATTCTTAAGTGAGGTAAAATATGAGGGAAAGAAAAGGATTAATTTCCATTTATGCTGGTAATGAAGAGCTCTCTATAATCATCACATTAGATTCATCCAGAAGCCAAGTGAACTTAAACTAGAACCACTGTGCCTTGTTTATCGCATTCCTATAATTTCAGTTCCTATTATCAGCCCATCTTGTCATTTTTTGCATTTGATCTTTCACTTTGCCTCTATCACCTCCATATATTTACCCGATACGGTTTAGATTTGTGCCCCCACCCAAATCTCATGTCAAATTGTAATTCCCAGGCCAGGCGTGGTGGCTTACACCTGTAATCCCAGCACTTTGGGAGGCCAAGGCTGATGGATCACCTGAGGTCAGGAGTTCGAGACCAGCCTGGCCAACATGGTGAAACCCTGTCTCTACTAAAATAAATACAAAAATTAGCTGGGCGTGGTGGTGCGCACCTATAGTCCAAGCTACTCAGGAGGCTGAGACATGAGAATCACTTGAACCTGGGAGGCGGAGGTTGCAGTGAGCCAAGACTGTGCCACTGCACTCCAGCCTCGGTTACAGAGCGGGACTCTGTCTCACAAAAGCAAAACAAAAACAAAAAAACCCTGAAAATCCAAAAACAAATGGTAATCCCCAGTGTTGGAGGAGGGGCCTGGTAGGAGGTTACTGGATCATGGGGGCAGATTTCCCCCTTGCTGTTCTCATGATAGTAAGCGAGTTCTCATGAGATCTGGTTAAGTGTGTGGCACCTCCCACCTCTCTCTCTTCCTCCTGCTCTGGCCATGTGAGACGTGCCTCCTTCCTCTTCGCCTTTCACCAGGATTGTAAGTTTCCTGAGGCCTCCTCAGCCATGCTTCCTTTACAGCCTGTGGAACTGTGAGCCAATTAAGCCTCTTTTCTTTATAAATTACCCAGTCTCAGGTAGTTCTTTATAGCAATGCAAGAATTAATTAATACATCACCACAGTGCCCCCAACATCAGCAGATGCAAACACTGGAGCAATGCAGAGGAGCAAGGTAATGCGGTAGAAAACAAGGCTTGGAGTAACGGGACCTGGGCTCCAGTTCTGGCCCCACCACCAACGTGCTGTGTGACCCGGATGGAGTCACTTGATCTCTTTAGATTTAATTTTCTCATGTTCAAGTGGAGGGATGCCACCAGACAACTGCTGAGGCGGCTTACTAGCACAAAGAAGGGTTTATTGGTGTCATCTAGAATCTGAGGGTGAGGTTGGGGTGGAAATATCCCATCTTTTCTCCCAGGATCTGAGTTAGGGTGAAGAGGAAATTAACATTCTTTGGTACTAAAAGACTGAAGTATAAGATATTGTGGTGGATATTCATGAGATGTGTGTTGGGAAATCTACAAGACTATAGCGCTCTAGAGTTTAGAAATTTAGCCTCACAAATCTAGATACTTGATTTGGCTCAGGAAAAACTTATTCCTGCTAACTAAACTGTCCACAGAAGGAACAGAAATCAGGCCAATTTGCAATAAGAATAGTAACTGTTAAGAGAACTACAATGATGACAGCTGGTCATTATACTTCTCAGTAGGAAAGCTACTAAGGAAACCCCATTCACCTCAGAAGATTAACCTCAAAAGATTACTCAGTGAAAACAGAATGAGATCAGAAGGAACTGGAAGCGCTTAAACTGTGATTGCCTACAGCTTTACTCTTTGCTGCCACAGAAATGTGTCCTGAGAAGGGGATCGGAACCTGTTCTGTATTAGATAAACATGAACACTTTCTGTTAACCATTCCTTTTTCTGCATTTCACATCAACCTTAAGCTTCTGACTTCCTTTTCTCTTTCCCAGTTCTTCCATTCTCTCAGGGCACAGCCTTCTGCAATTGTCTTGATATTTCAAGTACTCATCTTCTCCCCATGAAGATGGTGCCCTTTCCTGTAAATAAACCATTAATTAAATAATACTCAAGGATGTCAGTGAGAGCTCTTGACAATTTCTAATGAGAGGCTCATTAAATTGGTATTAAGTGGTTGTAGAATAGGGACTTCTGGAGGCCTCCAGCAAGAATGCCTCATTACAGATGCCATCTCTTCACAGAAAGTTATAGATTATGTTCCATCTCACATGGAGAGGGCTCTGGTGTCCTTCCTACCATAGGAGGAAGAACTAGGGCTGCTAAGTTATTGTAGCCCAAACCACTGGGATGTTAGCCAGCAAACAGCCTAGCTGGGGTCCCCTTTCCTGGTACAAGATCCTCATTATAGGCCCCTGGGGTATGAATCAGAGTCGTGCAGGAAGCCAACATTTAATAGCTGGTGAGCTGTCAAACTAGGAGCACCTGGGATGAGTGGGATGACGGCAGATTACAAGCCAAGTGCTTGACAGCTGGTCCTGAGAGTTGGTTCATTCATATTTGCTTCCAATATCTCTGAATCCAGTCATAATCACAGCAAGCAGAACAAGTTTTCCTCCCAGATCTCAACTTTTTTATGCAGACCAGTTGTTGGTACTGGAATTCTGGCCTCCCTATTTGATGATGCTGACTGATGGTTGGGATTCCAGCTCCCAATCTGAAAGATGTCTACAGGGAGCATGAAGGCACCCCAGCGAAGGCCTAGCTTTCTAAATACTACGTATTTTTGTACAAATCTGGCCCAGCTGCCTGAACAAAGGGTTTAAGTGCGATTGGGTGATTCCTATTAGATTGGGATGGGAGAGAATTTGTAGAAGTGGGCTCAACTAGTACTCAAAAATCTGGCACCATCTGGCTTTTTGCAAAGTCCAGGCAGAATCCGAGTTGTGTCAGGTCCCCAATTTACTCTCCAGCATGATTCATGACTGGCTGTTTCAACAGTAAAAAGAAACCCTGAGTTTGTGTGATATAATATCAGAAACTACATACATAAATCTATTCACCACAATAGTTAAACAGAAGAGCTCTGAAGTGATGAGAGCCCAAATGTCCACTTGGAATCAGAGAATCTTAGAACTGGAAGATACCTCAGAGGAAATGTGACGTTAAATAATTTGCCCAGGGTCACAATGCTAGATGGTAACAGAGCTGGGTCTCGAATTTTGGCTGGTGCCCTTTCCCTATACACACTGGGTCCACATGATCCCTTCCATATATGGACAATATCAATTCCTCCATGACATGAATCTGTCACCCTGAGGAGAAAGGGTTTAGATTAAAGAAAAGTCACATGGGAAATACTCAAGTCCTTTTGGTGAGGGATGAATGAATAATTGAATAACTGGGAGTTGTGAGGCACCAGCATTAATTATAGGTTGGCCGTGGATCTGACTACCCCCTACAGTGGAAGACACTGAGTATTCCCTAGGAACTCATACCGACAATTTTAGGGACAACTTAAAAAGTGTATTCAACAGCAATCCAACGAAAAGCACATGTAACGAATGTGGCCCTGGGAGTTTTTCTCCACAGCTGCCTCTGATGCACAGATACAGCTTTAGGCAGCATGACCCAGTTAGGAGCTACCTGCCTCTTCCTAATGCAAAAGTGTTTGGAAAGGTGGTATGACAAGTTGGGCTGACAGTCTCTAAGCTGTGTGGCCATGTACTATTCCTGCCTTACCGGACTGCAGTGGAGAAAATCAAAAGCTGACTGGTGATGGCCAAGGTTAAGTGAGGGGAGATGGTTCTGCTTCAGCCCTGGAAAGGCTGATGCAGATGTCTTGTTTTCTTAAGTCCATCCCTAGATGGCTTTGGGTGGAACAAGGGGGAGGATATTTCCTTAAAGAGCATGTGTCCTGTCTTTTGTATCTCCTTCCATGAGCTTTTGTTAATACAAATGCACATTTTAACCTAGTTCTGGGGTGAGGGGAGGGGAAACGACAACATTTAGGAGAACTAGCAATTTAAGGAGCCAAGAGCAATGCAGCCTACAAGTAATGGAAATGATAACAATTCCTTGTTCTGTACGGTGCTCTTAGGCCCTATGCCCGCTGACCCCCTGTGTACTCAGGCTGCCTGACTGTCAGAGGTGATGCTGCTAATCCTAGCTCCTAACTTCCAGGACACACCACGGAGAAGATCTGTTTTCTGAGCCTGAGCGCATCATCCCAGATGATGGCTTCAATGGGCTTACACGCTTAATTTGGTACAAACTAACTTGGCAGTAAGATTTATTGCCATTGTCTAGTATTGTATCTGGGTTTATTAAAAATCCCCATCACATCTTTTCCACAAAGGGCTAGCATTTCTGCAAGCATCATTAGGTAGTCAATGATTTCAGCTGACACACCCATGGGACAATCACAGTTTGGTGGAGGAGACTGTGTATATATATATCTATACACACACACACACACACACACACACACACACACACACACACATTAAGATGGAGAAACACGTAGAAGAGACAGATATCAGATATATTAATACACACATATGGGAAATAATGGAATAGTGTGTATTTGGTACGAGTTACATTTTGGATCTGAATTCTTTTTTTTTTTTGAGACAGTCTTGCTCTGTCGCCCAGGCTGGAGTGCAGTGGTGCGATCTCGGCTCATTGCAACCTCGCCTCCCGGGTTTAAGTGATTCTCCTGCCTCAGCCTCCCTAGTAGCTGGGATTACAGGTGCCTGCCACCACGTCCGGCTAATTTTTTTTTTTTTTTAGTAGAGACAGGGTTTCGCCATGTTGGCTAGGCTGGTCTCGAACTCCTGACCTCAGGTGATCCACCCGCCTTGACCTCCCAAAGTGCTGGGATTACAGGCATGAGCCACCGCGCCTGGCCTGTATCTGAATTCTAAGGGAGAAAAGAGACCAACTGCGCATGTATGGTAGTGAGTGATGTGGGTTGGGGGTTTCTGTTTGAATACAGTATTAAAAGCAGGAAGGAGTGCTAAGGCCTGATTAGAGAGTTAGAACAGAAGGTGCAGGGGGTGAGTACATTAGGAGAAATCTTACAGAGGACTAGTCAAGTCTCCTTGCAAGAAAGTCTTTAAAACAGGCCAAGTGTGGTGGCTCACGCCTGTAATCCCAGCACTTTATGAGGCCAAGGCAGGCAGATCACCCGAGCTTAGGAATTCAAGACCAGACTGGCCAACATGGCGAAACCCCGTCTCTACTAAAAATACAAAAATTAGCCAGGCGTGGTGGCACATGCCTGTAATCCCAGCTACTCAGGAGGCTGAGGCAAGGGAATCACTTGAACCCGGGAGGCGGAGGCTGCAGTGAGCCAAGATCACGCCACTGCACTCCAGCCTGGGCGACAGAGCAAGCCTCCGTCCAATAGTAACTTGCTTTTCCCTCTCACATTGTTTAAATATTCATTCTGTTAGCTTTATTTTAAAAGTTGTTTTTAATTAGGACAGGTGCAGTGGCTCATGCTTATAATCCTAGTGGTTTGGGAGGCCAAGAATGAGACCAGCCTGGGCAATAGAGGAAGACCTCATCTCTACGAAAAATTTTAAAAAACATTAGTTGGGCACGATGGTGCGCTCCTGCAGTCCTAGCTACTTGGGAAACTGAGGTGGGAGGATTACCTGAGCCCAGGAGTTCAAGTCTGCAGTGAGCTATGACTGCACAACTGTACTCCAACCTAGGCAACAGAGCAAGACCCTGTCTCAAAAAAAAAAAAAAAAAGATGTTTTTGATTCGCTAATATAGTCATCTGCTTCAAAATTTGAATGGTACAAAAGGGGTGAAGTCTCTCTCCCAACCTTATACCCCAGTCACCCAGTCATTCAGAGACAATCAATGTCACTAGTTTCCCCAGAAATATTTTGTAGATATAAAATCAAATATGTACTCTTCGCTTCTTCCCTTTTCCCACAAAATGGTGGTGTACTAAATATTGTTTTGCTTTACTCACTTAACAACATATCTTAGAAATAATTCCAGATGGACATGAGCAGCTTCCTTCAATAGCTGCATAGTATTCCACTGACAGGATGGATCATAATTTCCTTGTTTATTTAACCAGTTCCTTATTTATTCTTATCTCAATCTTGAGAAGAAGGTACCTTTTCCCCTTCTCTTTAAAAAATTATTTCCTTTGTGGTCTGTGGGGGTCAGCTATAACAGAGTCTGAATCTCTGATGGCTAAACTGAGAGTAACTGATATATTTAAATTCAGTTTGTTGAAATTAAAGACTAAATAGTCACCTTTACAAGTGTCTTTTTTGTTTGTTTTTTTGAGACAGGGTCTTGGTTCTGTTGCTCAGGCTAGAGTGCTGTGGCAAGATCATGGCTCACTGCAACCTCTGCCTCCTGGGCTCCTGATTCTCCCGCCTCAGCCTCCCTAGTAACTGGGACTACAGGTGTGGATTACCACACCTGGCTAGGTTTTGCATTTTTAAACAATTTTATTAAAAAAAAATTTTTTTTTAATTGAGACAGGGTCTTGCTCTGTTGCTCAGGCTGGAGTGCAGTAGTGAGGGCACAGCTCACCACAGCCTCAACATCCTGGGCTCAAATGATCCTCCCGCCTCAGCCTCGGAAGTAGCTAGGACTACAGGCTCGCGCCACCATGCCTGGCTAATTTTTGTATTTTTTTGTAGAGATGGGGTTTCACCATGTTGCCCAGGCTGGTCTTGAACTCCTGGGCTCAAGCGAACCACCCACCTTGGCCTCCCAAAGTGCTGGGATTATAGGCTATGAGCCACTGGGCCCAGCCACAGTGTCTTATTAAACCTTCCGAGGCTTCTCAAGGTAGTAAACCTTGAAACCCCCAAAGAAGCAATGCTTATAATAAATACTCCCTCTACACTTTCCCGATATTGATGTAATTCTAGTAATCATTCTTTTTCTGATCTTTTTCTCAGTGGGATGTAATGTTGGCTGATTTTGTCTTTCCTTATCTATTTATGTGGATGCTTTAACAGTTTATCCTACCCCCATCTCTTCTCTTTGTGATGTAATTCATGATGGTAATCATGAATCCCTAAAGCAGCTCTCCTCCTCCTTAGGGCACTTACCTAATTTTACTAAATCATAATATATTCAAAGTGATCATAAGCCAGAATCAATCTTTAGAATTGCTAAGTGACTTTAAATTTGGGAAAATAAACCAGGCCTCTGCAGAGAAAATGCCTCATAAAGCAAACATTTATTTCAGAATTTGAGCTTCCTTGCCTACATCATGAATAATTTTACTTTAAAAATTGATGACTCTGTCTTAAATGAATGGAATCCTGGCCAACACTCCTCTTCACATATAAATGTTTTTACCAAATGTAATGATGAACTGAAGTGCAAGAGCTTGCCTCCCACAAACTTTAAAAGAATTTATAAAATAGGAGCTTTTTTCCTGTTGTAATCTCTTCCTTACATGTCTTTGTGACACTCCTGCCTTCCTGCCATGTCTTGGCTGTCTGGGGGATGCTCTCCCTACATTCTTGCTGTGAATTTGCCCCACTTTCCGGCATCACATAAAAGCATTGAGTCCTCGATGTAATTCTCTAGGTCCTTCTAGCAGCAGTAGGTGCCAGGGTACTAATGAGAACCCTGGTGTGGAAGTCGCTGAACCTGAACTTCTGGTCTGTGATTTCAGCAAGTCATTTCCCTTTATGAATGTTAAAAACAAGCAGGCCGGGCACAGTGGCTCACGTCTATAAATCCAACACTTTGGGAGGCCGAGCTGGGCAGATCACCTGAGGTCAGGAGTTCAAGACCAGCCTGGCCAACATGGTAAAACCCTGTCTCTACTAAAAATATATAAATTAGCTGGGCGTGGTGGTGTGTGCCTGTAATCCCAGCTAACTGGGAGGCTGAGACAGGAGAATCACTAGAACCCAGGAGGCGGAGGTTGTAGTGAGCTGAGATCATGCCACTGCACTCTAGCCTAGGTGACAGAGCAAGACTGTCTCAAAAAAAACCAACCAAACAAACAAAAAACCAAAAAACAAAGTAAGGGTTTAAACAAAATGATTTTTAAGTTATCTTCCAGCCCTAAAATTTAAATCAGTTTAAATGTCCCTATCTTCAGAATAATAAAACCAAAGGTGTAGGTTTCTAAAATGATGGCTGGTGTGCTGAGCAGAATTCTGACGTGCCCCCCGCCCAGTATTTCCACCCTCTGGTCCACATATCCTGTGTAATCCCCTCTCCTCAGGTGGGCAGAACCTGTGACTACGATAATCCTGTGATGAGGTTACTGTATATGAGAAAGGTGATGGGCTAGTCAGTCCCATAACTATGTTATGTAAGAATCCATCTTAGCAGACTGAGGCGAGAGATTCTGTTGCTGGCTCTGAAGAAGTGAGTTGCCATGCTGTGAGGGGCCTGGTGGCAAGGAGCTGTAGTCACCTGCTGAGAGCAATGACTGGCCAACAGCCAGCAAGGAAAAGGAATCCTTGGTCCTACAACTGAAAGGACCTGAATTCTGCCAACAGCAGGAAAGAACTTTGAAGAGGACCCTGAACTCCGGATGAAAATGAAGGCCCCCCAACAACACTGCGATTTCATCCTTGTTAAGATCCTAAGCAGAGAACCCAGCTATGCTGTGCCAACACTCTGAATCACAGAAACTGGCCAGTGGGGAAGGCATTTATGATTGGGAATGTCTTTTTTTTTTGGAGGGGGACGGAGTCTCGCTCTGTCGCCCAGGCTGGAGTACAGTGGCGTGATCTTGGCTCACTACAACCTCTGCCTCCCGGGTTCAAACAATTATCCCACCTTAGCCTTCTGAGTAGCTGGGATTACAGGTGCCCACCACCACACCAGGCTAATTTTTGTATTTTTAGTAGAGACGGGGTTTCCCCATGTTGGCCAGGCTCGTCTTGAACTCCTGACCTCAGGTGATCTGCCTGCTTTAGCCTCCTAAAGTGCTGGGATTACAGGCGTGAGCCACTGTGCCCGGACAAGGGACTATCTTTTTGAAGTTCCTCAACTTCTACGTTATATAGAGCCGCACTCATCCCTCATCCCCCGCCACCTATTTTTTTTTTTTTTTTTTTTGATACAGTGTCTCATTCTGTCACCCCGGCTGGAGTGCAGTAGCATGATCATAGCTCACTGTACCCTCAACCTCCTGGGCTCAAGAGATCCTCCTGCCTCCGCCTCCTAAGTAGTTGGGACTAGAGGTGTGTGCCACCATGCCTGGCTAATTTTAAAGTATTTTTTGTAGAGACAGAGTCCCACTGTGTTGCCTAGGTTGGTCTGGAACTCCTCAGCCTCCCAAAGTGCTGGGATTACAAGGTTGTGCCACTGTCCCTGGCCTGCACTCATTTTTTGACAGAGTGCACTTTACAGAACCATCATTCTGTTTTACCTACTATACCAAACTCCATAAATTAGATCTTACAGGGAAACTAGCCAAGGTCTAATTAAGTTTTACATTTCCTAACAAGGAAATAAATTAAAACTGCCACACTTCTTTTGGGAATTCAAGTCTTGCTCTTACTTCAAATGTACCTGACAATTATAAGTCAGTTCACTTTCATAAAGATTTCACATAAACAAGTTGGGCTAACAGTCCCTGTGAGGCAATAGATTTGGAAATAATTTTAGGCTATGACATGTCACTTAAAACATTACTTCATTCAGTAAAAAGCGGATTTAGTTATAATCATACAATTTCAAATCTGCATGAACCCTTAGAGATACTTATAACTCCAACCTGAGGGTCAGAGTAGTGACCTGCTCAAGGAGTCAAAGGAAATTAATGACATGGGAAGGTGCTACAGTCCTAACACTCTTCCCCTCACCCTACGCTCTTACTAGAGTATTTCATCATCCTTTGCAGGATCTGGAAAGGTCTAGAATTAATTCATTTACATAACATAAACGAACATCTGTTTATATAAAGAGTTGTTCTAGGCTCTGAATAGCACACAAAGTTGTAGAAAACATGGTTCAAGTCTTTGAGAATTTACAGTCTAATGAATTCCCCCTTGAATGCTGAAGATATGAGACATATCAATAGGGGTTAGATATTCCTAGGAACAGAGAACTTTTTTAATAAAGGCTTCTGAAGGCAGAGACACCAATAATTTTTGGATGAATGATGAAACTTAGGAGAACCTAGAAGCTTCAATCCTCATTAATGAGTATAAACAACTTAGAACTTCTAAGCTAATAAAAATGTCAAAAGTGACTAAAAAAAAGCAGTAGATTCCACTTCCTCAGAGAACAAAGAGCCTTATCTGGTGCTTTTTTTTTTTTAAGGATGATTTAAAAAAAAAAACACTTTTTATGATGTTGCCATGTTGGTATAGGTTGTTTCCAGCCCCCTAATAAGATAAACAGGCAGAAGAAAGCCAGCACCTATGGGTTGAAAACCAGAACAGGCAGTTTGGTACAATTTTAATGTCAACCTAGTATATTAATATAGTATTATCTCTTTTTATTTTCACAATAACCCTGAAACAAGTATTCTACTATCACCATTCTACAGATCTGGAAACTGAGGCTTTGAGAACTTAAGGAATTTGTTCAAGGTCACAAAACTAGTGAATAGCGGGGACTCAAACTCAGGTTTGAACTTAAAACCAAAATTTATATTCAGCACAATTTCTTGCATATAGTTAACGCTCAATAAATGCTAGATGTTAGAACAGTATCTAAAAGTGCAACAGAGCACTGGTATACCAATGAGCGGAGGTGGTGAGGAACACCTTGGTCATTGGAAGGTGTATCTATATCCTGTATTTTGATGTTGAGAAAAGCGCAGCTTAGCATACATGCCTTTTTCTGGTCTGTGGTATCCCTTAAAAGGATATCAACTTTCTTGCTACATGACTTTATTTAAATAACTTCAGGCTTTTGTGTATTGGTTTCCTCAGTGAAAAGTAATATGGTTCCAAAGGTAAAGATCACAGATGTGTCTACTAAGGCGTTCCTATGCAGGACAAGAAGCTAGATTAGACAACTCCAAGAGTCTGTTATTGTAAGGTAAGGACTATGGATGTCTGTGTCTGAGCTGTAGAACCTATACCTGAACAGAACAGACAATTGTAGGGGAAAAAAAGGTCACATTTCATATTCAAGAGAAGGGCACTATCTCTAAAACATCATAGTTTATCAAAAGGACTTCATTCTCACCCTAAGAATGGTCAACTCTTAGCCAAAAGCAACTGGGAAAAAAAAGTCCAGAGTCTGTCTTCCCAATGCTACTGTGAAGCATGGTTTGAAATGGTAAAGCCACAGTCCCCTCTGGATTGTGCTTCAGCAAAGCTTTTCAGACTCTAACAGAATTGTGGAGTATACTGAGAGGCAACACGACGATGTGGAAAGAACACAGACTGGGAATTAGAGAGACCTGAGCTTGAATCCTGGCTTTTCCACCACTAAGCTGGATAACCACGATCAAGTGGCTTCATTTGATATTTTCCTCATCCATAAAGTGAAGATGAATGAGGATAATTCAGGTTTTAAAGATTAAAAGCGATAACATGCATAAAGCACTAAGCATTGTGCCTGGCACAGAGAAACTACTATGAAATGAGAGTTGCTGTTAGTGTTCCAGATGTGTGATGGCCTCACAGTCCTGGACAGGACAGTGCTACCGGATTATTACAGTTCAGGAGTGGGTGGCAGCTTGTCTGTTAAAGACAGTTGTTCAGAATATAAGAGTTTGTTGTGTGCTAGAAATTGCTGACTCCATCAGTAATTTCTGACTTCCCCAACAATCCAGTTAGAGCCTAAATGACAAAAGACTTGAGGCTCCCTTACTCATTCCAATTATTAGACTCAAAGAATTTGAAAGCTGCAAAGGTTCTCAGAGGTCATCTCTGCCATCCTTGTCCCTCCAGAGACAAAAGAAACTGAGACCATTTGAAGATGTGACTAAAACTTCAGAAAAAATACTTGGGGTTGCAGAAAGCTCCTGTAGGAGTTATGCCATAGATTTTATTATTTGTTCTTTTGGCTTGTCAGATAATAAGGTAAACTGCACGTATAGAATAACTACAAAGAATCAAGGCCAACTATGCCATAAATTATAATTTTCAGTGTAAGTAGAATTGTGCAGGGGCGTGAATAGTAAAGACCAGGGACTATATTTGTGTGATTATTTTCTGATTTTATAGTTCAAAGTACACCGAGGACGTAACTGAACCCACAGGTTTACTGCATCTGTACTATCCTGAGGTGCTTTACAGTGGAGCTTTATTGTACCTGGATATTCTCCTGGCAGAAATTGGAATATTCTGAGTTATATGGGCTGAAGCTCACTCTAGAGCTCCAGCTCAAATAATTTCTAACTTTTTCATCATAGAAAGCCATTGGGAAAGGAGTCATGTTCAATTTTCCATTACCTTCTTCAGCAGACCACTTAAATCAATCAGCCAGCCGCTGAGAGGTCATAGATCTAATTTTATGCCCAGTGTGCGTACGAATGAGCAATAGAACCAGTTCTTCTTAAGTGCTAAACGAAGAGACGCCTGATAGTGGAGACACACAGTATTTCATGGAGAAAGGTTCTTTCTTCAGATGGTTAGAACTCTTGAAAACACTTCATTATTACCTGATGGTTGTTACTCTCACATGGGTCATGCAGAACTAAAGAAATAGCCTTAATTAAATTTGATGTTTTTTTCAAATGGTAGGAGGGGCAAACAGAAAAAATGAAAAAAAGAAAAAGAAAAAAAAGAAATGTGACATTTTTTACTCTGGAGGAACTGGACTATGTTCTAATACAGTAAATCTGCAGTGGCCACCTGCCTGGATCTTTCAAATTATTCCAAGGAACATTAACTCTGTAAGTTATTAAAAGATGGTCTGGAGTAAATCAAATTTGGAAACTATATCCCTCTTCCAGAGATTAATAATGCACCTTCATATATTAAAAAGTTGGCAGCAGGAGTGCTGCAAGAAGAAATTCTATATAACTCTGGCATTTTCCAAACTTATTTGAACCATGGAATACTTTTTTTTTTCTTTTTAAATCCACAGAACCATCATCATATTGCAGTATACAGTGTTCTTCACAATGCTGTTTGGAAAATTCTGTGCTAAATTATGCCTAAAGACTGGTTTGTAACCTCTAAAATAGCCAAGGAAGAGACAGTGCCAGGGCCTAGAAGGTGCCAATTTCTGAAGGTTCTAACCTTTTGGGAAAAAATGAAGACAGCTGAGACTCACAGCAGAAGCCAGATAAAAAGTATTCCTGTCTCTACTCTGGCCTCACTCTTTCCCAACCACTGGTATAAATTAGGGCCTCCACTTTTAAGCTCCTAGAACCTCTTATTCTAATTAGCACTTATCACACCCAACTGGAACTGCTTCTACACTTATCTTTCTCCCCCATTAGACTCTGAGCTTCTTGAGGGTGGAACCCTGTGCCTAGCACAGTACCTATTGCTTTTGGGTGAATAAATACTTGAGCCACACTAAATTTTGTTTAAATTATCAACTTCATAATAGAAGCAGCTGACATTGACTAATCGTTCACCACATGACAGCCACAAAGTTAAGTGCTTTATGTAGATTTAGTCTCACAACCCTATGAGGTGGGTCCAGTTGGTCCTTCATATGTGTAGGTTCCACACCCATGGATTCAACCAGCTGCAGATCAAAAATATTTAAGAAAATGTCGGGTGCAGTGGCTCACGCCTGTAATCCCAACACTGGGAGGCCAAGGCGGGTGGATCACCTGAGGTCAGGAGTTCAAGACCAGCCTGGCCAACATGGCGAAATCCTCTCTCTACTAAAAATACAAAAATTAGCTGGGCATGGTGGCAGGCACCTGTAATCCCAGCTACTTGGGAGGCTGAGGCAGGAGGATCGCTTGAATCTGGGAGGCGGAGGTTGCAGTGAGTCGAGATCATGCCACTGCACTCCAGCCCAGCCTGGTCGACAGAGCAAAACTCCATCTCAAAAAAAAAATAAATAAATAAAATAAAATTTAAGAAAAGAAAACCAGTAGAAAGTAACAACACAGCAATAAACTATTACAAATTTAAAAATACAGCATAACAACTATTTACTTAGCATTTACATAGTAATAGGTATTATATGTAATCTTGAGATAATTTAAAGTACAGTTGGCCCTGGAACAACACAGGCTTGAACTGCATAGGTCCACTTACGTGCAGATTTTTTTTTCAATAAATTACGTTGGAAAAATTTTTGGAGGCTTATGACTATTTGGAAAACCTCATAGATGGACCACACAGCATAGACGTACCAAAAAAATTAGGAAAAATGTATGTAGTGAATACATAAAAAATATATAGATACTAGTTTATGTGTTAACTGACTGTATGTTATCAGTAAGCCTTTTTTGGTCAACAGTGGGCTATTAGTAGTTAAGTTTTTGGGGAGTCTAAAGTTATCCTAGGATTTTCAACTGTGTGGGGTGAAAACAGCTAATCCCTCACTGTTCAAGGGTCACCCGCATCTAGTGCTCGTCCGGCAGCACATATACTCAAACTGGAATGATTTGGAGAAGATTAGCATGGCCCTTGTGCAAGGATGACACACAAATTCGTGAAGTGTTCCATATTTTGATGATGATTTAAAAATAAAGAAATAAAGTATATGGAAAGATATGTGTAGGTTATATATAAAAATACTATGCAACCGTTTCACATATGGGACTTGAGCACCCAAAGACTTTGTAACTCTGTGTGTGTGTGGCGGGGTCGGGGGGTGGAGGCGGTCCTGGAACCAAACCCCTGAAGATACCAAGGGACAACTATTTTTATCTTTATTTAAAAAACACAGAGGGCCAGGCACAGTGGCTCATGCCTGTAATCCTAGCACTTTGGGAAGCTGAGGTGGGCGATCATTTGAGGTCAGGAGTTCAAGACCAGCCTGGCCAATATAGTGAAACCCCCATCTCTGTTAAAAATACAAAAATTAGCCAGGTGTGGTGGCATGTGCCTGTAATCCCAGCTACTCAGGAGGCTGAGGCAGGAGAATTTCTTGACCCTGGGAAGCAGAGGTTGCGGTGAGCCAAGATTGTACCACTGCACTCCAGTCTGGGTGACAGAGTGAGACCCTGTCTCAAAAAAATTAAAAAAATAAAATAAACACAGAAACTAAGTTCAGAAACTGCTCAAAGCTACCCAGCTAGTAAATGATGGAGACATTCAAATTCAGGCAGTCTGACTTCAGAACTTCTGCTCTTAACCATTACACATTTCTTCCTCTTTTCTAAGATTCATCTCAGCAGTAAAATTCCTTTGTTCTGTGGAGCAAGGAGGAGAGGCCTGTCATTCATGTAGAACTCAAACCAATGGAAAGAATCACTAGTCCGGGTCAGGAGGAGGGAGGTTTAAAAGCAAAGGCCTGGGCAGAGCCCAAGGAGTGCTTGTAAGAGACAGGGACATCTGGGAGCATGGAAGGATTTGGAAAGGCTAGCTGAGTGCATGCTAGTCTTCTGTGCACACCTCAGCAGGTGAACAGTTAAAATTACTACTATCATCACCTCTTTTACATGGAAGAAGGTGAAACATATGTCAAGTCCAAGGATGAGGGTTACAGAAGAACATGATGAGTTTGTTCCCTGGGCTGCTGGGAAGGGTAGAAGGGTAGAGGTTTATGTCTTGTTCAGATATATCAATATGTTCATTCACTCATTCATTTGTTGACTATATAATTATTGAGTTCTTCCTCTATCCCAAGTGTTGTTCTAGGCACATGGAATACATCCATGAGCAAGACAGATAAGCATTCTAGTAAGGTGCAACAAATAATAAGCAAACACATAAACCTGAGAAAATATCAGGGAGTGATAAATGCTATAAAAAATAGGATAATATGATACAGGATGATGGAACTACTTTAGAATGAAAAGGTCTTCCCGAGGAAATGACTTATACCAGACCTAAGTTACAAGGAGCTAAATACATGGAGATCCCAGGCAAGAGCGCTTGAGGTAGAAACAACCGATACAAAGGCCTTAACTAACTCCAATAGCTAAGGCCTTCAGTAAGCTTGGTGTATTTGGAATGTGAAAAGAACAATGTGGAGTGGAGTGAACTGGGAAAAAAACGATATTTTATGAACTCAGAGAGTATACAGGGGCCATGGCATAGGTAGCCCTGTGTAAAGCCACAGTCAGTAAAGAGGCGAGGGCTGTGGTAGGAGAGCGAGAAAAGGAGGCAGATGCAGGGTACGTTCTGGAGGTAAACTCAAGGATTTATTGAAGAAGTAAATATGTGAGTGAGACTAAGGAATCAAGGAAAGTACCTATTTTGTTTGTTTGTTTGTTTGTTTTGAGACGGAGTCTTGCTCTGTCACCAGGCTGGAGTGCAGTGGTGTGATCTTGGCTCACTGCAATCTCCGACTCCCTGGTTCAAGCGATTCTCCTGCCTCAGCCTCCTGAGTAGCTGAGATTACAGGTGCCCGCTGCCACTGCACCCGGCTAATTTTTGTATTTTTAGTAGAGACAGGGTTTCACCATGTTGGCCAGGATGGTCTCAATCTCCTGACTTCAAGATCAGCCCACCTTGGCCTCCCAAAGTGCTGGGATTACAGGTGTGAGCCAAAGAGCCCAGCTGATAGTGCCTATTTTTTTGAGCTCCTGAATATTTGAAGAGTAATTCAATTAATAAACATCTATTGGCTGGGCATAGTGGCTCATGCCTGTAATCATGCCTGACTTAGAGCCCAGCTGGATAATCTAGGATGATCTCATCTCAAGGACCTTAACTTAATTATATCTGCAAAGACCCTGTGTCCAACAAGGTCACAATCACAGGTTCTGAGGACTAAGATGTAGACATATCCTTTTGGGGGCCACCACGTAACCCACTACAGCAACCAAGAATTAAAAATTACCCATATGAGGCTGGGCCCCTGTAATCCCAGCACTTTGGGAGGCTAAGGCAGGTGGATCACTTGAGGTCAGGAGTTCATAACCAGCCTGGCCAATGTGGTAAAACCCTGTCTTTACTAAATATACAAAAATTAGCCAGGTGTCGTGGCACATGCCTGTAATCCCAGCTACTGGGGAGGCTGGGGCAGGAGAATCACTGGAACCCAGGAGGCAGAGGTTTCAGTGAGCTGAGATCACATCACTGCACTCCAGTCTAGGTGACAAAGACTCTGTCTCAAAAAGAAAAAAAAAAAACCCACCCATATGTAGTCTACAAAAACAAAAGCAAACAAAAAATGTGAATTTAACTATTACAATACCAACCACTATAATCCTAGCACTTTGGGAGGCCAAGGCAGAAGGATCCTGTGAGACCAGGAGCTCAAGACCAGCGTGGTCAACAGTGAGACCCCATCTCTGTTTTTTAAAATAAACAATAAATGTAAAAAAGAAAAATTAAATGTATCTATCTGTTAACAGCCTAATTTTTTTTCTTTTAGAAACCTAACTATCTGGCCAGACATGGTGGCTCACGCCTGTAATCCCAGCACTTTGGGAGGCTGAGGCAGGCAGATCACGAGGTCAGGAGATTGAGACCATCCTGGCTAACATGGTGAAACCCCATCTCTACTAAAAATACAAAATTTAGCTGGGCGTGGTGGCGGGTGCCTGTAATCCCAGCTACTTGGGAGGCTGAGGCAGGAGAACGGCATGAACCCAGGAGGCGGTGCTTGCAGTGAGCCAAGATCATACCACTACACTCCAGCCTGGGCAATAGAGTGAGACTCCATCTCAAAAATTTTTGTATTTTCAGTAGAGACGGGGTTTCACCTTGTTAGCCAGGATGGTCTCGATCTCCTGACCTTGTGATCGGCCCAATATGGTGAATCCCCATCTCTACTAAAAAATACAAAAATTGAGAGGGGTGTTCCAAGATGGCCAAATAGGAACAGCTCCGGTCTGCAGCTCCCAGTGTGATCGACACAGAAGATGGGTGATTTCTGCATTTACAATTGAGGTATCTGGTTCATCTCATTGGGACTGGTTGGACAGTGGGTGCAGCCCACGGAGAGTGAGTCGAAGCAGGGCGGGGCGTCGCCTCACCTGGGAAGCACAAGGGGTCAGGGGATTTCTCTTTCCTAGCCAAGGGAAGCCATGACAGACTACCTGGAAAAATGGGACACTCCCACCCAAATACTGTGTTGTTCCCAAGGTCTTAGCAACCGGTAGGCAAGGTGATTCTCTCCTGTGCCTGGCTTGGAGGTTCCCATGCCCACGGAGCCTTGCTCACTGCTAGCGCAGCAGTCTGAGATTGATTTGCAAGCCAGCAGCCTGGCTGGGGGAGGGGCATCTGCCATTGCTGAGGCTTGATTAGGTAAACAAAGCAGCTGGGAAGCTCAAACTGGGTGGAGCCCACCACAGCTCAACAGGCCTACAGCCTCTAGACTCCACCTCTATGGGCAGGGCATAGCTGAACAAAAGCCAGCAGAAATTTCTGCTGACTTAAATGTCCCTGTCTGACAGCTCTGAAGAGAGCAGTTGTTCTCCCAAGATGGCATCTGAGCTCTGAGAACAGACAGACTGCCTCCTCAAGTGGGTCTCTGACCCCTGTGTAGCCTAACTGGGAGACAACTCCCAGTAGGGGCCGACAGACACCTCATACAGGCGGCTGCCTCTCTGGGAGGACGCTTCCAGAGGAAGGATCAAGCAGCAATATTTGCTGTTCTGCAGCCTCTGCTGGTGATACCCAGGCAAACAGGGTCTGGAGTGGACCTCCAGCCAACTCCAACAGACCTGCAGCTGAGGGACCTGACTGTTAGAAGGAAAACTAACAAACAGAAAGGAATAGCATCAACATCAACAAAAAGGACGTCCACACCAAAACCCCAGCTGTAGGTCACCAACATCAAAGACCAAAGGTAGATGAAACCACAAAGATGGGGAGAAACCAGAGCAGAAAAGCTGAAAATTCTAAAAAGCAGAGCGCCTCTTCTCCTCCAAAGGATCGCAGCTCCTCGCCAGCAACGGAACAAAGCTAGACGGAGAATGACTTTGATGAGTTGACAGAAGTAGGCTTCAGAAGGTCAGTAATAACAAACTTCTCTGAGCTAAAGGATGTCCAAACCCATCGCGAGGAAGCTAAAAACCTTGAAAAAAGATTAGACGAATGGCTAATTAGAATAAACAGTGTAGAGAAGACCTTAAATAACCTGATGGAGCTGAAAACCATGGCATGAGAACTTCATGACGCATGCACAAGCTTCAATAGCTGATTCGATCAAGTGGAAGAAAGGGTATCAGTGATTGAAGATCAAATTAATGAAATAAAGCGAGAAGACAAGGTTAGAGAAAACAGAGTTAAAAGAAATGAACAAAGCCTCCAAGAAATATGGGACTATGTGCAAAGACCAAATCTACATTTGATTGATGTACCTGAAAGTGATGGGGAGAATGGAACAAAGCTGGAAAACACTCTTCAGGATATTATCCAGGAGAACTTCCCCAACCTAGCAAGGCAGGCCAACATTCAAATTCAGGAAATACAGAGAACACCACAAAGATACTCCTTGAGAAGAGGGACCCCAAGACACAGTTGTCAGATTCACCAAGGTTGAAATGAAGGAAAAAGTGTTAAGAGCAGCAGAGAGAAAGGTCGAGTTACCCACAAAGGGAAGCCCATCAGACTAACAGCAGATGTCTCAGCAGAAACCCTACAAGCCAGAAGAGAGTGGGAGCCAATATTCAACATTCTTAAAGAAAATAATTTTCAACCCAGAATTTCATATCCAGCCAAACTAAGCTTCATAAGTGAAGGAGAAATAAAATCCTTTACAAACAAGCAAATGCTGAGAGATTTTGTCACCACCAAGCCTGCCTTATAAGAGCTCCTGAAGGAAGCACTAAACATGGAAAGAAACAACCGATACCAGCCACTGCAAAAACAGGCCAAATTGCAAAGACCATCGATGCTATGAAGAAACTGCATCAATTAATGGGCAAAATAACCAGCGAACATCATAATGACAGAATCAAATTCACACATAGCAATATTAACCTTAAATGTAAATGGGCTAAATGCCCCAATTAAAAGATACAGACTGGCAAATTGGATAAAGAATCAAGATGCATCAGTGTGCTGTATTTAGGAGACCCATCTCATGTGCAAAGACACACATGGGCTCAAAATAAAGGGATGGAGGAAGATCTACCAAGGAAATGGAAAACAAAAAAAAGCAGTGGTTGCAACCCTAGTCTCTGATAAAACAGACTTTAAACCAACAAAGATCAAAAGAGACAAAGAAGGCCATCACATAATGGTAAAGGGATCAATTCAACAAGAAGAGCTAACTATCCTAAATATATATGCACCCAATACAGGAGCACCCAGATTCATAAAGCAAGTCCTTAGAGACCTACAAAGAGACCTGGACTCCCACACAATAATAACGGGAGACTTTAACACCCCACTGTCAATACTAGACAGATCAATGAGACAGAATGTTAACAAGGATATCCAGGACCTGAACTCAGCTCTGCACCAAGTGGACCTAATAGACATCTACAGAACTCTCCACCCCAAATCAACAAAATATACATTCTTCTCAGCACCACATCACACTTATTCTAAAATTGACCACATAATTGGAAGTAAAGTACTCTTCAGCAAATGTAAAAGAACAGAAATCACAACAAACTGTCTCTCATTTGATTGACCACAGTGCAATCAAATTAGAACTCAGGATTAAGAAACTCACTCAAAACCACTCAACTACATGGAAACTGAACAACCTGCTCCTGAATGACTACTGGGTAAATAACAAAATGAAGGCAGAAATAAAGATGTTCTTTGAAACCAATGAGAACAAAGACACAGCATACCAGAATCTCTGGGACACATTTAAAGCAGTGTATAGAGGGAAATTTATAGCACTAAATGCCCTCAAGAGAAAGTAGGAAAAATCTAACATTGATACTCTAACATCACAATTAAAAGAACTAGAGAAGCAAGAGCAAACAAATGCAAAAGCTAGCAGAAGGCAAGAAATAACTAAGATCAGAGCAGAACTGAAAGAGATAGAGACACAAAAAAAACCCTTCAAAAGATCAATGAATCTAGGAGCCGGTTTTTTGAAAAGATCAACAAAATTGATAGACAGCTAGCAAGACTAATAAAGAAGAAAAGAGAGAAGAATCAAATAGACACAGTAAGAAATGATAACGGGGATATACCACTGATCCCACAGAAATACAAACTACCATCAGAGAATACTACAAACACCTCTACACAAATAAACTAGAAAATCTAGAAGAAATGGATAAATTCCTGGACACATACACCCTCCCAAGACTAAACCAGGAAGAAGCTGAATCTCTGAATAGACCAATAACAGGCTCTGAAATTCAGGCAATAATTAATAGCCTACCAACCAAAAAAAAGTCCAGGACCAGATGGATTCACAGCCAAATTCTACCAGAGGTACAAAAAGGAGCTGGTACCATTCCTTCTGAAACTATTCCAATCAATAGAAAAAGAGGGAATCCTCCCTAACTCATTTTATGAGGCCAACATCACCCTGATACCAAAGCCTGGCAGAGACACAACAAAAAAAGAGAATTTTAGACCAATATCCCTGATGAACATCAATGGGAAAATCCTCAATAAAATACTGGCAAACCAAATCCAGCAGCACATCAAAAAGCTTATCCACCATGATCAAGTCAGCTTCATCCCTAGGATGCAAGGCTGGTTCAACATACGCAAACCATGTCCTTTGCAGGGACATGGATAAAGATGGAAACCATCATTCTGAGCAAACTATCACAAGGACAGAAAACCAAACACCGCATGTTCTCACTCATAGGTGGGAACTGAACAATGAGATCACTTGGACACAGGAAGGGGAACATCACACACTGGGGCCTGTTGCAGGGTCGGGGGCTGGGGGAGGGATAGCATTAGGAGATATACCTAATGTAAATGATGAGTTGATGGGTGCAGCAAACCACCATGGCACATATATACCTATGTCTCAAACCTGCACGTTGTGCACATGTGCCCTAGAACTTGAAGTATAATAAATAAATAAATAAAATAAAATAAAAATACAAAAATTAGTCAGACATGTTGGCACGTGCCTGTAATCCCAGCTACTTGGGGAGCTGAGGCAGGAGAATCACATGCACCCAGGAGGCAGAGATTGCAGGGGGCTGAGATCGCGCCACTGTACTCCAGCCTGGGTGACAAAGCGAAACTCCATCTCAAAAAATAAAAAATAAAAAATAAGAATAAATTTGAGGCCGGGTGCAGTGGCTCACGCCTGTAATCCCAGCACTTTGGGAGACCAAGGCGGACAGATCACTTGAGGTCAGGAGTTTGAGACCAGCCTGGCCAACATGGTAAAACCCCATCTCTACTAAAAATACAAAAATTAGCTGGGTGGTGGGTGCCTGTAGTCCCAGCTACTTGGGAGGCTGAGGCAGGAGAATCGCTTGAGCCCAGGAGGCTGAGGTTGCAGTGAGCTGAAACTGCGCCGCTGAACTCCGGCCTGGGCAACAAAGCAAAACTCCATCTCAAAACAAACAAACAAAAAAGAATAAATTGAACAAAAAGATTGACAGGCAGATTTTTCCCCCTTCCAACTCAGTACAAAATTAAATGTATGTATGTATTTACCAAAAATAAAACAAAACAAAAAACAAACCCCAAACATACATCTCAAAGCCACATGTATTTTTGGATGTCAGATATAGCTGTGCAATTTGTACCACTGCCTCTATTAGCAAGGATAATGAGACATGAACTATATGGAGACTACAAATCCCAGCAAAAGGCCTGAAGTCATTTGAAAGAAACATTTTTTCTTTCTTTTTTTTAATCACTAGGTTGCAATTTCCCTTTGCTAACACTACCCTGAATCATTCTATTTTGTACGCCCTATAATTTTAACACAGACAGTGATTCATCCTATATAATTGTTCTTTAATGAACTTTCGTTGTCTTTAGTTGGGCTTTTCAAAAAGAAGGTATGCAAAAATAAAGAGGAACTTATTAATTTTGTTTTTATAGTAAATGATGACTGGCCGGGCGTGGTGGCTCATGACTGTAATCCCAGCACTTTGGGAGGCTAAGGCAGGCGGATCACCTGAGATTAGGAATTTGAGACTAGCCTGGCCAACATGGTGAAACCCCAACTCTACTAAAAATACAAAAAGTAGCTGGGAGTGGTGGCAGGCACCTGTAATCCCAGCTACTTGGGAGGCTGGGGCAGGAGAATCGCTTGAACCCAGGAGGTGGAGGTTGCAGTGAGCCAAGATCATGCCATTGCACTCCAACCTGGGCAACAAGAGCAAAACTCCATCTAAAAAATAAATAAATAAAGACTTCAAATCTTATATCTTTGGATTTGCAGATGCTGTCAAACTTTGTTTTGTGAAAGAGCAGTAAAACCAAAGCTATTCTAGAGAAATGATCTGGTGGTGCTACACACACACACACACACACACACACACACACACACACCCTATATGATATCATTAACTTGTTTTTCAAAAGATTCTGCAAATATCAGTGGAAATGCTATTATTATTATTATTATTAGAGATGAGGTCTTGCTAGGTTGCACAGACTGGCCTTAAACTACTCCTGGGCTCAAGAGATCCTCCTGCCTCAGCCTCCTGAGTAGCTGGGACTACAGGTGTGTGCCACTGAGCCCAGCTTGGAAGTACTAATTTAAACAAACAGACGCTATTTTAAGAAGTTATATGGATTAATAAAATGAAATAAAAGGCATTGAGATGAGAAAGGAAGAAGTAAAATGATCTCTATTTGCAGATGGAATGATCTTGTATTTTTTTCCTGGCTTTACTGAGGTGTAATTGACAAATACAAACTGTATATATTTAAAGTATACAATGTGATGTTTTGACATATGTATATACTGTGAAATAATTACCACAATCAAGCTAATTAACACTTCCATCACTTCAGGCCAGGTGCGGTGGCTCACGCCTGTAATCCTAGCACTTTGGGAGGCTGAGTTGGGCAGATCACTTGAGGTCAGGAGTTTGAGACCTGTCTGGCCAACATGGCAAAATCTCATCTCTACTAAAAATACAAAAATTAGCCAGGTGTGGTGGCACGCACCTATAGTCCCAGCTACTTGGGAGGCTGGGACAGGAGAATCGTTTGAACCTGGAAGGCGAAGGTTGCAGTAAGCAGACATTGTACCACTGCACTACAGCCTGGGCAACAGAGTGAGACCCTGTCTCAAAAAAACAAAAACGAAAACAAAACATTTCCATCACTTCACATAGTTACCTTTTTTATGTATGTATATTGTAAGGAACACTTAAGATCTCAGCAAATTTCAAGTGTACGATAGGATTACTAATTACAGTCACCAGAGTGTAAACTAGCTCTCTAGAACTATTTCATCCTGCCTAACTGAAGCTTTGCACCCTTTGAACAAAATAACTCCCCATTTCCCTGCCTCCTGTAGCCCCTGGGGACCACCATTCTACTTTCTGCTTCTATGAGTTCAACTCCACTTAGATTCCATATATAAGTGAGAACCATGATCTTGTATTAGAAAATCTTAAGGAATCCGCTAAAAAAAAATTGAATAAGCAAGATTGTTCTATATCTTCCCCAGCCCCTAGCAGGACAGGACCATCTGGCAATGAGCCTTCCCAGTGCCAGGGATGAAGAATGTCTATCAGTCTCATAAGCTGAGATTGATCAATGCTTCCATTGGAAGATTTCTGAGAAAAAAAAAAAAAGTGGCTGAATGAGAAAAGAAACATACTCAGAACAGCCTGAGGTATGTGAGGTGTGCACAATTTATCAAGCACAGAGACAGGAGTATGGGACTTCAGTCACAACCCTGTCCCCGATTCCATGGCCAGGCACAATTGTTTAAAGGCATTTTGTTCCTGACTAGCTGCCTTACCTGTTAGTTTCATGTTCCTGGAATCTGTGATACAAAGAACAATGTATACACAATCAATAGCTTATGTTATTTTAATGTAAATTCTTGGTAAGCAAATTAGAAACTATCTCTTATTTTCCTTTAAAAACCCACTTGTAACTGCTGCTAATTGGAGTATATATTCAGGGCAACTTGAATCCATGCTACTGGGTTGCCGTCTTCAAACTTGGCCCAAATAAACTTTAGGTATATTAAAAAAAACAAAAAACAAAAAAACAAACAAAAAACAAAAACAAAAAATGATCGATAAAATCTTAGTGCTTTGGAGAGACTGAAAAATCAAACATTGTGGTCATCAACAGTGAAATAAACACATTTTTAGATAACCCAAAAAGTAAAAGAATTCACTGCTAGCAGATCTGCACTACAGGAAATGATAAAGGAAGTTCGGCTGGGCGGCATGGTGGCTGATGCCTGTAATCTTAGCCACTGTGGGAGGCTGAGACAGGCAGATTGCTTGAGCCCAGGAATTCGAGACCAACCTGGGCAACATGGTGAAACTATCTATAAAAAATAAAAAAAATTTGCCAGGCGTGGTGGCATGAGCCTGTGGTCCCAGCTAACCAGGAGGCTGATGTGAGAGGATTGCTTGAGCCTTGGACATGGAGGCTGCAGTGAGCCAAGATGGCACCATTTTGAGCCGAGGTGCCTGTCTCATAAATAAACAAATAAAGAAGTTCTTCAGATTTATGGTAAGTGATACTACATAAAAACTTGAGCTGGGGCCGGGCGCGGTGGCTGACGCCTGTAATCCCAGCACTTTGGGAGGCCGAGGTGGGTGGATCATGAGGTCAGGAGTTCAAGACCACCCAGGCCAAGACAGTGACCCGGGTCACCATTAGCCGGGTGTGGTGGTGGGAGCCTGTAATCCCAGCTTTTGGGAGGCTGAGGCAGAGAACTGCTTGAATCTGGGAGGTGGGGGTTGCAGTGAGCCGAGATCACGCCACTGCACTCCAGCCTTGGCGAGAGAGAAACTCTGTCTCAAAAAAAAAAATTTTTTTTTAATTTGAATTTTTAAATTTTTTGTAGAGACAAGGTCTTGCTATGTTGCCCAGGCTGGCTTTGAACTCCTGGCCTCAAGTGATCCTCCTGCTTTGACCTACCAAAGTGTTGGGATTATAGGTGTAAGCCACCACATGCAGCTAAAACCAAAATATTTGGAAGTTAAACAATATACTTTTAAATAGTCCACAAATTTACCTAATAAATAGAAAATATTTTGAACAGGATGATGTAAAAAATATTACATACCAAAATTGTGTGTGTGTGTGTGTGTGTGTGTGTGTGTGTGTGTGTGTTTTGAGACGGAGTCTCGCTCTGTTGCCCAGGCTGGAGTGCAGTGGTGCAATCTCGGCTCACTGCAACCTCTGCCTCCTGGGTTCACGCCATTCTCCTGCCTCAGCCTCCCAAGTAGTTGGGACTACAGTCGCCCATCACCACACCCAGCTAATTTTTTGTATTTTTAGTAGAGACGGGGTTTCACTGTGTTAGCCAGGATGGTCTCGATCTCCTGACCTCGTGATCCGCCCACCTCAGCCTCCCAAAGTGCTGGGATTACAGGCGTGAGCCACCACGCCCGGCAGTGTGTGTGTGTTTTATTTTTTGGTTATGTGTTTTTTGTTTGTTTGTTTTTTGGAGACAGAGTCTTCCTCTGTCTCTCAAGCTGGAGTAGAGTGGTGAGATCTCAGCTCAGTGTAACCTCTGCCTCCTGGGTTCTAGCAATTCTCCTGCCTCAGCCTCCCCAGTAGCTGGGATTACAGGTGCGTGCCACCATGCCTGACTAGTTTTTGTATTTTTAGTACAAATGGAGTTTCACCCTGTTGGCCAGGCTGGTCTTGAACTCCTGGCCTCAAGTGATCCACCCACCTTCCAAAGTGCTGGAATTACAGGCGTGAGCCACCACGCCCAGACTAAAGCAGTGTTTATAGGGAAATTTATAGCTTCACAAGCTTACCTTAGAAAAGGTAAGTAAGGTTTCATCTTAAGAAGCTTAGAAAAAGAAAAACAAAATAATATATACTGAAAATAAGTGAAGGAATAAGTAACAAAGGTATGAGCAGAAATCAACTCAATAGGCAACAAACCATAGAGAAAATTAACAAAGTCAAAAATTGGTTCTTTGAAAAGATTAACAAAATTGCTAAACCCCTAGGTAGACTGAGTAAGAAATATTTTTTTAAAAAAGAAAGAGAATTCATAATTTGCCAACAGTAGGAGTAAAAGGGGATTTCAGATTCTACAGACATCAAAGGGATAATAATGGAATATTATGAACAACTTCATGTCAATAAATTCAATAACATAGATGACATGGGCAAATTATTCAAAAATATAACCTAAAATTCATATAAAACACAAACCTTACATATTTACTTAAAAAATTAAATTATCAAAACCTTTTCAGAAAGAAATTGGCAAGTCCAGATAGTTTCACTGATGAATTCTATCAAATACAGCTCAGAAAGAAACAATACTCATCTTACAGAAACTTCTGAAAACAGAGAAGGAAAAATCCCTCATTTTATTTATTTACTTATTTAATTATTATTTTTGAGATGGAGTCTTGCTCTGCTACCCAGTCTGGAGTGCAGTGGCGTGATCTCAGCTCACTGCAACATCCATCTCCCGGGTTCAAGTGATTCTCCTGCCTCAGCCTCCCAAGTAGCTGGGACTACAGGCATGTGCCACCAAGCCCGGCTACTTTTTGTTATTTTTAGTTACAGATGGGGTTTCACCATGTTGGCGAGGCTGGTCTTGAACTCCTGATCTCAGGTGATCTGCCCGTCTCAGCCTCCTAAAGTGTTAGGATTACAGGCATGAGCCACCATGCCTGGCCTATTTAATTTAATTAATTAATTAATTTAGAGACAGAGTTTCGCTCTTGTCGCCCAGAATGGAGTGCAATGGCGCAATCTCGGCTCACTGCAACCTCCACCTCCCAGGTTCCAGTGATTCTCCTGCCTCAGCCTCCTGAGTAGCTGGGATTACAGACACCTACCACCATGCCCAGCTAATTTTTTGTATTTCTAGTAGAGACAGAGTTTCACCATGTTGGCCAGCCTGGTCTTGAACTCCTGACCTCAGGTGATCCACCTGCCTCGGCCTCCCAAAGTGCTGGGATAACAGGTGTGAGCCACTGTGCCCAGTCCCTAACTCATTTTATGAGGATAAAATACTCTGACATAAAACCCGAAAAGACATTACAAAAAAAAAAAAAATTACAGACCAATATCTGTCAATATTTAACAAAATGTTAGGAAATCAAGTCTAGTAATACATTAAAAAAGCTAATACATCATTACAAATTAGGTTTATTTCAGGATAAGGAATAGTCAATGTCATCTACCATATTAAAAGAATAAAGCAGAAAAGCCATATGACCATTTCAATATATATAGAAAAAAATTTGACAAAATACAGGAGCCATTGATGACAAAAACCCTTTTCAAATAACAGAAAATAATTTTCTTAATCTGACAACGAGCAACTATGAAAAATCTAATCTAATATCCAATTTAATGGTACAATATTGAATACTTTTCTCTAAAGTTCAGAAAGAAGCCAAGGATGTCCACTCTCACCACTTCTATTCAATATTGTATTGGTGGGGTAAGCAAGTGCAATAAAGCAAGAAAAAAAAAGCCATAAATTTTTTTTTAAAAAAGGAGATGAAACTATCTCTGTTTGAAGATGATAGGATTATTTACATAGAAAAACCTGAGGAATCTACAAAACAACTAGAAGAATAAGTGAATTTAGCAAAATTACAGAATATAAAGTTAATATATAAAAATCAGTTATATTTTAATATTAGCAGCAAACAATTAGAAAATAAAATAAAACCAATTCCATTTATAATGGGATCGAAAACCATAAAATACTTAAGCACAAATTTTAAAAATATATGTGCAAGACCTGTATTAATAAAACTATAAGACCACTGCTGAGAGAAAATGAGACCTTAAAAAATGGGGAGATATATTATGCTCGTGAATTATAAGATGCTATATTACACTAAGGTGTTGATTCTTCCCAAATTGATCTACATACTCAATGTTACTGTAATCACAATTCCACTTCTTTTGGCATAGAAAGTGACAAGCTGATTCTAAAATTTATATGGAAATACAAATGACCTAGAATATCCAAAGTAATCTTGAAAAAGAAGACCAAGTTGGCAGCATTTACAATAGCTGACATTTCAGGACTTTCATATATGTTCATATACTCCTTATTAAAAAAAAAAAAAGAGAGAGATGGGGTCTCACTATGTTGCCCAGGCTGGTCTCAAACTCCTGGGCTCAAGCAATCCTGCACAATCTTGGCTCACTGCAACCTCTGCCTCCCAGATTCAAGCAATTCTCCTGCCTCAGCCTTCCGAGTAGCTGGGACTACAGGCATACACCACCACGCCTGGCTAATTTTTGCAATTTTAGTAGAGATGGAGTTTCGCCATGTTGACCAGGCTGGTCTCAAACTCCTGACCTCAGGTGATCTACCTGCCTCAGCCTCCCAAAGTGTTCGGATTACAGGCATGAACCACCATGCCTGACTATATTCATACAATGGGTTACTACTCATCATAAAAAAGGATTAAACTACTGACACACAACGGAGATGGATCTCAAAAACATTGAGTGAAACCTTAGACGAGTGTACATTTATATAATTCCAATGTATGAAGTTCTAGAAAAAGCAAAATTAATCTATGGTGGAAAAATATACAGTACAAAGGTTGCCTCTTGGTGAGTGGGGGCAAAAACTGTGAAGGGGACTGAAAGAACTTTAAATGAATCTTGAACTTTAGTTAATATTCATACTGAACTAATTGGGAGTGAAGTATACTTACGTCTGCAACTTACTTTGAACATGTCAAATAAGATCAATGATTACTTAGAGAGGTGAAAATATGCATAGTCATACGATCAAGCAAATATAGCAAAATGTCAGTTGAGCTGAATATGTGGATGTTATTTAAATAATTATTTCAACTGTTCTGAATGTTTAAAAATTTTCATAATGAAATGTTGAGGGAAAAATTGTGCTTTCAATTCCTCCGTGCTCTCACGTTGCTTGTACAAACTGTAACTGAATTTCTATGAAGTAAGCCAAAGGAGCGGGGTGTTATTCTCAGAGTCATATTGTCTTAAAAAAAGTCTTAATATAAGAAATAAACTAAAGCATTCCTTCTCATCAAAGACGCAACTTAAGTTGTATAGTGACTTTAGCTTCACATTGTATATATAATGACTCTGGCTCAGATAGGGGAAGTTCTGCAGCTTCATGCCCTGTGCCTCAGCTTAGATGCTTATTTTCAAGGTTAGTCATTTAAAGATAGGCACCTGCCCAGACTACGGCCTTAGCACAAGAAAATATATTCACTGAACTTGGCATCTCAGGGTGAAATGCAAGGCTCATACAATGTCAACAAATCAAAACACCATTTCAAGGATGCCAAGAAAAACTTATCTTTTACTGTTCAGGAGGGGCAGTCACCTAAGAGATTACAGATCCAATGTTCATACCTTCAAAAAAACACTTTTTGAGTTTCATTACCTTTATCAAGAGATGCTCCAGCCATATGGTAAAAACTCAATGCAGTGTCCACATCATTAATGTTCTTTAGGAAAGTAAAGAAGTTCTCCACCTCCTGAAATGTCAGACCCTGCAAGAGGAGAGACAGCAAGGTAAGGCAGGACCTGTAACAAAAAGCAGCACGATATGCATAGGCAGTGATTCACATCTGCAAATCAGAAATTCATGCTCATGTCTAGAACAGAAACTGAATACATTAGTCAAGGAATATCAAATTCATAAACAGCAGGGGAACAAAACTCTTGAATTCTACCCTGAGAAAGGCAAACTGGCTAGTTGCTTCCCTCTCACACGTAAAATCTGAGAAAGCTTACAGTGATGGCTGAATATCTTAATGAAAATATTTCTTCTTTTTTTTTGAGATGGAGTTTCACTCTGTCACCCAAGCTGGAGCGTAATGGCATGATCTCAGCTGACTGCAACCTCCGCCTCCTACGTTCAAGCAATTCTCCTGCCTCAGCCTCCTGAGTAGCTAGGATTACAGGTGCACACCATCACGCCTGGTTAATTTTTGTATTTTTAGTAGAAACAGGGTTTCATCATGTTGGCCAGACTGGCCTTGAACTCCTGACCTCAAGTGATTCACCTGCCTCAGCCTCCCAACGTGCTGGGATTACAGGTCTGAGCCACTACACCTGGCCTAATGAAAATATTTCTAACTGTGCTCTCCAATTAGACACACTATCAATGATGACACTTCCTAATTGGGCTATAGCTACTTGACTTGTTATACATCTTAAGAAGTAAAATCAGAGTCAGGACTTCCAGTTTAATAGTCTGCTCACAGGCCAGCTGAGCTTTTTGAGGCTTAAGCGAATTGAAGAATCACCAAAGTCAGTGATATACAGGGGAACGGTGTCGGTATTTAGCAAAACCCAAGTAATGGGGAAGCCGTTCATTATCTCAATTTAAAAGCTACCCACAAAGTAATTTGCCACTTAACTTTAATCTAATGAAATTCTGTGAATGAAGATTTTTTTTTCAAAAACGGTTTAAAGATTTGCTGATCTCTAATTCCACTTTCTATGATGCATCGAGAAAAAGTAGTTATAGAAATAGGGGCTACTGGGAATTCCTT
Organism: Homo sapiens; assembly: GCF_000001405.40. Lineage (NCBI taxonomy): Eukaryota > Metazoa > Chordata > Mammalia > Primates > Hominidae > Homo > Homo sapiens. The sequence continues at coordinate 72,409,046 of NC_000010.11, forward strand.
TATAGGGAGGAAGATTTGTCCTATTTGCCTTTCCCCCGCTTCCCACACATCATGCTGTGATGGAAATAAATGCAGTTTCTAAGAAGGGAAAACACTGGGAAATGTCCTAGATATCCCAGACACTGATGTTAATGCCTTTTAATGAAGCATCAGGTCCTTAAAGAGCTGCAGATGTAGACTGGCTTCTACTTAGTGCTGCTCCTCCTGCAATTTTCATTTTCCCAAACTACAGAGCCCAGGAACTCACATCAGGAACTCAGTAATAAGGAAATCCTAATACAATCTACAGTTCTTTCCTGGTACTCTCCAAACTGGGTCAATTGTATGTTTCTCACCTTATCAAACTGAAAGCTAAAAGACTGTATTAGGCTGGGTGCAGTGACTCATGCCTGTAATCCCAGCACTTTGGGAGGCCAAGGCAGGAGGATCACTTGAGCTCAGTGACCAGCCTAGGCAACATGGTGAAACCTCATCTCTACAAAAAATATTTAAAAAGTTAGCCGAGTGTGGTGGCATGTGCCTATAGTACCAGCTATTTGGGAGGCTGAGGTGGGAGGATCGCTTGAGCCTGGGAGGCAGAGGTTGCAGGGAGCTGAGATCATGCCACAGCACTCCAGCCTGGGTGACAGGGCTAGACGCTGTCTCAAAAACAAAACACAACAAAAAAGACTGTATGATTATATCACATGATCTTTTATAATTTTTTTCCTTAGAATCATAGAACTTAAAAAACTTTATTGTGGAATATGATGACTATATAGAAAGGTGCATAAAATATAAATGTACAACTTATCAAACTCTTGCAAAGTGAACACCCACAGAACCTTCATTTAGGTCAAGGAACAGACTATTATCATCATCTCAGAAGCCTCCTCTCTCCCCACAACATGTCCCTTCCTAATCATAAACTCCAGCCCCTGCCCAACCCCTACTGACAATAACCACTATTCTGACTTTTAGGGAATTCATTTCCTTGCTTTTTTTAAAAATAGCATTTTTATATGTAAATAGCGTACTTACAAAAACCGTTGCTTAATTTTATCTGTTGTGGAACAGTAGAAATGGAATTATGCAGTAGGCATTCTGTTATATATGGCTTCTCTCTTTAAGATTTGTTCATGTTTTTGTGTGTATCTGTAGTTCATTCATTTTTATTGCTATAAAGTATTTCATTGTGTGAATATACCACAATTTGTTTATCCATTCTATTTGGGCTGTTTCCAATTTTTGGCAATTATGAACAGTGATGCATCTGTACTTAGCATTTATTCAAACATTTATAGAGTACTAGCCAGGCACGGTGGCTCACGCCTGTAATCCCAGCACTTTGGGTGGCCGAGGCGGGCAGATCACCTGAGGTCAAGAGTTCCAGACCAGCCTGACTAACACGGAGAAACCCCATCTCTACTAAAAATACAAAAATATTAGCCAGGCATGGTGGCAAATGCCTGCAATCCCAGCTACTTGGGAGGCTGAGGCAGGAGAATCGCTTGAGCCTGGGAGGCAGAGGTTGCAGTGAGCTGAGATCACGCCACTGCACTCCAGTCTGGGCAACAAGAGGGAAACTCTGTCTCAAAACAAAACAAAACAACCAAAAAACAAAAAACAAACATTTATAGAGTACCTACTATGTACCAAGTGTTGTAATTTTTGGTAGTGGACTGGAAGGCCTATATTATATGCTTTTTCCCTAATTTGAGGTCAGTCTCTTGGCTTTGCCTTAGAGCACCCAGAGTTAGGTCTCATTATGCATACCATAGTATGCTATTTAATGTAGGCACTAGCTAGAATCAAATTTAGAAGAGAATCCCATAGGATTAGAAGTACAGGTTGTACAATATCATTGCTTGTGGATGGACACACTAATAATCTTCCTTTCCCTGCCATCAAAAGACACATAAAGGTGGAGGCAACCCAATAGTCTACTGATGGATGAATGGATAAACAAAATGCGGCATATACACACAATGGAATATTGTTTAGCTTTTAAAAGGAAGAAGATTCTGACACAAGCTACAGGATGATGGCCCTCGAAGACATTATGCCAAGTGAAATAAACTAGCCACAAAAGGACAAAAGATAATACTGTATGACTGCACTTAAATGAGGTAATGAGAGTAGTCAAAGATGGTGGTTGTCAGGAGCTGGGAGGAGGAGAATGAGGAGCTATTATTTAATGGTAAGGAGTTCCGGTTTGGGAAGGTGAACGGGTTCTGGAAATAGATGTGTATTTTACCACACACAACACACATACACACATAACATGCTAAAGCTCTTTTACTTTTCTTTTTTTTTTTTTTGAGACGGAGTCTCGCTCTATCGCCCAGGCTGGAGTGCAGTGGCGCGATCTCGGCTCACTGCAAGTTCCGCCTCCCGGGTTCACGCCATTCTCCTACCTCAGCCTCCCGGGTAGCTGGGACTACAGGCGCCCACCACTGCACCCGGCTAATTTTTTGTATTTTTTTTTAGTAGAGATGGGGTTTCACCGTGTTAGCCAGGATGGTCTCGATCTCCTGACCTCGTGATCCACCCGCCTCGGCCTCCCAAAGTGCTGGGATTACAGTTACTTTTCTTATTAAGGTATAAAATCCTGTAGGAGTTAGAGAGTTAGGGGACTAAGTTATTGAAAGGGTATTTGAGGCTAAAAGGTTAACATAAAATTCCTAAAACAGTTAGGGCATGGTAGAGGAAATGTGTCCCACTCTGATGATAAACAACCTCTAAAGTTTGTTAGTTTCTAACTAACACTCTGAAACATCAAATACTACAGCTCAAGACCAGAGTGCTTATGCTGAGAATTATCTGAGGACAGAGAGAGAACAATCTAAACTGAATGGCTATTCATTTGGTGATTCAGAAAAACAGTGGGCTGCAAATCACATTATATAACTATTAAATCTAAATATACATCACTATACTTTTATCACAAAGATATAATAAAAAATTTTATTGAGCACTTACTAATCACTTATCATTATGCCAAGAACAGTGAGGGAAATTGTATTGGACACAGGCCTTGATTTTTTGGAGCTTACTATTTAGATAGGCCTCCTTAAAGTGAAGATGATGTCAGTCCCAAAATTCTTATTTTTTTGGTAACTACTATGGTAAAAATCCAGAGGGCTATTAGAAAAAAGCTAGAGTAAGATGATAACATGAGCTTTGTGGCTGGAAAGATGGAAAGAGAAAGGATATACTTATTGCAAATTGAGTTGTTTGGACAAGAAGGCTACAACTTATGAAACAATCTATTGGCAGGTGACTAGAACTGCAGACATAATAATCAAAAGGAACTGTCTCTTAGAGGAGTTACTGTGACTAATTGTTCAACAAACTGGTTATCTATCTACCTTTGGAAAGATGGACTTATATAAACCGGGCTCTAGGTGACTATAAAAAGAAGATAAGATTAATGATAGTTTGTAGACAATAGTGATTATTTCTTTAGGATGCTGAAAAATGAATTTAACATTAGGAAGTTGCTAAGCAAGTAAATAGAATTGTCTTTCAAAACTAAAAGCAGGGCCAGGTGTGGTGGCTCATGCCTGTAATCCCAGCACTTTGGGAGGTCGAGGCGGCTCGATCACCTGAGGTCAGGAGTTCGGGACCAGCCTGGCCAAACATGGTGAAACCCCGTCTCTACTAAAAATACAAAATTATCTGGGCATGGTGGCGCATGCCTGTAATCCCAGCTACTCAGGAGGCCGAGGCAGGGGAATTGCTTGAACCTGGGAGGCAAAGGTTGCAGTGAGCCAAGATTGCGCCATTGCACTCCAGCCTGGGCGACAAGAGCAAAACTCTGTCTCCAGAAAAAAAAAAAAAAAAAGCAGTGGATAAAACTTTTAGAAGAAAACACAGGAGAGGCTGAGCACAGTGCACAGTGGCTCATGCCTGTAATCCCAGCACTTTGGGAGGCAAAGGCGGGCAGATCACTTGAGCCTGGAAGTTTGAGACCAGCCTGGCCAACATGGTGAAACCCTGTCTCTACTAAAAATACAGAAATTAGCCAGGCATGGTGGCATGTGCTTGTAATCCCAGCTACTCGGGAGGCTGAGGAATGAGAATTGCATGAACCCAGGAGGTGGAGGTTGTAGTGAGCCGAGATCGTGCCACTGCACTCCAGCCTGGGCAGCAGTGAAACTCTGTCTCAAAAAAAGACAAAAAACAAAAACAAAAACAAAACAAAACAAAACAAAACCACATAGGAGCAAATCTTCATGACCTTGACTAAGGCAAGAGTTCTTAGATGACACCCAAAGCACAATCCATAAAGGAAAAAAAACTGATTGGTTAGACTTCATCAAAATTTAAAAAATTTGTGCTTCAAAATAATGAGAAAATAGAAAAATCACAAGCTAGGAGAAAATGCTTGAAAATCATATATTTGGTAACAGACTTGAATCCAGGTCGGGCGCAGTGGCTCACACCTGTAATGCCAGCACTTTGGGACACCAAGGCGGGTGGATCACCTGAGGTTGGATGTTCGAGACCAGCCTGACCAATATGGTGAAAACCCATCTTTACTAAAAGTACAAAAATTAGCCAGGCTGTGGTGGTGGGCACCTGTAATCCCAGTGACTCAGGAGGCTGAGGCAGGATAACTGCTTGAACCTGGGAGGCAGAGGTTCAAGTGAGCTGAGATTGTGCCACTGCACTCCAGCCTGGGCGACAGAGGGAGACCCTGTCTCAAAAATAAAAAAAAAAGGACTTGTATCCAGAATTATATAAACAACTATTATAACTCAATATATGGGAAGACCAACAACCTGATTTAAAAAAAGATTTGAATAGACAGTTTACCAAACAAGACAAGTGAATGGCTAATAAGTACATGAAACAATGCTTAGCATCATTAGGAAAATACAAATTAAAATCACAATGATATACCACTACACACCTATTGGAATGACTGTAATAAAGAAGACAGACAATAACAGGTGTTGATGAGGGTGTGGAGAAACTGGAACTCTCGTATATTCACATGGAGATGTGAAATGGTTCCACCACTTTGGAAAACGGTTTAGCAGTTCCTCAAAAAATTAAATTTACCATACAACCCAGGTATTTCACTCCTAGGAATCTTCAACAAAAATGAAAACACAGGTCTGCAGGAGGACTTGTACGCAATGTTCACAGCAGCATTATTCCTAATAGCCCAAAACTGGAAACAATCCAAATGTGAATGGATAAATAAAATTTAGTATATCCAAGCAATAAAATACTATTTACTCTTCTGCAATAGAAAATAATAAACTATTAATATAAGCATCTACATAAAAATGTAATGTAGTAAATAAAATACTATTTACTCTTCTGCAATAGAAAATAATAAACTATTAATATAAGCATCTACATAAAAATATTGTGCTAAGTAAAAGAAGCCAGACACAAAAGACTACCTTATTATTGTATTTATATGAAATGTCCAGTAAATGCAAGTCTATAGAGACTGAAAGCTGTTTTATAGTTGCCTGGGGCTAGGGTAGAAATGAGGATTGACTGAAAGCTAGCAGGAGGGATCTTTTTGGGGTGATGGAAATGTTCTAAAACTGAATGGCAGTAATAATTGCATAACTGCAAATTTACTAAAATTCACTAAAATTAATAAAAATCACCGAATTGTACAGTTAAAATGGATAACTTATGGTATATAAATTATACCTCAAAAAAAGTTGTTAAAAAATATGAAGCAGTCAGAGTAGATGAGACAAGGAAAATGTAGCTTCCTTTGGAGTCAGCTGTAAAGCGAGATATCTAATGCTGACAGGCCATGATGAGTGCAAACACTGTAATGGATGATTCCCTCTTCCTGCCTTTTAATCAGTCACAGCAAATCCGTCTACCAGAAGCCAATCTAATTGCCCAAGTTCTGTCTATGGCCCACTGAAAAAAACAGTCTTCTTCCTTCCTTATATCCCATGCCTCTCACCATTCTTGTCATGTATCCTCTGCTCAATCTCCTGCTTAGTTTTTTTTTTTTTTTTTTTTGAGACAGAGTCTCACTCTGTTGCTTAGGCTGGAGTGCAATGGAGCAATCTTGGCTCACTGCAACCTTCGCCTTCCAAGTTCAAGCAATTCTCTTGCCTTAGCTTCCCAAGTGGCTGGGATTACAGACACCTGTCACCATGGCCAGCTAATTTTTTGTATTTTTGTAGAGATGTGCTTTCGCCATGTTGGCCAGGCTGGTCTTGAACTCCTGACCTCAGGTGATCCAACTACCTTGGCCTCCCAAAGTGCTGGGATTACAGGCGTGAGTCACTGCGCCCAGCCTCTCCTGCTTAGTTTTAAAACAATTTTAATTAATATTTTTATACCAGGTACAAGGCAATTCTTTCTGAACCCTGTGCTACATGTGGCCCATGTTACCTATTTCTTGGGTACCTTTCAGAGGTATTACTATGCCTGTCTTGCTCTAATAAAGCATCTTCCTATTGCAAACCCCAGACTTCTCTTCAACTGTTGCCTGGCAGCAGGGGAAATTATACCATTTCTGTTACTTACATTTCCACAGGTATCTAATCTTTCTGAAACATCACTTTCTTCATATCTTTATCCCTTCCGCTCACAACATGTCCATGATTTCCTACTGTCAATTGGATAAACCTCCAAACTTTTTAGCCTGGGATTTACGGTCTTCCACCATCTGCTTCCATAACTTAACCTTTCTAGCTATCTTCCTAAGAATCTTAGGCTGGCATCTGGCAACACTGGTTTTGTTTCCCTAAAAACTTGTGCTTATTTAAACCATGGAGAATAAGGAGTGGCAACAAACAGGATGATTAGTAAGAAGGCTATGGACTCTGGAATAAGAATAAAGCTTTGAACCCTGGTGCCGCCTTCCTAAGACATTGTTGATCTCAGGTTAATAACTAAGGCTCAGAGGACTATTTTTCATCTGAAATATGATAATTCTACCTAGTATCTACCAAGCAGGTAGATACACAAGATATGTAAAATGTCTAGTACACAGAAAGTACTCAGTAAGTGGTAGATATGAGTCCTTAGTAATTTGGCAGGCTCATTACTACAGAACTAGTGATAATTAATTTATTCTACTAAGCTCTGAAGTAGGCTCTCTTATCTGGAATGTGTAGGATCTTGAGGGATAGGGAATAGGGGAAAAGTTGATGTAAATGAAATTCATTGTGGGGAAAAAACAGGAAAATAATAGAGGGAAAACTCATAAAACTAAATCTCCTATAGTAATTCATAGCTTAGTACTCCTTTGGGGGAAGTACAGGTTTCAAAGCTAATTAGTAACAACAACAACAACAAAAAGTAGAGTTCTAGTCTTTTTAGTTTTATGGCCACATTTCACACGCTATACTACATAGTGACTGGTGGGCACCTAATATTTGGAGTTAATGAGTTTTCAAGGGGTATGCTAGCAATTTCTAGAATCTGATATTCCACAAATGACTAATGTGGTTCAAATATCTGAGAATAAGTGAAAAAGGAGAGCTCGCATATATTATCCACAGATGATATGAAAACTTAACAATCTAATGGTTTTATTAGAACTGTTTGATAAGTACTAACTGCTTAATGGCTAGTAGCAGAATTAATAAGCAATCATACACACAGAAGGCTGTTGGGGATAGGGCTACGACAGGAAACACTTAGCAAAAGCAAATGTCTTTATAAGCTTCTGCTTGTCAAAATCCTACTCCATGTTTAAGGCCAAGTTCGAATTGTACTTCCTCTAAGAAATCTTACTCGGTCTCTTCAGCTGGCTCTAATCTTCCTCCTTAGTGCTTCAAAAAGATCTCATACCTTTAATAGAGTACTCAACATATTTATCATTGCACTTGATAAGCATTTACCGCCACCATACAGAGGACATGCAAAGATGAATAAGGCACTGCTCTCAAGAAGCTCAAAGCTAAGTGAGTTACCTTGCTTTATATTTGTTTAAAATCTGTTTCGTTCCAGTAGGAATGCTAAGTTCTATGAGGCAGACACTGGTGTGCTCACTACTGCATTCCCAGTATTTAGAAGACTGCTTGGCACATAGTGGCTGATCGATAAATATTGAATATAAATGTGAATATAGAATTACAGAGTTCTTTGCATACATATTTTTCTCTTACTAGACTATTACAGACTTAAGAAATATATATAGTTGTGCTGGGTGTGGTGGCTCACGCCTGTAATCCCAGCACTTTGGGAGGCCAAGGCGGGTGGATCACGAGGTCAGGAGATCGAGACCATCCTGGCTGACATGGTGAAACCCTGTCTCTACTAAAAACACACAAAAAATTAGCCAGGCGTGGCAGTGGGCACCTGTAGCCCCAGCTACTCAGGAGGCTGAGGCAGGAGAATGGCATGAACCCAGGAGGCGGAGCTTGCAGTGAGCCGAGATCAGGCCACTGCACTCCAGCCTAGACAACAGAGCAAGACTCCGTCTCAAAAAAAAAAAAAAAAAAAAGAAATATAGTTGTAAGGATAAGGGAAGGTCTTTTTCACAGCACCTGGCTTAGTGTCTTGCACACAGCAATGTCTGCCATTGAACTGAGTTATAATTTTCAATTTCATCCTTAAGAAGTTACTAGTTAGTAGCTTCTGCATTCATAAACATAGAGGATCACCACTGTGAATTACATTTATGAAGTCTCAGAAAACTCTTTGTTAAATAAAAACATGGTGGTTTTTCAGAGCATCAATAGAGTAATTTTTGTCAAGCACGGCAGGTTCCCCAGTTCTTCAAACTATTACTTAGAGATAAAACAGCTAGAGACACTGATGGAGCATTGCATCTCTCGAGCAGTGGCTCATAAGCCTAGCTGCACATTAGATTTACCTGGGGACCCTTTGTATTAGTTCGTTCTTATGCTGTTAATAAAGACATACCTGAGACCAGGTAATTTACAAAGGAAAGAGGTTTAATTGACTCACAGTTTTGCAGGGCTAGGGACACCTCAGGAAACTTACAGTCATGGCAGAAGGGGAAGCAAACATATCCTTCTTCGCATGGCAGCAGGAAGAAGAATGAGTGCCTGGTGAAGGGGGAAGCCTTTTATGAAACCATCAGATCTCATGAGAACTAACTCATTGTCATGAGAACAGGATGGGGGAAACTGCCCCATGATTCAATTATCTCCACCTGTTCCCTCCCAGGACATATGGGGATTATGGGAACTACAATTCAACATGAGATCTGGGTGGGGACACAGCCAAACCATATCACCCTTTAAGAAACACTTCTGGAATTTCTCATGCAGAGGGTTAAGAAAACCCCAGAACACTGATGCCTGGACCCACCTACTGAGCCTCTGATTTAATTGATTTGAAGAGGGCCCAAACAACCACATTCCTTAAAAATTCCTCAAGTGATCCTATAGTAGAGAAGCACTGCTTTACAGGAAGAGTATGATTAGGAGAAACAGCACTTTCTTAAGGAAAAGACAAGATCTGGAATAGGAAGCCTTGGATTTTAGACCAGACTCTGAATGGGTTATTAACTTCTCTTTCTGTCTCTATATTCTCAAAAATACAGTATCTAACAAGGCTGTTAGAAAGGAAGAGAAAAATGGCTGTGAAACATTGCATGGTCATTAATTTATATGCAAAAATTTAATACCACCACTAGGACCTTCAATCTCTTAGGTCTTGTTTGATACCTTGATACAGAACCTCACACAGAAACTGATTAATGTCAGCCAAATGAAAACTTACATTTTCATGTTAACAAATCCAAAGTGGAATAAAAGAAGCAATTAGAAAGCAGATGGTGATTCCCCTTTTATAGGAAATGGTCCTAGAGAGATGGACTCGTAACCTTAGGAGCAAAGGCCCTTCCTTGACACTCACTTTAGTTAATTGCTATGTTCACAAACTATTTAATCAACATGAGAGGACAATCAATCTTAATCTCGTTGCTAACACAGGCTAGAAATTCTGGGCCAAAAGTAATTTAACACCGCAGATTTTCATCATCTGACAAAATTTGTCCTTTCATTTTAGAGCTCTTTTGCAAGGTCTTCAGATCCTAAATTAACTCCTGCCAATGCTCAAATACTCTTCCTTCAAGGGAGATGCCTCCAATGCCCCTTATTGCTTTTAAGTGTAAACTCACAATGAAATATGAATTCACCTATCATGATAGATAATTAAAGTCAAATCAATATCTGGACCAACCTTTAAAAATAAGCATGGTCTAAATAAACGAGCATGTCTGAATGTAAACACTATTCTTCCAGCATAGGGGTAAAAAATCCACCTATACATTCGTAATCAGTTTTTTGAAATTACGATTTCCAACAGATATAAGCTAAGTATTGGGTACTGTAGAAGTGCTCTATGGGAGATAAATGTTTTTTCTCTGTCACTTTCCATTAATGATGAGTCTTCCCCACAGCCAAGAGAACACCTGCTGTGGGAAAAGGCTGGACTGAGTTCAGAGAAGCTGACACTTCCTCTCAGAGCCAGCCTGCCCTCATTTGCAGCCCACAGCCTGGTTCAGAGGTCCTTTCAACTTTTCAATATCCAAGACAAGGAGGAAAAAGTCTGGCTGATAAGAAGGGTTTTCCACCAAGTTAGGGCAATGCTATGCATGCAACATTTCTTGCACAAAGACTAACTAGGAAAACTGGGACAAGCACTAGCAATCCTCTATCTTATTTTCAATTATTGAATCTTTAAAGCTAGAAGGGCCCTTACAGCAAGCATCTAGGATAAGCCTCTCAATTCATGAGGCCAGTAAGGTTAAGTGATTTGTCTAATGACTATGGGAACCTCTGAGGCAGAAGTTAGTCTCAAGTTTTCCATCTTCATGCCTACCATGCCACACTATCTTGGTGATATGGTTTGGCTGTGTCCCCACCCAAATCTCGAATTGTAGCTCCCATAATGCACATGTGTCGTGGAAGGGACCTGGTGAAAGGTAATTGAATCATGAGGGTAGGTCTTTAATGTGCTGTTCTTTTGATAGTAAGTCTCACAAGATCTGATGGTTTTACAAAAAGGAGTTCCCCTGCACATGCTCTCTTTCTTGCCTGCCACAACGTAAGACGTGTCTTTTCCTTTTTTTTTAAGACGGAGTTTCGCTCTTGTTACCCAGGCTGGAGTGCAATGGCGCGATCTCGGCTCACCGCAACCTCTGCCTCCTGGGTTCAAGCCATTCTCCTGCCTCAGCCTCCTGAGTAGCTAGGATTACAGGCATGCACCACCACGCCGGGCTAACTTTTTGTATTTTTAGTAGAGAGGGGGTTTCTCCATGTTGGTCAGGCTGGTCTCCAACTCCCAACCTCAGGTGATTTGCCTGCCTCGGCCTCCCAAAGTGCTGGGATTACAGGCATGAGCCACTGCGCCCAGCCATAAGACATGTCTTTTCTTCTCCTTTGCCTTCCGCCGTGATTGTGAGGCCTCCTCAGCCATGTGGAACTGTGAAATCAAACCTCTTTCCTTTATACATTACCAGTCTCGGTATGTCTTTATTAGCAGCATGAGAATGGACTAATACACTTGGAAATCTCTCATGGAACATTTTTAGTGCCAGGTTAGATTCTTGGTCATGGTCAGATGGTAGCCATTGTCCAGTGGGAAGAGTACTGGGCTGGGAATGAGAAAATCTGGGTTCTAGCCTTAGCACTGCTTTGTGTGTTTATGTGTGTGTGTTCTCTTAGAGGCCTGGATTTTTTTTTTTTTTAAGACAAGGTCTCACTCTGTCACCCAGGCTGGAGTGCAGTAGCATGATCATAGCTAACTGCAGCTTCAACCTCCCCAGGCTCAGGTGATCCTCCCACCTCAGTCTCCTGAGTAGCTGCGACTACATGCACGTGCCACCATGCCTGGCTAGTTTTTGTATTTTTTGTGGAGACAAGGTTTCGCCACTTTGCCCAAGCTGGTCTTGAACTTCTGGGCAGGAGAATCACTTGAACCCAGGAGGCGGAGGTTGCGATGAGCCGAGATCACGCCATTGCATTCCAGCCTGGGCAACAAGAGCGAAACTCCGTCTCAAAAAAAAAAAAAAAATAATAATAATAATAATAATAATAAAAAGAAAAGAAAAATAAAAAGAAAAGACACGTCTTACATTGCGGCAAGTCTTGAACTTTGATTCTCCTGCCTCGGCCTCCCAAAGTGCTGGGATTACAGGTATGTGCCACCATGCCTGATGAGGACTGACCTTTTAACTGGTCTCTGCTTCTGTTTGTTCATCTCTCTCTCAGATGCTGATTCAGTCCTATCATCTTTTCTTTCTTTCTTTTTTTCTTTATCTTTTTTTTTGAGATAGAGTTTCGTTCTTTCTCCCACGCTGGAGTGAAGTGGTGTGATCTTGGTTCACTGCAACCTCCGCCTCCCTCTGCACCCTCCCTTCCCCGGGTTCAAGCGATTCTCCTGCCTCAGCCTCCTGAGTAGCTGAGATTATAGGCGCCCACCACCACGCCTGGCTAATTTTTGTATTTTTAGTAGAGACAGGGTTTTGCCATGTTGGCCAGGCTGGTCTTGAACTCCTGACCTCAGGTGATCTGCGTGTCTTGACCTCCCAAAGCGTTAGGATTACAGGCGTGAGCCACCGTGCGCAGCCACCATCTTTTCTTTCCTTGTACCAGGGGCAGCTGGCGTTGAAGGGTACCAGAGAGCAGTGTTGCTAGTGTTCCACAAATCCATGTTCTCCAACCTCAAGGCTGCTCAAAAAACTCTAACTCATCTCCTAAATTCTAATAGGCTTATTATCAGTCTTTTTGTTTCTATGCTTGCTCTTCTCCAAACTATCTTCCATAAAACAGCCAGAGTTGTCTCTTTAAACGTACATACAACCATGTCATTTCACTACTCACAACTATTTAATGGCGTTCCATTGCACTGTGAGTGAACTCCAAACTCCCTCCATTCCTATGAAGTCTTGCATGTTCTGTTCCTCATATCCCTCTCTGAGCTCAGCTCAGGCCACTCTCCTTTTTGCTCAGAACCTTCTATACAAACTAGTCCCTTTTCAGTTCTTCACACATACCAGGTTTGTTTTTCCTGCTTGTTATGGACTGACCCCACCCCCTACCCCATTCATATGTTGAAGCCCTCCCTAACCCCTACTGTGCCCAATGTGGTTGTATTTGGAGATGGGGCCTTAGAGGAAATAACAAGGCTAAATGAGGTCACAAGGGTGGGGCCCTAATCTGCTAGGATTAGTGTTCTTATAAGAAGAAACACAAAGAGATTTCTCCCTCTCTTCATGTACACACACTGAGGAAAGCCTGTGTGAGGACACATTGAAAAGGCAGCTACCTGCAAGGCAGGAGGAGAGCTCTTATCAGAAACCAAATCAGCTGGCACCTTAATCACAGGATTCTATCCTCCAGGAATGTGAGAAAATAAATTTTTCCTGTTAAAGCCACCCAGTCTGTGGTATGTTGTTACAGAAGCCCCAGTAGGCTAATACACTGCCTTGGAATTTGCCTATGTGATTTCCCACTTTCCAGAGCCTCCTCTTCCACCTCTCTCCTTTCTCTGCTTCTGTACTTTTCATCGAATAGGGATGCCTTCCAACTAGACTACTCTAATGAAACAGCCCTCTCAAAGGTCACCAATTACTGCCATTTCACCAAAACCAATGGATGTTACCACCTTTAGCTTACTGGATCCTCGCTGTTATATGTGACATGGTAGACCCCTCAGTTCTTGAACCTTCTATTTCCTTGACTTTGATTTCACTACTCTCTTTAGGTATTCTTTTTTTTTTTTGAGATGAAGTCTCACTCTGTTGCCCAGGCTGGAGTTCAGTGGCATAATCTTGGCTCACTGCAACCTCTGCCTCCTGGTTTCAAGTGATTCTTGTGCCTCAGCCTCTGAGTAGCTGGGATTATGGGCACGCGCCACCATGCCCAGCTAATTTTTGTATTTTTAGTAGAGATGGGGTTTCACCATGTTGGCCAGGCTGGTCTTGAACCATGACCAGCCCATGACTGAATTCTTTATTTTCCCATCTAAACCGGTCTCTCCTTTAAAATTCTCAATTTCAGTTGGTGCCACCCTTTCCTGAACAAGAAACCTGGGATGATTCTGGACGCTCTCCTCTTCCTCACCCATTGCTTATTTCTTTTCTCCCTACGGACCTCAGGTACCAGAAATGAATTAGGTGTAATCATTGGTTCATGAAATACTCTCATCATTATGTTAATACCTTCATATTAAATAATAACCATACATTACCACGGTTTCTCTTCTTCCTCCAGCCAAAGCTACCTACCTTTCCTTCTTTGAAGTGCTTCTTGAGCTGCCTCTGCATGGCGGTCAGCTTCTTGGACTGCACCCCACTGTAGGCAAGTAGCATGCCACCAAACTGCCTCTCAGTAATTCTCCCATCCACAGGGTCATGGCGTTCAAACTGGGAGGGAAACAGAAAGAATGTTCCTAGGGTCAATGGAAAGTATTTTGACGTGGAACACGGAATGATCAGCTGTGTTTGATGGCAGAAAATAGCTGATGACTGGGACTATATTTTTGAGGTACAATTCTCAGTAAGATCTGCAAAAACTAAGAAACAGAAGATATAGGTTCTTATCCCAGATCTGCCACTTACTATTGTCAGAGACAGTCAAGCCAGAGCAACAGCATCTTGAGTAAGGTCTAGGAAAGATGAGGCTGGGACTTGCTGGGCTGCATTCCCAGGAAGTTAGGTATTCCTAGCCTCTAGATGTTTATGGTTAACGGAACAGATGGATAACATTTACTGATCAGACCCAGACTCAGCAATATCCCGATATCCTGATATCTTATGAATGGAAGCATTCCTAATTTTGCTTTAAAGATAATAATATTGATTACTCTTCTAAAAAATTCATAAAGGTCTGAGAGCATAATTTTAAAGAAGAGTAATATATTTTCAAGTTTCCCCAAAATAGCAATAAAATGTTAGGACATTGATAGAGATAGGACTTACATATGAGACACGAAATAAGAAAGTTAAGAGTGAATTTCTCTTTCAGCTCTCATTTCTTCAGCTAGCTCAGTAAGTTGACAGAGACCTAAATTTGTTTCCTTAGTAGTGGGACTGTGTCAATGAGCAAAACATAGAACTGTATTTTAATACAATTACTTTTGTATCAACCTATAACAGTGACCATTTCCCCCCCACCTTTTTTTTTAAGACGGAGTTTCACTCATCATCCAGGCTGGAGTGCAATGGTGCGATCTTGGTTTACTGCAACCTCTACCTCCCAGGTTCAAGCGATTCTCCTGTCTCAGCCTCCCGAGTAAATGGGATTACAGGTGCACACCACCACGCCTGGCTAATTTTTGTATTTTTAGGAGAGATAGGGTTTCACCATGTTGGCCAGGCTGGTCTTGAACTCCTGACCTCAGGTGATCCACTGGCCTCGGCCTCCCAAAGTGCTGGTATTACAGACATGAACCACCATGGCTGGCCTAACAGTGACCATTTACTGAGTATGTACTATGGGCCAGGTACTTCACCAATATGTTCTTTTTTTTAATTACTTTTTTTTTTGTAAATAGAGATGGGGGTCTTGCTATGTTGCCAGGCTGGTCTTGAACTTCTGGGATCAAGCAATCTGCCTGCCTTGGCCTCCTAAAGTGCTGGGATTACAGGTGTGAGTCACTGTGCCTGGCCTCATATAGTCACTATAACAGCCTACAGAGCAGCTACTATTAGCTCCACTCTGCAGATGAGAAAACTGAAGTAACATGCAGCTACATGTGACAGAGCTGGGATTTGAACTCAGCCTTATTTGGGTCCAAAGACTATCTCTCAACACCACACCATTTCCTACTTCTGAGCAGTGGCACATTCGCTTCCTGTACAATAGCACTGTGTTGTTTTGGATAAACTTATACAGCCATGGGGCTTAGTCACATTTAAATGAGACACAAAACTATGTCTAAAGAAATCAACATCATCAATATTAGGTGAAAGCCTCTTTTTCAACACTGCCACTCAATTTTTGATGTTTGTCACACCATCTTTCTATAGAGCTGATAAATTTTTGACAATACCAAAAGTTTTCAGGATTCAATTTAAGTGTGATTTATGACTCAATTTACTATCCTGAAACAAAGTGAAGGACTGACAAAATTTTCTAAATGGGCATACTTTTTGCAATGTTTAAATCAGATTTTCAGTGAAATCTGAAACCTGGGTAAAAGTTCACCTATGGGCTTCTTCAAGGCATGTGAAACAAGGCTGTGCTCCCTGCTCTCCAGGGCCGACTTTAATGATTTAAAGTGTTCATTCTACCCTTATCTGGGAGGTTTCACAGCTGTGGGGCAATCCCGTATGTTGGAACTAGATGAATTTTCAGCTTTATCTCACCAGATAGATTCATGGTTGAAAAGTTTCTTGTTTGTAACACTGGCAGCAGCTGCAGCTTGCTCAAGGCTTATAAAAGGCCTTTATTCTCTGTTCTTCATAGGGGCACAAGGCCTCGCCTCTGTTTTGTTTCAGACAGTAAGGTCAATTTCCAGTGCAGATGCCCAAGCAGCAATTCCAAGATTAGCATTTTTACTAATGTTCTTTGAAAACTCAGACTTGTCTTTTGGTAATGGGCTCTATTATGATTATTTTTAAGTGACTGGAATCTGAAAGGGCTTAAAAACAATCAACTTCTGCTTGTCCAAGTCGTATGGCCACTTCGACGCTTACTACTTCAGTTCTATAATTTGATTTTGGGCAGCACCTCTCCTTTTAGGTTTTTAGGCTTTTCTGAGGCAGGAACCCCCTTATTTCTGAGGTCTTAAACATGGCTGGAGGGAGCCATGGAGAGCTGTTTTTCTTTACACGCAAAACTGCTAATGGAAACAGACTTGAACTAATGTCCTATTTGTTCAAAATTTATTAACTGAAGACCACTATGCTAAGGCTAGGGAACTTTGAAGGCAGTATCTCAAGGACCTTCATTCGGGTTAAATTTTCAAGGGCAATAGCTAGACATCATGTGGCTGCAGGGGTCAAGTGTATGCAGGGTTAAGCATTGCTAATCCAAAAACCCCAAATCTGAAATGCATCAAAATCCAAAACTTTTTTTGTTGTTGAGCAACTTTTTTTGTTGTTGTTGTCCAGGCTGGAGTACAGTGGCATGATCTTGGCTCCCTACAACTTCCGCCTTCTGGGTTCAAGTGATTCTCCTGCCTCAGCTTCCCAAGTAGCTGGGACTACAGGCATGTGCCACCATGCCCAGATAATTTTTGTAGTTTTAGTAGAGACAAGGTTTCACTATATGTTGGCCAGGCTGGTCTCAAACTCTTGACCTCAGGTGATCCGCCTGCCTTGGCCTCCCAAAGTGCTGAGATTACAGGCGTGAGCCACTGCACCTGGCCCAAAATCCAAAATTTCTTGAGCACCAACACGTTGCTCAAAGATCATGCAAAAAGGAAATGCTTATTGGAGCATTCTGGATTTTTTTTTTTTTTTTTCAGACAGGGTCTTGCACTGTCACCCAGGCTGGAGTGCAGTGGCACAATCATGGCTCACTGCAGCCACGACCTCCTAGGCTCAAGTGATCTTCCCATCTTAGCCTTCTGAGTAGCTGGGACTATAGGCATGCACCACCATGCCTGGCTAATTTTTGCATTTTTGTAGAGATGGGGGTACCCTATGTTGCCTGGGCTGTTCTCAAACCCTTGAGCTCAAGCTATCTGCCCACCTCAGGCCTCCCAAAGTGCTGGGATTACAGGCATGAGCCACAGCACCCGGCCTGAATTTTGGATTAGTGATGCTCAACCAGTAAGTATAACACAAATGTTCCAAAATCTGAAACTGCTGGTCCCAAGCATTTTGGATAAGGGATACTCAACCGCTATCTTAAGCTGGGACAATCCTGTGGGTGCACTCCTGGAGTGCCATATACATGTAATCAATCCCCAAGGTTGTGGGAGGATCTTTTGAGGAAAGACACAGGTTATTACAAAATTATCATAATGTAGAAAAGTTCTAATTGCATATTTGGAAGAAATTCAAATTACAGGCTTATATTTTACTTCACCCAAGCTATTTTCCACTAATGTTGGAACCTCTGATGTTCTACTTCAATGAAAATTAAAAGCCTCCACTGTGTTTGATTCTGAGGCACAGCATGTGTGTATTCCAGCATGCCACCCACCATCTGCATTGTTTTTCCGTGTCTAGGAAGAGAGCTTAACAGCCTCACATTTCCCCTTCTGCAGCCATTGCCACTTTCTCAAATGGATACAAGCTGTTGTTTCCCTGTTGTTCCCCAGGGGGCTGCAGGGTAGGCAAGGAGGAGCCAAAAAACTGCAAGGTTTTTCCTGGCTTTCTGTTCACACTGCGCCTCTTGTTCCCATCCGTCCCTTGTCGTTTTGGAAGGACAGATGGTCTACACGTATCTGGATGAAATGACTTAAGAATGAGAAGCCAGGAAAGGAAGAAAACATATATTATGAACAAAGGCCAAAAGTAAGAATAGAAGCACAGTAAAAGGAAAAAGAAATCAGTATCTGCAAGTGGGTCTTCATTTGTTGAAGACTTTTGAGGTTAATGTATCCAACAAATGTAAACTTCAGCCTTCTCTTTCATACAGTTATCTTTCAAGAGACTCTGTCCATCCCCCAGAGTAAATCCTCTCCTCATACAAGTTTTCAGAATGATAAATTTTGGGGACCAGGTGTAGTGCCTCATGCCTGTAATCCCAGCACTTTCGGAGGCTGACATGGGTGGATCGCTTGAGCCCAGGAGTTCAAGACCAGCTTCAGCATCATAGACCCCATCTCTAAAATATATATATATATATATATATATATATATATATATGAATGATAAATTTCTTGATAGGCTTCTGAACTGTGCAATGCAAGACTGCATAGTGATCTCAAGCCACTGAGCTGAACACATCTGTGTTTTTGAATCTGATAGTATGTGGCTTTTGAGGTCCTAACCATGCCACTGCCACTATCAGGAGTCTCAGAATAACTGTGTTATGCCCATCTAAAGGAAAATGATTACAAGGAAAGTTCTCGACTGTAAACCTACCCGGTGAGCATGACATACACATTTCATAGTTTGAATTGAAATCTATGTTACTGCAATTGACAAGGGACACTCAAGAGCCCAGGTCAGACTGCCAGGAGTCTGAATTTTCTTGATCTTTAAAGAGGCAGCTTTATTGCAAACACTAACAAGGTTGTCTTTTGAGTAGCTGGCAAACTGAGGAAGAAGGTTCACAATCTGGAACAGAGGCAACACAGTTTAGTGCCTTCAGCAGGGGCCAAAACAAGTCATTAGAGTCTTGGTCCATAAGATTATAGATTACCAAACTCAACTGCTAGAGCTTTCTACTTCCAATCCAAACATTCCTTCTATTTTATTTTATTTTTGAGATGGAGTTTTGCTCTTGTTGCCCAGGATGGAGTGCAATGGCGCGATCTCCACTGCAACCTCTGCCTCCCAGGTTCAAGCAATTCTCCTGCCTAAGCCTCCCAAGTGGGCTGGGATTATAGGCGCTCACCACCATGCCTGGTTAATTTTTTGTATTTTTGGTAGAGATGGGGTTTCACCAAGTTGGCCAGGCTGGTCTCGAACTCCTGACATCAGGTGATCCACCCGCCTCGGCCTCAAGTGCTGGGATTACAGGCGTGAGACACTGTACCTGGCCTCCTTCCATTTAAAAATGGTTTTTAAGAAAAAATTTCAGGTTGGTGATCAAAACAACTGACTAAATGATGAGTACCAATCACAACAGTCAGACCAGGGAAAGGTTAACCCTCCAGCCTGACAGCCAAAACCACGAAGATAATAAGATTAATGCATGAATTTATTACAAGATAATAACAATCAGGAAATATTTGACTGAGGGTGTCAGGGAAAAATATTTTAGATTTGGAACAAAAGGTTTCAAGGTTTGATATGTTTTGTTTTCATTCCACAGAAGGTAATATACTGAAGTGACTAAGAATATGGACTTTACAATCAGGAAGGCCTGGATCCAAATTCTGGCCTGAACCCATACTTGCTGGCTGTGACTTCAAGGAAGTGGCTTACCCGTTCCGAGGGTTCAAATCTTCTTACCAAAAAATAGAGATAATATTCGTGACCTCAAAGTGTTGTTGTAAAGATTAAATGGGATAATATATGTAAAGAAATTAGTACAGAGTTTGAGGCCCAGTTAACATTCAATAAATGGGCTGGGTGTGGTGGGTCACACCTGTAATCCCAGCATTTTGGGAGGCCAAGGTGGGAGGATCACTTGAGGTCAGGAGTTTGAGACCAGCCTGGTCAACATGGTAAAACCCTGTCTCTACTGAAAATATAAAAATTAGCCGGGTCTGGTGGTGTGCACCTGTAATCCCAGCTACTTGGGAGGCTGAGGCAAGGGAATCAGTTGAACCTGGGAGGTGGAGGTTGCAGTGAGCCAAGATCGTGCCACTGCACTCCAGCCTGGGTGACAGAGCGAGATCCTGCCTCAAAAAAAAAAAAAAAAGAAAAAAAATTCAATAAATGTAGCAATTAATTTTATTTATTATTCAACACATTAGAATGACTTTAAGATTAAACTACTTAGAGTTTCTTGAAGCAGAACACCAACTTAATAACCTGTACCCTGGCCATAATTATAAAACAGAAAACCTGGCATAAAGAAAGAGCTCAATAAATATGTATTGAATGAACACAGACAAAACACCAGAAAATTCACAACACTTCTGTCCTATTGTTGGGAGGGTTTCCTATCTAAGGCAAGGAATATCTCTACGTTTATCTCTTAATATCTACCTCCATGATACTGATTTCTATAAGGATAGTCTTGAGAATGCCATTCATTTTGGCTAATCAGTAACATATCTGAGTGCTTATACTTGCCAGGTGCCATCCTAGGAACTAACCTTTGTTAATTCTCGCAATGCTATATAATAGGTAATAGTATTATTCTATTTCAAAAACAGAGAAAAGTGAAATAACTTGCCCACACAGTTAATGTGGAGAGAAATTTCTCTCTGGTCTCAGTATCAGAACAGTTGATATGTTCTTATTTTAAAGTCAACGTGAATCATGTTTGCCTTTTTATCCTGGTTACTGGAAAGCTTATAGTCAAGTTTGTGGGCCTCTTCTAGAATAGGAGACATTATGACTTACACTTTTCATACTAACCTTACTTAACTTTTCTTAAAAGAAAGTTAGGCTTTCTTTTACTTTCTTCTTTCTTTTAACTTTAATTTTCAGCAAGTTTTTACTTTTATCTCACTGCCTGTACTTTTTATGAATTTCTGAAATCCCTTCTTGAAAAAGGCAAGATTTAAAAAAATGGTATTGGACATCTAGGCTGTTTCATTTTTTGTCTATGGTAAGTACCACTCTGATAAACTTTTGCTGAACTTAATTTTTCATCATTATTTTAGGAATTGATCCCTAGAAACAAAATTCTGAAATATAAATTATGGGATCTTTAAAATTTTATTGTGAAATATTTGACATATACATAATAATACATATAACAGACAAGTTATGAAGCATAATAAAACA
Organism: Homo sapiens; assembly: GCF_000001405.40. Classification (NCBI taxonomy): domain Eukaryota; kingdom Metazoa; phylum Chordata; class Mammalia; order Primates; family Hominidae; genus Homo; species Homo sapiens. Next base: position 72,430,473 of record NC_000010.11, read on the forward strand.
AACACCACGAGCCTCCCACTTACCCTGAGAAAGGAAGCATCGGCACTCCATTTGAAGCCCATGCCCTGCCTCCCTTTTCTAGTACATTATTAATATTATTATTTTTTAGATAGGGTCTCGCTCTGTTGCCCAGGCTGGAGTGCAATGGCGTGATCTTGGCTCACTGCAACCTCCACCTTCCAGGTTCAAGCAATTCTCCTGCCTCAGCCTCCTGAGTAGCTGGGACTACAGGCATGCGCCACCACGCCTGGCTAATTTTTGTATTTTTAGTGGAGACGTGGTTTCACTCCATTGGCAGGCTGGTCATGAACTCCTGACCTCAGGTGATCCGCCAGCCTCAGCCTCCCAAAGTGCTGGGATTACAGGCGTGAGCCACTGCACCTGGCCTATTATTTTCAATAGTTTAAAACAAAAGCTTGTATTCCTAAACAATATATTGTTTACTTTTACTTGCTTCCTAACTTTATAAAATGGTATCACAGTGGATATATTCTTTTGCAATTTGTTTTTTTTAATCCTCATTATATTTCAAGGATTCCTACATGTTACAACATTTAACTGTGCTTCTTTCATTTTTACTGTTACAGATTTCTACTGCTTTGAATATACCTTTATCTGTCTGTCTATCTATCTATCTATCTATCTATCTATCTATCTATCTATCTATCTATTTTCTGAGATAGGGTCTTGGTCTGTCACCCAGGCTGGAGTGCAGTGGTGTGATCTTGGCTCGCTGCAACCTCTGCCTCCCAGGTTCAAGTGATTCTCATGCCTCAGCCTCCTGAGTAGCAGGGATTGCAGGCGAGCACTACCACGCCAGCTAATTTTTGCATTTTTGGTAGAGACAGGGTTTCGCCATCTTGCCCAGGCTGGTCTCGAGCTCCTGGCCTCAAGTGATCCTCCCACCTTGGCCTCACAAAATGCTGGGATAACAGGTGTAAGCCATCGTGCCCAGCTTCTACCACTATTTACGTATCAGCTTTCCTCTAAATGGACATCTCAATTATTGTCAGTTTTTTGCTATTAGGAACAATGCTGTTATGAACATTCTTAGATAACTGTGCTGATGAAAGAAAAACAAGAGTTCTGAGACTAGGGTATATATCTGGAAGTGGAACTGCCGGCCTTTCAAGATAATGCCCAATCATTCTGCAAAATAATCACACCAACACTTTTTATCAGCTATGTATAAGAGTGCCCACTGCTTTGCATCACCACCAGCACTTGGTATTGTCAGTTTTTATTTTTTGCCACTCTCTTCGGTCTAAAAATGGTAGAGATAAACTATTTAATGCTCCCAATGTAGTCTGCCAAATTAATTTCCAGAAAAATGTATCAATTTGCAATCCCACTAGTATATATGAGAATATGCATTTCTTAGTATCCTTAACAAAATCAAACATAATAAAAAATCTTTGCTAGAGGAAAAGTGACAACTCATTTTAATTAGTATTTCTTTGATTACTAGGTTGACCATTTTTCTAACATATGTAGTGGTCATTTATATTTCTTCCTCTGTGAATTTTTTATGTTGTCTATTTTTAAAAATAGCAGTGCTGATACTTGTCTCATTAGCTTAAGATTAAAAATATTTGCTTTTTGTTAATGTATTGCCTTTTTTTTTTTTTTTTTTTAATTTGAGGCAGGGTCTCACTCTGTCACCCAGGCTGCAGCACAGTGGTGTGATCAACACTTAATGCAGCCTCAACTTCCTGGGCTCAAGCAATCCTCCCACCTCAGCCCCCTGAGTAGCTAGGACTACAGGCGTGTGCCACCATGCCCAGCTATGTTTCTAAAAAATTTAATACAAATAAATATAAAAACCAAATTTTCTTTTTGTAGAGACGGGGTTTTCCTCTGTTGCCCAGGATGGTCTCAAACTCCTGGCCTCAAGTGATCCTCCCACTTTGGCCTTCCAGTGTGCTGGGATTACAGGCATGAGCCACCCTGCCTGCCAATTTTTTTGCCCAGTGTATTAGTCCATTTGTGTTGCTATAAAGGAATACCTGAAGCTGGGTAATTCATAAAGAAAAGAGGTTTATTTTGGTTCTGCAGGCTATAGGGGAAGGATGGTGCCAGCCTCTGCTTCTGGTGAAGGCTTCAGGGAGCTAACAGACATGGTGGAAGTTGAAGTGGGAGCAGGCATATTACATGGCAAGAGTAAAGAGGAAAAGAGAGGGGGAAGGTTCCAGGCTGTTTTAAAAAACCAGCTCTCATGTGAACGAGAGCAAGAACTCATTCATTACTATGGGGACGGCACCAGGCCATTCATGAGGGATCCACTCCCACGACCCAAACACCTCCACTAGGCACAGCCTCCAACATTGCGGGGGTCACATTTCAACATGAGATTTGTAGGGGACGAATATCCAAACCACATCACTCAGTTTGCCCATCTGTTAATTTTGTTTAGGTCTGTTTTATGTGTGGAAATTTAAAATCTTTATTGTAGGCAAATGCGTGGATCTTCTTCTTCCTTTATGTTTTTTTTGAGACGGAGTCTCACCTGGGCTGGAGTGCAGTGACACGATCTCGGCTCACTGCAACCTCCGCCTCCCAGGTTCAAGTGATTCTCCTGCCTCAGCCTCCCGAGTAGCTGGGATTACAGGTCTGCACCACCATGCCCAGCTAATGTTTTGTATTTTTTAGTAGAGATGAGGGTTCACCATGTTGGCCAGGCTGGTCTTGAACTCCTGACCTCAGGTCATCCTCCTGCCTTGGCTTCCCAATGTGTTGGGATTACAGGCGTGAGCCACTGGTGCCTGGCTTTTTCTTCGCAATTTTTTTTTGAGACAGAGTCTTGCTCTGTTGCCCAGGCTGAAGTGCAGTGGCACAATCTCAGCTCATCACTGCAACCTCTATCTCCTGGGTTCAAGTGATTCTCCTGCCTCAGTCTCCCGAGTAGCTGGGATTACAGGTGCATGCCACCATGCCCAGCTAATTTTTGTATTTTTGTATTTTTTTTTTTTTTTTGAGATGGAGTCTTGCTCTGTCGCCCAGGCTGGAGTGCAATGGTGCAATCTCAGTTCACTGCAAGCTCCGCCTCCCAGGTTCACACCATTCTCCTGCCTCAGCCTCCAGAGTAGCTGGGACTACAGGCGCCTGCCACCACGCCTGGCTAATTTTTTTGTATTTTTAGTAAAGACAGCGTTTCACCATGTTGGTCAGGCTGGTCTCGAACTCCTGACATCAGGTGATCCACCCGCTTCAGCCTCCCAAAGTGCTGGGATTACAGGCGTGAGGCACCGTGCCCAGCCTACAACTTCTTTCATTGGCTTATATTCTTGGGAATCTTTCCTCATTAGATAAGAAAGTAATTAAATATTGACCTACAGTTTCTTTATTTTAAACAAGGAAACATAAAATATTAAAACATATTCCTCAATATCAATCAATGACGATGATTAAATCCTTAGAACAAAACAGCAGATCATCAGCTCAGTTTGTTTTAAAAAGTCCTCCAGTACTGACTTTAACTTCTCTGAGTGCTTGGGAATTTGGAATAGAATGGGGGCATTTACCTCTAATTTAATCACATTCCCCTTGTGGAAGGAATAATCTTGAGTAAATCCAGTTCACTTAACTTTTTTTTTTTTAACCAGCTTAAATGTATGTCATTAGGTATGGAGAGATGGAGAAAGTGGGAAATAATAATTCAGTTCCAAAACAAAGAAGGCCTAAATGGGCCATCTTCCTTACTTAGAAAAATTCTCTAGATGGTTAAAGAACAATCCATATTCTAACATTTATAACGGCAAACATTTACATAGCACTTATTATGTACCAGAGCCTATACTAAGTGCTTTCCATCAACTCGCAGAGCATTTTAAATTACATAAAACTTGTTGGTTATCTTTCCTTCAGACCTTGATCAATATGAATAAGCCTTAAACTCTGGCAGAATTAACTGCTATTTAATATTCCAACCAATCTATGCAGTTCATGTTTCCACATGAAATTGCTAAAAATTTCATGCCATTTTTCCTTTTAGATGACTCTTCAGCAAGCAGAAGATCTTATATCCAATTTCTGCTTTCAATAACATGAAAAACCCTAGTCTTGTGTTACATACTTCTCTGAGATTTAGGAGGCCCAACATTATTCAGAGTTCAAAGATGTTCTTCTTTTCATATGGGATTGTAAGAGTTTTGGAAACAGAGAGACTGTCTGTTAGAACAAAATATAACAGCTCCAAATTTAGGAGTTAAGAACCAAGGACTAATTGTAGTAGAAAAGCAAACTGCTATTTTCTCTCACCTGAGTGCCAGTTTGCTTTCCTCTAACTCCATCAAAGAGCACTCTGGGATCTACTGCTTAGATGAAAATATTAATACAACACATTCCCACACTCCTTTTGTCCTAGCATTGCTGACAGCTTATCAGCATTCATAAGAGAGTTGGAAATTTAGCTTGTTCATATACTCAACACCTAAAGACCCCTATACCAGGCTTGATATGCTGATTTTTCCTAAAGATGTGGCAAACTGTGGAAAGCAGTAACAAATGTGAAAAGCTGTTAGGAAGTAATGATAATAATTAAGATATAGGATTTACTTTGGGCTTAGTAATCCATAGTTGATTATCTCCTCATCATTGTGAGTAACTGAATAAATAAAAATAAAAATGAAGAAATAAAGGCCAGGTATGGTGGCTCATGCCTGTGATCCCAGCACTTTTGGAGGGAAGGTGGGAGTACTGCTTGAGGCCAGGAGTTCGAGAGCAGCCTGGGCAGCACAGTGAGACCTGATTCTACAAAAATTTAAAAATTAGCTGGGCATGGTACCATGTGCCTGTAGTCCCAGCTACTTGGGAGGCTGAAGTGAGAGGATCACTTGAGTCCAGGAGTTCAAGGCTGCGGTGAGCTATGATCATGCCACTGCACTCCACCCTGGGCCAGAGTGAGACCCTGTTACAAAAAAAAAAAAAAAAAAAAAAAAAAGTGGGGGGCGTTCCAAGATGGCTGAATAGGAACAGCTCTGGTCTGCAGCTACCAGCATGATCGATGCAGAAGATGAGTGATTTCTGCATTTCCAATTGAGGTATCTGGTTCATCTCACTGGGACTGGTTGGATAGTGGGGGCAGCCCACGGAGGACGAGCTGAAGCAGGGCGGGGTGTCACCTCACCTGGGAAGTGCAAGGGGTTGGGGGATTTCCCTTTCCTAGCCAAGGGAAGCCGTGACAGACTGCCTGGAAAAACGGGACACTCCTGCCCAAATACTGTGCTTTTCCCAAGGTGTTAGCAACTGGCAGACAAGGAGATTCTCTCCGGTGCCTGGCTCAGCATGTCCCACGCCCACGGAGCCTTGCTCACTGCTAGCGCAGCAGTCTGCGATCGAACTGCAAGGCTGCAGCTGGGCAGGGGGAGAGGTGTCCACCATTGCTCAGGCTTGAGTAGGTAAACAAAGCGGTCGGGAAGCTTGAACTGGGCGAAGCCCACCCCAGCTCAACAAGGCCTACTGCCTCTAGACTACACCTCTGTGGGCAGGGCATAGCTGAACAAAAGCCAGCAGACAACTTCTTCAGACTTAAACGTCCCCGTCTGACAGCTCTGAAGAGAGCAGTGGTTCTCCCAGCACGGCGTTTGAGCTCTGAAAATGGACAGAATGCCTCTTCAAGTGGGTCCCTGACCCCCATGTAGCCTAACTGGGAGACACCTCCCAGTAGGGGCTGACAGACACCTCATATAGGCGGCTGCCCCTCTGGAACGACACTTCCAGAGGAAGGATCAGGCAGCAATATTTGCTGTTCTGCAATATTTGCTGTTCTGCAGCCTCCACTGGTGATACCCAGGCAAACAGGGTCTGGAGTGGACCTCCAGCCAACTCCAACAGACCTGCAGCTGAGGGACCTGACTGTTAGAAGGAAAACTAACAAACAGAAAGGAATAGCATCAACATCAACAAAAAGGACGTCCACACCAAAACTCCATCTGTAGATCACCAACATCAAAGACCAAAGGTAGATAAAACCACAAAGATGGGGAGAAACCAGAGCAGAAAAGCTAAAAATTCTAAAAATCAGAGCGCATCTTCTCCAAAGGATCGCAGCTCCTTGCCAGCAACAGAACAAAGCTAGACAGAGAATGACTTTGACGAGTTGACAGAAGTAGGCTTCAGAAGGTCGGTAATAACAAACTTCTCCAAGATAAAGGAGCATGTTCGAACCCATCGCAATGAAGCTAAAAACCTTGAAAAAAGATGAGATGAATAGCTAATTAGAATAAACAGTGCAGAGAAGACCTTAAATGAACTGATGGAGCTGAAAACCATGGCATGAGAACTTCGTGACGTATGCACAAGCTTCAGCAGCCGATTCGATCAAGTGGAAGAAAGGGTATCAGTGATTGAAGATCAAATTAATGAAATAAAACAAAAAGATAAGAGTAAAAAAACGAACAAAGCCTCCAAGAAATATGGGACTATGTGCAAAGACCAAATCTACGTTTGTCTGGTGTACCTAAAAGTGATGGGGAGAATGGAAGCAAGTTGAAAAACACTCTTCAGGATATTATCCAGGAGAACTTCCCCAACCTAGCAAGGCAGGCCAACATTCAAATTCAGGAAATACAGAGAATGCCACAAAGATACTCCTCGAGAAGAGCAGCTCCAAGACTCATAATGGTCAGATTCACCAAGGTTAAAATGAAGGAAAAAGCGTTAAGGGCAGCCAGAGAGAAAGGTTGAGTTACCCACAAAGGGAGACCCATCAGACTAACAGCAGATCTCTCGGCAGAAACCCTACAAGCCAGAAGAGAGTGGGGGCCAATATTCAACATTCTTAAAGAAAAGAATTTAACCCAGAATTTCATATCCAGCCAAACTAAGCTTCATAAGTGAAGGAGAAATAAAATCCTTTACAGACAAGCAAATGCCAAGAGATTTTGTCACCACCAGGCCTGACTTACAGGAGCTCCTGAAGGAAGCACTCAACATAGAAAGGAACAACCGGTACCAGCCACTGCAAAAACTTGCCAAATTGTAAAGACCATTGATTAGCATGAAGAAACTGCATAATTTAATAGGCAAAATAACCAGTGAACATCATAATGACAGAATCAAATTCACACATAACAATATTAACCTTATTAAATGTAAATGGGCTAAATGTCCCAATTAAAAGACAGACTGGCAAATTGGATAAAGAGTCAAGACGCACCAGTGTGCTGTATTCAGGAGACCCATCTCATGTGCAAAGACACACATGGGCTCAAAATAAAGGGATGGAGGAAGATCTACCAAGGAAACGGAAAACAAAAAAAAGCAGTGGTTGCAACCCTAGTCTCTGATAAAACAGACTTTAAACCAACAAAGATCAAAAGAGACAAAGAAGGCCATCACATAATGGTAAAGGGATCAATTCAACAAGAAGAGCTAACTATCCTAAATATATATGCACCCAATACAGGAGCACCCAGATTCATAAAGTAAGTCCTTAGAGACCTACAAAGAGACCTGGACTCCCACACAATAATAATGGGAGACTTTAACACCCCACTGTCAATATTAGACAGATCAACGAGACAGAAAGTTAACAAGGATATCCAGGATTTGAACTCAGCTCTGCAACAAGTGGACCTAATAGACATCTACAGAACTCTCCACCCCAAATCAACAGAATATACATTCTTCTCAGCACCACATCACACTTATTCTAAAACTGACCACATAATTGGAAGTAAAGTACTCCTCAGCAAATGTAAAAGAACAGAAATCACAACAAACTGTCTCTCAGACCACAGTGCAATCAAATTAGAACTCAGGATTAAGAAACTCACTCAAAACCGCACAACTACATGGAAACTGAACAACTTGCTCCTGAATGACTACTGGGTAAATAACGAAATGAAGGCAGAAATAAAGATGTTCTTTGAAACCAATGAGAACAAAGACACAGCATACCAGAATCTCTGGGACACATTTAAAGCAGCGTGTAGAGGGAAATTTATAGCACTAAATGCCCACAAGAGAAAGCAGGAACGATCTAAAATCGACACCCTAACATCACAATTAAAAGAACTAGAGAAGCAAGAGCAAACAAATTCAAAAGCTAGCAGAAGGCAAGAAATAACTAAGATCAGAGCAGAACTGAAAGAGATAGAGACACAAAAACCCTTCAAAAAAAATCAATGAATCCAGGAGCTGTTTTTTTGAAAAGATCAACAAAATTGATAGACTGCTAGCAAGACTAATAAAGAAGAAAAGAAAGAAGAATCAAATAGATACAATAGAAAATGATAAAGGGGAGATCACCACCAATCCCACAGAAATACAAACTACCATCAGAGAATACTATAAACACCTCTACACAAATAAACTAGAAAATCTAGAAGAAATGGATAAATTCCTGGACACATACACCCTCCTAAGACTAAACAAGGAAGAAGTTGAATCTCTGAATAGACCAATAACAGGCTCTGAAATTCAGGCAATAATTAATAGCCTACCAACCAAAAAAAGTCCAGGACCAGACGGATTCACAGGTGAATTCTACCAGAGGTACAAAAAGGAGTTGGTACCATTCCTTCTGAAACTATTCCAATCAATAGAAAAAGAGGGAATCCTCCCTAACTCATTTTATAAGGCCAACATCATCCTGATATGAAAGCCTGGCAGAGACACAACAAAAAAAGAGAATTTTAGACCAATATCGCTGATGAACATCAATGCAAAAATCCTCAATAAAATACTGGCAAACCAAATCCAGTAGCACATCAAAAAGCTTATCCACCACGATCAAGTTGGCTTCATCCCTGGGATGCAAGGCTGGTTCAACATACACAAATCAATAAACATAATCCATCACATAAACAGAACCAATGACAAAAACCACATGATTATCTCAATAGATGCAGAAAAGGCCTTTGACAAAATTCAACAGCCCTTCAGGCTAAGAACCCTCAATAAACTAGGTACTGATGGACCGTATCTCAAAATAATAAGAGCTATTTATGACAAACCCATAGCCAATATCATATTGAATGGGCAAAGACTGGAAGCATTCCCTTTGAAAACTGGCACAAGACAAGGATGCCCTCTCTCACCACTCCTATTCAACACAGTGTTGGAAGTTCTGGCCAGGGCAATCAAGCAAGAGAAAGAAATAAAGGGTATTCAATTAGGAAATGAGGAAGTCAAATTGTCCCTGTTTGCAGATGACATAATTGTATATTTAGAAAACACCACTGTCTCACCCCAAAATCTCCTTAAGCTGACAAGCAACTTCAGCAAAGTCTCAGGATACAAAATCAATGTGCAAAAATCACAAGCATTCCTATCCACCAATAACAGACAGAGAGCCAAATCATGAGTGAACTCCCATTCACAATTGCTACAAAGAGAATAAAATACCTAGGAATCCAACTTACAAGGGATTGTGAAGGACCTCTTCAAAGAGAACTGCAAACCACTGCTCAATGAAATAAAGGAGGACACAAACAAATGGAAGAACATTCCATGCTCATGGATAGGAAGAATCAATATCCTGAAAGTGGCCATACTGCCCAAGGTAATTTATAGATTCAATGCCATCCCCATGAAGCTACCAATGACTTTCTTCACAGAACTGGAAAAAACTACTTTAAAGTTCACATGGAACAAAAAAAAGAGCCTGCATAGCCGAGACAATCCTAAGCCAAAAGAACAAAGCTGGAGGCATCACGCTACCTGACTTCAAACTATACTACAAGGCTACAGTAACCAAAGCAGCATGGTACTGGTACCAAAACAGATATATAGACTAATGGAACAGAACAGAGGCCTCAGAAATAACACCATACATCTACAATCATCTGATCTTTGACAAACCTGACAAAAACAAGAAATGGGAAAGGATTCCCTATTTAATAAATGGTGCTGGGAAAACTGGCTAGCCATATGTAGAAGGCTGAAACTGGATCCCTTCCTTATACCTTATACAAAAATTAATTCAAGATGGATTAAAGACTTAAATGTTAGACCTAAAACCACAAAAACTCTAGAAGAAAACCTAGGCAATACCATTCAGGACATAGGCATGGGCAAGGACTTCATGACTAAAACACCAAAAGCAATGGCAACAAAAGCCAAAATACACAAATGGGATCTAATTAAACTAAAGAGCTTCTGCATGGCAAAAGAAACTACCATCAGAGTGAACAGGCAACCTACAGAATGGGAGAAAATTTTTGCAATCTACTCATCTGACAAAGGGCTAATATCCAGAATCTACAAAGAACTTAAACAAATTTACAAGAAGAAAACAAACAATCCCATCAAAAAGTGGGCAAAGGATATGAACAGACACTTCTCAAAAGAAGACATCTATACAGCCAGCAGACACATGAAAAAATGCTCATCATTACTGGTCATCAGAGAAATGCAAATCAAAACCACAATGAGATACCATCTCATGCCAGTTAGAATAGCGATCATTAAAAAGTCAGGAAACAACAGATTCTGGAGAGGATGTGGAGAAATAGGAACACTTTTACACTGTTGGTGGGATTGTAAATTAGTTCAACCATTGTGGAAGACAGTGTGGTGATTCCTCAAGGATCTAGAACCAGAATTACCATTTGACCCAGCAATCCCATTACTGGGTATATACCCAAAGGATTATAAATCATGCTACTATAAAGACACATGCACATGTATGTTTATCGCGGCACTACTCACAATAGCAAAGACTTGGAACCAACCCAAATGTCCATCAATGATAGACTGGATTAAGAAAATGTGGCACATATACACCATGGAATACTATGCAGCCACAAAAAGGATGAGTTAATGTCCTTTGCAGGGACATGGATGAAGCTGGAAACCATCATTCTCAGCAAACTATCACAGGGACAGAAAACCAAACACCACATGTTTGGTTTTTGTCACTCATAGGTAGGAACTGAACAATGAGGTCACTTGAACAGGGCAGGGAACATCACACACCAGGGCCTGTTGGGGGGTGGGGGGCTGGGGAAGGGTTAGCATTAGGAGAAATACCTAATGTAAATGATGAGTTGATGGGTGCAGCAAACCAACATGGCACATGTATACCTGTGTATCAAACCTGCATTGTGCACATGTACTCTAGAACTTAAATTATTTAAAAAAAAAAAAAAAGAAATAAAAAACCAAGTCAATATATTTATTCACTTATTTTTAATTTTTCTTTTTTTTTTTTTTTTTTTGAGGCAGAACCTCACTCTGTTGCCCAGGCTGGAGTGCAGTGGTACGATCTAGGCTCACTGCAACCTCTGCCTTCTGGGTTCAAGTGATTCTTGTGCCTCAGCCTCCCAAGTAGCTGGGACTACAGGCATGCACCACTATGCCCAGCTATTTTTTTGTATTTTTAGTAGAGATGCGGTTTCACCATGTTGGCCAGGCTGGACTTGAACTCCTGTACTCAAGTGATCCGCCCACCCTGGCCTCCCAGAATGCTAGGATTATAGGCGTGAGCCACCACACCCGGTCTCAAGTCAATATCTTTAAAAAGCAACTTGAGAGAGGCAAATATTTCTTCATCTGTCACCTTTATTTGTAAAAGCAGAAAACTCTCTAAGTCAGTAGACTACAATCTAATGATTAGAATATCGAAACCTGTCTAATAGAGGCAAAGAGGGTATCCATTTTCAGTGGGCTCCAGCATGAAGCAAATTAGTCATCAGCTCCCTAAAATATGCAATATAAACTGTAATCATGTGCCTAATGCTTTTTCTTTTTCTTTTTTTGAGACGGAGTCTCACTCTGTCACCCAGGTGCAATCTTGGCTCACTGCAACCTCCTCCTCCCAGGTTCAAGCAATTCTTGTGCCTCAGCCTCCTGAGTAGCTGGGACTGCAGGTGCACACCACCATGCCTGGCTAATTTTTGTATTTTTTAGTAGAGATAGGGTTTCACCATGTTGGACAGGCTGGTCTTGAACTCCTGACCTCAGGTGACCCACCCGCCTCAGCCTCCCAAAGTGCTAGGATTACAAGCGTGAGCCACCACGCCTGGCCAATTTTCATAGCGATAAAATGTAAACATGAGACCTTCTACAGTAAGGAGAATCCAATCTATTTTATACATGTATTCCAAAGGAAAGTTTCATCAGTTTGGACAAGACTTGGCTCTAAAAGACGACTTGTTTTATGCTAAGCGTTTGTGCTTTTCTTTATGCCATTTTCCTTGCCTGGCATGTTGTTCTCCTTCATCTATTTGTACAAATGCCCTACTTACTGATTTTTCCAAAACATATTAAACTTTCCTTAGTCTTCAGTGCTATTACAGTAGGTAAGGTCTAGACCTAACAGAAGAGTATGCTTTGCATTATATTGTCCTTTATTTTTTTGAGACGGAGTCTTGCTCTGTCACCAGGCTAGAGTGCAGTGGTGTGATCTTGGCTCACTGCAGACTCTGCCTCCTGGGTTCAAGTAATTCTCCTGTCTCAGCCTCCTGAGTAGCTGGGACTACAGGCACGGGCTATCATACCCGTTTAATTTTTGTATTTTTGGTAGAGATGGTGTTTCGTCATGTTGGCCAGGCTGGTCTCGAACTACTGACCTCAGGTGATCTGCCTGCCTCAGCCTCCCAAAGTGCTGGGATTACAGGCATCAGCCACAGTGCCTGGTCTGTCCTTTATTTTTTGAAAATAGTTTTCTCATTGTGGTTTTGATTTGCATTTCTCTGATGGGCAGTGATGGTGAGCATTTTTCATGTGTTTTTTGGCTGCATAAATGTCTTCTTTTGAGAAGTGTCTGTTCATGTCCTTCGCCCACTTTTTGATGGGGTTGTTTGTTTTTTCCTTGTAAATTTGTTTGAGTTCATTGTAGATTCTGGATATTAGCCCTTTGTCAGATGAGTAGGTTGCGAAAATTTTCTCCCATTTTGTGGGTTGCCTGTTCACTCTGATGGTAGTTTCTTTTGTTGTGCAGAAGCTCTTGAGTTTAATTAGATCCCATTTGTCAATTTTGGCTTTTGTTGCCATTGTTTTTGGTGTTTTAGACATGAAGTCCTTGCCCGTGCCTATGTCCTGAATGGTAATGCCTAGGTTTTCTTCTAGGGTTTTTATGGTTTTAGGTCTAACGTTTAAGTCTTTAATCCATCTTGAATTGATTTTTGTATAAGGTATAAGGAAGGGATCCAGTTTCAGCCTTCTACATATGGCTAGCCAGTTTTCCCAGCACCATTTATTAAATAGGGAATCCTTTCCCCATTGCTTTGATTGCAAATCAAAACCACAATGAGATATCATCTCACACCAGTTAGAATGGTAATCATTAAAAAGTCAGGAAACAACAGGTGCTGGAGAGGATGTGGAGAAATAGGAACACTTTTACATTGTTGGTGGGACTGTAAACTAGTTCAACCATTGTGGAAGTCAGTGTGGCGATTCCTCAGGGATCTAGAACTAGAAATACCATTTGACCCAGCCATCCCATTACTGGGTATATACCCAAAGGACTATAAATCATGCTGCTATAAAGACACATGCACACGTATGTTTATTGCAGCACTATTCACAATAGCAAAGACTTGGAACCAACCCAAATGTCCAACAAGGATAGACTGGATTAAGAAAATGTGGCACATATACACCATGGAATACTATGCAGCCATAAAAAATGATGAGTTCATGTCCTTTGTAGGGACATGGATGAAGTTGGAAATCATCATTCTCAGTAAACTATCGCAAGAACAAAAAACCAAACACCGCATATTCTCACTCATAGGTGGGAATTGAACAATGAGAACACATGGACACAGGAGGGGGAACATCACACTCTGGGGACTGTTGTGGGGTGGGGGAAGGGGGGAGGGATAGCACTGGGAGATATACCTAATGCTAGATGACGAGTTAGTGGGTGCAGCGTACCAGCATGTCACATGTATACATATCTAACTAACCTGCACATTGTGCACATGTACCCTAAAACTTAAAGTATAATAATAATAAGAAGAAAAAAAGAAAATAGTTTTCTCTTTCTTACCTTATATACTTCTATGTGAGAGTCTTTGCCTTTTTTTTTTTTTTTTTTTTTTTGAGACAGGGTGTTGTTCTGTCCCCCAGGCTGGAGTGCAGTGGTGCAATCTTGGCTCACTGCAACCTCCGCCTCCCAGGTTCAAGAGATTCTCCTGTCTCAGCCTCTCCAGTAGCTGGGATTACAGGCGTGCACCACCACACCTGGCTAATTTTTGTATTTTTAATAGAGACAGGGTTTCGCCATGTTGGCCAGGCTGGTCTTGAACTCCTGTGCTCAGTGATCCACCTAACTTGGCCTCCCAAAGTGTTGGGATTACAGGCGTGAGCCACCATGCCCAGCAGCCTTGCATTGTTTACTGTGCCTGTGTCGCACACAGAGCTGGGGTACACTGCGTTTGCTCAATAAATAATTGTGGTTGACTGGTTAAATCTCTGCTTCGTTAGAAAGTCACCTACCCATTCTGTATTAATCATCTAACAGGAGCACAAGACACATTTTCCAGTCTACACTCTTAAATACCTACGGAGAGAATGTGATACTTCATTAGAATTGGTAATTATTCCCAGAGGAGAAAATCCTAAAGCTGCTCCTGAACTTTCAAGGATATGATAGGCTGTGGGCTCTGCTACAAAGCTCCATTTGCTCCTTTGCCTGAGTCCAGTTATATATAAAGTTCTCAATAATATTCAGCTCATATCTAAAAGACTGAAAGAAACAAAAGCAGGTAAGTAACTCAGGAAGCATGCAGGCAGGATAGGCAACGTCAGACTTTGTAGGCCAAAACAATTTGTACCCAGGGTCTGAAACTATGCTGGAAGGATAAATTAGGTAAAAATGGTAGGTACATTTATTTATTCAAGTGAAAACCAAAAAATCTTATCGGTAAGGTTGCCTTTCTTCTGTCACTTGATTTTAGAAAACTCTACTGTATCTTCAATTTTCATAAAATTCAAATCAGGGTAGATGTCTGAAAATCATTATAGTCACACTTTAGCCCATTATGAAAATGAGAATATTGATCAAAACACAGAGGGATCCACTCATCTAAATTAGAAATCTGAATTGAAGGATCCATACTCAGCTGATTATTTGTAGGAATCCTTTCATTTAGTCTTCACTCACTAAAATTCTAGCTTGGTAGCTTCTGGGAAATACTTTTTGCAGCACGACATATTCCCTGTTTTGGCTCTCTGGAAAGATTGGGGGATTCTTCTTGCATCCATATCAAGGCTGTTCATTATCTGGGGAATATAAATGAAGCTAGTACAGTGGCAAAAATACAAGATTTGCAGTTAGGCAGACTTGGGTTTGGTTTTTTCCTTGGTTATGTATCAACTGTGTACTTCTGGGCAATTTTTAACCTTTCTAAGCCTCAGTTCCCTCATCTATAAAATCAGTATAAAAGCAGTACCTCCCTCTTGGGATTACTGTGAGGGTAAAGTTAGATAATAGATGTGAAACCATATAAAAGCCCCAGTTTTAGGAGATAAGAACTAAGGACTAACTGTTGTCCTAATTCATCTTTCCTAAGATGCATTTACTTTTTTTTTTTCTTCACATTTTAGTATCTCTGAAATCTGTATGCTTCTTAAAATTGCTATTGGCTAAGGAGCAGTTGGCACTGTTTTCACTGACTGTACAAGTATGTCAGAGCTTGCAGAATGAGTGTCAGTAGCTTGGAAGAAAATCTCAGCTAAAAATGGATTATTCTTTTCAGAAACGCTGCACCACCGATGCTCTTGATGGCTCGGAGGACAATATTGTATGGAAAAACATAGACTTCCATGATTCAGAGTCAAAAAAAATTCAGAAGAGTTGGATCCTGAGTATGAAGAAATTTTAGACCAATTTATTTATTTTCTTTATATGTATGTACAAGAATGTCATAAAATAAAAATCTAAGCCTAATGGAGTATTTTTGTTTCGTTTTTTTGAGATGGAGTGTCACTCACTCTGTCGCCCAGCAGGCTGGAGCACAGTGGTGTGATCTCGGCTCACTCCAACCTCCACCTCTCGGGTTCCAGTGATTTTCCTGCCTCAGCCTCCTTAGTAGCTGGGATTACAGGTGTCCGCTACCATGCCTGGCTAATTTTTGTTTTTAGTAGAGACAGGGTTTCACCTTTTGGGCTAGGCTGCTCTCGAACTCCTGACCTCAAGTGATCCACCCGCCTCAGCCTCCCAAAGTGGTGAGATTACAGATGTGAACCACCAGGCCCAGCCCTAATGGAGTATTTTAATAGATATTAACTAAATATTTTTAGTGTAGAGCATTTTTGTCATGGTTTGCACAACAGCATTTTTTTCTTTCTTAGTGATTAATAAAATAATAGTGTCTCAAACCAATGTTTCTTTTAGATTCAATGAAATATGGCAGTAGGATGCCTGGCACATACTAAGAGCTCAGTAAATGTTGGCTGCTATTAATAATGATAGTAAGAACAATGAACAAAAGCTGCAAGTAATAAGTTTGTGGTCACACTTGCTTCTGTTAACTTTAGCTCTATTTAAAGAGAAATAAACTTTCTGTCTTCTACAAAGACAACAAAAAATAAGATTGAGAAAGGAAAGAAAAACTGTAAGTAAGTAATTCTCTTAATCCTCTCCTTTCTACTCTTCACATGAACATTTTGCATGTTTATAAGAAGAGAAATAAAAGAGATGGGCAAGACTGGAACTATGCTTAGAGCATGGAAAGTTGAATTATAACCTCTTTTTGCCCGTAAAAACCAGATTTCTGCAAAGGTTTACGGAAACAGGAGCAGTAGGGACAAACTATAAGGCCTGAAGTTACTATGTATGGGGCACAAATAGGTTGAGGGATAATAATGTACAAAATGCTTCCGATTCACTCTCTCATTTGAGTCTCATAATAACCTTTGAAGTAGGCATAATAGCTACTGCCTAGAGGGACCTGGGATTTGAAGAGATAATAGGACAACACCAAGATCATAATATAGGCTAGAGGGTTTTAAAATTACTCTATACAGATATATATTATTGGCATGATTATAGTCATGACAAAATTGTATATTACTGTTTCTATGAATGACTTAACAAGCCCATAATTACAGACTGACTGTAAGTATACATATATATTCCTAATAAAAAGAAGAAAAAGAAAACCTAGGTAAGCAATTATATGTTAAACTGCTAGTTTATAACCAGGAGGCAATGCTGTTAAAAATAGTTACTACTTGAAGTTTTCTATAGGAACAATTTCACAGATGCAATATACGAAAAAATCATTGGTGTACAGGCAGAAGTTAAAAAAAAAGATATGAAAAAATCAATTGTGCCTCAGTTAGGAAAATGGCCATGTTCAATGAATCTATCATGAAAAGTCTTGCTATGCTCCACAAAAGCTGGAGAGTTTAACTGAGAGGAACAGAGGTCTATTATATTAGAACGATAAAACAGTTAAGGTTATATCTGCTTTTACCTGGATGAACTGAGCTAAATTATGAAGTTGCATATTCTCAAATTTCTGCCTACACTAAAAACCTACATTTTGAGGACACCATCTGTAAAATTAGTAACACATTATTCTTCAGTCTCCAGAGCTCAAATCCCAGTTGATCTCACTTTTTCTGATGACCCACCCCTTCTTTGATTGGCTTAATCTTATCATCCATTTTAATTCTCACCATTCAGAAAGCCATTGCATAGGTGATGAGCTCATTCACATTGGGCACCATGGAAAAAGTTTATATATATGTGTGTGTGTGTGTGTGTGTGTGTGTGTCTGTGTGTGTGTATATGTGTGTGTATATATATATATATATATATTTTTTTTTTTTTTTTTTTTTTTTGAGACAAAGTCTTGCTCTCTTGCCGAGGCTCACTGCAACCTCCGCCTCCTGGTTCAAGTGATTCTCCTGACTCAGCCTCCTGAGTAGCTGGGATTACAGGTGCCCACCACCATGCCCAGCTAATTTCTGTATTTTTAGTAGAGACAGGGTTTCACCATGTTGGCCAGGCTGTTCTGGAACTCCTGACCTCAAGTCATCCGCCCACCTTGGCCTCCCAAAGTGCTGCAATTACAGGTGTGAGCCACCGCACCTGGCCAAGTTAATATTTTTTAATACACTAAACATTACATTGGAAAGTGCCCATTTTTTAGAAAAGGAGAGCTAGAGATTGGAACACAATATATAGAAATTAGAATTCAGATTAAGTTGACTGACAAGCATTAGGAAAAATGCAATAAAGATTGGGAGACTGAGGCTCAGAAACATGTAGCTTAAGGAAGCTTTAATACACAAAGTGAGAACAGTCCAAACACAGGCAGGTGAATGGCAAAGGATCTAATGGGCCACACTGTATCACTGTCATTCTCCTTTCATAAAGGAAAAAAAAAGAAAATATTTTCCCCCTTAAGAACAGGAAAACCATGAAGTCCTTTAATGATAACAATTGTAAAAAACAGCCAGGGAGAAAATTTGCAAGATTTCTTTTACAGTGCTGTAACCTATTGGTTAATTATAAGTTTAGCTGTCCCTTGCTAGACAATTAAGCTTTGTTTGTTCGTTTTGTTTTGGTTGTTTTAGATAGGGTCTCACTCCGTCACCCAGGCTGGAGTGCAGTGGTGTTATCATGGCTCACGTAGCCTCGACCTCCTGGGCTCAAGCGATCTTCCTGCCTCAGCCTCCAGGGAGCTGGGACTACAGGCATTTGCCACCATGACCAGCTAATTTAAAAAATTTTTTAATCTGGGCATGGTGACTCATACCTGAAATCCCAGCACTTTGGGAGGCTGAGGCGGGCAGATCACATGAGGTCAGGAGTTTGAGACCAGTGTGGCCAACATGGTGAAACCCTGTCTCTACCAAAAATACAAAAATTAGCAAGGCATGGTGGCAGGTGCCTGTAATCCCAGCCACTCAGGAGGCTGAGGTACAATAATTGCTTGAACCCAGGAGGCAGAGGCTGCACTGAGCTTAGATTGCACCACTGCACTCCGGCCTGGGTGACAGAGCAAGACTCTGTCTCAAAAAAAAAAATTTTTTTTTGGTAAAGACAGGGTCTCACTATGTTGCCCAGGCTGGTCTTGACCTCCTAGGCTGAAGCAATCCTCCCACCTTGGCCTCCCAAAGTGTTGGGATTAAAGGCATGAGCCACTGCACCTGGTAAGTTTCTTAGAGTACCACAGACAGACCATTAAGTCAGGTTATGTTTTAAATCCTGCAGCAGTAAAGCGTTTTTTTATTTTTTTCTTTCTGGTCATCAAGTTAATTAAGGTTTTCTTTAGTTTTTTTTTAAAAGCAACTTAAGAAACATAAACGATACTTCTCAATTTTGTGGTACTTTTTCATTTTTAAAATAGCTAATGAGGAATGTTTCATGCTTAAGTATATTGGTCTATCTCTAGATCGAACTTCACATTTACAAACATGGCTTTTAGGAGTTCCCACATATGTTTGGGAAGTGGAGTGGGCAAAATCCTGGAGAAGACAGAATTGTTGAAAGCGGGGCTGATACCCCAGAATGTGCCTAATATACTAGACCATAGATGCCACAGAGAGCTGGAGAGGGAGTGGGCATCAACATGTATGTGTACTTTGCCAGGCTTTCGTCCACATCTGATATTTACTAATTCAACACTATTTCCTGAAAATCTGGTTTGTGTTCTGTCTCTGGGAAGCACTAAGGAAATAATGGCGGGCCCAACACTCTCGTGAAAGTTCTCAGGGAGTGTTTGCAGAGAGACAGGTATTTAACAAACAATGAAATGACTATGTAATTAAGTGATTTGAAAAAAAAGTACAGAGTCCTTTGGAAATGTGTAACAAAAATGTGATCTAATTTGGGGTGGAGAGGTGGTGAAGCAGGAAAAGATATGAGTGAGGTTTAAGTGAGCTCTGAGCGATAAAAACAAGGTAACTAGGTGAAGGAGAAGGAAGAGAGCTCCAGGGAAATCAATAGTGGTGCAAAGGCTCTTAGTTAAGAGTGATTGATGAGATGAATCACGTAGTTAGGCGGCAACTGAAGTAGCCCAAGCAAAAGACAAGAATGGTGGTGGAGACAGAGACAGGTGGTCAGATGAGATGATGTTTCTGACAGTGATTGTGCGAATGGAGGTGACTGAAGGTATCAGTGCCAAACAGGTTCTTTTCTGCTTCATACACATTCCGGGGAACTAACTCTAACAACTTGCAAAGCCTGTGGTTGCATGGCTTTCTCACTGCTAATCTTAAATCTTTACTAAAACAAAGTCAGATCATGCTTTGTTTCTGCCTTGCAGGTCTTTCTCTTGCTGGTGCTAGCAGAATATTCTCATGTTTGAAATTATACTTCCTTAAATCTTTATTTTTTTAATTCTTTTTTTTTTTTTTTTGAGATGGGATCTCACTCTCTCATCCAGGCTGGAGTGCAATGGTGCAATCTCAGCTCACTGCAACCGCCACCACTCGGGTTCAAGCGATTCTCCCGCTTCAGCCTCCCAAGTAGCTGGGATTACAGCTGTGCACCACCACATCTGGCTAATTTTTGTAGAGATGGGATTTCACCATGTTGGCCAGGCTGGTCTTGAACTCCTGACCTCAGGTGATCTGCCTGCCTTGGCCTCCCAAAGTGCTGGGATTACAGGCGTGAGCTACTGCGCCCAGTCCCTTAAATCTTTTTTTTTTTTTTTTTTTGAGACAGAGTCTTGCTCTGTTGCCAGACTGGAATACAGTGTCATGATCTCAGCTCACTGCAACCTCCGCCTTTCTGGTTCAAGTGATTCTCCTGCCTCAGCCTCCCAAGTAGCTGGGATTATGGGCATGTGCCACCATGCCCAGCTAATTTTTGTATTTTTAGTAGAAATGGGGTTTCACCATGTTGGCCAGGATGGTCTCGATCTCCTGACCTTGTGATCTGCCTGCCTCAGCCTCCCAAAGTGCTGGGATTACAGGTGTGAGCCACCATGCCTGGCCTAAATCTTTAAATTGTTTTTAATATCATCTCTTCTTGGGGTCCTAATAGGCTTGCAACAGCTGATGCATCAATGTGAATGGCCAATATAAGACAATAGAGGCAGTGGCAACTATTAAAGAAGCTGTTCCCAAAATCTCCCATAGCTCTCAAAGGCAGCAGAGATCTACCTTCAAGAGTATCAGATTTGAAGAACTAGATGTAACACAGAAGATGAAGATAATCTTTTTTGTTGTTTTTTAAGAGACAGGGTCTCACTCTCACCCAGGCTGGAGTCCATGGTACCATCATAGCTCACTGCAGCCTTGAACTCTTGGGCTCAAGGGATCCTCTCACCTCAGCCTCCCACGTAGTTGGGATTATAGGCACTTGCCACTGTACTCAGCTAATTTTAAAATTTTTTATAGAGACAGGGTCTCGCTTTGTTGCCCAGGCTGGTCTTAAACTCCTGGCTTCAAGGAATCCTCCTGCTTTGGCCTCTTAAAGTGCTGGGACTACAGACATGAGCCACTGTGCCTGGCCGAAGATATTAACATTAGTTAGATATTTTCTTTCTTTTTTTGAGATGGAGTCTCTCTCTGTCACCCAGGCTGGACTGCAGTGGTACGATCTCTGCTCACTGAAACCTCCGCCACCTGGGTTCAAGCCATTCTCTTGCCTCAGCCTCCTGAGTATCTGGGATTACAGGCACCTGCCACCATGCCTGGCTAATTTTTTCTGTATTTTTAGTAGAGACAGGGTTTCACCATGTTGGCCAGGCTGGTCTTGAACTCCTGACCTCAGGTGATCTGCCTACCTCGGCCTCCCAAAGTGTTGGGATTACCAGCATGAGCCACCGCACCTGGCCAGTTAGTTATTTTCAATTCTATCCCTTCACTACAATTCGAATACTCACTTTTCTTCCTCTAGCTGTCAGGAAGCTGGGAGGCAATAACAAGCCCCAAATCATCTAGGGAGGATACACGCTATCTATGGCCTTGCCATACCAGAGAAGACTGCCACATAAACATGAGGCCAAGATTATATATCAATTGTTTTCAGTCTGGAGGCAGGGAAGTTAATCAGTATTTTAAATCAGAGCTACCTAACTGAATACACTAAAAATGATGCCACCATGGTAATATAATGAGGAAATGACATATTCTTCTGTCACATTCCAGCAGAGAGAGGCAGGTATTTCAAATACAGTCATGTGCCACATAACAATGTTTTGATCACTGAGACTGCACAGATGATGGTGTATATGTTTAGATACACAATTACCTACCATTATGTTGCAACTGCCCTCTATGGTATTCAGTACAGTAACATACTTGACAAGTTTGTAGCCTTGGAGCAACAGGCTGTCTAGGTTTGTGTAAGTTCACTCTATGATGTTTGCACACTGAAATCGCCTAATGATGCATTTCTCAGAATGTATCCCCATCGCTAGGCAATGCATACTGTATTTGAAGCTATCTCATAAATAGGGTTTGACATACACTAATTATAGCCTGGCAGTATTCATTTACTAAAATCATATAACTGTTACTCTCCTCTCAGGATCTGCCCCGTCGAGTCCTCTGACAGACGGACCTAGTGACTGCTGAAAACCTGACTGGGAAGGTGAGTCTTTTTCAGATGACCTCTATAAAGCAGATCTAGAGGAGACTGGAAGGATGTGTGTCCCATTATGCCAGTTTGAAATTAATTATGTTTCACGAGGCAGAGGAGGCTCCTGGGCCCAGTTGACAAAGTGTGTGTAAAATGTGATTAGCTTTAGGGAATAAATGATTACATGTGCAAATAAATGGGTTTAGTCTACTCACCAGATCAAGCAACTCCACAATTTATTATTTTTCTTTGGCAGAAATTGAACGCAAAACCACATTAACATCACCTTTGAGGTTATACATACCCACAAGTGAGGAAAACCAAAGATATTGTTCCCCCAGCTATCATAACCCTGTCGGATGATAGATATATATTAAAAGTGAACTATAAAACTTAATTCAAATCCACAGTTAGCACAAGAATATACCACGATATTCTTTATGACAAGCTGTGGAGCTATTATACTAGCAGAGTTTTAATTAACCTTTCCAGGTGGAGAAAAAAAGACTCACGGGCTCTTTGAAGCCAGTATAAGACAAGATCAGTAAACCAAGCAGTACAATTTCCACAGCATTGGAAAAAATCCCAACATTACTTTATTTTACTTATTTATTTATTTATTTATTTATTTTTGAAACAAACTTTTGCTCTTGTTGCCCAGGCTGGAGTGCAGTGGCATATTCCTGGCTCACCGCAACCCCTGCCTCCCAGGTTCAAGCGATTCTCCTGCCTCAGCCTCCCAAGTAGCTGGGATTACAGGCTTGCACCACCACGCCGGGCTAATTTTTTGTATTTTTAGTAGAGACAGGATTTCACCATGTTGGTCAGACTGGTCTCCAACTCTCAACCTCAGGTGATCCACCCACCTCAGCCTCCCAAAGTGCTGGGATTACAGGCGTGAGCCACCGCGCCTGGCCTACTTTATTTTTATTCTTTTTTGAGATGGAGTTTCGTTCTTGTCACCCAGGCTGGAGTGCAGTGGCGTGATCTCAGCTCACCGCAAACTCCACCTCCCTGGTTCAAGCGATTTTCTTGCCTCAGCCTCCTGAGTAGCTGGGATTGCAGATGCACACCACCACGCCCAGCTAATGTTTGTATTTTTTGTAGAGATGGGATTTCGCCATGTTGGCCAGGCTGGTCTCAAACTTCTGACATCAGGTGATCTGCTGCTGCTTCCCAAAGTGCTCGGATTACAGGCGTGAGCTACCCCGCCGGGCCCCAACATTCCTTTAGATTCAAATTTAAAAAGCAGTCATGCTGACTGGGTGTGGTGGCTCACGCCTGTAATCCCAGCACTTTGGGAGGCCAAGGTGGGCGGATCACCTGAGGTCAGGAGTTCGAGACCAGCCTGATCAACATGGAGAAACCCCATCTCTACTAAAAATACAAAATTAGCCAGGTGTGGTGGCACATGTCTGTAATCCCAGCTACTCGGGAGGCTGAGGCAGGAGAATTGCTTGAACCGGGGAGATGGAGGTTGTGGTGAGCTGAGATCATGCCATTGCACTCCAGCCTGGGCAACAAGAGTGAAACTCCGTCTCACATTTAAAAAAACAAAAAAAACAAAAAAACAAAACTGTAGTCATGGGCCAGGCACGGTGGCTCATGCCTGTAATCCCAGCACTTTGGGAGGCCAAGGCGGGTAGACCACCTGAGGTCAGGAGTTTGAGACCAGCCTGGCCAACATGGTGAAACCACGTCTCTATTAAAAATACAAAAATTAGCCAGGCGTGGTGGTGTGCCCCTGTAGTCCCAGCTATCCAGGAGGGTGAGGCAGGAGAATTGCTTGAACTTGGGAGGCAAAGGTAGCAGTGAGCTGAGATCACACCACTGCACTCCAGCCTGGGTGACAGAGCGAAACTCCATCTCAAAAAAAAAAAAAAAACAAAAAACAAAAAATATAAAACAAAAACTAGTCACAATCAAATTCAAGTTGATACACATCTACTGACTGAGAAATGCTAGGAGTTTTGGGAAAAACCTAGTTCAGTACAAGCTGATAAGGGAATACCTAATAGATCTCAGAGTTTGTTCCAATTACTTTGGTTAGTATCACAGATGAGTAAGATCAGAGTTTGAACCTAAGTGAATACTTGGAAATTAGCTAAGAAGATAACCAAACAGTAGCAAGTTTCTGATTAAAAGATCGAAGTTCGGCCAGGCGCAGTGGCTCATGCCTGTAATCCAGCAGTTTGGGAGGCCGAGGTAGGTGGATCACCTAAGGTCAGGAGTTGGAGACCAGCCTGGCCAACATGGCGAAACCCCGTTTCTACTGATAAAGTACAAAAATTAGCCGGATGTGGTGGTGGGCGCCTGTAATCCCAGCTACTCAGGAGGCTGAGGCAGGAAAAGCTTGAACCCGGGAGGTGGAGGTTGCAGTGAGCCGAGATGGTGCCACTGCACTCCAGCCTGGGAAACAAGAGCAAGACTCTGTCTCAAAAAAAAAAAAAAAAAAAAAAAAAAGATCAAAGTTCATCAGACCAAAGAAATAAAAACTTCAGACACCCAGAGGGCTCTCATTAAGTGACACATTATTCAGGTGTTTTTATATGTTATCATGTGTTCTATGTATCATGAGAACATAATCCTTGAATCTGGAGTAAAAAGTAATCTATTAAGTTTTTTACACACTATCAATGTATCACAGTGGGAATTTCCCAAGTTTATTATAAAGTATCACAGAAAATAAGCTACAAGATACTGCCATGATGGATACTAAATTTCCAAGTGATATTAATAGACATTTGTCTCAAATTGAGGGAACAAATTACAAGCTGGAAATGAAACACAACATATCTTTCTGGCTGTAAAATGACATTTAAAACGTCCAATACTTCTGCTACTAATGGCAACAATAAACCATGGTGCATAGCATAATAGGGACTAAACCTCTATATCCTGAAAAAAAAAAAGCAATCCTAGGAGCCTTCCTCATCAATTCAAAAGCTGCATAGGACACATTTCTCTGGAGATGGAAGGGACTGGGACTGGAAAACAGCAAGTATTGGATAGTCTGGATTATAAGAATATGTAGCTGGGCACTGGTGACACAGGGAGAAACTACTGATCTACAGTGCTGGAATACTACTAGGAAGCAACTGTCTTCTGGGAAGGAAGGGAATGAGGTTGCAACTCTCTATTCACTAGACTCAAAGCTAATGAATCATGTGGGGGAGGACTGTGGCAACTATGAACAGCACCGGTGGGTTGAGAAAGGCAATGAGGTCTGAAATAAAATTACCACTGGGTAGCAAGATAAACTGCTGGCATGGTCTTTGCAATGAGTCTAACACTATGATCCTGGAACTGTTTTTGACACAGCCCTCCTGAGGCTAATCCTATAATCTGGGGAAGGCGGTGAGTATGTATATGAATGTTCCCAATGTTCCCCTACTCCTAATATTCACTCTTGTGTAATCCCCTTCCACAATGGACCAGAAGCTGTGACCAAAAGGATAAGGCAGAAGTGATGGAATGCCACTTCTAAGATCAGATTATACAAGACAGTGTGGATTCCCTGTTGGCTGTGCTGTGGGAAGCCAGCTGCCAGGTCATGAGAGCCCTATGAAGAGGTTCACTAAGGGAGGAACTGGAGCCTAGTGCCTACAGCCATGTGAGTGAGCTTAGAAGAGGCCTAGTCAAGCTTTTAGACGACTAAAATCTCATGAGAGACAGCCAGAATTACCCAGCTAAGCTGCTTGTAGATTCTTGTCCCTTAGAAACTATGTGATATAATAAATGTTAGCTGTTTTAAACTATGTTTTAGGGTAATTTCTTTCTTTTTCTTTTTTTTGAGACAGGGTCTTGCTCTGTCACTCAGGCTGGTATGCAGTGGCACAATCCCAACTCACTGCAGTTTCAGCCTCCCAGGTTCAAGCAATCCTTCCACCCCAGCTTCCCAAGTAGCTGGGATGCACCACCATGCCGGGCTCATTTTGTGTGTGTGTGTGTGTGTGTGTGTGTGTGTGTGTGTGTGTGTGTGTGTGTGTTTTGTTTGTTTTTGGTAGAAACGAGATCTCACTATATTGCCCAGGTGTGTGTGTGTGTGTGTGTGTGTGTGTGTGTGTGTGTGTTTTGTTTGTTTGTTTTTGGTAGAAACAAGATCTCACTATATTGCCCAGGTTGGTCTCAAGCTCCTGGGCCCAAGCGATCCTTCTGCCTTAGCCTCCCAAATTGACGGAATTATAGGCTTGAGCCACCATGCCCATCCTAGGGTAATTTCTTATGCAATAATAGGTTGCTAATACAGTTGTAGAGCTCTAATTTTAGAAGGAGTGGGTTAGAAACTGTCTTACTTCCTACTTTTTTTTTTTTTTTTTTAAAGAGAGAGGGACTTACTCTGTTACCCAGGGTGGAGTGCAGGGCGCAATCACAGCTCACTGCAGCCTCAACCTCCTGGGCTTAAGCAATCCTCCTGCCTCAGCCTCCCAAGTAGCTGGGACTATAGTTATATGCCACCGTGCTTGGCCCATTTTTTTTTTTTTTGGTAGTAGAGATGGGTCTCACTATGTTGCCCAGGCTGGTCTCGAACTCTATAGACTCAAGTGATCCTCCCACCCTGGCCTCCCAAAGTGCTGGGAATACAGGCATGAGCCATCACACCAGGGCTTACTTCCTACTTTTAAGAACCACTAGTGCCTGAGCAGGAGGAGCAACACCAACACCAAGCTGGGGTCACAGAATGAGCCACATTATCTTGAACAAGTACAACTGTTCAATTAACTCTATTAGCTTTAATTCATCCCAAATAGCATTTTACCAGAGAAAAAGGGGTGGGAGGGAGAGGGAGAGAGAGAAAGAGTGGGGAGAGAGACAGAGAGAGAGACAGAGAGAGAGATAGTCACCACCACCACAACAAAAAAACACCAATGGGTACAGTAATTCCACTACAGCAAATAAGCTGCTTCCAAAATTTCTCAGTTTGCTGTTTGACCAACCTTAATAGCAAAGAAATTCCATGAAAAGTATTTCTAGGCTGGGCGCAGTGGCTCATGCTTGTAATCCCAGCACTTTGGGAAGCCGAGGCGGGTGGATCATCTGAGGTCAGGAGTTCGAGACCAGCCTGGCCAACATGGTAAAACCCTGTCTCTACTAAAAATAAAAATTAGCCACGCGTGGTGGCACGTGCCTGTAATCCCAGCTACTCAGGAGGCTGAGGCAGGAGAGTCGCTTGAACCTGGGAGGCGGAGGTTGCAGTGAGCCAAGATCATGCCATGCACTCCAGCCTGGGCAACAAGAGTAAAAATCCATCTCAAAAAAAAAAAAGAAAGAAAAGAAAAGCATTTCTATATTGGAAAGAAAATAATAGCATAATAATATTAATAACAGCATATTAACACTTAGCAATGATGACTGCAACACTCTGTATTAATGTTATATGATGTCCAATAAAGAGAACATGACCAATATCCTATATTCAAGGAAACTACTTTAGGTTCTTCCTTAATTTCTGACATGTGCTCCATAATATATCTACATGGAAACTTGGAAAATATTATCAAAACATCTCACTGATCAATATAATCCAGCACAATGAATTTAATATATATACCGCATTTATTTTTCCAGTTGCGTATACTGGAAATCACTGCTTTGGGATTAAAACTCTGATCAACATGATGATTGTGAAGTTGGCAATTTTCTGGAAGGCTTTCAAACTTTAAAGGGTAGAAAGCTGCAAACAGTATTAAGACTGGACAGAGATGCCAGGAAGTATAGGTCAATGATTCTTTCTTAACTCCTCTTCTAATAAGGCTCCCAGGGTCACAGAAGAATTCAAATGCGGTTCCTGTTTTTTTTTTTTTTTTTTAAATAAATACAGGGTCTCACTCTGTTGCCCAGGCTGGAGTCCAGTGTCACGATCACGGCTCACTGCAGCCTCAGACCTCCCGGACTCAATTGATCCAACCACCTCAGCCTCCCAAGTAGCTGGGACCACAGGTGCATGCCACTACACCCAGCTACCATTTTTTTTTTTTTTTTTTGTATTTTTTTTTGTAGAGACATTATCTTCCTATGTTGCCCAGGCTGGTCTCAAACTCCTGAACTCAAGTGATTTGTCCGCCTTGGTCTTCCAAAGTGCTGGGATTACAGGCATGAGCCACTGCACCTAGCCTTCATTAAAAAAGAAACCTAGACTGGGTGTGGTGGCTCACGCTTGTAATCCCAACACTTTGGGAAGCCAAGGCAGGTGGATCTCTTGAGGTCAAGAGTTCAAGACCAGCTTGGCCAACATGGTGAAACCCCATCTCTACTAAAAATATGAAAATTAGCTGGGTGTGGTGGCGCATGTCTATAGTCTCAACTACTTGGGAGGCTGAGGCAGGAGCATTGCTTGAACCCAGGAGGCGGAGGTTGCAGTGAGCCGAGATCACACCACTGCACTCCAGCCTGGGCGGCAGAGCGAGACTCCATCTCAAAAACAAAAACAAAACCAAAAAACCAAAAAACCAAATAACCTTATTGTATATTGATTAGTTTTTTGACAAATACTTATTGTGCACTTACTCCTGAAAACATTTTTTACAGCTGTCTCTTTACAACCTTATCTCACCAATACCAGCAGTTTCCTGTTTTTTTACCCTTGTGCTTCACGTCCTTAGCTGGATATGAGGGTGATCTGGCTGAGACCCATCCTTCTGATCTCTGGCCCATCTTGGCTCATTTACTTTATTCTGTACAACTTAAATATAAGGATAGCACTCTGTCCCTCACTTTCTTTTTTGCTTCAAGTAAATTATACACTGTCCTTGAGTGAGCTCATCAATTCCCAATGTATCAACCAACTCCTATATGCTAATAATACCGTATCTCTAATTCCACCCACATCACTGATTGCCAAATTCATATATCCAATTGCCTGTAGAGAAAGCTATTGAGGTGTCTCATGAATACTTCAAACCCAAAATGTCCAAGAGAGAACTCAGCATTTCTTTAAGCAAACCTACTTCTCCTCCTGTGTTCTCTATCTCAGTGAATGGGATTAACTGAATTCTACTCTTTCATACCAATTGCCAAACTGCCAATTGCCAAATCGACTCCCTTTTCTCTCTCCCCTTTCCTAAGACTACCTTATGATTTTCTCCTTAGACAACTGCAATAACTACCTATTTTCCCTCTTTGTTAATCCATACTTTACAGTGTTGCTAGAGTGATCTTTCTAAAAATCCAAATCTGATTATGCCACTTCTCACTTTATACCTTTCAATGGTTCCCTACAGGTTTTAGGATAAAGTGTCCAAATATCCGTGGTGCACCATTCAAAATACTTCATGACCTGGCTACTGCATTTTGTTTTTGTTTCCCAAAAGCACCATCTTTTTCCTTCCTTCTTTGCATTGGTTGCTCTATTTCCCTAGAATGCACTTTTATTTATTTAAAAAGATAGCTTGTAACCTAGAATGTACTTTTGTTTTTATTTTGCACAGCTCTCTCTCTCTCTCCCACTCTCTCATGCTTAGAAATGACTGAACTAGTTTATATTTCATTAGTCATGTAGCTTTAATAAAAAAACACATTCATGTTAATGTGTGGTAGATTGATACAAAACAGATACAGAGATTATGGGTGGGGAGGGAGAAAAGGCATCCAATAATAAGAAAAATAATGAGAAATAAAAGAGACTTGACAAATATTCATTTCTGTGCTGTTAAATGAATTTAGAGGATAATAATCTGATGTAATTTATGACCCTTTAAAGTGGTATTTGCTCAAAGTATGAATTCAAAAGGCTGCATATGATACATAATTCATTCACAAATGACTGCAGAGCTGGCTCTGGCTCCTAGGACATTGTCTAGACTTCCCAGACTCCTCCAAGGCTGGGTAGCAAGCCAGAGGCCAGATCTATTTTTTTTTAAATATTTTTCTTCTAAGAAAGAAAAAAAATTACATTTACTAGTTAACTGAGGCTAAGTTAGTTAAAAGAAGAAAAAAAAGCAAGCTTCTTTCCACTCATTAGCACAGTCATCATGAGCAATAATCATTCTTTATTTTAAAATGTCCCTAAGTTCCAAAAACCATAACTCTAAAAGGCACCTGCAGCTAAAGATGGCTATAAGAGGGATAAAAATGAAAAGACCTACTCAGACACCGTGGACATCATTTTGTCCAAGCTGATCTAGAGGCCAAATTTGATCTGCCTATAGGCCCAGAGAGGTCTGGGAGAACGTAAAGAAACTTTCTCTTGTCTTGTCTTGCTCCCTAATTTTAATCTGTTTCTTAATGATCTTTGCAGACCTGTCCCTGAGGCACAGAGTCTCTTTACCAGCATCAGAAAACCTAGACGATCTATCAATTTAAGCCTGGCTTGGGACAAACTTGATGAGAAAGGTCATTTCTCACAGTCTCTTGGCTCCAGTCCCAGAGTTTACCGAGTGCTCTAATGCCTCTTCTTGGGTATTCCACAACTGTAACAAAGAGCAAATGAAAATCCACTACCTGATCTTTAGACAGAATGAATTTCAGAGTTAGAATTGACTCAAATAATGCCACCTCTGAGAAAACTGAGCAGTCCCCTGCTCTCTTACTTCACAGACTGATTCATATGTCCCAATTTATGTTCTCATTGTACCATATACATATCTCTACAACTGTACTGTACTTATGTACTGTGCAAGTATTTCTTGTTCATTTATCCTACCTTTATAAGCTTCTTGAAAGCAGAACAATGTTTTTCTCATCTTTGTATCTTAAGCATTTAGCACAGTTCCTGGAAAACTAGTGTAAATTATTAGTAGTTAAGAAAAGACTCTGAGCCGGGCACAGTGGCTCATGCCTGTAATCCCAGCACTTTGGGAGGCCAAGGCAGGATGATCACCTGAGGTCAGGAGTTTGAGACCAGCCTGGCCACCATGGTGAAACCTTGTCTCTACTAACAATACATGAAATTAGCCAGGTGTGGTGGTGGGCACCTGTAGTTCAGTTACTCGGGAGGCTGAGGCAGGAGAAGTGCTTGAATCAGGGAGGCGGAGGTTGCAGTGAGCCGAGATCATGTCACTGCACTCCAGCCTGGGCAACAAGAGTGAAACACTCCATCTCAAACAAACAACAACAACAAAAAGACTCTGGAGCCAGACTGCCTGGAATCAAATCTCAGCTCCACCTTTATCATGTGTGAGACTTTGAGCAAGTTATTTAGCCTCTTATTGCCTCAATTTCCTCATTTATTAAATACTAACCTCATAGCACTGAGAAGATCAAATGAAACAACGTACAGACAGCCCCCAACTTACAATGGTCCCACTTAACAATTTTTGAACTTTATGGTGGGTTTATTGGGGTATTAAATGTATTTCTTTTCTTTTCTTTTTTTTTTTTTTTGAGCCAGGGTCTTACTCTGTCACCCAGGCTGGAGTGCAGTGGGGCAATCACAGCTCACTGTAGCCTTGACCTCCTCGGACTCAGGTAATACTTCCACCTTATCCTCCCAAGTAGCTGGTTAAGGGCATTTCTGACTTATGATGGATTTACTGAAACATCATCATAAGTCAAGGAGCACCTGTACATAAAGCACTTAGAATAGTGTCTGACTCATGGTAAGCTCTCAGGAAGTGCTAGCTAGTATTTTTATTATGTAGTATGTACTCAAACTTTTGTTTGAATATATACTACACATATGCTCGAGACTGACAGAAGTCTGTAGCCACGGACTGTTGTAGCTAGAAGTGTATATATAGATGAAACACTGAACTATAAATTCATAATCACCTTCTTCTATACTATTTTTCATTTTACTGTATTACCTTTCTGTGGTACCTTGAATATTCTGTTGTATGTGAGACTAAAAATTTATTCCTGCATTCTGAATTCCAAATAAATGACCTAAGAACTTTTTATACACTGGTATAGAGCTTATTCATAAGTTGAGAAGCACCTGGGTTCTACTAAAAAGATGTTGCTAAGACTATTTGAAAGACTGATTGAGGAAAAGTTTCCATGGAGAAAAATCAAAGCTTCATGACTTATTTATGAGCTCCTTTTATCTTGTGGCCAGTTTCAAATGAACTTAAAATGTAACATTAAAGATATCTGATAACAGGAAAATCCTGGGGATTGACAAATATTACAAAGGCATCACTAACATATCATTGACTTTGGAATTGCAAAGCTATCTGCAAATCAAAGAAAAATATCAATCTCTATGAGTCTTCTGCACTTTTTTTTTTTTTTGAGACGGAGTTTCGCTCTTGCCCAGGCTGGAGTGCAATGGCACGATCTCGGCTCACTGCAACCTCCGCCTTCCGGGTTCAAGCGATTGTCCTGCCTCAGCCTCCCGAGTAGCTGGGATTACAGGTATGTGCTACCACACCTGGCTAATTTTGTATTTTTAGTAGAGACGCGGTTTCTCCATGTTGGTCAGGCTGGTCTCGAACTCCCAACATCAGGTGATCTGCCCACCTTGGCCTCCAAAAGTGCTGGGATTACAGGCATGAGCCATGGCGCCCGGCCGCACTTTTAATGATCCATCTGAAAGGTCAGATTCAGAAGTGATAATGCCTTTAAAAAACTTTGCCCACATAATATATTTAAGCTACAAAGTGTCACTCTTAAAATTTTTCCTCCATTCTCCAAAAGGTATGAAACAAAAAAGCACTTTTTGGCACACTTTTACTGAATAATTATCAAGATATTATCAAGGTTGCATTTACAAAGGAGCTTTACATAACCATGGAGATTCTACCATATACAGTCATGTGCTGCATAAGGACATTTCAGTCAATGAGAGACTGCATATATAATGGCGTTCCCATAAGATTATCATGGAACTGAAAAATTCCTATCACCTAGTGATGTTGTGAGGTTGCAATGCAGTTACTTTGTTTTATAAATTTAGTATACCCTAAGTGTACAGTGTATATAAAGTCTGCAGTAAGGTACAGCAATGTCTTAGACCACACGCATCATCATTCATTCACTGACTCAACCAAACCAATTTCCAGTCCTGCAAGCCCCATTCATGGTTAAGTGCCTTTACAGATGTACCATTTTTTAAAATCTTTTATACCATATTTTTACTCTGCTTTTTCTATGCTTAGATATGTTTACTTACACAAATACTTACCATTGTTTTACAATTGCCTTGTTTTGTAAAGAATTGTTGGCCAGGCACAGTGGCTTATGCCTGTTATCCCAGCACTTTGGGAGGCTGGGGCGAGTGGATCACCTGAGGTCAGGAGTTCAAGACCAGCCTGGCCAACATAGTGAAACCTCGTCTCTACTAAAAATACAAAAATTAGCCAAGTGTGGTGGCACATGCCTGTAATCCCAGCTACTAAGGAGGCTAATGCAGGAGAATCACTTGAACCCAAGAGGCAGAGGTTGCAGTGAGCCGAGATTGTACCACTGCACTCTAGCCGGGGTGACAGAGTGAGATTCTGTCTCAAAAAAAAAAAAAAAAAAAAAAAAAAAGAACTGTTATAGTTCTTTTACACACATGCACGTGTGCTCGCACGCGCACACACGTATACATACACACATACGTATACACATTAGGTTAAATAATGCTTGCTGTGGCATTTCCTCACCAGATTTTTGCAAGGAGAAAGCAGTACATGTTGACTAAATGCTTTATGTTTTTCTAAAAATACTGTACTAGTAAAATACAGTAATTATTTCAGTACAGTAACATGCTGTATAGGTTTGTAGCGTAGAAGCAATAGGCTATACCATATAGCCTATGGTATACCTATATACCATATAGCTATACCATCCAGGTTTGTGTAAATGCACTCTACGATGTTTGCACAATGATGAGATCATCTAACAATGCATTTCTCAGAATTTATCATTAAGCAATACATAACTATATAGTATTTTCAGTTTGACTTTACAACCAGAGAACCTATAAGCCAGAAATGATAGCAAACTTGAGCTGGAGAGAATAAAGGGAATTGCAAGAAATTAAATCAGAGTTTGGCTTTGGATTTTATACATTTTCTCATTAAACTGGCTCACCCTGAGAGCTAACCTGATCTCATCAGGGCAAGATATTGGACCTACCCCATGAAGTGTATATATAGAGAAAATAGAATTAGTTTCAAAGAATGTTGATATCAAGACATGGGTGATTGACATAAAAGCTCCTGAGGAAAAAAAAATTTTTTTGAGATGGAGTCTTGCTCTGTCGCCCAGGCTGGAGTGCAATGGTGTGATCTTGGCTCCCCGCAACCTCCACCTCCTGGGTTCAAATGATTCTCATGCCTCAGCCTCCCGAGTAGCTGGAATTACAGGTGTGCACCACTACGCCTGGCTAATTTTTTTGTATTTTTAGTAGAGACAGGGTTTTGCCATGTTGGCCAGGCTTGAACTCCTGGCCTCAAGTGATCCTCCTGCCCTGGCCTCCAAAAGTGCTGGGATTATAGGCATGAGCCACCATGCCCAGCCCATAGTTTTTTGTTTTTTTTTTTTTTTTTGGTAAAAACCCTTAAACATATACTTGGCTCACTGAAGTTATAAATACCCAAAAGAAACAAGTATGGCTGTCATTCTTATCCCTGGGAGATGCATTCTGAGATACCCAGTGGAAGCCTGTAACCAAGAATAGTACTGAACCCATTTGCCGTCACATGGAACATGTTTCTGTTCAGGTCTTTTTTTTTTTTTTTTTTTTTTTTTTTTGAAATAGAGTCTCACTCTGTCACCCAGGCTGGAGTGCAGTGGCACAATCTTGGCTCACTGCAACCTCTGTCTCCCGGGTTCAAGTGATTCTCCTGTCTCAGCCTCCCTACCAGCTGGAATTACAGGTACCTGCCACCACACCTGGCTAATTTTTGTATTCTTAGTAAAGACAGGGTTACACCATGTTGGCCATGCTGGTCTCAAACTCCTGACCTCAGGTGATCTGCCTGCCTCGGCCTCCCAAAGTACTGGGATTACAGACATGAGCCACCATGCCTGGCCCTTGTTCAGGTCTTTCACTCCTACATTTAAAGCCTTTTCCATCTTAACTAAGCACTTATCACACACTGTGTCTATAACTTTTGCAGTTTGAGATATAACAGCAAAATTAGCATAATTTTTTTTCCTACTTCATAATTTCCCAGCTAGGAGATTCTTTCTTACCATAGATCTTAGCAACCTCACCATACAATTTTTTTCCATTCCTTATTAAGTTGAGAACTTTCAACCTTTTAGGAAGTACTTTACAGCTTCTCTCTGGCACATCTACATTACCAGCATCACTACTCTTGTGCTTTGGGGCCATTAGTAAATAAAATAAAGGTTACTTAAACACAAGCACTCCAACACTGCAACAGTCGATCTGGTAACAGAAATGACTACTAAGTGACTAAGGGGTGGGCAGTGCAGACAGCCTCTATATGCTGACAAAGAGGTCATTCATGTCCCCGCGGAACAAGTGGGACCTCATGAGATTTTATCACACTACTCAGAAAGGCATGCAATCTGAAACTTATGAACTGTTTATTTCTGGAATTTTCCATTTGATATTTTTGAACTACAGTTGACGGCAGGTAACTGAAATCTTAGAAAGAGAAATTGCAGATAAGGGAGGACTACTGTACTCTTTAACAAACTCTTCCAATTTTTGGAAAAGTCAAACTGGAAACCTCTAAGGATGGAATAAGAAACTACCCACATTCTGCTTTGTAGAGGCAAAGCGGAAGTACAAAACTAAAGGAAATGTCATTGAACATATCATTTTGTTTCTTGGATTTAATTAAATCAAGAGTCAGGTCTCATCATTTAGTTTACACTTCCCCAGAGAACAAAACCAACAAAACTGGGCTATCAGTGCAAAAAGAAACCTACTTTGCCAAAGAGTGTTCTAGTTCCAACAAGTGTTGGATTGAAAGCCTTCTTGCCTTCTGGTCTCCTTTTCTATAATATTTTGGCCAGGAAAGGAGTTGAGGCATGTCCCTTGATACGGTCATTTGTTGCATCAGACAGATTTAATTCTACCTTAGCACTTTAAAAAGATGGGTAGAAAGATGTCAACTTGATGATTTAAAGGGTGGGTGATTCTAGAATCTCTTTAGGTACTTTTAATCATTTAGTTGTAGTTATAATCTTTTTAAAAAGCTCCTTGATATTTAACTTAATACCTTCATTTTTTTTTTTCATCTCTACTCTTTTTCTTTTTTTGAGACGAAGTCTCACTCTGTTGCCCAGGCTGGAGTGCAGTAGTGCAATCTTGTCTCACTCCGACCTCCACCTCCTGGGTCCAGGCGATTCTTGTGCCTCAGCCTCCCGAGTAGCTGGGATTACAGGAGTATGCCACCACGTCTGACTAATTTTCTGGTTTTTTGTTTTGTTTTGTTTTGTTTTTTGAGACAGAGTCTTGCCCTGTTGCCCAGACTGGAGTACAATGGTGCAATCTTGGCTCACTGCAACTTCCGCCTCCCGGGCTCAAGCAATTCTCATGCCTCAGCTTCCCAAGCAGCTGGGATTACAGGGACATGCCACCACACCCGGCTGATTTCTGTATTTTTAGTATAGATGGGGTTTTGCCATCTTGGTCAGCCTAGTCTCATACTCCTGACCTCAGGTGATCCACCCACTCTTCCTCCCAAAGTGCTGGGATTATAGGCATGAGCCACCACTCCCGGCCTAATTTTCTGTATTTTTAATAGAAACGGGGATTCGCCATGTTGGCCAGGCTGGTTTCGAACTCCTGACCTCAGGTGATCCGCCTGCCTCATCCTCCCAAAGTGCTGGGATTACAGATGTGAGCCACTGCACCCGGCCTTGTCTCTATTCTTATTGACAGATGAGAATAATTAACATAGTTCTTTATATCTCTCTTTTTCTTTCTGATTGAACAAATCTAGTTTAACCTCAATATTTTTTCTTGAAGACTGAAATATAAATCAGTTACTGTTATCCTCTGAATCATACCTAATTTACCTTTAGATAATTGACACTCGTGCTTCTTAAAACGTAACAATTTTTTTTTTTTTTTTTGAGACAGAGTTTCGCTCTTGTCGCCCTGGAGTGCAATGGCATGAGACTGGAGTGCAATGGCATGATCTCGGCTCACTGCAACCTCTGCCTCCTGGGTTCAAGTGATTCTCCTGCCTCAGCCTCCCAAGTAGCTGGGATTATAGGCATGGGCCTCTACATTCGGCTAATTTTGTATTTTTAGTAGAGACGGGGTATTGCCATGTTGACCAGGCTGGTCTCAAACTCCTGACCTCAGGTTATCTGCCTGCCTTGGCCTCTTAAAGTGCTGGGATTACAGGCATGAGCCATCGTGCCGGGCCAAAATGTAACAATTTTATTGGTTATTTGCTAAGCACGTGAATCCCAGCTTATAAGCAAGATCATGCTACAGACTGGAATTCTATTAGATAATACCTTTTCAGTGTCCTTGTCTTATATTCTGGAGTTGGTTGCTTCTTTCTTCTACAAATTAGTTTTTGCTTTTTTTTTTTTTTTTGATATGACAGCTCCTTTCCCCCCTTACCCCTCTCAAATTAAAATTAACCATAACCTTTCAAATAATTTTCTAATACCTTTCAGTTTTGACTGACATCCTACTTGCTACAGTCATTAAGAAATCAATGAATATATTAACTGGAATTAGATTTGGCACCTATCTCCAAGGAACTCAATAGTTCTCAGTAGCCTTAGACGAAATTTTTAATAACCTTAAAAGAGAATTTTAAAAACCAACCTTATATTCTTAAGTCATTCTTTTAGACCTGTTTTTTTTGTGAGTTCCCAAATAAAGAAAAAAGGGTAGAATGAAAAAAAAAAGAGATCAGAATTAAGAGCATTAAAATAGCTGTAAAATCCAGCAGCTAATAATTCTTGTGATTAAATATAATTAAATGGCTAGTTTAGGTAGTATCTTGCAAGCACAAAAGAACAGTGTATTTCTCCACAGTCATAAGACTTGAGTGGCAAAGAAATTGGTAAAAGATTCTGAAGAAGGTAGACTGTACATATTCCAGAAATTTGGTCTTTTTCTGTCTCTAAAATTCAGACAATTTTATTTTTCTTTAGAGTCCCAAATAAATCAGGTACAGAAATGCCATTTCAGACTAAAAGTAATAACTTAATCAGACAAAGAACAGAAATAGTTCAGTCTGAAAGACAGTGTGAAGTAGACCCGAGTTGGAATCCTAGTTCTACCATATAATAGTCCTGTGACTTTTACCTCTTTGTGTTTCAGTTTCTACATCCAGAACATGGGTAAAACATCACTAAACCTGACAGGGTTGTTGAGAATTAAAATAAAGAAGGCATGTAATGTATATAAAGTGCCTGGCTCATAGTAGGTACTCAATAAATGATCATGAACTTATCCCTTTTCTCTGACCCCTCTGGAAATTAAGTTTGACAGATAAATAGCACTCTCTTCACTTTCAAAGCTACTGTGATGAGAAAAAGACAGAAATAACTAAATGGAACAATAAATCTCCTGGATCTGAAGTTTTAAAGTAGGTAAATAATGAAATGAAGCTAGTGAGAGATGGATACAAAGAATGGTGGAATTATAAAACCCATACAAAAGTTATTAAGATACTACTAATCTTTTCTATTTTCCTCTTGGCTGTGATGATGAGATTATATTTCATACTCAATGAAAGGAGAAATTACCCAAACTTAGAAAAGTGAAATTAAAAGTGTTTCATAAAACAAAAATTGCTGCCATTTTCCAGATGTTTTATCAGAAAACTATTTCAAAATGAAAGTAAGGCCTTTCAATCATCCAAGTGAGATGACCTATTTATATGCCTGTTGCCATACTAGGTGGCAGTGGGTATAAATGGGAAGGTGAACACACTTATTAAAGGCACAGTGCATGCCCAGTGGTGTTAGGTATGAAATATTTTATTAGTTTGCTAAGGCTCCCATAGCAAAATACTACAGACTAGGACTTTTTCTCATAGTTCTGGAGGCTATACGAGTGTAAGTTCAAGGGGTCAGCAGGGTTGGTTTCCTCTGAGGCTTCTCTCCTTGGCTTACAGATGACTGCCTTCTGGCTGCCTCTTCACATGATTATCTCTTGGGTCTTTTTGTTGTGCCTAAATCTCTTCTTCTTATATGGACACCAGACAGGTTGGATTAGAGCCCACTCTTACCCCTCATTTAATGCAATCACCTCTTTAAAGACCTTATCTCCAAGTAAAGTCATATTCTGAGATACTGGGGGTTGGGACATCAACGTAGGAATTTTGGAATTTTGATGGGACACAATTCATCCCACTACAAACATCATCTCACTTAACCATTGCCCTGTTTTACAAATGAGGAGCCAGGCTCTGAGAGAATAACTAACTAATCAAATATCACATAGCCAGTAAGTGGTGGGACCAAAATTTTAACCAAGGCCTCATTAGCACTAAAGCCTATACTCTTGCTGCTAGTCACGCTTCCTCAAAGAAGGACAAATGTAGTTGGGAAGACACAGTACTGACTGATGAAATTTTATGTAAGGATGTCATCAATAAGAAGGTACTTATTCTACTGGACGTCTTCGTCCATTTTCTGCTGGTATAAAAGAATACCACAGATTGGATAATTGATAAAGAACAGAAGTTTATTTGGCTCATGGTTTTGGAGGCTGGGAAGTCCAAGAGCATGGCACCAATATCTGGCAGGGGTCCTTTCATGGTGGATGGGCAAGCAAACATGTAAGACAGAGGGTAAATGGGGGCCAAACTTACTCTTTAATCAGGAGCCCACTACCACAGCAATAGCCACTTCCATGAAAATGACATTAATGCATTTATGATAGCAGACCCCTCATGACCTAATCACCCCTTAAAGCCCCTGCCTCTTAACAGTGATACAACAGCAATTAAATTTCCAATACATGAACTTTGATCGGGGGGGGTGAGGTGGTGTATAATGAAACCATAGCACTAGACTTATGCCATGATATGGGAAGAATGGATTCAGTATTACTAGCCACTTACAGAACACTTACTACATGTTAGGCTGCATTCTTTCACAAGAGTCTATTGGTCTCCTCACATGAGGAACTGCTGACTGGCAAAAGGAACAGTCTTAGCACATCTTGGTCCAAAGCCTACAGATAGTTCCACATGAATGTCAAACAAAAGAGAGCCTTCTAGAGTAAGTATCTTAGATACAACTGTCTTTTACATCTCTTTTCTTCTGCATTTGGGTGTAGGCTATGTGTAGGAACACATGCATGAAACCCCTAATCTGCTTTATAATATTTTCCCTCATGGGCATGCTACACAATATGTTTTTTTTT
The DNA here is from genome assembly GCF_000001405.40 of Homo sapiens. NCBI lineage: Eukaryota > Metazoa > Chordata > Mammalia > Primates > Hominidae > Homo > Homo sapiens. The sequence goes on from NC_000010.11 coordinate 72,471,104, forward strand.
GAGACAGAATCTCACTCTGTCACCAGGCTGGAGTGCAGTGGCGCAATCTTGGCTTACTGCAACCTCCACCTCCCCGGTTCAAGCGATTCCCCTGCCTCAGCCTCCCAAGTAGCTGGGACTACAGGCACGCGCCACCATGCCCAGCTAGTTTTTTGTATTGTTAGTAGAGATGGGGTTTCACCATGTTGGACAGGATGGTCTCAATCTCCTGACTTCGTGATCTGCCCGCCTTGGACTCCCAAAGTGCTGGGATTACAGGCATGAGCCACCATGCCCGGCCTTCTACGCAGTATGTTAGTGGGCTTTCAACTCTATAGCATCTCAGTATGCAAGACAAAAGTCCTATGCTCTGTTTCTCTAGGCTCTCATTTGTGTTTCTAGGAACAAGTGTTGGTTTAGATTGTGGTCAGGCTGGCACCTGCTCAGTGCTCTGGTTGACCCTGTATGTTTTTGCTAAAAGTTTTTTTGTTTGTTTTTATTGTTTTTTTTAAATTTCTTTGTTTGTTTTTGTTTTTGCTAAAAGTATTACCCTAGTTTGTGCTTCTTTAACTACATTTTTTGGACCTACACTCTGTTTAATTGTAATTACATAATTAATAAGGTAAATCACTTACATTCCCAGATTATGTTACAAATACTCCCAAAGAAGACCAGTCTGGGTATATATGCATACTAGGAAGGCAAGGCATATGACTTGAACCCTGGTACATACTAACTCTCACACAAACATTGTTAGATGAGGTCTACTTCTTTCTTCTATACTCTGAGGAGTATATTGGAACATTCCTATAAGAATGCAAACTTCACAAAGGTAAGCACTATGCCTTTGTGTGTGTGTGTGTGTATTTGTTGTAACATATCTAGTATATTTTACATATAAAAATACCCAATATAAATCAGTGAACAAAATAAAATTCACTGCCTCAGAAGTATCTGTTTTCCATAGGGTAAAAATAGTAATGTTACCATTTCCAAATAAAGCTCTGGAAGCATAATACTTAAATGCTATTGGACATACATTTTCTTCATTCTGTGAAGTTATATTTTGAACTCCATGATCTGCTACAGTTTACTGTGGCAAGGTAACTGGCAAAAAACAAGAGTACTGTGGTTATTCTGAAGATAGAGCCCTCTACGTACAACTAGACAAAAGGAAAACGTCGCTAACTAGAATATTTAGAAACTGAGGTATTACGATTAATTTATGACTAATTTTCTGGTTTATTGAGAGCTGACCAGATAATGTCTTTTGCTTCTATTATTGTTGAAATCTTTTCAAGTGATTTTCTAGGCTGATGTGTCACATTCCTCTGTATGCGATGAAGAAAAAACCCTTTGAAGTCTAAGCACTTAACCTTTCCTGATACTTACTTAGCCTTGAGCTTTTCACTAGACAGAGAAGTTATCTATCCAGCTGTGCAAGGAAGTTAGAATAGGGAAGCTGTGTTTGCTTCATGTAAAGGTATTGAAAAAAAAATCCTATACAGTATTTAGTTAAGAAAAAAAAAGAAAAAAGGAGTAGGGAAGCTGTAAAACTTTTCAACATGGCAAACACTTACTGACCTTTTAGTATACAGTAAGTCTTCACTAGGTTCTAGGAAACTGAGACTTTAAGTGAAACAATGCTTAACAAAACCAATGTTACCATAGGCTAATTGATAAAGATGAGAGTTAATTTCCTATGGCATATTTCTGGTCACAAAAACATCAGCATGGCTGGGAGTGGTGGCTCACACCTGTAATCCCAGCAGTTTGGGAGGCCGAGGTGGGCAGATCACCTGAGGTTGGGAGTTCGAGACCAGCCTGGCCAACATGGTAAAGCCCTGACTGTACTAAAAACACAAAAATTAGCTGGGCGTGGTGGGGCACGCCTGTCATCCCAGCTATTCAGGAGGCTGAGGCAGGAGAATCGCTTGAACCTGGGAGGTGGAGGCTGCAGTGAGTGGAGATCGCGCCACTGCACTCCAGCTCAGGAGACAGAGCAAGACTCCATCTCAAAATGAAAACAAAAGCATCACCAAATTTCTAAATAAAGACCCAAAACACTTCTAATAGTAAACACTGAAATAAATGTGAGCTATATATATAGATCTAAGAAAGATTGATAAAAACAAGTAAGATAGTCATTTACCCAATTTTTAGTGATTAGATGTCGGTGGTCATAGTGGTGGTGGGTTAAATCAAGAAATAAATGTTTGCAAAGTGAAAATTGTAATAAGTACCTCCTCCTACCATGAAGTTCAAACATAAACAATAACCAATATGGCAGTCTCACTGAGAGCTTTTGCACTGCATTGTTTATCATCTACTTTATGAGTTTATTTCACAATAATTTGCATTCTTTCATTTTCTAACATGCTTATTCCAGTTCAGGATGGAGGATGATCAGAGACTATCCTGGCTGCTCTGGGTGCAAAGCAGGAACCCACCCCAGACAAGATGCCGCTCCATCTCAGGGCACACTCACACACACCCACTCACTTAGACTGGGACCATTTAGACACTCCAGTGCACCGAACATGTACATCTTTGGGATATGAGAGGAAACCGGAGTACTCAGGGAAAACTCAAACAGACAGGGGACTCCGCACAGAAAGTGGCTCTAGGGGGAAATCAATTTGTTCCCGCTCATCAGTGTTACAACAAAACGACATTGAACAAAACAACACAATTGAGACAAGTGGGTGGAAAAGGTGAAATCATATATAAGAATCTTGGGGAAACAGGGAAAGCAGATACAGAAGTAACATACATAGTTTAAAAACAACATAGCACCTTTCTCCAGTATTTTCACCTGTTTTAGTTATAGTAGTTAATGTTTTGAAATTCCAAATAATATTAAGGTAGGGCGTGTGTTAAAAGAAAAAGAGAGGCCGGGTGCGGTGGCTCACACCTATAATCCCAGCACTATGGGAGGCCGAGGCAGGAGGATCACATGAGGTCAGGAGTTCAAGACCAGTCTGGCCAACATGGTGAAACTGCGTCTCTAATAAAAATACAAAATTAGCCGGGTGTGGTGGCACATGCCTGTAATTCCAGCTACTCGAGAGGCTGAGGCAGGAGAATCGCTTGAACCTGGGAGGTGGAGGTTGCAGTGAGCCAAGATCATATCATGCCACTGCACTCCACCCTGGCTGATGGAGTAGGACTGTCTCAAAAAAAAAAAAAAAAAAAAAAAAAAAAAGAAGAAAAAGAAAAGAGGTTGGGAAACACCAGTGTAAGAGAATTTTTAAAAATGTCAAGAAATTAGAGACTAGATTTTTGTCTCCAGACAAAAATACATATAGAAGGCATTTGATCAATGTTTTGAATGGAACAGAATAAATAGCTAGAATAGCATGATGGTCTAAACTTTAAATGGAAAAGTAAACTTGTAAATCCCCAAACACAGTAAGATACCTTTGCAACTCTCAGCAACATTGCCTTAAACAATTAAAGAGACAGGATCTCACCGTGTTGCCCAGGCTGCTCTCAAACTCCTGGGCTCAAGCGATTCTCCCACCTTAGCCTCCCGGGTAGCTGGGACTATGGGTGTATGCCACTGTGCCTGGTTAAGCACATATATTTTATATTAAGCACACATATTTTTATTCTGACATTTTGTGTTTCCAGCTCTTACTACCTTTGCAATTATCCATCCTTCTTCATCTCCATCTTCTGGTGTCTTCCACACAATAAACAAAAAAGCAGGAATATATGCTCAGATTGAGAACTGCTGTGACCCCTGAGTTTCTTTCTCCACAAACGGAACATACAAAGACAGCTAAGATTTTTCAATTTAGAGGTTTTTGGTTTTAGATTACAGAAATACTTCACTTCATGACATTTTCACAGAACATGTTGTTTCCTATCTGCTGTCAGTTTATAAAGCACTGATAAGCTTCAAATCAATCAGTTCTCACAGCTGGAGGTAAATGGAAAGAATGCCTATAGTACAGGCCCTCCTGCCCATCAGTTCCACATGTGATGGATCTACTGAGTCTAAGGAAGACCTACCTCAAGCTTCAGAACATCATGCTGCAGTTTACGCTGAAATTCGAGGAAGTTTTTGATTGTCAGCTTTCCCTTCAGATCAGCTCCAAAAAAGTAGGTTGTGAGGGCTGAACACAAGCCAGACTTGAGGGTGTTGCCAGTAGTTGGACGATCTCTGTGGCGCATACCCATACTGGTTTGGGAGCGAATGATGCTCTGAACCTAATACAGAATCAAACCCACATCCAGAAAAATATTAGGAAGTGAGAAAACATAAACATAGAAAAGCAAGAATCATAACTATTGTTTACTATTTGCCTACTCTGTATTATAATTATCTCTTTTAATGCTTACAACAATTTTTTTTTTTTGAGACAGAGTCTCTCTCTGTCACCCAGTCTGGAGTGCAGTGGTACAAAATCAGCTCACTGCAACCTCCACCTCCCGGGTTCAAGCAATTCTCATGCCTCAGCCTCCTGAGTAGCTGGGACTATAGGTACACACCATCATGCCTGGCTAATTTTTTGTATTTTAATAGAGACAGGGTTTCACCAGGTCGGCCAGGCTGGTCTTGAACTCCGGACCTCAAGTGATCCTCCCACCTTGGCCTCCCAAAGTTCTGGGATTGCAGGAGTGAGCCACCGCGCCCAGCCTACAATAATCTTATAGGTGCTATTATTATCCTTATTTTATAAATAAGATTGAAGCACACGGAATTAAATAACTTGCTCAAGGTCAAGTGGCTGGTAAGTAGCAGAATTAGGGTTCTAACACAGACAGCCTGACAACTTTATAATTGGGATCCTCTTAGAAAATCTCTGTTCAGGAAAGGATGAACATTTGTTTTGGAGACTCAAAAACTCTCTCATGACCAGGTGTGGTGGCTCATGCCTATAATCCCAGCACTTTGGGAAGCTGAGGTGGGTGGATCACCTGCGGTCAGGAGTTCGAGACCAGCCTGGCCAAGATGGTGAAACCCCATCTCTACTAAAAACACAAAAATTAGCCGGGTGTGGTGGTGGGTGCCTATAATCCCAGCTGCTCAGGAGGCTGAGGCAGGAGAATCACTTGAACCCAGGAGGTGGAGGTTGCAGTGAGCCAAGATTGTGCCACTATACTCCAACCTGGGTGACAGAGCGAGACTCCATCTCAAAAAAAAAAAAAAAAAAAAAGAGACAGGGTCTTGCCTGTCATACAGGCTGGGGTGCAATGGCACGATCATAGCTCACTGCAACTTCAAAATCCTGTGCTCAGGTGATCCTCCCACCACAGCCTCCGGAGTAGCTAGGACTACAGGCACATACTACCAATCCCAGCTAATTTTTTTTCCCCCTGTAGAGATAGGGTCTCACTATGTTGCCCAGGCTGGTTTCAAACTAGCCTCAAGTGGTCCCCCAACCGCCTCTGCCTCCCAAAGTGCTGGGATTATAAGCATGAGTGATCGTGTTCAGCCCAGTTTCTTACCTTATATAATGTACCTGATACTTTCTCCCACTTCCTGGAATATTTGCCCCTTTCCTCATTTTGAGAATACAAAAAATGCTTTTTCCTATACATACAGTTTTTCTGTTTTGAGACCACTTCTGGCAATCATAATAACTGTATCTGGAGAAGCACCATGGTTCTCCAATGGCAGTAGTTCTATGGAAATGTAACCTATTCCTAGGATTTTGAAATTGTCACCTACTATAGTCAAAAATGGTATGGCACCATTTTTCCTTCTCTTATAGAAATCCTTTAAGAAAATATGTAGTCCTTGTATTCTGGAACTGCCTAGCACATAGCAGCTTTTTGGTAAATGTTGAATTGCCATAATTTAGCTTCCCAGCTAGAGGCATTATAACCCAATTTATGTTGGAGAATCGGAGCAACCGTGACCTTAACGGTATGTTCAAATAATTCATTACATTTAGAGTGAAAACAAACAAATAAAACCAACCCACCTGTTCAAAGAATAATTTTGAGAAATGACATTTTAGGTACTTCAAAAATTGGAATAGCCTCTGAGTATACTGACCAAGGCTAAGGTAACTCCAAGGCACATGAAAATGTATTTTAAATATTAATGTATTTAGAGGAACTCTCCAGGACAACTTGCCTGTTCAAATTCTTCCATATCTACTTCTCCATCTCCATTCAAATCAAACATCTTGAAGGCAATTTCAAAATTTCTCTGAGGAGCTGCAGAGGAGAGAAAAAAAATATTTAGAAGGCATTGACCAAAAATAAATCCCTTTTTAAAGAAAAACAAAAGGCTAAACACTAAAATGTAATATCAAAGTCACCATAAAAGTGACTGAGTCAAAGTCTCAATAAATGGAAAATGAAACTGCATTTATTGAGATCACCCTTTTAGGAATACTCCTTGAAACCAAAAAAGAGTAGTACTACGGCCAGTAAAGACAGCACTTGTCTACCTTTTTGTTTCAACATGCTTTGCCTTAAATGATTTAGCTTTGCTTTCAGAGACACCATCTTCTTAGCTTAGTAATATTAACGTTCTGTTGCTTCAATATGGTATTACTTATCTGGGCAAGAAAGTATGTCTAGGGTGAGACATATTGCTGCAAAGTAAGAAGTTGAAACACTACATCTTAGTCTTACCCTCACAACAAGCCAGCTTTCTACTTTGTTCTTTCTAGTCTCTTTGTTGTAAGTGCAGTCAGGAGTTCTGGGCATGTCACCCTGCCAACATGGATAATTTCAAGTTGGTTTCTTTTATTAGTTTATTCATTATCACTACAGCTCTATGGTAAGGCAGAAAAGTACACTGTAAGGTACTCAGCCCCCTATTTTTTTTTCTTTTTTTTTTTGAGACAGTTTCACTCTGTTGCCCAAGCTGGAGTGCAGTAGTGCCATCTTGGCTCACTGCAACCTCCGCCTCCAGGGTTGAAGTGATGCTCATGCCTCAGCCACCCGAGTAATTGGGATTACAGGCATGTACAACCATGCCTGGCTAATTTTTGTATTTTTAGCAGAGACGGGGTTTCACCATGTTGACCAGGCTGGTCTTGAACTCCTGACCTCAAGTGATCCACTCGCCTTGGCCTCCCAAAGTGCTGGGATTACAGGTGTGAGCCACGGCGTCTGGCCTCAGCCCCCTATTTCGATCATGTCAGCTGCATACACAAATTACTAAATATACTTAAATGGTAAAATTAAGCTGAAGTTTAAATAACAAAATGAAAAAATGCAAAGCTTGACAAAACTTTCCCTTAATGATGAAAGCTTTTCAAGGCTTCTTTAGTGTTCCTAGATCAGTCATAATATCATTAATATACTCTGTGCATTGGAATAAAATATAAACTCAACAGCCCTCCTCCCTTCCCATACTAAATGTTCTGGTAAAGAAAACTAAGTTGTTTACTTCCTTCCTTTGGTGCTTCAAATTTATACAGCTCTAGAGAATAAACCAAAATAAATATTCTATGTGTCCTTATACTAGTGAATTAAAATTTCAGTTAACATCATTTACATGAAAAAAGTTAAGATTTTATGCAGAGAAAAAAGTAAAATGAACTTTGTATATTATGTATAATTGTTAGAGAGGCCATATTCCCATCCTGCTCATGAATTTGTCAACAGAAACACTTTCTGGGCTCAAATTCCATTTTCAGGTAGTTAGGCAGCTAGGCTGGAAACTCCTGGTTTTTAGTTGCCTGGGTGAATCATGTGTGTGTCAGCTTCCAATTGTCTGCTTCACTTGATATTGACTTCCAATAGGTTTGCTTTCCTTTAGGCCAGAGACAGGGTTTCAACATGTCAGCTAGGCTGGTCTTGAACTCCTGACCTCAAGTGATCCTCCCACCTTGGCCTCTCAAAGTCCTGGGATTACAGGTGTGAGCCACCATGACCCAGCCTTCAATTGCTGGGAAGGATGCAGCTGGGGGAATTAGTTTTGTATATTTGTTGTCACTTCTCAAATTTTTGCTACCTGTCTGAATGTTACATTTTACTGAGGAGTTACTATGTGGCAGGCATTGAGCTAGATAATTGGAGGTGTTTATTATTTGACTTCATACTCTCAATCTTGAAAACTTTCATTTCTTTATTGTTTAAACAGAGGAGGATATTGGGGCTCAAAGCAGTTAAATGGCTAGCTCAAAAATCACACAGCTCCTTTTTGGCAGAAGTGGGAATTGAACTTAAGTCAACACTGACTCCAAAGCCTACAAACTTTCCTTATGTTCCAAGGCCTCTAATGTGAACATAGAGGTACTTAAAATGATAAACACACACTCTTCATGCTGACACGATTTGACCTAAAAACTAAGCAACAAAACATGACACAGTGGTTATGTCAGTCTCTGCAAAAGCTGAACATTCCAAGTTGATCATCTCAAGGAGATAACCAATATCACAGAAACACTGCCTGTGTTATGCTCAGGAGTTTAGGCTTGACCGTAGTAAATGGAAGATCCACAGGCAACATTAAACTCTCAGATAGGTTTGTCATGTGTTTTTGTTTTTTGGGACAGGGTCTTGTTCTGTCATCTAGGCTAGAATGCAGTGGCACAGTCATAGCTCAATGCAACCTCAGACTTCTGGGCTCAAGCAATCCTGCCTCAGCCTCTGGAGTAGCTAGGACTACAGGTGCGTGCCACCAAGCCTGGATAATTTTTCTATGTTTTGTGGAGATGTGGTCTCACTACATTGCCCAGGCTGGTCTTAAACCTCCTGGCCTCAAATGATCCTCCTGCCTCAGCTCCCCAAGGTGCTAGGATTATAGGTGTGAGCCACAGCACCCGGCTGGTTTGTCATGTTTTTTAAACTTCTGATTATAAATCTCTTCAGGTGGAAATGTTCTCTCTTATTCTTCCTTATTTTGTCACACTTGGCCCACTTCACTCCTATATGTTATTTGCCTAATTCCTGTAGATACTTGAGAATGTAACAATGGCAGAAAATATGAAGCCACTGAAGGTTTTAAGTAGGAGAGTGACACAATCAAGCAATTATAAAGGACTTCTCCAGCTACTGTGTGAAGAATGAGTTGGAAAAGAAAGGCCAGCTTTAAAGAAGATCAGAAGCTCTTTTAAATGTTGAAAATGCAAACTGCAGTGATGGCAGTGGTAATGGAGAGGAGGGACACATTTGAGATACCCAAAGAAGGCAGAAATTATAGAACTTAATGATTAGTTAGCTGTGATGAGTTGAGAGTGAAAAGGAATGACAGCATGACTGGCTTAGACTACTGTGTAGCTTGCATGGCATGAAGAAAGAGAGCAAATAGATGTAAAATGTTTGAGAAATAAAATGATTTCAGACGGGATCTGCTAAATTTAAGGGGTCTCAGCTTATGCAGATGAAGATGTTCAGGAGACAGTTGGAAATATGGGTCTAAAGCTCAGTGAGAGAGGTTTAAGCTGGGATTTATGGGCATACAAGTGGCTAGCTGCAAAGAACCTGAAAGGAAGTTGCCCATGCAAAACTGAGGAGTGAGGAGAAGGTCAAGAAAAGGGTAGATTGCAGGTGGAAGCCAATGTTTAAAGTGCAACGAAAAGGAAAGGAGGCAGTGACAGAGGAAGCGGCATCACAATATCCAGAGGAATACAGCCCAAATTAATAGAAATAGGAAAACATTTGATAAGAGCGAAGTCAATATGCTCCCATACATGAATTAAAGCAGTATCCCCATTCCCTCTCTCCACAATTACAGAGGTGACACAGACTGCTTACAACTTCAGCTTTATCAGGATCTTGTAGTCTTACTGTCTTGTGAGTTCCATGAAGGCATGTGCCCAGATCATTTAAATGACTGAATGAGTTATTCTAGCATATTATGGTTAATATCACCTCCTACAACTAAGGTTAAATACACTTTACCAAACAAAGTATACCCTGTAATGCTTGAGGTTTCTCTGTCTTTTTATCCTGGTATAGTTCCTTTCAAAGTACTGGCTTTATGTGGAGCAACTGAGAGTGCTTGTTAAAGTACATGCGCTGACACCACAGAGGCCATGAACCTGTGCTTGGGCCACTGCTGAGGCAAGCTGGGCTGCAGCCTTGGACATGCTCACTTGGGCCTCACCAGCCTCTCAGGGCCAGTCTTTCTAGAAAGAGCTCTCAGCCTATTCAATTTCATTGGCTGATCATGTCAAAGCATATGGGACAAACAAGCCAAAAACAAGCTTGCTTTAAGTGAAACATGCTACACAGTATATGATGTCAAGCGATTCTCTTGTAAACTTATTTGTCTCCTCTCAAATGTAGCCTTCAGGGCAATTTTTAAATCTAGTTGTTTTGGAAAGCTTATGGCATCCTGTGTTTATTCTAACTCATAATCTGTTTCCATAGAAAGGTTCTGAAAGAGGAATTTTGGTTTTTGTTTTGTTTTTTGTTTTTTGTTTTTTTGAGACTGAATCTTGCTCTATTGCCCAGGCTGGAGTGCAGTGGCATGATCTTGGCTCACTGCAGCCTTTGCCTCCCAGGTTTAAGTGATTCTCGTGCCTCAGTCTCCCAAGTAGCTGGGATTACAGGAGCACACCACCACCCCCGGCTAATTTTTGTATTTTTAGTAGAGACGGGGTTTCACCATATTGGCCAGGCTGTTCTAGAACTCCTGGCCTCAAGTGATGCACCCGCCTTGGCCTCCCAAAGTGTCGGGATTACAGGCGTGAGCCACAGCGCCCACCCTGAAAAAGGAATTCTTTTGAATGCTAGGCTACTTAGAGTGAAGAGTGAGGCTTTCCCCCCTGCTAAAACAGCATAATTTACTTTCTACACGATTTCCAAAATGGTCTCAGCAAGTGTTGAAACTGATTAGAACAATAAGACCCTACACAAAGTTTGTTACTATACACCTTTCACTTAGATTTCCTTAATAATCTTTGCTACTAGGATACAGAGCTACATTAGGTCTGTTCTGGTTACAAGTCTGTTTCTATAATATCATTCCACCATTGACAATCATGATAATAATAATGACAACTCTACACTGTTTCCTGAAGCACATTTTTTCTGTTTTGTTTTAGTAAAGAGAAAAAACCATCTTTTTCTATGTGTATTGAGTCACATAATCAGATAAACACTAGCTGTCCTGAGACTTTCACTGGTTGATTTCATGGCTATTTCTCTCACTGTTCTTTAATAGAAAATGCATAAGGAATGGTACGGGTAGGAATGGTTGAACTAAAGTTCTAATTCTGGCTTTTCCAATAACCTAATGAGTCATTTGCTGCCTTACATTATTTTTTGGTAGCACTGATGGAATGATGAAAAAATGAATAGGTTAGATTCTAAACAAGTTTCTTATTTTCTATTGGTTTGATTCTCCTATCAAAGAATTCTTACCTGTCCCATTCCTGTTTTAGAATGCTAGAGGATAAATGAGGTAATTGATATGCAATGTCAGAGAAGTCTGAGTTTTGAAAAAAACTTCCAGAATGTTCCTCTATTCAATGATGAGCTTTCCACTGAATTTGTAAGGATGATCACACAGCCTCTGATTATTTCTGAGGGAGAGGTCACCACTTCTGAGGTGTAAACATTGTTGACCATATTAAATGAGCTGTTTTTTTTCCTCATGCACAGTCCAAATCTACCCTGTGTAGCTCCTAAAAACTGTCATAGTTTAATCTTCTAGAGAAATAAATCTGCTTCTTCATTTATATGATGGCCCTCTGAATACATATAAACTATTATCATGTCTCTAAAAAGGCTTCTTAGAACTTGCTTCCAAAACCTCAACATCATAATAGCCCTCGTCTGGGGGGTACTTTAAATGGTCAATGCCCCCATAAATGCACTATATATATATACATATATATATATATATTTATTTATTTTATTTTATTTTTTTACAGAGTCTTGCTCTGTCGCCCAGGTTGAAGTGCAGTGGCGTGATTTTGGCTCACTGCAACCTCCACCTCCCGTGTTCAAGCGATTCTCCTGCCTCAGCCTCCTGAGTAGCTGGGATTACAGGCATGCGCCACCATGCCTGGCTAATTTTTGTATTTTTAGTAGAGACGGGGTTTCACCATGTTGCCCAGGCTGGTCTCGAACTCCTGACCTCAAGTGATCCACCCGCCTTGGCCTCCCACAGTGCTGGGATTACAGGCATGAACCACCACGCCTGGCCCCTTTTCTCTAATTCTAAAATAAAACAGAAAAAGGGCAATCATCTCGGGGAGCCACTGGGTCCTTTTAGCCATGAAGACAAGGAAACTACCCCACTTCCAGGAGACCCCAGCTGGGTCTAGCAATAGCCTCAATAACCCATTGAATAGCCAGAACCAGATGGCTGGAGGGCATCTTGCTTGGCTGGCTCCTGGTTGTCCAGCTTCTGGTCAATGTGTGGCTTCTGTGCCTTCTGTCTGTGTTGCTAGTGGTGCCACTGTGCCACTGTCTGGGGGCTGCAGGTCAACTGCACCTAGAATGCTTCATCCCAATGCTGCTTGCTCTCCAAGCCCTGAGGCAGAAAAGCAGCTGGAACACGAGATCAACCACATTATCCAGATGATTACTCAGGACTTTGTGTAATTCTGATATTGCTTAGTAAGCCAGCCACTGAGAAAGCATGGAGGAAGCATGGCGGCCATGAAAGGGCTGGCTCAGGAGCTTAGGAGGAGGATGGGCATGGTGGGACAGTCATGCGCTCGCCCAGAGGATTCTGATTCTGTGGTTGTCACCTGCAGAGCTATATTTAGGCAAAGAAGGCCACTGCAGGGAAGCGGAGCAGTACAGTTGAACCCTGGGAGGCTTACTGCTCGGCTATTGCCCCACATCCTGCTGTGCACAGCCCCAGTACTGAGGTCACCTATTATGGATTTGTTGCTTCAGAAAAACAACAAAAAACAAAAAAACCACATAGACTGTAATTGATTACAAAAGACACTGTGTTATTCAATAAAATTAAAGTCAAGTTTCTTTCTTCTGGTTGTGCTAGAATTATAATTTAAAACACTGTTAACAATGTTTTGATTATACCATAAGTTTTAGTTTCAAACCATTTAGTGATTTAATATGCTTAAACAAGAGTAAATTAGACTACTTCCTAAATGTGTTTTCTGTGGTTGTGCAGCTGTATACTCCCATGAAACTGTACTACAGGGGGACCAGACTACATAGTGTAAAACAGCATTCTGCCATTTAAAATATCTAGTTTCCCATATGATGTGCAATTTGAAATGATAAAATGGCAAGAAGTTTACATGGCTAACTTTCAGAATACAATATCCAGAAATTTCCTTAGTGGGAGAACAAGACAATAAGGCAATCTAAAGTAGCTAAAATTAATGATATGTAAATGCATTAATCTAGTTCTTCTTAGCTCTGCTCCTTTAACACAGAATTAAAAAAAAAATTCTCCTGGTGAAATGATGAATACCAAGGACAAAAAAAAAAAATCCTCAGTCATCCAGGAGGAAAAGAAATTAGTTATCAGGAAGAAGAAAGTATTACGTTGTATCATGATTCTCCACAACACTTGAAAACTACAGAGCAAGTTCCAAAGAGTCTTAAGGGAAAACAACTGTAATCTAAGAATTCCATAAAAGAGAAGTCAGGCTAGGTGCAGTGGCTCATGCCTGCAATCCTAGCACTTTGGGAGGCTGAGGTAAGCAGACTGCTTGAGCTCAGGAGATCAGAGGATCACCTGAACCTGGGGAGGTTGAGGCTGTGGTGAGCTGTGATCATGTCACTGTGCTCCGGCCTGGGCAACATAGCGAGACCCTCTCTACCTCCCCACTTCCAGTCCCAGCCTCGAAAGTGAAGTCATCATTTACCTACATTAGCAACAGAAGATATTCTCAGACATGCAAGGACTTTGAAATTGTATAATCCACATAACCTTCCTAATAAAAATTCCACAAGAAACAGTAACAAAAGTCTGGAACAAGGGTTGGTAAACTATGGTTGGTAACCTGCTAGCTAGCTATTTGTTTATGTATTGTCTATAGCTGCCTTTGAGTTACAAGGGCAGAATTGAGTAGTTGTGACAGAGACATTATCACCCACAAGCCTAAAATATTTGCTATCTGGCCCTTTAAGAAAAAGTCTGCCAATCCTACTGAGAAAATTATTCAGCCAACAAGAAGAAAAATTAACCAAAATAAAGAAATAAAGACAGGAAAATGAGGTAAATTAAGATGTGAGCAATAAATTAGCTAATAAAATAAAATCAATAAAATCAATAAAAGTCTTAAGTTTAAATAATCGTTTTGTTTTGTTTTGTTTTGTTTTGTTTTAAACAGGGGCTTGCTATGTTGCCCGGGCTGGTCTCGATTTCCTGGGCTCAAGTGATCCTCCTTCCTCGACCTCCCAAAGTGCTGGGATTGCAGGTGTGAGCCATCTTGCCTGGCCAAATAATCATTATTAATACAATAATAATAATGGCACCTGACATTTATGACATGCTTATTATAAATCAGGATTATATAATTAACCTGTTATTATATATATAACCAGGATTATATATATAACCCTTAATCCTCCCAACCATTCTGTGACGTCGGTACTATTAATGTCCGTTTCCAGTTAAAAAAAAAAAAGAGAAGACTAAAGTAGAGAGTATGTCCAGGGTCATAGAGCTGGAATTCAAATCCAAATAGTCCACTAGAGCAGCCACTCTTAGCTATTATACCAAAATGGTTATAAAATAATAAAGTACGGAAAATACTTCTTAAAAGTGAACACATATAATATAAAATTATTTAAAAATAAAGAGAACTTGGAATAAAAAATGCCAGATTGAGACATTGTAAAAACTGAGTGGGGAGAAGAAAGTGAAAGGAAGTTAAAATTTTCAACTTCCAATAGGAGACATCCAAAGATATGGACGGCTTCATCCGAGGTAAAAAGGTCAGTCACACACACACACACACGCACACACACACACACACCCCCTATGTGTGAATTTAATTCAAAGGTCACCATTAATAGAGTGTTGAAATTACCAGGGAGAAAAACCCAATAAATAAATTATGCAAAAGACCTAAAAAAAAAGTGACAAGAAAGCATGAAAAACATAAAATAAGGTAAAAGAAGACCAAATACATCTCCCCAAATTTAAGTAAACTAAGTTGCTCAAATTATGTTATTTATAATAAACATATCAAAAATAAAATGCAAGAAGATAATAAGGGAAATACAAGAAAACTAAAACATAAAGAAAGCAGGGTGGTAATATAAGCATCAAGTGGAAAGGAACTAAAGGCATAAGGATTAATAAGAACAAAGGCCATTTTCAGTATTGTTGGTTGCCAATAGGAATATGGCAATAGAACAAATATGTATCTTTAGGACTAGCACAATACATCAAAATATGCAACAAAACATTAGTTAGATATAAAGGACAAACTGACTAACATTACTATCTCAGTTTTTGACGTATTTTGTAGAAAATTTAATGAGACCATGGAGAGTTTATAAATACTGACCACAGTTCAATTTGTTTTTTTGTTTTGTTTTGTTTTGAGACAGAGTTTCATTCTGTCGCCCAGGCTGGAGTGCAGTGGTGCAATCATGGCTTACTGAAACTTCTGCCTCCTGGGTTCAAGAGATTCTCCTGAGTCAGCCTCTCAAGTAGCTGAGATTGCAGGCGTGAGCCACCACATCTGGCTAATTTTTGTATTTTTAATAGAGACGGGGTTTTGCCATATTGGCCAGGCTGGTCCCAAACTCTTGATCTCAGTGATCTGCCCGCCTTGGCCTCCCAAAGTGCTGGGATTACAGGCATGAGCCACTGAGCACAGCCTAATTTTTCATATACACATACACACGTGCACAAAGGGTCTTCAAAAAGTTTATGGAAAATGCATATTATGAAAAACCTATGCGTGGATTTAAAAAAAAATTTGCACCAAAATAAACTCATACTAACTTGTAACATGTCTGAACAGGATCTAATTTGAAGCACTAAGAAGGGTAAGACATCAGTTAGAAAAAAGCCCCTATCAGAGCAACATAAATTCTGCTAAAATCGAAGCAAGAACAAACATTAAATTTATGGTGAAGCTTGGGTGAAATCACTGATGCTTTATGAAAAGTTTATGGGGACAATGCCCCAAGGAAATCAGCAGTTTACAAAGGGAAAACTTGTTTTAGGAAGGGATGAGACGATGTTGAAGATGAAGCCCACAGTGTGGCAGACCATCCATATCAATTTGCAAGGAAAAAAATTCATCTTGTTGGTGCCCTGACTGAAGAGGAATGATGATTAACAGCACAAACAACAGCCAACACCACAGACATCTCAATTGGTTTAGCACATACAATTCTGACAGAAAAATTAAAGTTGACCAACTTTCCATTTGATGAGTGCCAAACCGTTGCAACCAGATCAGCTACAGACAAGAGCAGAGTTTCAATGGAAGTTTTAAACAAGCAGGATCAAGTTCTTAAAGCATTTCTTCAAATAACTGTAACCACAGATGAAACATGGCTTTACCAGCGTGTCCTGACGACAAAGCACAAAGCAATGGCTACCAAGAGGTGGAAGTGGTCAAGCCGAAGACCAGTGGGTCAGTCAAGAGCAAAGGTCATGGCAGGAGTTTTTGGGATGCTCAAGGCATTTTGCTTGCTGACTTTCTGAAGGGCCAAAGGAGATGTTATCTCTTCTGAAGGAGAATGATAATATCTCCTCGTGAGAATGTTTTGAGAAAGCCAAAGCTTTAGCAGAAAAATACCCTTTTGGAAAGCTTCACCAGATTTCTTCTCTACCACAACAATGTCCTGCTTATTCCTCAACAAACAAGGGCAACTTTGTGAGAGCTTCAATGGGAAGTCATTAGACGTCCACTTTACAGTCCTGATCTACTCCTTCTGACTTCTTTTTGTTTCTTAATCTTAAAAAAATCTGTAAAGGGCATCTATTTTTCTTCAGTTAATAATGTAAAAAAGTCTGGATGTGGTGGCTCACACCTGTAATCCTAGCACTTTGGGAGGCCAAGGCAGGTGGATCACATGAGGTCAGGAGTTCGAGACCAGCCTGCCCAACATGGAGAAACCCCGTCTCTACTAAAAATACAAAATTAGCCAGGCGTGGTGGCACATGCCTGTAATCCCAGCTACTCGGGAGGCTGAGGCAGAATTGCTTGAACCCAGGAGGCAGAGGTTGCGGTGAGCTGAGATTGCACCATTGCACTCCAGCCTGGGCAACAAGAGCAAAACTCCATCTCAAAAAAAAAAAAAGAAAAAAAAATTAAAAAAAAATTGAATATATATAAGTTCCTACTTGTATATCTTTTTATTAAAAAGTTTAATAAAAACTTGAAAAAGTACTTCTGTAATATGGAAAAGAATATTTTTTGAAAAAGTACTTCTGTAATATGGCAAAGAATATTTATCTGAAACTAAGATTTACCATATGCTTAATTGAAAAATGCCAGACACATTTATTTTAACACGTCAGTATGGTCATTACTACTGCTACTATATTGAAAGTTCTAGCCAAAGCAACATATAATGAAGTACACAAGTTAGAAAAGAGAAAAATATTATATTATCATTATTTGCAGATACTATAAATGTCTTCCTAAAAAATCCAAGGAAATGAACCAAAGCTTTCAGAATTGCTACTAGCAATAACAGGTTCAGTTATAAAATGCATATGTAACAGATTTTTTTTTTCCCCACTGCTCCAGTCAAGGGAGATTTAACAGATTTTAAACTGGGAAACTAAAATACTTGACAAGCTGCACCAGCATCTTCCTAATTACTCCTCTTCCCTCTTGGCCTATAGTTTCTATTGACAAAATGAAATGTTTTTTGAGGCAAGATCAAGGTAAGTCTGGAGTTATTGAGAAAGTATGGAGGAATTAGGATTTGAAATGGGTTCAAGCCCAAGACTATACCAGACAAAATATCTATTCTCCTCATGCAATAACCATTTAGGGTTCTTAGAAATATTACATTAATTTAAAAATAATAACTAACGATTACTTAGGGCTCACCATGTGGGTCAGGCACTGTTACTTAGATGTAGCTTACAAGGCCGGGCACTGTAGCTCATGCCTGTAATCCCAGCACTTTGGGAGGCTGAGGCAGGTGGATCACTTGAGGTTAGGCGTTCAAGACCAGCGTGGCCAACAAACCCCAACCCCATCTCTACTAAAAGATACAAAAACTAGCTGGGCATAGTGGCACATGCGGGTAATCCCAGCTACTTGGGAGGCTGAGGCACGAGAATCGCTTAAAACCTGGGAGGCAGAGGTTGCAGTAAGCTGAGATGGTGCCACTGCACCACTCTAGCCTGGGTGACAGAGCGAGACTCTGTCACACACACACACACACACACACACACACACACAAAAATAAAAAAAAAAGGAACTAACTTATATATCTTAATCCATTTAATCCTCATAACAACTCTATAAGGTAGATAGTTGTAGTAATACTACAGATGAGGAAATTGAGGTTTATTTACGTGGCCAATAAATGGTAGAGCTGGGATATGAACCTTGGTGGTATGGATCCAGAGCCCTGATGAATGGCTGCCAGGATGAAACACATACATAACAGGCTGAATTAACTAGAAAGGGATATTCTTTGCTACAAAAGGGTACAATAAGGCTAGATAGTTTACAACTTTGCAAACTTAAGTCTCTGGAATATAAAACTCATTTTTATATTTAAAACCCATCAGTCCACCCCTCATTTCTAGTTCTGCTTTCAGGTACATTTTTCATTTGGTCTCCACCCTGTATGTTTTTCTAATAATCAGAATTAAATGTGAAATCCTCAACAACAGAAAAAAGCCAGGACTTGTTAAATTAAATGATTACTGCCATGACCACAATCAACACAAAAGATATACTTGAATGATTAGCTTGAAGAATAGGAAGATAAATCACTGAGAAATTTAAGCCACATCTGGGAGATACGGTGTATATAAATACAACTGGGAAGTCATCTTTCCGAAATTTCTTGGAAACAAAAAACACCACATGAAACCAATGATTGGTTCAGACAGTTTTGGAAGTTGAAGAATGTTGGTATTTTTTAGTATGTAAAGCTGCCTTTAAGCCCTTGACTAAATGCCTTGTGTTTGCAGGGAGGGACCAAATAGTGGGAAAGGAAGAAATTACTTTGAGAAGGACAATATTCATTTACACACAGGACTTAAGACGCACTTTTAAAATCTATCAATCATTATTTTATATGCCTCCTCCCTCCATTAGACTGTAGCTGCTCTACATATATATATGTCTATGTATGTATGTATATGTATGTATGCATATATTTATTACTTGCTGAACAAGATGTAGGTGAAAGAACCAAGGGAAAAACAAATCAGTTTTATTCCAAAACTTTCCCTTTAGACACAAGATTTTGATGTCAAATAACACATAATACTAAGAAAAATATCTGGAAGGAAGAGTGAGAAGAGATAAATACAGATGTATCTTTGGTACCTCAGCAAAAAGTTCGCACTGTAGATCTGAATTAGCTCAATGGAAGAAGAGGCTGATACTACCTGTGGAGCTTTGGAGGGTCCCTTTTTCTAACAAGACCACATTGTCACCCACGAAGTTCCCTTTGTTCCACAGACTCCTGGATGTTTCCTGCCTCCTGTCCTTGTAATTACAGAGAGAGTTATGGGGGTCCTTTCCATGATGTGTTCTAGCTTGTCTGACCCAACTAAGCATACTTTTCTGCACAATGGCAAGAGGATGGGGGTTGGGCAATTTTGCTGCTCTTCTGCCTGTGAGTTCCCCTCTAGACCTTATTTTAGATTGTGTTTACACTATATAGCACCAATGGTATGTGTGTCCATGTGCCCTTTGCACAACAAAGGGGAAAAAGTAATTTTGTTGGATGAAGAACTGCCTAGGAGGCAGCGAGTTTAATCTCCTTTGACATTTCACCAAGGACCCGTTTTTTCCCCTCAATTTGTCTTCGTCCAGATCTGAGGGCTTCCTCCTACTAGTGGAAAGAGCCCAAAGGAAGCCTGTGTTTTTCACTGACGTTCCACCACTGGAAAGCCTAAGGAGCCAAACACCAAACAGAATTATGAACCGGGACAGTCCCATAAAAGGCCAAAGGAGGATTTCCTGATCAATTTACCATAGAACAAGAAGACCGATGACCCTGTCTGTGAGACCAATGTGGTCAAGATGAAACAATGCTTAATGCTTTAAACAGTTCCGTCTCTGGGTGCTGAGACAAGTTGGATGATTCACTTATTTTGCAATAAGCCCCAATAGATAATTTGTTATTCTCCTAAGTCTGTAAGCCAATTTCTTTTCATTAGAATCAAATACAGTTAAATATTAATATTACTTTACACATAGCCTAGAGTTGGAAAGAAACTATTTAAGAAAACACTGCAGTGACTCCATCTGTGGAAAAATAATTACCCTTTAGTTTACCTGCTTCATATATCTGGATTTGGGACCATTGCTTTTCTTAAAAGGAGGCACTCAAAATCCTCTCTCCCATGGATTCATATTCACCCAGCTTAAAAGCAACTCTGTGACAGACAAGTGAGCACAGAAAGACTAACATTAATTATGTAATTGTCTAGGGGCCTTAGAGAGTTAATGTAACTTGGGTCAGGTGTGGTCGCTCACACCTGTAATTCCAGCACTTTGGGATGCTGATGCAGGTGGATCACTTCAGGCCCGGAGTTCGAGAGTTAATGTAACTAATCTGGTCCTATATAACAGATCAGACATTCAAAGTATTTAGCCCATGGAGGTACTCTAGGTACATACATACATTCAAGTGTAACTCTAAATCACTATGTTTCTTCATTATAAGAATCTAATATTCTTTCCTTTTTTTTTAATTTCTGCGTACAGAGATACTAGTAAAATGAACTTTTGGAATTCTACAGTACCATAAACACAGGCGTGACTACAAGATAGGCTTTGCAAACACTAAAAAATAATTAACTTTATGAGGTGTTAAAAATAGATATAAAAGTTTAAAAAACCATTAGAGGGCTTAATAAACTATGCTTATCCCCCTCCAAACATCCCTAACTAGTATTGTGAATTAGCAGTAATTAGAGTAGCTATTCTTTTCACTGTGCTTAAGTGAAAAAAGAAAAACAGCATAGTAAATTCTAGTGCCCGCCAGTATATGATTTTTCTTAAAAGGAATGGTGGTTAGACTAACAGACGGGTCCTTGTAGGCCACTGTAAATAAAGACTTTGGCTTTACTCTGAGACGGACTGGAAGTCTTTGGGGGATTTTTGGGCAGTGGAATGATCTTATTTAAATTTAACAAGATCATTCTCGCTGCTGTATTGCAAGTAGACTAGAAAAGCAAGGGGGAAAAAGCGGTAACCAATCGGGAGGGTACGGAAATAATCCGAGAGATATGAGAATGTCTTAGACATGGGTAGTAGTAGCGAGTGTAGTGAAAAATGGTGGGGTTCTGGATTACTTCATGGTAGAATTGACAATTTTGCTGACAGATTGGAAATACAATTATTAAGATTATTTTTAAAATGCATATGGGCTGGGCGTGGTGGCTCCTGCCTGTAATCCCAGCACGTTGGGAGGTTGAGGCGGATGGATCACCTGAGGTCAGGAGTTCAAGACCAGCCTGACCAACATGGTGAAACTCTGTCTCTAATAAAAATACAAAAATTAGCTGGGTGTGGTGGCATATGCCTGTAATCCCAGCTACTCGGGAGGCTGAGGCAGGAGAATTGCTTGAACCCGGGAGGTGGAGGCTTCAGTGAGCAGAGATCATGCCACTGCACTCCAGCCTGGGCGACAGAGCAAGACTCTGTCTCAAAATAAATAAAATAAAAATAGAATAGAATAAAATAAAATAAAATAAAATAAAATAAAATAAAATGTATATGGGCCAGGTGTGGTGGCTCACGCCTGTAATCCCAACACTTTGGGAGGCCGAGGCGAGTGGATCACTTGAGGTCAGGAGTTCAAGACCAGTCTGGCCAACATGGTGAAACCCCATCTCTACTAAAAATACAAAAATTAGCCGGGCATGGTGGTGCATGCCTGTAATCCCAGCTACTCGGGAGGCTGAGGCAGGAGAATGACTTGAACCTAGGAGGCAGAGGTGGCAGTGAGCCAAAATTGTGCCATTGCACTCCAGCCTGCTTACCCCCCAAACATCCTTAACTAGTATTGTGAAATAGCAGTAATTAGCAAAACTCCATTTCAAAAAATAATAAGATGTATATGTATGCATGTACATGTGTATACACACACACACACACCCACACACACATACACACACAATTTTTCCCCCACTTTCCAAAACAGAATAATAGGTATGTTTTGAGTCATCATTATGAATATTTTTCTATGCTAATAAATCTCTGCATTACATACATTATATTAAGAACTATATAAAATGTCATTGCACAGATTTATTTTAACTGGTTTAGCCATTGTTTGATATTTGAGTTCTTTCTCGTTTATTTTTATGTGTGTATTTGTTTTTTAATTATTTTACTTTATTTTATTATTTTATTGAAACAGGGTATCACTCTGTCACCCAGGATGGAGTGCAGTAGCACAATCACAGCTTATCAAAGCCTTGACCTGCTGGGCTCAGGTGATTCTCCCACCTCAGCCTCCTGAGTAGCTAGGACTATGGGTGCCCATCACCATGCCTGACTAATTTGTGTATTTTTTGTAGAGACATGGTTTCGCCATGTTGCCCAGGCTGGTCTTGATTGAACTACTGGGCTCAAGCGTTCTGCCCGCCTTGGTCTCCGAAGTGCTAGGATTACAGGTGTGAGTCACCATGCCTGGCCTGAGTTCTTTCTAGTTTATTTTTTGACCGTCAACATCATTATACATGTGATTATTTTATTAGCCTAAACATGTAGAAAAGGAATTGCTGGACCAAAATTTGAAAGTGTCTGGTAAACACCATCAAGACGCTGAAAAGGTTTTGCCAATAATTTATGCTCTCACCAATACTATATAGTCAATTAAATTTAAGGGTCAATTCCAATAGTTAATCCTGGCATACAAATGGTTTTGGGAACACTATGAATTTGGTAGTGAAACGAGAGGAGGAAAATTGCCTCTTCAAAGAGGTAATCAACCCTAATCTTTATTTCAGTTTCTTGGAGTTCTTTAGACCTCTGGGAGTGGTCTAAGCTTAGGAAAGACTTTACCTCATACAGTTTTGGGGAATGTGCACAACTCTAGGACAATTTAACCTTAGGGCCGACCTGGGGGTAAAGCTGCCTAAGACATAAGGTAGAGCCAGAATGCTGGCATTTCGCATAGTTCTTAGACAAGCCCATGCCCTGGGAATTTCTGGTCCATAGACAGTCAAAGGGTAGTTAGTCTCCATTAAAATAGGAGGGAGGCAGTTAAGCTGCAGTTTCTGGCAGACTTCTAGGGACAATCTAGTCAGGCGACCCATGTTTCTACTCGAATAAATTCTGAACATAAAGAAAAAACACTTAGAAATGTAATGTATATTCTCCAAACAGACTTAAAATTCATATTGAACTCAGTCTTGCTAGTGTTTGAAAATCCTAAGACAATGAAATTACATAGGATGGTTACTATAAGCTTATTATCATTACATATTATCTCTGCAATGGCTAAAAAGAGCTCTTTATTCGTTATCAGTGTGATCTACTTAATGGCAATCGGCAAGTTTTCCTAAATAATATGAAATACTACATGTTAAGAACCCGAAAATAAAATTAAAAAAAAAAAGAACAACAACAACAAAAGGGTTTTAAAATTTCATAAGAAGATTGTGAGACTTTTCTTGAATTCCTCCAGCAAGGCTTCGGCTATACAGGCATTTATTCCTTCTAACAACTGTTTTTCTTTCATTTACATTTTTTCCAAAAAATACACTTCAGCCCTGATTCTAAAAAAAAAAAAAACAAAACAAAAAACCATGTATAATTTCACATCTAAAGAAAAGAAATAGCTGATGTTTCTACTTCACAGTGTACAGCCTATCTATGAGCTTTATCTCAGCCTCAGTTATTAGATGACTTTCAGAGAGCTGCCAGAAATAGTCTTTTATTTAAACTGGTTTTCCTTACACTGTTATTTGACAGTTGTGTTATAGAAAGATTATTCAATATCAGTGATGTCAAAAAGCTTGGATTTCCCAAGAGTTCCTGGGTGACAGATTCTAGAAGGCAAGCCAGTGCTTTTCTACTTTAGGAATATATTTTCTTCAAATTCATGTTACTATTTTATGCCCAAATTACATGTCTGCATAATAGACCCCCATCCCTAACTTCAGAGATCTAAAAAAAAAAAAAAAAATCATCTGCTTGAATTTCATTTCATGTGGTTTTTTATTCCATACCATGTGCTCAATAATAGCCAAAGTGACGGCTTATGCCAAGATGCAATTTATTGCATAGATGCTTAGAACTAGCTACTTTAGGCTGGGTGCAGTGGCTCACGCCTGTAATCCCAGCACTTTGGGAGCCCAAGGCGGATGGATCACCTGAAGACAGGAGTTCAAGACTAGCACGGCCAACATGGTGAAACCTGCTCTCTACTAAAAGTACAAAAATTAGCTGAGCGTGGTGGCGGGTGCCTGTAATTTCAGCTACTTGGAAGCTGAGGCAGGAGAATCACTTGAACCTGGGAGGCAGAGGTTGCAGTGAGCCAAGATTGTACCATTGTACTCCAGCCTGGGCAACAAGAGTGAACCTCTGTCTCAAAAAAAAAAAAAAAAAAAAAAAGACAACTAGCTACCGTAATAAAGAAATTAGATTTTTGTGACTTAACCTATGCTAATGACACTCTTTAGATGTGACTAAGTTTGGCATTCACCCAAAAACTGTTTTCAATTTAGTGTTCAAACAGAAAAATTTAGACAGTCTAACTAATTTTCTAGCTTTTATCATGTATACATACATAGAAAATAACTGGTCCCTTAAGACATTTAAAAATGCTAGACGGGATACTGAGGATGCCTGGAGCAATATAAAATTATGGTAAATTATGGTATTCATACTAAGTCATCATTTGGAATTTTTTTTTTTTTTGAGACAAGGTCCTGCTCTGTCACCCAGGCTAGAGTGCAGTGGTGTGATCTCAGCTCACTGCAACCTCTGTCTCCTGGTCTCAAGCGATCCTCCCACCTCAGCCTCGCAATTAGCTGGAACCACAGGCACACAACACCACACCAGGCTTATTTATTTATTTTGAGTTGGAGTTTTGCTCTGTCGCCTAGGCTGGAGTGCAGTGGCACAATCTCGGTTCACTGCAACTGCCACCTCCCAGGTTCAAGCAATTATTCTGCCTCAGCCTCCTGAGCAGCTGGGATAATATAGGCATGTGCCACCACGCCTGGCTAATTCCTTTTTTTTTTTTTTTTTCCGAGACAGAGTCTTGTTCTGACGCCCAGGCTGGAGTGCAATGGCATGATCTTGGCTCACTGCAACCTCCACCTCCTGGGTTCAAGCGATTCTCCTGCCTCAGCCTCCTGAATAGCTGGGATTACAGGCATGCGCCACCACACCTGGTTAATTTTTGTATTTTTAGTAGAGATGGGGTTTCATTATGTTGGCCAGGCTGGTCTTGAACTCCTCACCTCAAGTGATCCACCTGCCTTCACCTCCCAAAGTGCTGAGATTATAGGCATGGGCCACCGTGCCTGACTGCCCAGCTAATTTTTGTAGAGACTGGGTTTCACCATGTTAGCCAGGCTGGCCTCAAACACTTGACCTCAGGTGATCCACCCACCTTGGCCTCCCAAAGTGCTGGGATTACAGGCGTGAGCCACCGTGCCTGGCCTAATTTTTGTATGTTTAATAGAGACAGAGTTTCACTATGTTGCCAAGCCTGGTCTCGATCTCTTGGGTTCAAGTGATCCACCTGCTTTGGCCTCTCAAAGTGCTGGGATTACAGGAGTGAGCCACTGTGCCCGGCCAGAAAAATTCTCAGATATTTATTTAGCCAACAAATATATATGGAATTCTTACTATATGCCAGACAATGTGCTGTATCAATATCTTCTCCAAAACAGGCAGTATCAGGCAAACCATTCAATGACAACCACTATTTCCTGCCTTGATTCCCTTTGTGTACCCTTTAAATTCCCCAACAAAACAAATAAGAGTTTTCTTTTTTTTTTTTGAGATGGAGTCTCACTCCGTCGCCCAGGCTGGAGTGTGGTGGCGCCATCTCAGCTCACTGCTACCTCTGCCTCCTGGGTTCAAGCAATTCTCCTGCCTCAGCCTCCTGAGTAGCTGGGATTACAGGCACATGCCACTGCATCCGGCTAATTTTTGTATTTTTAGTAGAGATGGCGTTTCACCATCTTGGCCAGGCTTGTCTTGAACTCCTGACCTCGTGATCCACCCACCTCAGCCTCCTAAAGTGCTGGGATTACAGGTGTGAGCCACCACGCCCAGCCCAAATAAGCATCTTTATAAGTTGTTCCAGAAGCAGGTTAAGCAACACCATGATAAGACGTAAGCATAATCAAACACTATTAAGCCGAGGGTTTAAATGAAAGGTCCAGCTATACAGATGGACCAATACATTTGATTCCGGTCTCGCTTCTAAGAGGCAGACAATGTGAAAATGTGGGGCTCGCAGACCAAAAGCAAACATCATCTTTAAATATCATCAATTATTGAGGGCTAAATTTCTTCAGAGCCATCCCAACCATCAGTAGAAGAAAAACAGGACAGAGCAGAGGCTGAGGAAGATAGGATAAGTGAGAAGAGTTCTAAGGAACTGGGATCAGGGCAAGTCTCCACAGTTTGCTCTAGGGTAATGAAGGGGAGACTATGGCAGAAAGGCCCACTGAGGTCCACTTGACACTGTAATCAATGGTATAGTGATAGATGGGTGCCTGGGTCTCCTTTCTACCTAGAAAGAACTCAAAGAAGCCACATCTCAAATATGCTTTCATTCAAATATTTTTAGAATTACCACTAGCTAAATACAATATCAGGTGCTCTGGAAATACAAAGCCATATGACATAGTTCCCACTTCAAGATATTATTTAATGATGTCCTATCCACTGCCTAAGTTTTCTTCTTACTTAGAGATTCTTTTGAATTAACAAGGACTTTCATGTAAATATTTCTGTAGCTGTTATGGGACACCATCATTCATTCATGATTTAATGTGAACATTGCTTTTAAATTATGACAAAAAATAAAATTCTAGTTGAGATATCCTAGGAGAAGGATAATTTTGATTGGACAAGTCAGATGAGAAGAAGGAATACTTTTACATGTTAGGTCAGTTTCTAGAAGGCAGAAAATTTAGCCTGTTTTGAAGTTTTACTTTTCCTGCTCCATCTACTTTCTCCCACTGATAAATGAGGCCTAAGAAAGAAGGAAGCCTGGGCCGGGCACAGTGGCTCACACCTGTAATCCCAGCACTTTGGGAGGCCAAGGTGGGCGGATCACCTGAGGTCAGGAGGTCGAGACCAGCCTGGCCAACACGGTGAAACCCCGTCTCTATTAAAAGTACAAAAATTAGCCAGGTGTGGTGATGCGTGCCTGTAGTCCCAGCTACTTGGGAGGTTGAGGAAGGAGAATGGCTTGAACCCAGGAGGCGGAGGTTGCAGTGACTTGAGATAGCGCCATTGCACTCCAGCCTCGGTGACAGAATAAGACTCTGTATCAAAAAAGAAAGAAAGAAAGAAAAAAAGAAGCCTTCGGATTTACTCCCTGCTTTCCTGTTAGGCTTTCCTTTCTGAGAGCCTAAGGAGCAGAGAAGGAGAACCAAGGGCAAACCTCCTCTCTTCAATATCTCCCATTTGATCCTCAGATACCACAAGGAATTGATTCCATGGAAAAGTCACAGAAAGCTTTACAGGGCGACATATGCTATTCAAGAGAGGACAAAATTTATGCAGACATAATTCTGGTGGCAGTATCAGCCCATATAGCATACTCCTGACCACCTCGTTCCATACTCCTTTCTTTTTAGAGCATAGCCCCATCTTGACTATTTGTATTAAAAGGGTAGGGCTCCAGAAATCACGTGTCTGTAACTATATTTCCACAACATTTTAAATGAATATTAGAATTTTATTACATTATAAGAATATTATTATTTTCAAAACAATGAGGCTGGACTGATTCAAATAAAATACAAGTATGAAAGGCTAATAAGGAGAACCTCAAGGGTAAAAAATTATAAAATCGCCCTCAAGATACAGTCAAAATACATTTAGATCTTATTTTTCTTATAAGCCACAATTTGCTTCTTTGCCCTCTCTGTTCTCTGCTTAGCCTTGAACAAATCACAAGCAATTATTCCCAAAGGATAAATTTCCTTTTTCAGATTAAAAAATATTTTAATATTCTAGAATAGTCACAAGCAGATTTGAGAGATTAAACACAACTGCCACTTCTTTCTTGCTTGAATGAATTCAACATCATCTATAAATAACTTGATATATTTCAAAGCATTATTTTAATGTTTTGACAGAAGCTGCATTATCATAAAACCAATGAATTAACCACAAAAACAGGTTATGCCAGAAAAGGAAGTTATTGGTAAATAACACATTGTGATACTTTTGGCCTTACAATATGCAAATGAGTATTTCAGAAATTCTAAGCACCTCTCATAGGCTAAAATAACACTGAAAAAGATTAGCCTTTTACCTTCTTAATCTTATTCTTCATAACATCAATTTAGCAATGGCAGATAATTTCCAGACATAGAAATTATGAAGATAATAGCTAAACCAAATTTTCTGTGTAACTTCCCCAACTCTGATGTCCCAGTAAGAAGGATTTGTAACTGCTTTATACCTGTTGATACATCTCATCTGTTAGGCCTTGCCCATATTTTTCAATACATCACTCGACCTGAAAAACTTATTTTCATCTAAAACTTTTATAACATTTTCATTAGATGGAATGGCACTGATCAGCACCACACTTTCCAAGTCACATACACTTTGTGATCTGCTCTTGACTTCAGCATGGCAAGAGAAATAAGATATTACACAACTTCACTTGAATGCTATTGTAATATCTCAAAAGGCTTGTATATTTGTGAGAAAGATGCATCATAATGAGGATGTAGCTTAATTTTCAGTAAATCAAATCTGGCTACTGTGAAAACACTTAATTCAATTTCTCCACTGATTCTCTAAAATCTAAAGAGATAATCAAAATGAGAATATAATGAATTATGCCAGATTTTCATTAAGTCTGCCTCCAAATTTTAAAGCCCTGGGTACCAAACATTTTTGCTTTGATTTTTCTGGTAGCTTTTCAAAGATTAATAGTAAAAAGTAAGGAAGTTGCTTAATGATAAACTATTATATACATACATACATACATATATATATATATATATATATATATATATATATATATATATTTTTTTTTTTTTTTTTTTTTTTTTTTTTTTGAGACAGTCTTGCTTTGTTGCCCAGGCTAGGGTGCAGTGGCGTGATCTCAGCTCACTGCCGGATCACTAACCTCTGCCTCCCAGGTTCAAGCGATTCTTGTTTCTCAGCTCCCTAATAGCTGGGATTACAGGTACTCACCACCATACCCAGGTAATTTTTGTATTTTTAGTAGAGACAAGGTTTCACCATGTTGGCCAGGCTGGTCTCCAACTCCTGACCTCGAATGATCTTCCTGCCTCAGCCTCCCAAAGTGCTGGGATTACAAGCATGAGCCACTGTGCCCAATTATAAATGTTTTATTATTGCCTCCCCATCAAGCTATCTAGAATTGTTTTCATGTTATTAGCCCACAGGGTTAATAACTTTAGATTGAACATATATGAAGACAAAGAACACACAATAATATTTCATAATTGTCAATGGCCAAGGGCCAAATTCTAAGTTATATTACCATTACCTAGTGAATCTTAGCATTAGTAAGAATGATCCAAGTCAATAAATAATATTTAGCATTCCAAAGAAATTCTGATAACCCTTCTCTATATCTAGTTATGCAGAAAAATCTCTGACTTCTGTGTATAAAATTTAAGACCATCAGCTAATGTTCCAGTTGGTTAGTGCAGAGAAGTAAGCTACTAATAACCATGCTTGTTTATTCCCACTCAATTCTTATTAACTTACTTTAAGAATCAGCAGTCCTTGGAAATTATTTAATAATAATTATTAACAGTCTCTTCATCTTGCCTAGAATGAATCTGAATTCATTTTATTAATGAGTAGTTATCTAGTAAATACTTAATATTCTATTTAATATGGATGCTATGGCTCATGCTGAAAATTCTTCAAGTTAATCCATCAAAGCTGATTAGAGAGATAAGGTTTAAAGCAATAGAATGTATGAGTTAGGAGTAAAGAGGGGATACAAATATATGAATTCTGAATTATAAGAAACCAAGCTTGTTTGGGAATAGATTAATTAAAATACACATTTTCCTCATTTCACTGGTACTGGGTACAGACTGAAGACATCAACAGCTACAAGGACTATTCTAAATTTAGGATATCAACAGCAAAGTAGAGTCTTAAGTTTGCTAAAGGTTTTTTTTTTTTAATAAAATGAAAAAAACAACATATGTTATATTCTTGCTCTGTTACCTTGCCACCATGCTTAATATAGATATGTCTGTAGTGAATATCATTACAAATTTATAATCAGTCATGCAGCTTATATTCTAGATTGGAAAATGGACAATAACAGTATAAAAAATAAATTATATGAAATGTTAAATAGTGATATGTGCCAAGGAGAAAAAATAAAGAAAGAGGTTTAGGAGATGTGTGTTGTATGAGTGAAATGGAATAAAAGGTGTTTAAACGTGTAGGTTGGCCAAGGAAGGCCCATTACCCGAATCACATACAGAGAAGAGTAAGAAATTCATGCCACTGCTTATTGTAAGCACGAGATATTTCTGCCAGATTGATTGTTATTCTGGATACGTGTCCTAGAAACTCTTATTTAGAAAAACCAAACTTCCAAAAAGTTTAAATAAGAAGAATTAACTCTAATGGAAGAAATTATATTGCATAACATGCTTTCTTTAGAAAAACAGCTTTCTTAATTTTATTTTTAAGTCAAGAAAAAAACCCACATGATTTCCTATATGTAGTTGTTGACTTTTATTTTAGACCACATAGTAGTTCATAAGCTACTTTGAGGATTCAAGTTTCAATCCATTAGAGCACAGTGTTCATATTCTTCAAAATGATGGCGATTTCTTGAACACCTGTGAGTTCATTAACTTTGTTTTGCTGTTTTTTTTTTTGTTTTTTTTTTTTTTTTGAGTCAGTCTCGCTCTGTCTTCCAGGCTGGAGTGCAGTGGCGCAACCTCAGCTCACTGCAACCTCTGCTTCCCAGGTTTAAGCAATTTTCCTGCCTCAGCCTCCTGAGTAGCTGGGACTACAGGTATGTACCACCATGCCCGGCTAATTTTTGTATTTTTTAGTGGAGATGGGGTTTCGCCATGTTGGCCAGGCTGGTCTCGAACTCCTGACCTCAAGTTATCCACCCACCTCAGCCTCCCAAAGTGCCGAGATTACAGGTGTGAGCCACCGCGCCCAGCCTTATTCCGTTAACTTTGAATGAAAACAGCTCCTCAGAAATATGGCGGTCCCACAGCATCTGGCTGATGCCCTTTGCACTGTTCTAGCTGGTTTTCTGTGGCCCTGCTATCCATCAGAGTAACAGATGAATGCATATGCTAATGTACTTTCCCTATTCCCAAGCCACTCCCTGGCAAAGATTTTCCCTAGGGTATTGGGTGCCCTCTCGCAGATGACTTGGGAACCATTTAGTGTATTTAGACTGTAATGATCCCTTGTTACCCACAAGAAAGGAGAGTCACTGAGTGCCTCATTTCCTGTCATCCTAGCGGCAATCTGAACATGGGAAAGAACTGATCTCAATGTCATTTCTCATATTTCTCCCCATCTTGTTATAATAGATAAAGTAGACAATGCAGTGTGCAAAACTCAGATTGCAAGGATGCTTGAACTGCCCACTATCTATAGGAGAGTTTATGACCAGCCTTTCCGTAGTTCAGCCTTAGACAAAGAAGCAGCACTGAAGTTACAGCTTAACACTGCTGAATATGTGACCACAGCAGTAATGTCAAGTGACAGGAGCCCAGATGCTGGGGTTGGCCTGGGTTCGAATCCTAAACTGTCTCCTTACTCACTGTGGGTCTAGGGACAGGTTCTTTAACCCTCTGTATGCCTCAATTTCCTCATTTGTAAAATGAAAGTAACAATAGTATAAACTTATAGGGTTGATTTGAGGAAAATATGTCACTGGAGTCTCAGCGGGAGAGGAAGGGAGATCATAGAAAAAGTATTTGAAGAAACATATAAAGGCACAGGTCTAAAAAGCTCAATGAACCCAAAGACAAGAAACATGAAGAAAACTGCATCAAGGCACATCATAATTAAAAAGAACATGTGCCAAAAATAAACAAGTGGTTCTCAGACAGGGATGATTCTTCCCCACCCCCAGCACATAGACGACATTTAGCAATATCTGGAGACAGTTTTGCTTGTCATAGCTGGGGGAGGGTGTAGGCTGTGCTGCTGGCATCTAGCAAGCAGAGGTCAGGAATGTTGCTAAATATCCTAAAGTGAACTGGACAGCCCTCACAATAATGAATTATCCTGCCCAAAATATCAACAGTGCTAAGAGTGAGAAATCCTAAAGGCATGTTATAATCAAATGTTTAAAACCAGTAGTAATATCAGGCAAGAGAAAAAAATAAAAGGCATCCAAATAGGGAAATAAGAAGCCACATTATCTCTTCACTGACAATATGATTCTATACCTAGAAAACCCAAAATACTCTGCCAAAAGGCTCCTAGACCTGAAAAATGACTTTACTGAAGTTTCAGGATACAAAATCAATGTACAAAAATCAGTAGCATTTTTACACACCAATAACTTTCAAGCTGAGAGCCAAATCAAGAACTCAATTCCATTTACAATAGACACACACACACACACACACACACACACACACACATACACCCTAGGAATATACGTGACCAAGAAGGTGAAAGATCTCTACAAGGAGAACCACAAAACACTGCTGAAAGAAATCAGAAATGATACAACCAAATGGAAAAACATGCCATACTCATGGGTTGGCAGAATTAATATTGTTAAAATGACCATACTGCCCAAAGGAATCTACAGATTCAATGCTATTACTAATAAATTACCAATGTCATTTTTCACAAAATCAGAAAAAAACTATTCTAAAGTTCATATGGAATCAAAAAAGAGCCTGAATAGCCAAAGCAATCCTAAGCGAAAAGAGGAAACCCAGAGGTATCACATTACAAACTATACTATAAAGCTACAGTAACCAAAACAGCATGGTCCTGGTACAAAAACAGACACATAGACCAATGGAATAGAACAGAAAACCCGGAAATAAAGCTGTACACTTACAACCATCTTATTTTCAACTAAGCTGACAAAAATAAACAATGGAGAAAGGACTCCCTATTTAATAAATGGTGCAGAGATAACTAGCTAGCCATATGCAGAAGAATGAAACTGGACCCTTACCTTGCATCATATACAAAAATTAACTCAAGATGGATTAAAGATTGAAATGTAGGACCTCAAACTATAAAAATCCTAGAAGAAAACCTAGGAAATACCATTCTAGACATCAACTTTGGGGCGAAATTTATGAGTTATTCCCCAAAAGCAATTTCAACAAAGGCAAAAATTGACAAGTGAGACCTAATTAAACTAAAGAGTCTCTGCAAAGCAAAAGAAACCATCAACAAAGTAAACAGACAAACTACAGAATGGGGGAAAATATTCACAAACTATGCATCTGACAATGGTCTAACATCCAGAATCTATAAGGAGCTTAAATAACTCAACAAGCAAAAAAGCAAATAACCTCATTAAAAGTGGGCAAAGGACATGGATAGATCCTTCTCAAAAGAAGACACATAAGCAGCCAACAAACATGAAAAAATGCTCAGTATCACTAATCATCAGAGAAATGCAAATCAAAGCTACAATGAGATGCCATCTCACACCGGTCAGAATGGCTATTATTATCATTATTATTATTATTATTATTATTTTCGAGATGGAGTTTTGCACTGTCTCTCAGGCTGGAGTGCAGTGGAGTGTGATCTCGGCTCACTGCAACCTCCACCTCCCGGGTTCAAGTGATTCTCCTGCCTTAGCCTCCTGAGTAGCTGGGATTACAGGCACCCACCACCACACCTGGCTAATTTTTGTATTTTTTTTTTAGTAGAGATGGGGTTTCACCATGTTGGCCAGGCTGATCTTGAACTCCTGACCTCAAGTGATCTGCCTGCCTTGGCCTCCCAAAGTGCTGGGATTATAGGCATGAGCTACCATGCCCAGCCTAGAATGGCTATTATTAAAAACACAAAAGATAAGAGATGCTGACGAGGCTGCAGAGAAAAGGGAATCCTCATACACTGTTGGTGGGAATGTAAATCACTTCAGCCACTGTGGAAACCAGTTTGACGATTTCTCTAAGAACTACAAACAGAACTACCATTCAACCCAGTAATCCCATTACTGGATACATACCCAAAGGAAAATAAATCGTTCTACCAAAAAGACACATGCACTTGTATGTTCATCGCAGATTTATTCATAATAGCAAAGACACAGAATCAACCTAGGTGCCCATCAGTGGTGGACTGGATAGAGAAAATGTGGTACACAACACTATGGAATACTACACGGTCATGAACAAGAATGAAATAATGCCCTCTGCAGCAACATGGATGTAGCCAGAGGCCATCATCCTAAGTAAATTAACACAGGAACAGAAAACCAAATACCGCACGTTCTCATTTATAAGTGGGAGCTAAACACTGGGTACATGTGGACATAAAGATGGGAACAACTGACACTAGGGACTACTACAGAGGGTAGAGCGGGAGGGGGACAAGGGCTGAAAACCTACCTATTGGGTACTATGCTCACTATCTGGGAGATGAAATCATTCATACCCAAACGTCAGCATCACCCAATATCATATAACAAACTTGTACGTGTCCTCTCTGAATCTAAAATAAAAGTTGAAATTATAAAAACAAAAAACAAGCAAGCAAAAAAAAAAAAAAACTAGTGATAAAGAGACTCTTAAAATCATACCCTGATTCTATTTTCTTCATTCCTGACAAACATAGAAAGTAACTTACAAAGTAAGCACTTCATTGTAAATCACTCACCACATTCAAACTAGGAGTTGAGCACCATAAAGTAAATGTGCTGGGAATGGCAGAGCTACTTGGAGGGGTTTCTAGAACCCAAGGGTCATTGTGACTTTTTAAAAACAAGCTTTTAAGTGGTTAAGGGAGCTATGCGATGTACCAGGTACTCTGAAGGTTCTGTTCTGTGTTCCTTCTGACATTTGGAAAGATATGAAGTTAACAGGACTAAGCAGTGGACACAAGTTCAAAGCTTATTTCAGCTCAACAAACATTTGCTACAACTACTTACAAGTATACATTTTATACCAATGCAGGTCTCTTCATTTAATGCCATAGTCTTTCTGCTACATCATGGCTATTTGCTGTATAATAAATTCTGTCCAAAGTCACAAAAATGTTTTAAAAATTCCCACCAATTTGGGTCATTTTTTAAAAAAGATAAGGTTTATGGATCTTTAAAAATCAGACACAAAGTAACATGTTGTGACAGAATAAAAAAATAAAAACCAAGACAGATTTCCACTAAATATTAGGCACTAAACTATTAATAGCTACTTTATATTCATGATGTCATCATTCTCAAATAAATAATTTGGGTTTGATATTACTGCCCCCTTCATTTTACAGACACAACAGAAGAACAAATCTATTGTCTTCCCCCAAATCACAAGCTAAGAAATGGTGGGGCTGGGATCTGAACTAGAGATGCTTTTAAAAGTACATTATGATCTTAAGTTGTATGCTGCTGGAGTTATTTTGGATTTTCATAACAAATCAATGTGTATTTTCATTGCCAGGGTACTGCTCCACCGTATGAATTTATTCAGACACTTTGGTGTCCCAAAGTCAGCTGTGGCAAGGCATATACATATATATATATAATTTCCTTGTCAATCCTTACACACTTACACAGAGGAATAAGAACGAAAGTGGTCACAGTCATGGCAGGACATGTATATGCCACTTATTAAAAACTATCTTCTAGTAGCTTTATGTTTACAGATGGCTGGCTTGGAGAAGGTGAAAAAGAGAGGGTTATTTTTGTTTGATATGTCCCAGACCAAAAAAAAAAAAAATTGCAAATCACTTATTTCAAACATACAAATCTGAACTCTGGTTCACCTTAGGTAGATTTTAATAGACTACACATGGAGAGCTATGAACATAACATTTTGTTTAGTTTTTCTGAATGGTTAAAAAAAGTCACATCAAAAAGTAATAAAATTTAAAATCACTTAGAGTAGCATACTAATCAACAAAGCTATTGATAGTTTTAAAAAATCAGAAACTCCTCAATGCTCTAAGTGAGTCAAAATTGAGTTTTGTGTCTTCAGAAGTATTCCTCCAAGGTTAAAAAACAAATATTCAACTCAATTAGGTCAACCAAGCCAATTTTCTTCTTTAGTGGAGGAAATGATAGATCAAAATATGTGTTATTGGAGAAGCAGTAAGTTAATGAAGGATATAGTAGTAAGCAATACATGACTCACCTTGACAGAATACAGAGTGACAGACAGTTAAAGGTAGATGTCACTTCTTAGTTTTTTTGCTGCTGTTGTTTTTGAGACAGGGTGTCACTCTGTTGCCCAGGCTGGAGGGTGGTGGCCTCATCTCAGCTCACTGCAACCTCCGCCTCCCAGGCTCAGGCTATCCTCCCACTTCAGCCTCCTAAGTAGCTAGGACTACACGTATGCTTTTGTAGAGATGGGGTTTCACCATGTTGCCCAGGCTGGTCTTGAACTCCTGAGTTCAAGTGATCTGCCCACCTTGATCTCCCAAAGTTCTGGAATTACAAGTGTGAGCCACTGTGCCCAGCCGTTTTGTTTTGTTTTTAACTTTACTTTGATACTTTAGTTTTCTCTTCTTTCTGCCTCTCTCAGGTGGTTCTATACCCAAGTTACAGTAAATTAAAAGCAAATGAAATTTTATGTAACTTATAATTCATTATAATTCATTAACTCTACCAATATGTCTTGTTTTATAAACATATAAACAATTATGTTTATAGTCCTGTATCTGCTCTACAAATGGAAAAAGAAAACGTTTATACTTACTGGAAAGAACAGTTGTGAGGAAAATGTAGTCTGAAAAGGATATGAGCCCACATTCTCCAAGGGTGTAAAATATACTGCCTTCATCAGCAAATTTTTCTCGTTCCTGGGAAATTTTCTATAGAATGTATGGGTCCCACCAAAAGACAAAAATATATAAGTGAATTAGAATATAAATAGTAAGAGATGAATCACCATTTATCTGACAGTTTTATGCTATTTATCATAAGCATTTCTCTCATGGCCATTCAAAATCAATGGATCCTTTACAGTTTTCAAGATGATGAAAATTTTAAGACAAAAATTATGTTTTCATTTCAACACTAGTTCAATATGAACATTAGAAAATAATTTCAATGTTAGAACCCTCTGCCATTGCACATATACAGGCCCACTTCAGAACAGGTTTTGTTTCTTAGTTTGAAAAACAATCCACCTTCTCCTACAGAGGTATACGTGGTAGTAAACAAATAAACAAACACATGAAAAAACTAAAAGGAAATCAGTTTTGTCCAAGAAAAACTAGACTGATAGTGATTAGAAAGAAAGAAGTGAGCAACTATTTCCAAGGCCTATACAAATGCTCAGAAAACCAATTTTTGAAAAACTAATTTTACTTGATAGCCCCAAGAATCTTAGCTTCAGAATACAGACCAGTATGCAGAGTGAATAGCATCTCTGAAATATAATGCCAAATCAGTCGTACACACTTTCGGCAATTTAATCATATCTACTGTTACTTTAATGGAGGCTCCTAGATGTCAGCTATTTGATGAAACTGTCTCCTACAACTTAGTTTTTACTCTAAATATATATTTCTCTTCTTTAATCTATAAATCTCACAAAGAAAGTTAGTTCTCAGCTTTGGTAATTGTCTGCCTGGCAAGTGGTCTCTTCCTGGGTGTTTAAACAAACTTACTCTGTTTTCTGAATTCTTAGCCAAAGCATAAACTTAGTTGTGACATTGAATATATTTTCAAAAACTGAAAAGGATCCACCAAAAAGTTAGACTTGAAACTAATTTCCACAAGTTCTAGACCACCAAAAATATTTAAGGAATTATTTTGAGTATAAAAAATAGATTTTAAAAACCCAAACCAATAAAGCACAATCAAAGTAATAATGTCATGCAAGCATAAAGTAAGAGGCAGCATTGCAGGCATAACTTCAAGAGGAGTATGATGAAAACTAAACCAACAAGCACCATCACACCAGCATCCAGTTACACAACTATCCAATGGGTTACCTCTGTCTAGTGGAGATCCCATCATAAACCACAAAGGAAAGAAAACTGGTTAACCAACTGAAAATACAAGTACCACACGAATCATCGTGAAGTCAGTTTGTATGATCTTCTCAATAAACTCATTCAAAATAGCCTCTACTAGATATTTACTTGTTCATAAGAAACAGTAGCTATGGACAGGTTAAAGTCCACAGGTGAATAACAATTACACAGTAGTAGGTTTTGATGGCGCTTCTACTTAGAAGAACTTTGCTGACTTCTTTTGCGGCTCACAGAAGGCATAGTCCTGCTTGATAGCATTTAGAGATTACTTCTTTGAGTTGACAACAAAAATGAGTATAGTCCAGTATGTTATTAAGGTTAGATCTCATACTACACTTGATCTTCTACCAAGAGACTGAACAGAAATTTCAGACAAAAAAAGCTACTGGATGAGAACTAGAACAGCAAAGCCCTCCACCAGGAAGTTAATATTTAAATTTCTCAAAATAAAAGAAAAAAATTTGCATTTTTTACGTTACCCAAGATACTGCAAAGGTAAACTATGTGAACAGGAAAAAATACACAAAATGAGAATAGGTCCCCAAAGGCTGACCATTACCAGCCATAACAATAAATGTGTATAGAAGCTAATATTTAATAATAATGATGTAATAAGCTTATGGGGAAATTGCTATAATTAAAATAAATAACATAGTGGAAGCCACAGGTTGAGAAACAGACAAAAGTCTAAGGATAGAGTGAAATGAGGAAGTTAAGCCAAAGAAGCAAACCTAACATTATTTTTCTAACAATCATCCGGGCCATGCTGATGCTGAGAAGGTAACATAAGGGCAAATCTAATTTTGTTGGTAACAAAATTTGAGTTTGACATAACTTCAAACTCACAGAAAAGTTGAAAGATTAGTATAAAGTACTATTATATATTTTTTACCAATTCACCAACAGTTTACATATTACACAATTTGCCTTGTATTTTTTCAACATGCCACTTTGAAAGTAAATTGGAGACATCATGCCACTTTATGCTTAAGTACCTCAGCATAGATTTCCTGGGAACAAAGACATTCTCTAATGGTCACAATCCCAAATGCCATAATCCCAAACGTTGAAATCCCCAAAGATCAAAATTTCTAAAGCCTAAAATCCCCAAAATGTAATTCTGATACATAATTTATAGCACAGTGTATATTTAATAAAACCAGGAAATTTAGTATTGATACACATACTATTATCTAATTCAGTCCTTTTTTATTTTTTTTTTGAGATGGAGTCTCGCTCTGTCACCCAGGCTGGAATGCAGTGGCGTGATCTCAGCTCACTGCAACCTCTGCCTCCCGGGTTCAAGCCTCAGCCTCCCGAGTAGCTGAGATTACAGATGCACACCACCACGCCCATCTAATTTTTGTATTTTTAGTAGAGACGGGTTTTGCCATGTTGGCCAGGCTGGTCTTGAACTCCTGGCCTCAGGTAATCCACCCACCTTGGCCTCCCAAAGTTCTGGGATTACAGATGTAAGCCACTGCGACCAGCCAAATCCAGTCCATTTTCAAATTTTAGCAAATTGTCCCAATAATTTCCTTTATAGCTATTTTCACCCTGATCAAGGATGTAATCCACAATCATAAACTGCATTTAGTTGTCATGTCTCTTTAGTCTCCATTAATAGGGAACAGCCTTTCTTTGTCCTTATTTTTTCCTGTAGAGGTTTATTGGTTTTGATTGTGATAAATTCACCATTTTTACCATTTAACCACACAGTACGTAGGCCTTTTAGGTTTGGCTTCTTTCACTGAACATAATGTTTTTTAGGTTCACCATGTTGTAGCATGAATCAATATTTAATTCCTTTTTATTGCCAAATGATATTCCACTGTATGGGATGCTGATCATAATCCCCCCAAAATACACACTGAACACCATAATCCCGAATGTTGAAATCCCCAAAGATCAAAATCCCTAAAGTCTAAAATCCTAATTTTGGAAAACATAAAAATTCTTTAAAAATATTTGCTTACATTTTTAAAGAAGATTTGAGAAACATAAGAATGAGACAGAACACTTTGAGCAGAAGAACCACTGTTCATAAAGAAATGGCTCAAAGGGGAAATGTATAAACGCCTATCACTATAGTTAGTAATCGTATGTGCCCCAGTTATAAAGGCAGTCATCTGAAATACCCTGAGAACAAACCTAAGTCTTTTCATGAGATAAGTTAAAAACCACAATGGGTCATTATTGCATACACAGTTGCCCAAAGAGCTGAGATCTTGAGAAATTTTATCTTTCACAAATGCAGTACAAAAAAGGTCATTTCTTCATTTATTGAGGAAGTTTCAACGTTTTAACATAAACGCACAATGCTTACACACAATAAATGCTGTGATAATACACTTTTCTGAAGTCGAATTTCTGATATCCAAAGCAGCAGCAGAAAAGTCTGCCCCAGCTCTCAGAGAGAACCATTTGCTGTCTCCAGATCCCTAGCTGATTGGGTGGTGCCCATCAACATTGAGGGCAGACCGTCCCCATCTAAATCCACTCAGATTCACACACTAGTCTCCTCACCCTAACACCCAAAATAATGCTTTACCAGGTTTCTAGGTATTCCTTAATCTAGTCAAGTTGACATTTAAAATTACTGATACCTAAAATGAAGTCCACAAGTTCATCCCTTATCAATCTGGCATCCATACACAGTTGTTTTTTGTTTTTTTTTTTTTTTTTTTTTTTGAGACGGAGTCTCGTTTTGTCGCCAGGCTGGAGTACAGTGGCACAATCTCTGCTTACTGCAATCTCTGCCTCCCAGGTTCAAGCAATTCCCCTGCCTCAGCCTCCCAAGTAGCGGGATTACAGGTGCCCGCCACCACGTCTGGCTAATTTTTTGTATTTTAGTAGAGATGGGTTTCACCATATTGGCCAGATGGTCTCGATCTCCTAATCTCATGATCTGCCCACCTTGGCCTCTCAAAGTGCTGGGATTACAGGCGTGAGCCACCATGCCTGGCCCCCATACACAGCTCCTTAAGCCATACTTAACTCCCAAATAAAGATAACAAGGTAAGGAATTTTGATTTTTTGGGATTGTATCTTTCCAGATTATGATCCAAACCCCACTGTATGTATATGCCACAGTTTATCTATTCATATGCTCAAAGACATTTAGGTTATTTCCACCTTTTGGTTATTCATGTATGAGTATCTGTTTGAGTACCTGTTGTCAATTCTTTTGGTATGTACTAAGGAGAGGAACTGCTGGGTCATATGGCAGCTCTATGTTTTTGGTTTTTGTTTTGTTTTGTTTTGTTTTGTTTTGTTTTGAGACAGTGTCTCACTCTGACACCCAGGCTGGAGTGCAGTGATATGATCTTGGATCACCGCAGCCTTGACCTCTGGGGCTCAGCTCAGGTGATCCTCCCATCTCAGCCTCCCCAGTAGCTGGGACTACAGGTACATGTCACCATGCTCGGGTAATTTTTGTATTTTTTGTAGAGATGGGGTTTTGCCATGTTGCCCAGGTTGGTCTTGAACTCCTGGAGTTAAGCAATCTGCGTGCCTCAGCCTCCAGAGTGCTGGGGTTACAGGCATGAGCCACCACACTCAGCTGGTTGTTTTTTGTTTAAGACAGGAGGAGGTTGCTCTGTCGCACAGGATGAAATGCAGTGGCACAATCATGGATCTGGGCTGCATCCTTGATCTCCTGGGCTTTAAGCAATCCTTCCACCTCAGCCTCCCAAAGTACTGCGATTACAGCACCATTTACATTCCCATAAGCAATGTAAGAGGATTCCACATTCTCCACACCCTCACCAATACTTCTTCCTCTTCTTCTTTAAAAAATTATAACCATCCTCATGGATATGACATGGTATCTCACTGTGATTTTGATTTACATTCCCCTAATACCTAATGATGCTCAGCATCTTTTCATGTGCTTTTTGACCATCTGTATATCTTCTTTGGAGAAATGTCTATCCAAATCCTTTGCTCATTTTTGAATTTGTTATTTCTCATTTGGCTGTTGAGTTCTAATCGAAGTTCTTTATATATTCTGGATATTAGATCCTTATCATAGACATATCTGCAAATATTTTCTCCTATTCTGTGTGTTGCCCCTTCACTCTTGATAATGTCCTATGAAGCAGAAAAGTTTTAAATATTGAAGTCCCATTTATCTATTTTATTATTTGTGCTTTTGATGTTATATTTAATATTTCATTACCAATCCAAGGTCATGAAGATTTACCCCTACTTTTCTACTAAGGGTTTTACAGCATTTGCTCTTTTTTTTTAGGTTATTGATCCATTTTGAGTTAAATTTTGTATATAATGTGAAGTAGGGGGTTCACCTTCATTCTTTTGTACGTGAATATCTAGTGGACCTTATACCATTTGTTGAAATGGTATGACCTTTTACCACTGTCTTACATGCTTGTTGAAATTCAATTAACCATAGATGTGTGGGTTTATTTCTGAACTCTCAATTTTCTTCCATTGTCTGTGTTTATGCCAGTACCACATCATTTACATTTTTGTAATTTAAAAAAATTGCAGTAAAATGCATATAACAAAATTTACCACTATAAACATTTTAAAGTATAAGTCTCTTCAGCTCTGTGCATTTTTTTTTTCATTCTTTTTCCTCTCTGCCTCAGACTAGATAATATCAATTGACCTATATCTTCAAGTTCACTAATTCTTTCTTCTGCCTGCTCAAGTTTGCTGGTTGAATCCCTCTAGTCAATTTTTCAACTCAGCTCTTGTACTTTTCAGTTCCAGAACTTCTATTTGGTATCTTTTAAACAATTTCTATGTATCTATTGAAATTTTCTGTTAGTTCATACATCATCCTTTTAGCTACTTAACTATACTTTAGGCAGTTGATCTAAAGTCTTTGAGTAGTACATATAA
The DNA here is from genome assembly GCF_000001405.40 of Homo sapiens. Taxonomy (NCBI): domain Eukaryota; kingdom Metazoa; phylum Chordata; class Mammalia; order Primates; family Hominidae; genus Homo; species Homo sapiens. The sequence goes on from NC_000010.11 coordinate 72,514,309, forward strand.
TGTCCGTGCCTCCTCAAGGATACTCCCTATTTCTTTTTTTTTTCTTTCTGTGATTGGGCTGTAATTTATTGTTTCTATGTATGCATAATTTCTTGTTGAAACTGGACATTTTGTATATTATAATGTGGTAACTCTCGAAATCGCATTCTTCCCCTTCCTCAGGGTTTGTTGTTGCTACTTACTGTGGGTTGTAGTTGTTTGTTTAATGACTTTATTAAACTCTTCTTGTAAAGACCTGTGACCTTTGTCATAGGTCGTCACTCAAGTCTCTGTTCACCTTAGTGAGCAACTAGTGATTTGACAGGTTTCCTTAAATGCCTGGAGCGAAAGGGGTAAAAATACTCTCCGGATCTTTTCAGACTGGCTCTGTATTGGGCATTTCTTCAATGCTTACTTAGCAAGACCATTTACAACTCTCTCTTAGCCTTAAGATTCCGGCTTGCATGGGGCTTAAATGTCAGCCAGACATGAAAGCTCAGGATCTTCTAAGGTTTCTTCTGAACATTCATTCAACCCTAAGCCTTCTACACTCCCCTGTATATGGTGAAGCATTTCAAATCACTTGTTCTCCCATGTATCTCCTTACAAAGCCTCTTCCTTCCCAGGCTATTTGGTTTGTCTGCTTGTCCCAGCTGCTACAGTATTATTTACCTTTAAATCTTTCTGACAAATGCTGCCCCAGTCCCCTAAAAGCTCTGAAGCAGGTGAAACAAAGGCAAGCCTCAAAGCTGATTCCTTAGGGAGCCACCAGACAGGTTGATGCCCACATCCAGAGTCATCCAAGAACATGATCCACATTGCTCGTTCTGACACAAGCAAACTCTGTCAGGAACATGGGCCGCCATCCTTACAGCTGCCATTGCACTGGGGACTTGGGGTGGTCACCAGGTAAGTTAAAATACAATGTTCTGTGAACAAATTTTAGCAGCTTCTTTCTTTTAAAGCGTTCTCCTGGTTGTTTTAAGTCTTTCGTTAGATTCTAGAGATCTGAACAAGTTGACTGACAATTTTTGGCAGCTTAATTTTTGGTTTAATGGCGGGATGTGGTTTTGGAGTTCCCCGCTGTGTCATTTTTTCTCTCTTTGTACTTCTTAACCTTGACAGTTTTAAAAGGCACAGGTGAGTTATATTGTAGAATATCTCTCATTTTGAATTAGGCTGATGTTTCTTTGTGATTAGATTCATATCTAGCTATCACAAACTATGAATTCATGTTGATACCTATAATTCCTTTCTAGGAAACAATTTGGTCTTATCCCTCACACACTTGTTACTACCTTCTCCAAAAATGAGAAACCTGGTTCCCATTATCATCAATATATTTATTCAAGCTTAGAATACACAAAAAGTAGTTTCACAACTGCTAATCCCATCTCTGCAGAAAACAAACATATCTATGTCATCTAGAGTCCAACATTTGTTACTTTTTTAAGGAAAATCTACATATGTTGAAAAGCAAAAATCTAATGTATAATAGACGTCTTTATCAAGATATGGAACATTTCCATCACTTCCGAAAGTTCTTTTATGCCCCTCCATAATAAATTCCTACCATATTTTCACCATAGATGAGTTTTGCCTGTTCTAGAAATTGATATAAATGGTATCACTAGTATATACTTTGGTGTCCTGCTTCTTTGGCTCAGCATAATGTGGGGAAGATTCATCCACACTGTAATCATCAGTAGTTCACTTTTATTGCTTAGTAGTATTTTATTCTGATCATTACAAAATTAAAATATATAATAAATGTAAAAGTGTTCCTATTTCTCCACATCCTCTCCAGCATCTGTTGTTTCCTGACTTTTTAATGATTGCCATTCTAACTGGCACGAGATGGTATCTCATTGCGGTTTTGATTTGCATTTCTCTAATGACCAGTGATGACGAGCTTTTTTCATATGTTTGTTGGCCACAGAAATGCCTTCTTTTGAGAAGTGTCTGTTCATATCGTTCATCTACTTTTTGTTGGGGTTATTTTTTTCTTGTAAATTTATTTAAGTTCCTTGTAAATTCTGGATGTTAGCCCTTTGTCAGATGGATACATTGCAAACATTTTCTTCCATTCTGTAGGTTTCCTGTTCACTCTGATGATAGTTTCTTTTGCTGTGTGGAAGCTCTTTAGTTTAATTGGATCCTATTTGTCAATTTTGGCTTTTGCTGCCATTGCTTCTGGTGTTTTAGTCATGAAGTCTTTGTCCATGCCTATGTCCTGAATGGTATTGCCTAGGTTTTCTTCTAGGGTTTTTATGGTTTTAGGTCTTACATTTAAGTCTTTAATCCATCTCGAGTTAATTTTTGTATACAGTGTAAGGAAGGGGTCCAATTTCAGTTTTCTGCATATGGCTAGTCAGGTTTCCCAGCACCATTTATTAAATAGGGAATCCTTTCCCCATTGCTTGTTTTTGTCAGGTTTTGCAAAGATCAGATGGTTGTAGATGTGTAGTGTTATTTCTGAGGTCTCTGTTCTGTTCCATTGGTCTATATGTCGTTTTGTGATGTGCTGTTTCTAATTCTTTAGTAAAAAGGTCTACATTGTTCTTCCATGCTTTTGCAGTTGGGGTGGTAAAGAAGTAGAGAGGGAGAGAAGTTACTTGTATGTTTTCAGAGGCATGCTCTTGTTAAAGAGTGGTTCAGGCAAATTTAGGATTATGTATCTATTTACCAACTCTTAAGAATTCATAAGTGAATTTATAGAGTATCCAAAACTCTGAGGAAGATTCTTAAAAAATTCATGACATAGTAATTACAGACACAAAAATTATCATAAAACCATCAAATTTGATCTCTCAAGTTACTCAAAGCTAGGAAGAACATCAAATAAATACGTCAAAATTTGGGAGGAAATGGGAGTTACTAGAAAACAAACTTTTAGATTATTCTGTGCCTATGGCTGCTTCTTAGCTGGTGTTTTAAAACCAAAGACCTGATTCTACCATTTGATCCAGCAATCCCACTACTGGGTATTTACTCAAAGGAAAAGGAGTCATTATACAAAAAAGATACTTGCATATGCATATTTATAGCAGCACAATTCACAACTGCAAATACGTGGAACCAGCCCAAATGCCCATCAATAAACAAGTGGATAAACAAACTGTGGAATATGCATACGATGGAATACTACTCAGCCATAAAAAGGAACGAATTAATGGCATTCGCAGCAACTTGGATAGGACTGGAAACTATTATTATAAACGAAGTAACTCAAGAATGGAAAACTAAACATTGTATGTTCTCATTCATAAGTGGGAGCTAAGCTATGAAGATGCAAACGCATAAGAATGATACAATGGACTTTGGCGACTCGGGGGTGTGGGGAAGGGTGAGGGGGTGAGGGATAAAAGTCTACAAATTGGGTTCAGTGTACACTGCTCGGTGATGGGTGCACCAAAATCTCACAAATCACCACTAAAGAACTTACTCATGGAACCAAATACCACCTGTTCCCCAAAAACCTATGGAAATAAAACTTTTTTTTTTTTTTTAAAGAAAATGTCAAGTAAAATGATCCTTCATTTAATCTTTTAGATGGTGTTTAATCTTTTACTAAATTTTAAGTCATTCTTTCCCCTAAGCAAACACCACTTATACACTTCAGGGGTGATATGGAGGCATATTCCAAGGAGAATATAATCTTATCAGACTGGTAGTAATGTTCTCTCACTGCCCCAGAAGTAGTTATTTACATTTTTTGTTATTTTATTGTGTTGTTTTCTTTTCTTCTTTTTTTTTTTTTCCTGAGATGGAGTGTTGCTCTGTCCGCCAGGCTTGGGTGCAATGGTGAGATCTCAGCTCACTACAACGTCTGCCTCCCAGGTTCAAGCGATTCTCCTGCCTCAGCCTCCTGAGTAGCTGGGATTACAAGCATGTGCTACCACACCCAGCTAATTTTTGTATTTTTTTGTAGAGACAGGGTTTCACCATGTTGGCCAGGCTGGTCTCAAACTCCTGACCTCAAGTGATCCTCCTGCCTTGGCCTCCCAAACTGCTGGGATTACAGGCGTGAGCCACTGCACCTGGCCTGTTTTCTTTTTTAAAAAAATTTGTGTTATTAATACACATTTATATTAATATGTAATTTTTACTAGAAAGTATAACCTAAGGATTTATATTTAATTCAATATATGTAGTAAATTCAAATATAGTAAACTATAAGAAAGAAATTTTTTAATATAAAAGTTGAAAGAAATAGAACACACTTCAATTCTATTGTAAGGGTATATAATGTGAGATTAGGTAATAAATTATCAGTTCAGTTAAAAAAATTTTAGTAAGGGTCTATGAGAAATTTGTTTCATCTTCAAGTTCCTGAGGTAAGACTCTACCAATCCTTCAGTATACATGCTGAAAATTATTTAAATAGAACTGGATATTCTTTTTTTTCTCTTTGAGATGGAGCCTCGCTCTGTTGCCCAGGCTGAAGTGCAGTGGAATGATCTCGGCTCATGGCAAACTGCCTCCTGGGTTCAAGCGATTCTCTTGCTTCAGTCTCCCGAGTAGCTGGGATTACAGGCATGTGCCACCATGCCTGGCTAAGTTTTGTATTTTTAGTAAAGACAGGGTTTCACCATATTGGCCAGGCTGGTCTTGAACTCCTGACCTCAAGTGATCTGCCCGTCTCGTCCTCCCAAAGTGTTGGGATTACAGGCGTGAGCCACTGCTCCCAGCCAGAATTGGATATTCTTAAAAGAGATTGTAATTGCAGATACCTTACAGAGCATTATGTTGTTTTATGTGGCTTAGAAGTTACATTTCAAACTTGATTCCAATCACTTGAATCTCTGAAATTAAGGATATGGAAGCAGAATGCAGGTCAAATGACAAGAATAGCATTTCTATTCAATTTACTGACCAATGTTACCTCTTCTTAGAGAAGAAAATTATGCAAAATGTTTTAAAGCAATGTGCTAACTTAAATGAACAAAATATAACTGTTTTACTATTCACTGATATGACCTAGTCTTAGATCTTACTTATTTCAAAACTTAAAGTGTAGTTATAGGTACAGTATCACCAACCCATTCAAATTACTGATCTCAAGTAAAGGCAAATGGACATTATTACAGGTTTCTGGTATTGATCTCAACTGCACCATATCCTGGATATTTTCATTTTTTAGATAAGCAGAAAGACTTGAAAGTAAACTTATTATATAGCAAATTATACACTACACATGTGTAACTGTTACACTTCACAGTAAGTCAAAAACCTAGATTTTTGTACCAGATGACTTTATGCTGAAGCACTCACACTTTAGTTTCTGACCAATCACATAAACTTATAAAATACATGGTTAAAGTTGCTGGTGCCATGAGGGGCACTGGAACTGGGATTTCCAGACTCATGAGCGCTAAGTGTGCTCAAACAGTAAATCCTAACTAGTTACAGGGTTGATCAAAATAGGGTTGGTAATTTTGCCTTCTGGGACTCAAGTATATGAAGCCAAAGAGAGAAAACATATCTAGAAACTTATTTCTTCTAGTTAAGATCTAATTTTCAAGTTATAAAGTTAAAAAAACTTTTTCTAGTTAAAGAAGTTGATGGACTATGTCTGCAAAATCAATGCTTACATATCATCCAGAAATTCAAAACATCTTTGGCATATAGAAAATGTGATGAAGAACACAGCTTTACTATTTAAATTAAAGTGTCATCCTTTATGGGGATGAAATCCTTGGGTTATTTTAGTATTAATATTTTGCTACATTGCTGAAATACATTCAAAGTCTATCTAAATCCCTTGAGTAATATTTGAGGTTGTACATCAAAAACAAATTAATGATAATATGCTTCTTCTGGAAAATACAATTTTGGCATATCATTTCCAAATGACAAATAGTATTTCTATCTAAGGTTGGGGTCAAGGTATGCGGTGGGGTGTTAGAAAGAAAGAGAAAATTCAGCAATTTTCCCATGCAATTAATGCTTACACTTCATTATCTAGTTGGTGCATGGATTGATGCCAAAGCCTTGGTAAAACATCAATCTTAAACAATCACACTATTTCCAATCAAATTAAAAATGTTGCACAGCTAAAATATGTTTTTCTTATTCCCCACCCCATCTCTGAACTTGCAGAAGGGTAGAATTTGGGGATATATCAGATAACAATGAAATCAAAATGTTTCTAATTTGAAGTAGTTTATGATTCCTCCTTCTGACTCAAATTTTCTTCTAAGCTTTTCAAAGGTAATATCGCATTTGAGGCAAACACACATAAATTACTGTGCAACAAACTGGAAGGTGAATGCTTAAGATACTGTAAACTTCACTATGCCAGAAAGCAATTCTCTTTTCAGTCCCAATTCTAACCACCTCAGCTGTGAGAACAATTCCAAATACCTGGAATGCAAAGGTTTTCTTATCTCATTAACTAGATGGCTTCAAAGATGGTACAAATGAAGATGTTTTTAAAAAACAGTGGCAGATGATTTGATTAAAAAGCAATAATAAAACATTTTAAAAGTCTACTGGAATGGCATTAACTTTAAGGAAACGATACAACTTTACTGCAAAGGTTTGTTTTAATCCTCAGTATCTGAACGAGGTATTATCAAAACTCTAGAAGGAGAAAATCTTCAACTCTACCATGTTATTTCTGCATACTAGCTTCAAAGCAGCTTTGAGCAGGGGAATCTATGTTTTATGACTTGATTATCTGCTACCTAAATCTAAGAATTTAATTTTGAACTTTGGCCACTCAAATGGATCAATGCTAAAAAGAAAGTCCTGAGATCAGCAGCAGTGTTGTTTTTAGTCACTTGGGTTATAAAAAGTTTCTCTATCACTTAATGTAAAAACAATCTCAAGTAAAAATCTTGAAAAATAAGTCAATATAGTGATTTCACCTTCTTTCACTTGGAAAAAAATTTGTATAAGAAAAAAATGTATCATAAGAACAAAAATTAAAGTTTCACTCTGAGGATCACCGTTCACAACCTTGATCTAAACTGCTTTAGTAACTATCACCTCCCAAGAAACCGTGTTGATGAAGGACTTTAAAAGCAATTTTGAAAGCAAACAAACATTTATAGGTATCCCTTAAGCACCAATGACCATTAAAGACAACATTAAAGACCATGAAAAACTTAAGCATTATACTTCGCATATTCTGCAAGTATATGAATTGGAAGTGGCTGACCTCAATTACAGGTGTCAGCATCTCATTTGATTTATTCTCTTTAGTAAATGCCAGGCACTGTGCTAGGTACTTTATATTTGCATTATCTCTTTAAGTCCTTATTGCATACTATTATCTGCACTTTATGGATAAGAACACTCAGGGTTAGAGAAGTCACATAAGTAGCCAAAGGTGACAATACTATTAAGTGGCAGGAGACTCCAGAGCCCATGTCATGAATCATTATATGTTACATTGTATCAACTGCACAGGAACACACTGGGTATCTATATTGTTCACAATTTCTGGAAAATGTTAATCAGGACTGAATATTTTTGAAGTAGTTCACTACCATAAAATATTTACCTTGGGGCTTAGCTTGTATCCACTAAGTTAACTTGAAGTTGAAGAGGAAAGTCCAAGCCAATGATACAGGTGCACTTTTTTTTTAAGGCTTTCACTTACTCAAATGCATATTTCAATCATTTTGAAATGTGCATCACTTCAAGAGTGTAATGTTCTTTATAATTTTTAATTAATAAATGTTAGATTAATCTGTAATTGGTGAAGTTTTTCATTCAAGTTTAGAATTTTAAAAAATACATCATGCCAAAAACAAATATGCAAATAAAGGACTATCCTCACACATTCTCTACAACCAAAGATTATAAATAGATGGTCAGGCTAAGTTGAGAACTCATTTTACCAGAAGAGAAGGAGAAATAACTTGTTTAGTATACTCTTATAGAACTTTATTTATGTGACCTTAAGCATGCTAGAATGTGCTAAAATATAAGAAAAAAGAAGTTGGCCTGGAACTGAAGAAAGTTCTCTGATAGCAAAGTGATTTTTGAATCTTGTTTTATGATGAAAAAGCTAAAGATGAAGGTGTAAGAAATGCAATGGTTAGTCATGTTTATGTTTTCAAATCAACAATGATAAATCAAATGGGTTCATTGATCCCAAATTCAAACACAACATAATCTAAAATAAAAATGGATGTAAAGATATTTTAATAGGAGTCTGAATATTTGAGACAACTAAGTAAACTACACCCTCCTTTGGCACACTTAATGATTACATTATTATTTATTTTCTCAACTTGAATAATCAAACACATGGGTTAGATTAACAAACTTTAGTAGTGGTGGAACTCAGAGACTGGAAAGAGACATTATGGATACTCCTCACAGCAGTCTAAGTATTTCACAGCATTAATAAACTGCATCTGAAGAACAGCATTCTATGCTACCAGGAAAACAAAACAATCCCAGACTTTCCACAGGCAATAGAAACTTAGCATGCAAAGAACAAGTCACTGCAAAGAAGCAAGCAAGAAATGCCTCTTCTACAAAGTAACTGTTCATTGACCTTTGGAAGCTTAAAGGATTCATACTAGTGTCACCAAAATGAGTGATACTCATAGAACACAATGTAGGTAAACAATTCTCCCACTACCTAAGAAAAAGGTTTATTATTATTCTTTAATGTAAAAAGTTTATTCATAAGATAGACTTAAGAATGCAGAAAAGCTTGATTTTGAATCCCTGATCAACCAAGGACACTACCTTAAACAGTGAAAGTTTAAAGAAGACTGGTGCTGTTTTGTCACCTAGTGTGGTTGACTACTTAATGCTGCAGATTCCAGAGACTTTTAAGCACTTACCAACTGCTGCCTCTCTTATCTATTCCTAATTAGTAAGGACACCTATCCAAGTCCAGCCATTGTAAATCTTCCAGCCGTAAGCCATACAATTATTAAAGGAGAGGAAGAGTTTTTAGCTACCCTCTACAAACTGTCCTACCATAATCAGAGAACCGGAAGTGGCTGGCCTCAATCACAGGTGTTAGTATCTCATCTGATCTATTCGGTACTCTGTATGATGTTTGTGCCATGGCTGTTCTAAAATAGAATTCCCAGGATTAGAAACATTGATAATGGAATCGTCTATACGTTATTCTGACATAATTTTTAATGTATTTGTTGGTTTGGTTCAGAATGCAGTTAAAGACAAAGGTATTTAGGAAGATAATCCATTGTACTAATAATAAGATACCTAATTTGAGGGTTTGGTAAGAGGGACTACCAAAAATTACACCCCATTTTTCAAACAAAGGAAGTATAGAAAAAATGTACTGTAAAAATAAAGAGCACCCTGTGGTCTTCGTTAGTTATATTAGTTATTTTAAACCAAAAGATGTTTATAATTCAGCTTAATTTATATTTAATTACTACAACTCAGTTTAATTTATATTTTTAAGACTGCCAGCCACCAGAAATGTGAGAGTAATATTTTAATGAATAAATTTTAATAATTTATAAACTACCATTAAAGAGCCCAAGCCTTCAAAGATCAATTTAAAAAGTACCTTTAGGAGTGTCCTTGAAGATCTCCTTGGCCCGTCTGTAAGTATATATTCTTTTCATGGTTTTCTCCAAATATTTAGTTGCTTTTCCAAATTAAAGTCATTGATTAGCTCAGAAAAGCAAAATAATAAAGTCTTTCTAGGTGTCCCATTTGTTTCCCCTTAAGCCATTTTACTGAGCAAAGTGCAACCAAGCAACTGCTTATTTGTATTTATTATGTAAGAAATTTCAAAAGAAAAAAAGATTAATTTTTAACTTGAAGTTACTGTTGTCTCATCAGTCCTGTTACAGTTCAAGTAGGAACATAATATCCCAAATAAGACTTTTTTGTTTTTGTTTTAGAGACAGGGTCTCACTCTGTCACCCAGGCTGGAGTAGTGTCACAATCTTAGCTCACTACAACCTCCAACTCCTGGGATCAAGCGATCTTCCCACGTCAGTCTCCTGAGTAGCTAGGACTACTACTGCTTTTAAATGTTTTCATAGAGATGAGGTCTTGCTATGTTGCTCAGGCTGGTCTTGAACTCCCGGTTGCTCAAGTGATCCTCCTGCCTCTGCCTCTCAAAGTGCTGGGATTACAAGCATGAGCCACCAGACCCGGCCTCCAAGTAAGACTATTTAAGTGACTCAATTAATTAAGTATCTCTTATGCTTAACAAGAGTGATTACAACAAAATTTCTTAACCTTTTGTGTAACACATAATGTTAAAACTTCCTTTTAAATCATGCTGGGTATCAAATTCTCTGGGACTTGTGCAGTGCTTGGATTGTCATATTAAAGATAAAGTATGTTAATTTAAAGTGACAGGAACGAAATCATTCTGAAGGGAGCAGGGCAAGGACATATGCATCATGCGCTGAACCTTTGTTCCTGAAGCATTACTATGGATTTTGGAGCATTAAGTAATTTAAAGCACATGCTGCTGAGTCAGTACCTGCCAGAAATCCTAATCAGAAGATGAGAAAAAGAAAAAACATTGACATTGTTTGATTATATGAACAAACTAATCAAATATACATATCACAAAACATAATATACAAAGAAACAGTTAAAACCTGTAATAATATCACTGAACACCTGGAAGTAGGAAATGAGGAATACATAGAAATGTTTTAGATATTATCTGCTAGGCACAAAACAAAACAAGGATGTCTCATTACTGTTTCTATATATAATATTTTTTTAACTTCATGGCAAATAGTTGCTTTGCCACTCATATTAATATAGGCAATCAAATATGGATGAGTTCAGATAATTAGTAACTACTCTAAGAAAGAGTACATAATGGCTCCTTAGAAAAAGGTCTCCTCCAAAATTATGCTGCATTAAATAAAGTGATACCCACATTGGTATTAAAAAAAAAAAAGCAGTCATCCTGAAGGCTGGCATTTGGACAAGCAGTTGTTGTTAGCTAATTTAGCTGGGTACCACTCCAAACTATTTTCAAATATCAAATGGTTTTAAAGATTTTTTTCAATAAATAAACTTCACTGACCAGGAAATAAAATTTGACCTATATTTACCATCCTATTCTAACCACACTGAATAGCATTGTAAAATTTCTTGACTGAAAAATGGATGCTATTAACAATTCACAAGCCTACAGCTGGAACTTATGTGACAGAGCCCAAGGGATTTTACGGCACAGGAATGAGATGAATCACTGTGAACACAGGACAACTGAGACATGTGAAATCAAACTGGGGGCCTCTCTTTAGTTAATGGACTCGGTATTTAACCCGGGCTAGTTGCTCATTACAGAGATAGCACAGGAGATTTTTATAGCTAATTAAACTGGGAAGGAAAGGACTGTGGAGAGAACAATTACGCAGAGGGTATACTAGTCTGCAGCTTTTCAAGTAAACGAAGAAAGAAAATCATATATATGATAGCAGAGAACTCCTTTCTTAAACTGAGTAAAGGGCTCAAAGTCATGCAAAACAGCTATAATTTGTAGAGCTAGATACTTTACCTATTGTCCCAATTTTACTGAGAATGTAACTGACAGAGAGGTTAACTGGTCTCTTGCTCAAGGTTACCCATCAGTTATGTGGGAGAGCCTATATTTAAATACAGGACTGTCTATATCCAAAGTCCACACTCTTCATCCCACTCTATTACACATAAAGAAGTTCAGCAATCCACAAGACTATGTTTTTCATACCAATTCAGCATACTTTATAACATCTACTAACCATTTACACACAGCTGCCAAACAGAGTACTGAGATACTCAAAATGGAAATGCCTTGGAAAATATTTCAGATACCAAAGCCAGATTTTTTTTTTTAGGGTTATGGTATATAAAAAAGAACTAAAGTTGCTAATTTGAAAGAGGAGCTAAAACTGAGTAAATGTTTTAAAAATAATTTAAAGAACTTTGGATGGGAAAGAAGGAAGATGGCAAAATCTGTAACTAAAAATAAAACAAAATTCCAGCAGGTGTGAAAGGATATGAAATGTTGAATTTGTTCCTCAATTCACTTTTGCAAATTAATTACATTCTTTTTTTTTTAAGACAGAGTCTCACTCTGTTGACCAGGCTGGAGTGCAGTGGCACAATCTTGGCTCACTGCACCTCCGCCTCCCGGGTTCAAGTGAATCTCCTGCCTCAGCCTCCCAAGTAGCTGGGATTACAGGCGCCTGCCACCAAGCCCAGCTAATTTTTGTATCTTTAGTAGAGTTAGGGTTTCACCATGTTGGTCAGGCTGGTCTCGAACTCCTGACCTCAAGTGATCTGCCTGCCTCGGCCTCCCAAAGTGCTGGGATTACAGGCATGAGCCACTGCGCCCAGCCAGTAAATTAATTACATCCTAAATTTTGCTTGTCTAAAGACTATAATGAGCAGCTCCATTCAAATGATGCTATATTTAACATATAATTAATCAATATTTGAAAGAGTTAATAAATTGTTTAGTTTATAATAGTAAATTGTAGAGACAGGATTCCAAATTATCTTAAATACTACATGATACCACCTTTCCTATGTCTAATCCAGTTGTGTATACGACCTCTTAAAAATTTTACTACCTTACCTAATACTGTTTGCTCAAAAAAAAACCTTGATTATAATCAGCAAAGATCCAAGTTTTCAAATACAGGTGACAGTGCTTACTTTAAGAGTAATGGCTTCAAAAAAAAAAAAAAAAAAAAGAAAGCACTTCTGAAGATGTCAAGTGGTACTCATGGTATATGAAACAATAATGGAGCCAGTAACAGTAAAATTGATATTCTGATTTTTAAATTCAGGTATTAAAATGTATATATCCCATATTTTCTTTCTATAAAATGAAGTGTTATGTGGTTTCTCAGGTTAGTATGAATTTCTAGCTGTACTTTATCAAAGCAGAAAAGATTAACTTCAACTCTTAGCAAAAAGAAACAAACATCAAGGTTTTTTTTTGAGCAAACAGTATTAAGGCAGTAAAATTTTAATAAAAGGTCATACAGACAACTGGATTAGACATTCAGAAGGTGGTATCACATAGTGTTCAAGAGAATTTGGAATCCTAGCTATATGATTTTAAGCTAGCTACTTATCTTTTCTGTACTTTTTCTTTTGTTTTTGTTTTGTTTTGTTTTGTTTTTTTGAGACAGGGTCTCACTCTGTCGCCCAGGCTGAAGTGCAGTAGTGCAATCTGCAGCCTCTCCCTGCTGGGCTCAAGCAGTCCCCCGACCTTATCCTCCTGAGTAGCTGAAACTATAGGCATGCATCACCACACCTGGCAACCTTTTGTATTTTTTGTAGAGAAGGGCTATTGCTATGTTGCCCAGGGTGGTCTGGAACTCCTGAGCTCAAGTAGCCTCCTAAAGCACTGGGATTACAGGCATGAGCCACCGTGCCCAGCCCCTATTTTCTCAATCCGTAAAATGATGATAAAAATAGACAGCTTAAGATAGTGGTTGTGTGCACTAAATGAGTAATTATGTATAAGCCTGGAACATAATAAGCACTCAAAAAGCTTCTTATTATTGACGATAATTCCCACAAGACAAATATAGTCAAGCATTTTTCATTTAGAAATTTCACTTTTCTTTTCTTTCTTGAGACGGAATCTTGCTCTATTGCCCGGCTGGAGTGCAGTGATGCCAATCCAACTCACTGCAACCTCCGCCTCTCAGGTTCAAGCTATTCTCTGTCTCAGCCTCCCAGGTAGCTGGGATTACAGGTGTGCACCACCATACCCAGCTAATTTTTAGATTTTTAGTGGAGATGGGGTTTCACCATATTGGCCAGGTTGGTCTTGAACTCCTGACCTCAAGTGATCCACCTGCCTCGGCCTCCCAAAGTGCCGCGATTACAGGCCTGAGCCTCTGGGCCTAGCCCAGAAATTTCACTTCAAACCAAAAAAATAAACCACTGACAACCAATGAGTGAAAATGAGGTTTTAAAAAAGGGCCCAGTCATCATGCCCAAAGTAACATGTGACTTTGAAATATCTGTGAGGAACTTCTGGCTTCAAGGAAATACTTTTATTCTCTTGGCATCTGTTACAGTGTTTTTAAAGCAAGAATTTCCCTATATAAAGAAAAAGAAAGCAGAAATGATATACCCTACTTTAAAAATGGGATAGGGCAAATGAAAACACAGATAACAAGAAAGACTAATAAAATTATATTTACATATTCATATTTAGCCAAAAACCTGAATAAATATATTAATTAACCAAGAATTTCCACTTGAGTGGTTTCAGGTCTCTGGAAGCCAAGAGAGAGAGGGAAAGACATGGCTAATTAACAATGCAGAATTACATGTCATATTAACCTGTTATCTAAATTTGACTAGAGTAGTTCAAATAAATGTGGAGAATTCATCAAACCCTGTCCCATGAGACTTTTAGTACCCTATGTCGTAATTTACATTTCCTCAATCTTCAAAACATTTAACTCTTAAAAGACAGAAAATTTCTTAACAACTTACTATATATGTCAAGGAGTAAAACTACACTTGACCTTATTCTAGGGTCTTATTTTATCTGAGAAATAAAGTAAATAATTAGAACTCGAATAAAGCACGAAGAAGTATTACATTATAGGAAAAAATGTGTTCATATTCTCTTTAGAAGAACCAACAATTTCCCCCAAAAGGAATGGTATTTTAAAGTTAATTTGTTAATATTTTCAAAAAGAACTTTCACCTAGTAAAAGAGAATGTAGTAATATTAAAGCTTTGATTTTCAACTATGACTTCCATCTGTTCCTCTACTAATCATATTGTCTGTTATAAACACTATAATCAATACTTCCCTTTCTTGGTTTTGACTATACTTTTATCTCTTTACAGATAAATGTGGATAATATTTCATTTTTATTTGATGTAAAATGTTTTCTTGTTCCATGTAAACAAATATTCTTGTAGATAACATAAAGGAGGTGGAAATAAAATACACATAAATTTTTTCTTCCAAGTTTGAGAGACTGTCAAGGTTCTGAGGGGACTGTAGTTACAAATAATGGAAAAACTCAATTCAGAGGCAGTATTTCTGAAACGTTCAGGGAGAGGTTGGGGGAAAGGGGAATCAATAGGTAGGAAAGAATAACAAATCTATTCTCTAAAAAAGAAATACATGGTGGTATGATGATAATGAACAATTGGTTTCAATAGACAATTTTATTGCTTGAAAATAGTGTATAAACTATAGCTTTTAGAAGACATAAGGGGACTGAATCCAACGTTGCGGAAATTGGTATTCCTTGCTTAAGGAACAATTTCATCTATACCAAGAAATTTTATTCTGTGACTTTATAAAAAAACATGGTGATGTTTGATGTGGAGAAAGTTGTCTATTACATGCAATAGAAACAGGAAATACAAAATATAATTTCTATCTTTGGTTTGCTGAAGGAAAAAAGGGGTAAGAGAAAATGGGAAAATAAAGAAGGCTACAAACCACTTGAAATAAATCATGCAAATAAAAGAGAGCAACTAAATGATTACATGAAAGAAATATTTAACAATAATGTAAAATAAAGCCTCCACTTAGAAATAATTGCTTTGTTTTATATGCCAACTAGATGGTAAAATCATAAAAGATGATAAATGAAACAAAGAAAAAATATAGTTTTCATTAAATAAATAATCCAAATTCATGAAATGACTGTATTGACAAATTGTTAGCAGAATACATGGATACTAGGGGAAGGTGCTTTTTTTTTTTTTTTTTTTTTTTCTTTTCACAAGAAGGATTCAACACAGGAAGGTGCATTTAGAAAGAATCTATGACATATTACATTAAAACAAAAGCTGGCAGGACATGGTGGCTCACGCCTGTAATCGCAACACTTCGGGAGGCCAAGGTGGGCAGATTACCTGAGGTCAGGAGTTCAAGACCAGCCTGGCCAACATGGTAAAACCCCGTCTCTACTAAAAATACAAAAAAATTTAGCCGGGTGTGGTGGTGGATGCCTGTAATCCCAGCTACTCAGAAGGCTGAGGCAGGAGAATCGCTTGGGAACCCAGGAGGCAGAGGTTGCAGTGGGCCGAGATCACGACATTGCACTCCAGCCTGGGTGACAGGAGCGAAACTCCATATCAAAATAATAATAATAATAATAATAATAATAATAATAATAATGCCAGAATATATTTTGTATTACCATCTCTATAATGCTAATAAGCTATTTATAATAATTTTCAAATGTCTTCTAAGAGAAAATCCGAACTCTTTCAAGATTTGAAGTTTTAAACTTTTAAACCTAGTCTCATATTTTCAAAATAATATCACTTATCTACGAAACATATTCTTAAAACCAGTGGTAACCATAGCTGTTACCATTCTTTATACGAGACCTATGATAGTAGATGGTTTGGAAATGCAATAGACTATGCAAGTGCCAATAATAATGTATTTCATAACTTTTCTACAAGGGAAATTTCTAGTATTCTAAAAGTATTAGTGTCCATTAACATAAAGTAATAATGGGCTCTGGAAAAAGATTCAACTACAAATTCAAAAGCTGCTTAATTAAATTCAGTTCTCACTGACTATCAGTTGAAATAGTAATGTCTTATTTACTTCTTACAGGGAACCTTCTAGTTAATTAAACAGATCAGGAAAAAAATATTTTAGCAAAACAAGAAATAACTATCCAATTATTTGTCAATATCAGTTGCACCACTCTTTCCTATTTTGCATCTGGAGGTTCCATTATTCAGGTAGAAATTTAAAACATCCCAGGAAAATATTATTTTTATATTTGTTCTTACTTTCAATGACAAAAAGGCTGAAGTTTAATTCAATTAGAAGGCAATAAAATAAGCTAGTGTTTGTTACTGGTCAAATTTTGGACTTTGTTAAATGGTGTGCTAAAAGTTAAGATAATGGGGGCTAAGACAATAGGAGTAAATAATTCTTTCTCTAAGATTTAATAGTTTATCTTCCAAATTAAAAAAAACAGAGGGAGAGGGAAAAAAATTATCCATTTAAAAATCAAAGCAAGTCTAAAAGGAAATTCCTCTTAGGTGTTTAGCTTTCTAACTACATTTCTGGCTATAATGCATAAAATTACTATAATATCATTACACACAAATCTGTTTTTTTAACAGAAAATTGTCTTAGAATTCATATATTCTAGAAGCAGTTACTTAAGAATTAAGATTTTCTGGATGAGAGAACAAAAGAGTCATGAAGATCTAAAGAAAAATGATGGTGGCTCATACCTGTAATCCCAGCACTTTGCGAAGCCAAGGCGGGCGGATCATGAGGTCAGGATATCGAGACCATCCTGGCCAACATGGTGAAACCCTGTCTCTACTAAAAATAAAAAAATTAGCTGGGCATGGTGGTGTGTGCCTGTAATCCCAGCTACTTAAGAGGCTGAGGCAGAAGAATCGCTTGAACCAGGGAGTCGGAGGTTGCAGTGAGCTGAGATGGTGCCACTGCACTCCAGCCTGGCGACAGAGCGAGATTCCATCTCAAAAAAAATAAAAAATAAAAAAAGAAAGAAAAATGAAAAGACTGACAGTTGAGAAAGTACTGACAGTTACAATTATCAAGCGAAAGACTTCATACATAACAAAAAAACATGGAAAACTTTTAAACTGATCAAACAATAAATGAATTTATTCATTACATAAGGTTTTATTTTTTTTTTTTTTAGTCCTTTATCTTTTTTTTTTGAGACGGAGTCTCGCTCTGTTGCCCAGGCTGGAGCGCAATGGCACAATCTTGGCTCACTGCAACCTCTGCCTCCTGGGTTCAAGTGATTCTCCAAATAACCAAAAAAAGTTATTTATTGCTTGGTGTGGTGGCTCACGCCTGTAATCACAGCACTTTGGGAGGCCGAGGCAGGCAGATCACGAGGTCAGGAGATTGAGACCATCCTGGCTAACACAGTGAAACCCCATCTGTACTAAAAATACAAAAAAAGTAGCTGGGCATGGTGGCGGGAGCCTGTAGTCCTAGCTACTCGAGAGGCTGAGGCAGGAGAATGGTGCAAACCCGGGAGGTGGAGCTTGCAGTGAGCCGAGATTGCTCCACTGCACTCCAGCCCAGGCGACAGAGCGAGACTCCATCTCAAAAAAAAAAAAGTTATTTATTAAAATGAATTTGCTATAAGTTATTACTGACTTAATGAGTCAGACCTCCACCAAGGAATATGTGATTGACTACTGTAGTTAATTTTTTGCAAGTCATTAAACATTTATTGTTGCCTCCTGTGTGCCAGGCCCATGCTGGACTCTGAGTGACACAAAAACAGGTAAGATAGGGACCTGACCCTCCAAAGACTCTGAAATCAGAAGTGTTGCAGTAAGTCCTCACATTGGATAGGGTACTTTACCATAGATAAAGCAGAGACACCAAGGATCAGAGAAAAGATGAAGCTGTCCCAAAGCAGAGTTAGGACCTTGAGCCGAGGTCTCCTAACATCTAGTTCAGCACTCTTCCTTTTTGATCATTCTTTTAGAATATGTGACTTTAAAAAGAGGATATTCACAGATGGAGGCATTTTAAGGCACTGTGCCACCTTAATAGGAAAGGTAACTTTTAGGCAGGTGGCCTTAGCTGAGATCTCTCCCAAATCTTAAGGCAGCTACTCATTCTTTTCACTTGTATAAAAGAGCTCAACACTTATCTCTCCACCTTACCAGGATATGGACTTTTATGTAATAATGCAGGAATTGGCACATTTCTGCAAAATCAGTTTTTACTAACCCTGACCTCTCCCCATCTAGACCCTCTTTTGTGATCCTGCCTTTTCCAGCCACTCCATGATTGTCCTTCTGACTTCCTGTTCATTGTGCTTTGTAGAACCATGCCTGGTTCTTTCTTCTTTCTGAAGTGCTTTCTTCCTCCTCTGTAAAATTGACCCTTTACTTTTCTTTCTGACCCTGTGTAATATTTTCTTTTTGGAGAATCTGGCCTGAAAGGAAAAAACATGTTTGACTGCTTTATGAGACAATAAAACTGAAAGTCTCATTTTCTATACCTAAGAATAATTTGTTATATTATTTATTCAGGTATAAATAATTAAAAATAAGTATAGTGCAAACTTATAGGCAAATCTGGAGCAGTCTTCATAATTATTACAAAAGCACTACAAGGACCTTTGTAATTTTCTAGTTAAGATTATTGCTAGACACTATCATAAAGTCTGAGAAAGGTCAAATCAGGGAAGCGTTTTGTAATAAATGCCAATACAGTATTGGGGGGCTTATTAATCTTTATGATGACTATTGAGTTAACATTCAAAAGTCAACAAACACTGAATTAGCCCTTAATATAAACAGGAGGCAATACATGAGAGTTACCTTACATGGAAAAATATAGAACCTTCTGCCTCTTTCTGTAGAGGTATGTAGAGGCACAGACCCCCTAACCTAAGCATGCTCTTTTGGTAAGATAAACAGGTATTCAGTGATTTCTCAAACATAACTATAGAGGAACTTAAAAATCTTCTTAGTAAATGATAGGATATATGTATAGAAGTGTCATAGTTTGCTCACCTTTCCATCAAAGCGTTTTATTATATATTGATCCAGACCCAAGTCTGTAAAAGAAAAGGAAAAAACATTTAGCTACTGATAATAACTCAAGTGAAATTTATAAAATGACAGCTCTTGGTTTTGTTTCCAGTCATTCAGTTAAAAGTACAAAACATTTATTCAAAGGCCACAGGAATGAATATTTTGCCCCACTTTCAGATTTAAAGTGTGAGTGCTAAGAGATACCAACCCTTTTATTTTACATATCAGAAAAGTAAGGCTCTAAGAAGGTAAAAATGTGCAAACCTATTCAACAGTAGAGTCCAGTTAGAACTCTGGACTCCTCCCAAGGTGGTGCTCTTTTCATTATATCAAGGTGCTATATTACTTTTCATTTAGGTAAGGAATATTAGTTTAATCTGAATGCATAATAATTTTTTCTATCAAGTTCAAAGAAAATAATTAAACACCAAAAAAAAAAAAAAAAAACTATTGCAGTACACCTAAACAGACACAAACAGACCATCTTAACATTACCTTTTAAAATTAGGTTAAATTTAAAAATTTACTTGGGAATACCTAGCTTTGGATTCTGTGCACTGTGAAAAATTAAGTGACTATATTCGGTGGCATTGAGGGCAGGGATAGTTTTGTCTTTACACATAGCTTTATCCCCAGCATTTAGAACAGTGCTTGATCAATAAATATCTGTAAAAGAATGAATGAATAAGAAACAGTCCTTGCCTTGAAAAGTCACAATTTAGTTAGAAAGACATACGGATATAATAATTAACATTACAAGGGAGCATACAATTAGTTCAATAAAAGGGTGCTGTGGGAGTTTTGAGGGTGGAGAAATTAGTACTCAGTTACACTTATTTTCTTGCATAATTATTCAGTTATTTTCTTTCAGTTGTCACTAGTTCAGGCCCTTACCTCACTATGCCCACAGTATTACAATCATCAGATTATCATTGCTCCCAGAAAAAGCTTTTTGCATTTCTAATTTAAACATTTGGTTATACATTCTTCTTATCTGAAATGTGCCTCATCTTCCAGAAGCCAGCCCTAAACAAACTGAACCACTGACTGTAAAAGAAACAGATAATTTAAGACACAGAAAGAAATGTTAGAAACAATTTTAATTTGCAACCTGACAGATATTTAAGAGAGTGTAAGTCATAAAGGCTGATATTTATCAGAACAGGCTTCTGATAAAAGAACAGAGAACAAGAAAGAGTTCTAGACAATTAAAACTTTGATTGCCTATCTCCCTCTATTTTTTATTTTATTTTATTTTATTTTATTTTATTTATTTATTTTGAAACAGAGTCTTGCTCTGTCACCCAAGCTGGAGTGCAGTGGCATGATCTTGGCTCACTGCAACCTCCACCTCCTGGGTTCAAGTGATTCTCCTGCCTCGGCCTCCCAAGTAGCTGGGATTACAGGTGTGTGCCACGATACCTGTCTGATTTTTGTATTTTTAGTAAAGATGGGGTTTTGCCAGGTTGGCCAGGCTACTAGGTCAGGTCTAGAACTCCTAACCTCAGGTGATCCACCCGCCTCAGCCTCCCAAAGTGCTGGGATTACAGGCATAAGCCACTGCATCCAGCCCTATTTTTTAATGTACTGTCAAAAGATGAGGATAAGGTAACCTCCCAAACTACTGCCAAAGGACAGCGGGATAGAAAATAGAAAATATAAGATAGAATTATAGAAAACAGAGACTCAATCCAAGAGGTTTAGTATCCTACAGGACCTTTCTCATTCAGAAACAGGGAGAAAATAATCCAAAAAATACTAGCAGAAACTTTCTCATAACTATAGAGAGACAGACTAAAAGACCTTACCAAGTGTTCTAAGCATATTGAACAAAAAAAACTACCCACACTTCAGTGTATCCTTGTGAAATTTCAGAATACCAAGGATAAAAAAATCCTAAAGATTTTCAGGAAAAAATCTTCCTGGTCCCTTACAAAGGCAGGAGAATCAGAATAGAATCAGATGTCTCACAAGTAAAACTTGGTACATCAACTAAGGCAGATGTATGCTTACTAATTGCATCAGCACTGTCCAACAGAAATATAGTGTGAATAACAAATGCAAGTCACATGTGTAATTTAAAATTTTCTAACAGCCATCTTTAAAAAGGTAGAAAGGAAGAAATTCTGTCATTTGAGGCAACATGGATGCAACTGGCTGACATTATGTTAAATGAAATAAGGCAGGAACAGAAAGTTAAACACCGCATGTTCTCATCCCTACGTGGAAGCCAGAAAAAGTCGATCTCATATAAGTAGAAAGTAGAACAGGGTGTACCACAGGCTGGGAAGGATAGGGGAAATGGGAGGGACTAGAAAAGATTTGTTAAAGGATACAAAATTACACCTAGATAGGAAGAACAAGTTCTAGTGTTCTATAGCATTGTAGAGTTAACAACAATATTTATACAGTTTCAAATATCTAGAAGGAAGGCACTGACACAAAGAAATGACAAATGTTTGATGGTGATATGCTAATTACCCTTATCTAATCACTATATAAATTATATGTATCAAAACAGCACTATGTACCCCATAAATATGTACAATTATTATGTCAATTTAAAAATAAGGTTAATTAATTAATTAATTATTTTTTGAGATGGAGTCTCGCTTTGTCCCCCAGGCTGGAGTGCAGTGGCATGATCTCGGCTCACTGCAACCTCCACCTCCTGGGTTCAAGCGATTCTCCTGCCTTAGCCTCCTGAGTAGCTGGGACTACAGGTGCGTGCCACCATGCCCGGCTAATTTTTTTTTTTGTATTTTTAGTAGAGACAGGGTTTCACCGTGTTAGTCAGGATGGTCTTGATCTCCTGACCTCATGATCCGCCCGCCTCAGCCTCCCAAAGTGCTGGGATAAAAGGCGTGAGCCACCGTGCCCAGACAAAAATAACGTTAAAATTTTAAAAGGGCAAAAAGAAACAAGTGAAATTAATTTTAATACTTTATTTAACTGAATATATCCAAATAGTATCATTTTAAGTAGTAATCAAGAGAAAATATTAATGAGATATTTTACATTTTTTAATACTACATTTTCAAAATCGGGGTGTATCTTGTAATTATAATACATCTCAACTCAGACTTGCCACATTTCAAGTGCTCAGTAGCCAAATATGGCTACTGGCTACTGTATTAGACAGCACAGGTTTTAGGTTATCAGGGCAATACCCAGAATAACTCAAAATGTAACTTAAAATTTTAAAGGTGGTTACTTCTGTGACATGAACTGTGAAGATGGAGAAGATGGAACACATTTATGTTTTATATTTTATGCTCTTCATTATATTAAAAAAATGGTGAGGGGGAAGGGGCATGGGAGGACAACCTGGCACTCACTGAGAATTATTGTCATTTTATAAGCAAATACTGACATGAAGTAGGCCAAGACTTTCATTATTTCAAGTTGAAAGAAATGATTATTTCACCTTGTTATGTTTTGATTTATTTACCTGCCAAATGAAGGAGATGGTTGGATTAGATCAGTTCTTAAAATGTTTGGAAGTGGAGTGTGGGGAATGTGGATGGATGAAGTAATTCAAGCTATTGTCCCTAACTACTCCTCTAGAAAATCTAATAGGCCCAATTACTGGGGGCAGGGAGAGCATGGAGAATGAAAGGAGAAAAAATAGCATGTGTAGTTTAAAAACAATACTTAGGTGACTTCCATATGACATTTCCCTTTCAGTTTGCTACCCAAACCTTTTGGTCCCAGCTTAGAAACACCAGACTATAGCTATGTTGTTTTCACTGAGATGTTTCCTATGGTTTTTAAACTTTTATTCAAAGAACTTTCAGTCATTTAATTTAATGCTCATAGTGTGATATAAACACTACCTTTGCCTTTTTATTGATAAGAAAGCCAAGGCTCAGAAGGTTAAATGACTGTTTTTTTATTTTAACTCTAATAATCTTCTAATTATGGCAGTTGCCTCTTTTCTTGAATCCACACCCAAAATACTATAAATATGTGTGTAAAAGTAGAGTATATGTAAAAGTAGAGTATGTGTAAAGGTACACACATACTGTTAAGAATAGTCTCAGTTTAAGCCTCAGAGTGAACATTTAAAAGACTTGTTTAAAGACAATGGCAACTGACTTTGTCAAACTCATTTTGTCAAAAGACACAAGGGCAACTGAATCAAATATGTCATTTCAAGATCTACAAATTAGAATAATAATTAACATTACAAGGGAGCATACAATTAGTTCAATAAAAGGGTGCTGTGGGAGTTCTGAGGGTGGAGAAATTAGTACTCAGTTACACTTATTTTCTTGCATAATTATTCAGTTCTTTTCTTTCAGTTGTCACTAGTTCAGGCCCTTACCTCACTATGCCCACAGTATTACAATAATCAGATTATCAGTTAAAAATAACAGTACAAACTATCAAGGAGAAGACTGAAACATTTGAAAATATCAATATTGACAACTTCTGTGCATTAAAAATCAACACAAACAAAATAAAAAGACAGGCCCCAGACTAGGACAGGAGATCTGCAATGTATATCACAGATTTTAGTGAGAATATATAAACTACTTTTACTAAAAAGGATAATCAAATGGAAAAATGAACAGAGACTATAAACAGGCAATTCATAGAAAAGGCAATGTAAGTAGTCAATAACATGCAGAGATGATAAGCCTCACTTGTCATTAGTGAAATGCAAAATAAAACCAGAAAAATATTTAAAACACTTTAAAGTGTAGAGTTTTTGTGTGTCTGTGATCAAAGTTAAGCTGTTATCAGCTTGAAATAATCTGTTATAATTATGTTTTTTGTAAGCCTCACGGTAGCCACAAAGAAAAATCCTGTAATAGATACTCTAAAAATAAAAGGCAAGGAATTAAAATATACTACCAGAGAAAATAACCACAAAGGAAGACAAAGAAGACAGTAACAAAGGAAAAAAAGGAAGAGAGGGGTTACAAAACAACCAGAAAATGAGGAACAAAATGGCTATAATAAAGTCCTTACATATCAATAATAACAGTGACTATAAATGGTCTAAATTCTCCAATTAAAAAACATAGAATGGCTGAATAAATTTTTTTTAAAAAGACCCAACTATATGATGCCTATAAGAGACTCATTTCACCAGTAAGGACACAAACAGACTGAAAGTAAGTAAAGGGAAAAAGATATTTGGAAATAGAAACCAAAAGAGAGCAGGAGTAGCTATACCCAGATAAAATAGAGTATAAGTCAAAAACTGTAAAAAGAGACAAAGAAGGTATTATTTAGTAATAAAGGAGTCAATTCATTAAGAAGATATGACAATTGTAAATATATATGAACCCAATCTCAGTGCACCTAAATATAAAGCAAATATTAATAGATCTAAACAGAGAGAGAGATTGCAATACAATAATATTAGGGGGCTTCAACATCCCACTTTCAGTAACGGGCAGATCATCTAGATAGAAAATCAATAAAGAAACATCAGATTTAAACTGTACTCTGGACCAAATGGACTTAAGACAGATTTACAGAACATTCCATCCAACTGCTACAGAATACACATTCTTCTCACCTGTACATGAACACTTCTCCAGGACAGATCATATGTTAGCCCACAAAACAAGTCTTAACAAATTTAAGAAGACTGAAACTGTATCAAATATCTTTTCTGACCACAATGATATATAACTAGAAATAAATAACAGGAGGAACTTTGGAAACTTTACAAAGATGTGGAAATCAAGCAATATGCTCCTGAATAATGGGTCAATGAAGAAATTAAAAAGAAAATTTTAAACATTTATTGAGACAAACAAAAATGGAAACGCAATATGTTTTTGCTATGGAATATACCAAAAACAATTCTAAGAGGGAAGTTGATAACAATAAACACTACACTGAAAAAGAAGAAAGCCCTCAAATAAACAACCTAATATTGCATCTTAGGGAACTAGAAAAACAAGAACAAACTCAACTAAATATTAGTAGGAGGAAGGAAATAATAAAGATCAAGCAGATAGAGAGTAGAAAAAGCACAAAGAGACAATAATTTACTTTCATAAGTTTGTTAAAATTTAAATCTGATAATACCAAGTGTTGGCAGCAGTGCAGAGGAAGAAACTCATATATTCTTGGAGAGAAGATAAATTATTCTATCAACTCTGGAAATCAATTTGGCAACGTCTACCAAATGTGAAGAGGAATGTACTCTATGGGCTAGCAAGTCCAGTTCCAGGTATATGCTGAAAATAACTTCTTGGCTGTGCGTGGTGGCTCATGCCTGTAATCCCAGCACTTTGGGAGGCCGAGACAGGTGAATCACCTGAGGTCAGGAGTTCAAGACCAATCTGACCAACAGGGTGAAACCCCATCTCTACTAAAAATACAAAATTAGCTAGGCATGGTGGCGCATGCCTGTAATCCCAGCTACTTGGGAGGCTGAGGCAGGGGAATCACTTGAACCCAGGAGATGGAGGTTGCAGTGAGCCGAGATTGTGCCACTGCACTCCAGCCTGGGCAACCAGAGTGAAACTCCATCTCAAAAAAAAAAAAAAAAAAAGAAAAGAGAAAGAAAATAACTTACTGCAAATATGCACCAGGGCACATATAGGAGAATATTCACTGCAGTATGGTTTGTAATGATTAAAAAAAAAAACTGGCATGGAGCCAGATGTGGTATCTTACACTTATAATCCCAGCAGTTTGGAAGTCTGAGGTGGGAAGATCACTTGAGGCCAAGAGTTTGAGAGCAACCTGGGAAACACAGTGAGACACTTGTCTCTACAAAAAAAAAATTTAATTAGCTTGGTGTGACGGTACACACCTGTAGTCCTAGCTACTCAGGAAGTGAAAGTGGGGGATAACTTGAGCCCAGGAGTTCAAGGTTACATGAACTATGAACATGCCACTGCATTCTAGCCTGGGCAACAGAGCAAGACCCTGTCTCTAAAATAAAACAAAACAAAAAACTGGCATGGTAGATTAGATTACTGATCTCAAATATTTACTTCCTTCCCACTGACCTCTATGGAAAAGCCATTGGGCTTTGTTGTGTAACTTGTTTTAGCCAATGGGATATTAGCAGATGGGACATAAGCATCCTTAAAATGGACTTCTGAGGTTGGCTTTCTTTCTTATATCTTGGCCATCTATAAGAAAAATATATCCTGGATGGGCCAGTGGTCTAAAAAGTTATAAACACATAAAGCAGGCTGACAAATCTGCTGACAAACTTTCAGAGCTATCCTAGCTTAATTAGACAACCTCTAGCCTATCTACAGAGCTCAGCTGAGAGCAGCAGAGAGCACTTCATGGGATCTGCAGATGAAAGTGCCTTTGCAAAGATTATGACAGAAAGAGAAGTCTAGCATGGCTGACTCCATCTTGCTTCTAGTCTCATAGGCTAGCTGTCCTTACTCATTCCCGGGCAAGAGCCCGGGAATTGGAGGAATTTAGACTATAGTTTAACTTGAAAGCAAGAATGCTAATAGTCCCTCCCTAAAACTCCTTGCTCAGCGACCAAAGCAACCTTTGTAAAACTAGTAAAAGGCCACAAGATTAGGATTATGGAAGAGGCCTGAATTCCATTAAAATGTAGGCTTAGTTTCTCTAATCCCTTACAACTCAGGTGGCATGTGCCCAGAGGTCACAAGACTTGTGACTTCCCCAACTGCTTCTATAAATAGCATCACTATTATAGAATCTAAGATTGATCTTTTGAGATATTTTTCAGACTTTTGCATTCTGGCAACTGAATGACCCCACCCAGACCCATGACTCATGACTGAACCTGTCCTGTGGCCCAAACATAGAGGCAGCCTCAGTGCATGAGGACTGTTTTCCACACCCCTGTGATTTCATCCTCAACCAATCTGCAGCACCCATTCCCTAGTCCCCTGCCCACCAAACTATCCATAAAAACCCTAGCTTCTCAGTCCTTAGGGAGGCTGACTTTATGAATAATAAACTCCTGTCCTTCTACTTGGCTGGCCTTGCATTAATTAAACTCTCTTTACTGCAATACAGCTGTATCAGTTAATCAGCTCTATCTGTGCAGTGGGCAACAAGAACTTGTCAGGCAATTACAGAGAAGCATGAGCTAAATAAATGTTTGTTATGCCACTGACATTTTCTGGTTGGTTGTTACATAGCAATAACTGACTAATAAATCATATACTGGCATATTTGTATAAATGTATACAAATAATATCCACAACTTATAGCAGTGAAAATAAAAGAACGGCTACCTGTTCTTTACATAAAAGTAAGGGAAACTTATAAAACTTATACAAAAGTAAGGGAAATGTAGTAATCATGCTGCAGTAATAAATATAATCATCCCCTAGGGAAAGACAATGAATATACATGATGTTATAGTCTTCAACAAAAATGATAAACACCAAATTAATAACAGTGGTTATCTCTAATAAGAATGGGAGTGAAATGGGATTGCAGATAACTCTTTTTATGGACACTGAAATTTTAATTTCATGTCACTTTCAAGTTTCACAAAGCTGCTTCTTGTGATTTTTTTTCACCCATTTAAAAAATGTAAAAACCATTCTCTGCTCATGGGCCATACAGAAATAGGCAGTTGGCTGTAGATGGCCAATCCCTGCTCTGTACTAAGCAGCACTACAGAGGATTAAAAACAAAAGGAGTGAGCAGGATATTATCTTGACTTTTTCACAGGACTCATGACAGGGGTGCCTTGTTTGCTTAGCCTGCCCCTGTCTACCTGTTGCGGGAGGGAGTGTGCAAGCAAACAAGTGCAGGAACCAGAGCAAGCAAGTGCAGGAACCAGCCAACTGCTTTTGGGTGCCAGCAGGAGCAAACGCCGTACGGGCCACGCAGCAGCATCTGGATGGGGGTGCCTGCAATTCCTGAAGCCCCAGAGGGTGGTTACAGTGCTCCTTTAGCTCTGCCATCCACAGATGGCTTAAGTGTTAACAGCTCAGCGGGCCCTCTGCCTCATTATGTGGGACAGCTGCCCTCCGCCAGCAAGGGCAAAGGGCCAGTGTGACAGCCTTTTTTCGGTATCTGCATTTGTTGGCTCCCAAGCTCCTGTCTGGTGTCCAGGAAAATTGAGGTCGCACGAACAAATTGAAAGATGGTGAATGCAGAGGATTTTACTGAACAATGAAAGTGGCTCTCAGCAGGAAGGCGAGCTGGAAAAGGGATGGGATGGGCAGGTAATCTTCCTCTCAAGTCCAGCTGTCTCTGGCTGGACTCTTCACCAAAAAGTCAAGCCATCAAGCTCTCGCTTGAAGTCAAGTCACTTCTCTCCAATGTTCAGCTGCTTCTCTGACTGAGTCTGGGGTCTTTATAGGCACAGGACGGGGGTGGGCCATGGGTAGTTTAGGAAAGGCAACATTTGAGCAGGCCACTGGAATAGAAGTTCTCACTTTGGGCTGCAGGTTTCAGGCTTTTTGGCTTGAAGGTGGGGTTTTGTCAGGGACCTGCCCTGTCTGCCTAGAATTTTTCTGCCTCTTGTTGCTATCAGTAGAACACGAGGACCTTTACTGAAGGAACTTATCTTGTTTGGAAAAAAACATTAGTGCAAAAATGTTTTTAAAATACATTCCATGTATATAACCATGTGAAAAATTATTAACCAAATTAAAAGTGCTCTAAGGGGCCAGGCATGGCTCACACCTATAATAGGCTATAGGGCCTATAGGCTCACACCTATAATCCTGGCACTTTGGGAGGCCCAGAAAGAGGATCACGTGAGCCCAGGAGTTCCAGATCAGCCTGGGCAACATAGCGAGACCCCATCTCAATCAATCAAATCAATCCATCAATCAATAAAGTACTGTATGTAAGATTATTATTAAGGATACTTAGGGACGAACGTGGTGGCTCACGCCTGTAATCCCAGTCCTTTGGGAGGCTGAGGTGGGCAGATCACGAGGTCAGGAGATCGAGACCATCCTGGCTAACACGGTGAAACCCCATCTCTACCAAAAATACAAAAAATTGGCTGGGCATGGTGGCAGGCGCCTGTAGTCCCAGCTGGAGGCTGAGGCAAGAGAATGGCATGAACCCGGGAGGCAGAGCTTGCAGTGAGCTGAGATCGCACCAGTGCACTCCAGCCTGGGTGACATAGCGAGACCCTGTCTCAAAAAAAAAAAAGGATACTTAGGGTAAGGGAGGAGACCACTCTTCATATTGTCTTATGCTGACCACCCCTCATATTGTCTTATGCCTAATTTCTGCCTCCAAAGAAAGAAGAAGTAAAAACTAAAAGGCAGAAATGAAATCCACAGGCAGACAGCTCGGCGCTGTGCCCTGGGCCTGGTAGTTAAAGATCAACCCCTGACCTAAACGGTTATGTTATCTATAGATTCCAGGCATTGTATGGAAAAGCACTGTGAAAATCCCTGTCCTGTTCTGTTCTGTTCTGTTCTGATTACCGGTGCATGCAGCCCCCAGTCACGTACCCGCTGCTTGCTCAATTGATCATGACCCTCTCACACAGACCCCCTTAGAGTTGTAAGCCCTTAAAAGGGACAGGAATTGCTCACTCAGGGAGCTCGGTTTTTGGAGACGTGAGTCTTGCCGAAGCTCCCGGCCGAATAAAGCTCTTCCTTCTTTAACCCGGTGTCTGAGGGGTTTTGTCTGCGGCCTGTCCTGCTACAAGGGGTCATCCTAGAGATAATATGGAGTCCAGGAGAAGTAAATCACAATATGATCTGTGTTTCCCTCTTTTACACCCTTTTCATCTCCAATGAAGATGAAATCACATCAAGATAATAAGGTCAGCCAGTTGGATATGGTGGAAAGAAAATAGAGATCCTCTTTGCAATAGGCTATGCTTTGCTCTAAAGAAAGCTCATGTTTTTCTATATAGAACTTTAAAAATTCTCCCCATGCCACTGTTTCCTCAAATAATTGGCCAGCTATGCAGAGCTGGTTACTGCAATAGCAAGCACCACTCAAAGCCCAGAGCCTGAAGCAACTATCTATCTCATTATACCTAAGGAGGGCAATGACATTCAGACTTCATAGAGAGGGAGATGGGACATATTCAAATCGTACAGAATATTTTTTTCCTTTTAATGTCTGTCCTACTCAAGTATGATTACTCCAAACTTTCTTGACATTTGGTACAGAAGAATTCTTATTCATCTTGCACTCTAAAGTTCATCTGCTCCCCTATTCATTTTAAAACTGCTTAATTTTAGGGCTTCATGTAGTCTGTGCTTCATGATTATTTTTGAACTGTTCTAAAAGTAAAACTCACAAATTTAGATCTGTTGGGTATCCTGGGATACAGTATGTGTGAAAAATACAACAAAATAAAGTTGAAATATGAGCTACTGGCTAGAGTCCAGCCATTTCTGATAGAAATTCAAACTACAAAAAATCTACAGCCTCATTTTTTTCCTTATCTCAACCCATATAGGAATAATATATCTTTTACTTCTGCTGCATCAACATTTCTGGAAATTCCTGTTCATGAGCAAATGAAAACGAAGCCAAATTTCCCACTGAATCTCATTTCAATATATCAGACTTTCCTCATGATTACTGTTGATGAAAAAAACAAACTCCATAAAATATTTGAAGAGATTATTCTGAGCCAAATGTGAGGACCATAACCAGTGACACGGCCTCAGGAGGTCCAGAGAATATATACCAAAGGTGGTTTGGTTACAACTTGGTTTTACGTATTTTAGGAAGATATAAGACATCAGTTAACACATGTAAGGTATACACTGGTTTGGTCCAGAAAGGCAGGACAATCTGAAGCAGGGAAAGGGCTTACAGGCAGATTCAAAGATTTTCTGACTAGCAATTGGTTGAAAGAGTTAAATTATTATGTAAGATCTGGAGTCAACAGAAAGGAGTGGGTTAAGATAGGGGTTGGGGAGAACCAAGGTTCTTATTATGTAAATAAAGTCTCATAGGTGGCTGCCCTTAGGGACAAAAGATGGCAAATAATTTCCTACTCAAGCCTCTAAAAGGTGTTAGACTCTCAGCTATCTCCTCAGGATCAGACAAAGACCAGAAAAAGGGAAGGCGATTCTCTACAGAATGTAAATTTCCCCCAGAAGAGACAGGTTTGCAGGGCCATTTCAAAATGTGTCAAAGAAACATATTTTGCAGTAAAATACTTTGATTTCTTTCAGGGCCTGCTCTCTGTCATGTGATGCTATACTAGTCAGGCTGGAATGTGGTATCTTCTTGCTACAAACAGTCTGTTTTGTCAATCTTAAATATCTGTTTTAATGTTAGTGCTAGTTAGTTAAGCCTGAGTTCCAACAAAGAGTATAATGAGGCATGTCCAAACCCCCTTCCCAACATGGCCTGAACCAGTTTCTCATGTATCTTTGGAATCCCTTTGGCTAAGGGGAGGGGTCCATTCAATCACCTGCCTAGGCCTCCCAGAGTGCTGGTGCACTTTTCTTGTCTTAACTGAACTTCACTTATACCATTTTTTCCTTTGTCTGAGCAAATGATGACAGAGTGACATCAATGACTAAAGTTTCGGTCAATCTCTCCATTGAGATGACCAAAAGAGGGGAATTGTTAAATTAAGTTTAGACTAAAGCTGCCTCCTTATATATTTTAAGTTCAGCCTAAAGCTTCCTCTGTACATAGTGAACTGTAACCTAACTGCGTATGTGTAACATACTCTTGTGCCAATCATCAAGTTGTAGCCAATTATTCAAATGATGTTCAAATAAGGGACACTCCAAGCTGTAACAAATCTGGCCGCTTCTGTATCTTACTTCCATTTTCTGTCCATCACTTACCTTTTTCTGTCCATAAATCTTCCACCATGTGGCTACACTGGAGCCTCTCTGAACCTATTCTGATTTGGGGACTGCCTAATTTGCCAATTACTCTTTGCTCAATTAAACTCAGTTAAATTTATCTAAAGTTTTTCTCTTAACGCAAACAAGATTTTATCTACATGCAAGCTTTCTTTACTTTCTTCCTTCAATATCACAAAACAAGGTGCTGAAGCTAATTTAAAGGGATCTAAATTTATTATTATTACTATTATTGAGACAGGGTCTCACACTGTTGCCCAGGCTGGAGTACAGTGGCATGACCACAGCCCACTGTAACCTCAAACTCCTGGGTTCAAGTGATCCCTCCACCTCAGCCTCCCAAGTAGCTGAGACTACAGGCACAAGCCACCACGCTCGTCTAATTTTTTTTTTTTTTTTTGAGATGGAGTCTCGCTCTGTCGCCCAGGCTGGACTGCAGTGGTGCAATCTCAGCTCACTGCAAGCTCCACCTCCTGGGTTCACGCCAGTCTCCTGCCTCAGCCTCCCGAGTAGCTGGGACTACAGGCGCTCGCCACCATGTCCAGCTAATTTTTTTTGTATTTTTAGTACAGACGAGGTTTCACCATGTTAGCCAGGATGGTCTCGATCTCCTGACCTCGTGATCTGTCCATGTCGGCCTCCCAAAGTGCTGGGATTACAGGTGTGAGCCACCACGCCCGGCCTCTGCTAATTTTTTTACTTTTATTTTTATAGAGACAGGGTCTCGCTATGTTACTCAAGCTGGTTTTGAACTCCTGGCCTCAAGCGGTCCTCCTGCCATAGCCTCCCAAAGTGCTAGGATTGCAGGCTTGAGCCACAGTACCCAGCCAATGCTCTAAATTAAAAGCTCAATGCAATTAATGAGAAGTTTTATATACCTTTCATTTCTTTCTAATTATAAAAGATTATTTAAGAGGGCAGGACTTTTTGTCCATTTTATTAATTACTGTATTTCTTGCATCTAGAATGTTCTCTAACTCATCACTATCAATCAATACATGTTGAATGAATATATACACATATGTATATATATATATATATAAAGTCTATTAGAAAATAAAGAAACGTACAAAGAAGAATAAAATGATTTCTGATAATTTCAACATTCACAGAGTTAATACTTTGGTATATTCATTTTTAAGTCACTTTCTATGTATTTTATATATGGGTGAAGCACAAAGGATAGAGAAACATGTTAAACAACACCTTATGGATGCAATCAGTAAAATCCAGAATGTGGGAAATTCTATAATACAAATGACCTACATTCTTCCACAAATAAATGGTGTCTAGTTTGGTTTCCTTAAAAGCAAGGTACCAGTGTGGAAGGACTAAGAAAAGTGAAACAGGTCAGCAGAAAAAGCCAATTCAAGGGTATGTTATTAAGTTGACTACCACTCTAGACAACCAGAGCTCAACTCCCCTTAGCCCATCTGAGAAACCATGTAGTCTGTATATCAGAATTGATCATCCAAGACAATGGAGAAGAGGGTATCCACCAATTCTCAGCAGTAAGTGTTAATGCCTTTATATCTCCAAATGTGTGCATGTGCCAACATGGTTGAGTATGTTCCTACAGGTGTCCCATGCTATAGCAGCAGAGATGCTCTATAGGAGAAAGCAACAGATACACAACATAGCTGAGGTTTCATCCTGTCAGGCTGCAACACTGTACAACTAACTGCTGCAGCAGCAACCTGAGCAAAAAGGTGGGCTGAGAAATGTGAGACAAGGCATAAAATATGTCTCACATAAATGGCAATAAAAAAAATGAAAGCGAAAAAAACAGTAAAGACTGAAGAGACATATCAATCAAATGCAGTGTAGAGGTTGATTTAAACAAACCAACTGTAACAGTTATTTTTTAGATAGGAAAATTTGAACAGTGCCTGGATATTTGCTATTAAGGAATAACTGCTGTTTTTAATTGCAATATTTAAAAAGTATTATTGTTTTTAAAGTTCTTATATTTTAGAGACACATGCAAAAGTATTTACAGGTTGCACTACATGTCTTGAATTGGCTTTAAAACAATCTGGGGTGAGGAAAGGAAGTAAGAGAGGTTATAGATGAAACAAGATTGGCCATGTGTTATAATTGTTGAAGCTAAGTGATGTAAACATATGGGTTGATTATATTTTCTACTTTTCATGTTTGAAAATTTCCACAACCAAAAATTGTATTTCTATCTCTCTCTCTCTTTCTGAGACAGAGTCTCCCTCTGTCACCCAGGCTAGAGTGCAGTGGCACAATCTTGGCTCACTGCAACCTCCGCCTCCTGGGTTCAAGTGATTCTCCTGCCTCAGCCTCCTGAGTAGCTGGGATTACAGGTGTGCACCACCACACCCAGCTAATTTTTGTATTTTTATTAGAGACAGGGTTTTGCCATGTTGGCCAGGCTGGTCTCTAATGCCTAACCTCAAGAGATCTGCCTGCCTCAGCCTCCCAAAGTGCTGGGATTACAGACATGAGCTACCGCACCTGGCCAACAACCAAAAATTTTAAATAGCAAATTTCATACATTTTGGAGGGGTGATGGTTCTATATAGTTTTTATTTGACCTAGAGATATGTGAATTTAATAATGTGGGCAAAATATTACGAACTTTCTGGTTAGAAAATGACATAAATGTTTTTGGTTCCCTAAGCTCACTTTGTTGTTTCATGTGTCTGTTTTTTTTGGTTTTTTTTTTTTTTTTTGAAACAGGGTCTGGCTCTATTGTCCAGGCTGGGGTGCAGTGGTGTCATCTTGGCACACTGTAACATCCACCTCCCAGGCTCAAGCCATCCTCCCACCTCCGCCTCCCAAGTAGCTGGGACTACAGGCACGCACCACCGTGCCTGGCTAATTTTTTTATTTTTTGTAGAGATGGGGTTTCGCCATGTTGCCCAGGCTGGTCCTCAACTCCTGAGCTCAAATAATCTGTCTGCATCAGCTTCCCAAAGTGTTGGGATTAGAGGCATGAGCCACAGCGCCTGGCCCATCTGTTTGTATTTTTGACCACACAATTTACTCACTCTGAATGATGCCTTTTCTTTCTCCTCTATATAATGAGCTATTATTCATTTTTCAAAACCCAACTCAAATAGCACTCCATTTAGAATGTCTTCCTATATACTCTCTAAAGAATTGGTTTCTTAGCCGGGTGCAGTGGGTCACGCCTGTAATCTCATCACTTTGGGAGGCTGAGGCAGGTGGATCACCTGAGGTCAGGGGTGTGAGATCAGCCTGGCCAACATGGCCAGACCCCATCTCTACTAAAAAATACAAAATTAGCTGGGCATGGTGGCACATGCCTGTAATGCCAGCTACTCAGGAGGCAAGGCTGGAGAATCGCTTGAACCCAGGAGGTGGAGATTGCAGTGAGCTGAGATTGCGCCATTGTATTCCAGCCTGGGTGACAAGAATGAAACTCCATCTCAAAAAAAAAAAAAAAGAGAATTAGTTTCTTCATATCCTACTCCTATACCATATACAGTCATGTGCTGCTTAATGACGTTTTGGTCAACAAAGGACTGAATATACAGTGGCGGTCCCATAAGATTATAATTGAGCTAAAAATTCCTATTGCCTAGTGACTTTGTACCAATAATAACATCATAGTACAACTATTTTATTTTTAAAATAAATTTAGTGTAGTCTAAGTATACAACGTTTATAAAATCTACAGGTGCACTATTTTCCATCTTTTATACCATATTTTTACTATATCTTTTCTATGTTTAGATATGTTTGGATATACAATTACTTACCATTGTCTTACAATTGCCTACTGTATTCAGTACAGTAACATGCCATACAGGTTTATAGTCTAGGAACAATAGGCTATACTATATAGTCTAGATGTGTAGTAGGTTATACCATCTAGATTTGCATTAAGTACTCCATGATGTTTGCACAATAATGAAATCACCTAAGGACACATTACTCAGAACATATCCTCATCATTAAGTGGCCCGTGACGGTACAATCAATTCTTGTTATTTGTGGTTATGTTCTATACAGTCACTGTGGACAATGAATTAGTGAATATCAACCTATTGCTCTTGGGGAAATTCAGGGTTAAGCTCCTTTGAGACTATGGTCACAACATTTTCATAACCAATCAATATATAACTTTGTTTTATGTGTGTGAAAGTTAGAATATTGATTAGATCATTCTTCTTTTTAAACATAGGTGTTTATAACTATAAATTTCCCTCTGAGCACTGCTTTTGTGGTACTGCATAAGTTTTGGGAGGTTCTGTATTCCTTTTCATTCAACTGAAAGCATTTTCTAATTTCCTTTGTGATTATATATTTGATCCCACTTTAAAAGTGTGTTAATTTCATACTTTATAAGTTTTCTAGTTTTCCTCACTAAAGAGTGACTTGATAGCAGTTGTATGTGTAATGTATTGCCTTCGAGAACATTCTAATTACAGGTAGTGAATCTCAACCAGAGGGGGACAATCTCCTCAACCTCTTACCCTGGTTGCAGATTGCCACATTAGACTGCAGGCTTCTCTTTTGTACTCCTAAAGCCTAGCACAATGCCTGATATTCAATAGACACACTGTTCATATCATCATTACAAGGACCTGTAAGATTTCAGTACTATGTAGAAAGAGACAAAGTAGCCTATAACAAAATAAATATCACAGTCTTATATTTCACTTTAGCAACTTACGTTCTGGTTGTTTTTCATTGGGTGTTATGGATCGCACAAAATCTTCTGGTGTCATAAACACTTCTGCTTCACCAGGCTCACTGATGACTTTCAAGGTGGCAAAATATCGGAAGATTTTGTCTGGCGTGGAGTAGGCTCGAATCCTATTCTCATATTCCATCACCTAAAGTTAGAAATTTAGAAAGTGTTACTATATTAAGCAATGCTCATATGCTCATATATTCTTATCATCACTGCTCATCAATTCTCATATATTTTCCATCCTATTTTGGGAAGAAATTCTATCATTTTTTTCTATACTTAGTTTTTTAATATTACAAATGAATACCAAAAATTGTTAATATTCTTGGAATTTTTTATTTCTTGCAATATACCATTCATATTCCAGTTGAGGCAATGCTCATGTAACTTTTGTTTAAAACTTTTTTTGAAGAATTTTCTAATGTTTTAAATCACTGAAGGCTAGCAAAATTTTTAAATGTCATAAGAAATTTCAGAAGATTTCAGTAATAGGGTACAATGCCATATATATGCCAACCTATAGCTTCTTAAATACCAAGTCTTTTTTTCTATTTTTTACAATCCTTCCCAGAAGAATTTTTTTAACATTCTCTTTTTTAAAAATTATCTTTATTTTTGTAGTGAGAGGGTCTCACCACATTGTCC
Source organism: Homo sapiens (assembly GCF_000001405.40). Classification (NCBI taxonomy): domain Eukaryota; kingdom Metazoa; phylum Chordata; class Mammalia; order Primates; family Hominidae; genus Homo; species Homo sapiens. Next base: position 72,551,845 of record NC_000010.11, read on the forward strand.
AGGCTGGCCTCAAACTCCTGGGCTCAAATGATCCTTCCGCCATGGCCTCCAAAAGTGCTGGGATTACAGGAAGTAGCCATTGCACCTGGCCTAAATACCAAGTTTTTATAAAGGGATTGATTTTACAGTTTCTACTTCTATGTAATTTCCTAATTCCTAAAACAAAACAGACTTTAGATTTCATAGGTTTCAAAAGCTAGTAGGTCTTCAAAGTCAAAGTACATTCAATGATGGCATAGAAAAATAAAATTACGTATCATGGAAACTCAATTATTAACAGGTCTGAAGCAACAGATTTTTGATTATAAAATTAAACAAACTGCTAGAGATCCTTTACGTATGGCATATTTAGAAAGCAAAGTTGGGAATCACACAAGCAAATGTTGGAATAGCAACAAAATCAAGTATGGCATATATTTAACTAAAAGGCTGTCTAGTTAATATGAAAGTTCATTCCCTTATCTGGTATACAAGCCCCCATTCTGCACATGGAACATACAAAATACTACACCAGCCACATAATATTTTAGTGAAAAAAATTTATCTCATACCTGAATTTTACAGTTGAAATAGTCAACAATAAATATCTTATAAATAACTGGCTAGAAAATGTGTCAAGGCAATAAAACCTATAATCTCATCAGTTCCATGTCCATAAAGCAATTTACCAATGTTAAGAAAAACTTTATTGATGTTTTATTTTATTTTATTTATTTATTTATTTTTTTGAGATGGAGTTTTGTTCTTGTTGCCCAGGCTGGAGTGCAATGCTGTGATCTCGGCTCACTGCAACCTTCGCCTCCGGGTTCAATCAATTCTCCTGCCTCAGCCTCCCAAGTAGCTTGGATTACAGGTGCCGGCCATCACGCCCGGCTAATGTTTTGTATTTTTACTAGAGATGGTTTCACCATGTTAGCCAGGCTGGTCTCGAACGCCTGACCTCAAGTGATCCACCTGCCTGGGCCTCCCAAAGTGCTGGGATTACAGGCGTGAGCCACCACGCCCAGCCTTTATTGATATTTTAAATTTGCCACATTAACATAGAAATTACTATAACTGTCAGTCCTGGCTAGATGTCACTTTGAAGTCACTGGCAGCAGCTGTTTAACAAGGCTCTTAATTCCACTACCACATGTGCTTTTAGCAACTGAGAAAAGACTGCAAATTTGTGACCACATATGACAGGAATTTTTTCAATGCTAACTTGTAATACAATCTGAATAGATTTCACAGGAGACTTTATCAAAAGATTGAGCATGTGGCAAACACAGTAAAGAGTTTTGCAACCTCTCAGCAGCCTTGAGACATAGCTACAAGTTTTGAAGGCATTTTATATTACACAACAACTGTCTGCTGGGAAATAATGGCTACAGAAGAAATACCTTTCTTCTTTTTTTTTTTTTTTTTGAGACAGAGTCTCGCTCTGTTGCCCAGGCTGGAGTGCACTGGCACAATCTTGGCTCACTGCAAGCTCTACCTCCCGGGTTCACGCCATTCTCCTGCCTCAGCCTCCCTAGTAGCTGGGACTACAGGTGCCCGCCACCACGCCCGGCTAATTTTTTGTATTTTTAGTAGAGGTGGGGTTTCACCGTGTTAGCCAGGATGGTCTTGATCTCCAGACCTCATGATCCGCCTGCCTTGGCCTCCCAAAGTGCTGGGATTACAGGCGTGAGCCACTGCGCCCAGCCAGAAATACCTTTCTTTAGGCCATCTGTATTTTTATTCTTCCTCTGAACAACAACAACAAAAAAGAAACCATTCGGAATGTTTGGGGTATATGAGCAGCAGTTACTAGCAATGAGGACTTTGTGACTTTGTGAATAAAAAAGTTAAGTCAATCATATACATAAAGGTAAAAAAATAAGAACTTAAAAATCAAGAATTTAAGACAAAATCAGATTCGTTTTTGAAATAATAGGTCAAAGAAAGTAACAGACTTAGTATACTCCCACATTGGTAGAATTTAGTATAGACCTATTATATGGTATATATTTTGCTTTTTTTCCACTTAGCATTGTACCTTAGCCTGGTTAAAAGGAACAACAAACTATCATGTAAAGAGTTCAGAATATAGCATCCAAGATAACAAAGGCTTGGAAGCAGAGATAAATAGAAATCTGTTGAAGGATTTTGGGATGTTTAGCCTGAGAAAAGATATACTAAGATAATTACGATGGTTCATTCAGTCATATACCTTATAAGACTTTCTTGAGCATTATTGAGACATCTGTCTTCAATAACACTGCTAGACTTAATTGGATCAAAATTTGGGCATTATTTTTCCTATATGAACTGCATCAAGGAGTAGCCAAAGAGAATTTATAACCAAATAGCAGATGAGGGACAGTGTCTGTTTATAAAATATTCCAATTAATAAATGAAAAAGATTTGATAAAATTAGAATATCATTTTGCAACTTCAATGAATTAACAGATATAGGCAATGAACATCAATAGCTGTTAATACTGCAAAAGAAAAGCAACTAGACATTAGGTGTCTTATGATAAAATAACATAATACCACCACTAATCTTGCTGCAGGGATCAAACCTGAGTCTGATCGAGCCTCAGAATCCAGATGCCAATATTTAGGTAATATAGAGAAAAGAGAAACACGCTGAATTGCACTGAGAATAAGCATCAGTAAAACCTAGGCTCTAGGAAACTTTATGGGCTAAATGGCCTGCATTCTGTCACTTGTAGATTAAGAGGCTTTAAAGATATATCACCAAACAAAATAAGCAAAATTAAACTATATGTCTAGGAATAAACATTGGAGTAAAAAACTATGAAGAACAAAAAGAAATGGTTACTACAAAAATCATTTTAGGTTTCCTATATCTGTATAAAACAACAGTAAAACAATTATTTTTTTCAAATACAGACATTGGCCAGGCGCCGTGGCTCATGCCTGTAATCCCAGCACTTTGGGAAGCCAAGGCGGGTGGATCACTTGAGGTCAGGAGTTCGAGACCAGCCTGGCCAACATGGTGAAACCCCATCTCTACTAAAAATACAAAAATTAGGTAGTTGTGGTGGTACACACCTGTAGTCCCAGCTACTGGGGAGGCTGAGGCAGGAGAATCTCTTGAGCCTGGGAGGCAGAGGTTGCAGTGAGCCAAGATCGTGCCACTGCACTCCAGCCTGGGTGATAGAGAGAGACTCTATCTCAAAACAAAACAAAACATACAAAAAAACCCAAAACAAACAAACAAAAAACAGACATTCTATGTGACGTTGAACAATAAAACTAGACTCGTGAGGAAGAACTCTGAATAGTAAGAGTATTTCAAAATGAAGCAAAAAATTCCCCAGCAAGGGGAAGATGAAGAAGAACATGAAGATCATTATCATAATTATTTCCCCTAAGAAAGAGGGGCTATGAGGATCATTTTAAAATCTTGTGTTTACAAAATGCTATCATCTTTTAGTTTACTGTTACTTAACTTCACCAAACAAAACAAAAAAGCAGACCAACCAATAAAAAGTAAGCCCCAGCTTGAGACTTGAGTTTTAGAAAGGAAAAGTACATTGTTATAACTATAAAAAAAAAACTTAAGGAAGAAAAATGTTAATTTTTTCTGTGATTTGACAACTTTAAGTGATATGGACAGTGGTGAACATCACCACTCCTCCATTTTTAACGGCAGAAGCAAGGGGAAAAGAATATAAAAAGAATGAGTCTACCCAAGTTGGTAGTACTGACTGTGATGAGTACCTCACTCACTCAAACAATGCTTTAAAACTACTCCTGGGCTTGCTCTTTGAATGACACCACACACAGTTAATAGATGGTTCAAGAGGAGTTACACTGCTCCCATCACCAACCACATTCCTGCAAAGGATTACCTATCTTTTGACCATGGATGGAAGATTAGATGAGATGAGCAACTGATGCCTCTACTTGCATGGTAGTCCATATCACCACCACAGGCCTCTGTTTCAAAGGCCTATATTTAATTGTCTGTTTCAGTTGGGTTACAAATTAAATAAGAGGAGAGGATAGGGGAAGAATGGGCTCTTTCTATTGTTAAAAGGGACATATTTTCCCTTGGTCCTGATACCAGTTTTATGGCTTAATTTTGGTAGAATGCCCAAGGAAAACCATGGATATAATGTCTTGAGCCCAAGATAATGCAAGTGACAGTAAATCCCTGTGGACCCTGATGTCAGAAATAATGCATAGGCATGGGATACAGACTGAGGCCACACCTGGAAAAAGTAGCAGGCAGAAAGGTTTTGTAAATGTATCATGTGGCCGGCACACTCTCTCTCAAGAGGTGACATAACCTAATCTGTAACCTAACAGTTGTCCTCCATTTTCGAGACTCCCTCTCCTTTTGCTAGTCAATTTTTGGCCATCCATAATAATGAGCATCTGTCATAGGATGATCTCTTAAGGTTCTATGCAATTCCAAGTTCTATGACACTAGTCTCATAAAGTAAATTAATTTTTGGCAGTAATAGTAATAATATACATAAATTCCAATATTAACATTCTTTTTTTTTCTTTTGAGACAGAGTTTCACTCTTGTTGCCCAGGCTGCAGTATAATGGCACAATCTCAGCTCACTGCAACCTCCGCCTCCCAGGTTCAAGTGATTCTCATGCCTCAGCCACCCAAGTAGCTAGGATTACAGGCATGTGCTACCATGCCCAGCTAATTTTGTATTTTTAGTAGAGATGGGATTTCACAGGTTGGTCAGGCTGGTCTCAAACTCCTGAGCTCAGGTGATCCACCCACCTCGGCCTCCCATAGTGCTGGGATTACACGTGTGAGCCACTGCATCCAGCCCCATAGTAACGTTCTTAACTGTTGGTCAAAATAAGTCCCCAAATTAATAAATAATATATTTTTTCATTTGCTGTATCTTATTGATGGTAAAAGCATATCTGTAAAAATTTCTTCTCCAACATATTTTGCCCATGTTGAAAAAATCTGGCCAGGTGGGTAGCTCTCGCCTGTAATCCCAGCACTTTGGGAGGCAAGGTAGGTGGATCACCTGAGGTCAGGAGTTCGAGACCAGCCTGGCCAAAATGGTGAAACCCAGTATCTACTAAAAATACAAAAATTAGCCAGGCGTAGTGTCGGGTGTCTGTAATTCCAGCTACTTGGGTGGCTGAGGCAGGGAGAATCACTTGAACCCAGGAGGCGGAGGATGCAGTGAGCAGAGATCACGCCACTGCACTCTAGCCTGGGTGACAGAGCAAGACTTCATCCCAAAAAAAAAAGAAAAAGAAAAATCTCTATGGCCTTGATTCTTGGCCTTTCTTTTAAAACAAGCATATTAGTTAGGGTAGGTTAAAATGCTATTACAAATACACCTCAAAATACACTATCTCCAATAAAATGAAATTGTCTTTCTCACTAAGATACAACCCACAGTGCACCTTCCTAGTTGACAGGAATTGATAAGTTCCTTCATGTACTCAAGTTCAAGGCAGCCAACATATATGGCTTCCAAGGTCAGTTCAGTTCATCACCATTCCAGCTCTCAGGAAAAGGGGAAAGCGCATTGAAAAACCCTGTGGGGGCTTTAGGAGCCAGGCCTAGACATGGTTCAAATTACTCCCATTCACTGGACAACTAGCAATCTCCACCACAGTGGATACAGTGAAAAATCAAGGCTCAAGATCACATTTAGAAATCTTAAGATCACTGAAATGACACAATAACTGACCAAGGTTAAACCATGAACAAAGTCTTGTGACCAGAAGACATAATGTTAAAAGAATGCAGTATAAGGAGCAAGAGTTTTTACGTCAGACAGACTTAAATTTTATTCCTGCCTCTATGAGTAACTAGTTGTATGATTTTAGGCAAGCTACTAAACTCCTTCACACAATAAACTATATATGTATATAAGTGAATGTCTACATACACACTCACACAAATATATATATACATACATATATAGATGCATGCATATAAATATATACTATGGCACACAGAAAATGCTCAATAGTTTCCTTCCATTTTTCTATTCATTCTGTTGTTTGTAAATAAGTAAACTGAGTCGAGTGTCCAGCAGCAGACTACTTTCTTTCGCATCTTGTTTGGCATATATAGCACATTTTACATCTTTTAATATTCGTGTTTTCCTATCAATCAGTTTAAAATTACAACAAATTGAACTAAATAATTTGGCTTTTTAAAATGAAGATGCTACTAAACATAGTCTCAATCAAACAAATAGCTCAGAAACAACAATGCAGGCAAAGCTATCAGAAATATAAAAATAACAAACCATATCTTTACTGAGCAAGAGTCTAAAAAGCAGCAACGCTTTCTGTAAACGGATCTCACAATTCAAAGAGCAATTTTATATCTGAAAAGTACAGAAACGACAGTGGGATTTCAATAAACTTAGAATTTTCTGGTTTTTGAGCCTGTGCTCTAAAAATACAGAAATCATTGATAAACCTAAAGCTGAGAAAAATTTAAAAGGCATAACCAGTTCAAAAAACAAAACACCATCTCTGTGGATCAGAGACTGCATAGAAACATACTGTGGTAGGAAGAAATGAAGTTGTAGGCTTCTGGGCTTCAGTCTGAAAACAGGCAAAGCAATTAGGGGCTCATAGTATATGGGATATGAACGGCAGTAAGTGTGCAGAAAAGGAGGCATGAACCAGAGCTAAATTCATTGAATAAAACCAGAAGAAGCTACGGCAGGGCTTCTCTTGACCATGAAAGGAGGGTAAAGTTTTAGTAAGCTGCTACCTAGAGAAAATGCTCATTTAGAGCATTTTCCGCAGCTTTGCCCCAGAACCTTTGCCAAACTGTTGTTGGGTTCAGTGACTGGATCTTCAATACAATGAAGCACAGAGCTATGAATATAAGGCCTACTTCTGAACAAAAAAACCTAGCAAGTGAGAGAAAGCAGCCACTCAAGCACTAAATAGGAAAAAGTAAGCAAAACAAACAAATTAAAACAAAAAGGGGCAGCAGCAGGAAGAACTCTTGAAGCCAGGAGTTTGAGACTAGCCTGGGCAAAACCACATTCTATAAAAAATCTTTTAAAAAATTAGCTGGTTATGGAGATGCATGCCTGTAGTCCTGGCTAATAGGGCTGAGGCAGGAGAACTACCTGAGCCCAGAAGTTCGAGACTGCGGTGAGCTTTCATCATGCCATTGCATTCCAGCCTGGGTGACAGAGCAAGACTCTGACTCTACAAATTTTATTTTTTCAAATGAGCTGGGCATGGTGGCACACACCTGTAGTCCTCTCTATTCCAGAGGCTGAGACAGCAGAATTGCTTAAATCTGTGAGTGCAAGGCTGCAGTGAGCTATGATTGCACCACTGCACTCCAGCCTATGTGACAGAGCAAGACTCTCTCTCCAAAAAAGAGAAAAACCCATAAAAAACAAAAAAGCAAATTTAGGATACCAGTTTACCTCTGAAGAAGATGGAAGATGGGGGAGGAAAGGGACTGAAGGGGAGTATAAAAGCAATGTATTTTTAATACTCATTTCTTTTTTAAAAAACAATCTGAAGTAAATGCAATATTAAAACTTGACAAAACTGAGTGTTGGGTGTTTATAAAATTATAAAATTTATATAATTTTATAAACTACAGACTATATAATTTTATAAAATATAAAAACATATTACTCTATTTTTTCTCTGAATATTTGAAATATTACATAAAAATTAAGAGAACATAAAAAAACAAAAATATAAATGAAAAATGAGAGGGCCGGGCACAGTGGCTCATGCCTGTAATCCTAGCACTTTGGGAGGCCAAGGTGGGAGGATTGCTTGAGCTCACAAGTTTGAAACCATCCTGGGCAAATATTGAGACCTCTACAATGAATAAACTTTTTTTTAAATAAAATTTTTAAAAAGAAAAAAGTTAAAGGAAAAAGAAAAGTGAGAATGTGAAGGACAACATGTAGAGCAAGGGACCCCAGCCCTGGGCCGTGGACTGGTACTGGTCCGGGGCCTGTTAGGAACCAGGCTGCATAGCAGGAGGTAAGCAGCAGTGGAACATGACCGACTAAGCTCTGCCTCCTGTCAGATCTGCGGCAACATTAGATTCTCATAGGAGCATGAACCCGATTGTGAACTGCACATGCAAGGGATTTAGGTTGTGTGCGTTATGAGAATCTAATGCCTGATGATCTGCGGTGGAACGGTTTCTCCTCAAACCATCCCCTCCCACTCTGGTCTGCAGGAAAACTGTCTTCCACAAAACCAGTCCCTGGTGCCAAAAAGGTTGGGGACTGCTGATGTAGACATCACAGGACCAGACCAGAGGGAAAAAAATGAATGGGAAAGTAGCAAGAGAAAAATACATGATCAAAATGGAGAAGAAAAAGGGGATTAAAAAATGCAGTTTAAGGAGGACTTGGTGTGGTGCTGCCATCTCTCCTGCCTTCAGTCTATGCACCTCTCACTGAACTTCCAATAGCACCATGTTGGAACAGGGCATCCAGAGGTTCACAACCTCTGTGGTCTACAGGAGGCATGAGGCACTATAAAGAGGGCTAAGGGAAGAACATGCTATTTTCAGTAGAAAATAAGTGGTGGTTACTAATTATAATGACTTTGCACTTTGGATCTGGATTTTATGCACATTTCTTTATAGTAAGACACCAACTGCTTAAGAAACAAGGATGTTTAATTCATCCATGAAACAGATATGAAGAGCATTTTAAGAGGTGCAATCTCTGAAAAATAAATCAAACCCTTGAATTTACATAGGATAATAGATATGTTTTAAATAAACTTATGACATAAGCCAGGCACAGTGGCTCATGCCTATAATCCCAACACTTTGGGAGGCCAAGGTGGGCGGATCACCTGAGCTCAGGAGTTCGAGACCAGTCTGGCTAACATGGTGAAACCCCGTTTCTACTGAAAATGCAAAAGTTAGCCAGACATGGTGGCAGGCATCTGTAATTCCAGCTACTCAGGAGGCTGAGGCATGAGAATCGTTTGAATCCAGGAGGCAGAGGTTGCAGTGAGCCTAGATCACACCACTACACTCCAGCCTGGGCGACAGACCGAGACTCCATCTCAAAACAAACAAACAAAACACAAAACTTATGGCATAAAAATGTGGTTTATTATTTCTTAAATTATAGATAAATTCTTAACATGTCTATATAGATTATGTAAAAGAATGAATATACAAAGAATGACTGAAAAAAACAGAATGAAGACAGAATAAGTGTTGAAATAGATTATTAGAGATACAGAAAGACATTAAAACAATTATCCTTGAACAGGGAAAAGATAGCTCTTCCTCTGAAACTTCAGTGAAAGAAATAAGAATTATTTCAAATACAGATTAGATAGATTTTGTAACTATAAGGGTTGGAATTTGAGTAAATCACACAGATAGCTTTAATTTTTTCTATGAAGTATGAGATATGCTCATCTGCTGAGCAGAAGGCAGGAGTAGAAAATGGAAGTAGGTTCAAAATAAATGTTTATTTGGGACATTTTAGCTGTATTTTACGAAATGGAAAGTGTGACTGGCCTGTAGATGAAACTGCTGGCACAGAGTAAAGTTGTGCTTTCTTTGAATTCACTCAGGGCAAAACAATAAATAAATGTATCCTGACAGAAAAACAAGGACACTTGATAATTGACTTGTGATGCATGACTTTTGTTCAATTCACCTCTATCAGAAATGGATTTGGGTATAGAGAAAACACATTTAATAATTTCATCTAGGCTGGGCATGGCGGCTCATGCCTATAAACCCAGCACTTTGGCAGGCCGAGGCAGACGGATCACCTGAAGTCAGGAGTTCGAGGCCAGCCTAGCCAACATGGTGAAACTCCATCTCTCCTACAAATACAAAAATTAGCGGGGCATGGTGGTGCATGCCTGTAATCCCAGCTATTGGGAAGCTGAGGCAGGAGAATCGCTTGAACCCAGGAAGCGGAGGTTACAGTGAGCCAAGATCATGCCATTGCACTCTAGCCTGGGCAACAGAGGGAGACTCTGTCTCCAAAAATAAAAAAATTACTTCATCTAACATATGAAACCAGACAGAAGATCCAGATTTTACAAAGAACTCTTCTTGCAAACACAAACCACAAACACACAAAACGCAGAAATAACTCAAATTATCTTGTTGCATTATTAGCTATAGTTTAGCAACTGAACGCAACTCCCTGAATTTTAACCTTGACATGCAAAATGTCTAAGAAATCCATCCTTTTCATTGTTCATCACTCATGTTTGCTGAACTCAAATACCTGATATCATAGGAACTGCTGTAGTGGAACTGAAACTTCGCTGAGGCAAAGCTACATAACAGCAGGTTGTGTTAATTACATAAAATCTTTTTTTTTTTTTTTTTTTTTTTTGAGACTCAGTCTTGCTTTGCCGCCCAGGCTGAAGTGCAGTGGCACAATCTCAGCTCACTGCAACCTCCACCTCCCGGGTTCAAGCAATTCTCCTGACTCAGCCTCCTGAGTAGCTGGGACTACAGGTGCATGCCACCATGCCAGGCTAGTTTTTGTATTTTTAGTAGAGACAGGGTTTCATCACATTGGCCAGGTTGGTCTTGAACTTCTGACCTCAGGTGATCCACCCACCTCCGCCTCCCAGAGTGCTGGGATTATAGGCATGAGCCACCATGCGGGGCCTAATTACATAAAATCTTGATAGTCATTTGAAGTTTGTGCTGTCCTCAAAGTTACTTGGTCTTCTAGAAGTTATGTTTCCAAAGAGATTTTATTCTGTCTCTACAACCCGATATCAGAAATACCACAAAGACTCAACTTAACATATATGATAACATTTAGCATCAGGAAGATCCAGAAAAAAAGAATCACCTTAGGCAGTTGAACTGAAAGAACTAAGAAAAAATATGCTAATCATGGTTATTGGTCCTAGATCCTTTTAACTACCTCCTTTAACCTCACATTCCAAGAGTACTTTTGGCTTAGAACATGATAGAAAATAGCAAAGAAGTGATAACTTGAAAGTGAAGATGAACCATCTGAAACATATGATTAAAAAGATTGAACTGCATTATTCTACTTTAAGATATACTTCTGATCAACTTATAAGACTATGTTTCATACTTTTCTGTCTCTGAATCCAGAACGTTTCTTCTTTTTCTCTTCTGGGTGAGGGGCAAGATCTGCAGTCTTTTTCTCATGGTTACAAACATCCCCTTCATCTTTATTCTTCCCTTTATCACCGATGTCACTTTTTAGGTTGTCTACACATGGTGGAGATTCTGCATGGGCCCTGGATATGCAAAAAAGAAATCTAGATTAATCTTGAACGTCCATCATACTAGACAAATAAGCAAACAGATACAGCTTAGCAGAGCAACAGCAATGAAATTTGTCAAATATTCTACATGAAGAAGTTCCTCAAAAAATATAAAATAGAACTTCCACATGATCTCTGGTTATATATCCCAAAGAAATGAAAGGGTCTCAAATAAATATTTGCACATCCATGTTCACAGCAGCACTATGCACAATAGCTGAAAGGTGGAAACAACTCAAAAGTCCATTGGCAGATGAATAAACAAAATGTGGTATATACAGATAATGGAATATTTTTCAGCTTTAAAAGGAAAGGAAATCCTGTCACAAGCTACAACGTGGATGAATCTTGAGGGCGTTATGCTAAGTGAAATAAACCAGTCACAAAACCACAAATATTGTATGACTTCACTTACATGAGTTACCTGGAATATTTAGATTTACAGAAACAGAAAGTAGAATGGGGGTTACCAGGGGCTGAGGGAAGGGGAAGCAAGGAAGTTGCTCTTGAATAAGTAGAGTTTCAGTTTTGCAAGATGAAAACGTTCTGGAGATCTGTTTCACAATGATGTGAATACCCTTTAAACTACTGAACTGCATATTTTAAAATGGTGAAGACATGTGACAGAAGCCCTCATCCACACGTCTTCCCATTGAAACCAGAGACGATGAGCCCTTCCAGTACAAAAACTAAATGTACTAGACTTCCAGCCATAGAGCGCCTCCTTGTTCTTCATCTCACTCCAACTCTTCCCATTCTCATTCTCCCCTTGTCCCAACTGTAACTGAAAGGGTGGAATATCAAGGTCTTTAGAAAAAAATGGTTAAGATGTAAGTTTTATGTTATGCACCTTTCACTACAATAAAAAGGAACATAAATAAAGAAGAAATAGGGGACCAAAATAATATAAGTATTTCTTTTTTAAAAAATAATATAAGTATTTCTGGTAGTTGAAGCCATTGCTGCAATGATATAATACTAAAATTAATTAAATATTACAGAACTGATGAAATACAAAAAGAAGACTTTTGCTTACAGCCATAATGGAGCAAACGATAATAGATCTGACTTCCTACCAGGGCAAAAATACAGAAAATTGAACAAAATATATCAAATGACTGCTTTCAGACACTGCACAGTATGCAACTCTCTAAGAAAATGGTGGCCTGGCCAGGCGTGGTGACTCACACCTGTAATCCCAGCACTTCGGGAGGCCGAGGTGGGTGGATCACTTGAGGTCAGGAGTTCGAGACCTGCCTAGCCAACATGGCAAAAAACCATCTCTACTAAAAATACAAAAGTTAGCCGGGTGTGGTGGTGCTTGCCTGGTCCCAGCTACTTGAGAAGCTGAGGCAGGAGAATGTCTTGAACCCAGGAGGCAGAGGTTGCAGTGAGCCGAGATTGTACCAATGTACTCCAGCCTGGGTGACAGAGTGAGACTCCATCTCAAAAAGAAAAAAAAAAAAAAAAAAAGAAAAGAAAAATGGAGGCCTATAATTGCCCAGAATTTCTGTCTGGAAACATTTTCTAGACCACAAAGAGGATCCCAAGCCAAATACAGTGATCTTGCTAAACTAAAGTGACAGAGATCAAAGTTTGGAAAACCTGAGGTGCCTGGAATTGGTGAGGCAGAGGACTCAAAAGGAAAAAGTCACACAGAGAAAGAGCTCCAAAAATGTACACAGAACACTCTCGAGTATTGAGTCAACACTCAGCAGTGCATTCTTAGGATGAAACTACACAAAGTAGTTGCCAAGGAGCCACAGGCCAGTCAATTTCCAGAGCTCACAAGCAGGAAACAATCAAGCTCTACCAAGTCAGACTAGAGGAACCTCACTGAACACCCAAGGCATTTAGTAACATCCCAGAAAGATCATGCTATATTAATAGGGCTAAGATAGCTCTAGAGGCTGGGCATGGTGGCTCATGCCTGTAATCCCAACACTTTAGGAGGCTGAGGTGGGCAAGTCACTTGACCCCAGGAGTTCAAGACCAGCTTGACCAACATGGTGAAACCCTATCTCTACTAAAAATACAAAAAAAAAAAAAAAATTACCCAAAGGATCATACATCATGCTGCTATAAAGACACACGCACACGTATGTTTATTGCGGCACTATTCACAATAGCAAAGACTTGGAACCAACCCAAATGTCCAACAATGATAGACTGGATTAAGAAAATGTGGCACATATACACCATGGAATACTATGCAGCCATAAAACATGATGAGTTCGTGTCTTTTGTAGGGACATGGATGAAGCTGGAAACCATCATTCTCAGCAAACTATCGCAAGGACAAAAAACCAAACACTGCATGTTCTCACTCACAGGTGGGAATTAAACAATGAGAACACATGGACACAGGAAGGGGAACATCACACGCCGGGGCCTGTTGTGGGGTGGGGGGAGGGGGGAGGGATAGCATTAGGAGATATACCTAATGTTAAATGATGAGTTACTAGGTGCAGCACACCAACATGGCACATGTATACATATGTAACTAACCTGCACGTTGTGCACATGTACCCTAAAACTTAAAGTATAATAAAAAAAAAAAAATTAGCCATGGTGGTGCACACCTGTAATCCCAGCCGGGCATGGTGGTGCACACCTATAATCCCAGCTACTTGAGAATTGCTTGAACCCAGAGGCAGAGGTTGCAGTAAGCTGAGATCATGCCACTACACTCCAGCCTGGGCGACAGAGCAAGACTCCATCTCAAAAAAACAAACAAACAAAAATAAAAAACAGAGAGTGACAGAGTCAGAAAAACAGTAACTATGTATTTTAAGAAAGAGAAGACTGTGGCTCACTACATTTTCTCTTCTTTCCAAGGAAGTTTCCATAACTAGTGAAAAAAATTATCAGGGACACTAAAGTACCAAGGTTCCTTTGTTAATTTCACAGGGTCACCAAATTGTGAAGTCTCAGAAAGCATTCATTTTCTTTTTTTTTTTTTTTTTTTTTTTGGAGACAGTTTTTCTCTGTCACCCAGGCTGGAGTACAATGGCACAATCTTGGCTCACTGCAACCTCCACCTGCCTCCCAGGTTCAAACAATTCTCCTGCCTCAGCCTCCCAAGTAGCAGGGACTACAGGCTCACGCCCTGTGTCTGGCTATTTTTTGTATTTTTGTAGAGATGGGTTTTTGCCATGTTGGCCAAGCTGGTCTCAAACTCCTGACTTCAAGTGATCCAACCACCTTGGGCTCCCAAAGTGCTGGGATTACAGGTGTAAGCCACCGCGCCTGGCCAGAAAGCCTTCATTTTCTAAAGCTGCTATTGCTATCCCTATCCCATTATTTAAAATGTTCAGCAGAGGAGACAGGCAGACCTTGAAGCACAGTGTTTCCTAAGTATTGCCTTAGCATGTTGAATTCTTTGAAACATCTTATTTCATAGACGAATATTAACAATACCAAATGATCCGAGCAAGAAATTCTGATACAGAGTTAAGCCAGAAATCAACTCCTTTCTGACAACAGAGATGACTGGAAGAATAAAAGTATACGCAAGAACAAGATGGTTGGATAACACTCACCTCTTCCACAAAAGACCAGTACTTGCAGTTACTGCAGATGCTCCCAGGAAAGCCACCATCATTAGTCTTCGCCGGATCTGGATGGGCTGTGATCCTCCATGGTACCATCGAGAACCCACAGCCAGTTCTGCCAAAGCAGAAAGTGAGTTCAGACGAAACATCCTGTGGACAATAAGTAGAAATGTCACTCTTAGCTAGTGGTAGTTATGATGATGATGATGATGATCCTACCAACATTTCTAATAAACACTAAAGTAATTGCTCTATGACAGGCACTATTCTAAACAATTTGCTTATATTATCCCATTTAATCCTCAGAATAATCTTATGAGCAAAGTACTACTTATAAAACTGATATATTAGTCAAAGTACAATTAGAAGACAGAAACCACATGATAATTTGAGTATGAAACTTTTAATATAAAACATTATTAAGGCCAGGTATGTGGCTCATGCCTGTAATCTTAGCACTTTGGGAGGCCAAAGAGAGAGGATCATTTGAGCCCAGGAGTTGAAGAACGGCCTGGACAACATAGTAGGACCCCATCTCTACCAAAAAAAATCAGCCAAGCATGGTGACATGCACTTGTAGTCCCAGCTATTCAGGGGGCTGAGGTGAGAGCACTACTTAAGCCCAGGATGTTGAGGTGACAGTGAGCTATGATCAACAGAGCAAGATGCTGTCTCAAAAAAATGAATAAAATAAATAAAAAATAAAAAATTATTAGTTACAACAGGAAATTTACTACTCAGAAGTTAAAGAAATAGCAGATATAGGGAGCAGTTACTATTCTAGATCTGACACAGAGCACCAAGAAAAGACCAGTCTATAAAAGGTCTACTCTCACTCACAGGGCAGAGATCAGACTGTGTGGAGAGGGCACAGCTATGTATGTCAGAGAAACTTACTAAGGTGCCATGCCAGCAAAATGCACTAGAAAGCCACTCTCTGTGATGCCAGAACAAGTCATCTACTGGACAACTCATGCCAGCGGAATTTGTTGGGAAGCTGACCTTCGCGATGCCAGGGGAAGCCACCCATGGGGAGGCAGTTTCACTAGGAAATTGCATATGAGAGTTGCTGCTAAAACTCCTTAGGAGCTGGGTGCCATTGAGTGTCCCACTAGTTCCTGCATGCTATAGAAGCAAGCCACAAAGGGCACACTAGACTCAGCAAGAAACACCCCTCCTCCAGGGTCCTTCTAGTCTCTCTACTGACAAAGTTTAACAGTAACTGGCAAGGGAAAAACTTCCAGTATCACAAACGGGACAATGAAAGATGTGTTTAGAGCTGAAATGAAAAAAGATAACTGGTACCCATATTTTACAGATCTAAAATATAACTTGCTCAAGAGTACAAAGGTAGGAAGTGATAGATCTAGAATTTGAACCTAGGGAGGACTAATTCCATACTTCAATGTCTCGGAGTTAGGTAGGGAGACTTCAACCTAGGAGGGGAGACTTTGCTGCCCCCTACCTTATAATGCTGACACTGCTTTGAAGTTTTTATTAAATATTTTTCACACCCAGGTCCTTGGAAGCCCTCCTCCCTACCAGATTCTCTATAGTTCAAACTTCACTTAAAAAAAAATTCTTTTAATGTTTTGTTTTAAATCTGAAACATCTGTATTAGTGCATATTACTGTTCAATAAATACTTACTCTTCCATCCCCCATCCCTTAGGCAAAATTACTTTTCTACTTTTTTCTTCCCCTTCTGCATATGAATGCCAGGTCATAAATTTCCTTCTCTTTAAGTTTTTGGCGTATGTCTTGCCATATGTCTTGCTCTAACCAATGGAATGTGGACCAGTTCCATGAAGTGCTTTTAGGAGGTGCTGCTGTTAGTTTTCTTGTGTTCCTGCACTCCATCGAGGGAAGACCATGTCCCAAAGAGACACTGATCCTTCAAACTGGCATCCATAATGAACAGACTTCAGCCTGGAATAAACCACTGTCAAGCCCAGCTGAGCCAGCTGAGCACAGCTGACCTGTAGAATGCTGGTGAGAAATAAATGTGTGTAACTGTAAGCTGCAAAGATTTGGGTGTTGTTTGTTGCCCCATCAATAGCCAACTAATTCAGCATCCAAGATAATTACTGGGAAGTTCTTATTCTTTTTTTTTTTTTTTTTTTTTTTGAGACTGAGTCTTGCCCTATCACCCAGGCTGGAGTACAGTGGCGCAATCTCGGCTCACTGCAACCTCCACCTCCCGGGTTCAAGCGATTCTCCTGTCTCAGCCTCCTGGGTAGCTGGGATTACAGGCACACGACAACCACACCTGGCTAATTTTTGTTTTTTTAGTAGAGACAGGGTTTCACCATGTTGGCAAGGCTGGTCTCGAACTCTTGACCTCAAGTGATCCATCCGCCTCGGCCTCCCAAAGTGCCGGGATTACAGGCATGAGCCACCGCGCCTGGCTGGGAAGTTCTTATTCAACAAAAATTTATTAAATTCATACTGTATATACATCCCTATGTGAGACCCAGAAAGCCAAAAACTATCTACATTCTAATTAAACAAGATAAATACAAAACACTTTTAAAACAATACATTTCTAAAATCATATATATGCATATATATATATATATATATATATATATATATTTTTTTTTTTTTTTGAGATGGCGTCTCACTCTGTTGCCCAAGCTGGAGTGTGGTGGCATGATCTCAGTTCACTGCAACCTCTGCCTCTCGGATTCAAGCAATTCTCCTGTCTCAGCCTCTTGAGTAGCTGGGACTACAGGCACATACCATGATGCCTGGCTAATTTTTGCATTTTTAATAGAGATGGGGTTTCATCATGTTGGTCAGGCTGGTCCCAAACTCCTGACCTCAGGTGATCTACCTGCCTCGGCTTCCCAAAGTGCTGAGATTACAGGCGTGAGCCACCACACCCGGCCTAAAATTATATCTTGAAGTATAGAAATATTATGATAGAAATGACAGAAAACTACAAATAAAAAAGATAAAGTTGAGACTGGGTTAGTCAGCAAAAGCTTTTGTTTAGTCTTAAGCCTCAGAATGGTGTAAAATTTTGATTAAGTCAGAGAAATGTTGAGACACCCCCAAAACCATAGGATCATTTCGGGCACCTCCATCCAGAGAATTAATGTAAATGATTTTTTTCCCTCTAGATTATGACCTTCAGGGCTCAGTATAGTACCTCACTGTTTTAATGCACCAGATGGGCTGATGGAAGAAGAGGCATTTCTTTACAGTCCCACTTTTTTGTAGAGGTAATTCATTCAAATTATACAAAGAATCCATGCCCCCTTTGATTTTTCTCAAAGCACAGTTCACTGATTCCTAAATTTTTGTGTGTGTGTTTTGAGATGGAGTCTTGCTCTGTCGCCAAGGCTGGAGTACAGTGGCATGATCTTGGCTCACTGCAACCTCTACCTCCTGGGTTCAACCAATTCTCCTGCGTCAGCCTCCCAAGTTGCTGGGATTACAGAAGTGTGCTACCATGCCCAGCTAATTTTATATTTTTAGTAAAGACGGGGTCTTACCATATTGGCCAGGCTGGTCTCGAACTCCTGACCTCAAGTGATCTGCCCGCCTTGGCCTCCCAAAGTGCTGGGATTACAGGTGTGAGCCACCATGCCCAGCCCACTGATTCCTAATTTAAACTACTTTGCACTTTGTACATATCTTCCTATGGCATACGTAATTTTTTCTCCCCTTGCCTCAAGGCCCAAATTATTTTTTTTTTCAAGTTGTAAACACATAGTCTAGCACAGGACTTGTTACATTATTAGTGCTTAAAATACTTAACCATTTTACTTTCACATGTCTGTGTACAAACTATACAGGTACTTGCTCCTAACATTTAAGTATACTCTAAGTTCCTAATTTACTTAGAAAACTGTCTTCTATTATTTGGATTCAAGTCAGGTTAGACTACTTAGGCATCTCCTAAAATCAATGAGCTGGTTACTATTAACTCTTCCCTGGGACCTATACCTATAATCTCTTATGTAAACTTTGCTCCTAGCTCCCTTCATCCAATCTAGGTCCAATTTTGAAATTGGACCTAAATCTTGCCCTCATATAGACAAAATGGAAAAACTGTTAATCTTTTCTCCTATTTTCCATGACCTAAGCTTTAATAACACAATTCTTATATCCTTCCCCAATCCCAGAAATCATCTCATTTTATTGCACATACTCTAGCAAAATCCAGCACCCAGGAGGCTGTCCATTATATTTTCTTCCTGTCTGGCAACTTCTGATTTTTTTTTTTTTGGTTCATTTCAAAATTAACATTTCTCAAATCCACATGTACACTCACATAAATAGCACTGCTCTTCGCTACAGCAAAAATGAGCACTAAACTAAAACATGCATATCTGGAGGAAACATTATTCATCACTGACAACAGAAAGAACAGACACTTGGAAGTTTTCAATGTTTAAAATAAATAACAGCCAATTCAAAAGTTGGAACAGGATGAGTGCAGTGGCTCACACCTGTAATCCCAGCACTTTGGGAGGCCACGGCGGGCAAATCACTTGAGGTCAGGAGTTCGAGACCAGCCTGGCCAACATGGTGAAACCCTGTCTCTACTAAAAATACAAAAATTAGCTGGGCCTGGTGGCAGGCGCCTGTTATTCCAGCTATTCAGGAGGCTGAGGGAAAAGAATCACTTGAACCGAGGAGGCGGAGGTTGTAGTGAGCCGAGATTGTACCACTGCACTCCAGCTTGGTTGACAGAGTAAGACCCTACCTCAAAAAGCCAAAAGTTCTAACAGGCAAGGGGTATATAAGCCTGGAAGATAAATTTACAACATCTGATCAGATGTAGAGAACAGCTAGACATATGATCAACTAAGTAAGCCACAATCA
Organism: Homo sapiens; assembly: GCF_000001405.40. NCBI lineage: Eukaryota > Metazoa > Chordata > Mammalia > Primates > Hominidae > Homo > Homo sapiens. The sequence continues at coordinate 72,571,480 of NC_000010.11, forward strand.
CTTGAGAAGGACCTTTGAATGCCAGACCAAGAATTTAGAGCATATGTAAAATAGGAAGCCACTCAAGTTCTTTAATAGGAAGAGATCATGGTAAAAACGGGTTAAAGCATTATCAGTCTATCTATTAGCAGTGCATGGAATAAACTGCAAAGAAGCAAAGGCAGAGAGAGCTGACAGGAAAGTGATGAGTACAGCCAGAAGGCATTAATAACCTAGGTATTGGGTGATGAGTGCCTAGATTATAAGTGTAGAAATAAAAAACAGAATCAAACAAAAAATTTCCAAAGAAAAACAAAATGTAGTTGGGCATGGTGGCACACGTCAGCTACTTAAAGAGGCTGAGGTGGGAGGATAGCTTGAGCCCAGGAGTTTAAGTCCAACATGGGCAACATGGTAAAACCCCACCTCTAAAAAAAAAATAATGATAAAGACATTGGTATCAAACACATATTAATATCTAATTGCACAGGAGATATGGAAGATAAAAAGGAGAAATAAATTAAAACAATAACAACAACACTAGGTACTATGGTAAAAAAAAAAAAACAAACACTAAGTAGTATGGCAGAAATCCAATGATCCAAGATCTGGTCTCAACTGTACTACTCAACAGCTAGCTGTATATACTAAAGAAGCTCATCCCTCCTCCTTGGGAAAAAAGCTCACTCACTGGTAAAATGAAAGAATTGCGTAGGTGAGCTTAGGGTTCCTTTTATCTCTTTAGCACTCTCATATCTTTGGTAGAAAACACTATAACAAAATTTAATTAATTTCATTTAGGAGAAAAGACTAAGATCATATAAAGTATTCAAGATTTATTAGTTTGGGCAATCCATTTCTATATGCTATGGCTCTAGGGGATTTCAAACTTTGAAAGTTCTGAGTTTTACCAACTCAGACCCAGATAAGTTATGTGATTTCCTCATAGCTAATTAGTACAAAAACCTATAACAGATCCTTGCATTTTTGACTCCCAAATAAACTTAATGAGAAAAACCTGTTTAATAACTGTTCTCAGCAGAAAAAATATAACAGCCACACTCTAAAAGTAGATCAAATGCCCAACTACAGAAAAATAAATGATGCTATAATAACATAATGGAATGGAATGTAAATATTAAAAATGATAATAATAAAATATTATTAAAATATTACTTCACAAACCAACAGAAAGTTGGGTAAAGATATAAAAAGACAGTTGGAAAAGAAAAATGGCTCCGAAAACTGTGAAAAGATACTTAATCTCACTCATAATAAAATAATGCAAATTAAACCTATACTCAGATACTTTTCACCCATCAAACGGGCAAAAATCAAAAAGTTTGAAAACACATTTGTTGACAATGTTGCAGAATGGCACTACTGATGAACATGCAAATCTGTACAATTTATGGTGGGCAATTTGGTAATTTGCATTAAAATTACTCATATAATCTGCATATACTGGCCTAGAAATTCCACTTCTAATAATATACCCTACTGATGTACTTGCACACTTGTGAAATTATGCACATGTATATGGTGCATAATTATTATATCATAGTTTATAATAGCAAAACACTAAGAACTACCCCAATGTTCACCAAGAGAGATTGGTTAAAGTATGATAAATCTATATAAAGCAATACCACATAGCAATAAAGAGAATGAGAAAACTTTATGTAAAAACATGAAAAAAGTTCATAGTGTTATCTTTTTAAAAGCAATAGGCCAGCCGCAGTAGCTCATGCCTGTAATCCCAGCAGTTTGGAAGGCCAATATGGGAGGGTCACTTGAGTCCAGGAGTTTGAGACCAGCCTGGGAAACATAATGAGACCCCCATCACTACAAAAAAAAAAAAAAAAAAAAAAAAAAAACTAAGGCAACATATGGAATACCACATACAGTATGCCACCTTTCATATAAAAAAGGAGAAAATAAGAACGCATATGTACTTATTAAGTAACAACACACTCACAAAAAGTAATAGTAGTGGTGCTGGTGGGAGTTGGAAATAAGATAACATACAGAGAGATTTTTATGATATGCTATTTCATTTGAAACAAAATTTATGTATTTATCCATGCAAACAAATGTACAGTATTTCATATTAGCATTTTCATTTAAGTTTAAAGGAAGAATATAAGGTAATATGCACATGCCAATTAAACTTTGTAAAATATATAATCACATGGTTAATTTTTTATTTATAAATAAAATTTAAATTAGGCAAATAAAATTTAATGCTCCCCTAGGGATTTTATTTAAACTTTTTCATTTAAGTAAAAATAAAGGCAGGCCCAGAAGGCAGTTGTTGCATTCCCCTCAGCCAGGAACTGTCACTTACCAGCCCCACCACTGAGCTCAGGCCCAATAATGTCTCAACAATCAAGGCACATTATGGCAAGCTTCCCTAGTGAGATAAACTTTATGTAAATCAAGCTCATATCCTTTTATTTTGAGTACTGGCACATTCTTACACAAATTAGCAAACTATTACAATTCCAGACCATATCCTTATCCTGACTTAAAATTTCTGCTTGCCTTTTTATATTTGATTTACCCCCTTATATTTCTGACCCCTGACAACTGCACATTTAGAGAATGACTACTTGGCTCTTCCAATCCTTGCACTGGCCTAAATAAACCTCTCCTGTACTATTAACCAACTATTACCCGACACTGTTGTTGAAAGCAGCACCTGCTAACTCTGTGGCCAAGAAACATATCTGAGATCTACCCAGATCTGGCCACCAATTAAAGTGAGAACTCAGTTAAATAAAATGTCAGCCGGGCGTGGTGGCTCACGCCTGTAATCTCAAGTACTTTGGGAGGCTGAGGTAGGTGGATCACCTGAATTCAGGAGTTCAAGACCAGCCTGACCAACATGGTGAAATCCCATCTCTCCTAAAAATACAAACATGGTAGCACATGCCTGTAATCCCAGCTACTCGGGAGGCTGAGGCAGGAGAATCGCTTGAACCCAGGAGGTGGAGGTTGCAGTGAGCTGAGATTGCACCATTGCACTCCAGCCTGGGCAGCAAGAGTGAAACTCCATCTCAAAAAAATAAAATAAAATAAAAAATAAAGATGGGGAAATAATGAGATAATAATGATAATAATGATTTATTGGACATTATGCAGGTTTTTGTGTGGCACAAGCAAGAAGAGTATGTCAGTCTAAAAAAAAGATACTAAGGAAAATTATCCCCAAATATGTTGAATTTATTCGGGAATGAGAAATGAGAATTATAATCTAGAATGCATGGGATGGCAAGTCACCAGCGTATCCAGTGAGGAAAGGATAAAGGGAAGCTTTATTAGGAAACAGGCAGAGATTCACTTAAGCTGCTTAGAAACAGAGTTCACTTGTTCCAGAGGCCCAAAGCCATTGCTGTTGTTAGTTCACTGGTGGAGATGCCATTACTGGGCAAGTGTTCTTTTGAGAGCACTGGACAAGTGCGCTCAAAAAAAGGACTAGGTTTATTACTAGTTGTAAAGAATGTCTAGTAATAAACCTTCTCAAAATAGGAGATGCCCGGATGATGTCAAAGAGTTTCTTGTGGGATTTTTAGAAAGTTCCTGAAAATGGTTCTGTCTTTTCTCTCTCTCTCAATTTTTACGGAGATGGGGTCTTGCTGTATTGCTAAGGCTAGTTTTGAACTCCTTGTCTCAAGCAATCATCCTGCCTCAGCATTCCAAGTCCATGGGATTACAGGTGTGAGCCACCATGCCCAACTTTTTGGAAACACTCATCTCACACATGTAAGCAGCAGTCTCCTCTGTCTGTGGCCTTCCTGGCCCTATTTTGTTTGGATCTAACAAAAGTGATTCATCCTAATATCTGTAACTTTCACAAATATTTGTATTTTTTTACATTTTTAATAGCTTTAATTGTACAAATAATATAAAAATAAATTTTCATTGTCTAAAATGTTACACAGAAGCACAAAAAAAGAGTAAGTCTTCTTCAAATAAAGGCATACCTCATTCTATTGTGCCTCACTTTATGATACACTTCATGGAGATTGCATTTTTCACAAATTGAAGGTTTGTGGCAACCCTGTTTCAAACAAGTCCATTGGTGCCATTTTCCCAACAGCATACACATACTTTGTGTTTCTGTGTCACATCTTGGTAATTCTTGCAATATTTCCAACTTTTTCATTATTACTGTATTTGTTATCATGATCTAGGATCAGTGACCTTTGGTGTTACTATTTTAATTGTTCTGAGGCACCAAAAACCATGCCCAAAGATGGCAAACGTAATTGGTAACTGTTGTGTGTGTTCTGCTTCACTCACCCGTCATTTCCCCGTCTCTCTCCCTTTCCTCAAGCCTTCCCATTCCCTGAGACACAGTAATATTAAAATTAGACCAGTTAACAACCAACCTTACAAGGGCCTCTAAATGAACGTTCAAGTGAAAGGACAAATTTCACACATCTCACTTTCAATCAAAAGCTAGAAGTGGGCCGGGCGCGGTGGCTCACGCCTGTAATCCCAGCACTTTGGGAGGCTGAGGCGGGTGGATCACCTGAAGTCAGGAGTTCGAGATCAGCCTGACCAACATGGCAAAACCCCATCTCTACTAAAAATACAAAAATTAGCTGGGCATGGTGGTGGGAGCCTGTAATCCCAGCTATTCGGGAGGCTGAAACAGTAGAATCTCTTGAACTTGGGAGGCAGAGGTTGCAGTGAGCTGAGATCGTGCCACTGCACTCCAGCCTGGGCAACACAAGTCAAACTCCGTCTCAAAAAAACACCAAAAAAAAAAAAAAAAAAAAAAAGCTAGGAATGATTAAGCTTATGAGGAAGGCATGTCAAAAGCCAAAGGCCAAGATAGGCCAAAAGTTAGCCAAGCTGCAAATGCAGAGGAAAAGTTCTTGAAAAAAATTAAAAGTGCTACTCCAATGAACATAAGAATAAAAGAGTGAATCAGGCTTACTGCTGATGTGAGGCAGATTTTAGTGGTCTAGACAGAAGATCAAATCAGCCACAACATTCCCTTAAGCCAAGGCCTAATCCAGAGAAAGACCTTAACTCTCTTCAATTATATGAAAGCTGAGCAGTGAGGAAGCTGCAGAAGAAAAGTTTGAAGCTAGCACAGGTTTATGAGGTATAAGGAAAGAAGTTGTCCTCATAACATAAAAGGTGCAAGGTGAAGCAGCAAGTTATCCAGATCTAGCTAAGATCATTTGATGAAGGTGGCTACACTAAACAAGAGATTTTCAGTGTAGACAAAACAGCCTTACTAGGAAGAAGATGCCATCTAGGACTTTCACAGCTAGAGAGAAGTCAATGCCTGACTTCAAAGCTTCAAAGGACAGGCTGACTCTCTTGTTAGGGGCTAATGTACCTAGTGACTTTAAGTTGAAGGCAACGCTCATTCATCATTCTGAAAATCCTTAGGATCCATAAGAATTATGCTATATCTCACAATTTGCAATTGCAAAAAAAATATGGAACTGACCTAAATGCCCATCAACCAACAAGTGGATAAAGAAAATGTGGTGTATATACACCATGGAATATTACTTAGCCATAAAACAAAATGAAATAATGGCTTTTGCAGCAACTTGGATGGAGCTGGAGGCCATTCTTCTAAGTGAAGTATCTCTGGAATGGAAAACCAAATATTCTATGTTCTCACTAATAAGTGGGAGCTAAGCTATGAGGGCACAAAGGCATAATAATGATATAATGGACTCTGGGGGCTCTGGGGGGACAGGTGGGAGGGCAGTGAGGGATAAAAGACTACATATTGAAGCCTGGGCATGGTGGCTCATGTCTGTAATCCCAGCACTTTGGGAGGCCGAGGCAGGCAGATCACCTGAGGTCAGAAGTTCGAGACCAGCCTGACCAACATGGAGAAACTCCGTCTCTACTAAAAATACAAAATTAGCCAGGCATGGTGGCACATGCCTGTAATCCCAGCTACTCGGAAGGCTGAGGCAGGAGAATTGCTTGAACCCGGGAGGCGGAGGTTGTGATGAGCTGAGATTGCATCACTGCACTCCAGCCTGGGTGACAAGAGCTAAACTCCGTCTCAAAAAAAAAAAAAAAAAGTATACAGCCATACCACCCTGAAAGCACCCAATCTCATCTGATCAGTAGAAGAAGTCATTGCATATGCGGAGGAAACAGCAAGAGAACTAGAATTAGAAGTGGAGCCTGAATAGCACACTGGAATTCTAATTCAAAAGTTGCAAGTTTCAGTCCTGCTAGCGTCAAAAAAATTGTTTTTGTAAATTTCAATTAAAAAAATTTTTTTTAAAGTAAAGCCTGAAAATGTGACTGGATTGCTATGATCTCATGGCAAAACTTGAATGGATGAAGAGTTCATCCATGTTCATACAGCAGCCATCAACATGGATGAACTTTGTTCTTCTGGATGAACAAATAAAGCGGTTTCTTGAGATGAAACCTACTCCCAGTGAAGATGCTGTGAACATTGCTGAAATGACCATAAAGGATTTACAATATTCCATAAACTTTGTTGATAAGGCAGCAGCAGGGTTTGGGAGAACTGACTCAAGTTTTGAAAAAATTTTGAAAGAAATTACCTGGGTAAAACACTATCAATCGGCGTCCTATGTTACAGAGAAATCTTTTGTGAAAGAAAAAGTCTATTGATGCTGCAAACGTCATTGTTGTCTTTTTTTAAGAAATTGCCACAGCCACCCCAGTCTTCAGCAACCACTACACCTGATTAGCCATCAACATGGAGGCAAGACCCTCTATCAGCAAAAGGACTGTCACTTGCTAAAGGCTCAGATGATTGTTACCATTTTTTAGCAATAAAGATTTTTTTTTTGAGATGGAGTCTCACTCTATCACCCAAGTTGGAGTGCAGTGGCATGATCTTGGCTCACAGCAAACTCTGCCTCTGGGGTTCAAGTGATTCTGCTGCCTCAGCCTCCAGAGTAGCAGGGATTACAGGCATGTGCCACCATGCCTGGCTTTTTTTTTTTTTTTGTATTTTTAGTAGAGGTGGGGTTTCACCATGTTGGCCAGGCGGGCCTCGAATTCCTGACCTCAGTTGATCTGCCTGCCTCAGCTTCCCAAAGTACTGAGATTACAGGTGTGAGCCACCATGCCTGGCCCAATAAAGTATTTTTAATTAAGGCATGTACACATTTTTTTTGCTGTTGTTGTTGTTGTTTTGAGACAGAGTCTCGCTTTGTCACCCAGGCTGGAGTACAGTGGTGCAATCTTGGCTCACTACAGCCTCCACCTCCCAGGTTCAAGCGACTCTCCTGCCTCAGTCTCCCGAGTAGCTGGGACTACAGGCACCTGCCACCACACCCGGCTAATTTTTGCATTTTTAGTGGGACGGGGTTTCACCATATTGGCCAGGCTGGTCTTGAACTCCTGACCTTGTGATCCATCCGCCTTGGCCTCCCAAAGTGCTGGGATTACAGGTGTGAGTCACCGCGCCCAGCCTGTTTTTTAGATATAATGTTACTGCACACTTCATAGACTACACTATAGTATAAACATAACTTTTATATGCACTGGGAAACCAAAAAATTCATATGACTTGCTATTTTGCGACATTAGCTTTATGGCAGTGGTCTGGAACCAAACCTGCCATGAGGCACACCTATACCTAAAATACCATCACTCTCCCTAGAAGTAACCTCAGAAAGCAGTTTAGTAAACATCTTTCCTGAAATTTTTCTATGTATTTACATATAAATAATATTGTACATTGTCTTAGTCTGTTCTGGCTGCTGTGACAATACACCTTATACTGGGTAATTCATAAACAACAAAAAATTATTGCTTATAGTTCTGGAGGCCGGGGAGTCCAAGATCAAGGCACCAGCAGATTCTGTGTCTAGTAAGGGCCTGTTCCGCATAGACACAGGCTTCTCATGGCTTCCTCACTTGGTGGGAGAGGTAAGGCAGCGCCCTTTGACCTCTTAAAGAGCACTAATCTCCTTCAATACCAACATTACAATTTACCCTTTCCACCAGTGTATCAGTGAACTCCTGTTCCTGTATTAGATACAAGTTAAGCAACCCTAATCCACAAATCTGAAATGCCCTAAAATCCAAAACTTTTTGAGTGCTGCCATGGTGTTACAAGCAGAAAATTTCATACCTGACACATTTTTTTCATTTTATTAATAGTATGTTTTTTTTTACCATTAAGTACATATGTGTGAATAGGCATAAGATGATTGCTAATTGGTAGCATATAAATTCAGAGTCAGCAACAATGGTTATGCCAAACAACCACAGAATGTCCACATAGGTGGATGCAATCTCATGATAACAAGGTGACACCTATGCTTCTGATGGCTCAGTGTATATAAACTTTGTCTCATGCAAAAAAATTATTAAAAATATGGTATAAAATTACCTGCAGGCTATATGTATAAGGTGCATATGAAACATAAATGAATTTTGTGTTTAGACTTGGGTCCTATCCCCAAGACATCTCATTATGTATATCCAAATATTCAAAAATCAAAAAAAAAAAAATCTAAATGTTTCTGGTCCCAAGCATTTCAAATAAAAGATAATCAACCTGTGTCATCAATCTTTTTCATTTATATGACAGATTTAAAAAATGCCATCTAAATTAATTTGTATATTTGCTTTAGTAAGAGAATTTTATAATCTTTATTTTTCAAGAGTTTATCACTGTTGTTGTGAGAGCTACTGGAATATTAAGTTATATTTATTTTACTTAATTCCAGTCTATTCCCAGCCCTGAGGCATCATCTTTTCTTCATTGTAAAAAGTGGGACATTGTTTTCAATGTAAAATAATATGTCTAGGTATGATGTAATTAATACCCACTATTCCATCCAATGTTATTTTTTAGTGGAATGTTATTTTTATTAAACAACCCCACCCCACTCTACTCACCCAAAAAAGGTTAAAACATTCTCAACTTAAACCATTTCAATACTTTTCCAATTCAATCTCAGCTGTACCACTACTGACTGGAAAGATTTTCATCCAAGCTTTTGCTGATTTATTTATTTATTTAATTAATTAATTTATTTATTTATTTATTTTGAGACAGAGTCTCACATTGTCACCCAGGCTGGAGTGCAAAGGCACGATCTTGGCTCACCACAACCTCCACCTCCTGGGTTCAAGTGATTCTCCTGCCTCAGCCTCCTGAGTAGCTGGGACTACAGGCATGCGCCACCACACCTGGCTAACTTTCGTATTTTTTGTAGAGATGGGGTTTCACCATGTTGGCCAGGTTGGTCTTGAACTCCTGACCTCAGGTGATCCACCCACCTCAGCCTCCCAAAGTGCTGGGATTACAGGCGTGAACCACTGTGCCCGGCCAAGCTTTTGCTTTCTAATGGCTGATTATACTTTCAAAATACTTGAATAAATTATCCATTCATTTCCCTATGGAAAACAATGATTTAATCTAAACAGCAACAAGGTTCTCAAAAATATTCCAGAAGTTTCATCTTCACAAATTACTGGAAAACATAATTATTATTCTGCCACATTTACCTTTGAAAACAGAAAAAAAAAGACAACAGAAAATCTGAATGAATTATAATAGCAAACAAGATGCCAAACTCCACACTAAAAATTACAGTATGCCCAATTCAACTGAGGAGTAGTGACATAATTACCTTAGTGCTCCACAACACAGATGGATGCACTTTTTCTTAATCTATTTTATTAAAACTGCAACCTAGAACAACTTATTAAATACACACTAGGCAATAGTGCAAACATAAACAAATGCATTTATTTCACTGATACGTGCAATGCTGCTTTTTTGCAAAGGGCGTATATTATCACAAAACATTTGCCATCTATGATAACAATAGCTGCCATGAACCTAGGAGAAAAGTGAAAAAAGTTAGCATCTGTTATGCCTGTATTTAAGACTTAATGAGGCCAGGCACAATGGCTCACACCTGTAATCCCAGCACTTTGAAAGACCAAGGCAGGCGATCACTTGAGGTCAGAAGTTTGAGACCAGTCTGGCCAACATGGTGAAACCCTGTCTCTACTGAAGTACAAAAATTAGCTGGGCATGGTGGTGCCTGCCGGTAATCCCAGCTACTCAGGGGGCTGAGGCAGGAGAATCGCTTGAACTTGGAAGGTGGAGGTTGCAGTGAGCCGAGATCACACCACTGCACTCCAGCCTGGGTGACAGAGCAAGACTGTCAATTAATGCATTTGAAGTTACTACCAACAGAACTAACAAGAGTTACTGCTCAATTAAACTAGAGTAAATACAAAAAACTTAGCTTATCATTCTAGTTCTACTACCAGCCACCCATTGACCAGTAAAAGCCTTCTTCACTGAGACTATATTCTGGAAGATGCAGGGCACTGGTGCATCTTTTTATTTTGTCTTAGAAAAAGACTTTCTAAGTCCTTTTCCGGTTCTAAGAGTTCATTTCAGAAAAATAAAATATAAAGGTACTTTGTACATTTTGGAGAAACAAGGTCATCCTGAGTGTTTTTGTTTTTTGGTTTTTGTTTTTCAGATGGAGTTTTCACTCTTGTTACCCAGGCTGGAGAGCAATGGCGCGATCTCAGCTCACTGCAACCTCTGCCTCGCAGGTTCAAGTGATTCTCCTGCCTCAGCCTCCCTAGTAGCTGGGATTACAGGCATGTGCCACCACGCCTGGGTAATTTTGTACTTTCAGTAGAGATGGGATTTCACCATGTTGGTCAGGCTGGTCTTGAACTACTGACGTCAGATGACCCGCCTGCCTCAGCCTCCCAAAGTGCTGAGATTACAGGTGTGAGCCACCATGCCCAGCCCTGAGTGGTTTTTAATGAGACAGTATCCTATATTAGTCTCATTCATTTAAGCAAATCATAATCTAAAATGTCCAATTGTCATTATTTCATTCAGATCATTATTTATTGAGCAAAGTATTTTGCGAGGACACAGCAAGAGGCACAAAGATGAACAAGACATAGTCTTTGCCCACTAACACCTTATAATTTAGTAATGAAGATAAAACAACTATTCAAATAACCATAATGTGGCTGGGAGCAATGGCTCATGCCTGAAATCCCAGCATTTTGGGAGGCCAAGGTGGGTGAATTGCTTGAGCTCAAGCAATCTTGAACCTTGTCAGGTTCAAGACCAACCTGGACAATATGGCAAAATTTTGTCTCTACAAAAAATTTAGTTTTTTAAAATTAAATTTAAAAAAATTACTTGGGCATGGTGGCACAAGCCTGTATTCTCCACTAGTCAGGAGTCTGAGGTGGGAAGATCACTTGTGCCCAGGAGGTCAAAGCTACAGTGAGCGAGCCATGATCATGCCACTGCACACCAGCCTAGATGATAGAGCAAGACCTTGTCTCAAAAAAAAAAAAAAGAACCACTGGGCATTGTGGCACGTGCCTGTAGTCCCAGCTACTCAGGAAGCTGAGGCAGGAGGATCATCTGAGCCCAGGAGTTCTGGGCTATAGTGTGCTACATGACCATCGAGTGTCCACAATAAGTTCAATATCAATATGGTAACACCAACAGGTTGCCTAAGGAGGGGTGAACCAGGCCAGGTTAGAAACAGAGCAGGCCAAAACTCCCATGCTGACCAGTAGTGGGACTGGGCCTGTGAACAGCACTGCAGTCCATGCTGGGCAATGTAGCGAGACCCTGCCTGTTAACAAAAAAGAAAAAACAAAAATAGCCATAATACAAGGCAGAAAAAAAAAAAAGCAAGGGCTACAAGAACATATTAACAGGGATTCAATTACATTAGGTTGGGAAGTGGAAAGGGCTCAACATAGGCTTCAAGGAAGATTTACTTAGGGTAGGAAAGCGCTAACTATTCTTCACAAAATAGTTTGGCTGAATGCATTTTTTTTTTTTTTTTGAGACAGAGTCTTCCTCTGTTGCCCAGGCTGGAGTGCAGTGGTGCCATCTTACCTCACTGCAACTTCCGCCTCGCAGGTTCAAGCGATTCTCCTGCCTCAGTCTCCCAAGTAGCTGGGACTACAGCTGTGTACCACCACACCTGGCTAATTTTTGTATTTTTAGTAGAGATGGGGTTTCACCATGTTGGCCAGGCTGGTCTTGAACTCCTGACCTCAGGTGATCCCCCTGCCTTGGCCTCCCAAGGCATGATTACAGGTGTGAGCCACCTCGCCTGGCCTGAATGCATTATCTTAGAGCCCTCTAACATTTTATTGCTAGATGATAATACATACATGAAATTATTCGAGGAATGGGATAAGCTACTAGAAATACAATGTGTACTGTACAACTAAGATACTGCTCAAAACATAACACTATATTAGATTTTAATTATGCCAAATCATTTTTTAAACATCTCTATAGCTTTTTTAGATGAAATGAATATTTCAAGTTCTTCATTGAAGACACTAGAATGACTGCCAAAATACAGTAGAGATTAATGTTCATGTCCAGAAAAGATACATTTCATAGCTTAAAGTGACATTAGTGACACAATAAATGAGAAAAGCTCACACTTCAGCTAAGCCTGTTCTGAGAAGTGAGTATCTTCCAATAGCAGAGAAAGCTATTTTAAATGATCTGGATGAGAATGTAAAGTTAATTTAAGTTACACAAGTCTCTACAGTATAAAATGATAATTGTAGAAACAAGTATCATCTCACAGAAATGTTAGATTTGAGACAGAAGCTTTGCACATGTTCTGTTAAGGAAAGATGCTATCAAAAAGCAGGTCAACATTCCACAGTACTTCACCTTCTGATACTCTCTGAAACAGTCCTTTATCCACCAAGAACCTCCATGGTTCACCTTCTTAAAACACCATACAGCCTTTTTACTGCAACAATAAAACCTGAAACTTAACGTCTGGTGAAGGAAGAAGTAGTAAAGGGTGAAAATCTGCCCTTCCAAATAACTGCACAGAAAAACAAAATATGGAAAAGAAAAAGAAAAAATAACCAAAGATACACTTATTTAAAGCAAAAACCAACCATTCAGGTAATTACAGAAACAATGATGTCTAAAACCTCTATAATGTATTAATGTGTTCAGATCATAAATAAGGTTTCAATATGTAAAATTTCCATAAAATATCATCTCCAATTTGATTTTCAAGTCTCGGAAATTAAGTAGCTATAGAGCTTTAATAGTTAATACATACTTTTTTTTTTTGGAGACAGGGTCTCGCTCTGTTGCCCAAGCTGGAGTGCAGTGGTGCAATGATGGCTCACTGCAGCCTCCACCTCCTGGGCTCAAGCAATGTTCCCACTTCAGCCTCTGAGTAGCTGGGACTACAGGCACATGCCACACACCTGGCCATTTTTTGAAGCGCTGGGGTTTCACTATGTTGCCCAGGGTGGTCTTGAACTGCTGAGCTCAAGTGATCTGCCTACCTCAGCCTCCCAAAGTGCTGGGATTATACGTGTGAGCCACCATTCTGGACCTAATAAATACTTTTTAATGTACCTAAGAGCCATTAAAAAACTACAGGATGAAAAAATGAGCTATCAATAAGGAAAGTTTAAACACTGCTCCAAAGGAAATTACAGCCAAGAAAGTATTGACTTGCACAAGGAAAAGGTCAGGGTGGGTAGAAGCAAAAGGACAGAGGAATAGTCTGGAAGAAAGCATTTGTGGAAAACCATTTTTTACTCTCCACCTCTCTCAAACATCTTTGGTTTTAGGTTTTTTTTTTTGTTTTTTTTTTTGAGACAGAGTTTCCCTCTGTCCCCCAGGCTGGCGTGCAGTGGTGCAATCTTCACTCACTGCAACCTCCACCTCCCGGTTCAAGCGATTCTCACCCCTCAGCCTCCCGAGCAGCTGGGATTACAGGTGCCCACCACCATGCCCAGCTAATTTTTGTATTTTTAGTAAGTTCATTTTTTATCTAAAGCTAAGATACATTTCAACTTCAAACCCTGTTTTAGAGTTCAAACATTTTATCCTCACTTTGTATACCTTGTAGCAACATCAGCAGTGACAGAATCTTAGTATATAACATAAAATTTCATTTTAGGCCAGGCGCGGTGGCTCACGCCTGTAATCCCAGCACTTTGGGAGGCCGAGGCAGGCAGATCACCTGAGGTCAGGAGCTCGACACCAGCCTAGCCAACATGGTGAAACCCTGTCTCTACTAAAAATACAAAAATTAGCCAGGCATGGTGGCGTGTGCCTGTAATCCCAGCTACTTGGGAGACTGAGGCAGGAGAATCACTTGAACCAGTGCACTCCAGCCTGGGCGACAGAGCAAGACTCTTTCTCAAAAAAAAAAAAAAAATTCATTTTAAATGTTTCTGTTTAAACAATTCTTACTATAGGGTTAATCCAATAAGGTGCTGTTAACCAGTTAACCAATATAGTAATCCCTCAGTATCTGCAAGGGATAGGTTCCAGGACCCTCATAGACACCAAAATCCCAGATGCTCAAGTATCTTATGTAAAATGGTATAATATTTGCATTCAAACTATGCACATCCTGTCATATACTCTAAACCATCCCTAGATAACTTATAATACTTAATACAATGTAAATACTACGTAAATAGTTATTATACATTGTATTTTTAATTTGTATAACTTTTCATTGTATTGTTTTTATTTTTTCTTTTTTTTTTTCTTTTTTTTTTTTTTTTTTTGAGACAGGGTATCGCTCTGTTGCCTGGGCTGGAGTGCAATGGCATGGTCATAGCTCACTGCAGCCTCTCTCTTCCAGGCTCAAGCAGTTCTCCTGACTCAGCCTCCAAGTAGCTTGGACTACAGGTGCACACCACCACACCCAGCTAATTTTTATTTTTAGTAGAGATGAGGTCTTGCTATGTTGCTTAAGCTAGTCTCGAACTCCTGAGCTCAAGCCACACTCCCACCTTAGCCTCCCAAAGTTCTGGAATTACGGTTGTGAGCCACCATGCCCAGCATCAAATATTTTTAATCCATGGTTGGTTGAATCCATGAATAAAGAACCCATGGATAAAGGCCAGGCACTGTGGCTCACACCTGTAATTCCAGCACTTTGGGAGGCCAAGGCGGGTGGATCACCTCAGGTCAGGAGTTCAAGACCACCCTGACCAACATGGTGAAACCCCATCTCTACTAAAAATACAAAAATTTAGCCGGGCATGGTGGTGCATGCCTGTAATCCCAGCTACTCGGGAGGCTGAGGCAGGAGAATCACTTGAACTCAGGAGATGGAGGTTGCAGGGAGCCAAGATCGTGCCACTGTACTCCGGCCTGGGCAACAGAGCGAGACTCCATCTCAAAAAAAAAAAAACCCATAGATATGAATAGCTGACTGTATTTGATTATTCACTTGGGATTTCCTAGACCTAAAGGCTCCTGGAATACTAATTTAAATCTTAATCATCAAACCAAAATATGAAATCAGTTTGTTTGGTTGAGGTTTTTCTACGAAATTTGTGTGTTTTAAAGACAACAGGTGTAGTTGAAGACTATGGCACATGCCTATATCTCTCTCTTCCATTATTTTCTCCAAAAACAATGCAAAAACCATAAGGGGAAAATAACACTGTGTGAAAACCGCATCCCTAGCATGTTTTGAAGACAGGATGCCTAAACTTCAAAATAATACTAAGCAGAAAGAGAAAAAGCACCAAATCTCAGGGCATGACTTCTCATGCTCCTCCCCTACACCTTTCACCTAAAGGCTCTTTGAGCAAAGGCAGTGAGCAAAGGCAGACTGAGAAAAATGTCATGAAGAATAAAGAAGAGAACTAGCAATAGAGCCTAAGGTTAATAGAAAAGTATCACAAGTAAAAGTAAGTCTACATTAACTCTGAAAATACTCTTTATCAAAAGTGTCTATAATCCCAGTGCCTTGGGAGACTGAGGTAAGAGGATTGCTTGAGTCCAGGAGTATAAGACTAGCCAATACAGCAAGACCCCACATTTACAAAAAATAAAAAATTAGCCAAGCATGGTGGTGTGTGCCTGTAGTCCTAGCTACTCAGGAGGCTAAGGTGAGAGGATTTCTTGAGCCCAGGAGTTTGAGGTTATAGTGAGGAATCATGCCACTACACCCCAGCCTGGACAACAAGAGTGGCAGCATGTCTCAAAAAAAAAAAAAAAAAAAAATAGGCCAGGCGCAGTGGCTCACACCAGTAATCACAGCACTTTGGAAGGCCAAAGCACACAGATCACTTGAAGCCAGGAGTTCAAGATCAGCCTGAGCAACATGGTGAAACCCTGTCTCTACTAAATATACAACGACAACAACAACAAAATTAGCTGGACATGGTGGTGCACGTCTGTAATCCTAGCTACCTGGGTGTCTGAGGCATGAGAATGGCTTGAGCCTGGGAGGCGGAGGTTGCAGTGAGCTGAGATCGCACCACTGCACTCCAGCCTAGGTGACAGAGTGAGACTCTATCATAAATAAATAAATAAATAAAACAAATAAATAAATAAATAAAATTTTAATTTAATAAAATACTATTTAAGCAAGGTCTCTAAGCCACTTCTTTGAGAGAAAAACACTTTTAAACTGAGGCTTCTCCTGTGTGATGGGTAGAGCGTGGGTCAATAAACTTCTGTCTTTTTCTTGTTAATCTGATTTTTGTTTTGGAGAGTGACATGGTTTGGATTTATGTCCCCACCTAAATCTCATGTTTAATTGTAATTGCCAGTGTTGGAGGAGTTGCCTCATGGGAGGTGACTGGATCACGGGGGGCAGATTTTCCCCTCGCTGTTCTGTGACAGTGAGTGAGTTCTCATGAGATCTGGCTGTTTAAAAGTGTGTAGTACTTCCCCCTCTTCTCTCTCTCCTGCTCTGGCCATGTGAAGACGAGCCTGCTTCCCCTTTACCTTCTGCCATAATTGAAAGTTTCCTGAGAACTCCCCAGCCATGCTACCTGTACAGCCTGCAGAACCGTGAGTCAATTAAACCTCTTTTCTTCATAAATTACCCAGTCTGAGGTTTTTTTTTTTATAGCAGTGCAAGAATGGACTAATAGAGTGTCTCAACTAAGAATCTATGAGGGAAAGGAAAAAAAACAACTTACATTTTCTGCCCAATTACACATACTTTAGCTCTAAAGCCAGTACCTTCTTGAATGAAGAAATACCAAAGGCATTTCCACTAAGAATAGGAACAATGCAAGTATGGTCACTATTTCCACCACTGTTCAACATAGTATAATAGGAATTGGTTAGTGTAGTTAGACAACAAAACTCAGTTAGACATAAAAATTGGTAAAGAGGAAGTAAAACTATTTCTATTCGAAAATGATACGATAGTAAACCTGGAAAACACAGTTTCCCAAACCATGGCACTATTGGCATTTTGACGAGATAATGCTTGGCTGTGGGGGGCTGTCCTATGCATCGTAGGATGTTTAGCACCACCTCTGGCTTTCACATGCTAGATGCCGGCAGCACCATCTCCACCCAGTTATGACAACCAAAAATGTCTTTAGACATTAACAAGCTCCCCTTGGGGGAAAAATCAGTCCAGGTTGAGCCAATGCCTTGAAGAATTCATTGTAAAACTAACTCAAACAACAAAAAATCCCACTAAGGTGGCAAGTAATGAAATTAACATAGAGAAATCAATAGCCTTCATGTATAAAAACAATAACCTGTTACAGGACATAATGGGCTGGGCACGGTGACTCACGCCTGTAATCCCAGCACTTTGGGAGGCCGAGGTGGGTGGATCACCTGAGGTCAGGAGTTTGAGACCACCCTGGCCAACATGGTAAAACCCCGTCTCTACTAAAAATACAAAAAATTAGCTGGGCGTGGTGGCAGGCGCCTGTAATCCCAGCTACTCAGGAGGCCAAGGCAGGAGAATTGCTTGAACCCAGGAGGCGGAGGTTGCAGTGGGCCGAGATTGCGTCACTGCACTCCAGCCTGGGCGACTGACTGAAACTCCGTCTCAGGGAAAAAAAAAAAAGGACATAATGGTAGTGGAAATCTCAGTTACAACAGCAACACATTAGACCAAATAGGAATAAACAATTCTAACTGAGGAAATGCTTCTTCTGAAGACTCAAATGGAGGGTACATTTTACTTAGACAAGGTAACTCAACATCATAAACCCTTTTTGCTAAGCAAATGTATAGATTTAATGTAGTCTCAGTAAAAATACCAATATGCTTTATTTGTTATGGAGTTAAACAAGTGCATACGAAAAACAAACATGGAAAAATAGCCAGAAAAATACTGAAGGAAAAAAAAACCCTTAGAGAATGGGGGTGGGGAATAGCCCTATAAGACATTAAAACATATAATAAAGCCCTTCTAATTAAGAGTAGGGAACTATGGTATTAATGAATACAAAAATAGGTCAATGGAACTGAATAGAAAGACCAGAAATAGACTGAAATACATAAAGAAATTTGATAAATGATAAAACCATAGGAGCAAAGATAGATTTTTTAATAACTAATATTTTTAAACGATCATTAGACTAAAAGCTAGTGCTTTTGTAATTTTGGTTTATTAACGCCATATTTTGTTTCCTACACAATTTAAAAGACTAATGCATTCCAAAAAATTATTAGTTTATCACACTGTATTTGGGTTTCAGGCTGCAATACACTAAAACGCCTGTGAACAGCCCCTCATTCAAGCCTGTGCAACATAGTGAGATACTGTCAGAAAGAAAAAAAAAAATCTACCAGCATATAAGTCTCTCCTTATCAGTAATTACTTTAAATATAAATGGATCAAGCTCTCCAATCAAAAGACATACTGGCAAAACAGATTTTTTTTTAAACATGACTTAACTACGTACTGTCTATAACAGACTCACTTTAGATCCAAAGACACAAGGAAGCTGAACATAAAAAGATGGAAAAAGATATTCCATGCAAATGGTAACCAAAAGAGAGCAGGCGTGGCTATACTAATATCAAACAAATAGACTTTAAATCAAAAAAGTTTACAAGAGACAAAAAAGCACATTATATATCAATAAAAGGTTCAAAACAGCAAAAAGATATAATAATTATCAACATTTATACACTTAATGACAGGCCATCAAAATATGAAGCAAAACTGACAAAAATGAAGGTAGAAATAGACAGTTCTAGAATAATAGGTAGAGACTGCAAACCTTGCTCTCGATAATGGATAGAACAACCACGTAGAAGATAAGTAAGAAAACAGAAGACAGGTCGGGTGCAGTGGCTCACACCTGTAATCCCAGCACTTTGGGAGGCCGAGGTGGGCGGATCACGAGGTCAGGAGTTCGAGACCAGCCTCCTGGCCAGTGTGGTGAAACCCCGTCTCTACTAAAAATACAAAAAATTAGCCATGCATGGTGGGGTGTGCCTGTAATCCCAGCTACTCAGGAGGCTGAGGCAGGAGAATTGCTTGAACCCGGGAGGCGGAGGTTGCAGTGAGCTGAGATCGCGCCACTGCATTCCAGCCTGGGAGACAGAGTGAGACACGGTCTCAAAAAATAAAATAAATAAATAAATAAATAAAAATTAAAAAAAAAAAAAACAGAAGACAAACAACACAAGTAAACCAACCAGATACAATGGACACCTACAGAACACTCTACCCAACAACAGCATACACATTCTTCTCGAGGGTACGTGGAACATTTACCAGAATGAGCTAAAAGTTAGGCCACAAATTAAGTCTCAATAGATTTTGAAACATAGATTACTTATAAATTATCTTTTCTGACCACAACACGATAAAGTTAGAAATCAGTAACAAAAGTAAAACTGGAAAATTCATAAATTTGTGAAAATTAACAATACACTCTTAACCAATGAATCAAAGAAGCACTCACAAAAGAAATTAGAACATACTTAGAGATGAATGAAACAAAAACAAAACATGTGGGATGCAGCAAAAGCAGTGCTAAGGGGGAAATTTAAAGGTACAAAATGAGTACATTAAAAGCACAAGAAAGATCACAGCTGAACAACCTAACTTTACAACTCATGGAACTAGAAAAAGAAGAACAAACTAAATCTAAAGTTAGCATAAGGAAGATAATAATAATGATTAGAGCAGAAATGAATGAAAAAGAGAAAAAAATAGAGAAAAATCAGTAAAACCAAAAGCTGGTTATTTGAAAAAAATAAAAAAAATCAACACACCTTTAGCTAGATGTACTAACAAGAAAGAGAGAAGCCTTGGCTGACCAAAATCAGAAATGAAAGTGGGGATATTACTACAGATTTTACAGAAATAAAAGGGATTATAAGACAGTACTATGAACAACTGTATACCAACAAATTGGGAAACCTAGATAAGATGGACCAATTCCTAGAAACACAGAAACTACCATGATTAAATCACCCCAAATTAGAATGAAAGGGTCTCTAATTAGTAGATTAAATCAGTAGTCAGAATTCTCCCAGTAAAGGCCAGGTGCGGTGGCTCACGCTTGTAATCCCAGCACTTTGGGAGGTCAAGGCAGGCAGATCACTTGAGCACACCAGACCGAGCAACATGGCTAAACCCCATCTCTACCAAAAATACAAACATTAGCCAGGCGTGGTGTGTGCGCCTGGAATCTCAGCTACTCGAGAGGCTGAGGCAGGAGGATTGCTTGAACCCAAGAGGCAGAGGTTGCAGTGAGCCAACATTCAACACTGGACTCCAGCCTGGGCGACAAAGTGAGGCCCTGGTTTTTTTGTTTTTTTTTTTTTGAGACAGAGCCTCGCTCTGTCATCCAGGCCGGAATGCAGTGGCCCGATCCTGGCTCACTGCAACCTCCACCTCCCAGGTTCAAGCGATTCTCCTGCCTCAGCCTCCTGAGTAGCTGGGATTACAGGCACCTGCCATCATGCCTGGCTAATTTTTGTATTTTTAGTGCAAACGGGGTTTCACATGTTGGTCAGGCTGGTCTCAAACTCCTGACCTCGTGATCTGCCTGCCACAGCCTCCCAAAGTGCTGGGATTACAGGTGTGGAGCCACCATGCCCAGCCTGAGACCCTGTTTCAAGGAAAAAAAAAAGAATTCTCCCAACAAAGAAAATTCCTGGTCCAGATGGTTTCACTGGTGAATTCTACTAAACATTTAAAGAAAAACTAACACCAATCCTACTAAGAACATTTCCACAAGATTGAAGAAGAGGAAACACTTCCTAACTCATTCTTTGAGGCCAATATTACACTAATATCAAAGCCAGACAAAGACACTACAAGAAAACTATAGACCAATATCCCTTATGAATACTGGTGTAAAAATCCTAAACAAAATACCGGCAAACCAAATGCAGCAGCATAAAAAAACACTTAGACACCATGACAAAGTGGGATTTATTCCTAGAATCCAAGGATGGTTCAACAGATGAAAACTAATTAATGCAATATACAACATTAACAGAATGAAGAAAAATCTACATGGTCATCTCAATTCATGCAGAAAGAGCATTTCCCAAAATTCCACACACTTTTCTTTCTTTTTTTTTTTTTTTTGAGATGGAGTTTCACTCTTGTTGCCCAGGCTGGAGAGCAATGGCGCAATCTCGGCTCACTGCAACCTCTGCCTCCCGGGTTCAAGCGATTCTCCTGCCTCAGCCTCCCAAGTACCTGAAATTACAGGCACCTGACACCATGCCTGGCTAATTCCTTTTGTATTTTTAGTAGAGACGGGGTTTCACCTTGTTGGCCAGGCTGGTCTTGAACTCCTGACCTCAGGTGATCCACCCACTTCGCCCTCCCAAAGTGCTGAGATTACAGGCATGAGACACCATGCCCACCCAATTCCATACTCTTTCATAATAAAAACACTTAACTAGGAAGAGAAGGAAACTATCTCAAAATAAGCCATATATGGAAAACCCAGAGCACACATTGCACTCAATGGTAAAAAACTGAAAGCTTTTCCTTTAAGATCAAGAACAAGGCAAGGATGTCTACTTTCACTGCTTTTATTCAACATAGTACTAAGTTCTAGCAAGACCAATTAGGGAGGCAATAAAGAAACAAAAAGCAGCCAGGCGTGGTGGCACACACCTGTAATCCCAGCACTTTGGGAGGCTTAGGCAGGCGGATCACTTGAGGTCAGGAGTTCAAGACCAGCCTGGCCAACATGGCGAAACCCTGGCTCTAATCGCTTGAACCTGGGAGATGGAGGTTGTAGTGAGCCAAGATCGTGCTACTGTACTACAGTCTGGGCGACAGTCGGACTCTGTCTCCAAAAAAAAAAAAAACCAAAAAGCATCTAAATTGGAAAGGAAGAAGTAAAATTATCAAATTATCTCTTCACAGACGACATGATCTTATATGTAGAAAATCCTAAAGATTGCACCAAAAAACTGTTAGAACTAATAAATGAATTCAGCAAGATGTTTTGCAGGATACAAAGTCAATATGCAAAACTGAACTGCATTTCTATACACTAGTGATAAACAATTGGAAAAGGAAATTACAAAAACAATTCCGTTTACAATGGCACCAAAAATAATAAAATCTTTAGGTATTAACCAAGGAAGTAAAAAAACTTGTACAATGAAAACTACAAAACACTGTTGAAAGAAATTAAAGATAGGAATAAGTAGAAACATACCCCAAGCTCGTGGATTGGAAGACTTAATACTGTTAAGATACAATACTAGTCAAAGTGATCTACAGATTCAATGCAATCCCATCAAAATCCCAATGACATTGTTTGAAGAAATAGAAAAACCCATGTTAAAATTCATACAGAATCTCAAGAGACTGAATAGCCAAAATAAGCTTGAAAAAGAGAAACAATAAGGGGATCTCACACTTCCTGATTTCAGAACTTATTACAAAGCTTGAGCAATCCAAAACAGTGTAGTACTAGCAGAAGGGCAAACATATAGACCAATGGAATAAAGTCCAGAAACAAGCCCTCACATACGTGGTCACATGATTTCTGACAAGAGTGTCAAGATCATTCAATGAGGGAAAGGACAAATATAAGCATACTGAAGTATCAACAAGAAGATCCACATAAAAAGAAAGCACTATAAATGGTGCTGGACAAACTGGGTATCTAGATGCAAAAGAGAAAGTTGAACCCTTACTTAACACCACATACAAAAATTAACTCAAAATAGATGAAAGGCCTAAATGTAACACCTAAAATCATAAAACTCCTAGAAAACCTAGATAGGGAAAAAGCTTCATGACACTAGATTTGGCAATGATTTCTTTGGATATGATTCCAAAGGCAAAGGCAACAAAAGAAAAAAATAGACAAATTAGACTTCATGAAAATTTAAAAATTTATCCATCAAAAGACACTATCAATGGAGTAAAAAGATAGCCAGGTGTGGTGGCTCACATCTGCAATCCCAGCACTTTCAGGGACCGAGGTAGGAGGACTGCTTGAGGCCCAGAGTTCAAGTCCAGCCTGGTCAACATAGCAAGACCCTGTCTCTACAAAAAATGTTTAGAATGTTTTCTTTAATTAGCTGGACATGATGGTGCACCTGTAGTCCCAGCTACTGGGGAGGCTGAGGAAGGACGATCACTTGAGCCCAGGAGGTTGAGGCTGCAGTAAGCCAAGACTGTGCTACTGCATTCCAGCCTGGATGACAAAGTGAGACCCTGTCTCAAAAAAAGTACAATCCAAAAAAAAAAAAAAGATGAACCAATGAAAAATGAGAAAACATCAAAAAGAAAATCGAATACAAGACTTAGGTATGATACATTTATATAAGCATATTGAAGTATCAACAAGAAGATCCATATAAATTTATGAACACTGTCCTTATAAAGAAACGAGCTGAAATTCCGTATTTTTCCATGTGTAAATCCAAGAATAGAGACCTAGTGGGAGAAATGATCATGCCTGTACATAAGACCATATATCAGGCTGGGCGCGGTGGCTCACATCTGTAATCTTAGCACTTCGGGGAGGCCAAGGCAGGCAGATCACTTAAGGTTAGGAGTCTGAGACCAGCCTGGCCAACATGGAGAAACCCCGTCTCTACTACAAATACAAAAATTAGCCGGGCAGGGTGGCACATGCCCGAAGTCCCAGCTACTCTGGAGACCGAACCAGGAGAATCGCTTGAACTCAGGAGACGGAGGTTGCAGTGAGCCAAGATCGCATCACTGCACTCCAACCTGGGTGACAGAGACTCTGTCTCAAAAAAAAAAAAAAAAAGAAAAAAAGAAAAAAAAAAAAGACCATATACATCAAAGATAAGAGCAGTATTTGGAGGAATAATGCCAAAATGATAAGCAGAAATACAGGCAGAATCTGGAAAAATGGCTAACATAGCTATTTCATTCATGCCAATCTAAACAACCACTTCTTCCACACTTCTGACTACTTTCCTCACAAAAACAAAGCTCTTGGTCCTGCTAATTGTAGGAAATAACTTTTTGCTATCTTTAAGTAAACCTGTGAAGCATGCCACAAAGGTCTGGACAAGCTAAAGGAAGATATCTCAATTTCTAGAAAAGATTTATCTTCTCACACGCTACCACTGGTTAGCTCCCTTTCCCATAGAGGCTTTTTAAAAAATTTTGGATGAAAACATTCTAGGCCAGGTGCAGTGGCTCTCACCTATAATCCCAACACTTGGGGAAGCTGAGGAGGAAGGATGGCTTGAGCCCAGTTGTTCAAAACTAGTCTGGGCAACACAGTGAGGAGACTGTCTCCACAATAAAAAAATTTTTTTCTTTTTTTTTTTTTTTTTTGAGACAGAGTCTTGCTCTGCTGCCCAGGCCGGAGTGCAGTGGCACAATCTTGGCTCACTGCAACCTCTGCCTCCCAGGTTCAAGTGATTCTCCCGCCTCAGCCTCCCCAGTAGCTGGGATTACAGGCGCCCACCACCACGCCCAGCTAATTTTTGTATTTTTAGTAGAGATGGGGTTTCACTGTGTTGGTCTCGAACTCCTGACCTCATGGTCTGCCCGCCTCAGCCTCCCAAAGTGCTGGGATTACAGGCGTGAGCCACTGTGCCCCGCTGAAACATTTTTTAATTAGCCAGGCATGGTAGTACATACCTGTAATCCCAGCTACTCAGGAGACTGAGACAGGAGGATTGCTTGAGCCCGGGAGGTCAAGGCTACAGGGACTCCTGATCATGCCACTGTGCTCCAGCCTGAGTGACAGAGAGACCCTGTCTCAAAAAAAGATTTTTTAAGTTCTAGAAATCTGCTGTAAGATGTGGCTATACTTAACACTTCTGAACCATACACTTAAAAATGATTAAGACAACAAATTTGATGTTATATGTTTATCACAATAAGAATTCAAAAACAAACAAAAATCCAACACAGGGCCAGGTACAGTGGCTCACACCTGTAATCCCCAGCACTTTGGGAGGCCGAGGTGGGTGGACCAACTTGAGGTCAGGAGTTCGGGACCACCCTGGCCAACATGGTGAAACCCTATCTCTACTAAAAATACAAAAATTAGCCAGGCATGGTGGTGGGCACCTGTAATCCCAGCTACTCGGGAGGCTGAGGCAGGAGAATTGCTTGAACCCAGGAGGCAGAGGTTGCAATGAGCCGAGATGGCGCCACTGCACTCCAGCCTGGGTGACAGAGGAAGACCCCGTCTCAAAAAAAAAAAAAAACCAACATGAAGAACAAACAACAAAAAGAGTAAACCCTGATGTAAACTATGGACTTTAGTTAATAATAATGTTTCAATATTGGCTCATCAATTTTAATAAATGTATCACACTAATGCAAGATAAAAATAGGGGAAATTGGGGGGCGAGATGAAGGCATATGTGGGAACTCTGTACTTTTTGCTCAGTTTTTTCTGTAAACCTAGAACTGCTCCCCCAAAAGTCTATTAATTTAAAAAAATTTTATTTCACACTATATGGCATTTTCCGTTTATAAACATCATTTATCCAGATTCTATCACAATGAATATACATATTTCATATTCCTTGAGGAATACTCAATTACACCCACAATTGCTCACACTATTCTCCAAAACAGTACGAAATAGGTAAAAATTCCCATAATCCTTCCTACTTGAAATCTTTCATCTGTTTCAGTATATGTCATCCCTACGTAGCTATGGTGGAGAGTCAACTGCAAAGAATGGCTACTGACATCTTGTAGCCTTTCTCAACAGGAGTTCCATGAGAGACTTAAGACATTCTTGGGCTTATGCATCTAGAACGGTACTACAGGCTGAGTATCCCTCATCTGAAATGCTTGAGATCATAAGTGTTTTGGACTTTTAGGGTTTTTTTGCATTTTGGAATATATGTAAATACATAATGAGATATCTTAGGAATAGAACATGAAATGTGTATCATTAAATTTATTGTGTTAATCATTTTTAAGTGTATGGTTCAGAAGTGTACAGTCATAAAATTTCACGTCTAAACATGAAATTCATTTATGCTTCATATATACCTTATACATATAGCCTGAAGGTTATTTTATACAACATTTTTTGTAATTTTTGCATGAAACAAAGTTTGCGTACATTGTGCACAAAAGATATATTGCAGCTGAAGGAGGCTGGATTGGTCTCCTTTCCCTTGGGGCCACTGAATAAACTGTGTGTTGTGCGCCTGTGTTATGACTGCAGCCAGTCACATGAGGTTAGGTGTGGCATTTTCCACTTGTAGCATCATGTCAGTGGTCAAAAAGTTTCAGATTTGGGAGCATTTCAGATTTCAAGTTTTTGGATTAAGGATGCTCAATCTGTAGTTATGTACCAATCTGAGGAGAAATGTGAAAATAACCACTGAAATCATTCTCTGCATTCTGTGGTTCAGACATGAAACCCCAGTTGAGAATTAGTATTAGAGATATGAAAAACTAACCAGAACTAAAAGCATTAAAAGTAGCTAATGCTATTAGTCATCACATCCCTATTTTGTGTAGAGAATAGAGGAATTAACAAAACAAAAATAATATATCTATCACTGAGGTAAGAGAGGTAGAGGAGCTACTTAAACTTCATCTTTCAAAATATATTCTTTTTTTTTTTGAGATGGGACCCTTGCCCTGTCGCCCAGGTTGGATTGCAGTGGCATGATCTCGGCTCACTGCAACCTCTGCCTCCTGGATTCAAGCAATTCCCTTGCCTCAGCCTCCCAAGTAGCTGAGACTACAGGCGCCCGCCACCACGTCTGGCTGATTTTTGTATTTTTAGTAGAAACAGGGTTTCACCATGTTGGCCAGGCTGGTCTTGAACTCCTGACCTCAAGTGATCCACCCGCCTCAGCCTTCCAAAGTGCTAGGATTACAGGTGTCAGCCACCGTGCCGGGCCTCAAAATATATTCTTAAGCTGTCTCTGCTAACCCCTACAGATTAGCTCAATCAAATATACCCATAAAAAGAGAATAACCATTAATGTTTTCCTGAGATGCATATAATCACTTACAAGAGGAAATCCTGACAATGGTTATGTGAAAAGGTCCGGATTATTTTTACTAGATCCTAAATGAAGAATAACCCCAAAAAATGAAATATTAAAATAATACTACCTTAAAATTTATTCCTAAATATTAGGGTCTGGAAAAAACTATTTCAGAGCATTCTACCAGCCCCATGAAATGTAACCCTAATCCCTCCTTTTCTTTTCTCCTTACTCCTTTTCTTCCCTTTTTCTTTTTTTTCCCATTCATATCTTAAACCTGCAAAGTCATTCCAAGGCACTTTCAGCCTCACTGATATTTCTCAAGACTAAAGAGAGCTATTAATACACCCTAAAATGTGAGTTTCCCGTTCCATCGTCCATGGTCAGATTTCTAAGTCAGGACACAAAGGAAACACCAAATGCCTTATGTTTATCCTCATCTTTATCCCCAGGCAGAGCTTCTGTCTGGCAAGCCAATGTAGGTGGTAATCTAAATGCCTCGGTTCATCTTTCCCTGGCTTGCAGCTCTCACCCTGGCCTTTGTGTTAACACAAAGCATTCCTAAACACCAAAAGAGAGAAGAGAACAATAATGTGTATAACAATGAAGTACAATGGACTTACAAGTCTTAAATTCAAATTATTAAATGCAGAATTTAAAAAGTATTAAATGCAAACATTTAAATATTAATATTTAAAATATTAAATGTGAATTCCTAGAAATAAACAATTGATAAGTTTTACATCAGGCGCTGTTCTGAGTAGCAAGATGAAACCCTGAACCATGCAACTCCATCCCACCTGGAACATGAATCATCCCTTTACCCAGCATATCCATGCTCTACACACTACACACCCCTTAGAGTCACTTAGGAGCCCTCTGGCTTATCAGATCAACTGTTCAGCATCACAGTGCTTATGTTATTTTACTTAATAAAGGCCCTAAAGCCCAAGAGTAGTGATGCTAGCAATTCAGATTTGTTAAAGAGAAACAGTAAAGCCAGCATCACCCAAAACCTGCCTCCATCCTTCCCTCCCTTCTTTCTTCCTTCCTTACTTCCTGCCTTCTTTCTTCCTTCCTTCCTCTTTCTTACTTACATTGGCAACTTCTATTATGTACCACAATACCAATGTATGAAATTCATTCTCCAAGTTTATCACCCGCCTATGCACACAAACACACACTCTCAAAGTGACAATACCCTGGTAGACTTCATTAGACTTTATTAAAGTGCTTCTTTTAAGTGGAAAGATAAAAGTTTTTGACTTCATAAGAAGAAAAGAATCATATGCCAAGGCTGCTAAGATCTACAATAAAATGAATCTTCTCCCTCTGGAATTGTGAGGAAAGAAAAAGAAAGTCATGGCCAGGCATGGTGGCTCACGCCTGTAATCCCACCACTTTGGGAGGCTGAGGCCGGTGGATCACCTGAGGTCAGGAGTTCAAGACCAGTCTGGCCAACATGGTGAAACCCCGTCTCTACCAAAAATACAAAAATTAGCGGGACATGATGGTGGGCGTCTGTAGTCCCAGCTACTCTGGGGGTTGAGGCAGGAGAACTGCTTGAATCCGGGATGGGGAGGTTGCAGTGGGCCAAGACTGTGCCATTGCACTCCAGCCTGGGTGACAAGAGTGAAACTCCATCTCAAAAAAAAAAAAAAAAAGATCTACAATAAAAATGAGTCTTCTTTCTGTGGAATTGTGAGGAAAGAAAAATTTATGGCCAGGCACAGTGCCTCACACCTGTAATCCCAGCACTTTGGGAGGCCGAGGTGAGTGGATCACCTGAGGTTGGGAGTTCGAGACCAGCCTGGCCAACATGATGAAACCCCATCTCTACTGAAAATATAAAAATTAGCTGGGCACGGTGATGCACATCTGTAATCCCAGCTACTCAGGAGGCTGAGGCAGGAGAATTGCTTGAACCCAGGAGGTGGAGGTTTCAGTGAGCCAAGATCATGCCATTGCACTCCAGCCTGGGTGACAGAGAGAGACTCCGTCTCAAAAAAAAAAAAAAAAAAGAAAAAGAAATTCATGCTAGTTTTGCTGTCACACCTTAAACTGCAAACGTTATGGCCACTATGCATGATAAGTGCTTAGTTAAAATGTGAAAAGCATTAAATTTGTGAGTAGAAGACATAAACAGAAACATGTTTCCATTGACAGCAATCAGGTTCAGTACTATCTGCTGTTTCAGGCATCCACTGAGGGTCTTAGAACATATCCCCCCGTAGATAAGGGGGAACTACTGTAAACAGCATAATTTCATCTATTCAAGTTCAAAAACACACAAAACTAAATTATGTTTGGTGATAACAGATAATGATTATTACCAAAAGTCAGGATGGTAATTTATCTCCTCAGGGGAAGAAGAAGTTGTGATCAGGAAAGGGTACACAGGGGACTTCTGGTGTGAAGAAAATGTTCTTTTTGGACCTGGATGATGGGTAGCTATAAAGTTCACTTTTATAATTATTCCTTAAGTGTACATACAGGCTGAGTGCAGTGGTTCAGACCTGTAATCCCAACATTTTGAGAGGCCAGGTTGGGTACCTTGCTTGAGCCCATGCATTCAAGACCAGCCTGGGCAAAATAAGGAGACCCTGTATCTACAAAAACTAAAAATAAATTAGCCAGGTGCAGTGGTGTGCATTTGTGGTCTCAGCTACTCAAGAGGCTGAGGTGGGACGATCACTTGAGTCCAGGAGGTCAAGGTTTCAGTGAACCATGCTTGCGCCACTACTCTCCAGCTTAAGAGTCAGAGCAAATGAGACCCTGTCTTTAAAAAAAAAAAAAAAAAAAAGGAAAGAAAAGAAAGAATTAATGAAAAAAGAAAGAAAAAAGTAAAAAGTGTATATATATGTTTGATGTAGTCTTCCCTCTGCATGTGTAGGAAAAGAAATTATCTTTTCCCCATCTATCCCAGGTTCATGGCTGAGGCCCCTACAACAAAAGACAGATTAACAACAAAAGAGCATATAAATTTATTTAATGTAATTTTTCTGTGATACAGGAGTCCTCATAAGGAAATGAGGAGCTGAAGAAACAAGAAAGCGTGTGTATTAATATGCTCAAATTTGATGAAGAGTGGACAGTTGTGGAGGAATATAATTGTATACAATATATAAAATATTTTAAATTTCTTTTTTTCTTTTTCTTTTTTTTTTTTTTTGAGGCAGAGTCTTGCTCTGTCACCCAGGGTGGAGTGCAGTAGCATGATCTCAGCTCACTGCAACCTCCGCCTCCCAGGTTCAAGCGATTCTTCTGCCTCAGCCTCCTGAGTAGATGGGACTACAGGAGAGTGCCACCATGCCTGGCTAATTTTTGTATTTTTGGTAGAGATGAGGTTTCACCATATTGGCCAGGCTGGTCTCGAACTCCTGACCTCGTGATCAACCCACCTTGGCCTCCCAAAGTGCTGGGATTACAGGCATGAGCCACCATGCCTGGAGTAATATTTTAAATTTCTTTAATGACACACCACCATACAAAAGCTGTTATTAGGATGAGTTAATCATACAACAGGCCAGGCACGGTGGCTCTCTCCCAAATCCTAGCAATTTGGGAGGCTGAGGTGGGTGGATCACTTCAGGTCAGGAGTTCAAGACCAGCCTGGCCAATATGGTGAAACCCCATCTCTACTAAAAATACAAAAATTAGCCGAGTGTGGTGGCACACGCCTGTAATCCCAGCTACTCGGGAGGCTGAGGCAGAAGAATCGCTTGAACCCAGGATGGGGAGGTTGCAGTGAGACAACATCATACCACTGTACTCCAGCCTGGGCAACAAAGCGAGATTCTGTCTCAAAAAAAAAAAAATTCATACAACCGAATAAACCTAAATGGCCTATGTAAATATCTTCATTTATGATTTGCTAATCATGTCTGTTTAGGATACAATACGCTTTGTCTGTAAAGCTTTAACCTAAGAATGTACAGGAAATAAAAGTTTTGACTAAGCCAAGCTCTTCAAAGACTGAGATTGACTCTAAGAGAAAATTTTAAAGAAATAAGGTAAATATAAAATAGTAATCAACAATAATACATTATAAATACCATTGAACATGCAGCATATCTTATGGACTTCCTTTTTTAAATAAGAGCTCTAAATCCTACTGTAATTTAGAAATAAAAATATGAAGACAGAATGAAAGAATCAATACTTAAGAATGCCACTTTGCAGCCAGGCGCGGTGGCTCACACCTGTAATCCCAGCACTTCGGGAGGCCGAGGCAGGCGGATCACGAGGTCAGGAGATTGAGACCATCCTGGCTAACATGGTGAAACACCGCCTCTGCTAAAAATACAAAAAATACAAAAAATTAGCCGGGCGTGGTGGCGGGTGCCTGTAGTCCCAGCTACTCGGAGGCTGAGGCAGGAGAATGGCGTGAACCCAGAAGTCAGAGCAAATGAGATCCTGTCTTGCAGTGAGCCGAGATCATGCCACTGACTCTGTTCCCGGCTGGGAACAGTGGCTCACGCCTGTAATCCCCAGCACTTTGGAAGGCCAAGGCGGGTGATCACCTGAGGTCAGGAGTTCGAGACCAGCCTGGTCAACATGGCAAAACCCCATCTCTACTGAAAACACAAAAATTAGCCAGGCATGGTGTTGCACACCTGTAATCCCAGCTACTCGGGAGGCTGAGACACAAGAATAGCCTGAACCTGGGAGATGGAGGTTGCAGTGAGCTGAGATCATGCCACTGCAATCCAGCCTGGGCAACAGAGCAAGACTCTGTCTCAAAAAAAAAAAAAAAATACATAAATAAATAAGTTTATTTTGCCAAAGTTAAGGATGCGGCCTGGACAATATGTGCCCAAGGTAATCAGGGTACAGCTCACTTTTATACTTTTTAGGGAGACATAATACATCAGTCAATACATGTAAGTCGCCCAGGCACAGTAGCTCACACCTATAATCCCAGCACTTTGGATGGATCACCTGAGGTCAGGAGTTCGACACCAGCCTGACCAACATAGAGAAACCCCGTCTCTACCAAAAATACAAAATTAGCCGGGTGTGGTGGCACATGCCTGTAATTCCAACTACTCGGGAGGCTGAGGCAGAAGAATCACTTGAACCTGGGAGGCAGAGGTTGTGGTGAGCTGAAATCATGCCATTGCACTCCAGTCTGGGCAACAAGAATGAAACTCTGTCTCAAAAACAAAACAAAACAAACAAACAAACAAAAAAACACCTGTAAGGTGTACACTGGTTTGATCTGGAAAGGCAGGACAACTCAAAGCAGGGGCTTCCAGGTTATAGGTAGATTTAAAATTTTTCTGATTGGCAATTGGTTGAAAGAGTTAAGTTCTGTGGCAGAAATTCAACACTCTGAGTTGATGACATGTTATAGTCTCATTTAACAGCAAATAACTAATTAGTAGTATGGGCCAATCTGTAAGGATTTTACACAAAGACACACACACACACACACATCTGCTAACGGAAGTCTCTTCCTATATACATAAAAATTCCATGGAACTTTTTTAGCATTCAAAGCAACAGACATCTTTATAGATACTCTTTTATAACAATCTCTCTATATTTATATTCTCTCTAGAAACAAACCTAGGTTCATGGCTTGATAACAATATTAGGTATTTCACAGGATACTTTCCTGCCCTTTTTTTTTTTTTTTTTTTGAGACGGAGTTTTGCTCTTATTGTCCAGGCTGCAGCGCAATGTTGTGATCTCGGCTCACTGCAACCTCCCCCTCCTGGGTTCAAGCAATTCTCCTGCCTCAGCCTTCTGAGTAGCTGGGATTACAGGTATGCACCACCATGCCCAGCTAATTTTGTATTTTTAGTAGAGATGGGGTTTCTCCACGTTGGTCAGGCTGGTCTCAAACTCCCGACCTCAGGCAATCCGCCCACCTTGGCCTCCCAAAGTGTTGGGATTACAGGCATGAGCCAGCGTGCCCGGCCTTCTGCCTTTTTTTTTTTTTAACCCTTACTCCAATTTCTAATTGCTCAAGTACTTTTTAAAAAGAATCTCCCTTTCTTACTTGAAGATGTTGTCTTAAACTTTGGGACTTAAAGCAAAATTAGAAGATCACAAATGAAAGTGCTACTGAACATATAGGTAAATATGTGTTGCTGTTGTTAGATTTTGTTTTGTTCTGTTTCAATAAGCTGAGGCTCAGAAAGTTAAGTGTATTACTCTAGGTAACCTAGCTAATCATTTCTAGATACCAGATCGTAACCAGCTTGACCTCTTATTGGCCATCAATTTTGCAGTCAATCAGAAGTGTGTTTTATTCCTGACATGGCAACTCTGTGCTTCCATAAACAGATGAAAACACTATCACAAATGACCATAATGAGAATTAAATGTAATAATACTTGTAAAATGCTGAGTACAATGCCTAACATGCAGCAAATTATGAATAAAT
The DNA here is from genome assembly GCF_000001405.40 of Homo sapiens. Classification (NCBI taxonomy): domain Eukaryota; kingdom Metazoa; phylum Chordata; class Mammalia; order Primates; family Hominidae; genus Homo; species Homo sapiens. The sequence goes on from NC_000010.11 coordinate 72,605,040, forward strand.
ACTTGTTTTGAGAAGTTTGGCAGGACTGGTTTCATAAGATACAGATCACAAAGACCCCGCTAATAAAACAGGGTGCAGTAAAGAAGCCAGCCAAACCCCACCAAAACCAAGATGACAACGAAAACAACCTACTGTCATCCTCACTGCTTATTATACACTAATTATAACGCATTAGCATGCTAAAAGGAACTCCCACCAGCGCCAGGACAGTTTAAGAATGCCACAACAATGTCTGGAAGTTACCCTATATGGTCAGAAATGGGGAAGAACTCTCAATTCCAGGAATTTCCCACCCAGTTCCCTAGAAAACTCATAAATAATCCACTCCATATTTAGCATATAATCAAGAAATAATCATGAATAAAGCCAGCCAGCAGCCCATGAGGGCTGCTCTGCCTATGAAGTAGTCACCCATTTATCCCCTTACTTTCTTAATAAACTTGCTCACTTTACTCTATGCTTGCTCTTGAATTCTTTCTTGGGCAAAGCCAAGAATCCACATGGCCTCCTGGGTTGAATCCCAACTGTGGGGTTTGCCCTGTGATAGTTTGAAAGGTAATATAATAGAATGCTGCTGATGGTGATAATAATTTAAATTATTTACCTAACAGTTACACTGTAGTAGATATGAGTAGTTTAGAGATGATTTAAAGTATACAGGAGGATGTGCATAGGTTATACGCAAATAGTACACAATTTTATCTAAATGACTTGAGCATCTGTGGATTTTGGTATCCGAGGGGGTCCTGGAACCAATCCTCACAGATATCATGGAACTACTGTATAATTTAAGTAATATAATTTTCACTGGCTGGGCGTGGTGACTCACGCCTATAATCCCAGAACTTTAGGAGGCCAAGGTGGGTGGATCACCTGAGGTCAGGAGTTCAAGACCAGCCTGGTCAACATGGTGAAACCCTATCTCTACTAAAAATAAAAAAATTGGCTGGGCGTGGTGGCGCATGCCTGTAGTCCCAGCTACTCAGGAGGCTGAGACAGGAGAATCACTTGAACCTGGGAGGTGGAGGTTGCAGTGAGCCAAGATTGCACCACTGCACTCCAGCCTAGACGACAGAGTGAGACTCCATCTCAAAAAAAAAAAAAAAGAAATTTCACTAAAATGTTACATAACTATGTAAACCTAAATCTCTTCCCTTCAATGCAAATATTTAATTAAAATTAAAAAGTAAGGCTGGGCACGGTGGCTCATGCCTGTAATCCCAGCACTCTGGGAGGCTGAGGTGGGTGGATCACCTGAGGTCAGGAGTTCGAGACCAGCCCGGCCAACACAGTGAAACCCCGTCTCTACTGAAAATACAAAAAAATTAGCCGGGCATGGTGGTGGACGTCTGTAATTCCAGCTACTCGGGAACTGAGGCAGGAGAATCTCTTGAACCCAGGAGGCAGAGGTTGCAGTGAGCTGAGATCCCGCCATTATACTCCAGCCTGGGCAACAAGAGCGAAATGATGTCTCAAAAAAAAAAATTTTTTTTTAAGTAAGACTTAATCATGAACTTATCTATCCTTGCTATTTGTAATACTGTGATTTATAATAAGAAATATATATATATATATGTTGGTCTTCATCCCATTTCCTGGCAGCACCTAAGAACTTTGAAACCTCTGAAGTGATGTGACTTTTTCTATCCTAATGAGATGACTGATGGTAGGGTTGGGGGCTTCTAAATAGTCCCAGAATGAGAGGGCTGGTTTCCTGTGCAACCAACCATGTGATTAGAAAGTTGGTACTTTCAGTCTGGGTGGGATTTCAGCCCTGGCCTCCAGGGAAAGGAGGGAGACTGAAGATTGAGCACATTATCCTTGCCAACGACTTAATCAATCATGCCTACATAATGAAGTCTCCATAAAAACCTAAAAGGACCATTCCAACAGCTTCCAGGCTGGTGAACTCATGAAGGCATAAGGAGCCTGGCAGGTCCTTTCCCCTATACCTTGCCCTACGCAACTCTTACATCTGGCTGTTTCTTAGTTTTATCCTTTTAAGATATGCAAGTTATAGGCCAGTCACGGTGGCTCACGCCTGTAATCCCAATAGTTTGGGAGGCCAAGGTGGGTGGCTCACAGGAGGTCAGGAGTTCAAGACCAGCCTGGCCAACATGGTGAAACCCTGTCTCTTCTAAAAATACAAAAATTAGCCGGGCGTCATGGCGCAAACCTGTAATCCCAGCTACTCGGGAGGCTGAGTCATGAGAATAGCTTGAACCCGGTAGGCGGAGGTTGGAGTGAGCCGAGATCGCACCATTACACTCCAGCCTGGGCAACAAGAGTGAAACTCTGTTTCAAAAAAAAAAAAAAGGGAGCTGGGCGCAGTGGCTCACGCCTGTAATCCCACCACTTGGGGAGGCTGAGGCAGGTGGATCATGAGGCCAGGAGATCGAGACCTTCCTGGCCAACATGGTGAAACCCTGTCTCTACTAAAATACAAAAAATTATGTGGGCATGGTGGTGCGCCTGTAGTCTCAGCTCCTCAGGAGGCTGAGGCAGGGGAATCGCTTGAACCTGGGAGGCAGAGGTTGAGGTGAGCCAAGATCGCACCATTGCACTCCAACCTGGGCAACAAGAGCGAAACTCCATCTCAAAAAAAAAAAAAAAAAAAGATAAGCAAGTTATAGTAAGTAAAGTGCCTTCTTGAGTCCTGTGAGCTGCTGTAGCAAATGACCAAACCCAAGAAGGAGGTTGTGGGAACCTCCAATTCGCAGTGAGGTTGGACAGAACTGGGTAACTTGGGAGCCTACTGCATGTGATTAGCATCTAAGGGGGAACAGTTTACTGAGACCCAACCATTAACCTGTGGGGGGGGTCTACACTAACTCTAGTTAGTACCAGAATTGAACTGAATTGTAGGACATTCAACTAGTATCAGACATTGGTTAGGGTGGGAAACAATCCACACATCTGGTGTAGGCAGTGAAGTGCTGAGTGACTGCGTGTTATGAGTGAGAGTAAAGAGAGGAAGAAAATTTTGTTTTTCTTACACAGATTGTTTTTTCCTTTATACTGTTCTAATCAAATAATTTTTTTTTTGAGACAGGGTGTCTCACTGTGTCACCCAAGCTGGAGTGCAGTGGTGTGATCTCAGCTCACTGCAACCTCAACCTCCTGGATTCAAGCGATTCTCCTGCTTCAGCCTCCTGAGTAGCTGCGATTACAGGCATGTGCCACCAAGCCCCGCTAATTTTTGTATTTTTTTTAGTAGAGACAAAGTTTTGCCATATTGGCCAGGCTGGTCTCAAACTCCTAGCCTCAAGTGATCCACCCACCTCGGCAGCCCGAAGTGCTGGGATTACAGGTGTGAGCCACCTCTCCTGGCCGAAATGCTTCTTTTTGTCTAACCTAAATACCATTTGAATCCTTTTCAAAAAATGAGGAAAGGACTTGAATAGACATTTCTCCAAAGATGTACAAATGGCCAATAAGCACATGAAAAGATGCTCAACATCATCAATCATTAGGTAAAAGCAAATTAAAACCAATTAAAACCATAATGAGGTACTATTCACACACAAAACAGAGTATCTATTATAAAAAACTAGAATATTTTCCAGAGAAAATGTGGAGAAATTGGGACCTTTGTGCATTGTTGGTGGGAATGTAAAATAATGCAGCTATTGTTAGTCGAATTAAGTTTGGCCTAAAACTGCCTCCGTACATATTTTAAGATCGGCCTAAATGTTTCTCCATACTTAACTGTAACCTAACGATGTATAAATACACCTACTCTTGTAACAAGTACCCAAGTCTCATCCAACCACAGGCACCCAACTGTTCAAACCAAGTTCAAATAAGGCAAACTCCTGGCTGTAACCAATCCAGCCATTTCTGGACCTCACTCCTGTTTTCTATCAATGTCATCTGACCATGAAGCAGCCCTAGAGTTGCTCTGAATCCATGCTGGTTCTGAGGGCTGGCCAATTTACAAATCATTCTTTGCTCAATTAAGCTCTGTTAAATTTAATTTGTGTAAAGTGTTTTAACAGTATATATACACAATGGAATATTATTCAGCCATTTAAAAGGAAGGAAATTCTGGCATATGCTACAATATGGATAGATTCAAAACAACAAATACCATATGATTCCACTTATATGAGGTACCTAAAATAGTAAAAGTTCAGAGACAGAAAGTAGACTAATGGTTATCAAGAGCTTGGAAGAGGGAAAATGGGAATTTATTGTTTAATGGGTTCAGGGTTTCTGTTTGAGAAGATGACAAAGTTCTGAAAATGAATAGTGGCAATAGCTGCATGACATGTTGAATGTACTTAATGACAATGAAGTATACATTAAAAAGTGGTCATGCCAGGCATGATGGTGCACATCTATAATCTCCACGCTTTGGGAGGCCAAGGTGGGAAGGATCACTTGAGGCCAGGAGTTTAAGACTAGCTTGAAGGCCAGGCACGGAGACTCACGCCTGCAATCTCAACACTTTGGGAGGCCGAGGCGGGCAGATCACGAGGTCAGGAGATCGAGACCATCCTGGCTAACACGGTGAAACCCCGTCTCTACTAAAAATACAAAAAATTAGCTGGGTGTGGTGGCAGGCACCTGTAGTCCCAGCTACTCGGGAGGCTGAGGCAGGAGAATGGTGTGAACCCAGAAGGCGGAGCTTGTAGTGAGCCGAGATCGCGCCACTGCACTCCAGCCTGGGCAACAGAGCCAGACCCCGTCTCAAAAAAAAAAAAAAAATGGTGGCCGGGCGTGGTGGCTCACGTCTGTAATTCCAGCACTTTGGGAGGCCTAGGTGGGTGGATCACGAGGTCAGGAGTTCAAGACCAGCCTGGCTAAGATGGTGAAACCCCATCTCTACTAAAAATACAAAAAATTAGCTGGGTGTGGTGGTGCGTGCCTGTAATCCTAGCTAGTCCGGAAGCTGAGGCAGAGAGTTGCTTAAACCTGGAGGGGCGGAGGTTGCAGTGAGCCGAGATGGCACCACTGCACTCCAAGCCTGAGCGACAGAGCGAGACTCCATCTAAAAAAAAAAAGAAAAAGAAAAAAGACCAGCTTGGGCAACACAGCAAGACCCCATCCCTACAAAAATTTTTTAAAAATTGGTTTGGCATGGTGGTACACACCTGTAGTCCCAGCTACTCAGGAAGCTGAGGCAGGGGGATCACTTGAGTCCAGGAGTTTGAGGCTACAGTGAGCTATGATCACACCACTGTACTCCAGCATAAGTGACAGAGTGACATACTCTCCAAAAAAAAAAAAAAATAGTAAAAAAGTAAATTTTATGTTATATATATTTTACGACACTTTTTTTAAAGAAAAAATATATCTAGTCCAAATTATGTGGAATATGGCAACTGATTCATCATTTATCTGAGATTTAAAATTTTAAGAGACAAAAACTGCCAAGGATGGTTAATTAGAGAGAATTTACTAAAAAGACTGTTTGCAAAGACACAAGCAGAGTTAACAAAAACGAACAAGAGATAGTAAAGCACTCTGAACATAAGAAACAGTGGGAAGACAGTAGGCCTTAGTGGGCCAGGGAAGGTAGTACTGGAATTACCAGAACTCAGTCAACTGTAGCTACAGCTTTGGGAAACAGCTGACAGAAGTTGTGTGGCCTTCAGCAGAGGAATACAACTATTACCAACTGACAAGGAGGGAGCCAGGGAAATAAACACACAGACATCACTGTCCTCCCACCTTCTGTCTTTGCCAAACCCTATTGGATAACAAAAGGAAAAGAGCTTATGGATGTAGCTTACAAAAGGCAGCCTCTTGGAGCATAAAGCTGAGTGGAGGAGGTTAGAGGGTGAATACAGAGGGGCAAATGGACACTATGTAGTACAACATGATACATTACTTTACCTTGTATTTCTATTTTACTAGCCAAAGGAAAAACTGTAATAAATATATTTATCAGTACAAAGAAAAACTTCCTGCTGCCACAAAAAAGTAGGCAAGTAACTGGATTAAAATTCTAAGATTTTTGTTGTTTAAAAAAAAACAAGGCCAGGCGCGGTGGCTCACGCCTGTAATCCCAGCACTTTGGGAGGCCGAGGCGGGCGGATCACGAGGTCAGGCGATGGAGACTATCCTGGCTAACACGGTGAAACCCCGTGTCTACTAAATACAAAAAAATTAGCCGGGCGCTGTAGCGGGCGCCTGTAGTCCCAGCTACTCGGGAGGCTGAGGCAGGAGAATGGCGGGAACCCGAGAGGCGGAGTTTGCAGTGAGCAGAGATCGCTCCACTGCACTCCAGCCTGGGAGACACAGCGAGACTCCCTTTAAAAAAAAAAAAAGAAAGAAAGAAAAAAGGCCGGGAGCAGTTGCTCACATCTGTAATCCCAGCACTTTGGGAGGCCGAGGCGGGCGGATCACCTGAGGTCAGGACTTGGAGACCAGCCTGGCCAACATGGCGAAACCCCGTCTCTACTAAAAATACAAAAATTACAAAAATTAGCTGGGTGTGGTGGTGCGTGCCTGTAATCCCAGCTACTCGAAAGGCTGAGGCAGGAGAATTGCTTGAACCCGGGCGGCAGAGATTGCAGTGACTCCATCTCAAAAAAAAGAAAAAGAAAAAACCCTAAAAAGAAAGCCCTGTGTTAAGAATTAAGATAAAAGTGAAAAGAAAGAAAGAAAAAAACCCAGTTTTGACGAGAGGTACATGGTCTGCCCCAATACTCTCAAACACTGAGAATAACAGACTAAAGGAGTAATATACTAGAATATTAGAGCTGAAAGAGACCTTAACATTTTTCAAAATTTCAGTATGAGAGGGAACAGGCCAGGGAGGTGATAAGCAACTCCATCACTGTCACAACGCTATCTGGGCACTGTGGTGTGTCCCTATAGTCTCGGCTGCTTGGGAAAATGAGGCAGATGGATCGCTTGAGGCCAAGAGTTTGAAGCTACAGTGCTACACAGTGACTGTGAATAGCCACTGCACTCCTGCCTGAGCAACACAGTGAGACCTTATCTCTTAAAAACCAACCAACCAAAAAAAAAAAAAAAAAAATCACAAAGCTAGATAATAGTGAAATTGGAAACTGAAACCAGATTTGGTAACTCCTTTCCTAATTGTCTTCCTATCAAACTACGCTACGGAAAGAAATCTGTGTATGTGCTTAATATTGGGAAAATCAACTAGTAAACAGGCTTAAAGAAATAAATAAAATCCCAGACTCATTAGGCTAAAATGTTTAATTTCTTATAGTAGAACTCCAGATTTCCCACAATAACACTAGAGTCTGCCATCTGTTTTCTTAACCAAAAAAAAAAAATGACACTTCGTGAATCTTAACACAGTACACAAAGTATTTCAGGAGCTGACCAGACTTTAATCTGAGCCTAAAGAAAACATGCAGTCGAAAAGGAAGTTATTAATGACTTAGGAGCCATTTTCCTATAGAGCATGAAATTAAAACCTCTAGGCTAAAAGAGTAATGGGAGTCATGCCAAGGCTTTGACAGTCAAATTGCTCCTTCAAAAGGTTGGAATATAGCCAGGCTTAGTGGCTCCTGCCTATAATCCCAGAGCTTTGGGTGGCTGAAGCAGGAGGATCACTTGAGGCCAGAAGTTCCTAACCACTCTGGGCAAGATAGCAAGACCCTGTCTCACAAAAAACAATTTTAAAAAATTAGCCAGGCAAGGTGGCACATGCATGTAGTCATAGCTATTCAGGCGGCTGAGGCAGGAGGACCCTTTGAGCCTAGGAGTTTGAAGCTGCAGTGAACTATGATTGCACCATTGTACTCTAGCCTGGGTGACAGAGTGAGACCCTGTCTCAAAAAAAAAAAAAAGTTGGGATGCATAGGAAGAATGCATACTCCACTGGTAAAGACAACACAAAATTCACTTCCTAAAATGCATACAAATGACATACAAAGAATAAAAAAGAGAGAGAAAAGATGCAGTATCTGTAAGACAAAATCCATAATATAAAGAAAAACTAGAAATATTAAAGATTAAAAGTAATTATTTATAAAAATAAAAGCAAGTTGTTTAAATGGCCTCTTTTTCAGAAAAAAAATTAACATCAAACCTTTATAGCTTATTTTAAAACTTTCAAACATGCAGGAAATTTCAAAGACTACTATTATCAACACCATATGTGCATTACTTAAATTCAACAATTAACATTTTGATATACTTGCTTCATCTACTTATCTATATGGCTACTCATCAAACTATTTTTTATGTTGAATCATTTCAAAGTAAATTACAGACATTATTAGGAGAAACACTTTACCCCTAATTTTTTTTTTTTTTTTTTTTTAGAGACAGGGTTTTGCTCTGTCACCCAGGCTGTAGTGCAGTGGCATGAGCATAGCACTCTGCAGCCTCAAACGCCTAGGTTTAAGTAGTCCTCCTGCCTCAGCCTCCTGAGTGGCTAGGAACTACAGGGATGTGCCACCACGCCTGGCTGATTTTTTTTTATTTTTTGTAGAGCCCAGGTCCCATTATGTTGTTCAGGCTGGTCTCCAACTCCTGGCCTCAAGCAGTCCTCCCACCTCAGCTTCCTAAAGCTCTGGGATTATGAGCATGAGCCACCACACCTGGCTATACCCCTACATATTTTAATATTCTCCTACACAACTACAATATTTTCTCCTACATAACTACATTATCAAATTTATTCAAATTAATAATTACCTAATATCTTCTAATACTAGAACACATACAAACTCCCCCAAAATTTACAGCTGATTTTTCAAACCAGGATCCCTACAAATAAGACTATCTTTGGTTTTCTCTAAACAGTCTCTCTTAATCTAGAAGAGTTCCTCATACATAACCTTTTTCTCCCCTTACAACTCTAGTTTTTGTTGTGTTACAATATACATAATAGGCTGGGTGCAGTGGCTCACACCTGTAATCCCAGCACTTTGGGAGGCTGAGGTGGGGGGATCACCTGAGGTCACGAGTTCAAGACCAGCCTGGCCAATGTGGCGAAACCCCGTCTCAATTAAAAATACAAAAAAATTAGCTGGGCGTGGTGGCGGGCGCCTGTCCCAGCTATTTAGGAGGCTGAGGCAGAAGAATTGCTTGAACCAGGAGGCAGAGGTTGCAGTGAGCTGAGATTACACCATTGCACTCCAGCCTGGGCAACAAGAACAAAACTCCATCCCCAAAAATAAAACAAAAACACATAATATAAAATGTACCCATACTCATTCAAATGGCTATTACTTAAATTTTAAAAAAAAAACAAGTGTTGACAAGGATGTGTAGAAAATGAAACCCTTGTACACTGCTGATAGGAATATAAAATAGTGCAGGCACTACAGAAAAAGTATGGCAGCTCCTCAAAAAATTAAACATAGAATTACCATATGATCCAGCAATTCCACTTCTAGGTGTATTTCCAAAGGAATTTAAAGGAGGAACCTGAATAGATATTTGTACAGCCATGCTCAAAGCAGCATTGTGCACAACAGCCAAATGGTGGAAGCAACCCAAGTGTCCACTGATGGATGAATGGATAAAATGTGACACATACATACAAGGAATATTATTCAGCCTTTATTTTTTCTTAATCATGGCAAAATTTCATCATGTCATTTCACCTTCAAAAGGAAGGAAATTCTAGCATATGCTACAACATGGATGAACCTGAAGGATACTATGCTAAGGGAAACAAGCCAATCCAAAAAAGGCAAATACTTTGTGATTTCACTTACATGAGGCACCTAGCATAGTCAAATCATAGAGACAGAAAGTAGAATGATGGATGCCAGAGGTTTCAGGGAGAGGGAAATGAGGAATGAGCATTTAATGAGTATGGGGTTTCAGTTTGGGAAGTAGTTTTGGAAATGAATGCTAGTGATGGTTGTGTAACAATGTGAATGTACTTAATGCCACTGTACATTAAAAATTATTAAAATGGTAAATATTTAAGCTGTGCTAAAATATACATAACAGAAAATTGACGATTTTGACCACTTTTAAGCATACAATTCAGTGGCATATACATTCACCATGTTGTACAATCACAGCACAACCTTAATTTCTGAAAAGGGCAAATATATTGCAGCATTTTTCATACTGCGGATTTGTCTGATTGCTTCCTTGTGGTGTGGTTTTGTGTTTGTTTGTTTGTTTGTTTGTTTGTTTTGAGATGGAGTCTCAGTCTCACTCTGTTGCCTAGGCTAGAGTGCAGTGGCATGATCTTGGCTCACCGCAACCTCTGCCTCCTGGGCTCAAGTGATACTTGTGCCTCAGCCTCCCCAGTAATTGGAATTACAGACATGTGCCACCATGCCCAGCTAATTTTTGTATTTTTACTACAGACAGGGTTTCACCACTTTGGCCAGGCTAGTCTTGAACTCCTGACCTCAAGCAATCTTCCCGCCTTGGCCTCCCAAAGTGCTGGGATTACAGGTGTGAGCAACAGCACCACAGCACACTGTGCTGTGGTATTAAATCTTTCTCTATTCCTTTTTTTTCCTGTAAACTGGAAGTTACATCTAAAGGTTAGATCACAGTCAAATTAAGTATTTTTGGCAAGAATTCTGCATAGATTATTTTCTATATTTCATGAGTCTTGTCTTAGGCTTTTTTCTCTGATGTCTAATCTGCCATTAATCCCATTAAATGTATTTTTCATCTCAGACATTATAGTTTCCATCTCCGAAAGTTCAGTTTGAGTTTTTTTATACCTTCCATGTCTCTATTTAACATGTTCAGTCTTGGCCAGGCGCGGTGGCTCATCACGCCTGTAATCCCAGCACTTTGGGAGGCCGAGGAGGGTGGATCACAAGGTCAGGAGATCGAGACCATCCTGGCTAACACAGTGAAACCCTGTCTCTACTAAAAATACAAAAAATTAGCCGGGCGTGCGGCATGCACCTGTAGTCCCAGCTACTTGGAAGGCTGAGGCAGGAGAATGGCGTGAACCCGGGAGGCGGAGCTGGCAGTGAGCCGAGATTGTGCCACTGCACTCCAGCCTGGGCGACAGAGCGAGACTCCGTCTCAAAAAAACAAAAAACAAAAAACAAAAAAAAACATGTTCAATCTTTCTACTAGTTTCTTGAGCATATAGAATATGCTTATGAAAACTGTTTTAAATCCCTCTTTACTAATTCTATCATCTGTGTCACTTCTGTTTTGGTTTCTAATTTTCTTCTCATCAGTATGAGTCACGTTTTCCTACTTCTTTGCATGCCTAGTAATTTCTGATTGGATGCCAGACATTGTGAATTTTACCTTGTGTGCTTTCTTGTATTCCTATAATTATTTTTGAGCTTTCTTCTGGGCCATGATTAAATTAGTAGGGAACAGTTTTGGCCCTTTCAGGTCTTGCTTTTAAGCTTTGTCAGCCTGGGCTGGAGAAGCATTTAGTTCAAGGCTAATTTACCCACTGTTAGGGCAAAACCCTTAAGAGACTCTACACAGAAACTCCGTCTCTACTAAAAATACAAAATTAGCCAGGCATGGTGGTGCACGCCTGTAATCCCAGCTACTTGGGAGGCTGAGGCAGGAGAATCACTTGAACCTGGGAGGCAGAGGTTGTGGTGAGCCGAGGTCACACCATTGCACTCCAGCCTGGGCAACAAGAGCGAAACTCCATCTAAAAAAAAAAAAAAAAAGACTCTACATAATGACCTATAAAGATGGTTTCCACTCTGGTTGGTGGGAAAAAAAAAAAAAAAACACACTATTCCTAATTCGGCAAGTATTGTTTTATCTGATCTTTTCAAGTGATTATCTTCCTAGCCTCAGAAAGTTTCCTCACATACATCCACTGATCAGTTCTCAGCAGAATACTTGAGACGGATCCTCTGTAGTTCTCTGAAGTTCTCCCTCTCTGCAGCTATTTCCAGTTTTCTGCCCTGCAAACTCCAGATGCTTTGGCCTCCCCAGACTCCCTCAATTAAGGGAAACTATTGTGCTCTGTCTGGGTTCCCTGTCCCTGTTCTGCAGCTGGAAAACTGTCTAGGCAGCAAGCCAGAGCAATCATAGACCTCATCTCATTTCTTTCCTATCTTTCAGGGATTACTCTCCTTTGCTGCACAATGTTCAAAATCTAGACAACCACTGTTTTACACATTTTTGTCTGCTTTTTTAGCTGTTTCAGGCAAGAAGGTAACCCTGTTACTACTTCTTCACCAGAAATAGAAGACCAGTTTTTTTTGTCCCTTTTATTCATCTCTTTCTCTGAATTATTTTAAGGCAACTCAAATATTATATCATTTCACTGCTATATATTTTGGTATGTCTCTCCAAAAATATGGACTTTTTTCCCACATAATCATGTCAGTTGTACTCAACAAATTTAACCATCCCTTAGTATGATCTAACACCAGTCCATACTCCAATTTCCTCAATTTAAAAAAAATTGAACTGATAGTTTAAACTCTTTTTAATGCTAGCATTTAATAAACACTACTCTGTGAGGGGTACTATGCTAAGTACCTGATATCCATTACCTTATTTAGTCCTCAGTAATCCTTTGGGGTAAATATTATTATTACTCCCATTTCACTGATAAGAACACCAAAGCTTGCTGGGCATGGGGGCTGACACCTGTAATGTAGAAACCCTGTCTCTACTAAAAATAAAATCCCAGAATTTTGGGAGGCCGAGGCGGCAGGGTCACTTAAGGCCAGGAGTTTGAAACCAGCCTGTGCAACATATCAAGACCATGTCTCTACAAAAAAGTTAAAAATTAGCCAAGTGTGGTGGCACACACCTATAGTCCTAGCTGCTCAGGAGGTTGAGATGGAAGGATTGCTTGAGCCCAGGAGTTTGAAGGTGCAGTAAGCTGTGGTCACACTACTGCACTCCAGCCTGGGTGACAGCACGAGACCCCAACTCAAAACAACAACAAAAAACCAGCAAAGCTAGAATCTGTTAAAATGTTTGCCTAGGCTGGCCGCAGTGGCTTACGCCTGTAATCCTTGCACTTTGGGAGGCCAAGGTGGGCAGATTACTTGAGGTCAGGAGTTAGAGACCAGCCTGGCCAACATGGTAAAACCCCATCTCTACTAAAAATATAAAAATTAGCCAGGAGTGGTGGCGCATGCCTGTAAATCCCAGCTACTAGGGAGGCTGAGGCAGGAGATTCGCTTGAGCCTGGGAGGTGGAGGCTGCAGTGAGCCGAGATCATGCCACTGCACTCCAGCCTGGTCAACAGAGCCAGACTCTGTCTCAAAAAAAAAAAAAAAAACTACCAGTTTGCCTAAGGTTATAGCATGGCAGAGGCAGGTTTCTCTGATCACAAACACATTGTTTTCTAAAAATAATTGCATACCTTTATTATTTTTTTGAAATGAGGTCTCACTATGTGGCCCAGGCTGGTCTTGAATTCCTGGGGTCAAGCAATCCTCCCACCTCAGCCTCCAGAATAGCTGACATGACAGGTGTGTGCCACTGCCCCTAGCTCCCAATGGCATTGCACTTAACCATTATGCTTCAATACCATCTCACAACTTATTAGCATAAAATATCAGATAATATCAATGCTTAAATTGAAAATCAAATTCGAAGATTGCTTAATTTAAATGCTATTACAGGTCAAAGACCTGAAAAAAATAATAATGCTACTTTATTTGAAATATATTACAATAAAATCTGCTTAAAATTTTAAGAAATACAACTTTCGAATCTAAAAGAGAATTTTAATAGAAAAAGCACAAGAAACTTGGTTGAAATGAAACTATCATCTCAAACTAGAGAATGCAGATTCATTTAATTATAATGTTCTATCACAGCTCTTGTCAAGTAGAACATGTTGTGATGACAGAAATATTTTGTATCTGTGCTGTTCAATACAATAGCCACTACCCATATGTGAGTACTGGGCATCTGAAATATGTCTAAAAAAACTAAGAGAAACTGAATTTTTTGTTTTCTTTATTTTTAATGAGCTTAAATTTAAATTGTAATTATCAGTTCATCTGTCTGTTTTCCCCACTAGGCTGTAAGGTCCTTGAAGAACAGAATGTATTTTCATCTCTCCTTTCAATGTCTTGATACATATTAGAAACCTGTTTGTTGATATGTGGTAGAATATGTGGATGGAATTTTCTAGATGTGTCCAGATAAATTCTCTAAATATATCAGACTGATAAAGGTTACAAAGTACAGACTTACTTTATTGGATTATATCTTTTTTCTATTCTGACTTTTAAAACAAATGAAATATTAGCCAGGCCCGGTGGCTCACACCTGTAATCCCAGCACTTTGGGAGGCTGAGGCAGGTGGATCACAAGGTCAGGAGATTGAGACCATCCTGGCTAACACGGTGAAACCCTGTCTCTACTAAAAATACAAAAAAATTAGCCAGGCATGGTGGCAGGCACCTGTAGTCCCAGCTACTCGGGAGGCTGAGGCAGGAGAACGGTGTGAACCCAGGAGGCGGGGTTTGCAGTGAGCCGAGATTGTGCCACTGCACTCCAGCCTGGGCAACAGGTCAAGACTCCGTCTCAAAAAACTAAATAAATAAATAAAACAGATAAAATATCTTATTTACTCATTTATTCACCAAACATGCTCTGAGCTTACATATTTGTGACAAAGACTCTGTTATGTACTCAGGATATGATGATGAATAAGACCCAGTTTCTGGCATCAAGAATCACTCAATCTAAGACAATACATACAATTGCTCCACAAAGTGAGAAGACTACTTTAAACAGATAAATTATGAGAACCAACAAGGAAAGTAAATTACGAGAACCAAGAAGGAAAATAACCACCTGAGGGTAGAGGGAGGTTCTACATACTGAACAATAATTCATTAATCTAGTTTAACGATGAACGGCAGCTCACCAGTTGGGAGATGGCAGAACGGTGGAGAGGCATTCCAGGTACAACAAATAGCCATGTAAAGGCATAAAGACACAAAAACACATGGTGAACATGGGGAGGAAAAAGTGTCTCATTCTGACTAGAACATGTGAAAACGAATAAAAAGGGGAGGAGGATACATTAGAGCTAGATTCTAATACCCTTTTGTGCTATATTACAGTGCTGATTCAATCTTATTAGGATGGTAGGCAAAGTATTCATGTTTACTTTTTTTAAAAAAAAGGAAAAAAACAGCTTGCTAATTCCCATACTCAAAGAACAAACTTTAAAAAGCAAAATCTAAATTATAAATTTTTGCTTATAACAGACACCAAATCCAAATTAACTGTCCAAGCAAGGTTATTAGAATAGGCACTTGAAGTTTTTGTTGTTTTTGAGATGGAGTCTCACTCTGTCGCCCAGGCTGGTGTACAGTAGTGCCATCTTGGCTCACTGCAACCTCCGCCTCCCGGGTTCAGGCAATTCTCATGCCTCAGCCTCCCAAGCAGCTGGGATTACAGGAGTGTGCTACCATGCCTGGCTAATTTTTTGTATTTTTAGTAGAGACAGGGTTTCACCACGTTGCCCAGGCTGGTTTCGAACTCCTGACCTCAAGTGATTCTCCTGCCTCAGCCTCCCAAAGTACTGGGATTACAGGCATGAGCCACTGCACCTGGCCAAGCACTTCAAGTTTTAAATAAGCAACATTAAATCACTTTGAAGAGAAATGCAAGCATTATTTGTATCCTTAACTGTTGAGGATATCTTTTTCAAATATTACACTAAAGTTTCAATTTTCTCATAGTAAAACCCATCTTGAACTTAATATTAGTCTAGGAAACATTTATGATCTGCAAAAAATTGATCACCCTGTTAGTTTGGGGGAAAAAAGCTGAGTCTACTTCTAGCCATTTCTTGCCTCATAAACAGAACTAAAACACCTCTCCCACGATGTGGCAATATTTAACTTTTCAACGACAGGTTATTAATTATATTTAATGTCAATCACTTCTCACAGTTGTCCAATTCCACAGCTACCTTTTTTTGCTTTTTCAACTGACATTCTGTTACCTGTTTTACCCACAGGTATCTTATCTACAGGTATCCACTCTATCGTGCTCTTAAAGCATGATTGGCCAGGCATGGTGGCTCATGCCTGTAATCCCCATATTTTGGGAAGCCAAGGCAGGCGGAATGCTTGAACCCAGGAGATTGAGACCACCCTGGGCAACATAGTGAGACCCCGTTTCTACAGAAAAAAAAATTGTTTTAATGATGAACCACCAGAATAAGGCATAAAGATACAAAACTAGTGTTAATTATAATTTTAAAGTTAACACCCAGTAATAGCAATTAGTTATAATTATGGTAATTTATTTTACATACCACGTTCAAAATAAAGTGGTTTTGGATGGGCGCAGTGGCTCACGCCTATAATCCCAGCACTTTGGCTAGCAGATCACCTGAGGTCAGGAGTTCGAGACCAGACTGACCAACATGGTGAAACCCCATCTCTACTTAAAATACAAAAAAAAAATAGCCAGCCGTGGTGGTAGGTGCCTGTAATCCCAGCTACTTGGGAGGCTGAGGCAGGAGAATTGCTTGAACCCAAGAGGCGGAGGTTGCAGTGAGCCAAGAACGCGCCATTGCACTCCAGCCTGGGCGACAAGTGTAAAACTCCGTCTCAAAAAATAATAATAATAATAAAAAAATAAAGTGGTTTCTATACTAACAGATTTTTAAACATAAAACAATGAAAAGAACCAAGTATTTAATCATATCCACAACATGTATTTAAATATTTAAAACATTTTTATTTACTATTTATTAACTGCAGTTACTAATCAAGTTCACCCAAAGCAATAAAAATATCAAGAATTTATTTTAACAAGCTGGCTAATACATAATATATTTAAAGTTATAAAACCTGAATATTCCAGAGCAGGGGTACTAAACATGTAATAACAGTACAGATACACACACTGGAAGAGTGTAAATTTTTTCAAGTTCTTTAAGTGATTATAATAGGCATTAAAAATAGAAAAAAATCAACACATAAACTGTAAATACAATTTTTTATATTGCAAAAGGAAACCAAGTTCTCTTATTTATTTATTTATTTATTGAGCCAGAATCTTGCTCTGTCGCCCAGGCTGGAGTGCAGTGGCACGATCTCAGCTCACTGCAAGCTCTGCCTCCCAGGTTCACGCCATTCTCCTGCCTCAGCCTCCCCGGAGTAGCTGGGACTACAGGCGCCTGCCACCACACTCGGCTAATTTTTTGTATGTTTGTTTTTTTAGTAGAAACGGGGTTTCACCATGTTAGCCAGGATGGTCTCGATCTCCTGACCTCGTGATCTGCCGGCCTCAGCCTCCCAAAGTGCTGGGATTACAAGCGTGAGCCACCGCGCCCGGCCCCAAGTTCTCTTAATTAAAAAAAAAAAAAAAACATGAAAATTATTTTAGTGAACATCTGTTGTTTTTGCCTGTCCAGCAACCAATTGCTCTTCTCCAGAAAGCATCACCTCAATTTTTCTTTAGGAACTGTCACCCACCCTTAACTCAAATGGTTTCAAACTATATTCCTCTCCTTCCCACTCCAGGATAGGGACAAATTCCAAGCCTAGCCACACAAAGCATTCCATCACTCTGGCCACAGGGACTGCCTCTAGGATGGGCAAAGACCCAAGTCAGGTCAATGAAACTACCATACAGTGGTGCGCTGGAACTGTAGAGAAAGGGAAATTCTCTTTCTTCTTGGGTTTCTGAGGTTGAAGGAAGTAAGCCTAGTGCTGGTATTACAATCTTTCCCAGGGAATCTGACTCCAAAGCCTTACTTTTCCACACTGAATCCCAAATATGCAAAGGGAACTAGTGGTTACCTGGTAGTAAGAGAAAAGATAAATTAGGACTTTGACTTTCAATATTGTATTTTCGATAATGTTTCCATTTTCCAAAAATAAGCATATTACTTCAATAATAGGAAATTTAAAATGTTTAAAAATATTGCCCGTGTTTTCTTCTCAAACATGCTTATTCATATTTCAATATCTTAAAAGTATTAACAATTTTCTCATAATTTACCAAAGCACATAGAATATCCATCTAAAAACAATCACCTTCTTCTCCTGGCACAAAATAAAGCTATTACAATATTTTCATTTTTAAATTATGAGTGGGAGGCCAGGTACAGTGGCTCACACCTCTAATCCCAGCAATTTGGGAGGCTGAGGCGGGCGGATCACTTGAGGTCAGGGGTTCGAGACCAGCCTGGCCAACATAGTAAAACCCCATCTTTACTAACAATACAAAAATTAGCCGGGCGTGGTGGCGCACGCTCCTGTAATCCCAGCTACTTACGAGGATGAGGCAGAAGAATCACTTGAACCCCGGAGGCAGAGGTTGCAGTGAGCCAAAATCGCGCCATTGCACTGTAGCCTTGGCAACGAGAGTGAAACTCTGTCAAAAAGACAAGACAGAGCGAGACTCCGTCTCAAAAAAAAAAAAAAAAAAAAAGACAAGAAAAGAAAAGGGAAGGGGAGGGGAGGGAGAAAGAAAGGGAGAAGAAAGAAAAAAAGAAAAGAAAAGAAAGAAAAAGAAAATATGTGTGGAAAAAACAGTTGAGTAAACCTTTTTAAAAAAACTGGTTCTAGTGGCTAGGCATGGTGGCTTGTACCTGCAATCCCAGAACTTTGGGAGGCCAAGGCGGGAGGATCGCTTGAGTCTGGGAGTTCCAAGACTAGCCTGGGTAGGCCAGGTGTGGTGGCTCAGGCCTGTAATCCCAGCATTTTGGGAGGCCGAGGCAGGTGGATCACCTGAGGTCGTCAGGAGTTCGAGACTAGCCTGGCCAACATGTAAAACCCCATCTCTACTAAAAATACAAAAATTAGCCAGATGTGGTGCCGCGCCTGTAGTTCCAGCTACTTCGGAGGCTGAAGCAGGAGAATTGCTTGAACCCAGGAGGCAGAGGTTGCAGTGAGCCGAGATCACACCACTGCACTCCAGCCTGGGCAACAGAATGAGACTCCGTCCCCACCCCTCAACAAAAGGACCAGCCTCGGCAAAATGGCTGAACCCCATCTCCATTTAATTAATTAATTAATTAATTAAAAACTGGTTCTTATTTTAAAAGGGATACACTAAACAACTGCATATGGAAAAAATGGTTAATGTTCAGCAAGTGCTGCAGCCATTGTAAAAATGGCTCAAGAGATAAAGCTAACTTTAAAGACTGAAGGTGGCAAAATTGGGTTTAAAAAAGCTTTATCAATTATATTAGTCCTATAACTCTGAATAGCATAAGATCTGAAGGAGTTGGTCAGTTAAATATTTCAATTATAATTATTTTGCATAATATTGCATTATGGAGAAATTTCATATCGTTTTATTCTTTTGTTGTTGTTTTAAGAGACAGGGTATCGCTCTGTCGCCCAAGCTGGAGTGCAATGGTACGATCACAGCTCACTGCAGCCTCAACCTCGAGGGCTCAAGCCATCCTCCTGTCTCAGCCTCCCAAGTAGCCAGGACTACAGGCATGCGCCCAGCTAATTTTTGTGTTTTGTAGAGATGGTCTTGCCATATTGCCCAGGCTGGTCTCAAACTCCTAGATTCAAGGGATCCACCCGGCCTCCCAAATTGCTGGGATTATGGGCCTGAGACACCACACCCAGCCTGTTTTATTCTTAAACACAGGAAAGTTAGTCTCAAGATGCACTTCTTAGGAATGTAAACAATCTACTGAATATAGTAAATATAAAGGAAGACAGCAATAAACACTTTTGTTCTCTTGCATTTATTAGCTTCTATTAGTTTCTATCATTCTTTCCCTTTCTCCTCAGGCACACAAGCCACTCCAGAATATTCACTTTTTGTTAATATTATGTTTTATGGCTCTCAGTAAGGACACTCAGAAGATGTCAGAGACACTTGCTTGATATATTAGGTAGCCAGAGTGATGTTCTTAAGTGGAAGAGACAATCAGGGACAAACCAAGGATTGGGACAAAGAGTAGCTGGAGGCAAAAGCCACCTTCCTACAGACAAGTGGCAATGGGTTCTAAAGTTTTTAGGATAAGGCAATATTCAAAAAGCTCATTACCTGGTCCACACCAGAAACACAGTAGGTGGGTCATTCTGGCCAACACCTTTGTCTCAAGATACTGACGTTTATTATTTGTCATATGGTCCAATGAAACCTAAACTCTCCTACAGCTATCCACACCGAACTTGTTTCACCTCATGAAATGCAAACTCCTTTCTTATACTGCTCGATCACTTCCCTACGTGCCCCAAAGGGATGTTCTAATATAAACAAAGGCATATCAAAGAAGCCACCCAAACAAGTGAGATAGAAACATTTATTGATAAATAGGAAGAAAATGGGCGTTTCTAAGGTACCACAGGAAAAATAAAATATTTTACTCTAGTCCCTTAGCTATAAGATATTTATTCTACTTATATTTACTAATGGCCACCGTATTTTTTAAGACATGGAAAATTGGAAGGTAAAGAAACCATCAACCATAAGATTACAGAGAAGGCAACTTGAAGAACAGTTTGTTTTAAACTGTTCTCCCAACATTCACATAGAGTCAATAACATCTAGCTCTTTCTCAAAACAGCCTATGGCCGGCCAGAATGCGACGGTGAAAACAAAACAGGGAGAACGTAATGAAAACGGGAAGGCGCTGGAAAAGATAAAAACTGAACAGTCCGAGTAGCCTGCACTTTGTATTTCTCCTTTGAGTCCTCACTGATTTTCCACTTATTTCGATTCAGTGGTTAATATTTCTCCGTATTAGAAATCCATCTGTGAACTCCCGCACCCACTTCTAACCACATCCACAAATTCCAGGAGAGCCAGTCAAGGCTACCAGAGTGTCCCAGTCGCCTGTGAGGAGGGGGGCGTCGGCGCCAAGTTGCGAACCCGGCACTGGGAGAAGTTCTCCCGGGACGGGAGAAGGGACGGGTTGGGGTGAAGGAAAGTGGAGGACGGGAGGCAAGCAAGACTACGGACTCCTCTCCAAAAGCTGAGCGCATCAGGGAGAGACAGGTATCCCGCCAGACCCGAGAAGTAGCCGGATGCCCGGGGCGGACAAACGGCCAGCCACGAAGCCCAGTTCCCTAAGGCTGTCTCGCCAACCCCCTTCCCCTTCGCCTTCCCTAAATTGCTGTCTCCTTATACCCTCCAGAGTCCAAGACTCACGCGTCCAAACACGAGCTCCAGCAGCCTCTCGGTCAAAGCCGCCCACCTCTGACAGCCATAGAGATGAAACAGCGGAGACAAACCTCCACCCCCTCCGCCCACTCTCACGTGACTCTCCTAGCCGCTGGGCCTGTCGGGATCGTGGAGACAGGCGTGTGGGAGGGGCACAGAGGAAAAGGAACGGGGAGGGGCGGGGAAATCAACGCGCCACGCCCCAGCCTCGGGCCCCGCCCTAGCCCCGTCACTCCCCCTTACTCCCCTCAGCGTTTAGGCGGGAAAGCTGGAGAGCTCCCAGAAGCTCTCGGGCATTTCTTCTGGTTTTTTTCCCCTCCACAAGGGTCATAGGAATCTGTTGAGAAATTTACTGTGGCTTGTAACACCTCCTCGGTACCCGTTTTCGTGTTGGCTATGTTGGCTAAGCAAAAAGGAGTTCGTGAAAAGAAAACTGGACCACAGTGAGTTGGAAATTGTTTCTTTCCAACTCCGTTTAGGTTTTCTCAGAGATTAAATGTTCCTGTTTCATAACCTTGAGACTTTTTTGGATTTAGAAACCCTCACCACTTCCTCTGGTGGATGATTTTGTCAGGTGTTTTATTTGCAGACTAATATTATTGCAGAGTTTATAATCTCTAGAAGCCACTTAAAAACATGTTTTCCCTTGAAGAATGTGTTTTTTGTTTGTTTGTTTGTTTGTTTGTTTTGAGATAGAGTTTCACTCTTGATGCCCAGGCTGGAGTGCAGTGGAGCGATCTCGGCTCTCTGCAATCTCTGCCTCCTGGGTTCAAGCGATTCTCCTGCCTCAGCCTCCCAAGTAGCTGGGATTACAGGCATGCGCCACCACGCCCTACTAATTTGTATTTTTGGTAGAGACGGGGTTTTTCCATGTTGGTCAGGCTGGTCTGGAACGCCCGACCTCAGGTGATCCGCCCACCTCGGCCTCCCAAAGTGCGAGGATTACAGGCGTGAGCCACTGCGCCCGGCTGAAGAAGGTGTTTTTATCAGAAAAATGGGATGGCAAAGGATCCTCACCCCTGCTGTGGAAATAGGATGGAAATATGACTATAATACCAGAGAATTTTTTTGGGGGGGGGGCAGCGGGGTGTTGGTTGGTTGTTTGTTCGTTTGTTTTGAGACGGAGTCTCGCACTGTCGCCCAGGTTGGAGTGCAGTGATGCTCACTGCAACATCCTCCTCCCAGGTTCAAGTGATTCTTCTGCCTCAGCCTCCCGAGTAGCTGAGATTACAGGCACGCCCCACCACGCCCGGCTAATTTTTGTATTTTTAGTACAGACGGGGTTTCGCCATGTTGGGCAGGCTAGTCTCAAACTCCTGACCTCGGGCGATCCTCCCGTCTCGGCTTCCCAAAGTGCTGGGATTAACAAGTGCGAGCCACCTCGCTGGTCCCAGAGAACTTTCAAATAATTTTTTTTTCCCAAGAATTTACGTAGCAGAGCTGTGGAAAAGGCAACAACCATGGAAACAAAGCCAACAAAACCATCCCTGGGGTAAATTGTGAAGTAAGCAGAATCAACTCTGTTTTCTCCATTTCTTCTCAGACCCAACTAACCTAAGTACAATAGATGATTGTGTTCATGGCTCTGTGCTAGCGCTTTACATACAACCCAGTGCTTGTCTACAACCACTCTAGGATGGATACTGTTTTATTCATTTGCAGATAGGGAAGCAGGCTGACACCCCTAGGTAATGCAGTACATGCAGTAGCGGGACATAGACCTGACCTGAAGGCCTCTGAGGCTTCCACTCTTAAATGATGTAATTCAGGCCGGGCGCGGTGGCTCACGCCTGTAATCCCAGCACTTTGGGAGGCTGAGGCGGGCGGGTCAGGAGATCGAGACCATCCTGGCTAACACGGTGAAACCCTGTCTCTACTAAAAATACAAAAAATTAGCCAGGCGTGGTGGCGGGCGCCTGTAGTCCCAGCTACTCGGGAGGCTGAGACAGGAGAATGGCAGGAACCCGGGAGGCAGAGCTTGCAGTAAGCCAAGATCGTGCCACTGCACTCCAGCCTGGGCGACAAAGCGAGACTCCGTCTCAAAAAAAGAAAGAAAGATTTGCTGAAATTCAATTCTAATTTTAGGCAACATTTGTCTATATAAAACTAATCAGTCAAACTAACTGTTAAATAACATTTAAAAACATAAATCATTGTTTCTCAAACGTTTTGGTCTTAGGACCCCTATACACTTAAAAATTATTGAGGACTCAAAATAACTTTTATTTATGTGTGTTATACCTATCGATATTTACCATATTCGGCCAGGCAGAGGCTAATACCTATAATCTCAGCATTTTGAGAGACTGAGATGGGATGATCACGTGAGGCTAGGACTTTGAGGCTACAGTGAGCTATGATCATGCCACTGCACTCCAGCCTGCGCAACAGCGCAAGAACCTGTCTCTATAAACTTTTTTTAATTTAGCATATGAGGACTTAAAATTGAGGCCGGGTACAATGGCACCCAGCACTTTGGGAGGCAGAGGCGGCAGATCACCTGAGGTCATGAGTTCGAGACCATCTTGGCCAACATGGTGAAACCCTATCTCTACTAAAAATACAAAAATTAGCCAGGCATGGTGGCACACGCCTGTAATCCCAGCTACTCAGGAGGCTGAGGTAGGAGAATCGCCTGAATCCGGTAGACAGAGGTTGCAGTGAGCCAGGATCATGCCACTGCACTCCAGCCTAGGCCTCAGTGACAGAGCAAGACTCAGTCTCAAAAAAAAAAAAGAGAAAAGAAAGAAAATTAAAATTGAAATTATTTTAATGTGTACTTAGTCATTTAAAAATAATAGATCCATTATATGTTGACATAAATAATGTATTCTTAAGAAAAACAACTTCAAAAAAAAAGAGTAGCATGGTTTTACATTATTGCAAATTTCTTTTCTTTTTTTTTGAGACAGAGTCTCACTGTGTCGCCCAGGCTGGAGTGCAGTGGCACGATCTCGGCTCACTGCAACCTCTGCTTCCCGGTTTCAAGTGATTCTCCTGCCTCAGCCTCCTGAGTAGCTGGGATTACAGGCGCATGCCACCACGCCCGGCTAATTTTTTTGTATTTTTAGTAGAGACGGGGTTTCACCATGTTGATCAGGCCGGTCTCAAACCCCTGACCTCGTGATCCGCCCACATCGTCCTCCCAAAGTACTGGGATTACAGGCATGAGCCACTGTGCCCGGCTGCAAATTTCTTTAATGTCTGGCTTAATAGAAGACAGATTCTTGTATCTTTTCTGCATTAAATGTTTGCACTCTTACACTTCATGTAGCCTCTGGCAAACTCTACTATATACTCAAGAAAGAATTAGAGCGATAAGGCAAATAACAGTGTATTAGTAAGAAAACAGTCTTGACCTTACAGATTACTAGAAAGGGTTTCAGGAAACCTCCAGTGGTCTTTGACCACACTTTGAGAACCACTGTTTTAAACCATACAAATGTTAAATGCTATTGTATATTTTGTCTAGTCATTTTGGCATCAAGTAGAACATTTAATGGAAAGGAGAACAAGACAGAGACAATTTACAGACTAGGCCAATCTTATACAAATAAATATGAGATGTGAGTATTCTTTCTTCATTTCTTTTTTTTTTTCTTTTTTTGAGACGGAGTCTTGCTGTGTCACCCAGGCTAGAGTGCAGTGGCACAATCTTGGCTCACTGCAACCTCCACCTCCCAGGTTCAAGTGATTCTCCTGCCTCAGCCTCCTGAGTAGCTGGGATTACAGGCATGCGCCACCATGCCTGGCTAATTTTTGTGTTTTTAGTAGAGATGGGGTTTCACCATTTTGGCCAGGCTGGTCTCGAACTCCTGACCTCGTGATCCACCCGCCTCAGCCTCCCATAATGCTTGGATTACAGGCGTGAGCCACCGCATCTAGCTCCTTCTTCATTTCCAAGAGTATAGAGTAAGTTAGCAGAATTCAAGGTCATAACCAAACACAGCTATATTCTACATTAGAAATCTGTCCATCAATTCAGTATTGTTTTTCAGGATGCTATGCAATGTGTTCCGAGTCATATAAATGTATGATATCACTAATCAAGGTTTATATCTCCTGTACAAACTAATAATAAGACTCCTCTGGTGACCAATAAAATTTGAAGTCAAAATTCTTTCACAGACATATATTGAATACCTACATATTAATATATGTAATGCTCACAACTAGTGCTGGGCTTGTAAAAATTTATAAGCTCGATTCCTGCCCTTGGGCAACTTGTATCTATAATGAGACTTGCACCACCGTAAAAATGTATTTTTTAACAAGTTCAGTAGTTCCCAAACCAGTCTGGTGATCAAATGCCTGGGAATTATCTGAGGAGATTTTTAAAATACAGATTCTTGGATCATGAGACACACTGCTTCAGTGAACCAGGGTGATGCTCTGGAATCTGGATTTTAAAAGTCCCAGGTGATTCCCCTGCAATGATAGGATTGGGAATGAATACTAAGTCCTGTATACTTGACAAATAGATTTGATCTTTGCCCCCAGGACTATCATACTATCATATGCAAAATATAATGTTTATTTATTTCATCTTCAGTATTTCAAAAGTGTGTTGTGTTGAAAGATCTGTGTTATCAAGGGACAGTATTTAATGTCATTCACTAAAAATAGAAATTGGTGTCCTTATGTCATACATTTTATAGTTCATCTATTCTTATCACATTAAAATAATATGTGTTACCACAGCAGTCTCCAACATATCACACCACTGT
The DNA here is from genome assembly GCF_000001405.40 of Homo sapiens. Classification (NCBI taxonomy): domain Eukaryota; kingdom Metazoa; phylum Chordata; class Mammalia; order Primates; family Hominidae; genus Homo; species Homo sapiens. Next base: position 72,630,749 of record NC_000010.11, read on the forward strand.
AAAAAACAAAAACATCTTTTGCAACAAGTATCAGACTACAAAAAGTTTATTTTCTAAAGCTTTCATTCAGTTTCTTTAAAATGAATTCAATGAGATGGTCTTTGTTTTATTACACTTATCTTCAGGGTTCCATAGATTATGGTATCTCAAAACCTATGCAGTCGTCCATCACAAACTCCTTTTGAATATATATATCAGAGACAGAGACAGAGAAACAAAGAGACAGAGAGTCTTAGAGTCTTACTCTGTCGCCCAGGCTGGAATGCAGTGCACCATCTCAGCTCACTGCAGCCTCAACCTCCCAGGCTCAAGTGATCCTCCCGCCTCAGCCTCCTGAGTAGCTGAGACTACAGGTGCAAACCACCAGCCCTGGCTAATTTTTTGTAATTTTTGTAGAGACAACATATCACTATGTTGCCCGGGCTGGTCTCGAACTCCTTGGCTCAAGAGATCCACCCACCTTGGCCTCCCAAAGTGCTGAGATTACAGGTGTGAGCCACCACACCCAACCTTTTTGAAGTTATATTGTACTTGAGTAGCTATCTAGAGACTTATGACCCATAGTTGTTCTTGCAGTGAGTATTCTTCTCTAATACTTATAGCCAGAATTAATTATGTTCAAATAAATATGAAAAAAATTTTAAAAAAGCTTAAATGTTTCCTGGCTTTTTACCACTAGGAGGTGGGAGGATGGCATAAATATGATGATTTATAAAAATTGACATATTCTCCTTGATTTTATGATTGAAACTAACTTCAAAATTAAAGAATCTCTGCCCAGATCTTGATTTCTGAACTACCTTTCTCCACAAAAAGGAACTAAGTCTTCTTGAAAACAGGGCTGGTTTCAAGTCTACAGCAGGAATGTACAAGATGACCTGGAACATCTTGTTGTGTCCAAAAGTAAGGAAGCAATCAGAAAATAAAATGAGGACATGTCAAAGGGAGCCAGCTTGAAGGCCCATCACTGGCCAAATCTGGGATAATTGGAGTACCAGCATAAGAACAGTAATAAGTGGCTGGGCGGGATGGCTCACGCCTGTAATCCCAGCACTTTGGGAGGCCGAGGCGGGCATATCACAAGGTTAAGAGATTGAGACCATCCTGGCCAACATGGTGAAACCGTGTCTGTACTAAAAAAATACAAAAGTTAGCTGAGTGTGGTGGTGCGTGCCTGTAGTCCCAGCTACTCGGGAGGCTGAGGCAGGAGAATCGTTTGAACCCAGGAGGCAGAGGTTGCAGTGAGCCAAGATCACACCACTACACTCCAGGCTGGCAACAGAGCCAGACTGTCTCAAAAGAAAAAAAAAAAAAGAACAGTAGTAAGTTACAGCCACTGAATAAAATAAGAATCCAACAATCTATATTAAGGAGAGAAAGAGAAATGGGGAAATCAGACAGTGGCTTTCCTTAAAGTAGACTACTTGCTGATAAATCCAAAGAGAGTGGTGGAGTTGGGAAAACCACCATTTTGCAACTATCATGGTAAAGATTGGTTTGGGCAAACATTATCAGTTAAATCCGGCAGGGGTTGGGCAGGGAATTTTATGAGAAGCAGGGTATTTTTATGTTTCAAAGCATCTCCCCACAGATTTTATATTTTTTACAAAAGGAAATGGTAACTATATAACAGAAACTATGCAACACTTTGATCCCTATGATATAGTACTCTGAGAAGAACACAATATCACTTGAATCTGATCATGAGGAAATATCAACCAAACCCATATTGAGGAGCATTCTGTGAAATAACCATCATGAAAGGAAAAAAATGGCAGAGGAACTAACTATTCCATATTAAAAGAGACTAAGGAGACTTGACCAAAAAAAGTCAGTACATGATCCTAAATTGGAACTTATACCAGAAGGGGCAAATGCTATAAAATATCCATTGGAACAATTGACAAAATTGGAATGTGGACCGCAGATTAGATAAAAGTAGCTCCTACATTTGACAACTGTGGTGATTATTAAAAGGAATATCTTTTTTCTTAGTAAGTATACACTAAAGTATGAAGAGGAAAGGGGCATGACGTAAGCAACCTATTCTCAAATGGGTCAGAAAAAATAAATCAAAATATCTAAAGGGAGAAAATGATAAAGCAAATGGAAAAAAATGTTTGAAATTGGTGAATACAAAGAAATGATATTCAGGATTTCTCTACTATTGCACTTTTTTCTATAAATTTAAATAGTTTTTGTAAAGAAAAAAGTTAGGCCAGGTGCGGTGGCTCACACCTGTAATCCCAGCACTTTGGGAGGCCTAGGTAGGTGGATCACCTGAGGTCAGGAGGTCGAGACCAGCCTGACCAACATGGAGAAACCCTGTCTCTAATAAAAATGCAAAATTAGCTGCGCATGGTGGCGCATGCCTGTAATCCCAGCTACTTGGGAGGCTGAGGCAGGAGAATCACTTGAACCCGGGAGGCGGAGGTTGCAGTGAACCGAGATTGCATCACTGCACTCCAGCCTGGGCAACAAGAGCGAAACTCCATCTCAGAAGGAAAAAAAAAAAAAAAAAAAGTTAACGGCTCCCCAGCTTCCTGTAAGCATCATCTAAACTTTCCTCTAAAATAATTGCTCTCTTAGACATCATTCCAGAGTGGGACAGAACATTCATCATCAACTCTTTAATTGATTTTAGTTATTTTATTTCCACTTTTATTAGTAAAGTCATGTGGTAGTTATCTTTTATGATTTTAGTTGATTATATACTTCCAATAAGAAGAAAACCTGCTGAATTTAAAAAAGACCAAAACATTTCCCAATCCCTCTTACAGGAACTTTTCTCATTTGCAACTAAAATTTAATTCTAGATGTTTTAAGAAATTGATTAGTTGAGCCAATTACCCAGAATAATTAAGGTTAAACAAGGGAGAAAAAGCAAAGTTAGTATACTTGTTCCAGTTTTCTTATTTTAGGCGATTAGTTTTCGGCTTCCTGTAAGCATCATCTAAAGTTTCCTCTAAAAGAATTCCTAAATTGGTTTTTTCCCTATTTTTAAATTTTGTCTCTTATAAATTTAAACTTTCTTTATTACAAAGGTATGCAGACGCTTAAATTCAAACAATTAAGGAGCATTAGAAATAAAAAGTAAGCCCTCCTCTCCACTCTAATGTTACCCACAGAGATAACTACTATTAAGTTTTTGTATCCTTCTAAACTCTTTGTGCTTATATCAATGTACGTATCTGTTTATTTACACAATTTTTTTAAATGGGAATAGTTCTGTACAATAGGTTCTTTTTCATTATTTTTATTTTTATTTTAGAGATAGAGTCTCACTGTGTTGCCCAGGCTAGATTGCAGTGGTGAGATCATAGCTCACTTCAGCCTTGAACTCCTGGGCTCAAATGATTCTCCTGCCAAGTAGCACGTGGCACAACACCTGGCTGGCTATTTTTTTTATATATATATACAAATAGGGTCTCACTATGTTGCTAGTCTCAAATTCCTGGCCTCAAGCAATCCTCCTGCCTCAGCCTCCCAAAGTGCTGAGATTACAGGCGTGAGCTACCATGCCTGGCCCTCACTCTATACAATATGTTCTTTTTTTTTTTTTTTTTTTTTTTTTTTGAGATGGAATCTCGCTGTTGTTGCCCAGGCTGGAGTGCAATGGCTCGATAGTCTTGCCTCACTGCAACCTCCACCTCCCAGGTTCAAGCGATTCTCCTGTCTCAGCCTCCTGAGTAGCTGGGATTAGAGGCGCCCACCACCATGCCTGGCTAATTTTTGTATTTTTGGTAGAGACGGGATTTCGCCATGTTGGCCAGGCTGGTCTCGAACTCCTGACCAAAGTGCTGGGATTACAGGTGTGAGCCACCACACCTGGCCTACAATATGTTCTTGTGTTTAATTTTTAACAGATAAGTCTTTGTTTACTTAATTTTTATTTTATCAAAGCTGTGCATATGTAATTTTTATATGTAGTCTTAAAATTCAGATAATTCAAGCAAAAATTTTTTCTAATGATTATGTAACACATTCAGATGGTGTAGAATCCAAAAACTGCAAATATATATACTATGAAAAGTCTTGGCTGGGCACGGGGCTCATGCCTGTAATCCTAGCACTTTGGGTGGCCAAGGCAGACAGATCACCTGAGGTCAGGAGTTTGAGACCAGCCTGGCCAACATGGCAAAACCCTGTCTCTACTAAAAATACACAAATTAGCTGGGCATGGTGGCAGGCGCCTGTAATCCCAGCTGCTTGGGAGGCTGAGGCAGGAAGAATCACTTGAACCTGGGAGGCGGAGGTTACAGTGAGCCAAAGATCACACCATTGCACTCCAGCCTGGGCAACAAAGAGAGACTTGGTCTCAGAAAAAAAAAAGAAAGAAAGAAAAGAAAAGAAAAGAAAAGCCTCCCTTCCACCTTTGTTCCTGAGACACCCAAATCTACTTATAGGCAACCAATTACAGTTTTAATGCATCCTTCATTCATACACAAACACACACACACACATTTTTTTTAAAGAGATGGGGTCTCACCCTGTTGCCCAAGCTGAAGTATAGTTGTGCAATCACAGGTCACTGCACCCTCAAACTCCTGGGCTCAGGCAATCCTCCTGCCTCAGCCTTCTGAGTAGCTGGGACTACAGAGATGTGCCACCACACACACACACACACACACACACACACACACAGCTAATTTTTTTTTTTTGGAGAGACAGGGGTTTTACCATGTTGCCCAGCTGGTCTTGAACTCCAGGGCTCAAGCGATTCTCCCACCTCAGCCTCCCAAAGTGTTGGAATTATAGACGTGAGCCACCGCACCTGGACTTAAAAATAGTATTTCAAACTGTATAGTCACCAGAAGTACACAGTTATAAAAAATGCAGGCCATGCCGGGCATGGTGGCTTATGCCTGTAATCCCAGCACTTGGGGAGGCCGAGGCGGGCGGATCACAAGGTCAGGAGATTGAGACCATCCTGGCTAACACGATGAAACCCCATCTTTACTAAAAAAAATACAAAAAAATTTAACCGGGCGTGGTGGCACGCGCCTGTGGTCCCAGCTACTCTGGAGGCAGAGGCAAGAGAATGGCGTGAACCTGGGAGGCAGAGCTTGCAGTGAGCCGAGATCGCACCACTGCACTCCAGCCCAGGCGACAGAGCGAGACTCCATCTCAAAAATAAAAAATAAAAAAATGCAGGCCAGACGCAGAGGCTCACACCTGTAATCCTAGCACTTTGGGAGACCGAGGTGGGTGGATTACCTGAGGTCAGGAGTTCAAGACCAGCCTGGCCAACATGGTGAAACCCCTTCTCTACTAAAAATAAAAAAATTAGCTGGGTGTGGTGGCAGGTGCCTGTAGTCCCAGCCACTCAGGAGGCTGAAGCAGGAGAATCGCTTGAACCTGGGAGGCGGAAGTTGCAGTGAGCCGAGATCATACCACTGCACTCCAGACAAATAAATAAATAGGCCGGGCTTGGTGGCTTACACCTATAATCTCAGCACTTTGGGAGGCCAAGGCAGGCGGATCACGAGGTCAGGATTTGGAGACCAGCCTGGTCAACATAGTGAAACCCCATCTCTACTAAAAATACAAAAATTAGCTGGGCATGGTGGTGCACGCCTGTAGTCCCAGCTGCTTGGGAGGCTGAGGCAGGAGAATCGTTTGAACCCGGGAGACGGAGGTTGCAGTGAGCCGAGATCACACCACTGCACTCCAGACTGGGCAACAGAGTGAGACTTTGCCTAAAAAAACAAACAAACAAACAAACAAACAAAAAAAACTGCAGACACTTCACTTGGCATCTCCAGTGCCTTCAGCTTTCTGTGCCTGGTCTGTTTGGGCATCTCTATTTTCCGCAGGTTTATTCCCCTCCTTGCCAGCATCAGCCTTTCCCTTTTTCTCTTTGGGTACCTTCTCTCCCTTCTTTACAGGGCACTTTTAGGCTTGGGCTCTGGCTTTGGAGGAGCAGGTTTAGCAGACAACCTTTCAGATCTTCTCTGAGGTTTGTCCTTCACCATGGCTTTATCTCCTTTAACATCCCCTTCAACCCTTCTCTTGGGCTTGGTAACCATGGTGGCGGAACATAGGCACTGATTGCAGAGATGCAGGGCGCATAGGCTTTGGTCAATTGGGGGTCGTTCTCGCCTCTTCTTCACACTGCTCCATTTTGAAGATCTTTTGCTATCATTATATAAACAGCTATCTGCTTTTTATATTGTGACATGATATTTCATTGTATACATATGCCTTTATTTAATCAGTCACCTGATTTATGTAATCAAACATTTATTTCCAATTTTTGTTCTTACAAATAATCTGCAATAAGTCATGTGCATGACTCACACCTGTAATCTCAGCACTTTGGGAGGCTGAGGCAGGAGGATTGCTTGAGGCCAGGAGTTCAAGACCATCCTGGGCAACAGAGAGACCCCCATTTCTACAAAAAATAAAAATAAATTAGCCAGGCATAATGGCACGCACCTTTGGTCCCAGCTACTTGGGACACTGAGGCGGCAGGATCACTGGAGTCAAGAATTGGAGGCTGCAGTGAGTTATGATCATGCTACCACATTCTGCCTGGGCTACAGAGTAAGATCCTACGTCAAAAAATTTTTTTGCAATAAATAACCTTAAATATACACCATTTTTGTCTATGTGTGAGTCTATGTAAACTCCTGGAAATGAAGCTGTGGAGCCGTGAGTTTCACAGACTGATTTCTCTTGGAAGCAGACTTTGGGACAGAAATTTAGAGTTCCAGACATTTATTGGGAGGTATTCTTGGGTTCAACAGCTATGAAAGGGAGAAGGAAGACGGAATTTGGCAGAAGCAGAAGCTGGCCTGTGATGCACTCATGCAGCCTAAGATAACCCCGTCGGAAAGCTGTGGAGCTGAAATGACTCAGCAGAGTTGTCCTGCACTGGGGGGAAATGGCAAGTCCTTTATATCAGTCATTGGATGTGGGTTGCCACAAAAAAGCATATCCTTGGGTGAGACAGCTCTTTGCTGCTGAGGCAAAACTTGAAGGGGCTGACAAATGAAGACTGTCTGCTGACAGAACTCCTAGCAGCTGGGGCAAAAAGATCTTTCTGGAAAGGGGTGTCTACATTTTGTAATTTTTATAATTTTACCAAATTGACATGACAAGTTATTTTTTATTTATTTTTATTTATTTATTTGTTTTTTGAGACAGAGTCTCGCTCTGTCCCCCAGGCTGGAGTACAGTGAGGCCATCTCGGCTCACTGCAACCTCCACCTCCTGGGTTCAAACAATTCTCCTGCCTCAGCCTCCCGAGTAACTGGGACTACAGGTGCCCACACCACACCCGGCTAATTTTTGTATTTTTTTAGTAGAGATCGGATTTCACCATATTGGCCAGTCTGGTCTCAAACTCCTAACCTTGTGATCTGCCCGCCTCGGCCTCCCAAAGTGCTGGGATTACAGGCGTGAGCCACCACGCTGGTTGACAACATGACAAGTTATACTCCACAAGCAATGTATGAGAATGTCTGTTTACCCATTATCCTCCCCAACATAATGTATTATAAAAATTCTGTATATTTGCCAATCTGGTTAGGTAAAAATGTGACATCTCCATGAGGTATTAATTTTTCTTTTTTTTTTTTTTTTTTGAGATGGAGTTTTACTCTTGTTGCCCAGGTTAGAGTACAATGATATGGTCTCAGCTCACTGCAACCTCTGCCTCCCAGGTTCAAGCAATTCTCCTGCCTCAGCCTCCCAAGTAGCTGGGACTACAAGTGGGTGCTACCACGCTTGGCTAATTTTTGTATTTTTAGTAGAGACGGGGTTTCACCATGTTGGTCAGGCTGGCCTTGAACTCCTCACCTCAGGTGATCCGCCCACCTCGGCCTCCCACAGTGCTGGGATTACAGGCGTGAGCCACCACTCCCTGCCTTATCGAGGGTTTTCTCACAACATGGTGGAGACGGTTAAAGGGGAAGTAGATGCATGTGAAGAGGGGGAAACCTGAGGGCATCCTGACTTTATAACAACCTGTTCTCTCAGGAATTAATCCATTCCTGAGAAAATTAATACAGTTTCTCAAGAGCAAAAATTAACTGCCTGACCAAATAGCACCAAGTCTTTCATGAAGGATCTGCTCCCATAATGCACATGCCTCCCACTAGGCCCCACCACCCAGCACTGTCAAGTTGGGGATCAAATTTCAACATGAGTTTTCTGGGGACAAACAAAGCATATTGAAACCATAGCACTAGGTAAATGTTATTCACAACTGATTCATGTGGACTGCTATAATTACCTTTCTTTATGCCATTTCCTGGTTTATCTACAGTTAATAATTGATTCCTTTATTTACTTTGCTTAGTTTTCTCTGTGTCTATCACTAATTCTTCCTTCAACTCTTTAACAGATGTATCACTGCAGTCTGTGCTACCAACATCTTTCGCCTGAATTATTGGGATAATTGCTTCCTTATTAGGCAATCCAGTTGCTTCTTTATTATCTCTGTTTCCACCCTTGTCTGCCAATAGTCTATTCTCAAATGGAAGCAAGAGTGAACCTTGTAAAAATGTATGCCAATTGTTTCACTTCTATAACAGCTCTCCATTTTCCTCAGAAGCAAAGCAAGTTATTACAGTCATCCATAAGGCCCACAGGATCTGACATATCCCCCCTACCCTGTACCTCTCTGACCTCATTTCTCTTGCTCCTGCATCTCTACCTCTTACACTTCTTCACCCTTACTGGCAATTCCGTCTTCCTAGAAAGTTCTGCCACATATCCACACGTCTAATTGCCTAACTTCCCTCAGGTCTTGGCTTAAATGTTACTTCACAATGAGGTCTATCTTGACTATCCTATTTAAAGCTGTAATACACACTCTACCACCTCCCCATCTACAGCAGTTTTAATCCTCCTTCCCCTGCTTTACTTTGTCTTTTTTTACAGCCTTTATCACCTTCTAATATGTTACACAGTTTGCTTATTTATTATCTCACTTCCCCTTCTAGAATGAATGCTCCCTGAAAGTGGCTCCATGTTTGTGACTCAAAGTGGGTACTCAATAAATATTCATTGTGAATGAATGTATTTTCTTATAAAATGTTCAAACTCATCAGAAAAGCTACCCCTTTCGGCCAGGCGTGGTTGTTCATGCCTGTAATCCCAGCACTCTGGGAGGCCGAGGTAGGAGAATGGCTTGAGTCCAGGAGTTTGAGACCAGCTTGGGCAATATAGTGAGACCCCATCTCAAAAAAATAAATAAATAAACAAATAAATAGGCCGGGCTTGGTGGCTTACGCCTATAATCCCAGCACTTTGGGAGGCCGAGGCAGGTGGATCACGAGGTCAGGAGTTGGAGACCAGCCTGGTCAATGTAGTGAAACCCCATCTCTACTAAAAATACAAAAATTAGCTGGGCATGGTGGTGCACGCCCGTAGTCCCAGCTGCTTGGGAGGCTGAGGCAGGAGAATCGTTTGAACCCGGGAGACGGAGGTTGTGGTGAACTGAGATCATGCCACTGCACTCCAGCCTGGGCAACAGGGCGACTGAGATCTTATATGTCTGAAAATGTCTTTAGTCCAGCTGTGTGCTTAGCTGATAGTATGACTAGGAATAGAACTCTAGATTAGAAATACTTTTCCTTGAGGATTTTCAAGATATTGCAGCACTGTCTTCTAGCTTCCAGTGTTGGTTTCAAGAAGTACAATGTAATTTTGTTTCTTGAGCTTTTAAATGTTTTTTCTCTGAAAGTTCTTAGGGTCTTCTCTCTTTTCTCCCCTGGTGCATGGCCAAAAAAGGAATCATCAGGCAAATTAATGGCCTTACAATTATAACTGACAATTATAATGGCCTTATGATTACAACAATTATTATAAAAATTGAAGCTCGGCCAGGTGTGGTGGCTCACACTTGTAATCCCAGCACTTTGGGAAGCCAAGGCAGGAGGATCGCTTGAGCCCAGGAGTTCAAGACCAGCATAGGCAAGATGGCGAGACCCCATCTCTATATTTAAAAAAAAAAATTGGTCAGGCATAGTGGCTCACGCCTGTAATCCCAGCACTTTGGGAGGCTGAGCCAGGCAGATCACTTGAGGCCAGGAGTTCAAGACCAGCCTAGCCAACATAGTGAAACCCCATCTCTATTAAAAATACAAAATATTAGCTGGGTGTAGTGGCACATGCCTGTAATCCCAGCTACTCAAGAGACTGAGGCATGAGAATTGCTTAAACCCAGGAGGCGGAGGTTGCAGTGAGATGAGATTGCCACTGCACTCCAGGCTGGGAGACAGATAAGATTCTGTCTCAAAAAAAAAAAAAAAAAAAAAAAAAATTGAAGCTCATACTCTTAAAACCAACCCTAAATATCAAGGAAATGCCGTAGTTGATTTTCTTTTCTTTTCTTTTTGAGACGGGGTCTCACTCTGTCACCCAGTCTGCAGTGCAGTGGCATGATCATGGCTCACTGCAGCCTTGATATCCCGGACTCAGGTGATCCTTCCACCTTAGCCTCCTGAGTAGCTGAGACTACAGATGCACACCCCACATCCAGATAATTTTTTTTTTTTTGGTAGAGATGAGGTTTTGCCATGTTGCCCATGCTGGTCTTGAACAACTGGGCTCAAGTGATCCACCTGTCTCGGCCTCCCAAAGTGCTGGGATTACAGGCGTGAGCCACCATACCCAGCCACCATGGCTGATTTTCATACTAAACCTGCCACCCAGTGAAAGTAAGTTGTATGCTCTGAATGAGATTCATTCAAAAGACATTAAAGAAATCCAACATTTACATGAATGACAGAATAATGCCCCAGAAACTGAAAAACAAAATTAGGGAAATAAAGGATGCAAGATAATTAAGGGATTCTGGGAGGGCCCAGATGGCTGCTTATTACTTCCCAAATCCTTCAAAAGTGCCATTCCTCTGAGCATTTAATTTTTTTACTTACCAAGAGGTGGATAAAATTATTCAGATTCTAACAAAACATTGATGAGGAAACTTTTCGAAATCAGGCAAACAAGTCTATGATCAATGTCTGACTTATGAAAACCATAACCCTGGAAAAACCATTAAAGTGGCCCCTGGAATAACTGCCCCACCATCAGGGCCATTTGAATACCCACAGATGGACTTCAGTAAGTTGCTCACCTCTATGGGTTATCCAGTATATACTTATCATAATCTGTATCTCCTCAGCGTGAGTAGAAGCTTTTCCCTGCTGAAAGCACTGGTGCAATTACTATAGCCAAAAAGTTACTAGAGAACATTTTTCCACTTTGGAGAATTTCCAGCAAAATTTTAAGTGATGGAGGAACACACTTCACTAAACAAGTCATAAAACAAGTCAAAATCTTAAGGCCATCCAAGCATTATAGCATTACCATTGCCCCATTACATCCAATCTTCTGGAAAGGTAGAAAGAAAGAACCAATGGTGCTTTAAAATTAGCAAAACTAACTGAAACAGGACTACCCTGGCCTGAAATACTTCCCTTAGCTCTTATAACAATAAGATCTATACCTTTTGGAAAACATAAATGAACCCTTTATGAGATTGTCACTGGATAACTTATGCCCTTAATGGATAACTTATGCCCTTAATGATAGAACCCCATGTTCATCAACTCTTGTAAACTCTGATATGATCCAATATTGTAAAGCACTAATGCAGTATTCAAAAGCTTATTGCCACCAGGTACAAGGAGCCTTCAGAGGCATTCTTCCCCTCAAGGACATTGTACCCCACACATTGGAAGCGGGTGACTGGATATTCGGGGAAAAAAAGTCAACAGAAAACTGCACTTGAAACTTCCTGGAAGGGACCTTATCAGGTTCTTTTAGCCTCACACACAGCAAGTTGCAATTCATTGAACCTTGGGTTCATGTTTCTTGATGAAAAAGAGCTCCCAATTAGCTGCACATCGTGGTGTGTGCCTGTAATCCCAGCTACTCGGGAGGTTGAGACAGGAGAATCTCTTGAACCTGGGAGGTGGAGGTTGCAGTGAGCCAAGATCGTGCCACTGCACTCCCGCCTGGCGCAACACCATCTGAAAAAAAAAAAAACAAAACTCTCACAAAGTCTTGGACCTGTTAACGTACAGCTGACTTAAAATTAAGGATATCTAGGGAAATGTTTTCCCCAGAAGCAGATGACAACATGAGGTTGACAGCTTCCACTAAAGAACGTGGGTCAAGAACCCATTGGATTTTATTTTATTTTGTCAAGATTTTCTATTTCCATTATAATTATTGTAATCCTGCTACTTTGCAAACTAAGACAAAATGGTTAAACTCATATTCCTACTCCTTGTTAGAGGCCTTCATCGCACAGGCTGAACACTCACTAAAGTCTACTGTTACGCATATAGCCTTCCTTACTAACCAGAGCGATGGTGGTTATATCGCCATTTAAATGCTTGGGAAGAATCTCAGCTAATACTAGAACTAGCCCCCATACACACTTGGGTGATAAACTTGGGAAAATGCCTTTGCAAAAAGGTTTGGCATCCTTCTGCTAGCAAATCAAATCATTTAACTAATACTTAATGGCCAACTGTTTTGGCATTGGAAAGAAACATTAGAAGCCAAAGTATGGCCCATAAGTACTAAAAAATTTGTTACTGGTAACTTCTCTCTACACATAGAAATCCTTAATGATGCTGGGCCTGACTTAGGTGAGCTCCCAGACTCCTGTAATCAAACCCTCTGGTTTGATTCAGATGGTAGAGGCTGGACTCATATATAATGAGACAGATATAAAAACAGAAAATGGCAATGACACCCTCATTCACACCATTAAAGAGGTCACTGAAACTATACATTGGTTTAATAGAAACTCTAAAGGCAAGTTAAATGCCTCTCTAATACCATTATATAAGGTTACCAACAGTTTTACATACTGATAGATCAAAATTCAGGTCGCATCCAGAAAGAGAACCAGTCTTACCTAATTGGTAATGGTACACATGGATTACTTTATCAAGCCATAGAAATGTCTTTTTCTCCTATCCTAGTTTAAACCACGGTCATTCAAACTAGGAATGCAAAGATGCCAACATGATTAAAAGTAATCATGATCTTTGTATCACATCTGGTTTTTTGGTAATGGGATCCACCATAACTTTACATCAGTGACACTGCGTTATTTGTTCTTTGTTGTAATAAGATACATGGACAAAGGTTTCCTACCCAAATGGTCTAGATGCTATGGTACAGGATATCTCTCACCCCAAATAACCAAATATGACTTTTTTATTTTATTTTATTTTATTTTATTTTATTTATTTATTTATTTTTGAGACAGGGTCTTGCTCTGTTGCCCAGGCCAGAGTACAGTGGTGCAGTCTTGGCTCACTGCAACCTCCACCTGCCTGGTTCAAGTGATTCTCCTGCCTCAGCCTCCCACGCAGCTGGGACTACAGGCCTGCCCCACCACACCCAGCTAATTTTTGTATTTTTGATAGAGACGGAGTTTCACCATATTGGCCAGGGTGGTCTCGAACTCCTGACCTCGTGATCCACCCACCTCAGCCTCCCAAAGTGCTGGGATTACAGGCGTGAGCCACCGCGCCTGGCTGACTTTTTAAATACTAGTCAAGTTACTAACTTGGGATCATTTGTACATAAAGTAACCTCCCACTAAAAAAATTTTTATGAGCTTTGAAATCCAGTTATACACATGAGCTCTGGATTTCATCCTTTTGTTAGAGTACTCTTCCTTCAACTACGAGTCTCTGAACTAGAAAAATCACTTATCAATATTTCTATAACTCTCAAAAAGTATTAATGATATCTTAATTTACTTTCAAGTAATAGAATCCATGAGTAGTTTAGCTTTAGCTGTACTCTAGAATAGGAGAGTTTGTGATACCCAAACTGCTCAAGGAGGAGCTTGTGCTCTTATCGAAGAAAAAAAATGCTGTTTTTCTGTTAATAAGTCAGGAATTATAGCCCAAAATCTTAGAGATTTTGATCTTTTAGATCAGACCCAAATATTACAACACTTTGGAGAGGCACAATCAGTTGATGTATTTAATTGGTTAAATCTTGGCTCTTGGGGAGTTTGGCTTTGGGATATTTTTCAAACCTCAAATAGGAGGTGTTACCCTCCTATTAGTCATATTCATAATATTCCTTGAACCTTATATTCTCCTAAGAGTCTTAAACGCTTGTTAGCAGCCACTGACTCAACAGATGATCTTCATGAAGACTGAACATCAAAAACTACATGAACAAGAATCATCAGAAGAACGCACTGAGATTCTAGTTTGCAACCTACACATGTCTATGGAAGGAAAAACAACATGGGGTGACCGAGAGTAATCCTAAATAGCTGGCCTCACTCTGAATCCAACTGAAAGAATGACCAAAAGGGGGGAATTACTAAAGAAAATTCAAATGGAGGCTACAGTTTGGATATACCCCTAAGCCAATTGCCCATAGCCACATAACAGAAATTTAAGCTATCCTAATTTCCTTCAAAATGCCAGCTCTAAACATAAAGCAAATTTAAGCCATTCTTTCTTGTCAGCATGCTTTAATAAAATAGAACCAATCAGCTACAGGCAAACAAGTTTATACAGCTTTTCTTGCCATAAAAAGAATGAACATTTATAATAATGTCTGAAAAATTACCTAAACACATGTTGAAGATGGTAAGACAGACTTTATTCAAGGAGAGCCATGGTGATAGGTATAGGGACCACTGCAATGGAGTCTCACAGTGGGGGAGGAGGGATTGGACTCAACTCCAACTCCAACAATGACAAGTGGAAATTTAAAACCATGGAGCTGGCTGGGCACAGTGGCCCATGCCTGTAATACCAGCACTCTGGGAGGCTGAGATGGGAGGAGGATCACTTGAGCACAGCCTGAGCAACATAAAGAGAACCTGTTTCTACTAAATCAATATGTAAATAAATAAATAAAGGAGCAGGGTGGGAATCAGTGCATGGAAAATTATTCAGAGGAAACATCAAGGATAAGGGGTTTCTGGCTAACCTGACTTGATAGTATTGTTGCTGAAGGCAGGCCAGGGTGATAAGATATCAAGGGTAGTCAGATACCAAGCATGGAGAATTTTCCCTAAACTGACTTAGCAGGATTTTTGCTCAAACTGGATTCTACGAGGACAGAGAGGTAAACCCAAAATCTGGCCGAATTAAGCACAGGACTCACAGAAGTTTTGGTCAAAGGAGAGAGTCTGTCAATAACCATTCACAGTAAAGTTCAACACACTCCTTCGTTTATGCCTTATAAGCTGTACTGTAATTGTTGTGAGCCAAGCTTCTTACCACTTTTGGTTTGAAGTTCATAAACTGTCTTTTTTATGCACAGTAAACCTAAATTTTTAATTTGATCTGATTTTATTTTTGATAAAATATGCCCCCAAAAATATGATACTGTTCCTTTTTTTCCCAAATCCCACTTTCTTTGTTCAAAGCCAAGTGAAAATGACTCTTTTTTCCCTTTAGAAAATCAAAACAGGACGGGCATGGTGGCTCATGCCTGTAATCCCAGCACTTTGGGAGGCCGATGCGGGTGGATCACGAGGTCAGAAGTTCAAGACCAGCCTGGCGAAGATGGTGAAACCCCATCTCTACTAAAAATACAAAAATTAGCTGGGTGTGGTGGCAGGTGCCTGTAATCCCAGCTACTCGGGAGGCTGAGGCAGAGAATTGTTTGAACCCGGGAGGCGGGGGTTGCAGTGAGCCGAGATCGCCCCACTGCACTCCATCCTGTGCGACAGAGTGAGAACCCGCCTCAAAAAAAAAAAAAAAGAAAAGAAAAGAAAAAAAGAAAATCAAAACAAAACCACTCAAGGAATCCAGAGCCTTCTCAGCTTGGTATAGAACGATATTTGAGACATGAGGTAGATGAATTAGGTCTAGTATCAGTTGGCTTCGGCAAGACCCAAGGTTTGATGTTTCCATTTATCTTTGCTTTGCACCAGAAAGAAAGCACACTAAAGTTATAGTATTACTGCTCATAAGAAGCAAAATACTAATAAACCAGAAACTATTGTCAATAAGCTATGATCCCAGTAGCAGGCTATCCTAAAGGGAGATCTGAGTGGGGCACCTCGATGGCTTCCACAGTCCACCTCTTGTTTGTGCACTGATCAATGTCCCCACATATGTTCTGGAAGCAGATTTTTTCATGGCTCCTGTGGGCTCCTTTTCCTAAGGGGAAACTTGGAGAAGAGTGGGATGAACTATAGCTTTCCAATACTGCAGTTTGTCTCAGGCAACAACTGGTACTCACCATTTCCCTCCTTCACTATCCATTCCAAGTTTCTCTCACCCTCAGCTATTACCTCTGCAGGTCATTATCATGAATCAGATAATTCTAGCATGTTCAACTGAGTATATGCCCCAATATTAGGGACATACTTTCTAATAATATGTCCATGAGGAAGACAATGTGAAATGTTCCTTCCAGGGCTAGGACTAGACAAGGACCCTATCTTACACGTCTATTTAAAAAATTTGAGAAGTGTCTGTTCATGTCCTTCACCCACTTTTTGATGGGGTTGTTTTTTTCTTGTAAATTTGTTTGAGTTCATCGTAGATTCTGGATATTAGCCCTTTGTCAGATGAGTAGGTTGCGAAAATCTTCTCCCATTTTGTAGGTTGCCTGTTCACTCTGATGGTAGTTTCTTTTGCTGTGCAGAAGCTCTTTAGTTTAATTAGATCCCATTTGTCAATTTTGGCTTTTGTTGCCATTGCTTTTTGTGTTTTAGACATGAAGTCCTTGCCCATGCCTATGTCCTGAATGGTAATGCCTAGGTTTTCTTCTAGGGTTTTTATGGTTTTAGGTCTAACATTTAAGTCTTTAATCCATCTTGAATTAATTTTTTGTATAAGGTGTAAGGAAGGGATCCATTTTCAGCTTTCTACATATGGCTAGCCAGTTTTCCCAGCAACATTTATTAAATAGGGAACCCTTTCCCCATTGCTTGTTTTTCTCAGGTTTGTCATTGTGCACATCTACCCTAAAACTTAAAGTGTAATAATAATAAAATTTTAAAAATGATATATATATATCCCATTATATATCATATAATTATATATATATCCCATTATATATCGTACAATGATATATGAAAAACAAATTTGGATCATACTCTCTTAATTTCTAGACAATTGTGGTTTTAATATTTTTGAGCAAAATGACTATAGTGAATCTGGGAATATTTTGTTGACTAGATCCTAAGAGGCCACTGTATTGGAAAGAATTTTTGACTGATTACTAGATATTTGCTTTTTTCTATGGTTCTAACATTACGTAATTTTTTTTTCACTATTAGAAAATTAAGCTGCTGGCTGGGCACAGTGGCTCACGCCTGTAATCCCAGCACTTTGGGAGGCCAAGGTGGGCAGATCACCTGAGGTCAGGAGTTCGAGACCAGCCTGGCCAACATGGTGAAACCCCGTCTCTACTAAAGATACAAAAAAAAAATTAGCCAGGCATGGTGGCATGCACCTGTAATCCCAGCTACTTGGGAGGCTGAGGCAGGAGAATCACTTGAACCCGGGAGGCAGAGGTTGCAAGGAGCCAAGATCAAGCCATTGCACTCCAGCTTGGGCAACAGGGCGAGATGCTGTCTCAAAAAATAAAAAATAAAATAAAATTTAAAAAAGAGAAAATTAAGCTGCTTTGCACAAGAAGATTGTATTCAGAAGGGAAACAACTGACTTGCCATACTTTTGTAAAAGGGGTTCTTATATTCTTATTACTAATTTTCTTTAATAGGCCTGTGTATTTAAATTACTGAGTTCCCTCAGGCCACTTACTTCAACTGTCTGGATTTCAGTTCCTTAATTACACAATTATAAACTATTATGTCATAAATTAAACAGAAATATTATTTATTGTAACTAAGTTTTTAAAATCTATGAGGACAAACTGGTTTTTTGTTAATTTGTTTGTTTGTTTAATTTATAGAGACAAGGTCTCTCACCATGTTGTCCAGGCTGGTTTCGAACTCCTGGACTGAAGTGATCTGCCCACCTGGTTCTCCCAAAGTGCTGGGATTATAGGCATGAGCCACCGTGTCCAGAAAGGACTAACTGTTAATGTCAGTTGAGTGCTTGGAATTTTTTGGCTCACACAAACATGGTGTAATATCTTTCTTTTTTGTTTGTTTTTCTGTTTTCTGTAGGCACATGCCACTGCATCTGGATAGGCTTTTTTTGGTAAAGAATGTAACACTTAAGGCCGGGTGTGGTGTAGTCCCTGCAATCCCAGCACTTTGGGAGGCTGAGGCAGGAGAATCGCTTGAACCCAGGAGGTGGAGGTGGGAGTGAGCTGAGATCGTGCCACTGCACTCCGGCCTGGGCGACAGAGGGAGACTCTGTCTCCAAAAAAAAAAAAGAATGTAACAGTTAGCTTTGGCCAGGTGTCATGGCTCACACCTGTAATCCCAGCACTTTGGGATGGTGCGGTAGGACCCTTGAACCCAGAAGTTCGAGACCAGCCTGGGTAACATGGCAAGACTCTGTCTCTACAAAGAATTTAAAAATTAGCCAGGCATGGTGGCATGCACCTGTAGACCCAGCTACTCAAGAGGCTGAGGCCAGGGGATTCCTTGAGCCCAGAAGGTTGAGGCTACAGTGAACTGTGTTTGCACCACTGCACTCTAGCCTGGGTGACAAAGCAAGACCCTGTCTCAAAAAAAAGAAAAAAAAATTAGCCTTTCAACATGTCTTTGGGCAGTCTGCATAAATGACTGAAATCACTTAGAGGGAAATGAAAGCCACAACTTTTTTTTTTGGCGGGGGGGGCGGGGTGGGAACAAATATATATATATATATAGCTCATGCTTGTAATCCCAGCACTCTGGGAGGCGGAGGCAAGAGGATCACTCGAGGACGGGAGTTTCAGGCTGCAGTAAGCTATGATTATGTCACTGTATTCCAGCCTGGGCAACAGAACAAGACCCTGTCCCCCTGCTCCCCAAAAAAAGTAATTAAAAATAAAAGCACATATTGCAGTGTAAGTATCAAAGTGCCACCAACTGTTAGTTTTCTGAGAGTAAAATTTGGTCTTTTATCCTGCAAAGATGCTGTGTATTAGTATTAACTGGAGGCTAAAGCACACACCTGAATCCTGTCAACAATAATGGTAGGCAGGGTGCCAAAGTAGAAGACTGAGCTGGCATTTGAAGAGCTGGGTTATTCTCTCAGTTTTTAACCTCTCTGAGCCTTAGTTTCCCCCATTTGATAATGAGGCTAATATTATCTGCTATCCTTGGGGAACTTTGTGGATCAGAATGAGATAAGGTATCTGAAAATACATTGTAATCTATAGAGTACTATATAAGTACTTCCTATTACCTTAGTAAATATTCATAGGGTTCCTGATACAAGAATAACATTAAACAATGTGAAAGGAGAGAAAAAGAAATGGAGCTTGCCCTCAAAAAGAAAGAGACATTGACTAACATATTTTTATCTTTTTGTTCAGAGCCATGATATTTGACAATGTCTTTTGGGCCTCATTATAGAGGCCCATAAGGAGACCTAGACAAATTAAAAGGGTTCAGCTATGGATTGGATCCTTCCCCCCACCCACCATCCATATGTTGAAGCCCTAACCCCCAATGAGATGGTATTTGGAGGTAAGGCTTTTGGGAAGTAATGAGATTTAGGTGAGGACTTGAGGGTGGGGCCCTCACGAGGGGTTTTGTGCCCTTATAAGAAGAGACACCAGAGCCAGGTGCGGTGGGTCATGCCTGTAATCCCAGCACTTTGGGAGGCCAAGGTGGGCAGATCATGAAATCAGGAGTCCGAGACCAGCCTGGCCAACACGGTGAAACCCCATCTCTACTAAAAATACAAAAATTAGCAAGGCACGGTGGCACGTGCCTGTAGTCCCAGCTACTCGGGAGGCTGAGGCATGAAAATCACTCGAACCCATGAGGCAGAGATTACAGTGAGCTGAGATCACACCACTGCACTCCAGCCTGGGCAAGAGTAAGACTCCATCTTAAAAAAAAAATGGCTGGGCACGGTGGCTCACCCCTGTAATCCCAGCACTTTGGGAGGCCGAGGCAGGTGGATCACGAGGTCAAGAGATCAAGAGCATCCTGACTAACATGGTGAAACCCCATCTCCACTAAAAATACAAAAAAAATTAGCTGGTGTGGTGGCGCACCCCTATAGTTCCAGCCACTCGGGAGGCTGAAGCAGGAGAATCACTTGAACCTGCGAGGCGGAGGTTGTAGCAAGCTGAGATCTCGCCACTGCACTCCAGCCTGGGCAACAGAGCGAGATTCGGTCTAAAAAAAAAAAACAACAAAAAAAATGATATATATAAAAAAAATTAGAATAGACACCAGGCCTGGTATGGTGGCATATGCCAGTAATCCCAGCATTTTGGGAGGCCAAGGCAAGATGATTACTTGAGTTCGGGAGTTTGAGACCAGCCTGGGCAAGACGGTGAGACCCTGTCTCTATAAAAAATACAAAACTTAGCCAGGCATGGTGGTACATTCGTGTAGTCCCACCTACCTGGGAGGCTGAGGCAGGATTGCTTGAGCCCAAGAGGTCAAGGTTGCAGTGAGCTGTGATGGCAGCACTGCACTCCATCCTTGGTTACAGAGTGAGACCCTGTCTCAAAAAAAGAAAAAGAAGAAGGGCCAGGCGCAGTGGCTCATGCCTGTAATCCCAGCACTTTGGGAGGCGGAGGTGGGCGGATCACCTAAGGTCAGGAGTTCAAGACCAGACTAGCCAACATGGTGAAACCCTCTCTCAAGTAAAAATACAAAAATTAGCCGGGCATGGTGGTGCACACCTGTAATCCCAGCTACTCGGGAGGCTGAGGCAGGAGAATCGCTTGAACTGGGGAGGCAGAGGTTGCAGTGAGCCGAGATTGTGCCACTGCACTCCAGGCTGAGCAACAGAGTGAGACTCCATCTCAAAAAAAAAAAAAAAAAAAGAATAGAAGGAGGAGGAGGAGGAGGAAGAGGAGGAGGGCAGGAGAATTGGGGGAGGGAAGGGAGGGGAAGGGGGAGGAGGAGGAGGAGGAGGAGAAACACCAGAAAGCAAGGTTGCAAATCCCTTCTTCCTGCCACGTGAGGATACAGTGAGAAGGCATCCATCTGCAAACCAGGAAGACAGCCCTCACTAAAACCTGACCATGTTTGTACTGTTCTTGAACTTGCCTCCAAAGCTGTGAGAAACACTTTTCTGTTGTTTAAGCCACCCAGTCAATGGTATTTTGTTATCGCAGCCCAAGTTGACTAAGACAGGCTCTTCCCTAACTTCTCTATTCTATCCCCTCTACTTCCATAGTAGTAATAGCTAATATTTGAATAAAAGGTTAAATGTATGAATTGTCTTATTTAATCATCACAACAATTTTAGGAGGCAAGTATTATTAATCTTCTTTTACAGATGAGGAGTCTAGGCTCAGCAAATTTACAGTTTTTGGCCCCAAGCCCCACAGCAATTAAATGACACCAATGCAGATCTTCTGAGTCCAGCTGTAGTGCTTTGAATTTCTATGTACTAAAGCAACTCCTAACAACTTTTGGCCATCCAGAAAAATATTTTTCCTACCTTAAAACTGACAGTTGAGTAATAGCCAAAACTAGAAACAACCCAAAAGTCCATTAAATATGAATGAACAAACAAATTGAGATAATTCATTCAAGGAATAGTACTCAACAATAAAAAAGAGAACTATGTATATACACAACATCATAGATTAATCTCAGAACAATTATGCTGAGTCAAAAACAGGCAAAAAAGAATATATACTGTGGCTAGGTGTGGTGGCTCACGCTTGTAATCCCAGTGCTTTGGGAGGCCAAGACGGACAGATCACCTGAGGTCAGGGGTGTGAGACCAGCCTGGCCAACATGGAGAAACCCCGTCTCTACTAAAAATACAAAAATTAGCTAGGCATGGTGGTGCACGTCTGTAATCCCAGATCCTTGGGAGGCTGAGGCAAGAGAATTGCTTGAACCCAGAAAGCGGAGGTTGCAGTGAGCCGAGATCATGCCACTGCACTCCCCCAGCCTGGGTGATAGAGCCAGACTCCTCTAAAAAAAAAAATATATATATATATATATATATATATATATACTGTTTGATCCATTTATATAAAATTCTAGAAAATTTAAACTAATCTATAGCGATAAAAGTGGATTAGTGGTTGCCTGGGGATGTAAGTAGACAGAGGCAGGGATTACCAAGGAGTAAGAATAAACTTTTAGAGCAGAAGGAAATGTTATTTTGATTGTGATGATGGATACATATGTCAAAACTGATCAAAATGTACACATACATTAAATATGTGTGTCAATAAATCAATAAAGCTGGGGGTGAGAGAAGGCAATTAAAGAAAAAATGCACTATTGTCTTAATTTCCTGTAGAATAGTCTGTGATTTGTTCAAAGAGTGACCTGTGTTTTCCATAATCCAAGAGAGCTCATTTAATTAGGTCAGTTTTATAATTTTGGAATTTTGGCAGTAGGTGGTTTTCATGACAGTGGCACCTTTATTTTTAAATTTGGACACTCTACAAAAAGCTGAGGAGAGTGTTATAATTCTTTCTCAGTAAGAGGCCTACCTGTCTCAAATGTCTTTGTTTGCAGATTTTTTTTTTTTAATAGAGATGAAGTTTCACCATGTTGGCCAGGCTGGTCTCGAACTCCTGACCTAAGGTGATCCACCCATCTTGGCCTCCCAAAGTGTGGGGCTACAGGTGTCAGCCACCGCATGCAGCCTTGTTTGCAGGATTTTTAAGAGGAATAAATTATTCCCATTGTACCCAGCATTTTATTAGGCTTTTAGAGTTGCAAGAAACAGAATTACTCAGAGACTATTTTAAAAGCAGAGGGTCTATTGTAAAGCTACACTGAGACTATAACTGGAACAAGATCTCAGACTGGAAAGTCATCAGGATCTGAGGCAACTCTAGAAATGAGCTACTCTTTCAATCTCTGTTACAGGCAGCATGTTCTCTTTCTCTTGCAAAGCATCTTTTTCCTCTCCACATGTCTACTCTGTTGTCCTCCTTCTATTCATTGTTGTATTTCTTGTTATTTTGCTATGCCCAGAATATCTTCAGTCTACCCCTACGGATCCACTCTTTGCCCTTTTCTACAGTGCTTGCTTTCCTGGAAGCCTGGTCTGTATGAATTATATTAACGGAATGAGGTCAGTATATTTATTCTCCTGGCTCCCTCCCTGGAAGGTCATGTTAAGCAGCTGTATCCTTCAACCGAAGGCCATTGCTCCTCTTAAGATAACTCACTCTACACAGGGTTCCCCTTCCAACCTCTCCCTTGCCTCGTCCCTACAAGTCTAGGAATGCCTAGACCACGTTCCTCCACTATCTTTCTGGTTTTCCTACACCCTGCCCACACATTCTTAATTAGTTCCTTTGAAGATAAACCCTCCTCAATTTATCCTAGTTTGCATATGCCATTTTTTTCTTGTTAGGACGCTGAGTTATATCCTTTTTTTTGGGACTAGTCAAGGGCAGTAGTGAGAAGAGAGGAAAGAGCGGAACAAGGAGTTTGAACTGTAACTGACATGAACAATCAGTTGAGATAACTCACTACCTTTGGACCAACTCTTTTTTTTTGAGACGGGGTTTTGCTCTTGTTGCCTAGGCTGGAGAGCAATGGCACAATCTAGACTCACTGCAACCTCTGCCTCCCGGGTTCGAGCGATTCTCCTGCTTCAGCCTCCTGAGTAGCTGGGATTACAGGCACCCGCCACCACACCCAGCTAATTTTTGTATTTTTACTAGAGGCAGGGTTTCTACATGTTGGCCAGGCTGGTCTGGAACTCCTGAGCTCAAGCAATCTGTCCCCTTAAGCCTCCCAAAGTGCTGGGATAACAGGCGTGAGCCACCTTGCCAGGCTGTGGCAATGATCTTAAAGGACAGCTCACGGTCTACCACATCGGGGCAGAATAATGCCACTAGTCTAGTTGCAATTTCTTCTAAAGCTCACTATCATAAAGGGAGGTAGTTTCATGACAGAGAGAGACATCAAATTTGCTGCCACCTCTTTGCGTTCTTTATGGTCCAGGCCTTGCTATTAATATTAGAGGTGTAATATATGTACTACATGGCATTAGTAACACTTGGAAGCTCGTTAGAAATGCAGAATGTCAAGCCCCACCCCAGTCTTACTGAATTAGAATTTGTATTATAACAAGATCTCCAGGTCATTCAAGTTTCCTGGAAAATTTGAGAAGCACTGATGTTTTTCAAGTTGCAGTTGCAACCCATTAGTGGGTCATGAAATCAATCTAGTGGTTCTGACACCAGCATTGTTTAAATGAAATAGGTCAGAAAACAACAGAGCGCATTGCATGTATAGGAATAACAATTGTTTTGTGAAACTCTTGTTTTAATTATAAATATGTTTATATTTTGTGAGTCTTGATGTAAAATGTTGGTCCTGGTCAAAAAAGTTTGAAAGCCTCTAATTTCAGGTAGTGTTTCTCAAAATGTTGCCTACATTGGAATTCCCAAAAGTATTTAAAAGTTTGGCCTATGGTGAGGAAGGAACAGGAGTTTGTATTTCAAACTAATTATCGGCCGGTGCAGTGGCTCATGCCAGTAATCCCAGCACTTTGGGAGGCCAAGGCAGGCAGATCACATGAGGTCAGGAGTTTGAGACCAGCCTGGACAACATGATGGAACCCCGTCTCTACTAATAATACAAAAATTAGCTGGGTGTGGTGGTGCATGCCTGTAATCCCAGCTGCTCTGGAGGCTGAGGCACAAGAATTGCTTGGACCCGGGAGGCGGAGTTTGCAGTGAGCCAAGATCACACCACTGCACTCCAGCCTGGGCAACAGAGTGAAACTATCTCAAAAAACGAACTAAACTAAACTAATTCTCCCAGGTAATTCTGATTTTGATGCATACTAAATTTGAGAACCACTAGTCTGGCAGTGACCTCAGACGTTAGCATGCATTATAATCACCTGGAAGGCTTGTTAAAACACAGGTTGCTGGGCTTCACCCCAATAATTTCTAATTCAGTTGGTCTGGGATAGGGCCCAAGGATTTCAGTTCTAACAAATGCTAGGTGATGCTGATGCTGCTGGTCTAGCAACCACTGGTCTAGAGACATCAAATTACTACTGTGAAGGACGTAGAATTAGGATATTTGCTTCAAGCTGAATTATTTTTCCAATTTCTGTAAACCCATTCATCAAACACTCCCATTAATTTCTGTATACATTGTCCCAGTATCGTCATAGAGTGAATGAGCCTTAGTTGTTTCAAAGAGGAACTCTATTGAACATTTATCGATTTTCACTATTCTAAGAATCATGGGTCTATCTAGCCACAGGATACGTACCTTTTGCCAGTTTCTATTTTCTCCAGAGTTATCTTCTGCAACCATCAGATGGGCTCAGACAGGAATGTGATAAAAGTTCAGAATTTGTGAAACTTTAAATTTACAAATACTTTTAGATCAGGGCTACTCAAAGTGTGGTTTAGCTGGGCGCAGTGTCTCACGCCTGTAATCCCAGCACTTTGGGAGGGCGAGGCGGGCGGATCACGAGGTCAGGAGTTCGAGACCAGTCTGACCAACACGGTGAAACCCCGTGTCTACTAAAAATACAAAAATTAGCTGGATGTGGTGGCGCATGCCTGTAATCCCAGCTACTTAGGAAGCTGAGGCAGGAGAACTGCTGGAACCCAGGAGGCGAAGTTTCCAGTGAGCCGAGATCACACCACTGTACTCCAGCTTGGGTGACAGAGTGAGACTCTGTCTAAAAAAACAAAAAACAAAAAACAAATATGGTCTTGGGGCTGGGCGCGGTGGCTCACACCTGTAATCCTAGCACTTTGGGAGGCCGAGGAGGGTGGATCACCTGAGGTCAGGAGTTCGAGACCAGCCTGACCAACTGGCGAAACCCCATCTCTGCCAAACATACAAAAATTAGCCAGGTGTGGTGGCAGGCACCTATAACCCCAGCTACTCGAGAGGCTGAGGCAGGAGAATCACTTGAACCTGGGGGGGCGGAGGTTTCAGTGAGCCGAGATTGCGCCACTTCACTCCAGCCTGAGTGAAAGAGGGAAACTCAGTCTAAAAAAAAAAAAAAGCCAGGCGCAGTGGCTCATGCCTGTAATCCCAGCACTTTGGGAGGTCATGGAGGGCAGATCATGAGGTCAGGAGTTCCAGACCAGCCTGGCCAACATGGTAAAACCCTGTCTCTACCAAAAATACAAAAATTAGCCAGGCGTGGTGGCACATGCCTGTAATCCCAGCTACTCGTGAGGCTGGGGTAGGAGAATTGCTTGAACCCAGGAGGCGGAGGTTGCAGTGAGCTGAGGTAGTGCCACGGCACTCCAGCCTGGCTGACAGAGCTCTGTCTCGGAAAAAAAAAAAAAACGTGTGGTCTTGGCTTGATCATGGCTCACTATAGCCTCAACTTCCCAAGCTCAAGTGATCCTCCCACCTCAGCCTCCCGAATAGCTAGGACTACAAATGTGCACCACCATGCCCAGCTAATTTATTATTTTTAGTAGAGATGGGGGGAGTCTCACTATGTTGTCCAGGCTGGTCTTAAACTCCTGGACTCAAGCAATCCACCCTCCTCAGCCTCCCAAAGTGTTGGGATTACAGGCATGACCCACCACACCAAAGCCATCTTATGCACACTTTGTGGTGTTCTTGTGCATAAGATGGTTCTTATGCACCACAAAGTGTGAGAAACTCTGCACCAGATCACTTGCTATTGTTAGAGGCCTCTGTTAAGATGTAACATCACTGCATCACCACGCTGCAACTACAACTAGGAAACCAGGCAGCAATATCGACTTTGGGGATATGACCATGGATTTTCTGACATCATGGCCACTACAGGGTATGCAGCCCATAACTATGTGTAAAAAATTATCTATATCTGTTAGAAATGCCTGTGTACATATACTTCTGGAGGTTACCAGAGCAAATTATGTACCTGCATATTTATATCTCCTAAAGCTTATTACCAAAACTTATTTTCCTCCTTTCTGATTCAGTGATTTTTTTTAACCTTTCACTATATGCATGGAAATTAAATATCATTGAAATATGTTCAACCCAAGGTTATGGTTATCGGTGGTGAATTTTTTTTTTTTTTTTTTTTGTTTATAGAAGGATTTTCATGCTTGTTGCCCAGGCTGGAGTGCAATGGCACAATCTTGGCTCACTAAAACCTCTGCCTTCCGGGTTCAAGCAATTCTCCTGCCTCAGCCTCCCGAGTAGCTTAGATTACAGGCATGTGCCGCCACGCCCAGCTAATTTTGTATTTTTAGTAGAGATGGGGTTTCTCCAAGTTGGTCAGGCTGGTCTCAAACTCCCAACCTCAAGTGATCCGCCCGCCTCGGCCTCCCAAAGTGCTGGGATTACAGGTGTGAGCCACCTCACCCGGCCTCCCAGGACTCTTATAAGGGCTCTAATCCCATTCATGAGGGCTCTATCCTCATAACTTCATCTATCTTAATTACCTCCCAAATGCACCACCTCCTAATACCATCACAATGGGAAGATATAGGGGTAACATAAGAATTTGGGGAGGACACAAACATTTAGACCGTAAGCATCCCTAGACCTAGAAGTACAGTAAGTCCTTACTTATCATCAACAGGTTCTTGAAAACTTCAACATACAATGAAACCAATTTTACGATAAGCTAATTGATGTCACAAAAATATCAACCAAACTTATAAAGACTAAAACACTTCTAATGTTAAACATTGAAATAAATGTGAGCTACACATACATTTAAGAAAGACTGATAAAAACAAGTAAGTTTTGTTTTTTTTTGTTGTGTTTTGTTTTGTTTTTTTGAGACAAGGTCTTGCTCTGTTGCCCAGGTGGGAGTGCAGTGGTGTGATCTCAGCTCACTGCAGCCTCAAACTCCCAGGCCCAAGTGATCCTCCTGCCTCAGCCTCCCAAGTAGCTGGGACCACAGGTGCATGCCACTACACTTACCCAAGTAAGATAATTATTTACCCAATTATAGTGGCCAGAATCTATCTGGGCAGCTCTGGTGCAAGGCAGGAACTAGCCCTGGACAATATGCCATTCCATCAGGGTGCACTCACAAACACACACCCACAATCAGACTGAGCCGATGTAGACACACCACTGAACCTAATGTGCACATCTTTGGGACATGGGAAGAAACTGAAATACCTGGAAAAAACCCATGCAGACATGCGGAGAATGTGCAAACTCCACACAGTCAGTGGCCCTGGCTGGGAATCAATTTTTTTTTTCTCCTCATTCTAAGGAAACAACACTGAACAAAATGACATTATTTGAGAACCTGCTATACTTTATTCTCTTCATGTTGATTCTCCTCTGAATGTATATTTTCTTTCTGTGAGCAAACTCACTCTTCATTATAAACACAATTAGGTGGTGATAGCAATATAAAAATTCTTGGTTGCAAGGAGCTTTATGCTATGGAAATGGCTTGCTCTCTTGGAACCTGTTAGCTTTGAATCTGTTCTTAACAGAAAGATTATTCTCTCTTCCTACCCTCCTGCTGTTTTCCTTCTGTTGTTGATTTTACTTCAAAATATTTCTCTTTTGTTCTCTGGTTTTAGGTGGATACACTACTGCATAAAAATGACTGTGGTACTTCTGAGGGTGAGGTGAGCCTGTGTTTGTTCTTAGCTTTAAATTTGTCAATAAGGGCCGGGCGCAGTGGCTCACGCCTGTAATCCCAGCACTTTGGGAGGCCAAGGTGGGTGGATCATGAGGTCAGGAGATAGAGGCCATCCTGGCTAACATGGTGAAACCTCGTCTCTACTAAAAATACAAAAAATTAGCTGGGCATGGTGGCACGTGCCTGTAGTCCCAGCTACTTGGGAGGCTGAAGCAGAAGAATCACTTGAACCCGGGAGGCAGAGGTTGCAGTGAGCCGAGATTGCACCACTGCACTCCAGCCTGGGTGACAGAGCAAGACTTCGTCTCAAAAAAAAAAAAAAAAAAATTATCAATAACTACTTCTGTGCTATGATAATGCCCAGCTCCCCAGGAGGATTTAACGGCCATAGCCTTGGAGTTCGCCATTGAAGTAGGTTTTTGACCAGCTGCTAAGCTGCAACCTGAAGCGTAAAAAGGGGAGAAAATAGCATGAACATGTCGGCCAGGCGTGGTGACTCAGCACTTTGGGAGACCAAGGTGTGAGGATCGCTTGAGCCCAGGAATTTGAGACCAGCCCAGGCAATATAGCGAAACTCCATCTATATCAAAAAAGAAGAAAAAAAAATCCCAGCTGCTTAGGAGGTTGAGGTGGGAGGATCACTTGAGCCCAGGAGGTCAAGGTTGCTGTGAGTCATGATCACACCAATGCACTCCATTGCCTGAGTAGCAGAGCGAGACCCAGTCTCATTAAAAAAAAAAAAAAAAAAAAAAAAAGAGGAAAGTGTCTGCTTATTTTCAAGCAATCTTCTCTTCTGCCTTTACCTACAAAGTAACCTGATTTGGGAATTTTATAATAGCTAAAGATCAAACTATACTGCTAGCCTCCCTGGGCGAGATTTAGTATATCAGAAGTAACAGAACTTGACAAAATACTCAAAGACATCTAAAGATTCTTAAATTTGGATAACTCCTAATTAAAGTTGGTAGTATCTTTTAATCTCTTCTTATGTGAGACCTAATGAATTATAGGTGTTTACATTCTTGCATTCAATATATGAGAAATTGAAAATGACTGTGACAGATGGATACTTACTATGTGATTCATTAATAGCACAATAGGTCAGGAATGTTGATGTTTACCTAACACAACAACTCAAATTTCAACACAATTTTTTACAAAAAGAGGGAAAATTAGTGTATATTTTTTGCAGCTATTTTTTTTAAAAATTGAACTTTACTTGAAAATCTCCAGTTGACTAATTTATATGTGCTACCTTATTAATGCTGTAATACTTGAATGAACTTACGAATTATATGTCTGTATCCTTATTACTTAGCATAGTACTTGCCTTCATTAAATGCTTGTTTAATGAATGAGTGATTGAATGAATGGATTAGAAAGAAAAGAGGGAGAAAGAAAAAGAATGAAAGGAGAGAAGATGGATGAATGAATAAAGAATTATTTACCTTTTAAAAGTAGGCGGCTGGGCGCGGTGGCTCACGCCTGAAATCCCAGCACTTTGGGAGGCTGAGGCGGGTGGATCACAAGGTCAGGAGACTGAGACCATCCTGGCTAACATGGTGAAATCCCGTCTCTAATAAAAATACAAAAAATTAGCTGGGCATGGTGGTGGTCGCCTGTAGTCCCAGCTACTCGGGAGGCTGAGGCGGGAGAATCACTTGAACCCGGGATGCAGAGGTTGCAGTGAGCCGAGATCCCACCAGTGCACTCCAGCCTGGATGACAGAGTGAGACTCTGTCTCAAAAAAATTAATAAGTAATAAAATAAAAGTTTATACATGGTAAGAGTTAAAGTGATCTACTGATGACAATCAGGCCAGCAATGGAACGATTATCCCATGTATTATCTGGGGTGGGCAGTAATCAAAAAACAGGCTGGGTGCAGGGGCTCATACCTGTAATCCTAGCACTTTGGGAGGCCAAGGTGCGCAGATCGCTTGAGGCCAGGAGTTCGAGACCAGCCTGGCCAACATGGCGAAACCCTGTCTTTACTAAAAATATAAAAGTTAACTTGGCGTGGTGGTGTGCACCTGTAGTCCCAGCTACTAGGGAGGCTGAGGCACAAGAATCACTTGAACCAGGGGGGCAGAGGTTGCAGTGAGCTGAGATTGTGCGACTGCACTCCAGTATGGGCAATAGGGCAAGACTCTGCCTCAAAAAAAAAAAAAAAAGCAAACAAGCAAAATATCCCTATCCTCATGGCTCATACATATTCAGACATCAGAAACAACTCTAAAAAGTGAGCCTGGAATTGTTCTCTGTCTAGAAATTTTATTGCAGTAGTGGAGATAAAAGAAAATGCACTTTGGCCTTCATGTAATTATTTTTCCACTTGTCTGTGAACACCATAGTAAGAGCCTATTCTTGAAAGAAACCAAGGTGTGTCTAGACTCAAAATGTCCACCATTTTCTCTCCTCTATTGGGTCTGTCTTATTCTTTAGGCAGTTCTCAACCATAGCTGCAAATTAAAATCACCTACACTGCTCTTTCTTTTTCTTTTCTTTTTTTTTTTTCTGAGACGGAGTCTCACTCTGTCGCCCCGGCTGGAGCGTAATGGCACGATCTTGGCTCACTGCAACCTCCACCTCCCAGGTTCAAGCGATTCTTCTGCCTCAGGTTCCTGAGTAGTTGGGATTACAGGCGTGCACCATCACCCCCGTCTAATTTTTTGTATTTTTAGTAGAGATGGGGTCACCGTGTTGGTCAGGCTGGTCTTGAACTCCTAACCTCCACCCACCTTGGCTTTCCGAAGTGCTGGGATTACAGGCGTGAGTCACCGCACCTGGCCTACACTGCTCTTTTTAAAGGATATCAATGTCTAATCCCTACCCTTCAACCCCATCCCAGTAGTCTATTTATTTGTTTGTTTGTTTGTTTTGAGACAGAGTATCGCTCTGTTGCCCAGGATGGAGTGCAGTGGTGCGATCTTGGCTCACTGCAGCCTCCGCCTCCCGGGTTCAAGTGATTCCCCTGTCTCAGTCTCCAGAGTAGCTGAGATTACAGGCATACACCACCACATCCAGCTAATTTTTTGTATTTTTAGTAGAGTCGGGGGTTTCTCCATTTTGGCCAGGCTGGTCTTGAACTCCTGACCTCAGGTGATCCACCCACCTCCCCCTCCCAAAGTGTTGGGATTACAGGGGTGAGCCACTGCGCCTGGCCCCACCCCCATTCCAGTAGTTTTTAAAAGATGATTCTTATGTGTAGCTGAAGTTGAGATTCACTATGGTAGGGAATTACAATTGCTATGTTCTTAACAGGTTGTTTTTTTTTTTTTTTTTTGAGACGGAATTCTTGCTCTGTCGCCAGGCTGTAGTGCAGTGGTACGATCTCAGCTCACTGCAACCTCCACCTCCCTGGTTCAAGCTATTCCCCACCCTCAGCCTCCCAAGTAGCTGGGATTACAGGCACATGCCACCACGCCTGGCTAATTATTTGTACTTTAGTAGAGACAGGGTTTCACCATGTTGGCCAAGATGGTCTGATCCACCTGCCTCGGCCTCCCAAAGTGCTGGGATTACAGGCATGTGCCACTGTACCTGGCCGTTCTTAACAGTTTTTTTAAAAAAGCATAAAAATACGTTAGCTAAAACTTGCTTTAGATTCTCCTTCCAAAGCTTTTTGAATTCAGTGTTAGGTGTTTGCTATGTCAAGAATAAACACTAACAAGAAACAAAATGAGTATCTTGTTCTGATCCATGTACCTTAACCTACTGGCTTGTAAAAAGAAATTTGTTCTTTGCTGAGTCAACTGTAAAAAGAATTTTTGCCTGAAATTAAATATGCAGGCCAGGCGCGTGGCTCACGCCTGTAATCCCAGCACTTTGGGAGGCTGAGGTGGGCAGATCACGAGGTCAGGAGATCGAGACCATCCTGGCTAACATGGTGAAATCCCGTCCCTACTAAAAATACAAAAAATTAGCCGGGCATGGTGGCGGGCGCCTGTAGTCCCAGCTACTCGGGAGGCTGAGGCAGGAGAATGGCGTGAACCCGGGAGGCGGAGCTGGCAGTGGGCCGAGATAGCGCCACTGCAGTCCAGCCTGGGCGAAAGAGTGAGACTCCGTCTCAAAAAAAAAAAAAAAAAAAAGAAATTAAATATGCAACCCAAGATTGGTTTGCCTAGTGTCACTGTAAGGGCAGGTTAAGTAACAAAGTTTAAAGCTCAAGGATGCTGCTGAACACCTTGGAGTGTGTCTAGATAATGCAATTTTCCATTAATATCAAGGCATAAAAGCCAGTACTCCTCTCACTTGCCTGTAAATCTCATGACTTAGCTTAGTTTCTTTCAAGAATAGGATCTTATTATGGTGTTCACAGACAAGTGAAAAAATAATTACATAAAAGCCAAAGTGCATTTTCTTTCATCTCAACCACTGCAATAAAATTTCCAGCAAGAGGACAATTCCAGACTCATTTTTCAGAGTTGTTGCTGATGTCTGAACATGTATGATCCATGAGAGTAGGGATATTTTGCTTGTTTGCTTTTTGTTTACTTCCCATCCCAGTAGTGTATAGGCTACTGGGCACATAATAGATAATCGATGAATATTTATTGAATGAATAAGTATTGGGTTTTGATATTGAATAGTGCCTTCCACTTCCCAAACACTGAAAAACCCAGTGTGAAATTCCTTTTAAAATTTATTATTAATATGAGTCTAGAATAAATATTGTAATATATATCTATTATTTCAGTCTTTTCAGCAACCCTTCCTCTTTCCTTCAAGATGACAAAACTAGTCTGTCCTACTGGGAATGAACTCAGTGTGGACTCACTCCCTCTCCTCCCTGGCTATAGGAGATATCTTGTGACCAAGACTTATCCCATCAGAAAATTACATTCCTTAGCTACCCCCACTCACTTCCCACCACATTGTTGGTTCCTGATGCAAGTCAAGCTGCCCTGTGACTTTTCTGCTACAGCTAATAAAGAAGATCATCTCTATCTGCTGGAGTTAATTGTGGGTATACTTTGGAGTCTGGAGCTGGGGGCAGCCATCTTTCCCACCTTAGGGTTAGAACCTGTATGTAGTAGCAAGCCAATCAGAAGCAAGAAGAATTGAAAGGTAGAGAGGGAAGGAGGGAGAGAAAGAGAGAGAGAGACTGTTTTCTCATCACCAAACAACTCATATTTATTCCTTTTTAAAAGTAGGAATATATTTTTTGTTTTGTCTATGAAAATAAAAAATGCTAATTGTTAAAATATCAAAATTTTTTAAAATGAAGAAAATTAAAGTTATTTTGAGTTCAACACCAAGACACTATCTTTCTTTTCTTATTTTATTTTATATTTTTATTTTATTATTATTTTTTGAGACGGAGTCTCGCTCTATCACCCAGGCTGGAGTGCAGTGGCACGATCTCGGCTCACCGCAACCTCCACCTCCCTTGTTCAAGCCATTCTCCTCCCTCAGCCACCCGAACAGCTGGGATTACAGGCACACGCCACCATACCTGGCTCATTTTTGTGTTTTGAGTAGAGATGGGGTTTCACCATGTTAGCCAGGCTATTCTTGAGCTCCTGACCTTGTGATCCACCTGCCTCGGCCTCCCAAAGTGCTGGGATTATAGACGTAAGCCACTGCACCTGGCCTTTTTTTTTCTTATGTTCAACAAAACATGTTTTTATAACCTCCTTTTATCAGTTTATGTATCATAAATATCTTTTCACATTAATGAAGATAGATTTATGTCTTTTTTTTTTTTTTTTTTTTTTTTTTGAGACGGAGTCTTGTTCTGTCGCCCAGGCTAGAGTGCAGTGGTGCAATCTGAGCTTACTGCAACCTCCGCCTCCTGGGTTCAAGTGATTCCCTGGCCTCAGCCTCCCAAGTAGCTGAGATTACATGTGAGTGCCACCACGCCCAGCTAATTTTTGTATTTTTTGTAGGGAGACGGGGTTTCACCATATTGGCCAGGCTGGTCTCAAACTCCTGACCTCAGGTGATCCACCCGCCTTGGCCTCCCAAAGTGCTGGGATTACAGGTATGAGCCACCACACCCACCCTATGTCATTATTTTAAAAAACGATATAGTATTCTAGAAAAAATATAAAACAAAAACTATATAGTATTCCATTGGGTATATTCACTATAGATTACTTAACCATCCCTGTTGTTGCAGATAGCTCTTAAAAGCTCTTAAATGTTTTCTGAAAAACAATAAATCTTTCTCCTGAGAATCCCCTCATTCTAAATTTTCCTTGCATAATTTGAACATTTGAAGGTTACTGGTTGGGTAGGAGAGGAGGAGGAAGACTTTTGTGAGCTGGTGAAAACATAGAAAATAGTACTTTTGTAACTATGAGGACTTTCTTACTAAATATTAAGTGTATTAATCTCATATAGATGAAGAGTAGACATCGTGATTGGTAAATTTCTTGGCTATTTTTTCAGATTTTTTTTTTTTGAGACAGAGTGTCACTGTGTCACGCAGGCTACAGTACAGTGGCACAATCTCGGCTCACTGCAACCTCCGCCTCCCAGGTTCAAGCCATTCTTCTGCCTCTGCCTCCAGAGTAGCTGGGACTACAGGTGTGTGCCACCATGCCTGGCTAATTTTTTGTATTTTTAGTAGAGATGGGGTTTCACCATGTTGGCCAGGCTAGTCTCGAACTCCTAACCTCATGATCCGCCCGCCTTGGCCTCCTAAAGTGATTTATTTTAAAAAGTGTTTATATATATGCCTGTGGCACAATATTTTGATGCTGACTGTACTACTCTCTGAATGACTAATAAATCTCTAATTAGGAGGGTGGGGTTGATCAGTCACAGGAGTAAACCCAGTTCCACTGGAGGTATTATTTATGCTTTATTAAGATAACAAAGCAAGGCTCAGCAACAGGAAATGAAGTAATAACAGACATCTAGAAATTGTATAAATTGCTGGGTGTGGTGGCTCACACCTTTAATTCCAGCACTTTGGGAGGTCGAGGGGGGCAGATCATTTGAGGTCAGGAATTTAGACCAGCCTGGCCAACATGGTGAAACCCTATCTGTACTAAAAATACAGAAACTAGCTGGGCATGGTGGTGGGCATCTGTAATTCCAGCTACTTAGGAGGCTGAGGCATGAGAATAGCTTGAACCCGGAAGGTGGAGGTTATAGTGAGCCCAGATCACACCACTGCACTCCAGCCTGGGTGACACAGTGAGACCCTGTCTCAAAAAAAAAAAAAAAAAAAAAAGAAAATGTATAAATATTTAGTTTAAAGAAAAATAATCAAAAGCAGAAGATAGACATTTTATCTGTAAGAGGGAGGTTGTCCATTTTCTGTTGCTTATAACAGAATACCTGAAATTGGGTATTTTATAAAGTAAAGGAATTTACTTCTTGTAGTTATAGAGGCTGAGAAGTCCAAAGTCAAGGGGTTACATCTGGTGAGAGCCTTCCTGCTGGTGGGGACTCTCTAACAGAGTCCATAGGCAGTGCAAGCATAAATTGGCAAGGGCTTGAGAATGCTAGCTCAGGTTTCCTCTCCTCTTCTTCAAAGCTACCAGTTGCATCCCCCGATAACCCATTAATCCATTAACTCATTAGTTTATCAATATGTGAATGTATTAATCCATTCATGAGAGCAGAATTTTCATGGCCCACTCCCCTCTAAAAGGCTCCACCTCTCAATATTGCCACATTGAAGATTAAATTCCTTTTTTTTTTTTTTGAGACAGAGTTTCTCTCTTGTCGCCCAGGCTGGAGTACAATGGTGCGATCTCAGCTCACTGCAACCTCTGCCTCCTGGGTTCAAGTGATTCTCCTGCCTCAGCCTCCCAATTAGCTGGGATTACAGGCGCCCGCCACCATGCCCAGTTAATTTTTTGTATTTTTAGTAGAGACAGGGGTTTCACCACGTTGGCCAGGCTGGTCTCGAACTCAGGTGGTCCACCCACCTTGACCTCCTAAAGTTCTGGGATTACAGGCGTGAGCCACCACGCCTGGCCCAAAGATTAAATTTCAACAGGAGTTTTTAAGGGGAAAAATACTCAAACTATAGTACAGGTTATAAAAGCAAGATGGTAAAATGAAATCATATCTTGAAAGACTTTATAAATTACAAACAAGAACATGTAAATGAATAACTTTTGGATACTCTTGACATTCTTTTCCAACATGATAGGCTTCTTTTGAAATGGGAGCCAATTGCCTGGCATGTTGGCTCACGCCTGTAATCCAAAAAAAAGAAATGGGAGCCAATTATAATAGAAACCATTACATTACTATAATGAAATACCTTTGACAGAATCATTTTCAAAAAGAGATGTAGGGAGCATGAAGCTGCTCTCTGTGAGTTGCCACTCACCCTTTATGCTTCCCATTTACAAACAACAGCTCTGTTTTTATTGTCCTGTTTCCTGGTTATTTTAGGAGAGCTAACACTTTGTCCCATAATAAAGAAACTTGTTAGGAGTAAAGACATTGTTAGGAACAACTGTGGATGAGACTCTAAATCATTGCCATAGAATTCTAGGAAACTACTTCAAATTGAACATTTCTGCTGACCTTTTATCTGAGTTATTAAAGAGAAAATGGCAATGAAGCCCTGTAGAGCCCCATCTAAAAGTGTGAAAGATTAGTAATTTTTTTTCCTTTTTTTTTTTTTTTTTGAGATGGGATTTGCTGTATCACCCAGGCTGGAGTCCAGTGGCATGGTCTCAGGTCACTGCAACGTCTGCCTCCCAGGTTCAAGCTATTCTCCTGCCTCAGCCTCCAGAGTAGCTGGGATTACAGGCACCCGCCACCACAACCAGATAATTTTTGTATTTTTAGTAGAAATGAGGTTTCACCATATTGGCTATGGCTGGTCTCGAACTCCTGACCTCAGGTGATCCACTCACTTCGGCCTCCCAAAGTGCTGGGATTACAGGCGTAAGCCACCGAGCCTGGCCAAAAAGTTAGTAATTTGTGCTGTGACAATGGAATTTAATTTCCTCCTTCTCCTCCTCCTCCTCCTTCTTTCTTTTTCTCTCCTTCTTCTTAATTGTCTCTTCTTCCTCTTCTCCTCCTCCTTCTTCTTCTCCTTCCTCTTACTTTTTTGAAATAGGGTCTTGCTCTGACACCTAGGCTGGAGTGCAGTAGCATGATCATAGCTCACTGTAACCTCAAACTTCTGGGCTCAAATGATCCTCTCACCTCAGCCTCCTGAGTAGCTAGGACTACAAATGTACACCACCACATCCAGCTAATTTTTTTGTTGTTAGAGATGGGATCTGGCTATGTTACCCAGGCTGGTCTCAAACTCCTGACCTCAAGCAATCCTCACCTTGGCCTCCCAAAGCACTGGGATGACAGGTGTGAGCCACTGTGCCTGGTCTATTTTCACTTTTTTAAGTTCAAGAAATATTTGCCATAGACTATAGAAGCTCTCAATTTCTATATGTTCTCTAAGAATTTGATCATTTTTGAAGAAAAAATAAATTTGAGAAAGAAAAACTTTTTTTTAACCTTTAAGAGGCTCTAGGCCAGGCACAGTAGCTCACGCCCGTAATCCCAGCACTTCGGGGGGCTGAAGCAGGCGGATCGTCTGAGGTCAGGAGTTCAAGACTAGCCTGGCCAACATGGTGAAATTCCGTCTCTACGAAAACACAAAAATTAGCCAGGCATCATGGCTGGCACCTATAATCCCAGCTACTCAGGAGGCTGAGGCGGGAGAATAGCTTGAACCTGGGAAGCAGAAGTTGCAGTGAGCCAAGATTGTGCCACTGCACTCCAGCCTAGCCGACAGAGTGAGACTCCATCTCAAAAAAAAAAAAAAAAAAAAAAAAAAAAAAAAAAAAAAAGGTCAGGCGCAGTGGCTCACACCTGTAATCCTAGCACTCTGGGAGGCTGAGGCAGGTGGATCACCTGAGGTCAGGAGTTCGAGACCAGCCTGGCCAACATGGGGAAACCCTGTCTCTACTAAAAATACAAAAAATTAGCCAGGCGTGGTGGTGGGAGCCTGTAATCCCAGCTACTCGAGGGGCTGAGGCAGGAGAATTGCTTGAACCTGGGAGGTGGAGGTTGCAGTGAGCCAAGTTTGCTCCACTGCACTCCAGCATGGGTGACAGAGCAAGACTCTGTCTCAAAAAGAAAAAAAAAAAAGGCTCTAAGTGATTCTTAGGCAAATTAATATATGTGAAAAGTGAATTAAGACAATAAGTACACATGGCTCTATTGTTCAATTGTTCGCAATGCTTTAAGTCTCAGGAGCATTATGAAAGGTTTATTGCAAAATATATAATATACTCAAGGGCATGTACATGTATATTTTCAATCACTTTATGTTTTATATTCTTTGCATTTATTTGCTTCAAAGAGAAATATTTCTTCTTTCAATTCATAAAATATCTTCCCAAGAAGAACTTTGCATGGATGTTTTTGTCACTTTTAAATCTTAAAAAATATTTTTCCATCAGACTCTGAGACATTGGAAATATTTCAGACAATACTAGAGAACTCAACAGCATGGGCTGGCACGGTGGCTCACGCCTGCAATCCCAGCACTTTGGGAGGCCAAGGCAGATGGGTCACCTGAGGTCAGGAGTTCAAGACCAGCCTGGCCAAGATGGTGAAACCCCATCTCTTCTAAAAATACAAAAAAAATTAGTTAGGTATGGTGGCAGGTGCCTGTAATCCCAGCTACTTGGGAGGCTGAGACAGGAGAATCGGTTGAACCCAGGAGGCAGAAGTTGCAGTGAGCCGAGATCACGCTACTGAACTCCAGCCTGGGCGACAGACTGAGGCTCCATTTCAGACAAAAAAAAAAAAAAAAAAAGAGGCCAGGCATGGTGGCTCACATCTGTAATCCCAGCACTTTGGGAGGCTGAGGTGGGAGGATCACCTGAGGTCGGGAGTTTGACACCAGCCTGACCAACATGGTGAAATCCCATCTCTACCAAAAATACAAAATTAGCCAGGTGTGGTGGCTCATGCCTGTAATCCCAGCTACTCAGGAGGCTGAGGCAGGAGAATCACTTGAACCTGGGAGGCAAAGGTTGTGGTGAGCTGAAATGGTGCCATTGCGCTCCAGTCTGGGCAACAAGAGTGAAACTCTGTCTCAAAAACAAACAAACTAACATTAAATGAATGAATGAAGATCTGTTCTCAAGCAGTTTATAGGTTTTATTTTTTTTAATGTTATTTATTTATTTATGTTTTCAGATAGAGTCTTGCTCTGTCACCCAGGCTGGAGTGCAGTGGCATGATCTCGTCTCACTGCACCCTCCGCCTCTTGGGTCCAAGAGATTCTCCTGCCTCAGCCTCCCGAGTAGCTTGGATTACAGATGTGTGCCACCATGCCCAGCTAATTTTTGTATTTTTAGTAGAGACAGGGTTTCACCATGTTGGCCAGGCTGGTCATGAACTCCTGGCCTCAGGTGATCCACCCTCCTTGACCTCCCAAAGCGCTGGGGTTACAGGCATGAGCCACTGCGCCAGGCCAGTTTCTAGGTTTTCTATGGGTACCCGTTGTAACCAAAGTCACTGGATTTTCTACCTTTTAACTCCAGTTTCCTGGTGACTAATTTCCAATACTAGTTGCCAGGCATCTACAGTTCTGATCTGCCTACAGGGAGCTCTGTCAGTTACCAGCCTAACCCTATATCTTGGGTCTCATTTGGTTGGGATTTTTTGGAACTTATATTCCTCTGTTTTTTTTTTTTTTTTGAGACAGAGGCTCTGTCGCCCAGGCTGGAGTGCAGTGGCGCGATCTGGGCTCACTGCAAGCTCCGCCTCCCGGGTTCACGCCATTCTCCTGCCTCAGCCTCTCCGAGTAGCTGGGACTACAGGCGCCGGCTACCACGCCCGGCCAATTTTTTGTATTTTTAGTAGAGACGGGGTTTCACCAGGGTCTCGATCTCCTGACCTCGTGATCCGCCCGCCTCGGCCTCCCAAAGTGCTGGAATTACAAGCGTGAGCCACCGCGCCCGGCCTATTCTTTTTGGCCCATAAATTGATCTTTCTGTTTCAGACTCATCTTTGAATTAATAGCGCTTCACATCTTGATCCGAGAATATTTCCCTTCGCCATTTGAGCTTTGCATTTAGTAGTACTCGTTAATGTGACCATGTGATTGTATAACAAAATACATAATAATCACAATCTTCAAAAATTATAATGGATATTGTAAGGATAATAATCCTTTTACTGGTAGGATATTACTTATTATCTTCCACCCTTCTGGTATTTACATGAGACTGGTGAATACCCCTTTACATTTCCTAGGTTTAACACACACACACAAAACTAAACAGATTTTAAGCTCTCTATCAACTGTTGTTGGATTCTAAGATCCCTCACTACCAACACACCTTTCTGAAGCACTTTGCAAAAATCCTGGAATAGCTAGGATCAACTGAGTAGTATCCTTATTTGATAGCTGGTGTTTGTTACCTAGACAACATGGCTATAGACAGCTCTGAATTAATAAGCTGCTTCTTGGTTAGGGATAATAATATGAATCAGAAGAATTTTTAATTGCCAACAATCTTGCGGAATAATTTTGTTTTCTTAAAGCCTGTTCTCTGTAGCCTATTCTATTTCTGCAAATGTTCTGCAAAGAATGACAGTATAAATAGTAATATTTTCCAAATAGAATTGATCTGGCTCAAACTCACAGAGTACTAAGTACCTAAAAGTGCCAGTAGAAATAATTGAAAGGACATTCCTCTTTATATAGAGATGTTCTAGAGAGATCCAAGATCTTTTATAGCATTGATGCCAATTCCCTGATCATTACTACATTTTTGTGGGGGAGGAGGGAGGAAGATGAGTAAATGCTTTATCATTTCTTTCATAGATAAATAAACTGGGGTACCAAATTGGCCAATTTCTTGTCTGAGACCATAATGGTACATCAATTGCAGAAATAACATTGCTGCATCCTCTTATTTGTTAGCTAACAGAGTGTTTTTTCTGAATTTCATTGCTAACATAATTGAGATCCCCAGTAATAATAGGAGATGGTGAGGGCAGAGTGATGATAATGAGCCAGAGATAGAACTGAAAATAGAGTCCAAGGCTTTTAACTCCTTGCTCATTGATCCTGCCATTAAGCTGCAAGACTAAATTACTGAATTTCATCAAAAAGTGTTACCCTAATGCTATGAGAGGCTAACCAGCATTAGTACTTTTCATTATATATGAGCAGAATAATTCATTTTTTTAGCCTACCTGAGGGGAAAAAAATCTCCAATGGAAATTCTTTTTGGACATTGTTGTTTTTTCTATTTCAGTATTTACTTGTGTGATACAAAAGGATCTCGGTTGACTGAAGCTTGTTAGGAGTCAGGAAATAATAAAGACATTACGAGTTAAAAACAATCATCTCTTTGCTTAAAGAAGGTGTGAATCAGCAAGCTGGAAAGCTCAGTTTTTCAGTGTGTTGGTTAGTCTATTGTCAGTCTGAAAGGTAATGTGGTCCATTTCAAGCTCTGAGAATAGAGCAGGGAAGAAGAGGAGAAAATAGAAGAGAAGGAGGGGGGCCATCTTTTGTCCTACATTTAAAACATCTGTTGCTTAACCTTACAAATATGGATAAAAGAGACCAGTCAGAAATCATGAGGCTTTTCACCTAATTTGAAAAAGATTCTAAGAGATACAATACAGTGAGATGAGTTCTTTTTTTTAAATTAAAAAAAATTTTTTTGGTAGACATGGGGGTCTTGCTTTGTTGCCCAGGCCAGTCTCTAACTCCTGGCTATAAGCAATACCTCCCACATTGGCCTTCCAAAGTGCTGGGATTACAGGAATAAGCCACTATGTCTGGCCAGTGAGATGAGTTCTCATTATATAAGCTGACACTTGGTCCCCTCCTCAGGCATACAGGTATTTGCAAGGGCACAGGCATTTGCACTGCTTAAAGGGATATAAAACTCATATAGACTTCTTCAACAGTGAAACTTTTCATATAAATCAGAATTCCAGAAAGGTAGGAGCCGAATGAACAAAGATCTCATTTCTTCATAATTCTTTCTTAGTTTTTTACAATAAATTAGAAGATGCAGAAACATCTTTAGTGTAACATTCTTGTTTTAATTAAACTGACATTTTTTAGGGTGTCATATAGCTTTATGTACATTATCTTTTTCTTTTTTCTCTTTTACATCTTTACAACAGCCTAGAGGATTGAGTATTCTCATTTTACAGGTTGGGAAGCAGAAGTTGAGTAGCAGTTTCAAAGGTCACACAGATTGCGTGGTAGTAGATCTAGATTTACAATCTATGTCTCCAAAACCACTTTCAATATTCTTTCTACTATCTTTTCTTAGAAGGCTTTGGCAATATTTTTATTTTTACCTTTGAGGAGATTTATTTTTCTTTCTTTTTTTTTTTTTTTTGAGACAGGGTCTTGCTCTGTCATCCAGGCTGGGGTGTAGTATCACGATCATGATTCATGGCAACTTTGACCTCCTGGGCCCAAGTGATCCTCCCAGCTCAGCCTCCCGAGGAGCTGGGACCATGGGAGAAAGAACGCCACCATGCCCAGCTAATTTTTGTACTTTTTGGAGAGACAGGGTTTTGCCACGTTGCCCAAGTTGGTTTCCAACGTTGCCCAAGTTAGTTTCCAACTTCTGGGCTTAAGACATCCTCCTGCCTCAGCCTCTCAAAGTGCTGTGACTAAAGGCATGAGCCACTGCACTCTGCCTGAGGCAATTTCTAGATAAACTTTAAGCTGCTTGATGGTTTTTGAGAAACGGATGCAAGAATATTTATTTTACATCTTTTTCTTTCTTTCAAATTACACTTTAAGTTCTAGGGTACATGTGCACAACGTGCAGGTTTGTTACATAAGTATGCATGTGCCATGATGGTGTGCTGCACCCATTAACTCGTCATTTACATTAGGTATATCTCCTAATGCTATCCCTCCCCCTTCCCCCACCCCACGACAGGCTCCGGTGTGTGATGTTCCCCTTCCTGTGTCCAAGTGTTCTCATCGTTCAATTCCCACCTATGAGTGAGAACATGTGGTGTTTGGTTTTTTGTCCTTGCAATAGTTTGCTGAGAATGACGGTTTCCAGCTTCATCCATGTCCCTACAAAGGACATGAACTCATCATTTTTTATGGCTGCATAGTATTCCATGGTGTATATGTGCCACATTTTCTTAATCCAGTCTATCATTGATGGCCATTTGGGTTGGTTCCAAGTCTTTGCTACTGTGAATGGTGCCACAATAAACATACGTGTGCATGTGTCTTTATAGTAGCATGACTTATAATCCTTAGGGTGTATACCCAGTAATGGGATTGCTGGGTCAAATGGTATTTCTAGTTCTAGATCCTTGAGGAATCGCCACACTGTCTTCCGCAATGGCTGAACTAGTTTACAGT
This sequence comes from Homo sapiens, assembly GCF_000001405.40. Classification (NCBI taxonomy): domain Eukaryota; kingdom Metazoa; phylum Chordata; class Mammalia; order Primates; family Hominidae; genus Homo; species Homo sapiens. The sequence continues at coordinate 72,674,641 of NC_000010.11, forward strand.
CCCACCAACAGTGTAAAAGTGTTCCTATTTCTCCACATCCTCTCCAGTACCTGTTGTTTCCTGACTTTTTAATGATCGCCATTCTAACTGGTGTGAGATGGTATCTCATTGTGGTTTTGATTTGCATTTCTCTGATGGCCAGTGATGATGAGCATTTTTTTAAGTGTCTGTTGGCTGCACAAATGTCTTCTTTTAAGAAGTGTCTGTTCATATCCTTTGCCCACTTTTTGATGGGGTTGTTTGTTTTTTTCTTGTAAATTTGAGTTCTTTGTAGATTCTGGGTATTAGCCCTTTGTCGGATGAGTAGATTGCAAAGATTTTCTCCCATTCTGTAGGTTGCCTGCTCACTCTGACGGTAGTTTCTTTTGCTGTGCAGAAGCTCTTTACTTTAATTAGATCCCATTTGTCAATTTTGGCTTTTGTTGCCATTGTTTTTGGTGTTTTAGACATGAAGTCCTTACCCGTGCCTATGTCCTGAATGGTATTGCCTAGGTTTTCTTCTAAGGTTTTATGGTTTTAGGTCTAACATTTAAGTCTTTAATCCATCTTGAATTAATTTTTATATAAGGTACAAGGAAGGGATCCAGTTTCAGTTTTCTACATATGGCTAGCCAGTTTTCCCAGCACCATTTATTAAATAGGGAATCCTTTCCCCATTTCTTGTTTTTGTCAGGTTTGTCAAAGATCAGATGGTTGTAGATGTGTGGTATTATTTCTGAGGGCTCTGTTCTGTTCCATTGGTCTATATCTCTGTTTTGGTACCAGTACTTTGCTGTTTTGGTTACTGTAGCCTTGTAGTATAGTTTGAAGTCAGGTAGCATGATGCCTCCAGCTTTGTTCTTTTGGCTTAGGATTGTCTTGGCAATGCGGGCCCTTTTTTGGTTCCATATGAACTTTAAAGTGGTTTTTTCCAATTCTGTGAAGAAAGTCATTGGTAGCTTGATGGGGATGGCATTGAATCTATAAATTACCTTGGGCAGTATGGCCAAGCAATGTATAGACATTAGACCATTAGACATCAGATTGTGAGTCTTTTTTTTTTTTTTTTTTTTTGCAATAAGGTAGAAATGCATTTCTTCAAATGTGTCTGGGTACTATATGCCTATTTGTTTGGCATTCACCAAGGGTACTATAAGTTGAAAATGATAGTTGCAGGTAGAATCCTAAAGTTAGAACTGGGAGTTGACTTGCTATAAACGATTTCCTATGCTTTCTAAACAAGCTGGAGAAGGACGCTAGTGAATTCACTGAGCTACAAACTTTTTTTTTTTTTTTTTTTTTTTTGAGACAGGGTCTTGTTCTGTCATCTAGGCTAGAGTGCAGTGGTGTGATTCTCAGGTCACTGCAGCCGAGAATCTCTTGGGCTCAAGCAATCCTTCCACTTCAGCCTCCCAAGTAGCTGAGACTAGAGGGGAGCTACCACCACACCTGACTAATTTTTTTGAAAATAACTTTTTGTAGAAACGAGGTCTCACCATGTTACCTAGGCTGGCCTCAAATTCCTGGGCTCAGGAGATCTTTGGCAAGTTACTTCTCAATGTCACATTTGTTTTTCATTGGAAAAATGGAGGCTAGTGTAGTATTTTTCTCACGGGGATATTGTGAGGATTAAACAAGAAGTTATAATGTAATATCTATACAGCACCCAACACAACACCTTACTAACAGCTGGTACTCAATATCAAACAGTATTTCTTTCTTTCAGGTTTTAGAAAAATAGTTTAAAATCTAGAGTTAATTAACCTTCTTATGACCTTGTTAAAGGGTCTGCTTCCATATGCTGCTTGCCAGATGGCCCACTTACAAATGAGAAGCCAACAGCTCACCTGTGATAAATCAGCCCATTGAAGGTCAATGCAGTGAAGTAAACGGGGTTCGCATAACTGCGAATGTGCAACTGCACAAACTCAAGGAAGCAATTTTCAGTGACAGGGCGTGGTAGAGTGAGACAAGAAAAGCATGAGTCAGAAGACCTCAATTTGACTCAGCTCAGCACATAATACTTAACCTCTTTGAATGATTTCTTAGTTATGTGCCTTAGGGAAACTACTTAAGCTCTTTGGATCATTATTTTTCTCATCTGTAAAACTGGGATGAGAATATACAATTCATGGAGTTTTTTGTGATCACGGTGACTGCACAGAGTAGGGGCTCAGTAGATTCAGTGAGGGCTGCAGCTAGGCAGTGTGAATATTAGTTCCCTTCTCATTTTCTTTTTTTTTTTTTTTTGAGACAGAGTCTCGCTCTGTCGCCCAGGCTGGAGTTCAGTGGCGCGATCTGGGCTCACTGCAAGCTCCGCCTCCCGGGTTCACGCCATTCTCCTTCCTTAGCCTCCCGAGTAGCTGGGACTACAAGGCGCCCACCACCATGCCTGGCTAATTTTTTTGTATTTTTAGTAGAGATGGGGTTTCACCGTGTTAGCCAGGATGGTCTCGATCTCCTGAACTCATGATCCGCCCGCCTCGGCCTCCCAAAGTGCTGGGATTACAGGAGTGAGCCACCGCGCCCAGCCTCCCTTTTCATTTTCTATGGCTATTTTGGGAAAAGAGTAACAACAGCGGGAGTGCAGGCAGAGCAGTCCCTAAGCAACGTTATGATGTATGTGCTTGATACAAGTCAGTCACAAATTGTTCAGTGCACAGTAAGTTTTCACTTAATGCTGTTGATAGATTCTTGGAAACCGTGACTTTAGGTGAACTGACTATAAAAAAAAATTATCACGGCCTAATTGATATAAACAACAGTTAAGTTCCTATGGCATATATTCCTGGTCACAAAAACATCATCAAACTTGTTAATAAAGACTCAGGCCGGCCGTAGTGTCTCACGCCTGTAATCCCAACACTTGGGGAGACCAAGGTGGGCAGATTACCTGAGGTCAGGAGTTCAAGATCAGCCTGGCCAACATGGTGAAACCCTGTCTCTGCTAAAAACACAAAAATTAGCTAGGCATGGTGGCATGCCTGTAATCCCAGCTGCTCAGGAGGCTGAGGCAGGAGAATCACTTGAACCCAGGAGGGGGAGGTTGTGGTGAGCCGAGATCACACCACTGCACTCCAGCCTGGGCAACAGAGCAAGATGCAGTCTCAAAAAAAAAAAAAAAGACTCAAAACATTTCCAGTATTAAATATTGAAATAAATGTGAGCTATACATGCATTTAGGAAAGATTAGGCCAGGTGAGGTAGCTCATGCCTATAATCCCAGCATTTTGGGAAGCCAAGGTGTGCAGATAACTTGAGTCTAAAAGTTCAAGACCAGCCTGGGTGACATGGTGAAACCCCCGTTTCTACAAAAAAATACAAAAATTAGCTGAGCATGGTGGTGTGCACCTGTGGTCCCAGCTACTTAGGAGGCTGAGGTGGAAGGATCGCTTGAACCTGGGAGGTGGAGGTTGCAATGAGCTGAGATCATGCCACTGTGCTCCAATCTGGGAGACAGACCAAGACCTCCCTCAAAAAAAAAAAAAAAAAAAAAATTAATAAAAGCAAGTAAGATTTACCTATTTTTGGTGAATCAGTGAGTAACAGTGGTCATACTGGTGGTGGGTTAAACCAAGGAATAAATGTGTGCAGAGTGAAAATTGTAAGGCGCAACTCCTCCCACCACACAGGGTAAATGAGAACAAATTCAGCAGTCTCCCTGAGTGCTTTCATACCTCATTGTTTATTGTGTATTTGTATGAGTATTGTCTACTTTATTGTGTATTTGTATGATTATCATCTACTTTACGAATTTTTATTTTACAATAATTTATATTCATTCATTCATTCATTTTCCGACTCATTTATTCCAGTTCAGGGTCCTGAGTGGCCAGAGCCTATCCTGACAGCTTAGGGAACAAGGTGGGAAGCAGCCCTGGATAGGACCTTATCCCATCATAGGGCACACATATGCACGCGTGCACACATGCACACACACTCACTCAGACTAGAACAATGTAGACACGCCAGTGAACCTAATGTGCACATCTTTGGGATGTGAGAGGAAAGTAGTTGGCATGGCATGGGGAGAACCAGCAAACTCTGCACAGACAGTGACCCCAGCCAGGAATTGATTCTTTTTTTACCCCCCTCATCAGCATTGTAATAAAACAACATTGGGTGAAACAATGTTATTCTAGAATCTAAAAGGGGACCACTGTGGGTGGAAATCCAGTCTGTGCTCCAAGATGTGCAACAGGGGTCTCTCTCTCTCTCTCTCTTTTTTTTTTGAGACAGAGTCTTGTTCTGTCACCCAGGCTGGAGTGCAATGGCATGTTCTCAGCTTACTGCAACCTCCGCCTCCCAGGTTCAAGCGATTCTCCTGACTCGGCCTCTTGAGTAGCTGGAGTTACAAGCACGCGCCACCACGCCTGGCTAATTTTTGTGTTTTTTAGTAGAGATGGGGTTTCACCATGTTGGCCAGACTGGTCTTGAACTCTTGAGCTCAGGTGATCCACCCACTTTGGCCTCCCAAAGTGCTGGGATTACAAGCATGAGCCACGGCGCCTGGCCAGGGCCTCTTTTTCTAATTTGTACAAAAGTGCTCCATTCTCTACACTTGTTTCTGGTCCACTATCTATTCCTTCCCACTTTCCCCAGGAGCTCAATGACTTTATATGCCATGACCCCTCACTGCAGTTCCCACTCTAACCTACCTCATACCTATTAGGCCATCCTGTATCATTTGATTCTGCACGAAAATCCTAATCTCTCCAGAGTCCTACTCTGTCAGGACTCTTCCAAGAGGCAAGTGCTAATTGCATAAATAAATTTCAGCTAAGGTATTGACAAGATCTTTCTTTAGTTATACTGTCCACTGGCATTTTCACAGAGGTTTCCAGTGCTCTAACCCAAACGAGCAAATAATGTGAGGGTTTGAGGTATTAAGGCAAAGCTAATGTAGCAAAGCAGTTTGAAAGCATAATTTTTTTGACTGGGCGCGGTGGCTCATGCCTGTAATCCCAGCACTTTGGGAGGCCGAGGAGAGCGGATCGCGAGGTCAGGAGTTCAAGACCAGCCTGGCCAATGTGGTGAAACCCCATCTCTACTAAAAATATAAAAATTAGCTGGTCATGGTGGTGTGCGCCTGTAGTCCTAGCTATTCCAAGGCTGAGACAGAAGAATTGCTTCAACCGGGTAGGTGGAGGTTGCAGTGAGCCGAGATCACGCCACTGCACCCCAGCCTGGTGACAGAGCAAGACTCCGATTCAAAAACAACAACAAAAAAGAAAACAGGATTTTTTTTTTCCCACAGCACATCCTACCTGCCTACTCTGCTAATGTGTAAAATTGGACGTGGCATTGCATATAGACAAGGAAGTAGAAGCTGCATATGTGTAAGGGCCAATCCTTCCTAGCCATATCAGCCAGTCCATTCAAAGAGTCAACAAGAACTTTGGACCCTATACTAGTACCTACCCCAAAGGAAGAGAGTGTAGGAGGGGCAGATTTTGTGGTATAGTGAAAAGAGAACCGCTTTGAGAGTTTGGAAACTTGGATTATAGTCTTGCCTTCACCACTAAATAGCTTTGTGGTCTTGGGAAAGTCAGTTATGCGCTTAGACCTCAATGGCTCCGTTGTGGACTAAGAGACTGAATTAGAGACCTGAATTAGAGACTCTTTCAAGTCTTTTTCAGCTCTAACCTTCTTTTTTTTTTTTTCTGGAGACGGAGTTTCGCTCTTGTTGCCCAGGCTGGAGTGCTATGGTACAATGAATGGCACAATCTCAGCTCACTGCAACCTCCGCCTCCCAGATTCAAGCAATTCTCCTGCTTCAGCCTCCCAAGTAGCTGGGATTACAGGCAAGCGTCACCACACCTGGCTAACTTTGTATTTTTAGTAAAGATGGGGTTTCTCCATGTTGGTCAGCCTGGTCTTGAACTCACGACCTCAGGTGATCCACCCGCCTCAGCCTCCCAAAGTGCTGGTATTACAGGCTTAAGCCACCACTCCCCACCTTCAGCTCTAACCTTCTATCTTGCTTTTTTTCCATTGCAAACTGAATGGCCTGGGAGATATAAAAGCAATGCTGAATTATAGCTTTAAGAGAACTATATTGGACTGCACATCAAGAGTGCTGGTTTCTGGAGGGGCAGATTACATTAATAGTTAAGAGTATAGGTGCTGGGGTCCTTCATTCCTGAGTTTGGGAACTGAATTTAAAACGATTCTTTTTTTTTTTTTTTTGAGATGGGCTCTGGCTCTATTACCCAGGCTAGAGTGCAGAGTGCAGTGGTGCAATCTCAGCACACTGCAACCTCTGCCTCCTGGGTTCAAGCAATTCTTCTGCCTTGGCCTCCCAAGTAGCTGGGACTACAGGAGCCTACCACCTCACCTGGCTAATTTTTGTATTCAAACAATTTTTTTTTAATTTTTATTATTTTTTTGAGACAGAGTGTCGCTCTTGTTGCCCAGGCTGGAGTGCAATGGTGCAATCTTGGCTCACCGCAACCTCGGCCTCCCAAGTTCAAGTGATTCTCCTGCCTCAGCCTCCCGAGTAGCTGAGATTACAGGCATGTGCCACCATGCCTGACTAATTTTGTATTTTTAGTAGAGACAGGGTTTCTCCATGTTGGTCAGGCTGGTCTCGAACTCCCAACCTCAGGTGATCCGCCTGCCTCAGACTCCCAAAGTGCTCCAAAGTGCTGGGATTACAGGTGTGAGCCACGGCATCCAGCTAATTTTTGTATTTTTAGTAGAGACGGGGTTTCACCACATTGGCCAGGCTGGTCTTAAACTCCTGACTTCAGTGATCTGCTCACCTTGGCTTCCCAAAGTGCTGGGATTACAGGCATGAGCCACCGCACCCAACCTGAATTTGGGCAGATTCTTAACCTCAATTTCTTCATTTATAAAAGAGGAATACTAAATTGTTTAATACAGATTCCTTAATACAAATTCTTTTTTTTTTTTTTTGAGATGGAGTCTCAATCTGTTGCCCAGGCTAGAGTACAGTGGCACGATCTCAGCTCACCGCAACCTTTGCCACCCAGGTTCAAGCGATTCTCCTGCTTCAGCCTCCCAAATCGCTGGGATTATAGGCGCCTGCCACTGCGCCCAGCTAATTTTTGTAGTTTTAGTAGAGACGGGATTTCACCATCTTGGCCAGGCTCGTCTTGAGCTCCTGACCTCATGATCTACCCACCTCGGCCTCCCAAAGTGCTGGGATTACAGGCGTGAGGCACCAGGCCCGGCAATACAAATTCTTAACACAAATTTCTTAATCTGTTTTATGAGATACTTTGTCACCTGCTCCTATTGCCTCTCTGATATCAAATGTTGCTACTCTCCCTCTGGCATTTACTCCTACTAATCTTTCAGACCTCACCCAATATTGCTTCCCTGGAAGTGCCTTCTCAGATCCTCAAATCTGGGTGAATGACCTCCTACAATCCTCCCCTGCTTCCCTTATTTTTATTATATGGTAAGCTTTGTTAGGCCAGAGACTTCATTTTGTTAGCTGTGGTAACTTAACCAAGTCATATTATTTGTTGAAATAAAGAGTTAATTTCTTGGACCTCAAGGATAACCATTACTGCAGTTGCAGAATTTGTTTTATTAAATTTAAGAAGTATTTCAGATCCTTTTAGCTAGGAGATGTCTGGACGCAGTGTAGTTACAGCTAACAGATTTGGAAGAGTATAAAGCCAAAGTTCATCTTATTTATTCAGATGCTTTTAGGAACTATTCTTTGTGACCAGCATTTATTAAAAGTGTATCTGTCAAGATGAAACAAAAATTGAGAATTCCATCCTAAAGGATGCATTCTAGAGATGATTAGGGTTTTACTTTTCAAAATTAGCCTGCTTAGTATTAGCTTATATGTAAAATTTAATTCAAGAAGATTCACTTATGTCCCAGGACTTTTTCTTTTTTTCGAGACAGCGTCTTGCTCTGTTGCCCAGGCTGGAGTGCAGTGGCACGATCTCAGCTCACTGCAACCTCCACCTCCCAGGTTCAAGTGATTCTCCTGCCTCAGCCTCCCGAGTAGCTGGGACTACAAGCATGTGCCACTATGCCCGGCTAATTTTTTGTATTTTTTAATAGAGATGGGGAGCCACCACACCCGGCAAGGACTTTTTTTTTTTTTTTTTTTAAGAGATGGAGTCTTGCTTTGTTGCCAAGGCTGGAGTGCAGGCATGTGATCTCAGCTCACTGCAGCCTCATCCTTCCTGGCTCAAGCGATCTTATCACCTCAGCCTACTGAGTAGCTGGGACCACAAGCATGTGCCACCACGCCTGGCTAATTTTGCTTATTTTTTGTAGAGACAAGGTCTCATTGTGTTGTCCAGGATGGTCTCAAGTTCCTGAGCTCAAGCAGTCTTCCTACCTCAGCTTCCCGAAGTGCTGGGATTACAGGCATGAGCCACCACACCCAGCCGGTCCCAGGACTATTTCTGAGAAGGGGACCTGGTTGGCAAACAAGCAGTTATTTGTCTCTTCATATTTTTTCACCTTCCAAAAGGCAAAATTGGTAAGAAAGCAGCAAAGCAGCAAAGGCGATTTTAAAAGAACCATTACATCTTTACAATCTTTATTAAATCCTCTTTGATATCAAATCTATATTGTGGGAGGTAATAATAAAGATATTTCGAAATTAACTTGGCATTCTGAGTAAGGACCTTTCACATGTCTTGGGTTAATCATCTAGTGGTATTATGTGAAAACTTTCTCTTCTTGGCAATAAACAAAATATTTTTATCAAATAAATAATAGGCATAATTGCTTCAGGGTCCTAAAGTAGTAGAATTTATAGATGCTGAAAACTCAGCTTAAATTTTTTATTTTATTTTATTTTTTTTGAGACAGAGTCTCGCTCTGTAGCCCAGGCTGGAGTGCAGTGGTACAATTTCGGCTCACTGCAAGCTCCACCTCCCAGGTTCATGCCATTCTCCCGCCTCAGCCTCCCGAGTAGCTGGGACTACAGGTGCCTGCCACCACGCCCGACTAATTTTTTGTATTTTTAGTAGAGACGGGGTTTCACCGTGTTAGCCAGGATGGTCTCGATCTCCTGACCTGGTGATCTGCCCGCCTCGGCCTCCCAAAGTGCTGGGATTATAGGCGTAAGCCACTGAGCCTGGCCAGCTTAAATTTTAACAAGCTTATTAGTTTAGTTATTTCCTCGATAGTGAGTAACCCAAAGGGCCCTGTTTCAACCTAATATATATATATCTTAGCAAAGCAAGGCATGAAGAAAGTAACACAATGTCATCTTATAATTCCCTGAGACAGAAATTTAGTTTTTACCCTAGGCAATGAAGTAGCTTAAAACTATTTAAATAGAATTGTACTCTACTATGCATTGACAGGAAAAAAATTACAATTTCTTTGTGTCTTTTTTTTTTTAATGGAGGCAGGGCCTCACTATGATGCCCAGGCTAGTCTCGAACTTCTGGGCTCCAGTGATCCTCCTGCCTTTGCCTCAGCTTCCCCAGTGGCTGGGATTATAGGTGTGCCACTGTACCTGGCTATTCCTCATGTCTTCTTTTTTTTTTCTTTCCGGAGTCTCGCTCTGTCACCCAGGCTGGAGTGCAGTGGCGCGATCTCGGCTCACTGCAACCTCTGCCTCCTCGGTTCAAACAGTTCTCCTGTCTCAGCCTCCTGAGTAGCTGGGACTACAGGTGCATGCCATCACACCTGGCTGATTTTTGTATTTTTAGTAGAGGCAGGGTTTCGCCATATTGGTCAGGCTGGTCTCAAACCCCTGACCTCAGGTGATTCACCCGCCTTGGCCTTCCAAAGTGCTGTCATTACAGGTGTGAGCCACTATGCCTGGCCTCTTCATGTTTTCTTAATAAAGTCATTGAGTGGGGTGATTATTACATTGGTGGTATGTTTTAAATTCATGTTATGTTAATGTTCTGAGATTACTCAAGGGATCTTTCATTCTTTGGAGTGATGTGTAAATGTTGGACTACAAAGTTATGGGAAGGATTTATTCCATTTCAAGGTCAGGGTTATGGTAGTTAGATAAATATTTCAGAAAAAGAAATACACAATATAGGGAATGCAAATTTTGGAAAATTTCTCCTCACATATGTTGCCTGGCACCTACTATTCAATATATTTTTCTTGACTGACTGACAACGAATGAATTAGTAAATTATATCAATCCAGGTCTTGTCGCCTACTCTTATCCCAACTCTGAATTAATAATAATTATTTTCTGAGCTTCAACCAATGCTTTTAGATGCTTTTGCTCCCAATTTTGGCAGCTGGAATGGCTTTTAAAGTGCCTAATTAAGAACAATTTGTTAATAATTATCTCTGAATAATTTCCTTCCCCCTTCTATTCTTTTTTTTTTTTTTTTTTTGAGACAGAGTTTTGCTCTTGTTGCCCAAGATGGAGTGCAATGGTGTGATCTTGGCTCACTGCAACCTCCAGCTCCCAGGTTCAAGCTATTCTCCTGCCTCAGCCTCCAGAGTACCTGGGATTATAGGCGCACACCATCATGCCCACTTATTTTTTGTATTTTTAGTAGAAAGGGTGTTTCACCATGTTAGCCAGGCCGGTCTTGAAGTCCTGACCTCAGGTGATCCGCCCACCTCGGCCACCAAAAGTGCTGGGATTACAGGCATGAGCCACCATGCCTGGCCTCCCTCTTCTATTTTTTAAGCTATCTTTATGCTCTCCAAGTCTTTTACTATTTTTCATTCCTTAGGTTAGTTTTTATTAAATAAAAGAGAACAAAACTTTTTCTCTCTGCCTTTTAATAAATGTGACCCTTTCTGTCATCCTTTCCTTGATCCTTTCCAAATCAGCAGCAGTTGCTGTAAGTGACGACTGAGAGACAAGATGCCAAGTGCAATGGCTAAATTTAAAGAGCAGCGTTTGCACCTGTTGTTAACCGGCAATGACCAATCTCACGCCTACAGTTTCCTCCACGCCCTGCCTGCCACCAAGTACAATCCATAGCCCAGATTCTATGTGTTCATGTGTAAATAAGTACTGATGAAGATTATATACATTATATCAAAATTGAGAACGAATATAGCTTTTTCTTTTCTTTTCTTTTCTTTTTTTTTTTAGGGATGGAGTCCTCCTATGTCACCAAGGCTGGAATGCAGTGGTATGATCATGGCTCACTGCAGCCTCAGCTTCCTGGGCTCAAGTGATACTCCCACTTCAGCCTCCCAAGCAGCTGGGACTACAGACATATGCCACCACACCAGGCTAATTTTAAAATTTTTTTGTAGAGATAGAGTCTCACTATGTTGCTCCCAGGCTGGTCTCAAACTCCCGGGCTCAAATGATCCTCCCAGCTTGGCCTCCCAACATGCTGGGATTACAGGTGTGAGCCACTGCATCCAGCCCCAAAAATAGCATTTTGAAAATATATTAGTTTAGTTTAAGAGGAGCTGAAATTTGGACAAAACCCGGCATGATATAAAGATGTATGGGACCTTGAAGAAGGCAGACTAATATGGCTCAGTATTTGATGAATTTTTGAAGACTTTTAAGGGACCAAAATAATTTTTTTAGACTTGCCATACTTTGTGAAATTCTTTTAAGATATCAGCATTGGAAGCTCCTATAAATATAAGTGTTGTATAAAAGAGGCAATCTAAGGAGGCAATCTAACTGACATCATCTAAAGTTAGCTTCAATTAATTTGCCAGATTGGCACCTCTAACCTGGAAGAGCTCTGTAGGAGAAAGATAGTAACATAAACAATTTTGATATGAAATATACATAGAATGGTGAAAGAAGGGAACTGTGGCCCAGCCAGTCAAAATAGCCTAATTAAGTAGATGTGATAATCAAGGCCTATGACAGACCTCCCAGTCAGATCAGCTCAGATCCAGGACCGAGATACTGAGATAGAAAGTCAAACAACAAATTATGAGAAGATGCAAGAGGGAGAGTTTAATTTTACTGGGACATTTACCCTCAGATGCGACCAAGCTGGTATTCAAAAGAACAGTAGGACAGGTGGCTACAGGGAGAGTAGGAGCAAAGAGTGGAGGTTGGAAGTGTCAGGGCATGTTCAGGGTACGGAGAGTAGATATCTGGGCAGGAGGCCGGGTGCGGTGGCTCATGCCTGTAATCCTAGCACTTTGGGAGGCTGAGGCGGGTGAATCACATGGACAAACCCTGTCTCTACTAAAAATACAAAATTAGCCGGGTGTGGTGGCACATGCCTGTAATCTCAGCTACTCGGGAGGCTGAAGCAGGAGAATCACTTGAACCCAGGAGGCAGAGGTTGCAGTGAGCCGAGATCACACCACTGTACTCCAGCCTGGACCACAGAGTGAGACTCCATCTCAAAAAAAAAAAAAAGATATCTGGGCAGGGGATTGCTGAGAGAGGAGCCACTTTACCAGTTTGGGATTTTTTTGTAGTTCAACCCTATTAGAGAAAGTTGTGATCTTTTGGCCCTTTTAAATGCTCTGGAATGGATGGTGTTGGGTCCCATAAGAATGTGAGCCGAATTCTTATTCACTTAGGAGGTGTGGTTTATTTAAGTGTAAAATTAGTGTCCCACCCCTTAAATCACTTCTGATAGAGACAAAAGACTTCCTATATCAAGAAGTCTAGTAAGCAGAAGATTACGGGAGACCACACGTCAACGGAACACAAAAAGGACAGCTTTAAAGTATGCTGCCAGCCTCTCAGATTCCGAGAAACACGAACAAAGATAATCCTATTTGAACAAGCCCTGCCCTTCTCAACTCAATGTTTTCCTGGAGTTCTGCTCTAGACAGAAAAACTTGCAGATTGGATGTTCCTGACCTAAAACAATGTTAGATTATAAGGCCACTAAGTTATAAAATGAATGTGGAGTCTGTCATCCTTTGGAGACCAGGACATGAGCCTCCTTCCACACAAAACATTTTACAGGGAATATATAAATCTATCTCTGACTTAGTATTTTTATTTATTCACTTTTTTGAGACATAATCTTACTCTGTCATCCAGGCCCTATCAGTGGCCCTATCATAGCTTACTGAAGCCTCCAACTCCTGGGTTTAAGGGATCCTCTCACCTCAGCCTCCTCAGTAGCTGAGAGTACTGACACGCATCACCACACCTGGCTAATTTTTTTGTAGAGCTAGGGTCTTGCCATGTTGCCCAGGCTGGTATCTCTGATTTAGAGTAGGGTCGAAATCTATATTAGAGTAAGGGAAATGGGAGTGTTGGAGGAAGAAAAAAGAGAAAAATGAGGAAGGAAAAATTGTGTGTGTGTGTGTGTGTGTGTGTGTGTGTGTGAAGTGAAAATAAATATAGATATAGACAGAAAAATATATGTCCTGCAGTTTAAGAGTAGAACCCTTCTCAACTACACTGACTAGAAATATTTATGATCCAGAGGAGCTGACAGAAAAAAGACAGAAATCATCACAGAAACTAGGAAGTCATGGGAACAGGCGTGGTAGTGATGAAGAGATGACTGCAGGTGGATATATGAGGAGAAATGGGAATAAAAACATCTGGAAAAACAGTAAAGCATAGCCAGCAAACAGGTCTAGGCTGTGGTTCGTGATAAATATTGGAAGGCGAAACCCTTTCCTTTTGGCTTTCCTCTTCGTATACCTTTTCCTGTTAAATACTGTTGATTTCACTTGAATAATAATTCGTATTATCAGTAAACAATGAAATGCAGCCCCTAGATCTCTGGGCAGATTCCTTTTATGCTTTCCTGATCATGTCAATGAACCGTGTGCATCACCTACCCTAGCTATTCTGGAATGTTTAGGCAAATACTCCACTGAGTTGAGTCATACTTGAGAGCTGACGTCAGTGTACATTTTAGTAGAGAACCCAGTTAAGGTTTCATGCTCCAGGAAGCCTGTTCTGATTAGTTTTAGCTTAAAAAAAAAAAAAAGATAGTAGAGAACCTAGTTAAGGTTTCTTGCTCCAGGAAGCCTGTTCTGATTAGTTTTAGCTTAAAAAAAAAAAAAAAAAAAAAAGATCAACCTGTGCTTAAGAGTTGGCACAGAAAACAATTCTGCAGCCATGTTGGTTTTAGTGACCATGTTTTTAAAATTACAAAGTAATATGCAGGTGAGAACAATTTACTTTTCATATATATATAAATTGTAAGATGTGTATACATATACATCTTAAATTCAAGCAGATGAGAATACTTTAAACCATTCAGAAGAATAGCTACCCCTTAAAACTTCCCAGAGGTAACATGTTTTCTTCTGGAAATTACCATCTATCTAAGTTATACATATATATAAATTACTTTAAAAAGGGTCATCTATACTGTGTTATCTATATTATTTAAATGTATAGATAGCACCTGTAATCCAAGCATTTTGGGAGGCTGAGGTGGGAGAATCACTTGAGGTCAGGAGTTCAAGACCAGCCTGGCCAACGTGGTGAAACCCCCATCTCTACCAAAAATACAAAAATTAGCTGGGCGTGGTGGTGCAACACCTGTATTCCCAGCTACTCAGGAGGCTGAGGCGAGAGGATCGCCTCTGAACCCAGGAGACAAAGCTTGCAGTGAGCCAAAATCGTGCCACTGCCCTCCAGCCTGGGCGATAGAGTGAGACTTCGTCTCAAAAAAATATATATATACACATATATAAATAAAAATATATATATTATATAATAAAAAAGTATAGATAGAATAATTTTTTTTTAAGAGAGAGAGTCTCGCTCTCTCACCCAGGCTAGAGTGCAGTGCCATGATCATAGCTCACCATAACCTCAAATTTCCTGGGCCCAAGCAAGCCTCCTGCCTCAGCCTCCTGAGTAGCTGGGACTACAGGCGTGCACCACCACACCCAACTAATTAAAAAATATATATTTTTAGAGATAGGGTCTCGCTGTGTTGCCCAGGCAAGTCTCAAATATGTGGTCTCAAATGATCCTCCTGCCTCAGTCTCTCAAAGAGCTGGGATTACAGATATGAGCCACTGTGCTTGGCCCTCAATTTTTTAATGGTTGAATAATTTTCTGTTACAAAGTTAGTGTCTAATGTATTTAACCATTTCCCTATTGGAAGACATTGAGGTTTTCTTCAACTTCTTTCTCATGAAAGTTACAATTTTTAAAAGTTTTCTGTGGTTGTCTTGCCCTCCTTTTTAAATGTAGTATCTCTGGAGTGATCAGCACAATCTCTGGCACATAGCAGGTATGTTAATTCCCTTTCCTTCTCTCTCTATATAATGTGTGTGTATATACAGGCACACACACACATACTTTTTTTTAGGTTTGAGAAGAACTTTCTGTTGAGCTATCTACACTTTCTCCTTATCAGGCTTGGCCAACCAGCTCATATGAGATATGTCCTTTGCAGCTATGAAGAAGTTTTTCTCTGTGAGGAGATAATTGATATTTGTTTAAATTAATTGCCGGCCTTGGATTATCAACACCCAGAACTGAGTATAGTCAGTGAATCCTCAGATTTATACAGCCTATCTCTCTCTGGTGCATCAGTGGTTTCATCTTAGTAGATAAAAGATGACACATTTTGGTAAATAGGTAGGATGAAAACTTTTGCTAATACTGCCCATTTCATGTTTGTGCACTTAAAAGTATTATTTACTTAGTTCTTTTGCTAATGCATATGAGTAAATCTCACTGCAGGATGCACATCTAATTTTCATGCTTGGAAAAATAGAGTAAAGGCAATTCTAGTAAAATTTCTTAAAGTGGAAAGTGGAAATGGAGCAATCCTGATTCATAGCTAGATCTGGTGACAGCACAGAAAATAAAAACAAAACTAAAATCCATGGTGATCTCTGTAAGAAGGCATGAAGGGGTGAGAGAGAAAATGGCACAGCATGGGTAAATACATCAAATGCAGTTGGGATAAATATAGATGGGTGGAAAATAATTGTAAGGGAAATTGTTCCAGGAATGTCATGGATTTCCAACTAGGGGGATTACTGTGTGCAGCTGTTGAATGGGGGCTCATTCTTGAGGTCTCAAGTTCCACCTGTTGGGCAATAAAGCCTTTTGAGTGAGTGACATGATATCTACCCCGGAGAAGCCAATCATCTCACTGTTTTGGTGTAGGTGGGGCATAAGGATTAAACAAACAAAAAACTTCCACGTCATTTTTTAGCTATTCTTGGCCAAGAAGGTACCATTTCAGTCAAACTTTAAAGAATATTCTTAGAATAAGTGATAACATTTTCTTCGTATTTATGTGTGTGTTTTGTTTTTGTTTTAAATTTATCATCTAAGGCTACACTACAAAGATGTTTTCCAAAATTTAAAATAATGCTTGTATTTGCTTCCCAAACTATTTTCCTGCTCCAGATTTTAAAAAGAGGTGTGAGAATTTAATCAGCTCATAATAATAAACAGCTAGCAAGGAAATACTCTTCTAAGGAAATTCAGGACCCAAAATCTTTCTTAGGCAGTATTCAAGGAGCCCTCATTGTGAGTTTAAGTGGAAAGAAGTGTTTTTCAAGAGAAAGTGTTTGTTATTCCAAAGCGTATTCTGATAACTATTTCGGCAAAATTATGAAGCATCATTAAAATAGCCTTTTACATGAATTTTTTTTTTTTTTTTTGAGATGGAGTCTTGCTGTGTCGCCCAGGCTGGAGTGCAATGGCCCGATCTCGGTTCACTGCAAGCTCCGTCTCCCGGGTTCACACCATTCTCCTGCCTCAGCCTCCGGAATAGCTGGGACTATAAGCGCCCGCCACCACGCCTGGCTAATTTTTTGTATTTTTAGTACAGATGGGGTTTCACCGTGTTAGCCAGGATGGTCTCGATCTCCTGACCTCGTGATCCGCCCGCCTCTGCCTCCCAAAGTGCTGGGATTACAGGCGTGAGCCACCGCGCCCGGCCTTACATGATTTTTTATTACGTTATTAATGTGTTCTGTTTCTGTAAATGCACACAAAGTCAAATATGATAAAATAGTGCTGTTTCTGGAGAGTGTGAGAATATCCGTATAAAGGTGCTGTAAAAATGAATTGGGTATTTGAGATGTATACACGTCAGTTAATTCACTCTGAAGGCATGTACTCATTCTGGGACTTTGATATTGTAATCGTTCTACCTCTCCTATATTATGCTACGCATCACAGTCATTAGATCACTCCGTGATGTAGAGTTAATTTCAGCATATCTAAATATTATCAGTTATGAATGATAATTCTAGGCGTGTAGTTGAGAGTTACAGCATACACCGTTAATGGTTATTAATTTGGTGCCTATTTTGCCAACTTAGAACACTCACTTAGAACTCAACTTCGAACAAAGCTTTTCACAAATATCTATATCCCCCGTTACTCTTATCATAGCTCTATTGTTGGTGAAGATTAGCCGAACTGAACATGCCATCTCTATTGCTGTTATTTTCACGGGTTTGGGTGTCAATTATGGGTTCCCTAGAATTTGCCCGTAATTGACTATGTCCCACTATAGGTAACTCTGGAAGGGACTGGCAGCTTCCAGTGTGGTTCTCCCGCCTGTCGATTGGACCTTGCAGGAAGCCCCGCCTCATCAACTCAGTCAAGGGCTTTAGTTGGCCCGGCGTCGGTGAGTGGCGGGTCTTAGCTCCGCCCTGGCCGTCCGCTGCGCTGCCTGGGTCGGCGCCGTTTCCAGTTGAGAGATGGCGGCCGCCGCAGGTAGATCGCTCCTGCTGCTCCTCTCCTCTCGGGGCGGCGGCGGCGGGGGCGCCGGCGGCTGCGGGGCGCTGACTGCCGGCTGCTTCCCTGGGCTGGGCGTCAGCCGCCACCGGCAGCAGCAGCACCACCGGACGGTGAGCGAGCGCGCCCGGAGGCTCCGGGGAGGGCGGGGCGGCGCTGGCGTGTGGGAGCCGCCGGCGGGCAGGCCGCCGGGGCAGCAGGCGAGTTACCTCAACTCCCGGCCGCTCCGGAGGTTGCCGGGCACCGAGGAGCCGCCGTGCCCTTCAGGCGCCTGCGGCGGCGACCAGGAAGGGAGGGCGGGCGGGAGGAAGCCGAGAGGAGGAGGAGGGGCGACGGCGGGGATGTTCCCGCAGGACTGGGGACACCAGGGCGGGGAAGGCACGGGACTTGAACCTCTCCCCGACTCGCCCCCAATCGCGTTCCCTCCCTTCTTCGTTCTTAACAGCCCTGCCCCAAGGCTCCCTGAACGGAGCCAGATGGAAGTTGTCCCCTTTCCCTCCTCCTCCGGGCGGGTTGGGGAGTTCTGAGTTGCCGCGGCCGCCTTGTGTGTGCCAGGAGAGTGGCAGTGCCATGCTGCTGGGAGCTGCCCCGGAGAGCAGCCCAGGACCCCGGCGGGGCCGCCCCTCGTCCTCTCTCGTCCCCGAGGGGTCGGGCAGGAAGGAAAATCAAACTTTATTCCCCTCTGTGACTTCCTCTGTGTGTGTGCATGGGGAACCGGCTCCCTCGAGATGGATGCTGCATTGCTTCAGGAGGCAAGCTTCATCCTCTTGGGTCCTTAAAGGTGCTTTTGGGGGTCCTTTCGAGGGCTACTGTATAAGCGTGTTCACGCGTGCCTGAAGCGGGAAGGGTGGTCAGCAGGCACAGGAGAAGCGAATATGGTAAGTTGTTGACAGAGGCAGAGATTTGGTGGTTGTATTAACCAGTTGTTGCTGGGTTTCATTGGCTGGCAGAAAAAGAGGATTTCTGTTTGAACACTCTTGGGTGAGTGTGTGTGTGTGTGTGTGTGTGTGTGAGAGAGAGAGAGACAGAGTGTGAGAGAGATTTCTTTTTTCAATTGCAAGAGATGAATTTGGCATGGAGTTCTTAACCTAACAAGTCAGGAGGTTTCCTTCCCTTGGACTTTCTAGACCTATATGTGTTGGTCTCTGGCCAGCTCTGAGGGAAAGAATGTAGGTTTTATTTGCTGGGGCTGAGTTGTATAGTGTGATTATTGGAGGATCACTGCAAACAGCTTGATAGGAGAAACTACAATAGTACCTTCAACCCTCAATAAACACATCGCCTGCCTTGTTCTGATCATAACTCTTAAGAGGAAACTGAACTGGAGCTCTTCGGAGAGGATACTCCTAAGGCCAATGACAGCATCAAAATCGAGTGCCTGAAAGATCTATGAAAAGACCTAATGCTCTGCAAAAGCAAGGTTGTATTGTTATTATTAGTCATAGGTATGGACCCTATCCTCATTCTTGTGAGAAGATTGTACCTCTTTTTATTTGGCATACTGGCATATTGCTTTGCTGAAGCTTTTGGGTGACAGCCAAGAGCTTTTCCACAGTTCAATTTAATTTGCATGTTTCATAGCCTCTAGTTATGTGTTTTGTTCTCTTAAAAACATAAGGCCACCCCAAATTTTGATTGCATTCCCCTTTCCGTCGAACTACTTAAAGGCTTCCCAAGTTGTCCTTAAGTCCATATTTTGATAAGACATCTTCTGACTTTGCACAGTTTTTAAGACTGTTTGGGTGTGATATTCATTTAGCATTTTAAAAAATTTGTGCCTTGTATATTTTCCACTATGCAAATTTGTCAGGCTGTGAGTGTCTCCCTTGTGGGGATACTTCACGAAGGTGTTCTCTGTGCTATTCTAGGGTGGGTAAAAATGAAGTGCTGAATTTGTAACTGAAAGCACAATTAAAACGAAGTGTTATTTCTAAAGGGCAGGAATGTTATGGGAATGGTGACTTGTACATGAATTTAGAATTGTAAGATTTTGAAAAAAATTGAACCTGATTATTTAAAGTGTATAAACATTTTATTTTTCTACAATTCTTCTGAAGCCATCATGTATACAGCTGTTTCCATAGGATAGTCTGTGATTCTTTACAAGAAATTCCATTTAAAAGATATTGAGGCCCTAAAAAGAGAGAGACTTGGCCAAGGTTACGTTAGCTAATACGTAAGTTTTAGGACTCCCACTCATCTGAGATATTCTCACCTCTTATTGTGTTCTTTTCATTGTAAAGTGCAAATGCTCCTTTACATCTCTCTCCTCCCTTATAAAATTTACTATTGTCCATTATGAAAGTATTGCTATTTCAAAACCCCATGAATGGGAATTCTCCTGTAAGTAGGTGTTGATTTGAGTACATATATTAGGTGAATATGGGAGCAAACAACTTACCAGAAAGAATAGATGTTCTGGTAAAGGTCCCTGAGAGACACTAAGGTTGAATCTTGCTTGGGAGACATCCTGTGTATGTGCAGCAGATGGCAGTCTGCATTGGAATGGATCACAAGTCCAGTTTGTGCCACTTTTGTTCCGCTGTATGGTATGGTAAATTACAACCAGGGGGGCATAACCAGTTACAGCACTGCCTAATTTTTTAAGTGAGAAATTCATCTTTTCCAAGTTTCGAGAATGAGTCCAAAGCAATACAGTAGCTCAGCTAGTTGGTAAGTGCAATTATGAAGTTATAAACTTAGTTTGTCTCTTCCCCCTTCTCCATTAGTATGTCATTCAACTGAGTAAATAAGAGTAAAGGTACAGGGGCTTATTCAATATTTTTAGCACCATCTAGTGTAATTTTTTTCCTTCTCTCCGGCTTGTGACTGTAACCAAAACTGATGTAAAATGTTTGTTGCCTGCTTTTCTGTATGGTTAGTGAAGGTGGCTGCTATTTTTAAGTATGATTCTTCGAAGAGGAACTGCCTTTCATTGTGAGCTGTGTAATTCCATTGCTAAAACAAACTATTTCGTCTCTGATTATGACAGCCCCACTGTTGGCATTTTCTAGCAGTTAACGGCTATGCTGAATTACTACATCTTTTACTTAAGTCTGTCATTGTCCTGTTACAGTTTGTGGCTGACTTGCTCTACTTTACACATCACAGTTCTTTTGGCAATGACATTGTTTCAGCTTAACCTGAAAGTTTTAACAGGTTACACTGCCTGACACAGAGGCAGGTCCTAACTCTTTAATTGAGTTCCTCATAGTCTGGCCCAATCTTATTATGCCAGATTCATCCCAGCACAAATACTCTGTTGTACTTAAGCTAGTCTCTGCACTGTCCCATACATTCATACTAAACCTTTATGGATTTTTTGTAGCTGAATTTCAGCCTTTATCACCCCTAATCACTCCTCTAGCCTTTAAGGTTCATTTCAGGTTACAGACTGTGATGTACAATTCCTTTTGAATCTAACATTCGCACTTTACACATGAGGAAACCTAATAAACTGAGGAAAGTCACTTGTTAAGTTATGTTTGTGGTTATGAACAGACCAAGGATTAAAATTCCTTTACTTTTTTTTTTTTTTTTGATACAAGGTCTTGCTTTGTCACCCAGGCTGGAGTTCATTGACACTGTCACAGCTCACTGCAATCTTGAACTCCTGGGCTCAAGCTCTCCTCCCACCTCGGCCTCCCCAAGTAATGTGCACCACCATGCCCAGCTAATTAAAAAAATTTTTTTGGCTGGGTGCGGTGGCTCACACCTGTAATCCCAGCAACTAGGGAGGCTGAGGCGGGCAGATCAGGGGGTCAGGAGTTGGAGACCAGCCTGGCCAACATGGTGAAACCTCGTCTCTACTAAAAAGACAAAAATTAGCTGGGCATGGTGGCAGGCGCCTGTAGTCCCAGCTACTCGGGAGGCTGAGGCAGGAGAATCACTTGAAACTAGAAGGCGGAGGTTGTAGTGAGCCAAGATCATGCCACTGCACTCCAGCCTGGGCGAAAGAGCGAAACTCCGACTCAAAAAAAAAAAAAAAAAAAAAAAATTTTTTTTTTTTTTTTTTTTTGGTAGAGACAGGGTATTTCTACCAGGCTGGTCTTGAACTCCTGGACTCATCTTCCCAAAGAGCTAGTATTATATACGTAAGCCACTACGTCTGGCCAAAAATTCCTTTAAATGGAGATGGATTCAAGAATTCCTAGTGTGAAGATCTGGCCTAAAATTCCTTTAAATGGAGACAGATTCAATAATTCCTAGCGTGAAGATGATACTTTCAGGGATAATTTCTATAATTCGTTACTAGAAAAGTTTCTCTAAATGTGTAGAGAAAAAAACATTTCCTAGTTTGAATCTTGATTTGTGTAATTCCTGGCTCTTAACCCTTTTCTATTGTTGTCTTCTGTCCTCTCTGAATTCTGATGGGATTTATTATCTTTAGGACACAAATTGACACCGACATGATTTCTAAATGTTTTATTTGTGGGCATCTAATCTTAACTGGGGAGATAAAGCAATGATGTGTATCTTATTACCTTTGTGGCTCATAGACTCTAGCACAATGCTGGGTACATAGGTGACACTCAGACAAGCATTAGTTAGCTATGCACCCCTTTTTCTGCTTGCTAGGGAAAAGATATGCCCTTTATCTCCTCTCCCTATCCCCCTACCCCCAGTTTGGCTTGCTTAATAGCCTTCCTTAGGTAGCCACATTTGGAGAATTCCTTTAAGCTTAGTATTGCCAGTGCTGTCTTTGGTTGTATATTACACTTCTTTATGGTGGATTGATGGAAAGAGTTGGTACCATTGGATTAGCTCAGCAGTGGTCATTAGCTTTCTGACAATAGCCAGCAAAAGTATAATAATTACCCAGATTATTACAAGTATATGTTTGAATCAGATTCCACATTTGTTGGTTTATTCTATATTAAGATTTTGAGAGTTCTGGATAAATATGTTTAAGAACAGACTTCTTCTATTTATTTATGTATTTATTTTAGATGGAGTGTTGCTCTGTTGCCCAGGCTGGAGTGCAGTGGCGTGATCTCGGCTCACTGCAACTTCCACCTCCTGGGTTCAAGTGATTTTCCTGTCTCAGCCTCCCAAGTAGCTGGGCATATAGGCGTGTGCCACCATGCCTGGCTAATTTTTGTATTTTTTGTAGAGACTGGGTTTCGCCATGTTGGCCAAGCTGGTCTCGAACTCCTGGCCTCGGGTAACCCACCTGCCTCGGCCTCCCAAAATACTGAGATTACAGGCATGAGCCACTGCACCCAGGCCAGACTTCTATTTTTTTTTTTTTTTTTTTTTTTTTGAGACAGATTCTCGCTCTGTTGCCCAGGCTGGAGTGCAGTGGTGTAATCTCGGTTCACTGCAACCTCCGTCTCCCTGGTTCAAGCGATTCTCCTGCCTCAGCCTCCCAAGTAGCTGGGATTACAGGTGTGCACCACCACGCCCGGCTAATGTTTTTGTATTTTTAGTAGAGACGGGGTTTCACCATGTTGGACAGGCTAGTCTTGAACTCCTGACCTCGTGATCCACCCACCTCGGCCTCCCAAAGTGCTGGGATTACAGGTGTGAGCCACTGTGCCTGGCTGACTTCTTTTATTTTTAAGGAAGCAACCATTCTTTTTATTTTTTATTGTTTTGAGAGACAGTCTTGTTCTCTTAACCAGGCTACAGTGCAGTGGTGTGGTCATAGCTTGCTGGAACCCTCAACTCCTGGGCTTAAGCAGTCCTCCCACTTCAGCCTCTTGAGTAGCTGGGTATATAGGCATGTGATGTGTCACCATGCCTAGCTCATAAAAAGAATTTTTTTTTTTTTTGGAGAAACAGTCTTGCTATGTTGCCCAAGCTGGTTTCTTAACTCCTGGCTTCAATAGATCCTCTCACTTTAGCCTCCCAGAGTGTTGGGATTACAGGCATGAGCTACCACATCCAGCACAAAATCATGCTTATTTTAAAACTCATAAAATATCTGAATAAATGAACTTGGATATCTTAAAATTCTGATTATTTGAACTTTTCTAAGTCCCAAGTGGCTTTTCTTTATGCTTCATGTAATTCTTTTCTTTAACATGAAATCTAAATAGAAAATACAGCATCAAGAGTGGTTTAAGTCAAAGGCAATACATTGGTAGGAAATCATTCAGATGATGTTATCAATGAAATGCTCTTTTATTTCAACTTCAAACATGAGGTAGCCCTAAAACAAAAAATGATTTGCTATCAACTGCTAGGATGTTTTTATTTCTTCTTATGTTTTAGCTTTGCATCCCTATAGATTTTCTTAAAAATTACTGTTTGTTTTCCTGTGATTAAGGTCAAGATTACCTTTTAATATCTCAGGATAGCTGTTAGAATAGAGGATTCAAAGGCTGATAGCCTCACAGAGTCTTACTCTGTCGCCCAGGCTGGAGTGCAGTGGCGCAATCTTGGCTCACTGCAACCTCCGCCTCTCGGGTTCAAGCAATTCTTCTGCCTTAGCCTCCCGAGTAGATGGGGCTAAAGGCACGCGCCACCACGCCCAGCCAATTTTTGTATTGTTAGTAGTGATGGTGTCTCACCATGTTGGCCAGGCTGGTCTTGAGCTCCTGACCTCAGGTGATCGGCCTGCCTCAGCCTCCCAAAGTGCTGGTATTACAGGCGTGAGCCACCATGCTCAGCCCTTTATTCTTTTTTTTTGAGACGAGGTCTTACTCTGTTGCCCAGGCTGAAGTATAGTAGTCTGATCATGGCTCACCGCAGCCTTGAACTCCTGGGCTTAAGTGATCCTCCGACCTCAGCCTTTTGAATAGCTAGGACTACAGGCACAATCCACCACACTGGGCTAATTTTTAAATTTTTTGTAGAGATGAAGTCTCACTATGTTGCCCATGTTGGTCTTGAACTCCTCGGCTCAAGCAGTCCTCCTGCCTTGGCCTCCCAAAGTACTGGGATTATAGGGTGAGCCACCGTGCCCGGACTCTTTATTCTTTGATTAATGCCATACCATGGCTCATGGATATATTAGAATTACTAGGATAACATGTTAGGAAAACTAAGATGTTACTGTGGAAGTTGTGCACTTTAAAGAATCTTAAACGTTTGCCAGCCGTAGTGGCTCAT
Organism: Homo sapiens; assembly: GCF_000001405.40. NCBI lineage: Eukaryota > Metazoa > Chordata > Mammalia > Primates > Hominidae > Homo > Homo sapiens. Next base: position 72,699,245 of record NC_000010.11, read on the forward strand.
GCCTGTAATCCCAGCACTTTGGGAGGCCGAGGCGGGCGGATCATGAGGTCAGGAGTTCGAGACCAGCCTGACTAATATGGTGAAACCCCGTCTCTACTAAAAATACAAAAAAATTAGCTGGGTGTGGTGGTGCGCGCCTGTAATCCCAACTACTCGGGAGGCTGAGGCAGGAGAATTGCTTGAATCCGGGAGACGGAGGTTGCAGTGAGCCGAGATCATGCCACTGCACTCCAGCCTGGGTGACAGAGCAACACTCCGTCCCGGAAAAAGGGAAAAAAAAGAACCTTAGTGATTAGAGTTCAGTAAGACCTTATATTGAGGAAACAAGAGTATGAGTGGTGAAATGGCTTTTTTTTTTTTTTTTATTGAGATGGAGTCACGCTGTCGTCCATGCTGGAGTGCAGTGGCGCTATCTCTGCTCTCTGCAGTCTCTGTCTCCTGGGTTCAAGTGATTCTGCTGCCCCAGCCTCCTGAGTGGCTGGGACTACAGGTGTGCGCCACCGCCCCCTGCCGATTTTTGTATTTTTAGTAGAGATGGGGTTTTGCCATGTTGGTTAGGCTGGTCTCGAACTACTGACCTCAGATGATCTGCGTGTCTTGGCCTCCCAAAGTACTGGGGTTACAGGTGTGAGCCACTGCGCCCGGCCGAAATGGTTTTTTTCTTAGTAGCTCAGCATCTTAATACAGAACTGGAAATGGGTCACGCATCTTCTCATTTTCCTATTCAATTCTTTTCCTACTAAATTACACAATTCTTTGTTTCATTTAAAACACTTAAGCTGAGAGTGGTTCTAAAAAGTGGATTGGGGTCAAATTTTTTTTTTTTTTTTTTGAGATGGAGTTTCGCTGTTGTTGCCCAGGCTGGAGTGCAATGGTGTGATCTCGGCTCACTACAGCCTCTGCCCCCAGAGTTCAAGCGATTCTCCTGTCTCAGCCTCCTGAGTAGCGGGGATTACAGGCACCTGCCACCATGCTGGGCTAATTTTTTGTATTTTTATTGGAGACAGGATTTCGCCATGTTGGCCAGGCTGGTCTTGAACTCCTGGCCTCAGGTGATCCCCCCACTTCAGCCTTGGAAAGTGTTGGGATTACAAGGCGTGAGCCACTGTGCCCGGCCAAATTCTTAAAGTACCTAACGTCAAAGTCAGTCTTGAATAATTACTCTCTAATTTAGATTAAGCTTGATAATAACTGTTAAAAAACCTTTCCTCTGTAGGTTGAACACAAAAGGAAAACAATGCATTTATTTCACTGCACTTTGTTAAATGCTTGCAGTTAGCTTGTGTAAAAATGAAAGTTGGCTTCAAGCAAATTAATTTTAATAAGTTTAGTGAATTATTGGTCCAAAAACTGTGTACACACTTGAATCTTTTATATTGATAAAAATATAACTTCATAAATTTTTTCACCAATTGGGTCTAAAGCATGCTAAAGGTGGAACTTTTTCTAATGCAGTTCTGGAATAATTTGATGATATGACATCGCATTTTGACATCTCAAAGATATGAGCCTTTTCCAAAGGTTCTTTAATGATGTTAATACTATTTATTAATCCAGAAGAGTGGGTATTAATTTTTATGCTTTGTTCCTGAAGTTTTCAGTTTTTATGTATTTTTTCTTGCTATTTATTTTCCACTTTATTGTTTAGGGAGTGTTTGTAATAATCATCAGAAAACTACTGAGGAGTCCATTAGGTGTTTGAGACTGTGTAGACGACAGTTAGAAATGTACAGTCCTGAAGTGTACTGCCTTGTAGGTATCAATATCATTTAAACTTCTTTTTTGTCTGCTGAGACACGCCTACTTTGTACCTCTTTTCTATGATAAGTAATGTAAGAGGATGTTTAAGAGCACTGTATTAATATCTGCTTTAAACTTTAGTTCAGAGAAAGTTAGTATGACTGATAAATTGTCAGATAATAAGAGAGCATATAGGTTAGCTTGAACCACTTGGTTTCTATAGATAGAGGAATAGATATAGAAGAAACCATCTAAGACCTGAGGACATTGTTACTTCATTTAATTTTTACTATAACCCTATGAGAGGTATTAACCCAGTTTTATAGATTTAAGTGTCATAAACTGGTTTAGTGCTAGGGATGCACTGAAAGGCAGGACGCATGTTTTGGATTTAAGCCTGAGTCTGGCTAGAGTGAGAACTGTACTGTTCTGGGTGTCAGTGTGGGTCATCCTTCCTTTTCCTTTCTGCTCCTTTAGCATGTTCTTCCTCAAGTATCTGCTGCTGTTTTCCTTCAAGAGATCTCGACATCCTTCCTACTGACTACATTTCTTGTTGTTTTGAGACGGAGTCTTACTCTGTCGCCCAGGCTGGAGTGCAGTGGTGCGATCTCGGCTCACTGCAAGCTCCGCCTCCCAGGTTCAAGTCATTCTCCTGCCTCATCCTCCCGAGTAGCTGGGACTACAGGTACACACCACCACGCCCGGCTAATTTTTTGTATTTTCTTCTTAGTAGAGATGGGGTTTCACCATGTTAGCCAGGATGGTCTCGATCTCCTGACCTCATGATCTTCCTGCCTCGGCCTCCCAAAATGCTGGGATTACAGGCGTGATCCACCGTGCCCGGCCCCCACTGACTACATTTCTTAAATTTCTTTCCTCACCCTCCCCTCCCGGTGTTAGCTGTTAGAGGTCTAAGATATGTGCTTCTTGGAGATATTCCTAATTTAGTTTGGATTTCTAAAATGTCCCACCCAGCCGGGCGCTGTGGCTCATGCCTGTAATCCCAGCCTTTTGGGATACTGAGATGGGGGAATCACCTGAGGTCAGGAGTTCAGGACCAGCCTGACCAACATAGTGAAACCCCATCTCTATTAAAAATACAAAAAAAATTAGCCAGTCATGGTTGGGGGGGAGGGGGGCGCCATAATTCCAGCCACTTGGGAGGCCGAGGCAGGAGAATTGCTGGAACCCAGGAGGCAGAGGTTGCAGTGACCCGAGATCGCACCACTGCACTCCAGCCTGGGCGACAGAGCAAAACTCTGTCTCAAAAAAAAAGAAAAAAAAAAGAAGAAGAAAAAGAAAAAAATAAGTCCCATCCAGTAAACCTGGTAATTACTGAGTTGCTTCTATACCAGATACTTTTATAACATTCTCTAGTGTACTCTACAACAGTCCTTCTGGCAAAATACTATTCCCATTGTACAGATGGAAAATGAAGACTTAGAAGGGTTTGGTAACCTGGAGACATTCAGAAAATATCTGTGGAACTCCTGCATTTTGTGAGGCACTGCCCAGGGCATTGGAGAGAGAGATGCCTTTGTGGTGGTCCTAAAAGAGTTCACAGTCTGGCCAGGAGACATTGTACAAACAGACTATAAATGGCTGTGCTTCTTTTTTTTCTAAAGAATGTTCAGCGGGAGCACTTGGGACCTACCTGTGAGAGCTGAGGAAGGCTTCACAGAAGAGGTCTTGCTTAAGAGGAAACATTTGGGGCCAGGTGCAGTGGCTACGCCTGTAATCCCAACGCTTTGGGAGGCTGAGGCGAGTGGATCACCTGAGGTCAGGAGCTCAAGACCAGCCTGGCCAACATGGTGAAACCCCATCCCTACTAAAAAAATACAAAAATTAGCTGGGTGTGGTGGTGTGCGCCTGTAATCCCAGCTACTCAGGAGGCTGAGGCAGGAGAATCACTTGAACCGGGAGGCAGAGGTTGCAGTGAGCTGACATGGTGCCATTGCACCCCAGCCTGGACAACAAGAACGAAACTGTGTCTCAAAAAAAGAAAAAAAAAAAAAAAGCAAACATTTGGAAATATAATGTGACTGGAAAAGTGTGGTCAGCATTCTGGGCAGCACCAATCTGACATGACCTCATGAGGGAGTAAGATGTATTTGAGAAGCAGCCACTGGTTTGTTACAACTGGAGTATGCGCAAGAATAGCTGGAGATTAGGCTGGACAATAGTAGTTATACCAATGATAATATTTTTCAAGTATATCATGTGCCAAGAATTTTACATAGATTATCTCATTTAATTCTTGTGATACACTATGACCCAGGTACTGTTTTTATCCTCATTTTATAGATAGTGAAACTAAGTTACCCACTGAGTTAAATGATTTGCCCAGAGTCACAGCTGTTAAGTGACACACAGTAAATGACTTAACCATGATCACACAGCTAGCAGATGTCACACCTAGCATATAAACCCCCAAACAGTGGCTTCAGATCCTGTCTCTTAACCACTGTTTCTGTGGTGAGGGATCAGACTATGAAGGGACTTCTGAAGAAATTGAAATTTTGTTCTGTAGGTCAGTGTTTTTATGTTTTGTTTTTAACTCAGCCCACAGTAGAAGTACATTTTACACTGTAACCCAGTTATGTGTGTGCATTGTACACACATAAAACTAAAGAAAAGTGGCTGGGCATGGTGGCTCACACCTGTAATCCCAGCACTTTGGGAGGTGGAGGCAGGCAGATCACTTGAGGCCAGGAGTTTGAGACCAGCCTGGGCAACATGGTGAAACCAACCTAATACAAAAATTAGCCTAGCATGGTGGCATACACCTATAATCCCAGCTACTCCAGAGGCTGAGACGTGAGAATTGCTTGAACCCAGGAGGCAGAGGCTGCAGTGAGCAGAGATCACTGCATTCCAGTCTGGGCGACAGCAAGACTCTGTCTCAAAACAACAACAACAACAACAACAACAACAAAAAACAACTAAAAAAAAGTTTCATGAAATAATATTTTTTACTATGTATTTTATATAGTTTCCATTCTGTTTTGTTAAAGAAATATTAGTTGAGACCTAAATTGATTTTACATCTTAAGCCATAGTTTGAAAAAATACTGCTTGTCTATAGATGAGCCTCTGAAGAATTTCAAGTGGGAGAATCAGGTGATCAGGTAGGTAACGCTGGCAGCAGTATGAAGGCCGGGTGGAAAGGATGGGACCAGAGAGGTAGAAAGACCAGTAAGGAGCATCTCACTGGACCAAGGAAAAGATGCCTGACTAGGACAGTAGCGTTGTAGATAGAGAAAAGGGAAGAGAGAAGAGAGATTTAAGAAGTAGAACTGATAGAACTTGGTGATTGAATGTAGATTATCACTTACTACCAGTAGAAAGGCCATTCAATTCACGGTCTGTTTGACTTTATTACTCAGGCACTGAAACTTTATTTCTTAACCTTTGCTGAGTGTTCCTTTTTACAATCATGTTAAATATGCTTTTTTTCTATGCCTCTAATTTTGTATTTAAAACTGTACTGACCTGCTAAAATTTTAAATTTTGACCTGATTTAAAATTTGTGATTTTTTTTTTATTTTTTAAATTAAATTAAAACTTTCCTAGAGACAAGGTCTTCCTCTGTCACCCAGGCCGGAGTTCATGGCACCATTATAAATCACTGTAGCCTCGAACTCCTGAGCTGAAGGGATCCTCCTGCCTCAGCATCCCAAGTAACTGGGACTACAGGCATGCACTGTCATGCCTGGATAATTTTTTTTTTTTTTTTTTTTTTTTTTTTGAGACGGAGTCTCGCTCTGTAGCCCAGGCTGGAGTGCAGTGGCGCGATCTCGACTCACTGCAACCTCCACCTCCTGGGTTCTGGTTCAAGCAGTTCTCCTACCTCAGCCTCCCGAGTAGCTGGGATTACATGGATGTGCCACCATGCCCAGCTAATTTTTGTATTTTTAGTGGAGATAGGGTTTCACCATGTTGGCCAGGCTGATCTTGAACTCCTGACCTCATAATCCGCCCGCCTCGGCCTCCCAAAGTGCTGGGATTACAAGCATGAGCCACCGCCCCCAGCCACCTGCATAATTTTAAAATTTTTTGTAGAGGTGAGGGTCTTGCTATGTTGCCCAGGCTGGTCTCAAACTCCCAGCTTCTAGTGATCCTCCTGCTTTGGCCTCCCAAAGTGCTGGGATTACAGATGTGAGGTACTGTGCCTGGCCAAAACAAATTTTTTTTAAAAAATCTTACTTTAAGTTCTGGGATATGTGTGCAGCATGTGCAGGTTTGTTATATAGGTATACATGTGCCATGCAAAAAAATTTTTTTATTTTAAAATTTATATATCAAAAATCAGATGGCTACCTTATTTTCTTGTGCCTGCTTCCCCTACTCTGTTCCATAGAATTTGAACAATTTGTGTAGCATTATGAAAATATTTGTTGAAAGGATATATTCTGGGTTGGGCGCTGTGGCTCAAGCCTGTAATCCCAGCACTTTGGGAGGCTGAGGTGGGTGGATCACTTGAGGTCAGGAGTTCGAGACCAGCCTGGAAAACATGGTAAAACCCTGTCTCTACTAAAAATACAAAAAAAAGACTGGGCTCAGTGGCTCATGCCTGTAATCCCAGCACTTTGGGAGGCTGAGGCGGGCGGATCACCTAAAGTCGGGAGTTCGAGACCAGCCTGACCAACATGGAGAAACCCCATCTCTACTAAAAATACAAAAATTAGCTGGGTGTGGTGGCACAAGCCTGTAATCCCAGCTACTTGGGGGGCTGAGGCAGGAGAATCATTTGAACCCAGAGGTGAAGGTTGCAGTGAGCTGAGATTGAGCCATTGCACTCCAGCCTGGTCTGTAAGAGCAAAAACTCCGTCTCAAAAAAAAAAAAATTAGTCGGGTGTGGGTGCACACGCCTGTAATTCCAGCTACTTGGGAGGCTGAGGCAGGAGTATCTCACTTGAACCTGGGAGGCAGAGGTTGCAGTGAGCCGAGATCAAACCACAACACTCCAGCCTGGGCAACAGAGCAAGACTCTCTCTCAAAAAAAAAGGGGGTATATTCTGTTTATTATATGTTTATTGTATTCTCTGAAGCTTTGTGCTATAACTGAATTTTATGTTTGTTAATTAGAAGAATGCTTTTGAGTAATTTTCTTTGACTTTATTCTCTTTAATTTTTCATTTTTATAATAATATATAAGTTGATAAAGAGCTTTCTAATGGCCTTAACTTGTTTTGATTTCCTTTAGGGACTATTGAGCATTGTATGATGGTCTTATCTTTTTTTTTTTTTTAAGTAGCCATTACTAAGCATGAAACCTTTTCGTAGTAAAATTGTAGCAGCCTTCCCCTGTACATTAGAAATATAGATATATGAGATTCCTACTGCTTCTGCTGCTCTAGTGACTCAGAAGGTATAACAATATATAACTGAAAACAAATTATTTGGAGTGATTATAGCATTTTTATTGACTAGGTATCTTACTAGATTGCTTTAGACAACACACATTCTTTGGTTTTCCAGTTATTACAGTACAAAAGTGTCGGTATTTATTTCTTTGGTAACTATGAAATTTTTTAGAGACATTACAGTATCTTCTCTTTTTTTTTTTTTTGAGACGGAGTCTCGCTCTGTCGCCAGGCTGGAGTGCAGTGGCGTGATCTCGGCTTACTGCAACCTCCACTTCCTGGGTTCAAGCGATTCTCCTCCTCAGCCTCCCGAGTAGCTGGGACTACAGGCGTGCGCCACCACATCCAGCTAATTTTTGTACTTGTAGTAGAGACGGGGTTTCACCATGTTGGCCAGAATGGTCTCGATCTGTTGACCTCACGATCTGCCCGCCTTGGCCTCCCAAAGTGCTGGGATTATAGACGTAAACCACCGCACCCGGCCTTTTTTTTTTTTTTTGAGACAGTCTCACTCTGTCGCCCAGGCTGGAGTGCAGTGGCACAGTCTCAGCTCACTGAAACCTCCATCTCCTGGGTTCAAGTGATTCTCCTGCCTCAGCCTCCCGAGTAGCTGGGACTACAGGCACATGCCACCACGCCTGGCTAATTTTTGTATTTTTAGTAGAGATGGGGTTTCACCATGTTGGCCAGGCTGGTCTTGAACTCCTGACCTTACATGATCCATCTGCTTCAGCCTCCCAAAGTGCTGGGATTACAGGTGTGAGCCACCACACCTGGGCGGACTGCAATATCTTCTCTACCAGAAGAGAGATTATATTTGTAATGCTGTTGGTGAGCATTTTGAAATCTTTTTTTTTTTTTTTTTTGAGAGAGAGTCTTGCTATGTCACCCATGCTGGAGGTCAGTGGTGTGATCTTGGCTCACTGCAACCTCTGCCTCCTGATTTCTAGCAATTCTCCTGCCTCAGCCTCCCGAGTAGCTGGGATTATAGGTGCGCATCACCATGCCTGGCTAATTTTTGCATTTTTAATAGAGTCGGGGTTTCACCTTTTTGGCCAGGCTGGTTTTGCACTCCTGACCTCAAGTGATTCACCCGCCTCGGCCTCCCAAAGTCTGGGATTGCAGGCATGCGCCACTGCACCTGACTCGCCTTTTGAAATGTTATGGGAGCCAAGGATTGCTGTACCATCACAGAATATTTTTATTATTAGTTTTCTGAGATAGTTAAATAAATGAAGAGGTGGTCGTGGTGAGTGGTGTGTGTGTGTGTGTGTGTGTGTGTGTGTGTGTGTGTGTGTTTCCCACCAAAACAAAAGTAATTGAAGAGAATTTGGTGCCAAGTGGTATAATAGGAACTGGATCTGTTCCTCTTTGTTCCGTTAACTTGCTGTTTGATCTTGGACAAGTGACTTAACCCCTTTGGTCTTAATATTTTTGTCAGTTAAATAAGGATGCTTGATTAGGTGAACCTAAAGGGCTTTTAATTTTTATTTTATTTATTTTTCTGAGGTGGGGGTCTCACTATGTTGTCCAGACTGGTCTTGAACTCCTGGGCTAAAGTGATCCTCCTGCCTCACCTTCTTCAGTAGCTGTGACTACAGGCACGTACCACCACGTTCAGTTCAAAAAAAAACTTTTAAAATTATAAAACATGTTGTATTTTTATACAGTACTTTACAAGTAATTATGTTATTTCATTAGATGGCTTGTGTAAAATCATAAACTCAGGTATTGTGTATTTGCTTATTCTCACAAGGGCCAAGAGCTTGAAATGAAGAAAAACAGCCTTCAAGTTCCTCTTTAAGACAGTTTTCATAATTATTTCTGACATCTTCATGAACAATTTACCTTGTATTCCCCTTAAACAGTTCATTATGCCTTTAGTCTCATCTTTCACCTTTGTTTTCTTTTCTCTAATCCAAATTGCCGAAGGGAGTGGAGGAAGAGGTGAAGATGTGGAAAGCCCAGAGAGTTGGAGAGTTGAGAGAAGGAAGAAAGCAGTTAAGGTCAGAGTATTGAAGTAAGATGGGACTGTACTAGTAATTTATTAATTCTGAGTTGTACCTTGCCAGCCTGAAGCAGAAAATGTTTTATTTTGTAGTAACACTATAGGAATCCTAGGTGTGAAAACCTTAAGTGATTAGTTGCCTGCAGGAGTCAATAGGCATAGTGGCCCTTAAATTCTTCCAGCTCTGTGAACTGAGCCTAGTATAGTGTCAGTAACATAGACATTCAGTCCATGTTGGGTGAATGAGAGTCAAATAGTCCTGGCAACTATTGTCTAAATCCTTCTCCCCTGTGGGTAACACAGCTGTAGATCATCTTGTTCTCTGTGCCCAGATACTACAGTGATGGGAATTATGGGAATGTCAAGAAGGAATGACTTCTCTTTGATTCATGAAGCAGCTAATACTCTTAAAACAGTTTCGATTGTGCTGAAACAAGCAGGACTAAATAAAATGCTCAGTAAAAATAGTAATGAAAAAGATTGTAAAGCTATTATGTTAAAAGTAATTTGAGGCCAGGCTCAGTGGCTCACGTTTGTAATCCCAGCACTTTGGGAGGCTGAGGCAGGAGGATCACTTGAGCCTAGGCTGCAGTAAGCTTTGATTGTACCACTGTACTCCAGCCTGGGTGACAGAGTGAAATACCCTATCTCTAAAAAAAAAAAATTTAAGAAATTGATACAGTGGCATCTACCTGGCATGATTGGTGGGGGTATGGGCCATGCTGGACACTGCAGAAGAGAGAAAGGAACTATTTCAAAGAGGTGCTGCCAACTGTAGATTCTTTCTGTATATATATATTTCCAAAGAAGGCAGATTTTTGGAAGTGTTTATTTTGGAACTAGTCTTGTGTATTTCCATTCTGTCCCCACTGTATCCTGTATTTTGCACTGCCAGAATTCTGATAGCTGCCGTGAAGCAGGGCTGTGGCAAGTGGCCAAGTGTGATAAAAACCTATTTTTCATTTTAAAACAATACAGATGTCAGAATACTTTAAAGAAGTATTTAAAGATAGATTGAGTAGAATGGAACAAATAGTAAAAATCTAATGAGAAGATTGAAGGTTTTTCATTTGCTTTTGATGGAATTACATTTTTTGGAAACAGAAGAATACCAGGTTATGTCTTTCTTGATCTGTTAGTTTCTCTCTCTTTCTCCCTTTTTCCTGATCTGTGAATGCTGGTGCTAGACACTGCTGAATAGACAGGAAAAATGGATTTTCTGGTGTTTTTTTTTCTTTTTTGAGGGGACCCCTAGGGTATACTTTGTGTGAGTATCTGACTAGATATAGATATAGATGTCAATAGTTTGGTTTTGTTTATTTATTTTCTTGTTTTAACCCCAAAGAAAATGAAATCTTGTTTTCTTTTTATTTTCAGCTGTGACTTAAACGTTAAAATGCTGCCTAAGCACAGTTGAGATAGTAAAACAGGATTTTAGTGTAACATATTACAGAATTTTGGAATATTCATTTACTTAATGGACAGCTGAACTCCAGTCAGTGCTTTCTTTAAGTTTAATGTCTCATCCTGCATTGGTGTTCGATTCAGAATGAATTCAAGTTCTTAGTGTGGCCAACTGCCACAAAGTTGGGTGAACTTTAAATACATAATGGCTTTCTGTTTTGTTTTGTTTTTGAGATGAAGTCTCGATCTGTCGCCCAGGCTGGAGTGCAGTGGTGCGATCTCAGGTCACTGCAACCTCTGCCTCCCTGGTTCAAGCAATTCTCCTGCCTCAGCCTCCTGAGTAGCTGGGACTACAGGCACATGCCACCATGCCCGGCTAATTTTTTGTACTTTTTAGTAGAGATGGGGTTTCACCATGTTGGCCAGGATGGTCTTGATCTCCTGACCTCGTGATCTGCCCCCCTCAGCCTCCCAAAGTGCTGAGATTACAGGTGTGAGCTATAGCGCCTGGTTAATGGCTTTCTTTTTAATGATTCTAGAGCTTTTAACATGAGAAAGTAGAAAATGAAAGGAAACTATAATAGATTTCTTGCCTAAAATGGGTGTTCTTTGTAAGATGAAAAGTAGAGACAATCTGAGACCCTGAGTTATGGATCCGAAGGTCACATCACAGCCAGCATTAGACAGTCATAGCACTAGTGGAAGAAAAGGCAGAAGGTAAACTACTGATGGGAATGCTGTCAAAGGAGCTCACTTGGAAAGGCCATTCCATCACCTAAGGTTTTTTTTTTTTTTTTTTTTTTTTTTTGGTGGAGGTGGAGTGGTCCTTTATAAGGAAATTACATTATGTTCAATCAGACATACAAGGACAAAAATCTTTTATTTTTAAATTGTGAAGTATGTCATGTCTATAAAAAGTAGAATAATATAATATACAACCTTTAGCTTGAGAAATTGAACATTATGATTATAATTGCTGCCCCCAAGTACCATTCCTTAGACCTCTCTCCCAAAAGTAACATTCTCTTAAATTTGATGTTTACCATCCCATGAGTGTGTTTATCCTTTATCTACACCTATCTTATATAGTTTTGTAAGAATGTTTTAAAACCTTATTTAAAAGGTATTAAACTGGCCGGGCGCAGTGGCTCATGCCTGTAATCCCAGCGCTTTGGGAGGCCAAGGCAGGTAGATCACCTGAGATCAGGAGTTCAAGACCAGCCTGGCCAACATCATGAAACCCCTGTCTCTACTAAAAATACAAAAATTAGCTGGGCATGGTGGTGGGCGCCTGTAATCCCAGCTACTTGGGAGGCTGAGGCAGGATAATTGCTTGAACCTGGGAGGCAGAGGTTGCAGTGAGCCGAGATCATGCCATTGCACTCTACCTGGCAACAAGAGCGAAACTCTGTCTCAAAAAAAAAAAAAGTATTACACTGTATGTATCCTTCTGCAAATCTTTTTTTTTTTTTTTTTGGAATGGAGTCTCCCTTTGTCAACCAGGCTGGAGTGCAGTGGTGCGATCTCGGCTCGCTGCGATCTCCACTTCCTGGGTTCAAGTGATTCTCCTGCCTCAGCCTCCTGAGTAGCTGGGACCATAGGCGTGTGCCACCACACCCAACTAATTTTTGTATTTTCAGTAGACATGAGGTTTTGCCATGTTGGCCAGGCTAGTCTTGAACTCCTGACCTCAAGTGATCTGCCTGCCTCGGCCTTCCAAAGTGCTGTGATTACAGGCATGAGCCACTACGCCTGGCCTTTTTTTTTTTTTCCCTCTTAATACTTAAAAAAAAAAAAATTAGGCCAGCACAGTGGCTCATACTTATAATACCAGCACTTTGGGAGGCTGAGGTGGGAGGATTGCTTGAGGCCAGTAGTTTGAGGTTACACTGAGCTATAATTGGGCCATTGCACTCCAGCCTGGGGATAGAGCAAGACTGTGTTTCTTTTTTTTTTTTTTTTTTTTTGAGACAGAGTCTCACTCTGTCCCCCAGGCTGGAGTGCAGTGGCACAATCTCCATTCACTGTAAGCTCCATCTCCCGGGTTCACGTCATTCTCCTGCCTCTGCCTCCCGAGTAGCTGGGACTACAGGCGCCCACCACCACTCCCAGCTAATTTTCTGTATTTTTTAGTAGAGACAGGGTTTCACCGTGTTAGCCAGGATGGTCTCGATCTCCTGACCTCGTGATCCGCCTGCCTTGGCCCCCCAAAGTGTTGGGATTACAGGCATGAGCCACCGCACCCTGCCCAAGACTGTGTTTCTTAAAAAAAAAAACCCAAAAAACAAAAAAAAACTTATTTAGTTGATACATGTGGTTCTGGTTCATTCATTTTTAACTACTTTGGCGTTTCTGTCTCTATTTCATATATTTAAACCTCTGTTAACTGACAGACTTTTTGCTGAATATTCTGGGGGACAGGAAAAAGGAATTTATTATGTCATTTTTAAAGTTAGACTAGGAATGCTGTTTTGACTTTCAAAACCAGTTTTCCTTTTTTGGTGTGGAATGTCCTCGTTTATCATATTCCTGGGAAAATCCTTTGTACTTCCTGAGAGAAGGCAGAGAAGAAGAATGTTTTATTACATAGATGAACATGTCTTGTACAAGATACAGAGCAGCATCTGCCACAAAACAGTGAGCTCGTGGGGGATTGAGCTGCTGCAACAAAAGCCTGGGTTACTAAAATTCTCAGATATTTCAAGTGCAGACAAGCTGTGGGTGGAAATTTGTTGGCATTAATTCATTGTTTCTTTTCTGTGTGTTTGGAATTATCTGCAATTTGGGTACTATCTGCTTTATTTTGTAAAAGGAGATGCGCCTTTTATGGTAAAAAGGCTGTTCTTGAATTGTGTCGTGGTTTTATGGGGCAAGCAAAAGAAAAGTAAGGTCTAGAAATGAGGGGACATACTTTTTGAGACAGGTAGTTGGTGTGAAATAAATATTTGTTTTAATAATAATTCTGTACATATTAGTCAATGTATATTCTTACTTTGAAGTCATTGTTTTAAAAAGACAATCTCTGATAAAATTTTATCTTCTCAATTTCATGCTGTTGTCTTTCATTTCCAACACTCTTGATAATGGTTTGAACATTTTTGCAGAGTACACAGGGCAGAGCTTCATTCAGGTTGTCCCTCCAAATGATTTGCTGTAGTGCATTAACCAGAAATGCTGAGGCAGCAAGGGAAACACTAATAAATTGGATGGTTTCCAGGGACTGTCGCTACGGCAAGCAAACACAAGCCAAAATTAAAATGTTAGTTAGGCACCCAAGATATAAGTCTGGCCAGATATGCTATTAACAGTGAATCTTCCATTCTCATTAAATTATTTGAGATCTGTACAATTTGAAGATTGTTACAAATGGTGACCAATTTTAAGCATATTTTAATTAGGGGTGGTATAATAGTCTTTTGGCTAAAACTTAATTAGAATGAAAAAATACTTTTGCCTTTTTTATTTGATAGATTCCAGTGCCTCAGGAATGAACCTCCAGTAATGGGAGAGTTTTTTTTGTTTTGTTTTGTTTTTGAGACGAAGTCTCACTCTTGTTCTCTAGGCTGGAATGCAGTGGCGCAATCTCGGCTCACTGCAACCTCCACCTCCCAGGTTCAAGTGATTCTCCTGCCTCAGCCTCCCGAGTAGCTGGGATTACAGGTGCCTGCCACCAGGCCCGGCTAGTTTTAGTATTTTTAGTAGAGATGGGACTTCACCATGTTGGCCAGGCTGGTCTTGAACTCCTGACCTCAGGTGATCTGCCCGCCTCGCTAGTGCTGGTTTTCTTGCTAACTACACAAATTATACTTCTGTAGTAATTTTCACAAATTATTTTACCGTGAAAAGTATAGGTATGGGGAGAGGAGATAGTGGTATGTGAAAGGGCCTTTTGTATTTTTCTTGTTTTGGAATGATTTCCAATCATTTTCAAACAGAACCTCTAAACCAAAGAGTTTGTGTGGCTTGGCAAATGAACCAGAATTTTTTTTAATTTAGTACTTCAAGGTTTCTAAATTTTGTAAACTTGTTTCTGAAACTAGTGAAAGCCTGAAACTAGTGGATGGCCTAAGACTTTTTTAATTTAAAAAATGTTTCTTATTTCTTCATTGTTTGTTAGGGTTCTATCAGTTTTTTATATTCCGGACACACAGAGATGGGGTGAATTTGTTTTCCTCTTTCATCATTTGTGTGTGTGTGTGTGTGTGTGTGTGTGTGTGTGTGTGTGTTGGAGTCTCGCTTTGTCGTCCAGCCTGGAGTGCAATGGCGCGATCTTGGCTCACTGCAACCTCCGCATCCCTGGTTCAAGCAGTTCTCCTACCTCAGCCTCCCGAGTAGCTGGGATTACAGGTGTGCTCTACCACACCTGGCTAATTTTTGTATTTTTAGTAGCGATGGGGTTTCACCATGTTGGCCAGGCTGGTCTCGAACTCCTGACCTCATGATTTGCCCACCGCGGCCTCCCAAAGTGCTGGGATTACAGGCATGAGCTACCACGCCTGGCCAATTTTTTTCTTGTTTAATCTAAAAATATTTCTAAAAAAATTTGTTTATGAGCTGTTACTTCAGTTCCCCCCGCCCTGGTCTTTTTTTTTTTTTTTTTTTTTTTAAAGAGATGGGGTCTTGCTTGTTGCCCAGGCCCAGGCTGGCCTTGAATTCCTGGGCTCAAGCAATCCTCCTCCCTTGGCATTTTGAATAGTTGGGACTATAGGCCCACACCACCACACCCAGCTAACTCCCAATTTTTATATCTGTTGAGCTTATCATGTGATTGTCAAATATCTATTATTACTATTTTTTTTGAGACAGAGTTTCCCTCCTGTTGCCCAGGCTAGAGTGCAATGGCATGATCTCAGCTCACCGCAAACTCTGCCTCCCGGGTTAAAGCAATTCTCCTGCCTCAGCCTCCCAAGAAGCTGGGATTACAGGCATGCAACACCACGCTGGGCAAATTTTGTATTTTTAGTAGAGACGGGGTGTCTCCATGTTGGTCAGGCTGGTCTTGAATTCCCAACTTCAGGTGATCTGCCCCCCCCTTGGCCTCCCAAAGTGCTGGGATTACAGGCGTGAGCCACTGCGCCCTGCCCAAATATTTAATACTTTGTTTCTGGAAAAAGTATTTTAGAGTTTCTTACGGTCAATCTGGATTTATTCTAGGTTACAACTAATTTTTTTTAAAAGTGCTCTCTTGTCCTAAGGGTCACTGTGATAACTAGTGGCTAAGAATGACTTAAACAAGGTCTTTTCAGACTTTCTTTCTTCTTTGGCATTATATGCTGAGGTACCCACATTAGCAGGCTCAAGAGGGCCTTTACCTTTGACATTTACTTTACTTTTTTCTATTCTTTTAGGTCTTTCACTACCATTCCTACAGTGATTGGCAAGATACCGTTTCTACCTCACTCTCCATGTACCATGCCAGTGACATCTTAGCTGCTAGAGTGTGGAGCTGGCCTGTGGGAGTCAAGTAAGTGCCTTTTTTACTATTTGGCATGGTTTTTGCTTACTTTGCAAAGCCATGTAGAGGAGCTTCTTAAGATTAGTTTTTAAAAAGGCACTTGCTTGATCCTTGTGGGCTGGCTCTTTGCTCCAGCCTGCTATTGAACACTTGGTAGCTAACATGGGGCTGAGTTTAGTGAGGTGACTGTTGCACAATAGAATATTTTTACTATGGTACACCCTAAGGGATAATATATCTGATCTTAGCCTGATTAGACCATATTGGTAAACAACCCCAATAAATCAGAACTATGCTACCTCACACAGTTACTCTGGTCTCCTGGAAATTTAATAGGGTGTGGATGACCAAGGGTCTGTCTGCTGGTGTAAACCAACTGGATTGCATGGAAACAGGGCAGCTCTCCTAGGAAAGCCAATTACCTTGGCATTTATCTTAATTAATTTGGCTTAATATATGGAAGAAGTAATGGTTGAGGTTAATCAGGTATGGGTTTCTATGTTTATCATTAAAGTTGCTAAAACCTGGTATCTTACTTTTGCAGGTCATCTTGTAAATTTTGCCTATATAAATTAACACATCCCCTGTATGTCATAACAACCATGTAAGGGAGAGTGTTTTCCTGCTCTGTCTTAGGTATTGGTGATGTGACCTGTTCACGCAGGGGAAACTTGAACATTCGCAGGTATGTGAAGATCATGATTCATAAGCATTTTCTCCCTGCAAGCAAAACAGTTTATTTTGGTGTGAACTCATGTGGTTTTATGAAATCTATGTTGCCAGTTGATTTTTCTGCCCCCTGTTACTGTAGAACAGGCGTTGACAAACTGTAGCATAAATGGTTGCTTGATTTTGTAAACAAAGTTTTACTACAATACAGACATATCCATTTGTTTACAGATTGTCTGTGGTTGCCCTGGCACTATAAGGACAGAGTTTAGTTGTTACAACAGAGACTATATGGTCCATAAAGCCTAAACTATTTATTATTTAGCCCTTTAAGAAAAAGTTTGCCAACTCCTACTATAGGCAAACTAAACTTCAAATTGTATTTAGAAATAAACTTGCCAGAACCACAGTTGTTTTCAAATAGGCTTCTAAAGAGAAAACCAGGAAAGTCAAGACCTGTGTCATAATGCTGACTAGCAAGTAAATATTTGCAATATGCATAGTGGTATGATTGATTACTAATACAAGGTTACTGAAATGGAAAGCTGTAATGGCAGTCCAGCTTCTTTATCTTTTCTTTTCTTTCATTCATTTATTCTCTGTCTTTCACACTGACTCTCATTTCTCTTTCTCTTTTTTGCTTTCTCACTGGGTGTAGGCGTTCATTCAGTGGTAGGATGTTATTACTATTATTGGATTCTCTAAAGGTTTTATAGGCTGGGCGTGGTAGCTCACACATGTAATCTGAACACTTTGGGAGGCCGAGGTGTGAGGATCGCTGGAGGCCAGGAGTGCCTAACCAGCTTGGGCAATATAGTGAGGCCCCATTAAAAAAAAAAAAAAATTAGTTGGGCATGCCCCTGTAGTTATGGCTACTCGGGAGGCTGAGGTGAAAGGATCGCTTGAGCCCAGGAAATTTGAGGCTGCAGTGAGCTGTGATCACGCCATTGTACTCCAGCCTGGATGACAGAGCAAGACCCTGTTTCTTAAAGAAAGAAAGGACTTCCAGATTCATGGAAGAATTATTACAGTTAAAATACCAGTCAGGGTAATGGAAATTGAGGACCAGAGTTATTCAAGGATCACAGAGCAAATCAGTGTTCTACTACTGAAATCAGAGGGTAGGTCTCCTGCCTCCTTTCCTAGGGTTCCTTTTGCTAGGTCTCACAACATATTAGGCGATGCTTGTTTTCCCTACTATTTGAAAGGTGCACAGTCTATTTCCTTTCTCTCTCTCTCTCTTTTTTTTTTTTTTTGCCCCTGAAGTAAAAGCAAAGACTCAATGATTTAAACCACAAAGATATGGTTGTTAAGAGTATCGGTCTTAATTGGAGTTTGGATGCTTTTATTGTTTGAAGATAACTAGGGGATTGCTTCTTTTTTTTTTTTTGGAGATACAGTCTCGCTCTGTCGCGCAGGCTGGAGTGCAGTGGCACGATCTCGGCTCACTGCAACCTCTACCTCCCGAGTTCAAGCAATTCTCCTACCTCAGCCTCCTAAGTAGCTGGGTTATAGGCGCCCGCCACCACGCCCGCTTAATTTTTGTACTTTTAGTAGAGACGGGCTTTCACCATGTTGGCCAGGCTGGTCTCAAACTCCTGACCTCAGGTGATCCACCCGCTTCAGCCTCCCAAAGTGCTGGGATTACAGGTGTGAGCCACTGTGCCCAGCCGGGATTGCTTCTTAATGAGTCACTAAGTGCTTATAGTATATACTCAGAAAGGTTGGCTTAGATGGAATAAAAAAAGAAGTTAGAGCCTTGTTCATAATTTTGAAGCTAGGAGCAAAACTAAAATTGGCATAGATAGAATGCTTTCCTCATATATCTATGTATCTAAGACCATAGATAGAAAGTATATTTGTGTATGTGTGTGTGGGTATGTGTGTCTAACAGCTTTAAAAGTGCATCTGGATTGCGTTTTGAAAGGAGTTTAGCAGGTGTATTACAATCTGTAGATTATGTTGCAGAGTTTTAATTGGACTTTTAAAAATAAATTTTATTTTTGAACAGTTTTAGATTTACAAAAAAATGGCAAAGATCTTACACAGAATCCCCATATATCCCTCACCTTCTTCTATTATTAACATTTTACATTACTTTGGTACATTTGTTACAATTAACAAACCAATCTTGATACATTATTATTAACTAAAGTCCATACTGTATTCAGATTCCCTTAGTTTTTGCCTAGTGTTCTTTTTCTGTTCTTGGATTAAAGGAATTTTTATTAGCATGTTCGTTGAAATAGGAGACATTTATATGATCACCTGAAGGTTAGGCTAGTTCTGAAGTCCCTTTCAATTTCCAAGAGTCTATTTAAATGAGTACAACAGGCAAAGTTTGGACTTGTAATGTTTATATTCTCCTGTTAGGTGTTGGGAAAAAAAATTGTTACTTTATCTTATTGATAGTAATGGCTCTTCAATTGTTTCTAAATTTTAGCATCATCAATTTCAGAAAGGACAAGATGGATTTGGTTACTTCTGTCATTAAGTATCATATGCTAAATTGCTGGTGAAAATATTCTAAAGTAAATTGCCTCCTTTGGGAATGATGTGGATCAACTATCCTACGTCAATAAGTTTTTTCCCGCTGAAAGTAGTTTTGGAGTCCATACCTTCTGATGAATCTATTAATCATTCATATTTCCCTATGAAGATTTAAAAATATTTATTCCTTAAAAGTTCATTAGTTATTTACAAAAGTTGAACACATGCATGCCCTATGACTCAGGAGTTCCATTTCTAGGTTTATACAAAACAGAATTATGTGTCTATCTATATTCACCAAAAGACCTGGACAAAAATGTTCATGGCAGGACTGATAGTCCAAACTGGAATTTTCCAAGTGCCCATCAACAGTAGAATAAGTATATAATTTGTGACATAACCACATAATGAGTATTGAACAGTGATCAGAATGAACAGGTTACAACTACATATAAAAATGCATGGTTCTCACAAATAATATGATGAACAAAAGAAGCCAGACACTAACAGTGTATGATTCCATTTATATGAATTCAAAAGCAGGTAAAACTAATCAATAGTGTCAGAAGTCAGGAGACTGATCACCTTTGTTGGGGGTTTGGGGAAAGTGTTTGACAGAGGGTATGAAGGGGGCTCCTGGGGTGCTAGTAATGTTCTGTCTCTTGGTTTAGGCATTGGTTACATGGGTGGGTTCATTTTGTGAAAAAATTATCAAGTTTATACTTTTTCATTTACATGTTATTCAGAAAGTATATACAAAAAGTATTAAAAGTATTAGCAATTCTGGAAAACACACAGCATTTCACTGTTAACATTTAAAGGATATGTAGAGAACCAGTTGAGCAAATGAACCTTTTATCTTAGAATATATGCTGTCAGAATTATAGGATTATCAAGGTACCATTATGTTACTGGAGCTGTTACAGTCTTAGTCTTATTTGTATTATAAGAAGAATAAAGTAGCTGATGTTAATAATCTGTTGTTATTGTAACCAGGTTTTTGAGATGCCCCAAAGAAGGACATCTTTTCCTTTTGGTCTGTTTTGATTCACCAAGTCAAAACGTTCAGGTATTCTTTTAGTACAGTAAAGAATGATCGGTCAAATAGTTGTGCATTTGGAATATTCATGTGTTTACGAGTGCTGGTATGTGTTCCTTCCCACTGATTGTTACATCAGCAAGTGAGCTGTAGTCTTGGTTGTGTGTGTATTTTACATGTTCTTTTGGCTTTAAGGTATCACTTAACATAACCAGAATGTAGAATTTTCTTCCCAAACAGAGCTCTTTTTGTGATTTTTCTTATTGTCACTTTTGGTTTTTCCAGTGACTTGAGGATAAATCACCTCAGGCATTTATCCTTTATATTACAAACATACAATTATATTCTCTTAGTTATTTTAAAATATACAATTAAATTATTATTGGCTATAGTCACCCTGTTGTGCTATACAATTCTAGGTCTTATTCATTCTTTTAATTATTTTGTGCCCATTAACCATTGCCACTTCCCAATCATTTTTATTGATTGATTAGTTGATTGATTGAGATGGGAGTCTTGCCGTGTGGCACAGGCTGGTCTTGAGCTCCTGGCCTCAAGTGACCCTCCCACTTCAGCCTCCTGAGTAACTGGGACTGATTACAGGTGCAAAATACTACGCCCATCTAATTAAATTTTTTTTTTTGGAGAGACAAGGTCTCACTAGGTTGCCCAGCTGGTCTTGCACTCCTAGCCTCAAGCAATCCTTCCACTATGGCCTGGGATTACAGGCATGAGTCACTGTGCCTGGCCAATAATGTTTCTGATAACCAGTGACTGCTTACTAACTTTCAGGTTGTGTGACATGCCATACATACATGATTTTATTTCATTTATTCTGTGCACCAGTCCTATAAAGTAGGTACTATAATTTCTACTGCTGAAGAAATAAAGACAGGAAGGTTCTATGTAACTTGCTCAAGCTAGTAAGTGATGGAATTAGGAATTCAGGTATATGTCTGCATACTTCCCAGTTGTAACCTCTGTCTCCCCATGCTCCTGAATGCCATGAATAGATTACTCCTTAATCACCAAGTGCATTCCCACCTTTTTCTTAGCCCTTTCACTTTGCAGATCCACTGACTATTAGGCCCTGACTTGTTCCGTTTGTTCCTTTCTCATCATCTCACTCTATCCATCCTTCAAGGCACAGCTCAAGTCCTATCTGTTCAGTGACTTCTTCCTTCTCCTTTCCAATTTATAGAATACTCCTTAGCCCTGCCACACATTTTATACTTCCATTGTGTTGAATCTATCTTTTTATATACGGATGCTTTAGTTTAAACTTCAGATTGTAACCTCCTTGAGGAAAGGGCTTGGATTACAGATTTTACTTGTATTCTCTGCAGTGTCTTATAATAGATGTTCAACAAATGTATATGTTGATCAATTGAAATGATAATAGAACCCTTAATAGCTGAAGATATGTAACGTGCATCTAAGACTCCTGGTTATTTGAGCTTCTTGAAGTACTTTATACATCCAACTAACAGTCTTAATTCAGAACCAGGAATGACATGTTTAGGTTAGAGTTAGATACTGATTTCTAGACAGGAAGCTTAGTAATTGTTGCTACATACTGATCCAAGTAAGAATAGTTCTTTATATCCAGAGCCTGAATGAAAGAGCCAGTGGTGAGACAGTGAGTTGATTACTTCTCACTGTTTCACCACTGGCTCTTTGGTTCATGCTAACAATGTATCTCACCTAGATTATATTAACAGCTTTCTAATTAGTCTCCCTGCTTTTGTTCTTTCTTACCTCTGGTCGTAATTCAGCAGTGGGAATGATGACATCAGGCAGAAGGAGACTTATTCAGTAGCTTCTGATCTCACTCAGTAAAAGACAAAGTTCTTCAAGGGGCCTACAGGTAGTGACAATAAACTGGCTCTCTGGAGGGGGAAAAGGTTCTGATTTGTAGCATTTGCCTGTTTTACTGGTATAATTACTCCCACTCTGGCTGATTCAAAGTTCTAGAATGTACAGCAATCTGCTCCCCAGTCAATATCGGCTTCAGCACATCACTGTTGAACATTTGGCTCCCCGTCTGACTCCCATCTGCTGCCACTTTCCCTCTTGCCCACTCCATTTTGTGATACTGACCTCCTTGCTATTCCTCAAACATGCTGAACATGCACCTACCTCATAGGATTTTTGCACTGCAGTTTTCTATCATTAGAATGCTTTTCTCCTGAATATATACAGGTTTTCTTATTTCTTTTCCCTCTTGAGTCTCTGCTGAAATATTATATTCTCAGTAAGGTCTTCCATGATCTCCTTGCATGAAAATTTTATTTTATTGGTTGTTCTGAGATGATTTTAATATACACTACAGTGTTTTTGTAGTCATCTAGTGCCTTGCTGTAGTGATGCATTACTGCTATTTCTAGGCAATGTCATCTGTGGGTGGGCATAATGGTTATATTTGCTGTTGAGACTTAAAAAGAAGCATTTCATTTTGTTTGAAACGAAAATATCTGTGATACATATAAACAAATCAGTTTGGGCCTCTTATTGGTAATTGCAACTTGAATTACTATCCACTTAGGCTCCTTATGGGGAATGCAACAATATTTATGGTTAAGTGTACATTTGATAGTATATTGTTCTCACAGTAACATCATTGTGGGTTTGAAGATCTGTGCTAAGTTATGAAACAATGGAATTTATACACTTTATTTGAAGATAAATTGGGTTTATAGGGAATTCTTGGTATAAATATTAACGTGTAGATTAGTATAACATACTGTTTATTATAATTAGAAAAAGCTGTGGGCACTTAAATCCCAGCTACTTGGGAGGCTGAGGCAGGAGAATCACTTGAACCCGGGAGGCAGAGATTGCAGTGAGCGGAGATTGCACCTTTGCACTCCAGCCTGGGCAACAAGAGTGAAACTCCATCTCAAAAAAAAAAAAAAAAAAAAAAAAAAAGGTACATGACTTCTTATGAACTAGATGCCACCTTTTCCCCTTAACCTCAGCTGTTTCTTTTTCTTTTCTGTTTTATTAAGGAACTTTAACCTCCCGCTTGACTTAGTCTAGGCATAGCTAATATTACAGTGAGGTAACAAGATTGAGTTGTAGTTATTGGCACTTTTTTCTTTCTTTCTTTTTTTTTTTTTAACATGCAACTATTTTTACAAGCAAAATTCTAGTGTAACCAGAGTTGAAAACATGATAGCTATAGTTACTTTTTAAAAATTAATTTTTCAGGGGTAACTTTGACAACCCATTTTTGGGGGGAGTTTGATTTATAAGTCAAAGAAGAGAGTAGCTTGCACTGAAAGTTGCTACTTCTTCCTGTTAGATGATTAAGAAATAGAGACAAAATCTGTTTCTTTTTTATGAGGCCTTTTGTTACTTTCTTGGGTGACATTTTAAATAAAATTTGCATTATTTCTTTTCTCAAGACTACTGGACATGGGAGAAAAAGTCCCTTTTCCTTATCAAAGCTTAATTTCCTTTATTCTATTACTGTTATCTTCAGAAAATGTTTATTTTTGGCTGGGTGTGGTGGCTCACGCCTGTAATCCCAGCACTTTGGGAGGCTGAGGCAGGTGGATCATGAGGTCAGGAGATCAAGACCATCCTGGCTAACATGGTGAAACCCCATCTCTACTAAAGATACAAAAAATTAGCTGGGTGTGGTGGCAGGTGCCTGTAGTCCCAGCAACTTGGGAGGCTGAGGCAGGAGAATGGCATGAACCCAGGAGGCGGAGCTTGCAGTGAGCCGAGATTGGGCCACTGCACTCCAGCCTGGGCGACAGAGCGAGATTCTGTCTTAAAAAAAAGAAAAAAAGAAAATGTTTATTATCTAGTCTTTTTTTTGCAGCTAAGTTTTTAAAAATTAGCAAATTTGTCAGAACGAAGATTAAATTAATAAACTTAGTTTTCTGTTCTATATATGATGCTATGATTCTTATTTTTTCTAACATATTCAGAATCATTCATTTTTAAAAAATTTCTTTCTATGATAAAAGTACTAAATCTTTTATCATAGAAATTGAGATGTACAGAAAAATGGAAGAAAGAAAAAGTGCTACTCAGAGACAACCATTGTTAACATTTTTATGTATTTCCTTTTAGACATTTTTTAATGGAATTCATCTTGCTTTGATAAAAGAATAGGTCATCTTTATATACAACATAAAACCATATAACTTACCATCGAAGATGACTCAAAGAAGAAAAAAACCCATGTAACTATATTTTGCTTTTTTTGCTCAGCATTATACCAAATATTTAACAAACTTGTCATACACATTTAATGGCAGCATAATATTCCAGAGTGGCTGTATCAGTATTTGTGCTTGCAACGTGCTTTTCAAAATATATATATTTTTTGGTAGCACATTTGAGGATTTTAAAGGTAAACATTCTTTCCTCGTTTTCACCTGATGACTTTTGTAGTTTGTTGCTCTGCAGATAGAATAGGTTACCGCCCTCACCATGTTCTTTTACACTCACAAGTAACAGCCACAAATTTTAATAATGTTATTCAGAACATCTTTAAAAGTCCATCTGTTTCAGATGGTATCTTCGAGAACGTTTAACACAAACTGTCAGATTCTTCTAAGGTCATTGGAAAGCCCATCCTTTTGTCTCTAGATTTGCTCATCAAGAATATTAAGAAATAGCTTGTGATTCTTTAATATAGTTATGTAGATATACTATATTTTTAAAAAATCAATTCCCTATTACACATGTATGTTGTTTCCAGTCTTTTGCAGTTATTTGCATTGCTATGGTGAATAACCTTGTGCATTCATCATTGCTTGTGTATGAGTTTATAGAATGTATTCCTTGAAGTAGAAGGTATCAGAATTACTCTCTGCTTACATCTTTGCCAATACAATGTGGTACTAAACTTTCTGACTGGTGAAAAAATGGTATCTCAATGAAGCTTTAATATGTTTTTCTCGTATAAGTGAAGTGAGATTCTTTTAAAAGTACTGTCTTTCCCTTTGCTGTGAACTAAAACTCATGTTCCTTAACTCTCATAGAGATGTTGGTCTTTTTCTTTGTAATTTGTGGGAGTTCTTTGTATATTAGGGAAACTAATCCTTTGTGATTTTAACTGCATTTCTACCACCACCCCCTCCCCCACAAGTTTGTCACTTTTTAACATTTTAAGTCCTTTAAGTCTGAATCTGGACATTCAACTCTTAGGCACATTTAAAGGGCTGTATTATATATGAAAGTAGGGAACTACCTGTAAATGTTGCCAAGTAAATACAGTATTAGTCCTGAACATATTTGAAGACAGCTATGTGGATGAAGGTTAGATTAGATTTATTCCTTCTCTTTATGGAGAAGCAAATTGCAGCTCAGCATATGGAAGAATTTTCTCTTATTAGATCAGCTTCAAAATGGAATGGAAATCCTTTGGAATAGATGGATTCTTCGTTACTAGATTTGTTATTGGGAAGGAGATGCCAGCCTTTTCCCCAGTTCATTGCACAAAATAAGCACTTAGTGTTGAATAAACGAATCTTTGGGGCATCTGGATGGTTGGATTAGCTGGTTTTTAATAACTTTCACACTGTGTTTATTTTTTATTTTTTTGAAACAAGGTCTCATGTTGTCATCCAGGCTATAGTGCAGTGGCACAAGCATGGCTTACTCTCCTGAGCCTCGACTTCCTGGGTTCAGGGGATCCTCCCACCTCAGCCTCTTCAAGTAGCTGGGTCTACATACACACGCCACCACACCTGGCTAATTTTTTTTTTTTGAGACGGAGTCTCGCTCTGTCACCCAGGCTGGAGTGCAGTGGTGTGATCTCGGCTCACTGTAAGCTCCACCTCCCGGGTTCCCGCCATTCTCCTGCCTCAGCCTCCCGAGAAGCTGGGACTGCAGGTGCCTGCTACCACACCTGGCTAATTTTTTGTATTTTTTAGTAGAGACGGGGTTTCACCGCGTTAGCCAGGATAGCCTCGATCTCCTGACCTTGTGATCCGCTTGCCTCAGCATCCCAAAGTGCTGAGATTACAGGCATGAGCCACTGCGCCTGGCCCACACCTGGCTAATTTAAAAATGTTTTTTATGGAGATGGAGTCCCACTATGTTGCCTAAGCTGGTCTCTAACTCCTGCCTTCAAATGATCCTCCCACCTGGGGCCTCCCAAAGTGTTGGGATTACAGGTATGAGCCATTGTGCCTGGCTCATACTATTTTCATTTAAAAAATATTAATGTAGGCCGGGTGCGGTGGCTCACGCCTATAATCCCAACACTTTGGGAGGCTGAGGTCGGTGGATCACCTAAGGTCAGTTCGAGACCAGCTGACCAACATGGTGAAACCCCATCTCTACTAAAATACAAAAATTAGCTGGGCATGGTGGTGGGCACCTGTAATCTCAGCTACTTGGGAGATTGAGGCAGAAGAATTGCTTGAACCCAGGAGGTGGAGGTTGCAATGAGCCAAGATTGCACCATTGCACTCCAGCCTAGGCAACAAGAGCGAAACTGTCTGAAAAAAAAGAAAAAAAATTAATCTATGTGTTTATACATACTGCCTTTCATATAACTAAAATCATATTTATTTCCTCCTTTCTTGCCTGATTCTCTCTCCTTCCCATTTTGCTCCAAGATAACCATGTCGTATATATATCCTTCCATATTTTTCTTCATACTTGAATGATTATCCTATCTGTTTTTATTTATTTATATATTTTAAGATAGGATCCTGCTGTATTGCCAGGCTGGTCTTGAACTCCTGGGCTCAAAGGATCCTCCCACCTCAGCCTCTGGAGTAGATAGAATCGTAGGCATTGGCCGTGGCACCTGGCTCCACCCTATTTGTTTTTTGTCTATCAGCACACACATACTTCAGGCACACACACACACGTGTGTGTGTGTGTGTGTGTGTGTGTGTGTAGTTCGTTCTGTAAAATTGGATCATATTTGCATTCTTTCCTGTATTTTGTTTTTCTCACATAGTAATAAATAGTAGAGCTCCCTCTAAGTCAACTGATACAGCTCTGTCATTAATTCAATGGCCGTATAATATGCCATCATATATGGGATTATTCCTTGATGCAGCTGTACTTTTGTTTATTCAGCTGATATTTTACTGGTGGACATTCACTTTGTTTCCTGTTTTTTTTTGTCACTGTGAACATTGTAATAAGCATCTTGTACATATCCTTATATACAGGTACGTTTATGAGATAAGTAGTGGGATTTCTGGTTCAAAGTATATGTACATATGATATATGCATATTTAATGATATAGGTTGAGTATTCCTAATCTAAAAAAAATCAAAATTCAGTATTTGAAACACTTCTGGTCCAAAGCATTTCCAATGAGGAATACTCAACCCATATTTAATAATTACTGCCAGATTGCTTTTCTTAGCCAACTTAAGAGTCTTTCCAAGGTCCCTTCTGGTTCATGTAAGGCCATAAAATATATAGTCTTCTTATAGTTGTTAGTTATAGGATTTTTCTGGATTCTTAAAAAGACTTTAAGAGTTCTATTTATAAAATTGATAATCTTCTGAATGACTGTGTTACCTTAGTACAAAATAAAACAAAAGTCTTTCATCAAAGCTCTAGTACCTGGAAAATATTCTAATAGACTAGAAGGTAAATTGAGTTGAGACAAATTTTAATGTATGGCTTTGGGGATGGCGGTTGGGAAATAAAGGCCGTTTTGGCAATAGATTTTTATCTTTAAAGTGGGTATCCACTTGGTTGCAAGAGGATTAATTATAGGAATCTCTTCCTCTTGTAGTCTCTCAGCTTGAAAAGATAAATATAGAGCACCAGTGCTCAGAGAGGGAATGCTGTAGAGAACGTGTGGGTAGCTGCTGTAGTTTTACACAGCAGATAACATCTAGAATAAAGAACAGATGAAAATACTCATTGAGGATTAGTGTTCTTGAAACATCATCAAATGGAACATTCCCCAAGCCTGGCATTCAGAGCCATTCATAATCTTGCTCATCTTGCATGTCTGATAATATCTCCTATCGAGCCCAACATACTTTTCCCTAATCCCACTTTACTCTCTGCCTGCTACATTCATTCCCAGTGCCAGACATTTGTTTTATCCTTTGGAAGATACATCTCTGCTTTTCTACATTCCTGATTACAATCTGTCTTTTCAGTACTCCAATCAAGTGTCATCGCCCTTCATAAAGCCTCTTTGCTTTCTCTAGACCACATTGATCCTTTTTCACTCTTAACTCCTAGAGTACTGATACTTTGAATTCTTCGTGTTGGTTCCCGAGTATGTATTTGTGTAGCAGTAGGAAGTTTTTTTTGAGTGCCTCTTGTATGGGAAGCACTATGCTACATATTGGGTTTATAGGAATGAACATGATAGATAATGTCCCTGTCCTTAAGAAGTTTTATATTCTTGTGGGGAGAGACAGCTAATAAATAATTAACAAGAAAATATCAGTAAGAATCTGATGAAAAAATGTATGAAGAATGAATCAGATCTCTTAGTTGAAATGACAAAGCCCAGTAGTTAATTTAAGCAGAATTTTTTTTTTTTTTTTTAAGGATATTAGATAGCTCACAGAATCTTCAGGGATGCCAGAGAATCAGTCTTGGTGTCTACTTAGCCAGGAAAAATGCCCAAATTATACCACTGGACCAAATCATTGGAGACTACTGCTTTTGCCACTGGGAATAGGTATTAGAACTTTTAACTGTCTGTGCTGAGTATGAGATGCCACTGCTAGGACCTCTGCTATTTCTGCTTCTGAAAGAAAGCTGATATAACTCTGAAATGTTCTTTAGAATGGATTTCACATGGTGTCTCCATTATATCACTTGTCTTCTAATAAATATCATGTGAATGTGTTTTATTGGCATAATATAGGTCAATTACCTGCTTCCGGTTTGCAAGAGAGACTGGGTAACTGAATTTCTGACTTTTATTTTGAGGAGGCAGGATTTATGGGATGAGAAATTCGCCAAACGAGAAAGGCTGTTTAAAGGTACTGAATAGTTAACTAGTTGATTATTAATAAACTATGGGAAATTTGATACAGTGGAGTGATTGGAGGATTAATTTAGATTTGAGTAGTCAGAGAAGATTTCTCTAAGTTCATGATACTTAAGCTGAGACATATATGACAAGGAGAAATCCATGTAAAGATACGAGTGAAGAGTATTTCAGTAGAGGGAACAAGTGAAAAGCCCCTGGTTTGAGATGGGGGTGGGGGTTTAGGGCGTGGATATTATATGGTCTTATACTTACAACAGGAAAGAAGAGCAGGATAGCTAATGTGGTGGGAGTGTGGGAGTGAGGGGGAGTATAGTATGAGATAACACTGGGGAGAAGTTTCTATTTTAACATAGTTTGAGGACACTCAGCTTATTTCCTTTCCTACTCTGAGAATGACTTGTTGAGAGTAGGGATGAAATTATATGTATATGGATAAGAAAGGCATTCCTGTGTTGTTAACCCCATGAACTATTGGATACCATGGAGGGATTAAAATTATTTGTATATTTGTTTAGGAGGAGAATAGCATGAGGGATCTAGCAAAGATAAATACTAGAAAGACTATGTTTCCAGTGAGTAGAGGGATGAAGCCTTCTGTTTTTATTCTAGTGTCCAAATCTGGTGGGCCTTGAAAAGAATTGCTTCTTAACCTTGGTATCCAGGAACAGTGTATTATGGTTGCAGTTACTTGTATTGTGCTAGCTTTCAGGACTGCTTCAAAATACCAAAAGGCTCTAAACCCAAATGTACGCTGATCTTTCCTGTTGAAGAATAGCATTATATAGTAAAGTGATAGAAAACTGTATTTTAGGCCTGCTGCGGTGGTTCATGCCTGTAATCCCAGCACTTTGGGAAGCCAAGGCGGGTGGATCACCTGAGGTCAGGAGTTCGAGACCAGCCTGACCAACAGGGAGAAATGCCATCTCTACTAAAAATACAAAAAAAAATTTAGCCGGGCATGGTGGCATGTGCCTGTAATCCCAGCTACTTAGGAGGCTGAGGCAGGAGAATTACTTGAACCCAAGAGGCAGAGGCTGCCGTGAGCCGAGATTGCATCACTGCACTCCAGCCTAGGTGACAGAGCAAGACTCTGCCTCAAAAAAGAAAAAAAGAAAACTGCTTTTTATATTCCTTTTAAAAAAGAAACCAGTCCCACAAACACGTGAGATAAATTCAGTTTTGGAATGTTAGAACAGTAACCACTCTGATTAAAGTGGTTTCTGCTTCTTGCTCACTCTTTCTCATTTGTGAAACTCAGCTCCTCACAGTAGAACAGATAGATTAATACTTTCATACTGTAGAGTGGTATTTGGACTTTAGATGCACTAACCGGACTGTAGGTGGTAATACTCAGTTACTCAACCTTGGCATGACTGATACTTTGTTTCAGATAATTCTTTGTGGTTGGGAGGCTCTCTCGTGCATTGTAAGATGTTTAGCAGCATCCCTGGCCCCTCTACCCACTAGGTGCAGTAGCACTTCCCTCCCTAGCTGATAGCCAAAAATGTCTTTAGACTTTGCCAAATATCACCTGTGCTTGAGAACCATTGCTGTGTCTCTCTTCACTCTCTTCAGCATTCTTTTTTTTTTTTTTTTTTTTTTTCGAGACAGTGTCTGGCTGTGTCATCCAGGCTGGAGTGCAGTGGCATGATCTTGGCTCACTGTTAACCTCTGCCTCCGGAGTTCAAGCAATTCTCCTGCCTCAGCCTCCCTAGTAGCTGGGACTACAGGTGTTCACCACCACACCTGGCTAATTTTTTGTATTTTGAGTAGAGATGGGGTTTTACCCTGTTGGCCAGGCTGGTATCTAACTCCTGACCTAAAGTAATCCGCTTGCCTTAACCTCCCAAAGTGCTGGGATTACAGGCATGAGCCACCATGCCCAGCCTTCAACATTCTTTTAAACTTTGTTCTCCTATTGGTCCTTTCTTTTTCTTTTTTTTTTTTTTTTTTTGAGACGGAGTCTCACTCTGTCACCTAGGCTAGAATGCAGAACCAATCCGCCTCCTGGGTTCAAGCTATTCTCCTGCCTCAGCCTCCCGGGTAGCTGGGATTACAGGCACATGCCACCATGCCCAGCTAATTTTTATATTTTTAGTAGAGACGGGGTTTCACCATGTTGCCCAGGCTGGTCTCGAACTCCTGACCTCAGGTGATCCGCCCACCTCGGCCTCCCAAAGTGCTGGGATTACATGGGTGAGTCACCACGCCTGGCCTATTGGTCCTTTTTAATAATATCTGATGACCACACCCTGTAGATGTTTTGCTAAGAAAGCTTACATGTGAACAGTCTCTGAATATGACCTCTTTGTCCAAAATATGCAGAAAGCTTTAACATAGTTTTAAAATGAGAAGACAAAATCCCTTTTCCCATGTGTATATCATTTGGATTTTTCTAATACTTCTTTTGTAAGATCAGAAAAGATTATGTATGCAATAGTGCACTGTAAGCCATGCAGCGGTTGATTCTGCAACAGCTGTTTTGCTTTTTCCCTATTGTGCAGCAACAGTATGGTTTCTGAAGGTGACCCTAGCCTCAGTTGTGAGTTCTGATCAGCTTAAGCCAGTCGGTTTTTAAAAAATTGTTGTTATTTTTAGAGAGATGGAGTTTTGCCATGTTGTCCAGGCTAGTCTCAAACTCCTAGGCTCAAGGGATCCACCGGCCTTGGCCTCCCAAAGTGTTGGGATTATAGGCGTGAGCCATCGTACCTGGCCCCAGTTTATATATATATTTTTAATTCTTCTTAGTAGGGATGTGGTCTCACTATATTGCCCAGGCTGGTTTTGAATTGTCCGCAAGTGATCCTCAGCCTCCCAAAGCACTGGATTATAGGTGTGAGCCACCACACCTGGCTGCCTTATTCTTTTTAAGTGGCCAGAAAAAAAATAAATTAAGGATGTGTAGAGATCAAGCCTGTGAGAAAATAGAAATTAACTCCACTTGTTTAGATTTAGATCATTTTATTGTAGATATTCTTGTCACTGAGTGCCCAAGGAATGGATATTGGAAAGCTATAGCTGTCCTTAACTTCAGTGTCAAAGAGTAGGAATCTCCTTTTTTTAAGCAATGGCTTTATTGAGGTCCAGTTCGCATAACATAACATTCACCCTTTTAAAGTATACAATTCAGTGGTTTTAAGGTAGTCACAGGATTCTGCAACTGTAACCATCACCAATATCTGATTCCAGAATGTTTCCATCACTGCAGGAAAAAAAAAACAACAATCCATGTTTAGCAATCACTGTCTATTCCCCTCTACACCTGTGGCCATCACTAATCTTTCTTATTTCTATAGATTTTCCTCTTCTGGACATTTCATTTGAATGGAATCATATAATACATGGCCTTTTGTGACTGATTTCTTTCACTTTACGTAATGTTTTTGGGGTTCATTCGTGTTGTAGGATGTTTTGACATTTTATTCCTGTTATTGCTAAACAATAATGATGGATATAAACATTTATCCATTCATCAGTTTATAGACATTTGAGTTTTTGTTTTGCTATTAATAATGCTGTTATGAACATTTGTGTACAGGTTGGACAAATATTTGGACAAATATTTTTATTTCTCTTGGGTATATACCTTCGAGTAGAATTGCTGAGACATAGGGTAATCCTATGGTTAACTTGTTGAGGAACTGCTGAACTATTAACATTTCTCAAAGTGGCTCTACCGTTTTTTAATCCCACTAACAATGTATGAGGGTTCCAATTGCCCTGTATCCTCATCAGCACTTGTTCATGTCTTTTTTATTTTAGCCGTCCTACTGGATGTGAAGTGGCATCTCATTGTGGTTTTGCTTTGCTTTCTGTAATGACAAATGATGTTCAGCGTATCTTTGGAGAAATACCTATTCAGCACTTTAGCCCATTTTCAAATTGGGTTGTCTTTCTGTTGTTTTAAGAGTAAGGATGCCTTTTTTAAGCTCCTTTTTAGTTCATTATGAATCTGGCATCTATTCATTTAGTTAATCTATTTGATAACTCATAGAATGTTTTTTCAAAGAAGGCAGTTTTGTGCCCTTTTCAGTGTCCTTCAGTTATTTTAAATGCTGATCAGCAAGAGATTAAACTATAATTCTTTAAAAAATGAGATAGAGACTGTTGATGTGAAAAGACAGATATGTGAAAGAAATTATAAAGCACTGCTAATATAGATCAAACATGATAGGATCTGGTGAACCGAATTAAAGCTCTAGAATTCCTGTGGGAATCTGATTGAGCAGGTAATCTACAACTTCTGAGTGTGTCAAACAACTGCCCTTGGTTTCTGGTATGCTCCTTAAGCACACTTCCTTATCAGGAATATAAGAAACACCTGTGCTTAGTTTTGCAAGATTTTGTACATAACATTTTGATTATGTATTTGTTTTACCTTTCCTCACCAGGAATTTGGGTTTAAAGAATTCACAGTTGGTTTAACTAGATCATGTAGCTATGGTGTACCAACTTTTGTAGGAGCAAATGAAAGCTATTGAATATATTCTTACCTTGATTAAATGATAGGCAAGAGCATCCATGAGACGAAAATGGCCCTTTTGAGTGTTTTTTCTACATTTAGTGAGGTTAACATAATCTTTCACTAAGAGCATTTATGCCAGATTAATATTAAATGGAAGAAAATAATAGTGCTGAAAGAAATGTAGAGAGGGTTGGAAAAAGCACAGGTTTTGGTGCCAGACTGAATTTCAGATCAAATTTTAACTCTCCATTTCCTCCTTGAGTGACCTCGGACAAGGGAATTAATCTCTCTAAACTTCAGTCTTCATCTATAAAATGGGATGGATTAAATCTATCTTGAGGCTGGGCGCAGTGGCTCACGCCTGTAATCCCAGCACTTTGGGATGCTGAGGCGGGTGGATCACGGGGTCAGGAGTTCAAGACCAGCCTGGCCAACATGGTGAAACCCCATCTCTACTAAAGATACAAAAATTAGCTGGGTGTGGTGGCACGTGCCTGTAATCCCAGTTACTTGGGAGACTGAGGCAGCAGAGTCACTTGAACCCGGGAGGCAGAGGTTGCAGTGAGCTGAGATCGCGCCATTGCCCTTCAGCCTGGGCGACAGGGTGAGAATCTGTCTCAAAAACAACAACAACAAAAACTATCTTGTACTGAGGCAGGAGGATTGCTTGAGCCCAGGAATTCGAGTCCAGCTTGGGCAGCACAGCCAGACCCCCATGTCTAAAAAAAGGGAAATCTTGTAAGGTTGTTGTGAATATAAAATGAACCAATGTGTGAAAAGCATTTATGGCAGTGCTTGGCACATAACGAGTACTCTGTTGGTGGTACCCGATATATATGTTTCATATATATATATATATATATATATTTTTTTAAAGAACATTTAGATAATCTTATATAGCTTAACTTGCAGCATCTACTCAGTCTTGACAAGCCTTTCTGGTAGTTTAATTTCACAGAAGGTAGATAAAGTAAACCTGGGCCTGCTTTTTTTGTTTGTTTGTTTTAAAGAATTAACTTTTTATTATGATGGTACAATATGCTTATTGGAGAAAATTTGGAAAAATTATTTTAAAAGTAATATTTTTTAAAATTCAGAAAATTATAGTAGGAGTCTGTTAACAGAAGCTTTAAAGGGAATGTGGTCCAAGAAGGAAAGAAAAACTCCTCAGAGTAAATAATAATTATGTTAATTGGAAATTACAAGTAAGAACTAGAGGCAGAATCTATAAAAACTGATGAATACTACAAAAGAAATTCCTGATTGGGTGCGTTTGCTCACACCTGTAATTCTAGCACTTTGGGAGGCTGAGGCAGGAGGATCCCTTGAGGCCAGGAGTTTGAGGCTGCAGTGAGCTATGATTGAGCCACTGCACTCCTGCCTGGGTGATGGAGCAAGATCCTGTTTCTAAAAAAGAAAGAAAGAAATTCCTTGCTTTACTCAGATCTAAAATGGACATTTAGTCACTGGCCACATGTGACTTGAGGTGTGTGTAGTCCAAACTACTATGTACTGCAAATACAAAATATACATTGGATTATTTTTGTGTTGAAATAATATTTCCTATATATTGTGTTAAGTAAAATGTTACTAAAATTAATTTTATCTTTTTCTTATTAATGTGACTACTGGCCTAGTTAAAATTATATATGTGGCTCACATATTCCGTTGGACTGCACTGTGCTTTAGGCATAGTAATACTTACTAGTTTTGAAGTATTTGAAAATTTAAAGTTAAGATATTGGATATTGAACCAAGGTTTTAATAATTTCCTTACAAACAATCACTGTTTTTTTGAGACAGGGTCACTCTGTCACCCAGGCTGGAGCTTGGTGGCCTGATCATGGCTCACCGCAGCCTTGACCTCCCAGGCTCAAGCAATCCTCCCACCTCTGCCTCCCAAGTAGCTAGGACCAAAGGCGTGTGACACCATGCCTAGCTATTAAAAAAATTTTTTTTTTTGTGGAGACAGGTCTCACTATGTTGCCCAGGCTAGTCTTGAACTCCTGGCTCAAGCTATTCTCCCACCTCAGCCTCCCAAAGTATTGGCATTACAGGTGTGACCCCGTCTCTACGAATAATTTTAAAAAAATTAGCTGGGTGTGGTGGTGCATACCCGTAGTCCCAGCTACTAGGGAGGCTGAGGCTGGATTGCCTGAGCTCAGGAGGTTGAGGCTTCAGTGGGCTGTGATCGGGCCACCGCAGTGCAGGCTGGGTGACAGAGTGAGATTGTCTCAAAAAAAAAAAAAAATTCGTCTGTGTTGTATCATGTATCAGAATTTTTTTTTTTTGATAGCTGAGTAGTATTTCAGTGTTCAGCATTTTTATTAATGACATGGATGGAATATTAATGACTTGCTTTGCAAACCCATATATGACCTGGAACTGGCAATGAAAATAAGTTGTATTGTTAAAGTGTGTTGGGTTTTTTTTCAGACTAGAGATTGAAAATAGTTATCAGACTGAAAGAATTGACTGAATTGATTAAAACGTATTAAACATTGATAAGTGCAAAATCCCATATATGATCTAAAAAGTTAGTGTTATTGTAGATGGATGTGATGTGGTTTAATAGCAGGTAATATGAAAAATACCTGGAGGGTTTCACTTGACAGCATGTTCATCATGAGTCCACAGTATTATCTGGGCTCTATTAATAGAAGCATGGTGTCCAGAATGAGGACTATGATTGTCCCAAAGTATTGTGTTCATGTCTAGGTACCTTATTTTAATGGTAAACATTTAAAAACAAAGGCATATTCAAGAGAGAAACCAGAATGATCTAATGGGAAGGTAACTAGCCACTCAGTATTAGAATAAAGCTGTTGTAAGGTAGAGTGGACTGCCTTGGGAGGTAATCAGATCTATGTCACAAGATTTGTTCAAGCAGAAGCTGGATGAACACTTGGCAGGGACATTGTAGACTATTTTAGTTTCACTAGTTGGGTACAGGAGTGGAGAAGGTGCCTAATTATATAGAATATCTTTGTGGATCTTCAACCTTGATATTAATATTTGGTAATCATAGAACATTGCAGAATACTGGGGTTTAAAGTGTTAATAGTGGTTGTCTCTAGGGGATGGGATAGGAGACTGTCATTTCCCATGTTATGTACTTCTGTATTTAATTTTAGTTTCTACAATGAGTATATATTGCTCTATTAAAACAGTTGTAAACACTTGTTTCTTGGCTAGTGACATTGATGCAAAAAATATTCTCGTTTTGCAAATCAACACAAATTAATACTTTACAATTTTTCAAAAGTAACTTAGTAAATTACTATAAACAATTTAAGTGTTTAAAACCCTCTATTGACAGATTTGTGTATTCATGGACGTTGGATATATGGATTTTTTTTTGCCATTGGAAGACTGATTTGCTTCATTAGCCTTTATTCTTTTCTGTAGTTGATCTGGCTGGTGACAGTGAAAGTTAGCTGGGCTGTTACAGATCATTCTGCATGCTCAGATTTACCTTCATCTCCAAGGTTTGGATTATCAGATAACTAGACAGTAAGGCCCTGACTGCTGCTGCCTAGTACCCCTGTCTAAAGGTTTAGTCCTAAAAGGAAGTGAGAGTGGAAAAAATTGTTGCATTCTTAGGAAAATATTTCCTTCTAACCCAGACATCTTTTGTTTTTCCCCAGATGGTTCTGTTATATCCCCCAGAGACCAAGGGTTGGCCCTTTATGCTTATTAGGAAAGAAGGATTATGACCAACACTTGCATCCTGGGTATGTTTAGGATAAATGTTGCTAAGCTGCTTTAGTAAATAGATCGTAAACAGAAACTGAGCCACACCTCCTCCTGCCATTATTATCTTAGTAAATGTTTGCTTAGGATTTTGATTATTTAAATGCTGTAGTTCTCTCATGTACTTAACAAATCTGTAACATTTTGTCAGTAAAGAGATTTATTAATATGCTTCCTTTGCCTTAGCTCAATAGTGCCCTTTTGATGATTTTTTAGGCCAGGCATTTAGCAGTCTAAATGGTGGACAATCTTGGACATTGTTGCGTGCTGTCAACATAAAGCTGTTTGGTGTTTGAGATGGTAGTGCTAGGAAAAATGTGTTAGCATTTGCTAAAAGAGCTTTCACAGGCTGGTCGCTTTCAATGTTTAAAAAAAGTTTATGTAAGACTGTTGATACTTCACTACAGTGTTCCCAAAAGCTTTCTAGTCTTGTTAGTGAAGCGTGTGGGGTATATGAATTGTGGTTTAAACTCTAAATGGCCACAGACATTTTTCTTGAATATGACTCTTAACTTGCTTTCTCTAAACTTCAGTTTGATACTATAGCGGTTGTTGATACCATAGTAGTTGTGTAGTTCAAATTCTCCAGTCATGAGTTTTCATTCTTGGATATGGTAGTGTCTTTGAGGTCAGGAAGAAAGAACAGAAGTCACTAATGTTAATAGCAGAAACTTTAACATTATAGGAATAAAAGTGGTAATAATAGATGAGCAGAAACCTCAATTCAAGAAATACTTGTTTCAAAAAATTATTATTCTGTACCTTCTGTGTAAAATGCCCATTGCTAGGCCTGGGCCCCAGACTTTAAAGAGCATATAGTCTAGTTGTATTGGGTCGATAATTTGAAATGTAAAGAGAGGGGGTAAGGGAAGCAGCCATGTATGAATTCCTTAGAAGGAAAGTTGGCGCGTTATTTCCCCTTTTTCTTTCCTTTTTTTTTTTTTTCAGAGATGGTATCTTGCTCTATTGCCTGGGTTGGATTGACATGGTGCGATCTCAGCTCACTGCAACTTCCACCTCCTGGGTTCAAGTGATTCTTGTGCCTCAGCCTCCCAAGTAGCTGGGACTGCAGGTGCGCACCACTATGCCTGGCTAGTTTTTGTGTTTTTAGTAGAGATGGGGTTTCACCATGTCGGTCAGGCTGGTCTTGAACTCCTGGCCTTAAGTGATCCTCACCGCCCCAACTCCCAAAGTGCTGGGATTTCAGGTATGAGCCACCATGCCCAGCCTATTTCCCCTTTTTCTGTTTCTTACCTTTGACTTGAAGTTCAAGAGTGAGCTGTATAGGCACCAGGGCAACAAGCTGTTTCTTATATTCCTAGGAACTCCGTATTCTTTCTGCTTTTAAGTTGGCATGGGAGCAGGGATGAGCAGTGGTATTGTTGCGGTTATCTTCAGGTACAATTGCTGCTTTAGTAGTCTTTAGGACTTACAGGCTTTTGGGAGTTAATGTAGCTGGATAAATATTTTAAACGAATGAGAAAACCTAGACTGGACACTGGGAACAGAGTTACAGTCTAAGTAAAAACCACTGGAAAAAGCTTTCAAATTCTGTAAATATAACAAAACTAATAATTATAGTAATTAAGAAGAATTTATTTGGGGAAGGTGAAGGGGAAGTTGGAGTAAACTTAATAAGTATCCTGGGGGCTCTGAGAAATTGCTCCCACTCTTTCTTCCTTACTTATATGTCCAACAAATCAAAAATAGCCTCCTGGAGTGAAGAAGAGAGCCAATCATGGTATAGCAATAAAGTAAGTATATCCTACATGCTGGATTTAGCTTTTAGATTGAACAAATGTTAGAAAAGACTCTTTTCCTCTGATTTGTGCTATTTGTTTTAGATAAAATGGGGCAGAAAAACAAAGAGCCTTTCTAGAAAGTTTATGCTAAACAAGGAAATGTGGATTTTTAATTGTCTTGAGAAAAGAAATGTTGAGTGCTGATAGCTGTGATGTTGACATCTCAGCCCGTATTTTAATAGTTAAGGTTTATAAATAACAAAGCCAAAGGAAATGTTATGTAAAACTTACAGTTTCTTATCTGTGGAAATGCTATATTTGGCACCCAGTTTATAATGGTCACTCCTCTGCTTAAAATCCTGTGTTGCCTGTTGCCTGGACAATGAAGCTTGAAATCTGTGAACTTTGGTATTGAAAGCCCTTGATGGTTGAACTCAGTCTAGCCTTCCAGGCTATTTTTTTCTCCTTTCCTTTTTACAACGGAGCCTTTTGCTGTGCTAGATTCCTGAGATGTGCCTTATGGTTCTCTGACTTTGTTCACATCTTTTTGTGTGGGATATCCTCCTGTTCCTTTTCTACTGGTCAAAATGCTCGGTTTTTTTTAAGGCTTCAACTCTTTTGTTTTTACTATTATTAGGACACTCTTCTCATTATTATATTCAACTAGAGCCAAAAACATATTTGGTTATGTATGGGAAGACACATAACTATGTGCACTTATACAGTGTGAACAGTATGGTTTAAATGTCATGCCACAGTGATGTGCTATATATTATAGATGTATAATAAATTATAATTAAGTTATTGAAGTAGAAACTATGAATTGAGAGAGTCTAGGTGTAATGTGCCTTAACATTTTTTTTGACTACTAGTGACTAATCTTCAAAAAAGAAAAGGCTGGAATGACCAGTTTACATTACTGTGAAGTTCATATATTTGAATTTGAGATAGACCGTTCCTTTCAGTGCACTTTAAAAATAACATTTGGAATTATTTTTAGCACAACTGGAATCTCGTTAAATTGTATTGCATCAAATAGGATTTTAAAAATCCTGTATTGGGAATTGGAAAAGCTATAAAAGTCAGACTATATATGTGCTTTTTTTCCTTTGAATTCCAGCTTTAAAATGTTAACTTTAGTTCTAGGTGAATTCAGCATTTTAATGGTCTTCCTGGGAGTAGTCTTTCAGGCCTTTTTTGTTTATGAAACAGAGAAACATTTTTCGTTTTAAAGAAAGCCAACTTCTTATGTTCCCAAAGTCTGACTTTTTCCAGGGGTACCGCTTTAGGGGTATGTGATTATTCAGCCTCTTTCCTCTAAAAGTAGGCTTGGTATATGAAGTTAGCCAATGAAGAACATTAAGATTTTTTTTTTTTTTTTGAGACCAGGCTGGCATTCAGTGGTGCGATCTCAGCTCACTGCAACCTCCGCCTCCTGAGTTCCAGTGATTGTCTTGCCTTAGCCTCCCGAGTAGCTGGGATTACAGGTGCACACCACCATGCCTGGCTAATTTTTGTATTTTTGGTAGAGACAGGGTTTCACCCTGTTTGCCAGCTGGTCTTGAACTCCTGACCTCAAGTGATCTGCCTGCCTCAGCCTCCCAAAGTGCAGGGATTACAGGTGTGAGCCACCGTGCCCAGCTGAAAATTAAGATTTTTATTCTCTTCTCTTATGATCCCATCAATCATTGTCTTTTCTCCTCGATGTGTGTTGGTTAGTAGCTGTCTTGCCTACTGTTCTGTGGCCAACTGTAAAAAGAGTGCCATCACCGGGCACGGTGGCTCACGCCTGTAATCCCAGCACTTTGGGAGGCTGCGGTGGGCGGATCACAAGGTCAGGAGATGGAGACCATCTGGCCAACATGATGAAACCTCGTCTCTGCTAAAATATAAAAAATTAGCCGGGCATGGTGGTGTGCACCTGTAGTCCCAGCTACTCAGGAGGCTGAGGCAGGGGAATTGCTTGAACCCGGGAGGCAGAGATTGCAGTGAGCCAAGATCACACCACTGCACTCCAGCCTGACAACAGAGTGAGACTCTGTCTCAAAAAAAAAAAAAAAGGGTGTTATCTTCATGATTTTCTCACTTCTGGTGTGAACCTGACTCTTCCATTATCTCAGGATGGGAAGCTCCATAATTTGTTAATAGTGAAATGACTAGAATATACTATTAGAAATGGTTTTCCAAAATCAAACTTATTTATCAGTTTTGTTGGAATGTCTTGAACAATGAAGCTTCAGAATTGTGATTTTTATTTCTATATTTCTTTCTGACTTCTCACTTGTATTCCTATTTATATTTTGCATGTTTGTTTTCCTGATTTCTGATTTGGATTCCAGTGAGGTCGTAAGAGCTAATGTAGTACAAGGGTTGAGTTCAAACCAGCAGGTGCTATGAGTCATTTGCTCCTTTGCTGGGGCAGCCAGTGTGCTGCTGTTAAGTGTGGCTGTGTCTCAGTGAGCTCTCAGGAAAGATCCATTTAATCCAATTGTGACAGAGGGGAGATGAGAGCATGGTTCTGAGAGAAAAAGTTTACAATCTCATAGGCAAAGACTTCTTGGATACATAAAAGGATTCTAACTGTGTTTAACGTAATATAGGCTTTTCCATTGTATTTTAATAGTTATCAACAATATATTAATATTTACTTAGTCATGCATTTATTTATATATTTAATTGTAAACACAATTAACAATCTTTTTTTCTCAGATACAATAGTTAATGAGTTTATAATTGAGTTCTTGAGAGAATAGCGTTTTCTTTTTCTTTTTTTTTTTTTTTTTGTGTGACGGAGTCTCACTCTGTCCCCCAGCCTGGAGTGCAGTGGCACGATCTCGGCCTACTTCAGCCTCTGCCTCCTGGGTTCAAGTGATTCCCCTGCCTCAGCCTCCCAAGTAGCTAGGATTACAGGCGCCCACCACCACACCCGGCTAATTTTTTGTATTTTTAATAGAGGTGGGGTTTCACCATGTTGGCCAGGCCGGTCTCAAACTCCTGACCTCAGGTGATCCGCCCGCCTTGGCCTTCCAAAGTGCTGGGATTAAAGGCGTGAGCCACCGTGCCTGGCGAGAGTAGCATTTTCTTGACCATAACTAAATACAGATTTCAATAAGCATAAGCAAATTATGTCAAAAATATGTCCAGTTTACTGGCATTTACTGAAAAGGATAAACATAGAGAGACAGTCTTCTTTTGACAGTAGAAGATATTTCCATGCCAGGTAAAGTGAGAGGCATCTTAACAGTGAGAAGAGTGTCCATGTTCCCTGTGGTCAGTGGCCACCAGTGTTGACATTTCCTGTGTTATGCTGCCAAGTTGATGATGGCTTGTAGGTTATGTGTATCTAAAACTTCTGTCTGATTAGTCTTCTTATCCTTTTCTGTGTATAGTCATGCACTGCAAAACGACATTGGAGACTGGGCCTGGTGGCTCACGCCGGTAATCCCAGCACTTTGGGAGGCCGAGGCGGGTGGATCACGACATCAGGAGATCGAGACCATCCTGGCTAAGACGGTGAAACCCTGTCTCTACTAAAAATACCAAAAATTAGTCGGGCATGGTGGCGGGCGCCTGTAGTCCCAGCTACTGGGGAGGCTGAGGCAGGAGAATGGCGTGAACCCGGGAGGCGGAGCTTGTAGTGAGCCGAGATCACTGCCCTCCAGCCTGGGCGACAGAGCAAGACTCCGTCTCAAAAAAAAAAAAAAAAAAAAAAACAAAAACGACATTGCAGTCAACCATAACCTGCATATATGGATGGTCCCATAAGATTATAGTATCGTATACTGTACCTTTTCTATGTTTAGATATGCCAATATTTACCATTGTTTTACAGTTGCCTATACTATTTGTTACAGGAACATGTTGTACAGGTGTGTAGCCTCGGAGCAATAGGACATACCATATGTCCTAGATATGTAGTAGGCTGTACCATCTCAGTTTGTGTAAGTACACTGTGATGCCTGCATAATGATGAAATTGCCTAAGGATGCATTTTTCAGAGTATATCCCCATTGTGAAGGAACACGG
Organism: Homo sapiens; assembly: GCF_000001405.40. Taxonomy (NCBI): domain Eukaryota; kingdom Metazoa; phylum Chordata; class Mammalia; order Primates; family Hominidae; genus Homo; species Homo sapiens. The sequence goes on from NC_000010.11 coordinate 72,742,359, forward strand.
GACTGCACTCTGTCCATCTTTGTCATCATAGGGTTTTTTCAGACTTGCAATTCTATTTTATTAATACTCTGTTGTGTTGCCATTTCCCCCTAGAGGTTCTCTGCATTTTTATGTATCATTCAGCTATTTTTTTAGACTTAAGTAAATAATACTCAGAAATGAATATGATTCTTATAACCATCGTTTTCATGTGTTCTTTGGATGCTTGCATATTTACTGGGGAGAGTGATTGTGTGAGAATCCTATCAGTAGGATTTAATTAGGACAAAGTGGAAGATAAGTCAAACATGTCTTGCCTGCAAACTTTCACACATATAAGTGTGCCTAATAATGAAGAACCATTAATTTTAAGAGTATGTGGCCCATGGGCAGGGGCTGAACTATAGATAAATTGCAGGGATTGATTATACCCATTAGGGGAGACAGAAAACACCAGGGAACCCAAGTTAGGAAAAGTCTTTCTCCTGAAGATGTAATTAGAGTGGCAGCTTGCTCTTTGGGCAACTCCTGAGGTGATTTCTAGGGGGTGCAATGCTATAAATGCTGCTAGGGATTTTATTCAAGGTAGGAAGTCAGGGAAAGGGGGTTAACAAGTTTTGGTATCGAATGGACATGTGAGAACATGTGAGAGTGTGTGAGAGAGTGAAGTGAGAGAGTATGAGAGAGAGGGTGAGGGGGAGAGAGAGAGAGAGGAAGAGACTTGATCATCATGTTGTATTTATGGCATTGCCCCGTCATTCACTGTCTCGAGAAAAGTGAGGGGTTTTGGGCTGGGCGTGGTGGCTCACACCTGTAATCCCGGCACTTTGGGAGGCTGAGGCAGGTGGATTACCTGAGGTCAGGAGTTTGAGACCAGCCTGGTCAGTATTGTGAAACCCCGTCTCCAGTAAAAATAAAAAAAAATAAATGCTAGGCATGGTGGCGGGTGCTTGTAATCCCAGCTACTCGGGAGGCTGAGGCAGGAGAATCACTTGAACCTGGGAGGCAGAGGCTGCAGTGAGCCGATATTGTGCCACTACACTCCAGCCTGCATGACAGAGTGATACTCCATCTCAAAAAAAAAAAAAAAAAAAAGGTTTTTGGAGCCCCTTTAATATATCTTTATGGGGGGGAGATAGTAATATTCACTAGAATTCATTCCTTTATTCATTCAGCAGATATTTACTGAATACCTACTGTATATGAGGCACTGTTTTAATTATTAGAAGCATTTTTTTTCTGTACTTGTACATTTAAGGTGCTATGCAAGTCATGTTTCTACTTCTAGAAGCTTGTGCAAGTTATGCAGATTAGTGTATTATGAACTTAGAGGCAAATGAAAAAAACTTCAACAAATACAGATTAATTTTGCATTATCACCTAGAGGGGTGGATGCTTTCATTGGAAGAGTGGCTATGAGGAAGTCATGAAAGATTTATATGTGTATGATGGAATTTGAGACCAACTAATTAGACTTGAAAATAACCTTAGTTCTGCATAGTATATTTCTATATGAAATTCTCTTGGTGCCTGGCAGCAGCTGATTCTAAGAAGCTGAGGAGGATACTGTTCTATAGTATAACTAAACTCTGCCCCTCTTTCCAGAAATCCAGCCATTTGTGTTTTGTAGGTTATGCTGTAGCTCATCATTTTCATGTCTCTCCCTTAATAGTTTATATATATATATGTATGTGTATTTATATGTATGTAAAACATATATATGTTATTTATATACATAAATATATAAAATATACATGCATCTTCCTTTTATCCCACTCTTAATATAGGAGGTATTTTCTATATAGTTTACAAATTCTTTCTCTATATTATGGAATAACTATGTATAACTATATAGTTGATCTTTTGGCTTCATTTTTCAGGTATCCAAAGATGCTTTTTTTTTTTTTTTTAAAGATTTTTGGGTGCGTAATATTTTGGAGAACTTTAGCAGTAATGTGCTATTCCTACTTAGTGACAGACTGAATGCAGGCTTGATCCACAGATTGACTTCATTTTGCCAACTGGCTTCTTAAATGAAGAAGAATTTGGTGGGGAGGAGAAAGTGCTAGAATTTTTGGCTCACTGGCCATAGCTTTGGAGCAGAACACAAAACAGCAAGGGTAGACTAACTTCATTTTGTTAACTGGTTCCTTAAATTGGCACACAGCTGTAGTCCCAGCTACTCGGGAGGCTGGGGCAGGAAAATTGCTTGAACCCAGGAGGCGGAGGTTACAGTGAGCCGAGATGGTGCCACTGCACTCCAGCCTGGGTGACAGGGTGAGACTTCGTCTCAAAATTCAGGAGTTTAGGGAGGAGAAAATGCCAACTGGTCACAGCTTTGGGACAGAATATAAAACAGCACAGCTGGTAGTTATTCAAAAGGGTAGGTCTGCTCTCCTTTCTTAAAAACATCTGGTTCTACCAGCTCTCTTTGAGCTACCCTGCAGAGTTCTTACTGCCAGACCTGTTTCTGAGTTGGAGATCATTAAACGAATGGTTAGATAGACCTCTGGGGTCAGCAGATAATCCCTGGGTCACCAGTTGAGATTTAATTTTTTTGTTTTTTAAACCTTTGAATGTTTAGTATAAGATAGAGGTTTTTGTTTTTGCTTTTTTGGTTTTGTTTTTTCCCCTTAACATGATCTGCCCCTCAGCTTTTCTTCTGAATTTGTATAATAAGGCCCACAGATAAGTGTTTCATATTAATATTATAAAATTGTTTTTGGGTTAGTCTGCATGCATTAAAAAAACCTATTTATAAACTCTCAAGGCTTATGGACAATTTAGATCAAAATAATTTAATTCAGTTTTCTTAAAGCAAGCTGGTTTATTTCTAAAGGTTCAGATTTTACATTTACCTAAAGTTAGTTTTTCTTCCAGTGGAATACTGTTCAGAATTTTTTTTTTTGAGATGGAGTTTCACTCTTGTTGCCCAAGCTGGAGTGCAATGGCACGATCTCAGCTCACTGCAACCTCTGCTTCCCAGGTTCAAGCTATTATCGTGGCTCAGCCTCCTGAGTAGCTGGCATCACAGGCGCACACTACCACACCGGCTGGTTTTTTCTATTTTTAGTAGAAACAGCGTTTCACCATGTTAGCCAGGCTGGTCTCGAACTCCTGACCTTAGGTGATCCACCTGCCTTGGCCTCCCAAAGTGCTGGGATTACAGGTGTGAGCCACCGTGCCCGGCCACTATTTGGTATTTTATACATAAATAGCTACTATAGCATGCTTCTTTCATCACAGGGATATGGCAAACACATAGAATTTTCTCATAGTACAATGTTTTCACTGAGAGCCTTTTTTCTTGTTTGTTTTTTCCTTTACCATATATTATAATATGGTATATTACCATATATCATTACCATAAAATGGTATATTACCATTATGTGGTAGTATACCATATATCATTGCATGGCCAGACTTTCTCACCAGAGCCTCATTGTCTTCCTGTGAAAGTATAGTCACATGTCACATTTGGCTAGCTATTCAAATTTTTTTTTATTGTGGTAAAGTATACATAACATAAAATATACCATTTTAATAATTTTGACGTGTATAGTTCATTGACATTAAGTACCTTCATGTAGTTGTGAACCATTACCACTATCCACCTCCAGAACATCTTCATTATTCTGTACTGAGTGGCTATTTTTAATGTTTCTAGGTGGAAGGGCATCCCAGCTTTTCCTGCCTGTGTTTTGTTTCCTTGCATCCAGTTTTTCTTTGCTGTTTGGTGGTAGTGGACCTACTTCTCCTCTTCTCATTTATTCACTCAACAAATATTTGTTGAGCATCTTTTGTGTGCACAGTATAGCGTGAAACCTAGTGGAAAACTATAGTTATAGTATTCGAATATAAGACTGTCTCATACCAGCCACACTGGCGTTGCAGTAATTTTTCAAAAACCAAAAAGAAAAGGCCTCCATAAAATACTTGAATTATAGTCAGGCTTAAAATGAAAAAATATTTGAGCAGAAGCTCCAAGTCACATCACATATCTGGAGAATTAGAAGTTTTTTTGTGGTTGTAAAAAACAAAGATTTTTCGTACAGGCGTTTTAACTTTAAGTAGAGGCATAAATGTTATCTGTGTCTATGTAAATACTACCTCACTTTTCAGTTGGATAAATCTGACTTAAATGCTCTGATTAAGTTGAATGTTTGAATTGTATCTATTAGAACAGTATCCTAAGCAGCAAGCCCAAGTCTGTTATTTTCAGGCCTTCTTCTGGTTCTAGGGTATGTAATAAGACTTCAGTGTTTGAAATGTCTGAAGTTGTCTCCAAACAGAGATTACACTAGCCCTTATGTGTTTGGGGATTCTGTGCTAATTGCATAATTGTAATGTTTAGCAGCCATCTGAAATGTAAACTTAATGCCAAATTTCTTATAATTGCTTCCATGGAAGGTAACCCAGGGTTCAGAAAAAAAATAACTTATTTGGACTTCTAATCCCTGCCGACTCTGAGATATCAAGACATGTAGTTATTATGTACTGAATTGGGGAGGTGACTAATTTATGATCTCTATCTAGAAGTTTGGTAAACACTTAGTGGTAGGTTGCTAGGCATGAATTTAGTCTCTTTGAAATTTGGAAATATAAATGTAATTCTGAACCTAACAATGAAACTGTCTGGGCCTTTTCAGCCTAACTCTGGAAATGTGACCAAAACCAGCTAAAAATATAAACTAAAAATATAACGAAAAAGTTAGGGACTATGTGCAGGGCAGAGGTGCTGATTTTTAACTCTGGTTGCTTCCACTTGCTGCTTTTAGTCCATGTTTAGTGCCTGTGTTTTGCTTCCTCATTCCCCATTGCACTCCTTCTCTGTTGCCATGGGTTTCCCAAGCTGGCATTATGGTCTTCCAGAATCCACTGTTGTGTTGTTTGCAGATATTTCAGGGATCACACAATGTCTATACGAATGTTATAGATACTTAATGCATTCTTGGAGGATTAAGAATATATTCTGAACCAGAAAAGTAAGGAGTAGTGCATTTTTAAAAACTCTGAGTTTTTGTTGGTTTTCTTTTCTTTTCGTTGTTTTAAAAAATATGTTAAAGAATGTATAGTGCTTGTTATGATGAGGTAATAAGGACTGTTCTTGTTACAGATAATTTTGTTGCTTTTGCACTTCGCTGCAGTGCCTGTTATGCCTGCTATTGGTAATACAAAAATTATTTTGGAAACACATAAAAACATAGAAATAGGTCAGGCACGGTGGCTTATGCCTGTAATCCCAACACTTTGGGAAGCTGAGGCAGGAGGATCGCTTGAGCCCTTGAGCCCAGTCAGGGTAACACAGGGAGACCTCGTCTCTACCAAAAAAAGAAAGGAAAAAAATAAAAAAGCTAGATGTGGTGACGTACGCCTGTGGTCCCAGCTATTCTGGAGGCAGAGTGGGAGGATCACTTGAGCCTGGGAGGTCGCAGCTGCAGTGAGCCATGATCATGCCACTGGCTTGACAGAACGAGATCCTGTCTCAGAAAAAAACAAAACCAAACCAAACCATGGAAGTGTAATATGGCCAAATATTTAATTTAAAATATTTTAGTAGCCGTATTTTAAAAAGTGGAAAGAAACAAGTAAAATTAATTTGAATAATATATTTTATTTAACATAATATAAAAATATTTCACTATTCAATATAAAAATTAATGAGTTACATCCTTTTTTTCATACTTAATCTTCAAGAGTCTTACGACAACCATCTTTTTTTTTTTTTGAGACGGAGTCTTGCTCTGTCGCCCAGGCTGGAGTGCAATGGCACGATCTCAGCTCACTGCAACCTCTGCCTCCCGGGTTCAAGTGATTCTCCTGCCTCAGCCACCTGAGTAGCTGGGACTACAGGTGCCCGCCACCACGCCCAGCTAATTTTTGTATTTTTAGTAGAGATGCGGTTTCACCAGGTTGGCCAGTCTGTTCTTGAACTCCTGACTTCAGGTGATCCGCCCGCCTTGGCCTCCCGAAGTGCTGGGATTACAGGCGTGTGCCACCGCACCGGCCAACCGTCTTAATTATCGTTAGATTAGACACATTTTAAGTGCTCAGTAGAGCGTGTAACTGTCATATTGAACAGTGTAGTTCTGCATTTTGTTATCTTTTCCCCATCAGATCGATTAACAAGGAGTGATAAGTAATAACTTTTTTCCTGTCTAGTGAACTATCCAAAGTGAATGTCAAGGAGATATAATGGCTGGGCGAGGTGGCTCATGCCTGTAATCCTGGTGGTTTGAGAAGCCTAGAGGGGAGAATCATTTGAACCCAGGAGTTTGAGACCAGCCTAGGCAACATAGCAAGACCCTGTCTCTACAAATAATAAATTTTAAAAAGGAGATATAAGGAGTCTGGTTAATTCATTCTCTGAAGAAATACTTCATTGTTTAAAAAAAAAAAGATAAACTCTAAGGGAAGGACATCCTGATCCATGTTTGTTACAGTCTCAAGAAAATAATTATAATTTGAAACCTGTTCTTTCCTTGACAGTGGTATTACTTTAAGGAAACAGGTAAACTTTCCATCTGAGGATTAAGATGTTAGAGTCATTTAGCTTCTCTAGAATTTGCCACACAGCATCCTAAATTGGGATGAAAAGCACTCACTATTCCACACTATCAAATAGCTGTAAAACTTGAGAATGTTGGATTATGATGGCTCACGCCTATAATCCGAACACTTTGGGAGGCCAAGGTGGGAGGATTGTTTGAGCCCAGGAGTTCAAGACCAGTCTGGGCAACAGCAACATGGTGAAATCTCATCTCTCCCAATAATTGAAAAAAAAAATGTTGTTTTTTTTTTGCCAGTCATGGTGGCACATGTATGTGGTCTCAGCTACTTGGGAGACTGAGGTGGGAGGATTGCTTGAGCCCTGGAGGACAAGGCTACAGTGAGCCGTAATCATGCCACGGCACTTCATCCTGGACGACTGAGTGAAAAACCTTGCCTCTAAAATCAAAAACCAACTTGAGAATGGTGACATGGGCAGAGATTTTAAATGAGTGATTTATTTTTCTCCAACCTGACTGATAGGAGCTTTTCTTCTAAGGTATAAGGTATTTACTAGAGTGTGAAGCTATTTATATGCAATTATATAATGCAAAGAATATAATTTTATTAGCTTATAATTACAAAATAAATACAACACATTAGGTTGATCAAATTAAATGTTCTGCCTTTTTTGGCCTATTATAGGGACTTGTGTTTGTAAGGACTGCTTTCTATGTCTTGGTGATAGATAAGGATTAAAAGTTAGGTTCTTAAAGGGGGTTAGGATGGCCATATAAGTCACCTCTAAATTGCAGTGCCTTTTGAGTGAAAGAGAGTGCTGACAATAAATATGTTACAGGAGCAGGTGTTAAGCTGGACTATCCCAGGCAAATTGGGACATATGGTCACCCTAGTTAAAGGGTGCTGTTGTAGCTTTGCTACCTTCTTTTTTTTAAATGAGACGGAGTCTTGCTCTGTTGCCCAGGCTGGAGTGCAGTGGCGTGATCTCAGCTCACTGCAGCCTCCGCCTCCCAGGTTCAAGTGATTCTCCTGCCTCAGCCTCCCAAGTAGCTGGGACTACAGGCGTGTGCTACCATGTCCAGCTAATTTTTGTACTTTTTTTTTTTTTTTTCAGTAGAGGCAGGGTTTCACCATGTTGACTGGGCTGGTCTTGAACTCCTGACTTCAGGTGATCCGCCTGCTTTGACTTGGCCTCCCGAAGTGCTGGGATTACAGGTGTGAGCCACTGTGCCCAGCCTTTGCTACCTTCTTTTTGGAGAATCCTGGTAGGCTGTAGGAAGTGAAGTCACAGAATTCATCAGTGTAAAGTTCCTGATCTGTGAGTGAGGTCTCCTTCATCTCAGAGCTTAGAACACTTTTTATTCAGGGAACACTGAACTGGAGAGATTAAGAGGGAAAAGGTAAATAATTTTAATTTAACAGACGAACAGTTTCTCCCATATCTGCAAGAAGGTTTTACGTGCATGAATACCAATGTGACTGAAGGATGTTTCCTTTTAATTGTGTAATATTATTATTTTTAAATTCTAGATTAAGATAATAAAATAGGTACAAAACTGAGCTCTGAGAAAACTTTGTTGCAAGGCATTGATTACAAATTTGATTTTTAAGAGCGTTGTTCAGTACGCTTATTTAGGCTTCTTGTTAACCATCTTTGAGGGAGATATCCTAGCATTTATGTGGATGGGTGTCTAACTGCATGATCCAGTAGGCTTTTACATTTTCAAGAAGTAGGTATGTGACGACACAGATATGCATCATTTGGAGGAGATACTGATTTTTTTCAGACTTTGAAGTCTATATTTAATAAAATTGACCTTTTTTTGATGTACGTGTCTATGAATTTACATAGATTTGTGTAACCACCTTCACAATCAGAATGCAGAACAGTTTCATTGCCCCTAAATTTCTCTTGTGCTGCCCATTTGAATTCAGTTCTTCCTCTCATCCCTAACCCCCCTGACAACCTTTCATTTGTTCTGTTTCTATACTTTTGCCTTTTGCAGATTGTCATATAAATGAAATCAAATAGTTTATAACATTTATGTTGCTTATTTAGCTTAGATTAGCTTATTTCACTCAGCACAATGCCTTTGAGGTTCATCCATGTTATTGCATGTTTCAATAGTTTGATATTTTAATTCATTTTTATTTTTTATTTTATTTTTTTGGAGACAGAGTTTTGCTCTGTTGCCCAGGCTGGAATGCAGTGGCATGATCTCGGCTCACTGCAATCTCCATCTCCTGGGTTCAAGCGTTTTTCCTGCCTCAGCCTCCCGAGTAGCTGGGATTACAGGCACACGCCACCATACCTGGCTAATTTTTTTATATTTTTGGTAGAGATGGGGTTTCACCATGTTGGCCAGGCTGGCCTCGAACTCCTGACCTCAAGTGATCCACCTGCCTCGGACTCCTAAAGTCCTGGGATTATAGGTATGAGCCACCGCACCCAGCCTCAAATGGTTTTTTTTTCTCTAACATCTTCTTCTTCTTCTTTTTTTTTTTTTTTTTTTTTTTTTTTTTTGAGACAGAGTCTCATTCTGTTTCCCCGGGCTAGAATGCAGTGGCATGATCTTGACTCACTGCAACCTCTGCCTCCTGGGTTCAAGTGATTTTCGTGCCTCAGCCTCCTGAGTAGCTGGGACTACAGGCATGCACCACAATGCCTGGCTAATTTTTGTATTTTTTGGTAGAGACGGGGTTTCACCATGTTGGCCAGGCTGGTCTCAAACTCCTGGCCTCAAGTGATCCGCCCACCTTGGCCTCCCAAAGTGCTGGGATTACGGGTGTGAGCCGCTGCACTCCACCTCTTTCTCTTCTTAATGATGTTGTTGTTGCACAGGTTCCCGAGGGTCTGGCTTCCTTTGAGACATTGTTATTAATCCCTCAGTGTCATTCCTTTGAGACATTGTTATTAATCCCTCAGTGTCATTCATTCAGATGCCACTGTGAACATTCTTGTGCAGGCCTGCTTGGGTACATGTGACAGACTTTCTTTTTTTTTTTTCCTGAGACAGAGTCTGGCTCTGTCGCCCAGGCTGGAGTGCAGTGGTGCCATCTCGGCTCACTGCAGCCTCCACCTCCTGGGTTAAAGTGATTCTACTGCCTCAGCATCCCGAGTAGCTAGGACTACAGGCACCCGCCACCACGCTGAGCCAATTTTTTGTATTTTTAATAGAGACGGGGTTTCACCATGTTAGCCAGGATGGTCTCGATCTCCTGACTTCGTGATCCACCCCCCTAGGCCTCCCAAAGTGCTGGGATTACAGGTGTGAGCCACCATGCCCGGCCGCACATTTATATCTTTAATTCATTTGTCTATTTGAAGTCAACCCTTAGGAGATAATACTTTTCACGCATTATCTCAGAGAAGATCAGTCTGCTGAGGACATAAGTGACAGGTCCAGATTTTTTTTTTTTTTTTTAATACTAGAGACAGGGTTTCACCATGTTGGTCAGGCTGGTCTTGAACTCCTGGCCTCAAGTGATCTGCCTGCCTCGGCCTCCCAGTGTGCTGGGATTACAGGCATGAGGCACCACGCCCACCCTCCAAATGTTTTTTTGAATGGGCAAAATAATCCACAGTAAATATAGAATGTGCTTTATGTCTAAATGCTAAGAACATATAGGCATTAATGACGTTGAAAACATTCTTTTCTTAGTACTGTATTGATAAATGTGTGGCTAGCTTTTTGGTGGCAGTAATAAACATGAATAGCAACAAAGCAACAACAAAACTGAGGGCACATTTGGAAGACAAAGAGATATGAAGGACAATATGGGATCTGGTGTTAGTTTTGTTTTGGGTTTTGCCTGCTGCATGGGTCACAGGAAACATTTAGTTACAGAACTGGAGACCTATTAAAATCCTCTCATTTGTAGGCCTGTGGTGTGTGTTTCTTATAGCAGAGCAATGGCTGCTGTGTGACTGTAAGTTTGGAATTTATGGTAATAGAAGCTTTAAATATCCCAAACATTACAGTAAAGGTGGAAGGAGCCCTTCTTAAAGAAGCAAGGTCAAATATTCATTTTGAAGTTGAAATGAATCAACAGGCAGTCTCTGAAGAATGCCATTTCCAAGTTCAGAGAAGATGCAGTTATGCCATCATAACATCATAACAGTCTGCTGGTTTCTGCATGACATGTGGATATAAAACACCATCTTTTCTATTGAGAGGCCCTAATTTAAAGCAAGAAAGTTCAGTGGTTGTGGTGACTTTTTAAAAAGTTGCTTCAAACATTATAGGGTGAAGAATTTTTCTTTCTTGGAGGATACCAGTTAACCTTAGACCTCTTAGATTTGTATTGTTTACATATATCGCTAATGAAATAATTTTTTTCTCACAGTTTAAAGTGATCTGTGAGCATGATTATCTTCCCTAAAATAAGTAACACCCAAAATAAGAATATATGATGTAAAAATTTTAAATGAGTTAATACCAGCAGCAAAAATATTACTTGACATTCCATCATATTAATACATTAAGTTCTAGTTACCAAGAACCCTTTATATTTACTCGTTGTTACATTGTACAATATAGTTTATAAACTGCTTGTTCATTTATCAAATTTCATTCAACATTCCCAGAAATGTCTTGTGCAGTAGGTGGTATTCATTTTTAGTGTATTAGGAATCTGAGGCTGAGAGAGATTATGATATTAATAGTTACAGTTTATTGAGAACCTATTAAGTACCTGGCACCTTAACTTGCATCATTTCATTTAATACTGAAAACCACATAATGGGCCGGGCGTAATGGCTTATGCCTGTAGTCCCAGAACTTTGAGAGGCTGAGGCTGGTAGATCGCTTGAGCCCAGAAGTTTGAGACCAACCTGGGCAACATGGCAAAATCCTGTCTCTATAAAAAATACAAAATACTAGCTGGGTGTGGTGGTGGCATGCGCTTCTGGACCCAGCTACTTGGGAGGATGATGTGGGAGGATTACCGGAGCCTGGGAGATTGAGATTGCAGTGATCTGTGATCACGCCACTGCACTCTAGCCTGGGTGACAGAGCAAGAAGACTTTGTCCAAAAAAAACAAAAAAACAAAACACACACACACACAAACCCACACTATGAAGTAAGTACTGTTTTCAGCCATATTTCCCAGATGAGGAAACTGAGGTTTAGAGTGATTAAGTAACTTACCCTAGATTATATTGCAAGTAGCAATTGTTATATGGTAAGTAGCAGAGTAGGCAGAGCCACCACTAGCTATGAGAGACTTCTGTTTGAATTAGGAAAGTTACCCCCTGTGGTGAACCAATGAGGAAGCCAAACTTCCTCTGGCCTGGCACACCACCCGAAGCAGTAACTTGGGGACCTGTGCTTAGATGCCACTTATTTCAGCATCTGTGAGCTGAACATGGGCAGAATTTCAGCCTTATTTTGCTTCCTTGATGCCTTTGTACTGTGCACAAACTGAGCCACCCTTACCCAAAGGTCTTAAAGCCCAGATTTCAATCCAGGTCTATTTGAGTCCGGAGCTTATATTCTGTTTAATAGCATGCTGCCAATTAATGGCAAAGTTAAGACTTCAGCCAGATTTTCTGATCATCAGTATTTTCCTCCTTCTATTATGTATCATGCAGGTTGGTTGAATTACAGATGACACTGGAGGCGGGGCATGCTGACTCACACCTGTAATCTCAGCACTTTGGGAGGCTAAGGCAGGGGGATTACTTGAGCCCAGGAGTTTGAGATGAACCTGGGCAACATAGACCCTGTCTTTACAAAGAATTAAAAAATTAGCCAGGCATGTTGGCACACACCTGTGGTCCCAGCACTTTGGGAGGCAGAGACAGGGTTTCACCATGTTGATCAGGATGGTCTTGAAGTCCTGACCTCAGGTCATCCACCTGTCTTAGCCTCCCAAACTGCTGGGATTACAGGCATGAGCAGCCCAGGAGGTTGAGGTGGCAGTGAGCCATGAGTGCATCACTGCACTCCAGCCTGGGCTTAGCTAGACACTGCCTCAAAAACAACAACAACAAAAAGCCCAACAAATGACACTCAAGTCCCATACTGCCCAGTTTGCAGACATTTTTTGCAGATGATGTTAAAGATTTCTTAGCACTTCTACAGAGTTATAACCTCACATATTTCATAACAAACTGTGTTTTTATGTGGCTCAAGATTTGTATTGAATTCCTGGTATCACTACCTAGTTAGCTGTGTGACCTTGATCAAGTTAGGAAGGGAATATAATAAGTATAGTGGTTAAAAGCATGGACTGTAGTCTCAGACTACCTGGGGTCAAATTCTAGCTATTTCTTACTAGATATGTGAACCTGAGATTTTTTTTTTTTTTTTTTTTGAGGCAGAGATTTGCTCTTGTTGCCTGGGCTAGAGTGCAATGGTATGATCTCAGTCACTGCAACCTCTGCCTCCCGGGTTCAAGCAATTCTCCTGCCTCAGCCACCCAAGGAGCTGGGATTACAGGCATGCACCACCATGCCCAGCTAGTTTTGTATTTTTAGTAGAGACGGGGTTTCAGCATGTGGATCAGGATGGTCTTGAAGTCCTGACCTCAGGTGACCCACCCGCCTTGGCCTCCCAAAGTGCTGGGATTACAGGCATGAGCCACCCCACCTGGCCAGCTTGGGCAATTTACTTTATGTCTTTAAGCCTGGTGTGTAATGTTGATGGTAGAGTGGGGAACAATTATACCTATCCAATGAGTTGTGAGTACTATATGAGTTAAATACATGAAGCATTTAGAATAGTGCCTTGCGCATAAATATAGTAAATACATTAAGTACTATTTAAGTGCTAACTGTTGTTATTGTTATTAATATTAGATCACTATGAGTTTGCACTTGTAGCCTGTAATTCAAAGCAATTTGAACGGCGGAAGCATAAATAGATAAATGATCATCTAAATATGGCATCTCTTCAACCCTTGTTGTTGTTGTTGTTTTTGCCAGATAAGAGTTTTCAAAGGTTGTGCCAGAGTACTTGCTTTAGGGATATTAGCCCAATTGAAACCATTTTTTTTTTTTTTTCATTGAGACAGAGTCTCTCTCTCTGTTACCCAGGCTTAGAGTGCAGTGATATGATCATAGCTCACTGCAGCCTCAATCTCCCAGGGTCAAGCAGTCCTCCCACCTCCGCCTCCTGAGTAGCTGGGACTACCGGTGTGCACCACCATACCCAGCTAATTGTTTTCTTTTACATGTTTTGTAGAGACAAGGTCTCGCTTTGTTGCCCAAGTGGGTCTCGAACTCCTGGTCTCAAGTGGATCCACCCACCTCAGCTTCCAAAGTGCTGGGATTACAGGTGTGAACCACCACACCTGGCTAATTTTTTGTGTTTTTATTAGATACAGGGTTTTGCTGTGTTGCCCAGGCTGGTCTTGAACTCGTGAGCTCAAGCAATCTTCCTGCCTCAGCCTCCAAAAGTACTGTATTACAGGTGTGAGCCCGGCCAAAATCAGTTTTTAAAAGAGGTTTACATGGCCGTATGGTATTCTCTTTCTTTTTTGGAAACAATACTATTTGTACCATGTTGTGTTATCAATCTATGTTTGGATTGTTAGCATTTAAGAACTACATTTTTCAGTAGATTGCTCTAGGTTATAGCCACTAACAATTACTTATACATAAAAATTTTCTTTTGAGTCATTAGCCAATTTGGGGGGCCTCTCAGGAGAAACTGCATAATTCACTGGGTGAATGCAAGTTCATTGCTCTTGGAGGCTGTGATAGCATAATCATTGCTTGCTGTATTCATGGTCAGTACACCTTCTGATTTGTTTTTAGTAGTAGTTTTGCCATATTCAAAGAAGAGCTCAATCTGAGGAGACTCCTTGATTTGACCTTACTTTGGCATAGCTAGCATATTACCTTAAGTTAGTGTTTGCCATCTATTTTGTTCCCTGACATTCTCTGTTGACGTTTTATGCCCCGCCCCCCGTGTCCAGCTCCCCTCCTCACAATCCCTGCCCCCTGCTGCCATCTTTAGCACTGGAAAGTTAAGAGTTTTGATCTCAGAGTTCATCAACTCAAGCTTTTGCTTTTTATTTGTAAAAGAACCATGTGAAGCTGGGCTCAGTGGCATACACCTGTAGTCCCAGGTACTTGGGAGGCTGAGGCAGGAGGATTATTCGAACTCAGGAGTATGGGTCCAGCCTGGATAACGTAATGAGACCTCCATCTTGAAAAAGGAAAAAAAAAAAAAAGAAAAGAACCATACGAAAGTACATAAGTGTATGAAAAAGCTACTTAACATTTCAAAAAGCAGTAAATGGCACATTGTCAAGTGAGTGGTTTTATCAGTCAGGGTCTCACAAGGAAAACAGAAACCATTTCAGGCATTTACAACAGAAGGAATTCAATGAGGGAAAATTATAATGCAGATAGTGAAAGAGCTGAGAGCCAAATAGGAGATGGTGAGGTAATGTAGAGATTAGCAACGGGAATCACCACCACCACCTCCTCCAGCTGAAGAAACAAGGGAGATGTGACATTATTGTATAAGGAGTACAAACAATATTGTTTCAGGGAAAAACATGAAAAAGGAAAATATAATTTGGGACAAGTACAGTGTGCTTCATCTCCTTCTTCCTCCTACTTCCCCAACCCCCACCCAAAGAACATACAGAAAGCTCTGTAAAAATTGCTAGTTTTTGAATGGAAGCTTTTTACTTTTTCTAAGAGGTGCGAGCCTGTGTGTCAGTGCTAAAATATAAAAGTAGTTTTTTAAAAGGCCATAAAAATTGGAGTAACATCACCTAGTTCATAATAATTTTTTTTTAATCTCTAAAGAGGGAAAGAATTTATGCCTAGCTAGCTGAAGTGGTCTGAAGAGATAATTTGAAGAGTTATTTGATAATATAAGCCAGTGTTTTTCCCCAACTAAATAATTCTGTCCCCCTCCCCCATGAGAATGTTCTTTGAAGCAATTGTCAGAGAAGAAATATAATTTTTCCTTAACCCTCATAAGTTCATAGTTGGGGACAGACCTTTGTGACAAATGACAGATTAACAAGCGAAAAACAAGCAGGTGTATATTCACGTGTGCAGTGCACATGATGCAGGAGAAACCTCAGTGAGAAGTAATTCAAAGCAGTGGCTTAGAACACTTGCCTATGTAGCATCTTCAACAAAGAGCAATGAATTTTCCAGAAGTGACAAGACAAAGAAAAGCAGGTTAACACTTCTAAAGGTGGGGAACTATGGGAAGGAAAAGTAAATATGTGGCAGTAAACTAGTGGAGTAAGATTTGTGATCCCTCTGGTGCCATATCTGAGTTGATAAGTTGTCTCCAGTAAAGGAGAATTTATATCTTTAGGTAGAAAAGCAGGAGAGGAGGATAGAAAGAGCTCTTCCTTTATTCATTAATTTTTCTCAACTCCCTCTTCACAGATTTGGTTAAGAGAGTCTAAAACTATGTTGTCCAGGTTGGCCTCAAACACCTGAGCTCGAGTGATCTCTCATCTCAGTCTCCCGAGTAGCTGGTACTACAGCCACATGCCATTGCACCTGCTTCTTCGGTTTAAAATATTTATGTCAAAGAGGAATATTTTGGGGTGACATATTCTGGCTTCCTTTACAGCCCTCTGTGCTATATCATGTCCACAGATACAGTTGTGTATTGGTACACAGAGAGACGGTGTGTAAAATCTCAGAGAATTGATGGTGTATGTATGAAACCTCAGAGAAACTGCCACCCAGAGAAAGGGAAATAGTTACTAAGGCAGTCTATTTCTTTTTTCTGAAAGTATGAATATGCAACTTTCAGTTACTAGAATTAATTTACTTCAGGCTGCTTGTGGGTGGATTAGATTAATTGATGAGTATTGGTCAAGAAATAAACCAATGCTTTTGCTGAATGGGCCAATTTTTTTGGCTTTCCCTAAAAGCAGAAATCACAGAATCATAAAGGTAATTAAACCATGGTTTTCATGGCTGTTTAATCTATTTTCTTGACTTTGAGAAATTTAGTGTTTGAGGCTTTTAAAAAATCTCTCTTTTCCGTAATATTACTTAAATTTTCTATTGGAAACACAATTTTAAGACAGAATTAATAAGTAGTGTGGAATAAGACAATGATAATACACTTAGAATAAGGTTTGAAAAATGCAGTATTATTTAATGGAATGAGCTTCAAGATAAAAAGGCTCTAGTTCTGTTTGTAGCTCTGTACCTGTTTAGTTGTATTATTAAGGTTTGTTGCTGAACCTCTTTATGTCTGTTCCGCAAGTCTGCATGTAGGGTAATAGTACTTCTGTTCATCTGTAGCAGGACGAGCCGCAGACAAAACTCCTCAAACACCAACTTAAAGAGGGAAGGGGTTTATTCGGCCAGGGTTATCGGCAAGACTCCTGTCTCGAGAGCCTAGCCCCCGAGTGAGCAATTCCTGTCCCTTTTAAGGGCTCACAACTCTAAGGGGGTGCGTGTGAGAGGGTCGTGATTGATTGAGCAAGCAGGGGGTACATGACTGGGGGCTGCATGCACTGGTAATTAGATCGGAACAAAACAGGATAGGGATTTTCACAGTGCTTTTCTATACAATGTCTGTAATCTATAGATAACATAACCGATTAGGTCGGGGTCAGTCTTTAACTACCAGGCCCAGGGTGTGGCACCAGGCTGTCTGCTTGTGGATTTCATTTCTGCCTTTTAGTTTTTACTTTTTCTTTCTTTGGAGGCAGAAATTGGGCATAAGACAATATGAGGGGTGGTCTCCTCCCTTAATCTTATAAACTTAGCATGAAGTTTAAATTAAGTCTATGAAATTTGTTTTAAAATAAAAACTCTCAGTACAAAAATAAATACTCTTACAGACTGAATGTTTCTTCCCCCCAAATTGATACTACAAATTTACATATTATAGGGTTGAAGCCTAACCCTCAATGTGACTATTTGGAGATAGTGGCCTGGGAGGAAGTGACAGAGGTTAAATGAAGTCATAAGGGTGGACCCCTAATCCTATAGGGCTGGTGCCTGTTTAAGAAGAAGACATGCCAGAGCTCTTTCTCTCCACCGTGTGAGAATACAGTGTGAAGGTAGCTGCCTGCAAGCCAAGAAGAGAGCCCTCACCAGAAACCAATCCTTGATTTGGAGCTTCTAGCCTCTAGAACTGTGAGAAAATAAATTTCTGTTGTTGAAGCCATCCACTCTTTGATATTTTGACAGCCTGAGCAGACTGAGATACTCCTGATGCTACATTATTTTTAAATTCTGTAAAACTTTAAATTTTTTTTTTTTTTGAGACAGAGTCTAGCTCTTTTGCCTGGGCTAGAGTGTAGTTGCGTGATCACAGCTCACCGTAGCCTCGACCTTTTGTATTCAAGTGATCTTCCTACCTCAGCCTCCTGAGTAGCAAGGACCACAGGCATATACCATGATGCCGGGCTAATTTATTTTATTTTATTTTTGGTGGAGACAATGTCTCACTATATTGCTCAGGCTGCTCTTGAAGTCCTGGGCTCAAGCGATCCTCCCATCTCAGCCTCTCAAAGTATGGGGATTACAGGTGTGAGCCACCTCACCCAGCCAAAATTTTGAAATCTTTATTCAAGAAATGGTTCCCTGAAAAACCAGGTTATAATGCTCAAAAGTCACACTTTAAGAGAAAGGAATATTTAGTGAGCACTTAACACCAGGGCTTGTTTTAGATTTATTTAAAAATATATTTTATAATTTGGTCCTCAAAAAACCCTACGTCATAAATGTTTTGGTTTTCTTTTGTTTTTAGAGAGGGTCTCACCCCGTCACCCAGGCTGAAGTGCGGTGGCATGATCTTGGCTCACTGCAGCCTCAAACTCCTGGGCTCAAGCAATCCTTCTTTCTCAGCATCCTGAATAGCTAGTACTACAGGTGTGTGCCGCCATGTCTGGTTACTTAAATTTTTTTTTTCTTTCTTTTTTTTTTTTTTTTTGCAGAGACAGGGTCTCACTGTGTTGCCTAGGCTGGTCTTGAACTCTTGGCTCAAGCAAGTCTCCCACCTCGGCCTCTCAAAGTGCTGCGATTACAGGCATGAGCCACTGTGCCAGGCCCATAGATATTTTCATTCCTATTCAATAGACAAGGCAACTAAAACCCAAGATCTTACAATTAGTAAATGATAGGGCTGAAATTCAAACATAGTCTCTCAGAAGCTTTTAAATTATGTCCTGATACCTTCTGTTTCTTCTAGTTGTACTGGACTCAGTCAAATGCCAGGCAGGATACAAAGGTTAGTGCCACCGTAGAATGTTATAAGTTGGAAAAAAATTGTAGACTTCATCTAATCTAACTTTCTCATTTTATGGATGAGAAAACTAAGGTCCAGAGAGTTAATGAAGTGACTGAAGATTAGAGCTAATTAGTGAAGTGTGAAGATCAATATTGCTAATGTTTTGCAGTCCATTTTTAAACCTGTGTAAATGCTAACCATTAGTAATGAGAAGCGTCAGAAAATGTTGAACAAAAGGTTTGAGTTGTATGTGGAACCAATCTTAAGCCACCAAATGAGCCTACATTTGTAATCTTTCTACTTTGTGTCTCCCAAAGAATGGAAGTAACAGTTGATAAGAAAGATAGGGCTGTCATATAATTTATAGACCTATTTTCATCTTGGAAAATTTATTCTGAGGTACAAAGAAAACGAAGTTATCTTATGGCCAGAATACCTTTTCTCACCTTGTCACGTGATGGTACTTTTTGGTATTTTATGATCGGCACTGCCATGCCTTCATGGGGACCTGTCTTTTTGCAAGTTCTTTCTCAACTGTGATGACTGACTTTGCCCAAATTCCAGATTTGATTAGTGGAAAGAATGATATATATGTTGATGTAAGACATTTAATTTCTTTTTTTAAAAGTATTTTTTAATTTCAATAGCTTTTGGGCTACAGGTGGTTTGGTTACAACCACCTGTAACATAGATGGTTACATAGTTTTTTGATTGTATAGATGAAGTATATAGTGGTGAATTCTGAGATTTTAGTGTACCAATTACCTGAGTAGTGTACATTGTACCCAATATGTAGTTTTTTTATTCCACACTCCCTCCTCTGAGTCTCCAAAGTCCATTATATCACTCTGTATGCCTTTGTGTACTCAGAGCTTAGCTCCCACTTGTAAGTGAGAAGATTTAGGAACGTATTTTTAGTTCTATCAGTTCCAAGATCTTTTAAGAACTATTTTATTTATCCAAAGTGATTTGTCCTTAGGCTCCTTAGGCCCCCTGAATATCTGACAAAATATATTAGTACTGGAAGTTCAGCCCTTAAATCAAGGATTTGGAAATCTTCAGAAAGTATGAAAATACCATTTTATAACCCTCTAAAATCAAAACATACAAACCTGCTAGATTAAATCAGGAAGAAAAGAAACCCTGAACAGACCAATAGCAAGCAGTGAGATTGAATCAGTAATTTTAAAACTGCCAACAAAAACAAAAAAAGCCCAGGGCCAGATGGATTCACAGCTGAAATCTACCAGACATTCAAAGAAGAATTGGTACCAATCAATCCTAGTGAAACTATTCCAAAAGACTGAGAAAAAGGGAATCCTCCCTAAATCATTCCTAATGACAATACATACTATGATTTTAAAAAATAGATGGTATTTGATATAATAGAGGAACAGGGATTTTTTTTTTTTAAACTACATACATGCAAGTTCCATGGAAAGACTGGGTCACAGTGAATCCTTGTCTTGTTAATAAAAAGAGGCATGTGAGAAGTAGTAAACTGGAAGGACTGGTGAGGAAATGTGAAAGGAACTCATATTGCCAATTAAGATTCTGGATTGAAGAAAAATGTTTTAATTATACTAATAGAATCTTTTTAATTATGAACATGTGTCAGTTCTAAAATACTATTGAGCACCTCTACGTACAGGAACTATGCTAGGTACTGGGAATGCAGTTTTAAGTAAGATAGATTTTCTGCCTTCGATATTGTTAAGGTTTAGTCAGGAAGCAGGCACAGATAGTGATAGTATAATGTCATAAAACTGTTCCCCAGTGTATTAGGTGTTTTTTTTTTCCTGCAGTAATAAATTAAAATAACAAATTTATTATCTTGCATTTCTGTAGGTCAGAAATCTGACAGAGGTCCCACTGGGCTAAAATCAACGTGTCTTCAGGGATGTGTTCCTTTCTGGACCTGTGAGAGCAGAATCTGTTTCCTTGCCTTTTCTGGTTTCTGGAGACTACCCACATTTCCTTGGTTCATGATTTTTTTCTCCATCTTCAAAGCTAGTGTTTTCTGTTCCTTTCAGGCTGCCATCTCTCTGGTTCTCTGGAGCTGGAACAGGTTTTCTGATTTTAATTGATTAAATAACTGTGATTAGATTGTGCCCACCTGGATAATCCTGGGTGCAAACTTTTTCATTTTTACATCAAAGTCCTTAGCCACATCTGTAAAGTTCCTTTTGCCACGTAAGGTAACATATTCACTAATTTTGAGGATTAGGGCATGGACACATTTTGGGGTCCTTATTTCACCTACCATACTAAGGAAATATCAAAGAGTCTGGCACCTAACCCAGTTTAGGAGCCCAGGAAAAGCTTCGAGGAGCAGATCAGCTGGGTCTCAAACTGGGTGAAGCGGGAGTATGAGTGGCTGCTGGCTGGGTGTCAAATGAGTGAGGGAAAGGCATTTGAGCTAAGGGGAGCTACATGAGTATATATAGAGGTGTGAAAAAGAATGGGTTTTAACATTAATTTTTATTTTTTAAAGAATCACAAATCAGTAAAAATGTAGTATGAAATGGTAGCTTGGGGATGAGTAGGGATGGAGAGAAAGGTTTGATTATGGTGGGACTTTGCATACTGTGCTTTACAGCTTCAGTTTATCCTGTAGACAGTGGCATGACATTGAAGGATTTGAAACTGGCGAGTGACTTGATTAGATTTCACTTTAGGTAGATCATATTCAGCTGTCTGGAGGGGGAATAGGCTGGCGGTAAAGAGACTGAAAAGGCTTTTACTATATAGTTCAGGTATCTTTATATATAATTCAGCTGATTAAGTTTTTGGCTTAGGTGACTGAGTCATACCATCAGAGATAGGAAAATACAGAAAGAAAGCTATGAGAGGTGTAAGGTAATATTAATACTCTCCCCTTCACACTCCCCTTCCACACACACACACGCATGTGCTCAACCAAAGAATGAACCTTGATTAAAGTCAGCCTAAATTTCTATTTTTTTTCTCTAAAAGTAGCCATTTACCATCAGTAAATAAGCAGAACAGTTTAGGTTGAACTGTTATATTTTCCCTTCTTAGGAGCTGACTTTATTTCCTTTAGCATCCCCTTCACATTTACATAATGTTGACTGGACACATGTTTTGTCTTTCCTTGTCCTGTGGCTTTCAGTTCCACTAAATGATTTAAGAAATTAAGGCATTGTACAAGTCCATTCCAGTTTACTTTCTTCTTCATTTTGCTGTGGTGATTGAGCCAGTTTCTGGCTTTCCAAATAGCCCATTATTCAATTTAATGGACAGTGTAATCTTGTCTGCAGAAGGAACTTGTTATTTGAAGATATCAGAAACATTCCAGGGACATAGTTACTGGTTGGGAGTGGAATTTGTGTGTAGACCTGGTATTAAAAAAACCTTGTGGTTTTGCAGCATTCTAATGTATTGCATACCTAGGAATTCTAGCTATTTTGAAAGATGATTCTGTGGTTGGTCCAGTAGCTAAAAGGTAACATAACATTTGAGCACATGTGCCCAAATATGTTGTTTACCAGATGAATTAAGAGTTCTTACATTACACTGCTAAAACTATAAAATGTTTAAATGGTGATTATACTTTTTCATTGGGAAGACTATGCAGTAGGGAAGAATTACAATTTGGATTTAAAGTATTACATTCCCCTAAACAGATTTGGGGTTATAATTTTAATATTTCTAATTGAGATATGGGCTGCAGTCTACTCAGAGTAACTAAGAAATGTAATTGCCATGAAGTTCTGAGTAGATGTATATGACTTTTGGCTATATTAAGAGAATAGGATTTATCAGGGAATGGTCTGAATTTCTATAGCACAAGTTAACTGTAAATACTTTGAGAAAGCCACTAAATAGATTCATTAATGACCACATATTTATAGAACAGGAAAACATACGACTTATATTGATGTGATTTTTGCCCTTATAAAGAATTAAATATTAGAGGGCCGGGAGTAATGGCTTGTGCCTGTAATCTCAGCACTTTGGGAGGCCGAGGTGGGCAGATCGCTTGAGCCCAGGAGTTCAAGAACATCTTGGGCAACATGGTGAACCCCATCTCTTAAAAAAAAAAAAAAAAAAAGAGAGAGTTAGGGCATGTAGAACAAGAGTTTTAATGAAAAGATTTTTGTGTTTTGGCCCTTAACCTCGGTCTATAAATTCAGTTGTTGATAGCATAGTGCAGTTAATTTACAACTATTTGATTGTTTAGAAATGTATTAATTAAAATAGTTTTGCCCATAAAATGTTGCAAAATCTATAAATGGTTTCGTAAGAAGTACTATAAAAGAGGAGATGATAGAAGAGGGTAATGAGTAGAAGGGAAAGGTTTTATTAGCCTTTTGTTCTTCTTTATGCTACCTCCTTCTATAAAGTTGTTATTTCCTAGGTCATGTTTTATATTTCAAAGATTATTATTTTAATAATCTGTAGGGCTTTCTATTATAGATATTATTAAGGCAAATACCTCCAGGAAGAATAAGCAATAAGTCTGGGCATGGTGACTCACACTTGTATTCCCAGCATTTTGGAAGGCAAAGGCAGGAAGATAGCTTGTGCCCAGGAGTTCAAGACTAGCCTGGATAACATAGCAAGACTCCATCTATACAAAAAATAAGAAATATAGCCAGGCATGGTGGCACGTATCTCTGGTGCCAGCTACTCCAGAGGCTGAGGCAGGAGGATTGCTTAAGCCCAATATGTTGATGCTGCAGTGAGTTATGATCTACACTCTAGCCTGGGTAACAAAGCCAGACGCTGTCTCAAAAAAAAAAAAAAAAAAAAAAGAAAGAAACTCGACAGAATAAAAACAATTCAGATGACTATTTTCTTTTATTTTATTTTCTTTTTCTTTTTTTTGAGTCAGAATCTTGCTCCCAGGCTGGAAGACATGGAGTGCAATGGCGAGATCATAACTCACTGCAGCCTTGACCTCCTAGGCTCCACTGATCTTCTTGACTCAGCCTCTTGAGTAGCTGGGACTACAGGCATGTGCCACCACACCCAGCTAATTTTTAAATTTTTTGTAGAGATGTGGGGGTCTCACTGTTTTGCGGGCTAGTCTTGAACACCTGGCCTCAAGCAGTCCTCTCACCATGGCCTTCCACAGTGCTGGGATTGCAGGCGTGAGCCACCATGACTGACTGTTTTTCATTTCTTGACATTCATATCAATTGGAATAAAGTTAAGAGAAAGTTGCAAATTTCAAGTACCTTTTGTGTGGCTCTTTTTTCTTGTCTTTCTTTTTATAGTATAAGTATGACAAGACTAGATTTTCTTGAATCTCAGATTAAACCCAACGTGTCTTAATTAGCATTAGCAATTTATGGCAAAAGTCAAGGTTTGCCACAGTCTCTGCAGTTCAGATATCAGCTTTTCTTTTAATGGCCTTTATATATTGCTAAGTACAAAATATGCAAGAAAAAGACAACCTATGTTTATTCATTACACATAGATCATTGAAGTCATGAATTAGAAATCTGTACCTTAGAGCTGCTTGGACTACTAGAACCCTTGAATATTTTTCAATTTTACCTTTAACTAAAAAAAATTCCTTTCTCATCTGTACTTTAGGAGATTGCAGAATCTTGTGGCGAGGGTATTAAAACTGACCATTCAAAGTCATAGCCCATTTCTTGGTACTTGCATTTCTCTCTGTGTAAAATTGGTACTTCATAGCCTTCTGATCCTGTATTTCTGATACTTATTGATCAATTATGATTGAAAGCCAGGTTGTTTAACGCTCTGTCAGTCTTCAAATGAACTTTTATTTATTAAACTGTTTATTCCTTCTGATTTAAATAAATTTCATTTCCCAAAGATGAGTAGGTATGAAAAATAATACTCAGAAGAGATTGTTCTTGTGGGGAGAACTGCTTCTACAGGATCTAGCTTTGATTTTGTATCTTTCAATCTTTTTAAAATCAACTTTAACGAATTTAAACCTATTTTAAGTGTACAAGTAATAAGTTTGACAATTGTATGTGACTTCTACCACAATAAAATATAGAACATTTTTATCATTCTATAAGTTCCCTTGTGCTGCTTTGCAAAGTTACCTGTCTTCTGTCATTAAAAATTAGTTTTAGAGTCTGTATATAAGAATTATGATTTATTTGTCTTTTCGTTATTTTGTGAAAAGGATGATTTCATGTCTTTTTTTTTATTTTAATGGATTACTTTGGTTTAAGACTTCAGGAGTTTCCAAATTAAAATAATTTCCTTTCTGCTGTCTGTCATGATCTTCTCGTTTCTGAAGTTGCCTAGGAAAGGTCTTAGCTGCAATTCATAGTTAAGAAAACTGAGACACAGGTATTATAGAGGCTCAGAGATTACATAGGACTATGTGAGTTCTTGCTTGTTGAAAAAGGACTCGGAAGTCTTGTGAGGAGAATGAAAATATTTTGATTTGACTATATTTATGGTTTGTAATATCAAATAGGTTCATTTCAGCTCTTTTGTATTTAATTTAATTTAATTTAATTTAACTGTGTTTTAATTTTTTTTGTAGAGATGAGGTCTCACTATGTTGCTTGGGTTGGTCTTGAACCCCTGGGCTCAAGTGATCCTTCAGCCTCAGCCTCCCAAAGTGCTGGGATTACAGGCACAATTCTTTGCGCCTGACCCATTTCAGCTCTCTTGTCTCTGCGTGTTAGGTTCTGATGAATTTATAAGGGACAGAAATTAAGGATTTAAGATTTGTGTTTGAGTGCTGAGTCTTTCCCTTTTTGGGGGGATGACTTTGGTCAAAAGGTTTGGTCACTTAAGATTTCTGAAGTTTAGTTTTCTGATCTGTAAAATGAAATAATAATTCACAGTCTTATAGGAATGAAAAGGGAATGTATGAATAGACAGGAGTTTAATTTTGGGATAAATTTTACTGGTTGTTTCATCTTCATCTTGTTAGGCTCTTTTAATTTAGGCAGATGTTAGATGATCAGATCAACTTGGAAAAACAATATTTGAGGGAACATAGAAAATGTCAAGATTCTTAAAATGACTTGTACTATCTATTAAGATGAAGAGTTTCCAAGGCGAATAAAAAAGGCTCATGAAACAACGAGCAGTTATCTTTGAACCAGAGAGGAAAACAAAAAAAACAAAAAAACAAACAAAAGACTTTTTTAAAAAAAGAAGTTGCATTAATTTTTGCATAAAATAAAATTGTCATAGAATCTTTCTTAAATTCTGTTTCTGCAATCCTTGGAATTTTAGGTGGAACTACTGACTATGAAGTCATTTTGGTATTTTATTAATCCATTTTGCCTAGGTTTTGAGATAGACATATGGTTTGTAGTCAATAAGATTCTGAAGAACTACACAAAGGCTTCTGGAAATTTATTTCTTGTTTTTAAAAACATTTATATAATCTCAGTCAATTTAGGATTTAATATTCATGTTAGAATTCCAGTAAATTAGAATTAGGCAAATCAGTCTTGAACACTATGCTAAGTAGTGAAGTTATCAAACCTCTTTTGTAATATTGTGTATCTATACAGTGGTTGCAAAATAGGCTCAGAAGGTTGCATAGAACTAAGTTAGCATGATGATAGTTTCAACCTCTTAAATGGTGAGGTTAGTCCATTCACTTTGATTGTCATTACTAATATATTGTACCATATTTCATTGCCTCTAAGATGCCATCAGTTGTAAGACACTGTTATTTATTAGCAGTAAGAAAAATTACAGTTAAGATGACAATGCTTTGTCATGCAATTTCTTATTTTATGCTTATTGAAAAACTTAGTTTTTTAAAAAAAATTAGATACAACTTTTAGACATTTAAATTGTCTCAGGAGTTCTATTCCAAGCCGCTGACACATGTTATGCATGGTTTTTGTTTTTGAAACAGGGTCTTCTTGCTCTGTTGCCCAGGCTGGAGTGCAGTGGTGCAATCATAGCTCACTGTAACTTTGAATTCCTGGGTTCAGGTGATCCTCCTGCCTCAGCCTCCTGAGTAACTAGGACTACAGGCATGCACCACCATGCACAGCTAATTTTTTTTTTTTCTTTTAAGAGATATAGTCTTGGTATGTTGCCCAGGCTGGTATCTACCTTCTGGGCTCAAGTGATCCTCCCTCCTCAAAGCACTGGCATTACAGGTGTGAGCCATCATGCCCAGCCATTTTGTAGTTTTTGGTCCTGGAACTTTCTTGATCTTAGTGTCAGTGGAATGTCTGAGCAACATGACTTTTATTTCTTCCTAAAATGAACCTTAAGTGGTTTGTTGTCAAAGGGTTTTAGGTAACCAGTTATGCCATGAAGAATAAAACCGAGTTCTTGCTCACACAAACAATGACAACTGTGTTACAACTGCTGCTTTGCTGTCAGAGATTCCACTGCAGGTAGATGCATCTTGGTTTCATCCATGTTAAATATGGGGAGGAAAGGTTTTAATATTGATGAAACATACTATTTTATTTATTTTTCATTTTTGTTTGTTTTTTGAGACAAGATCTCTATGTTGCTGAGGCCAGTCTTGAACTCCTGGGCTCCGGTGATACTCTTGCCTCAGTCTCCTGAGTAGCTGGGATTGCAGACATGTACCACTGTGCCTGGCTGTAGAAGTGTGTTGATTTTAACAGCCTTATAAAATGCAGTTACAAACCATACAATTCACCCATTTAAAATGTAACCCATTTCAATGGTTTTTAGTATAATCACAGTTGTACAGCCTTTACCACAATCAAGTTTAGAACATTTTCATCACCCCAGAAGGAAACCCCATACCCATTAGCAGTCATTTCTCATTTCCCCACAATCCTTCCAGCCCTAGGCAACCAGTAAGCTACTTTTCGTTTCTGTGGATTTACCTACTGTGGACATTTCTGTAATGGAATCATACATTGTGTGGTGTTAGGTCGGTGTTTTGGTTATTGATGTGAGATCTTTTAAAATATAGGTATTTACAACTATAAATTTCCATCTGAGCACCACTTTAGCTGCATCCCGTAAGTTTTGTTATATTGTGTCTTCATTTTCATTCATCTCAAAATCGTTTTCTATTTTTCCTTTGTGGTTTTTTTTCTTTCTTACATTGGTTATTGGTAGTGTGTTGTTTAATTTCCACATATTTATGAATTTACCAAATTTACTTCTGTCACTGATTTCTAATTTTATTTCATTGTGATCAGAGAGCATACTTTATTATTTCAATCCTTTTAAATTTATTGAGGCTTGCTTTATGGCCTAGCATGTGATGTCTTATATTTTTATACCTCTCTTTTCCCTCACTGCTTTCTTTTGCATTATGTGAATATTTTCTAATGTAACATTTAAATTCCTCTAATGATTTTTTTCCACTATTTTTAAAGATTGTTTTCTTACTGGGCTCTAGGGTTTATCATATACATCTTAATTTACCAAAATCCACTTCAGATTTGTACTAACTCAATTCATGTGAAATATCAAAAAGTTGCTCCAATTTATCTCTATTTCCTCTTTCTTTTTTGTGCTATTACATTTTCTCAGTGCTATTATTATTAAATATTATAGGTATATATGTTACAAACCTAACAATGTTATAAATGGTACTTTGCATAATTTTACACCTTTTAAAGACACCAAGAGAAATATGGAGAGCAAGGATTTTTTATAGAGTTTAATATTCACCTTCTTATTTACCATTTCTGGTTGTCTTCATTTGTTTCTGTGCTTTCAAGTTACCTTTTGGTATTGTTTCCTTACTTCAATTCATGTTTGCCTCTACTTACTTTCTTTGTTCTGATAGCGTCAAATATATTACATTCCTAAATGTTATAGACCCAGTAGTACAATTATATATATATTATCCTATATAATTGCTTTTTAAATAGTTAATATAGAAATATGCATTTGTACTGTCTTTTATAACTATAATTGCCTTTACTGGAACTCTTCGTTTTTTTTCCTTTGTATTTGAATTACTTTTCGGGGTCATGTGTTTTCAGCCTGAATAGCTTTCTTTACTATTTCTTGTAATGCAGATCTGCTAGCAAGAAATTCTTTCAGTTTTTATCTTGGGATGTCTTATCTGCCTTCATGGTTTTTAAAAAATTATTATTATACTTTAAGTTCTGGGATACATGTGCAGAACATGCAGGTTTGTTACATAGGTATACATGTGCCATGATGGTTTGCTGCACCCATCAACCCGTCATTTTACATTAAGTATTTCTCCTAATGCTATCCCTCCCCTAGCCCCCTAATCCCTGACAGGCCCCAATGTGTGATGTTCCCCTCCCTGTGTCCATATTGTTCAACTCCCACTTATGAGTGAGAACATGTGGTGTTTGGTTTTCTATTCCTGTGTTAGTTTGCTAAGAATGATGGTTTCCAGCTCTATCCATGTCCCTGTAAAGGACACAAACTCATCCTTTTTTATGGCTGCATAGTATTCCATGGTGTATATGTGCACATTTTCTTCAACCAGTCCATCATTGATGGGCATTTGGGTTCACTCCAAGTCTGTGTTATTGTGAATAGTGCTGAAATAAACATAGATGTACATGTGTCTTTATAGTAGACTGATTTATAATCTGCCTTCATTTTTAAAGTCCACTTTGCTGAATATAAGATTTTTGGTGGACACCTTTTTTGTTGTTTCAACACTTAGAATGTCATCCCAGTGCCTTGGAAGCTTCATTTTTTATTTTTATGTTTTAAAATTTCACTTTAAGTTCTGGGATATGAGTGCAGAATGTGCAGGTTTGTTACATAAGCATACGTGTGCCATGGTGGTTTGCTGCACCTATCTACCTATCGTCTAGGTTTTAAGCCTTGCATTCATTAGCTATTTGTCCTAATGCTCTCCCTCCCCTTGCCCTCCTCCCCACTACTGGCCCCAGTAGGGCCACAGAGAAGTGAAAAATTTTAAGCAGACAGTAGGAGAATCAGACTTCCACATCTTCATTGCCCCACCACCCCATTCTACCCAGGACAAATAGTTTGTAAAATCTCCTTCCAACTCATGGCTTCT
Source organism: Homo sapiens (assembly GCF_000001405.40). Lineage (NCBI taxonomy): Eukaryota > Metazoa > Chordata > Mammalia > Primates > Hominidae > Homo > Homo sapiens. The sequence goes on from NC_000010.11 coordinate 72,771,979, forward strand.
ACACTGGAAACAGTGAGGCTGAGGTAGTCAGCGAACTTCCCCACCATCTTGGGTTCCCTGTCGGGAGACTTGTCCTTGCCTTAACCTGTGGGAAGCACAGTGACTGCCTGAAGGGAGAAAATGCCTGAGGACAGGCAGAGACAAAGTGGGGAGGTGGGACTACCATCCTCAGCCCTGAAAACTGCTCTGTTACTCAGTCAAAGGAAATGCCAAATCATAGTGGCTGTTCAGCAGCACCATGCTGTAGGAGGTATGTTCCATAAGTCCCATGGGCACAAACTCCTAGCCAGCCTTGACACACTGCTGGGATAATCCCTTTGGGACCTCCCCTATTCAGATTAGGCAGTGGTTTGATCATTTCCTAGAGCTGAAAAGGAGGCAGTGACTTAGCAATATTGATTCACTAAGCAGATACATCTAATAAAAATCAAAACAAGGCTGGGTGCAGTGGCTCACGCCTGCAATCCCAGCACTTTGGGAGGTCAAGGTGGGCAGATTGCTTGAGGCCAGCAGTTCAAGACCAGCCTGGCCAGCATGGCAAAACCCTGTCTTTACTAAAAACACAGAAATTAGCTGGGCGTGGTTCTGCACACCTGTAATCCCAGCTACTCAGGAGCCTGAGGCACGAGAATTGCTTGAACCTGGGAGGCAGAGGTTGCAATGAGCTGAGATCGTGCCACTGCACTCCAGCCTGGTGGGTGACAGAGTGAGACTCTGTCTCAAAACAAAACAAAATCAAAACAAGCCAGATAGAAAAAACCAAAATAACAAATCCTTCAAAGACATAGAAGGTATACCCATAAGAAACAACAGGAAATCATGACCTTCCCAAAAGGACAAAGCAAAAATCCAGTGACTGACCCTAACAAGATGGCAGTTTGTGAGCTTTCTGATTAAGAATTCAAAATAGCAGGTTTTGTTTGTTTGTTTGTTTGTTTTGAGACACGGTCTTTCCTTGTCACTAGGCTGGAGTGCAGTGGCACGACCGTGGCTCACTGTAGCCTCAACCTCCCAGGCTCAGGCAATCCTCTCACCTCAGCTTCCTTAGTAGGCGGGACTACAGGAACATGCCACAACACCTGGCTAATTTTTGAATATTTTGTAGAGATGGTCCCACCATGTTGGCCAGGCTGGTCTTGAATTCCTGGGCTCAAGTGTTCCTCCTACCTTAGCCTTTCAAAGTGCTGGGATTATAGGCATGAGCCACCATACCTGGCACAAAATAGCAATTTTAAGGAAACTGAGTGATCTCCAAAATAACAAAGAAAAGCAGTTCAGAAATTTATCAGAGAAATTTAACAAAGAGATTGAAATAATTAAAGAAAAAACCCACAGAAATCTTGGAAATGAAAAACACATTTGCTTAACTGAAAAAACTCTGTGGAGGCTCTCAATGGCAGAATGGATCAAGCAGAGAAAATAGTGAACTTGAAGATGGGCTATTTGAAAATATACAGTCAGTGCAGAACAAAGAATGAAAAGGAACAAAGACTGTATATAAGATATAGAAAATTACCTCAAAAGGCAAAATTTAAGACTTACTGGTGTTCAAGAGGGAGCTGAGCAAGAGGAAAGATAGAAAGCTTATTCATAGAAATAATAACAGGTAATTTTTTAAAACTTGAAAAAGATAGAAATATCCAGGCACAGGAAAGTCTGTGCCAAACAGATTAAACCCAGATGAAACTACCTCAAGGCATATAATAAACTCTCAAAAGTTAAGAACAGAAAGAGGATCCTAAAAGCAGCAAAGAAAAGAAGCAGATAACATATAAAGGAACTCCAATTGGTCTGGCAACAGACTTCTCAGTGGAAACCATATAGGCCAAGAGGGAGTATAATGACATTTTCAGAATTCTCAAGGAAAAAACTGCCACCCAAGAATATTTTGCAAAATTGTCTTTCAGAAATTAAGGTGCAACAAAGCGTTTCCCAGACAAACAAAAGCTGAGAGAATTCACCACCACCAGACCCATCTTACAAGAAATGCTAAAGGGAATTCTTCAATCTGAAAGAAAACATAAACCAACAAACCACTAACGTGCTAAAGGAAAACTTTTCAACATATAACATAAACTTTTCAACATATAAAATCCACTGGTAAAATTAAGTACACAGGCAAATACAGAATACTCTTACTGCAATTGTGGTGTGCAGTACACTTATAACTCTAATATGAAGCCCAAAATCACATCTATCAAAAACAATAATAGCTACAGCAACCTGTTAAGAGATAGGTAATGTAGGTAATATTAAAAATGTAAATTGAGTCAAAATGTGGAGGAGATGGAGTTAAAGCATAGAATTCTTTTTTTGTTTTACCTTTGTTTGTGTATTTTTGATCTAAGTTCTCATCTCTTTAAAATAGCTTCTTATGTCTGTAAGATGTTTTTTGTAAGCCTCATGGTAACCAGAGTACAAAAACCTATAATAGACTTACTAAAAACACAACAAATTAAAAACAGATTACTAGGGAAAGTCACTTAACCACAAAGGAAGACAGGAAGAAAAGTGGTTCAAAACAATCAGAAAATAAGCCACAAAATGGCAGTCGTGAGTCCTTACTTATTAATAATAACACTGAAGGTAGTATTGTCAGTTCTCCAATTAAAAGGCATAGAGTGGCTCCATGGATAAAGAAACAAAACCCAACTATATGCTGCCTTCAAGAAACCCACCTCACTAATAAAGTCACACATAAGCTGAAAGTGAAGGGTGGAATAAGACATTCCATGCAACTGGAAACCAAAAAAGAGTAGGAGTAGCTATACTTATATTGAATAATATAGACTACCAATCTAAGACTGTAAAAAGAAACAAAGAAGGGCACCATATAAGATAAATAGATCAATTCAGCAAGAAGATATACCAATTATATTATAAATGTCTATGTACCCAATACTGGAGCACTTAAGTGTGTAAAGCCAATGTTAGTAGATCTAAAGGGAAATACAGACTACAATACAACTATAGTAGGGCACTTTAACACCACAGTCTCAGTAATGGGCAGATCATCCAGACAGAAAAATCAAGAAACATCTGAGTTAAACTACACACTAGATCTAATAGACTTGATATTTACAGAACATTTCACCCAAATGCTGCAGAATACACATTCTTTTCATTAGCACATCAAACGTTTTCTAGAATAGAGTCTCCCTTAGGCCACAAAACAAGTCTGAAGAAATTTTTAAAAAACAGAAATAATATCAAGTATCTTTTCTGACCACACGGAATAAAACTAGAAATCAATAACAGAAGGACCCTGGAAAATACACAAACACATGGAAATTAAACAACATGCTCCTGAATGACCAATGGGCCAATGAAAAAATTAGGAAAATTAAAAAGTTTCCTGAAACAAATGAAAATGGAAAATATAACATACCAAAATCTATGGGATACTGTAAAAGCCTTACTAAGAGGGAAGTTTATGATGATAAACACTTCTATCAAAAAAGAAAATTAGAATTTAAGTAAACAACGCACCTCAAAGAACTAGAAATGGAAGACCAAACCAAACCCAAAATTAGTAGTAGGAAAGAAATAAAGATCAAAGTAGAAATAAATGAAATCGAAACCAAAAAAACTCCACAGAAGAACAATGAAACAAGAAGTTGTTCTTTTAAAAAGATAACCAATATCAACAAATCTTTAGCTAGTCTACAAAGGAGAGAAGACCCAAATAAAATAAAAAATGAAAAAGGAGGAATAACTGAAACCTCAGACATACAAAGAATGGTTAGAGACTATTTTGAAGAACTATACACCACCAAAATGGGAAATCTAGAAGAAAAGGATAAATTCCTGGATACCGTACAACCTACCAAGATTGAACCACGAAGAAATGTAAAACCTCAGCAAACCGATCATGAGTAATGAAATAGAAGCTGTAATAAAATTGGGCCAGGTGCAGTGACTCATACCTGTAATCCTAGCACTTTGGGAGGCTGAGGTGGGAGGATCCCCTGAGACTCGGAATTTGAGACCAGCCTGGGCAACATAGTGAGACCCTGTCTCTACAAAAACAGTTTTAAAAAATAGTTGGATTTGGTGGCATGTGCCTGTAGCCCCAGTTATGTGGGAGGCTAAGGTGGGAGGATTGCTTGAGCCCAGGAGTTTGAAGCTGCAGTGAGCTATCATTGCACTACTGCACTACAACCTGGGCAACATGAGTGAGACCCTATCTCTTAAAAAAAAAAAAAATTGAAGAGGAGATAATACTTTCAACCTTATTCTATGAGGCCAGGATTACCCTGATACCAAAACAGATAAGGACCCAAGAAAAGAAGAAAAGTACAGGCCAGTATTATTGGCGAACATAGATGCAGAAATCCTCAACAAAATACCAGGAAACCAAATTCAACAACACATTAAAAAGATCATTCACCATGATCAAGTGAAATTCATTCCAGTGATATAAGAGAATGATTCAACACATGCAAATCAATAAACATGATATATCACATTAACAGAGTTAACAAAAACCACATCATTGTTTCAACAGATGCTGAAAAATCATTTGATAAAATTCAGCACCCCTTTATGATAAAAGCCCTCATCAAAATGGGTATAGAAGGAGCATACCTCAAAATAATAAAGGCCATAAATGACAAACTCATAGCTAACATCATATTGTATGGGGAGAAATTGACAGCCTTTTCTCTTAGGAGTGGAAGAAGATAAGAATGGCTACTTTTACCACTGTTATTCAGCATAATACTAGAAGTCCTGGCCAGAGCAATTAAGCAAGATAAAGAAATAAAGGGCATCCAAATTGGAAAGAAAGAAGTCAAATTAGCCTTGTTCACAGATGACATGATCTCATACCTAGAGAAACCTAAAGACTCCACAAAAAATTGTTAACACTGATAAATGAGTTTAGTACAATTGCAGGATACAAAATCAACATACAAAATCAGTAGCATTTATATATGTTAACAGCAAACAATCTGAAAAAGAAATCAAGAAAGCAATCCCACTTATAATAGCTATGAAATACCTAGGAGTTAATCTAACTGAATAAGTAAAAGATCAAGGAAAACTATAAAACTCTGATGAAAGAAACTGAAGAAGATGCAAAAAAGCAGAAAGATATTCCATGCTAATGAATTGGAAGAATTAATATTTTTCAAATGACAGTACTACTTGATGTAATTTACAGATTCAGTGCAATCCCTATCAAAATACCAATGATATCCTTCACAGAAATAGGGAAAAAAATTCTAAAATTCATATGGAATTACAAAAGACCTTGGATGGTCAAAGCAATCCTGAGCAAAAAGAGCAAAGCTGGAGACACTACCTGACATCAAAATTTACTCTAAAGCTACAGTAAGCGAAATAGCGTGATACTGGCTTAAAAGCAGACACATAGACCAATGGAACAGAGTTGAGAATCCAGATATCAGTCCATGCATTTACAGCCAGCTGATCTTTGACAAAGGAACCAGAACATACAATGGGGAAAGGACAGTCTTTCCAATAAATGGTACTGTGAAAACTAGATAACCATATGCAGAAGAACGAAACTAGACCCCTAACTCTCTCCATTCACAAAATTCACATCAAAATGTATTAAAGCTTTAAATCTAAGACCTGGAACTGTGAAACTACCAGAATAAAATCTTGGGGAAACCCTCCAGGGCACTGGTCTAGGCAAAGATTTTTTGGGTTAGACCTCAAAAGCACAGGCAACCAAAAGCAAAAATAGGTATGGAATTACATCAAGTTAAAAAGCTTCTGCACAGCAAAGGAAACAGTCAACCTAGTAAGGAGACAACATAGAGAATGGGAGAAAATACGTGCATCTGACAAGGGATTAGTAACCAGAATATATAAGAGCTCAAACAACCCAATAGCAGAATAACAAATAATCTATACAGTGGGCAAAAGATTCAAACACATTTCTTGAAAGAAGACATACAAATGGCCAAATAGGTGTGTGAAAAATGCTCAGCATCACTAATAGAGAAATGCAAATCAAAACCACAATGAGATATCATTTCATCCCAGTTAAAATGTTTTGTATTAAAAATGACAGTAACAAATATTGATGAGTATGTCTAGAAAAGGGAACCCTCGTAAACTGTTCTTGGGAATGTAAATTACTACAGCCACTATGGAGAACAATATGGAGTTTCCTCAAAAAACTAAAAATAGAGCTGCCATATGATCCAGCAATTTCACTACTGGGTATATAGCCAAAAGAAAGATAATCAATATTTTTAAGGGTTATCTGCACTCCTATGTTTAATGCAGCAATATTCATAATAACCAAGATATGGAATCAACCTAAGTGCCCATCAATGGATGAAAGGATAAAGAAAATGTGGTATATATACACAATGGGATATTACTCAGCCTTAAAAAGGAATGAAATCCTGTCATTTGCAGCAACATGGATGGAACTGGAGCCCATAATGTTAAGTGAAATAAACCAAGCCCGGATAGAAATATCACATCTTCTCATTCATATGTGGGAGCTTAAAAAGTGGATCTCATGAAGATAGAGTGTAGAATGGTAGTTACAGAGGCTGGGAATGGTTGGAGCCGGGGGGTGGGGTTTGGGAGGCATGGGTAGAGGACAAAAGAATATAAAGTGGTAGCACAATCATGTTGATAACTTAATTGATTCATGCTAGCAAGAACACTGTCCTTGTTTTGTAATAAACCAATATTCATAATTAAAATGTCCCACAGGCATTAAAAAATATCATGCATGGAAATAATGAAAACGATTGAATATTTGACTAACTGGTCAAACTAGATTTTGACTGTTAATATAAAAAATCACTATCCTTACCAAGTGCACATTGAAATAATGTACTAAGCAACAAAGGATTTTTCAGTATATGATAAATACTGGAAAACCGAAAAAAAAAATTTCAGTGGGGAAAAAAAACTTACTGCAAAGCAACAGTAATGAAAACAGTGTGGAGCCTGCATAAGGATGGACTATGGAATAGAATCGAGAATTCAGAAGTATATTTTCTTTTTCTTTTTTTTTGGAGATGGAGTCTCACTCTGTTGCTGGGTTGGAGTGCTGTGGCACGATCTTGGCTCCCTGCAACCTCCGCCTCCTGGGTTCAAGTGATTCCTCTGCCTCAGCCTCCCGAGTAGCTGGGACTACAGGCACGTGCCACCATGCCCAGCTAATTTTTGTATTTATAGTAGAGACAGGGTTTCACCATATTGGCCAGGATGGTCTCAATCTCTTGACTTCGTGATCCCCCCACCTCGGCTTCCCAAAGTGCTGGGATTACAGGCGTGAGCCACTGCGCCTGGCCTCAGAAGTATATTTTCACAGCACTTTGGGAAGGGCCTAAATGTAGGAGTTACGACAATAAAACTCTGAAGACAACAGGTGTAAACCTTCATGGTCTTGGTCTTGGACTAGTCAAATGATCTTTTAGGTATAACACTAGAGGCACAAGTGACAAAAGAGAAAATAGACTTCATCAAAATTGAAAACTTCTGTGGTGCAAAATGATACCATTAAGGAAGTAAAAAAACAACCCACTAAATGGGAGAAGATATTTGCAGATCATTTATTTGTTAGAGGACTTGCATCCAGAATTTTTTTTAAAAAACCTCTCACAACCCAATAATACAAGGAACAAAAATCCCAATAAAAACGGGATGATTTGAAATGACATTTCTATAAGGAGATGTATAAATGGCCAGTTAGCACATGAAGATGCTCAACATCATTAGTCATTATAGAAATGCAAATGAAAACCACAATGAAATACCACTTTATACACACTGCATGGCTATAATAATGCGACAGAAAATAACAAGTGTTAGTGAGGGTATGGGGAAATTGGAACCCTCATTCATTGCTGTTGGGATTGTAAAATGGTACAGCTACTTAGGAAAATAGTTTGTCTGCCTCTCAAAATGTTGAACATGTATTTCCCATAGAACCTAGCAATTCTACTTGTAAATATGTATATACCCAATAGAAATAAAAGCACATATCTACACAAAAACATGTACATATGTTCATAGCAGCATTAGTCACAATAGCCAAAAAGTGAAATAACCCTAATATCTGTCATCTGATGAATGGATAAACAGAAGGTGGTATATCCATACGATGGAATATTATTCAGCCTAGAAAGGAATGAAATACCGACACATACTATAACCCAGATGAACCTTGAAAATATGGTAAATGATAAGAAGCCAGTCACAAAAGACCACATAATTTGTTTGAAATGTCCAGAATAGGCAAATCCATAGAGAAAAAGTAGATTAGTGGTTGCCAGGGCCTGGGTAGAGGATAATGGGGAGTGACTACTAGTGGGTATGAGGTTTCTTTTTAGGGTGGTGATATACTGGAATTAGATAGTGGTGATGGTTACATAACTGTATACCAAAAACCACTTAATTGTACATTTTAAAAGGGTGAATTTTATGGTATATAAATTATATCTCAAAAGGATTTTTTAAAAAATAGCTGTGGAAGGACAAAATGGAAAATTAAGTCTGCCAGTTATTTTAATGTTCTGAAGTATTCTTTGGCTAAGTGTGTGTGTGTGTGTGTGTGTGTGTGTGTGTGTGTGTGTTGGGTGAATTTGGAAGAGAGGAAGAGAGATAACTGTTGTCATCATTTGTTAAAACAAATTTGCCATAATCTCTTACCATAGCAGGAACACCAGGGCTACTTGATTTAGATGAAGTCACTCAGAGCTTCTCTCCTGCTGCCCTCTCCTAACCTTCCCATCATCTGGAAAGATCTAGCAAGGAAAGACTTGGAAGAGTGATGTCTGGATCTTACCATGTCATTGCATCTCTGGTTTTCTCCAATGTTAATATCTTCCTTACACTCACAGGCTTATTTGTGATAGTTAAATGAAGTTTTAGATGGGAAAGGACTCTTAAAGAATTAAAATCATTCTGCAAACGTAACACAAATATAATGAAACACTGAATGGTGTTTTAATTTGGTGACATTGTGATACCCGTTTAGTTGGTCTGACTGACATATAGAGAATTTGATTAATATTTTATTCATTTATTTGGGGGTATTTGCCTTCTTAATGGAATTTTAAGAATTGGAACACTCAAAAAATAAAAAAAATTTTTTTTAAAGAATTGGAACACTGTAGTGGGCAGAAAGAGGATGGAACTATGGAGGAAATTTAGGTAGGAAAATATTTGATATAGAATCTGGTGTGTTGTTACTGGTAATCAGGATAATTCTGGTGAATTGAATTTGTCGGGCAGAGTTTGGAGATAAGAAATTATTGAGGCTGAGGCTACTTGGAGCCAATAGGACATCTTTGTTTAGATGTATAAGCTAATCATCATACTCTTAGCCTGGGCTGCATGCTTTCAGAATTTTTCCCCATGGCTTAACTTTGCCTCTGACACTTTGCTTTCTGCTACAGCCTACTCAGTATCTTAGATTTATTATTTTTAAATGAATCATTGTAGAGTTAAAGTCATCTCTTAAGTCCTAGTCAGGTTATAGGTGGTAAAGATTCCACAAAACCAGAAATACACAGAGCATACAGTATTTGAAGTATCATTCATTTATTCCATGTTTGGTTAAAACAAGCCTTTCGGAGTTTGAGTATTTATGGTTGTTTTCAGAAATAGATGGTCATGTGCATCTGCAAAACTTAAGCAGATGTTTTGTTTTCCTGAGAATCAGTTGAGGCTTAAATATGAGAGCTTAGCCTGAGCTAATTCCTAGGTGAAGAATGAGAGTGACAGGTTACTTAGTTCCCAAATAATACTTCAGAAAAATAGGAACCTACTTTTATGTTATTTCTTTTTTTTTCTTCTTCCTTTGGTTGCTGCAGTATGTTTAAGGTCTTTGCGACTTGGCCAAAGGAATAATGATCTTGGAATCCATTTTAGTGACAGGATCTCTCTGGAAGATCCAAATAGTCAATTCTGACAAAACAAGGACACTGTGCTTTGTGGCCATGAATAGGCTGCAAAAAGGGGAAACTCCTTTTCATCTTCATCAGATGTTTGGGGTCACTTTCATGAAAGAAACCAATGAATGCTACCAGGACACTGCAGACTCCTCCCCACAGTCCCCAGATCATGAGTCTCTATACTCTGCCCCAGAGCTCTCCTTCACCATTGCTGATTCCACAAAAAATACCATGACACACATTCAGATGAGAGGAACACAGCAATTGGCAGTACAAAAGATTGTGCCATATTCCTCCTTAGCCTGCCCCAATACTCCTTTGTGGAGTGCTTATAGAGTTAGAGCGATACTTAAGCTTGTCCATTTCTACTTGTAGAGTGCCCGGTACCTTCATACCCTCATGCTATGTGTACTTCTTCACCCTGTGCTTTTTCAAATACTCTTTTATTCTTTTCCGTTTTTCTAACTCGTACATAATCCTTAAAATCGTGTATCTGTTTTGTTGTTGTTTTTGGAGATGGAGTTTTGCTCTTGTCACCTGGGCTGGGGTGCAGTGGCGCAGTCTCGGCTCACTGCAACCTCTGCCTCCTGGGTTCAAGCGATTCTCATGCCTCCAGCCTCCTGAGTAGCTGGGATTACAGGCACCTGCCACCATACCCAGCTAATTTTTGTATTTTCAGTAGAGGCGGGGTTTCGCCATGTTGGCCAATCTAGTCTCAAACTCCTGACCTCAGGCTACCCGCCTTGGCCTCCCAAAGTGTTGGGATTACAGGCATGAGCTACCACGCCCGGCCCATAATCCTTAAAAATCAAACTGAATTTCTGCCTCTTCTGTGGAACTCATTTTAACTTTTGTTTGCTTATTTAACTTTACAGGGATGTGTGTCTAGTTCCTCTCACTAGTTTCTTGCATATAGGGCTTATGTATTATTCGTATCTTGTCCAGCAAAGCCAGTAGCTTCAGAAGTTATTTTGATTCTAGTGCAGCTGTGTTACTGTGAGCCAACATCCTGCAGAAGGAGTTTAGAAATATTTGTGACTGGTTATGTCTTTCACTGAACCTAAGGCAAACCTGAGCAATTTGCAGAATCAGTTGAGGCTTAAATATGAGAGCTTATATTTAAGCTTCCTATAGGAAAATGCGAAGGGAGTTTCTGGCCATGGAAAAAGGAAATAACTCAGTTTGTTTGAAGTATTTGTGGAATGCACTTTAAGCATAATCAATATTCACCCTAAGTACTTCATTGAATAGTTTGAATGAAACCACCGCATTGTGTGTGCTCCACCTTGGTAGAGAATGTCAATGTGTAGACTTTTCAAATTAGATTTTATCATCTGGCATAGGCATACCACCTAGTTACATTATATGTAGAGCCTCCAGATACTTTAAAATAGATTATGTTTTACATTCCTTCCTATCCTTTCAGAACCATCACCTTCATGTCCAAAACAGTGTGATGCTATTCATTTTAGAATATTATTGAGGACATCACACTGGTGGCTCTTTGAAGGGATGTGTTTTGGACTCAGGTGTGGAACTGCCACATGCCACTTATTCAACTCTTTGGCATCTAGGAGGCTTTGCATATGCCATGTGCCACTTATTCAACTCTTTGGCATCTAGGAGGCTTTGCATATGCCATGTGAATCCTCTCTTCCTAGGAGAGTTTACTTAGTGGAGCAGTGTTGGGATTTCTAGCCTGGTTTCTTCTGAGGAAAAAAACATGTCAAGTTAAACCTTCCAGGATAAAGAGAGGATTTTGTTGGGGGGAGCTGTTGTATCTGAAGTGTTAATATAGAGCAAATGCAGTTTATTTTCTCAAAGGAAGGGAGAGAGATCATGCCAAGAAAAACGCATAGAGTGGGGTGGAGTGGAGTTGGGAAAGAAAATGTGACAAGTACCTAAAATCAAATGCCTATAGGAAGGATTTTCCCCATGATTAGCTCCAAATGTTGGGGAGTGGGGAGGATGTTGCTTGTTTCTTTCTTTATTTCTTTTTAAAAAATTGTTTTACTTTGTTCTTGACTCTTTAGTTTCAAAAGCAGATTAAGGAAAAGCTTATTAGGAAGTCTAGAGCCATAGGCACTATAGAAATTACCAGCCCCCAAAAGTCAATACCCAGTTACTTTACCTTTTTGGCTGTTCCACGTAATTAACCCTGCTGCTTGATCCAAGTGAAGCCGGGGGAAAGCCGGGCACCGTTGGATGGTGTAGCTCCTTGCTTAACCCCTCATGTTGTACTGCAAAGATGAATGCCCACTTACCTGGATCTCTCAGGGGATGACATTTTCCAAAAGAAGATTTTCTTCTGCTCCCTCTTGAGAACAATATAAAGAGTATGTAATTCAGAGAGATTACTTTGAATTTCACTAAAAGGGAAGTACAAAGGCTTTGTTTTTTCAGATCCTATCAAATTAATACTGTCACGTTTGGAAAATGTTGCTCTGTTTTGATAGATCTCTTAGAAGGATGTGTCTTATGCAAATAGTAATTGTGATTTTTAAAGCTAATATAAATGTGATTCATTTACTTAAAATCAAGCCACCTTGTAGCTGTGAGTAATTTTCCCATTTTGTTGAAGGTAAGTACAATTTTTAATTGGCTACATTTGGTTGCAGGAGAGGTTAAAGAATAGATTTAAGTAGGCATGTCTGAAAAGGACAGAAAGTTCCACAAAGCAGTTGTCAGCAGGGATTAGATCTCTGGATGTCCTTGTTTGTCAGGAAAAGCCTTCTGTGTATCCAGTAGCTTCTGAAAATGTTAATGTGGCACTGTGCAGGGAGTCAAGGGAACAGTCTCCTCATTTTCAGTGCAGGATGCTAGGGAAAGCCTGTCCGTATGTGTGCGTGGGTGTGTGAGTGAGGGCTGGCTGTGCACCCTGCCTCTCTGGCTGAAGTAAGTTGCAGAGCAGCTTTGCCTTTTCATGGGCTTGGGTGTGGGGAATCCCTCCTACCAAGAGTATTTTGGGAAATTCCTAAATGCTGATGTGTTCTCAGCTCTATATAATGCCCTTGTTGGAGTGAGGAGCAAAACACACATGGATAATGATTTTAAAGCACCAGTCAACCAATTCCTGGTGTGTGTGTCTTTTACTTGCTTGATAGAGCTGTTCAAGGAGAATCTTGCGTTGTCAAGGATTTTAGGCTTCTACATAGTACAGGGATTGCTCTTCTTTTCCTTTTCCAGGGCTCTTCCTGTCTCTAGATATTTAGCATACAGATGCAGTTTCATGATGTAGCACGAGAATCTCCCACATTTCCACATATATTACACAGTCGGCGAAGCAAGTGGTAGTGGTGGCTGCTCCAGCCAAACCTGGCAGTGCTACTGCCGTCACTTTTCTAATAACCTTGGTGTCTCTGCAACAAGGTTAGTGGTGGTGTTTACCAAAGCTACAACTTTGTTTCTCCTTTCTCTTTCCCTGCTTCTGTTGTCTCCCTGTCTCCCCTCCTGCTGCCCCCTACCACTTAGGTTAATGAACTTCCCTGTGGTATGCAGAAACTAGTCAGACATGCATCTTTAAAACACATTTTAGAGTTTTCAAAAATGTGCATAATAGAAATATATCCTAAAGTTCAAAAACATTCTGAGATTGTCACAGTTAGTGGCAGATTAAGGAAACAGAATATAAAATAGCCAAATATATTCCAGGAAGTCATGCTTGTTGAGTAGGCATTTATCTGACAGATTGAAATGAGCTTCTTTTGTGTGTTGGCTCATAGTCCAGAATTGCAAGTTTTTCACTTTTAGTGTTTATGTAAAATTCTCCTGCTGGCTCATTTCATGGAAATAAAGGCTCACTTCATCTGTAACTTGTATCTGTAGTAAGACCCTTACAAGGGCTGCAATTTTCATCTTGGTTTAATTTGCAAGAAAAACATTATTATGTACGTATAGCTACTTGTTTTAATTTAGTGTCAATTGTCAATGTCGTAGTAGAAATGGATGAAGAAAATCCTTTTGGAAAGGAGATTTTTATAGAAATCAAAGGAGTATTGCCCAGCAACTCTTAATAGGTGTTTACTGAATATATACTATGGGAATGTATTGCACGCTTTAGAGATTCTAAAGAATAACATATCCTTGCCTACAAGGTGTTGCTTACCAATTTGAGGAGATGAAGATTGTCCGTAGAATAGGGACTGAACAAGCACTGTGTGAAAAAACGGTATTATGCTGTGCAATAAAATTTCAAGAATAGGATAATACATAAAGGAACGATTTGCTGTGGAGATCATTTCATTATATGTGAGATTGATGTCCAGAGATGTCATCCAGTTTAGTTAATGTAGTTCTGGCTAGCTGTTTGTGGAATTCTGGCTAGTTTGTTTTTTTAATGTCCTTATCCTGTTTCTTGTGTTATACTTGAACACATCAACATAGAGTGAGAAGTTACTGTTTTTGTTACCTAAAAATGAGTCACATAGTAAAAAGAGATGGGTTGAGAATCAGATATATTTGATTTCAGATCCTGGCTGTGCTCATTCTTAGCTCTGTGTGCTCTGTGTGCCTCAGTTTTCTCATTGGAAGAACTGGAATGTAAGTTACTAATTTACAGATTTGTTGGGATTAAATTATTTTGAAGCATGGCTGGGTGCCATGGCTCTTTCCTATAACCCCAGCACTTTGGGAGGCTGAGGCGGGCAGATCACGTGGAGGTCAGGAGTTCGAGACCAGACTGGTCAACATGGCGAAACCCCGTCTCTACCAAAAATACAAAAATTAGCAGGGCGTGGTGGCAGGCGCCTGTAATCCCAGCTACTCGGGAGATTGAGGCAGGAGAATCGCTTGAACCCAGCAGGTGGAGGTTGCAATGAGCCGAGATTGTGCCACTTCACTCCAACCTGGGCAACAGAGCGAGACAATGTCTCAAAATAAATAAATAAGTAAAAATAAATAAATAAAGTATTTTGAAGCACAAAAGCACTGCTTTTTCAGTTTTCTCACTAAATTTAATCCTCCTGGAAACATGCCATCACTGGTAGAATATTAGGTATTTAGGTTATTTCCCATAGCACTTGTTCTTACACAAATCACCAAATGTGTGCTTTTCCACTCTCTCTTATGAATCCTTACATCCCCAATGTCAAATAGCAAAATAGCAAAGAAAATTTATATATGGAGAGAGAGGGGTTTTTCAAGGACCATATTTTAATCTCACGCTTAAAGGGTAAATTTCTATCCATTTAATAATGTAATAAAAATTATTTTCATGTTAAGCTAAACAAAACATGATTTGAAAGACAAATCTGCTGCATCTTACAAAATAACATGTCCTTCTAAACCCAGCTGAAGTCCTATCTCCACGAAGCCTTCTCTGGCCACTCCCGCCCACGGTAATTTTTTCTCATTGAAAATTCAGTTTCTTTTGGTTATACAAGTTTCACTGAGTTTTTGTTTCGTTTGTTTTTTGAGACAGAATCTCGCTCTGTCGCCCAGGCTGGAGTGGAGTGGCGCAATCCCAGCTCACTGCAACCTCCGCCTCCCGGCTTCAAGCAGTTCTCCTGCCTCAGCCTCGAGAGTAGCTGGGATTACAGGTGTGTGCCACCATGCCCAGCTAATTTTTGTATTTTTAGTAGAGATGGGGTTTCACCATGTTGGCCAGGCTGGTCTTGAACTCCTGACCTCAGGTAATCTGCCCACCTCAACCTCCCAAAGTGCTGAGATTATAGGCATGAGCCACCGTGGCCAGCCAATTTCATTGAGTTTACCTCTCATTTGGCATTTAAGCGTTGTTATAAACCAATATATGTCTATTTTTATTATTGTGTCCTGCCTTGCCAATTAGATTGTAACCTCTTAGCAGCCATAGACCTTGTCTGAGAATTGGTTATTTTCTTTTTTGTTTTTTGTTTTTTTTTTGAGACAGACTCTCGCTCTGTTGCCCAGGCTGGAGTGCAGTGGTGTGATCTCAGCTCGCTGCAACCTCTGCCTCTCAGGTTCAAGCGATTCTCCTGCCTCAGCATCCTAAGTAGCTGGGATTACAGGTGCGCCACCACACCCAGCTAATTTTTGTATTTTTAGTAGAGATGGGGTTTCACCATGTTGGTCAGGCTGGCCTCGAACTCCTGACCTCAGGTGATCCATCCGCCTCGGCCTCCCAAAGTGCTGGGATTACAGGCATGAGCCACTGCGCCCGGCCTAGAATTAGTTACTGTCTTCACAATATCTCGTGGTGCTGTGTACGTGATAGGCAATGAGTTGATACCTGGTGCTTGAGGAAAGTGTTAACAATGTGAAGAAACAAGAACAGGTTCTTTTCTGTGTTCAATTTGTACAGGAGGTTCTGGCTTATTTATTCAATAGGTATAGAGTCCTTATCCAAATAAGTAGCTGCTGACTATGAGTATATGACTCCAGTTGGTTAAACAACTCAATGACTGCTTTTCAGCAGCGCTGAAATGATGGGATTGTAGTGAAAACACAAACACATAGGTAGTAGGCTGGCATAAATGGTTGTACATACAAACTAGTGATGAGTGGCTCATGCCTGTAATCCCAACACTTTGGGAGGCCAAGGCAAGAGGATCCCTTGAGGCCAGGAGTTGAAGGCCAACCTGGGCTATATAATGAGACCTTGTCTCTACAAAAAATTAAGAAACATAGCCAGGTATGGTAGTGCGTGCCTGTAGTCCCAGCTACACGGAACTCTGAGTCAGGAGAATCACTGGAGCCCAGGAGTTGGAGGCTGCAGAGTGTGCCATGATGCACCACTGCACTCCAGCCTGGGCCACAGATTGAGACCCTGTCTCATGAGACCCTGTCTAAAAAAACAAAAACCACAAACTAGTGATGAGTAAAGTTCATCTCGTGCTTTCTATTTGGAAATTTTACACCACATCCATATTTCTAAGAGATGGCTACAGGAAAATGTCTTTTTAGAAAGCATTTCACATTTTGCATTGTCACCTAGTAGCAATTATGTATAGTTGATTCTTGATAAAGTACTTGCTTGCTAGTCCATAGCAAACCGTATTTTAAAAGGTACTGCAGTGAACCAGGTGGTTTGTTGGAATAAACCTCACATTTGCTGAGGAATTGCTGGATATATCTGAATCCCTTCCTTTGACAACAGTCTAGAATGGAGTGTGATGTCTTGGAGCCACTTAAAGACTTATCTTTTTCCCTAAGTGAAAAAGATAAGACTATACTTAGAGTCCTGTAACTTGTTCATTTTTGCTTTCTAGAATGATTGTGTCTACTCCTTGAGCCTTTAAGGAGTAGGTTTGGGGTATTAGATGAGGAAAATTCGAGGGCCAGCTTGTAACTTCTAATTCCTTTTCCTTGGGTGACTGTACCAGTTCTGAAAATGAGATTGAATGGCTAGAGACTTTGGAAACATCAAAGGTACTTAAAGAATATAATCTTAGCACAATAGGTAGTAAGATGTTTTAGGTATAAATAATATGTAATTAAAGTTTTCTTGTTGGTGGTGTGTGTACAAGTTAGTATCTAAGGGTCAAATGACTTGAATTTGAGTGGTTGCCATTACATATTAATTATAATATAACATTCCCAAAATGTCTATAGTTTCTGTGTTATGTTTAGCTACCTTAGCTTTAGCTTCATGTCAAGTATAGGAGCTTATAAGAATTTATAATGCTAGCTTTATGTCATCTTATAGTCTAATCATCTTGTTTTCAACTCTTGAATCAACTTGCTTCAACTTTCAGTTTTCTTTTATGAGAAACTGCTCCATTTTCATACTACATCCAGATAAAAAAGGTCAAACCATGTTTGACACACAAGATTAGTTCTGCTCACCTCAAATGTAAGATTGGTAAAGTTTACCTCCAGGATTCCTAGCTTGCCCTTTCTGTTTCCATTAATCCCTGTTAAGACCTGTTCCCTCATTATTCTCCATCAAATTTTCACCCAGGAAAAAGACTATCAATATCTTAATCTTTGTAACCTTCCTGGGGTTCTGAAATTAGATTCATATTTCTAATAATCTACTTTCTGGCATGAAAGTAGTTTTCCTCTTTTAAAGGCATTTCAGACTTCAAGCCATTTAAATCACACCATACAATATGGAGCACAGGAAAATGAATGTGAAAGCTACCTGGCATAATCAAAGACCTTCAAAAGGATGGCAGCTCCTCTTCTCACTACATGGTCCACTAGCCATTTCTAGTTATACACTTCTGATATATTTGCTGGCTTTGGTTCTAATTCAGACAGTGGTTTGATTCAGCAGACTCTATATGGAACTTGTTCTATGCCATGCACATCATAGAACATTTAAACTGTAGATGTACACATCAGAATTCTGAACTCTGTGTATCTTTCTTAACCCTACAGCATTGAAGTCCCAACAGCAGCATTTTGGTCTAGGTCTAGTATCTGTTTTTCATGTTGCAAAATTCACCAAAGAAGATGGGGGAAAACACATTCCCTGAATCTGTACCCACTGAATGTTGGAATTTGCTATAGAAAGAGAAGAGAAATAATTCTCAGGTAATTCCAGTGCCTTCCCTCTTCCTTCTTCCACACCCAGTTGGGGGCTGGGGGAGAAGCTACATGAATGTTGTATGTATTTTATAACTCCCAGAAGCCTAAACAAACATCTAAAGATTTTGAATGGAATGAAATTTAGGTGAATCATACACACTCCTCTTAGAAATTATGGTATTAAAAAAAGACTGCAACATAATTCTGATGTATTTTATTTTTGAATTCTATTATCTTGTGGATGATTGGAGATGATGATATAAAAGGTATAGAGTTGAAGTATACATCTCTTATTAAATTAAATATCTGATTGCTTGATTAAATAACTGGATATTCCTGGGATTCCCTGGTACTTATTTATTTATAGCTCTGTATCTAGGGAAGGCTGGTGCTACATAATAAAAGCTACTAGGCACGCTTTATGCCACTATGCTCAGAAAGCTTTGATTGCAGAAGTTCTTTTGTGAATAACACCACTTCAGTCGAAATGTAATCTCCTAGGATCTCATTCCAGTATTTATTTTAAATCATAATAGTGCTTTTCATTTTTATTACAGAGAACTAAGAAACAAGGAAACATATTGTGGTCTGACAAAGATAGATCAGGTATTTTGGAAGCATTTTAAAATCTTGAAAGCCTTGCTCTATTCGTATATAATTAGTGTATATTCTTCAGAGTGATTTATTCTCCCCAGAAGGAATAGTGTTCATATTCTATATTCTTGATAGTCTTAGAAGTTGGGGAGAGGGGTGGCAAACATATATTAAAATTTAAAGTGAAATCATCTTCTCATTGTTAAGAGGTAACAAGTAGTGGCACATTTTACCTTTGTTGCCCTGCCTTGTTCCCAACAATTTCAAATTAATGATGAGTATTATATCATTTTAGATCCTTTAAATTTAGGAATGACTATAGTGTCTTAAAATCACATGTATGAAGCTCAGCTGCTGGCTGGCTCTCTCTTACCACAGTTAAAAAGTTGTGCAGAATGGACTGAATTTTAATGTTGTGTATAGACTGTAAACCGTATCCATTAGTATTCATTATTTCACTTCTTTTTGATTTTTACTCTCTTCACAACCTCCCTATCTATACCGTAGTCCAGGGGAAGAATGTCAGTGTTTTTTATGTCAGTCCTTGGATGAATTCTCTTTAGATAATGTTTCTCTTTAGATAATGTTTCTCTTTTCAAGAAACAGTGCTGAAAAGGCTATGCCTTTTCTTTCTCTTTCTTTGAGGTTTTATCTGAGTTATATCGCTTGTGTAGATATAGGATAAGTTATTTTTATTTTTATCCCCAGGAAGCCTTTCAGCCCAGTGTGCTTTCCCATAGTTATTGAAATGCACAAATCACCGGTGCAACTAATCTGAATAATTAGTAACTGAGTACAGGTATACTAGTTGTAAAATTATCTCTGCATCTTTATGTAAGAATATTAATTACATGAACTTATTTTTAATTTTTTCCCTTCTGAACATGTTTTCTTTTATGTAGGAAATTCTTTCTAAATGCCAAAAAAAAAAAAACTAAAAAGATTTTTAAGTGATTCTATCCAGAAGAGATTGCTACCTCAGTTCCTTTTATCAAAAGCAGCTATACATGTAGTAATTTTAAAGAGGGGGGATTTTGAAGTCAAGTTTGAATCCCAGCTCTTCCACTTCCTAGCTGTTTGACCTTTGGGTAAAGTCTTTCAGTATCTCCATGTGAATATGAAAATAGTGTTATAAAACCGAACTGGGGTTTACTTGCCTGGAGCAGCAAAACCAGATATCCACACACATTTTGCAGTGGCAGAAAGAAAGGCATTTATTTGCAGGGCACCAAGCAAGGAGGACCGGGCAGCTAATGCGTAAATCCTTACTTCCTTGGTAGCTTACAGGTAAGGGTTTTTAAAGGCGGGGTAAATTTCAGGAAAGCAGAAGTGACAGACAAAATCATATGTCAATGCATGGAGGTTACACAGTGTTTTTGGCCTAAAAGGACAGGATATTTTGAAGCAGGGGCTTACAGATCATAGGTAGAGTCAAAACTTTTCCGATTTGTGCTTAAGGAAGAGAAGCTTTGTTTAAAAATTTGGAATCAGCGGAAAAGAATGTTAAACTGCTTCCTGGGGATGACTCCCTCCAGGCCTCTCAGGAAGAAATTTAGAACAAAGAAAGGTGGTCAGAGTTCAGCCTTCAGTTCTTCCATATCTGAGGTCTACCTGCCAGTGGATCAGTTCCCAGGGAATCCTAGGTCATGAAAAACTCCCGGTTTTTGAAAAACTCAGGGACATCTCAGGGCCAGGTGCCTGGAATTTCCCTTGAAGGAACTCAGGGTTTTCCTTTATTTATTTCTATGCTTGCCCCACCCCCAATAACTCTCCCTCTCCCCTCCCCCCCACCCCCACCCACTCTCCCCAAAAGGGGCTGCTTGCTTCATCTTAAATAATGTTAAGATCTTCTCAGGAGTTTGCGTCATAGATTGAATGACATCAGTGTGTGTAAGGTACAGTGCATTATAGGGCTAGTGCCCAGTGGACATTAGTGGCAATGATGATTACACTGCCTTTCTTTTTTTTTTTTAAATTGAGATGGAGTCTCACTCTGTTGCCCAGGCTGGAGTGCAGTGGCACGATCTTGGCTCACTGCAACCTCCGCTTCCTGGGTTCACGTGATTCTTTTGCCTCAGCTTCCTGGGTAGCTGGGATTACAGGCGCATGCCACCATGCCCGGCTAATTTTTGTATTTTTAGTAGACACAGGGTTTCACCATGTTGCCCAGTGGTCTCAAACTCCTGACCTCAGGTGATCTGCTCGCCTTGGCCTCCCAAAGTGCTGGGATTACAGGTGTGAGCCACCGTGCCTGGCCTGATTACACTGCTTTTTAAGGCTTACTGCCACAATATAGCTAGGTACCTAGAAATCAGCATTGTCACCAAGGTGAGGGAGAGCCTGCCTCAAATCCTCAGGCAAAATAAAGTCACAGATGAGAAGCCAGATATTGAAACCACTTAAAAAGAGAGAGCAACCAACAAAAGGAAGAAATGGAGGAACTATTAAAATATTTTTATAGAAGCCCAGTAGTTTCGGACCACTTACTGAATAGGCAAACAGTCCTATATACCTTTGTGGCCATGAGGGTTTAATTTATTAAAGCAGGAATATACTGGGTTCTGGTTATCTGTTGCTTTGTAATAAATCAGAATTAGTATCAAAAACAACAACCATCATTTTATTATTATCTCTTAATAGTGTTGGGGGTTGACTGGGCCCAGCAAGGTGGTTCTTGCTTGGAATATCTCATATGGTCACAATCAGATGATGGCTGGTACTTCCTCACACAGATCTAACCGAGGCTGACTATATTAGCTGGGCCCTTGGTTGGGGCTGTAGGCTCGAATATATCTACATGTGGTCTGTGTGACTTAGATTTCCTAACTGCATGGTGGCTGGTATCTAAGAGTAAGCATCCCAAAAGATCCGGGTGTGTTGCTTTTCATGACCTAGCTTCAGAAGTTATATCATTACTTCTTCCATATTTATGGACAGGCCTACTCAGATTCAAGACCCACTTCTTGATGGGAGGAATAACAGCTTGATCATACTGTGAGCTGAGCATGTGAGATGGGATGTATTGTGATGGCCATCTTTAGAAAACATTCACATCCCTCACATATGCAAATTACATTCAATACCTCTATCAGTGCTCCCAATTTACATTCTATTACAGTATCAACTCTAAGTCTAGGATCTCATTATCTAAATCAAGTCCATCCCATTCTAGCAGGTGTTGTTAAAATTTTTTTTTAATTAAAAAAATAAATCAAGTCCATGTTTGATTGAGGCTCCTTGGTCGCAGTTACTTTCATCCAACTTCTTGGGAGTCATTCCTCTTGATTTGAAGACCTTTTACTAAAGAGGTAAGTTATCTGCCCCACATATACACAACATACAGTGGTGGGAAAAACATAGGATCACCACTACAGACCCTCCCATTCAAATAGGGGGAAAACGAGATTCATAGAGTTACTGAATGTTAGCAGTTCTGGAATCCAACCAGACACATGGTGCTATTTCCTTGATTGGGGATCAGTCTTTCTGCCTATGGGGTTGTTTCCTAAGGCTCTTGGTTCTGCCTTCTGGGCTCTTCATTCGCTGAGTCATCCTTGATTCTGCATAAAAGTAGCCTGTTTTTATTGCTGAGTAGTTTTCTTGGCCTATTTCTTGCCTATAGAAAGAAGTTTGGGAAGTCCAAAAGCCTCCCTTCATTTTGTTCTGTTTCTGTCCCTTTCAGTCCAAGCTGATATAATTTCTTTTAAATCTCTGAATTTCTTATGAATCAGTTTATGAATTCAATTCATTAGACAGACCGACACCCCCAAATTTCTAAAAGATAAGCCTCTCTACCTTGAGCTCCCTCTGAGACTACTGTGGAACAAGACCCTTAGGCTTCTTAGAAATCTCTCTTTAATGGAGAGTATCTGTGAGGCCTGCCCTTAAGATCTTTAAATAGCTTCCCCCACCTCCCGTTTGATAGGGTCTATAGAGTACCTATGTAAATCTCCCTGAGTCTTAATAAAATATTTTAAAGGTTCATTCTGGATTTTATATTTGCCCAGAGTGCATTTCTTCATTTGAGAATAGCTTGCTTTTTGGATTGAATGAAAAAAATGTTTATTTTTCAAACCCAGAAAATCCTAGGTTATTTATATTTTCTTAAAATTTTCCTTGAAAATGAGTTTTTAAAATTTATACCACCTCTCTTCCATTTCTATTTAACTATAGACAGCTAGAGGAAGAAAAATAGTACCTTCAAAATTCTGTCCTAAAATCTCCTCATTGAGCTCATTAGGTATATTTCTTATTTTCCACATTACCATAGGTGACTATATTGCCAAGTTTTTCACCACTCTAGCTTCCAATAAAATTTTCCTCACTTTCCTGTAAGTTTTCATCATCACCTTCCTCAGGCCCACCCTGCCTCCACCTGCCATCCCTTCTCAGT
Organism: Homo sapiens; assembly: GCF_000001405.40. Classification (NCBI taxonomy): domain Eukaryota; kingdom Metazoa; phylum Chordata; class Mammalia; order Primates; family Hominidae; genus Homo; species Homo sapiens. Next base: position 72,795,313 of record NC_000010.11, read on the forward strand.
CAGTGCCACACATTTTTGGTTTTTGATATGGCATCATCCCACTTCCAGTAATATTGACTCTGGGTTATCAAGTTAAAATTGTTTCATATTCAGTATGTTTTAAGAAAAATGAGTAAATTTTAGAAACTTTTCCATTAAAACTGCTAAAAATTTGAAATGTGTATATATGTATGATACGGTGATTTTAAAAATCTTACTTTTAGAGATGTTGAAATATTAGTGTATAACATGATATAATTTCTGGGACTTATATCAGCAATATATTAGTGGGGGAAATGGAGTGTGGGTACAGTTTGATCGTGGCTCCTGATGACTGAAAATGTTGGTGGCTTCTGATGAGGCATCTATTATGTGGTGTCTGTTTCTTGGCACAAAGGAACAGTGTAGTTAAAAATGCCACTCTGGGGCCGGGCACAGTGGCTTATGCCTGTAATCCCAGCACTTTGGGAGGCTGAGGCAGGTGGATCACGAGTTCAAGAGTTCAAGACCAGCCTGGACAACATAGTGAAACCCTGTCTCTACTAAGAATACAAAAATTAGCCGGGTGTGGTGGCGGGCGCCTGTAATCCCGGGTACTCTGGAGGCTGAGGCAGGAGAATCGCTTGAACCTGGGAGGCCGAGGTTGCAGTCAGCTGAGATCGCACCACTGCACTCCAGCCTGCGCGACAGAGCAAGACTCCATCTCAATGAAAAAAAAAATATGCCACTCTGTAACTGTTAGAGCTCACTGATCCACCAAGAGTTTCTCACAAAACACCAGGAAACCCAGGTCCATACTCTCAGAACCATTGTCTTAAACTGCATGCAGTACTTTAACATTTCTCAAAGAGAAACCTTTAAAACGGTCCAATTGTGGTGACTCATGCCTGTAACCACAGCACTTTGGGAGGCCAGTGTGGGAGGATGGCTTGAGGACAGGAGCTTGAGACCAGCCTGGCCAACATAGTGAGACCCTGTCTCTTCCAAAAAAAGGAAAATTGGCCAGGTGTGATGGCACGCACCTGTAGTCTTACCTGCATGGGAGGCAGAGTCCAGGAATTCGAGGCTGCAGTGAGCTATGATTGTATCACTGCACTTCAGCCTGGGTACCTGAGTGAGACTCTGTCTCTAAAAAACCACAATAACAACAACAACAAAAAACCTTTAAAACAACAATTAAGGAGATATCCTATCGAATACAAAGCCAGAGCTTTAACAGGAAAATTTATTTTGTTAATTTTTTATTTTTAAAGAGACAGGTCTCGCTTTGTTACTCATGTTGGAGTAACATAGCACACTGCAACCTCATCCTCCTAGGTTCAGGTGATCCTCCTGCCTCAGCCTGCCGAGTAGGTAGTACTACAGGTGCGTACCACCACGCCTGGCTACTTTTTAGTTTTTGTTTTTTTTTTTTTTTGTAGAGATGGGGTCTTGCTATGTTGCCCAGACAGGTCTCAAATTCCTGGCCTCAAGTGACCTTCCTGCCTCAGCCTCCTAAAGTGCTGGGATTACAGGGATTTAACAGATAAATTTAAATAATTCTATTTCCTCCTTGACCAAGAATTATTTAACAGAGTTTCAAAATTTCCAGGTGGAATGACTTTATTTTCTGATTTTGTTTTATTGCAATATGATTAAGGATTTTTAAAAAATTTTTGCTACTTCTTAGAATTTATTGATGTTTTCTTTGTAACTTAGTGTTCAGTTTTCATAAATGTTGCATGGACATTTGATAAGAGTTTTGTTTTTTAATTTCAGGGTACAGAGTGCACCCATAATATTGTAGCTTATCGACTAGGTTAAGTAGCCTCATTATTTTTGTCTACATGAACTGCGATGGTCTAAGAAGTAAAAGTCTCCTGTTACTAGTATATTTCTGTATGTTTCAGCTTGCCTTGCTGTTTCTACTTTATAACATACTTTTATTTTATTTTATTTTATTTTTTTTTTAAGACGGGATCTCACTCTGTCACCCAGGCTGGAGTGCAGTGGTGTGATTTTGGCTCACTGCAACCTCCATCTCCTGGGTTCAAGCGATTCTCCTGCCTCAGCCTCCTGAGTAGCTGGGATTGCAGGTGTAAACCACCAAGCCCAGCTAATTTTTTTGTAGTTTTAGTAGAGGCAGGGTTTCATCATGTTGGCCAGACTGGTCTCGAACTCCTGGCCTCAAGTGATCTGCCCATCTCAGCCTCTCAAAGTGTTGGGATTACAGGTGTGAGCCACTGCGACTGGCCATAATATACTTTTTTTTTTTTTTTTTTGAGATGGAGTCTCACTCTGTTGCCAAGACTGGAATGCAGTGGCACTGTGTCGGCTCACTGCAACCTCCGTCTCCTGGGTTCAAGCAATTCTCCTGCCTCAGCCTCCCAAGTAGCTGGGATTACAGGCGCCCACCACCACGCCCGGCTAGTTTTTATATTTTTAGTAGAGACAGGGTTTCACTGTGTTGGCCAGGCTGGTCTCGAGCTCCTGACCTCAGGTGATCCACCCACCTTGGCCTCCCAAAGTGCTGGGATTATAGGCGCCCAGCCCATAATGTACTTTTAATAGCATAAACCACAGTTACTTTTGCACCAAGGTAATAGCTGTGCTATTTGGCACATATATATTCATAATTGTTCCATCTTAGTTGTGAATCATACCTCTTAGGGGGCAGTTTAGATAGCCCCTTAATAGCTGTTAGACCTTGTACATTATCTAACTTCCATGAGCTTCAGATTGACCAAAAAAAAGTACTAATATATAGTTCAATATATTGAGGTTCAAAAATTTTTTAATTATTCTGCTCTATTACAGAGGTAATACATACTCAATGATGTATAAAATTTGGACAATACATAAATGCATAAGGAAAAATGTGCCTATAATGCATACAAAGAAAATAAAACTGTACATAACACGTAAAGGCAGAAAAATTACTCAGTGGGATAGTTTTACTAAACTGAATGCATAAATGGGGAAAAAATACCCATAATCCCAACATCCAAAGGTGCCCACTATTTGTTTGTTTGTTTGTTTGAGATGGAGTCTCGCTCTGTTGCCAAGGCTGGAGTGCAGTGGCGCAATCTCAGCTCACTGCAACCTCTGCTTCCTGGGTTCAAGCAATTCTCCTGCCGCAGCCTACCAGGTAGCTGGGATTACAGGTGCATGTCACCATGCCCGGCTAATTTTTGTATTTTTAGTAGAGGCAGGGTTTCACCATGCTGGCCAGGCTGGTCTCGACTTCCTGACCTCGTGATCCATCCGCCTCAGCCTCCCAAAGTGCTGGGATTACAGGCGTAATCCTAGCATTTTGTATGCTCCTCTCAGGACTTTTTTTCTATATGTATTTAGTTGTTGTTGTTTTTCTTGTTTTTTTTTAGAAATCTTTTCTTACTGGAGTAGTATGTGTTGTTTATAAGTCAAAATAATACAGAAGTGTTACAGAGCAAAAAGTGAAAGCCCTCTCATTAGCAGTTTGATATACATTCTTTCAGACTTTTCTCAGTGCATATACAATGTGTGGATATAATTTAATCTAAAGTATAGAATCATACTGTATATTTTGAATATAAAATCAAACTATATTTAATTTTATAACTTAATTTTTATACCTAAGATTCTGTAATATACTTTGACAGTTGTGTATGTGGATCAACTTGATTCTTTTATTTTTATTTTTTATTTTTTCGAGACGGAGTCTCACTCTGTCACTCAGGCTGGAGTGCAGTGACCTGATCTCGGCTCCCAGGTTCAAGCGATTCTCCTGCCTCAGCCTCCCGAGAAGCTGGGACTATAGGCGCCCGCCACCACGCCCAGCTAATTTTTGTATTTTTAGTAGAGACGGGGTTTCACCATATGGCCAGGCTGGTCTCGAACTCCTGACCTTGTGATTCACCCGCCTCAGCCTCCCAAAATGCTGGGATTACAGGCGTGAGCCATCACGCCCGGCCTCAACCTGATTCTTTTTAAAAGCTATGTAGTTTTCATTGTATTGATATAATTTATTAGATGATTTCCAAATATTCACTATAATTAATAGTATTACAGTGAACATTCATTCATTTAATAAATATTTAATGATTACCTGCTGTGTGCCAAGCACTATTTTTGGTGTTGAAAACTGTGGTAAACAAATGTTAAGTTCCAGCCTTCACAAAGCTGTTCTCTGTAAGCACTCCTAGCTTTGTGTACTCGTGACAATTTCAATATATAACATTTTTTTTTTTTTAAACAAGATGCGGTCTCACTATGTTGCTCAGGCTGTACTTGAATTCCTGGGTTCAACTGATCCTCCCTCCTCAGCCTCCTGAGTAGCAGGGATTACAGGTACATGCCACTATGCCCAACTCAGAACATTTTTTGTAAACAGAATTTTTGGGGCTAAGAGTTCACATTAGATACTGCTAAATCTCTCTAATCTTTTCTCATCTGATAGAAAAAAAAAGGTAAAGCAAAACCCATGTCATTGTTTTTAATAAATGTCATTATTATTAAGATTAAACTTTTTTTTATGTCATTGGCCATTTGTATTTCTTATTTTACGAATTACCTATTCATATTTTAAGGATCACAAATAATATCTGATAAGTAATAATACATTGCTTTTGAAACATATTAGACATATAACATTTGGTTGGATGATTACAGTTCCTATTATTTCATTTATTAATAATCAGTCTTGACAAATACAAGTTCAGCATCTCTAATTCAAAAATCCAAAATCTGAAATGCTCCAAAATCCAAAACTTCTTGAGTGCTGACATGACATGCCAAGTGGAACATTTCACACCTGACCTCATGTAACATGCTGCAGTCAAAACGCAGGAACACAACACACAGTTTGTTCAGGGATCTTAAGGCAAAAAGACCCTCCCCCCAGTGCCTTCCAGTTGCGATGTGTCTTTTCCAAGCACAGCATGATGGTGATGCCAAACAACCACAAATTGTCCACATGGTGGCCGAGATAGTTGAAACCTTTTGCTTTCTGATGGTTCAGTGTATAGACTTTGTTTCCTGCCCACAGTTATTTAAAATATTGTATAAAGTTATCTTTAGCCTATGTGTATAAGGTGTATATGAAACATAAATGAATTTTGTGTTTAGATTTGGGTCCCATTCCCAAAGTATCTCAATATGTGTGAGAGAATATTTCAAAATCCAAAGAATTTTGAAATCTGAAACACTTTTGGTCCCAAGGATTTTAGATAGAGAATACTCAACCGGTAATGCAAAACAGATGGAAAAGCCTGTTGGTCATGTATCAAGATTTATTTACTGAATGACTTAATGAGTCCATATATCTTCCAAAAACCCTGTCTGTAGATTACAGCCTCTGAATTGTTCTTTCAATTTGAAAGGCTGAGAATCACTGATAACAAAAGCAAACATCCTGTAACAGAATACTGAATACAAGAGAGAGCTGTGCCTTCCTAAAGAAATTTTTGAATTCATTTGTGTTTGGATGATCTTTTTTAACCTTGCCGTCATGCATTTTTAATTGATATAATTTACACACAATGAAGTACACAATCTAAGGTGTTGGATTATTTTTTAAATAGTTTCACTGAGGCCTAGCACGGTGGCTCACACCTTTAATCTCAACAGTTTGTGAGGCCAGAAGTTCGAGACCAGCCTGGGCAACATAGCAAGACCCTGTCTCTACAAAAAAATTAAAAAATTCGCTGGGCATGGTGGAACACACCTGTAGTCCTAGGTACTTGAGAGGCTGAGGTGGAAGGCCGGAAGTTTGAGGCTACAGTGAGCTATGATTGATTGCACCACTGCACCCCAGCCTGAACGATAGAGTGAGACCCTGTCTCTTAAAATAAAAAAGTTTCACTGAAGTGAGAAACCAAAAATTTTAGTGTATTTTCACTAATTTGTGGGGGTGGGGATAGGTAGAGGCCATATTCATAGTACTTTGGGCAGTGTTCTCTAGAAAATTTATAGTACTTTTCGTGTTATTATACACTATCACCTATTAAGGTAAGTATTTGGTTAAAGTGCTGTAGAAATGGAGGTGATGAGAGGTTCTCATTGATTACATAATTTCCTAGATAGTATTAACTCATAATGCTTTCTTTTTTTTTTTTTTTTTTGCTGAAAGTATTTTTTAAAGTTAGTAATTGGTTCTGTTGATTTTATAGGTACAGTGTAGTGAATGTAAGTGCCAGCCAGTACTGGAGCTAACATTAGAACTTTACCCTTCTGACTGTAGTTTCATGTTCTTCACATAAACCCTACTTCTGCTTGAGAGGCTTGGACTGACTCTGACCCACAGACTTCTCAGATTATTTTTGATAATTCTTTGCCAGTTTGTTTTCTTTAAAATTGCTACTTCATTCTAACATCCTGTTTCCTGATGAGTCTAGGTTCAAGGTAACTAGGTAACTCTTTTTTTCTTTTTTTTTTTTTTTAATACGCGGTCTCATTCTGTCACCCAGGTTGGAGTGCAGTGGTGTGATCTTGGCTCACTGCAACCTCTACCTCCCAGGCTCAAGCGAACCTCTTGCCTCAGCCTCCCGGGTAACTGAGACCACAGATACACACCACTATGCCTGGCTAAGTTTTTGTATTTTTGGTAGAGACGGGGTTTTGCCATGTTGCCCTGGTTTGTCTTGAACTCCTGAGCTCAAGCAATCCACCCACCTCGGCCTCCCAAAGTGCTAGGATTATAGGTGCTAGCCACTGTGCCCAGACCTAGGTAACTCTTAATTGTGTTTTTACACATTTGTGTGGCATTTCCTTTAAGCCACCTATGTGGTCTTTGAGGAATTGTGATACCAAGCGTTCAACACAAAACTGGAAACTTCCACTATTGAGAGGTTCATCCATTCTGTCCTGAAGGACAACAGGCATTTCCTGCTGTCCTTCTAGGTTTAACTTGTACCTCTTCAGGAGGCACATGGTTCTGGAGGGGCAGGTTTGTAGTGTTCCTGAGGATTTTCCCTGCCTCCTTTTAAACGATCATCTATCATTGCTTCAGTAGCTTTAGCATTTTCGGTGAGTCTTTTGATTCAGTAAAGTATAGAGTAGGGATAAAGAATAAACAAGACAAATTTTATTAGCCTCGTTTTCATTTAAAAATAATATTGTACTTAATTGAAATATAAATGAGCGCTGTTTGAGCTTTCTTTAAAAAAAAAAAAAAAAAAGATGAGTGACTCAGAGCTAACCACTCTGGCTAGAGCTTCTGAATGATGTCTTAAAAGTTCTCCAATAAAACTGACAAGAACAAGGCTGACAAATTTGTAATTTCATCAGAAACTGAGCAAAAGGAAATTTATGGTAAAGATAAATACTTATCCATTGTAGACCATTGGATAGCCACTGCTCTCAGAGCCTGCCTTGCTGAAATATATTCAGTGTGTATATACATACAAAATATTCAGCCTTTGCTTTAAAAGGCAAATAGAACACTATTCCTTTGTATAATCCTTAAAGCTTCACTTTCTGGTTTGTGTTTTATGCCTTTATTTGAACACTAAAACAATATTTGTTTATATGTATATCCCCTTATTCTATATGAAAGATGATCTGGTAAATCTGTTAAATCCTTTACAAAAACATCACCACTCAAACTTACTTTGAAATATTTGCAACTCCTGAGTAATTATGTTGAGTAGCATTTCACTATAGTTTAACCAACAGTGGTTTCATTCCCTGTACAGACATTAGATCGTGTACCAAAAGAATTGTATCTTATTTCACGTATTACTCATGACTCATTGTTTCTGTATTTCACCGAAAATAGACTAATACTCCTTTTCTCCTCTTCTCCTTTGTGGATTTTATTGTAAGAGAAGATAGGCTTAAAACAGAATAATTTTCAGGAGCAAAATTACGTGGGTTTTTCCATCTGGGTAATCCATTTTGGCTTTTATTATTGTGGAGGAGAATATAGCTCATACAGTAGATGGTTTGTTGTTTCTTTTTCCTGCTTGTATTTTTTTTTTAAGAAATGATTTCTTCACAAAATCAGCAACAATTCTCCTTGAATTTTTCTTGTATTTCTTCATCCAGTTGGCTCTCATTTTCCCCCATCTTCTGCTTGCCTATTGTGATACTCAGTGAGCCTGAGGAGCTACAGAACTTTCATTTAAAAATGCAGAAATAGAAACAATTGACAAATGCTTGCCACAAAGAAAAAATTCCAAACTCAAAAATCTGGCCTGTTTAATTTGTTCTGCAGTAGTGTCCTCTGCTATTAATTTATTTATGCAAGCTGTAAAGTCTGAGAAAAGGCTTCTGTTTTTAAAGGCTTTTCAGTTTCTGTTCTCCAATTTTTTTTGTAATAAACTTCCATTTCATATTCTTCTTAATATTTTATTATGAAAGTTGAAAACCTTTATGAAAGTTGGAGTAATGGTTTAATGAATCCCATGTACCCAGTACCTAACTTCATCAGTTACCAACACATAGCCTATCTTATTTCATTTTTACCCCCACTCATTTTTTTGCACACACACAAAATACTGGATTGTTTTATGGAAATTATTTATTGTTTTTCTGTAAATACTTCAATATATTTCTCTGACATGTAAGGGTAGCCACAATACCATAATTAAATCTAAAAATATTAACAGTATTTTTAATATCATAGAATATCTAGTCATGTTTAAATTTTTCTGATTGTCCCATAAATTTACACTTAGCTCATTTTAAATGGAATCCAAACAAGGACCAGACATTGTATTCTTTCTTAATCTGTAGGATCCTTCTCTTTGTTTTTGGAATGTAAGTAAATATATATATATATATATATATATATATATATATATATATATATATATATATATATAAAATAAGAGTGCCAACAATTTACATTTTTTTTTTTTGAGACAGAGTCTCTCACTCAAGCTGGAGTGCAATGGCACAGTCTTGGCTCACTGCAACCTCCACCTCCTGGGTTCAAGTGATTCTCGTGCTTCAGCCTCCCAAGTAGCTGGGATTACAGGTGCCCACCACCATATCTGGCAAATTTTTTTGTATTTTTAGTAGAGACAGGGTTTCACCATGTTGGCCAGGCTGGTCACAAACTCCCAACCTCAGGTGATCTGCCCGCCTTGGCCTCTCAAAATACTAGGATTACAGAAGTGAGCCATCACGCTCGGACAATTTACCTATTTTTAAAGTCAACAAATGGCTCAAATACCACAAAATCCAGAAGAAAAACAAAACATTTTAATTAATTACCTGATACACTTCTATAATACTTTTTGTTCCTGCTTTGTCTTCATACTCTTTGATCACTTCTTCATGTGACAAAGATTTTCTAATATAATTTCTTATAGAGAATAAACCTAATTCAGCCTTTTTCCTAACATAGTTGATTGAAATTTGTTTTTTTGTTGTAGATCACATGCAAAAAAACTGGCAAATTCACATACAGTCACAGTCATTGTAGTATTAATGCACACAGAAGAGTATCAGTTCTATTTTGTGTGATTCCCAACAAAAATGAAAACAAAGTATGTTGCATTGTAATTGTATCCACGTCTTAGCCGATAAATTTCTTCTTACTTATTGGTTGATTGATTGATTGGCTGTGTGCAGTGGTGTGATCACAGCTCACTGCAGCCTCAATCTCCCAGGCCCAAGCGATCTTGCCACCTCAGCCTTCCAAGTAGCTGGGACTACAGGTGTGTGCCACCAGGCCTGGCTAATTTTTTATTTTTTGTAGAGATGAGGATTTGCTGGTTGCCCAGGCTGCTCTCAAACTGCTAGACTCAAGTGATATTCCTGCCTCTGCCTCCCAAAGTTGTGGAATTACAGGCATGAGCCACCTCACCTGGCCCTAGTTTGTTTCTTTCTTTCTTTCTTTCTTTCTCTTTCTTTCTTTCTTTCTTTCTTTCTTTCTTTCTTTCTTTCTTTCTTTCTTTCTTTCTGTCTCTCTCTCTCTCTCTTTCCTTCCTTCCTTCCTTCCTTCCTTTCTTCCTTTCCTTTCCTTTCCTTTTTCCTTTCCTTTTTCCTTTCCTTTCTTCTTTTTTTTTGGAGACAGGGTCTCGCTCTGTTGCCCAGGCTGGAGTGTAGCAGTGTGGTCTTGGCTTACTGCAACCTCTGCCTCCTGGGTTCAAGTGATTCTCATGCCTCAGCCTCCCGTGTAGCTGGGACTACAGGTGCCTGCCACCATGCCCAGCTAATTTTTTGTATTTTAGTGACAACAGAATTTCACCATATTGTCCAGGGTGGTTGAACTCCCAAGCTCAGGCAATCCGCCCACCTCAGCCTCCCAAAGTACTGGGATTACAGGTGTGAGCCACCTCACCCGGCTGCCCTAGTATATTTCTGATGACAGAGAACTTCCATTTTGATAAGGTGTCAATGAGAACCCAATCCTTTGCTTACAGTTTACCCCCTTTTTTTCCCCCTTGCCATTTATTTGTTGAATAAACCAATTCAACTGTGCTATAGAAAGTCCCTGTGGAATTTGCTAGTCATCTATATATTTACCCATCTAATAAATATTTATTGAGAGTCTGTTATGTACAGGCACTTCCTGCTTTCATAGAGCAACAGTCTAGTAGATGAACAAACACTGATCATCTCACGATTAAATATAGAATTTTAATTTCATAAGCACTTAGAAGAGAGATGTGAAGAAAACTTTAAGAGCATTTCATAAGGGATTTGACCTATTCTAGTTATCAAGGAGGTGGTAATTGAATGAGGTCTGCAGAAATGAGTAGGCATTAAAGGGATGAAGGAATGACCTGGGGGATCTTTCTCTAACCAGAAGAATGGGGAAAGGCCTGGAGCCCACAGAGGAGAATGAAGAATATAGGGAATTTCAAAAAGCCAATGTGGTGAAGTACAGAGAGTGAGAAGGCTGATGTGAGATGAAGTCAAAGACATAGGTAGGGAATGGGCCATGAAGAGCTTTTTTTTTTTTTTTTTTTTTTGAGACGGAGTCTCACTCTTGTTGCCCAGGCTGGAGTGCAATGGCACTATCTTGGCTCACCGCAACCTCCGCCTCCTGGGTTCAAGCAATTCTCCTGCCTCATCCTCCCAAGTAGCTGGGATTACAGGCATGCACCACCACACCTGGTTAATTTTTTTGTGTCTTTAGTAGAGACGGGGTTTCTCCATGTTGGTCAGGCTGGTCTTGAAGTCCCGACCTCAGCTGATCCGCCCATCTTGGCCTCCCAAAGTGCTGGAATTACAGGCGTGAGCCACCGCGCCCGGCATGAAGAGCTTTAAAGACAGCTATGTGGAGGCCTTTGATTCATTAATTCATTCAAATATGCAGTGGTTATTTGAGGGAATATGTCTCTTATGTGACAGGAACTTCTCTTGGTGCCAGGAACATACAGAACTAGTCATGGACCTTGCATTCTAGTGGTGGTGTAGGCAGCGGGGAAGAGGGTGGGAACAATAAATCAATAAGAAAGAATCACATAATGTGAAGTTCCAAGAATAAAATAAAGCAGAGTCTTGTGTTTAAAGCAATTGTTGAGCTACTTTAGATTGAATGGAAAGAGAGGACCTTTTTGAGGAGGGGTTGTTTAGTGAAACCTGAATGATGAGAAGGAACCAATCATGCAAAAAGAATCTATGGAAGGAATACTTCAGGCAGAGAAACGAAATTATGCAAGGCCATGAGGCCAGAAGCAAGCTTGGCCAGTTCAAGGAACAGTTCAAGAAGACATTGGCCTGGGACATAAGGATTGAGGATGTCAGAGTTACAAAATAAGGTTGGGAGAGGCATACAGCTAACATATAGCTATTAAACCATATTACAGAATTAGTCACAAAATAACACAGCTCTAAGGAGTGACATTTGCTTTGGTAGTGAACGTGGTTCCTTAAGTCACTGAGAAACAATATTTATTTTATTGCTTTTCACACTCAGGAGTAGCATTTTCATTTATTATGTGGAAATTTAGCTGAGCTTAAAAGCCTGATGGCCACAAAGACTTTTATAAGGTGGTACATCTGTAGAGTGAAGGGGGAAAGAAGATGCATTGACAGTAATTTAGTTATTTAGTACAGTCAGCTGAACTAACACTTAAATGAGAATTTTGAGGAGTATATTACTTAAGCCTAAAGATAACATTTTAATGGCTTCCTATTGTGCCAAGTGCACTTCTTCTGAAATCTTAAAAAAAAAAAAAGTGACAGTGCTTCTCCTTGGAAATGGCAACTTTTAATGTGGTCTAAGCCAAGAAGACTAATGAAATTTGCTTAAGTTCAATGAGTTCTTTTTTTTGTTTGTCATTTTTATTAGAAAAGGAGGCCAGTCATCATAGTGTAATCAAACTCCAAAATTTAGCTCCCAGGTAACTCAATTCTAAATAGTTCGTTGGAACAGTGAATCTAATGCTTTGATTATTTTGCCTCCTTTTACTTCTTTCACCATATACATACCCACCCTCCCTCTCCTCTCACACACACACATAAGCTTTGCTCAGAAAATAGACCTGATGCTGGATTTTTTACTTCAGTGTTGACTGGCTGTTCTAAGGGATGGCCAACAGAAGATGGGGCACTGAGAATTGTTTTCCTTTTCTCACCCAAGAACATCTATTATTCATAAAATAACATATTCTGTTAATATGTATTTCCTGCAAATTATTAGCAGGAAATAGAAAAAACTGAAAAGGAAAATAATTGATTTCTGTCCAGATTCTGTTTACTTACTTAAACATCTAATAACTTTTCCAAATAGAAACAGTCACTTAAATGCAATCTAGTCAATAAGCAACATGAAATAGGAAAATTTATAGCAGTCTATTGACAAGCTTATTTTACTTGATGGTAAATAGATGATTTCTTTACGGAACACTTTTTAGGAGAAGAATAACCTGAATTTAAAGAATAGTCACATTTTACAATGCCATATTATCACCACTAATGGATATTAGGTTTCCTTTGTCATTATATTCAGCAGTTGGCTTACCTTTTCTTCCACCTGCTATCTTTGAAACTCAGCCAGTTTCTCTTGTCTTTGGCTTCTGATGCAGATCTCATTACCAGCCAAATGAGAACAGATTCAAGTAAATGTTTGCCCTGAAATTAGACGAGTCTACTGTAGAAATTTGTGAGGCAAGAACAGTCATAGGCATCTGAAACACTAGCTTCAACGGAACATATAATGATTGCAGAATCCAAAGAAATATTTCATAATTTTGACTCAAGAATGAAGTTCCCATAAAATTGTATTAAGTTTTCAGGTACATTCTTAATATTCATGGCATACATAGCCATTAGAGGAAAGGAAATAAGACTCTAGTAACATTTTTAAAGGTCATCTTGTAGAAGGAAGTATCCTTTCAGTACCTTGAGGGAGAGTTAGGATTGGTTTATTTTCTGGAAAGCTTCACGCATTAATCCGTTCTCACATAACTATAAAGAACTACTCGAGACTGGGTAATTTATAAAGAAGAGGTTTAGTTGACTCACATTTCTGCAGCCTGTACAGGAAACATGGCTGGGAGGCGGAATCATGGCTAGAATCATGGCGGAAGGCGAAGAGGGAGCAAGCACATCTTACTATGGTGGAGCAGGAGAGAGAGAATGTGAAGGGGGAAGTGCTACACACTTTTAGACAGCCAGATCTCGTGAGAACTCACTCACTCTCTTGAGAACAGCAAGGGGGAAATCCACCTCCATGATTCAGTCACCTCCCACCAGGTCCCCCTACCGAAATTGGGAAGTAGAATTTGACATGAGATTTGGGTGGGGACACAGAGCCAAACCGTATCACCTTGGAAATTATAAGATGTTTTGTCTTTATCCTTTCAGCAATGAGGAGCCAGTGAAAGTGTTCTGAAGAGATGATAATATCATCCAGTCTTTCTGTTGGAGAGTGACTGGTGCATTCTGATGGATATATTAGAAGGACAAAAGATTGGAGGCATTGTAGTAGTAGTAACAATAACCATTCTGTTTTGAGTGCCAGGCACGTGCTCACTGTGCTTAATGCTTTATATGCATTAGCCCTTTGTCACCTCACAACATCTGGATTTATCTAAACAGAAACTAAGACTTGAGGCAGTCAGTGGAACTTGCTCCAAACCACAAAGCTAATAAATGGAAGAGCTGGGATTCAAATCCATTTGTGACTTTAGGGCCTCTGCTCTTAACCACTGAATTATATTAATATTCATAGAAAAAAGAAGGAACAAAAAGAAGCAAAAAGGGTGATGGTAGACTTGATGAGACTTGGAATTGGCTGGGAGTACAAAGTGAAGACTCTAAAATGGCTATGGGTCTTAAAGCCTGAGAGACTGACCAAAAAGTTTGACGTACAATTAATTGAAATCGGAAACATTGGAGTGGAGCAGGTTTGGGAACATATTTTACTTCAGGGACTTAGAGGTATATTTGATAGAGCTATTCTAATAAGCAGCTAGAAATTTGAATCTGAAAATCAGTACAGAAAGGACTCAAGACATTATTTTCATTGAGATAATAACTTGAAGTTCTAAGAAAGGTTGAGCTCTCCAAACAGAATAAGTATGAAAAAACAAGGGCAAAGAATAAGCCTTGATGAGTATTTTGGGGATAGCTGGAAGAGCAAGAAGGCAATAAAGGAGACATAGAAGTGGTCAAAGACAGTAGAGTAAGAAGTAAATTCAGGAACTCCTAGAGTGTCATAGAATTCAAAGAAAAGAATTTCAGGAGGGAGGAGGTAGTCAGCAGTATCAAATGTTTCCAAGAAGGCATAATAGTATGAGAAATGAGAAAATATCAGTGGGAAGTAGGATTAGTGAAGGCAGGCTTCTGTGTGTGCATGTGTGTGTGTGTTTGTATGTGTGTGCGCGTGAACATATGTGTATGGGGGTGGACATAGTGTAGAACTAGACATGTCTAAGGTTGGAGAAAGGAGCTATTGAAGTTGGAGACATTAAAGATGCAAGAGAGAAGAACTAACTGAAGAAGTAAAGGTATTCACCTTGCAAAGGAGTGGGGAGACTTCTTTCCCTGTGTTAGAGTGAAAGAAGAGAAAAAAAGAAAATTGAGAGAAACTTGGTGTTGGAGAAGAGAGGAATTGTGAGGGTGAATTTCAGAAATTTCCTATTTTACTGGTTTCAGTAAAATAAGAGGTGACGTCTTTGACTGAGAGGCAGGAAACAGTTCTGAACAACTTCTGTAGGGAAGAAGTCTGAGAGTCCACTGACATATGTGAAAGCATTTAGTGAGTAACATGATTTTGTAGTGACATCAGTTAAGACAATTATGTTGCCTTTTTTTTTTTTTTTTTTTTTTTTTGACGGAGTTTCGCTCTTGTTGCCCAGGCTGGAGTTCAGTGGTGCAATCTCGGCTCACTGCAACCTCTGCCTCCCGGGTTGAAGTGATTCTCCTGCCTCAGCCTCCCAAGTAGCTGGGATTACAGGCGCCTGCCACCACGCCCAGCTAGGTTGTTGTTGTTGTTGTTGTTGTTGTTGTTTTGTATTTTTAGTAGAGACAGGGTTTCACTATGTTGGCCAGGCTGGTCTTGAACTCCTGACCTCAGGTGATCTACCTGCCTCAGCCTCCCAAAGTGCTGGGATTACAGGTGTGAGCCACTGCGCCTGGTCTGTGTTGCCTTTTTCTCATAGGCCTTGCTTTATCCCACAGCAGGAGTTGATGAAATAAATTTACCAGAAAGTAAGGATTGGCACAGTAGGTCTAGGAGGTCAAGGAAACCAAAATGCCAGAGAACATAGTTAAAATAAGGCTTATACTGAGTATGGAGATAGTAGAGAAAGGACAATAGGCCTGGAGAATATTGAAAAGACTTGGTAACTTCTATTGGTTATATCCAGTAAGAAACCTCCAACCTGCTCAGCACATGCTTTTAGAAATAGCTATTCAGTGTATACTTTATTAGTTTACCAACTGGGGTCACCCTTTGAACCAAAATAAACATGAATCTTTTACTGCCAATTTCTCAAGGCGAAAATGCGTAATTTATAATGTAGGAAAGATAGGCTATAAAATAGTTGATAAGATTTAAGTCTAGATTGCCTTTTCAGTTCGGTTGTGGTGGCTGTTGTTTGAGAAAAAGGTTATTGATGTTAAAGGATAGTTGCATTCTAGACGCAATGAGCCAAAATAGAATTTGTTGCGAACTTGTTAATGTGTTCATGTGTGTTTTTTGTTGAAGTGAGTTGACATTTTTATGACAAACATTTTTTTGTGTCTGTTGTAGTTGTTCAATGAGAAGAGGGCCAATATAACCAATAGACTTGGTCCTCTACTAATCTGAATAATAAGACTTGTTTTGTAAGACCTGTGGGGTCCCTTCAGATTATTCTTACAATTGGATTTTCTTTTCTTAACTAAGCAGCTACTCAATCTCTCTTTGCTTTTCTTTCAATGACATTAGAGTTCCAGAGCAAGAGGAAAGGAATCTTTCACTCAGTTTAGTTTGATTGAAAAGGCCCACTTAATTAAAATGTGTAAGTTGTCTTTGAGCTTATCATTTAATGATTTTCTTCTATCTCTGTATTAAGAGACTAAGTAATGATAATGTTTTGAATTTTTGCAAAATAAATTTCATGTTAACTAACTTATCTTTGAAGATAAAAGATAATTTCTCAAGATAACATGTTTTGAAAAGAATTTTACCAAAAGACCATACTGGCTTTTTCAGTATTATTTTCATATACATAGAATTCTGAATGCTGTCTTTTCCTTTATTACAGATATATTCAGAAACATTTCCCTGTATCTTCCTTCTTGTTTAGTTAAAAAATAAATTTTATTCAGCCAACCCTGTGTTCCTTGTCATTTATGTACTAGATACACTTGAAAACAGTTTCCTATATTGAATGTATTTTAGGAAATAATATTATTTACCTATTCATTTTGGATGTTTATAGTGCTTTTTTTTTTTAACATGGAGAGTAAAATGCTTTTAATTTGTAATTTCAAGGTTTCTTTTCTTTTTGTTTTTTTTCTTTTTGAGAGGGAATCTTGCCCTACTGCCCAGGCTAGAGTGCAGTGGTGTGATCTCGGCTCACTGCAGCCTCCACTGCCCGATTCAAGCAATTCTCCTGTCTCAGCCTCCCGAGTAGCTGGGATTGCAGACATCTGCCACCATGCCCAACTAATTTTTGTATTTTTAGTAGAGGCGGGGTTTCACCATGTTGGCCAGGCTGGTCTCGAACTCCTGAGCTCAGGTGATCCGCCCGCCTCGGCTTCCCAAAGTGCTGGGATTACAGGCATGAGCCACTGCGCCCATACTCCAGATTTCTTATACTTCATTATTGATATGAGGTGGAGACAGTGGGCAGAGCAAAAGAGTACAAAAGGAAGAAAAGTGACCAGAGAGAACAGAATTCTATGCAGAGATTTAGTGGTTGAAGACATGATGCAAAAGGACAAAGGAACCTCAGGGATGGTCTCTAGTGAGTAATCTTTAGTATTCATTATTGAGATATGCTTTAAAATAGTATCATGAAGGGCTGTTTTCTGACATAAAGGGCTGTTTTCTGACATAACTTTCTATCCTTACAGAAGCAAATTGTTGCAAAGCAATGTAAAGAGGAAGTAAGCTTTCTTCAAACCATTACTGCTTTATGTAATGTTTTATCAAATGCTTTGGCTTTATGTTGTCCGGTTTTTAGTGTCCTGTGGGAGGTTGGTGGAGAGGAGTATCCAGCCCTGAGTAAATTCAAAAATATGCAGCTTGACAAGTTAATCATCTCTGTGGCTTAGTGCTTCAAGATGTGCTTTAACTGTCACCTCTGATTCCTGGATCACTTTCATCACTGTCTTTTCTAAGCTGTACTAAACATTAAATAACATGAGGGTTCCTTGCTGCCAGCATTTAGAATACAGTCTAGTTCCTAGCCCAGTGTCCTAGCCCAACATTCTGGATTTTTTATATATGCTGTGAGGATGACTCATGGCAAGAGTTCGTTCAAACAGATTCCCCATAGGAAGCTGAAATGAGAGCTTTTGGCAAGGCAGGTAGAACCCATTGGAACATAAATTCAAATGATATATAGCTAGCTGTGGACTGCTAGTGAGCAACAGCTGACCAGCCAACTTGGAAATTAACATTTAGAGTCAGTGTCTTTTTATGAGCAAAGGCATCAACCAACAATGTGATGTAACGTCCAGAGCTGTAAACGACTCTGAAGACTGCAGAAACCTAACCCTTTAATTATAGAAGGTAATGAAAAATCAGGTAAAACTTGGGAAAGAAGTGTAAGAGGATCTGTTAATTTAAATACCAGCTCTCTCTTTTTTTTTTTTTTTTTTTTTTTTTTGAGATGGAGTCTTGCTCTGTTGCCCAAGCTGGAGTGCAGTGGCACAATCTTGTCTCACTGCAACTTCCGCCTCCTGGGATCAAGCGATTCTCCTGCCTCAGCCTCCTGAGTAGCTGGGATCACAGGCATGCACCACCACACCTGGCTAATTTTTGTAGTTTTAGTAGAGACAGGGTTTCACTATGTTGGCCAGGCTGGTCTCGAACTCCTGGCCTCAAGTGATCTGCCCGCCTCAGCCTCCCAAATTGCTGGGATTACAGGCGTGAGCCCCTGCGCCCAGCAAATACCATCTCTCTTGATGTCTGCACTATGGATAGCATATTTTTGTGATTTTTTTTTTTCCTGACTGTGAAACAACACGATTGTTGTAAACAATTTGCAAACTATACATAAATTATAACCTGCAGGTCTATTTAGTCTATGTTCTTCAGGTCTATACATACATATTTTTTAAACATAATTTAGGTTCTTGCTACACACTGTGTTTTGTAACTGACAGTGTGATGTTTCAACACCTAGACCCAAAGAATTTTAAACCTTAAAAATCCCCTAATCTAACCTTCTGAAATTGGAGGAGGTACTTGAATCCAAGTGGCAGGGGATGGAAAAGTAAAGGCAGTTACACACATGTTCAACAAATGAGGGTCAAATCAAATGGAAGAGTGCAACAAGGGACTTTAGTAATGGTCAGGTGAAACTGGTAATCCTGATCCTGGTAAACTGGTAAAAACCTAATTTGTAAGCATGCCATGGAAGTCTTTTATAGTATGGCATTCTGCAACTGCCTTTAATCCAAGTGGTACAACTGATTTGGCATGGCTGCTGGAACGGATCTCCAAACAAATGTTGTTCCTGGCACAGGCTTCTTCTGAGCAATTCTTTCACACTGCTGACATTGGAGTTTTTTGTTTTTTTTTAATATATCTTTCATTCCCTGGTGCATTAAAACCTATCAAGCCTATAATTTTTTGCTTTAAAGATTAGCTCTTCTTACAATGTAATGTGTGAGGAAGAGACTTCAATTAAAAGTAGCAGAATAAAGGAATTTTTACTCTTCCTTTCTTTTTTGAAACTCACTAAAAAAAAGACAGGAAAATAGAAAAGAAGTCCATTATTAGTGCAACTAGGCACAAAGCTCAGCCCCGGAATACAAACAATGAAGCATAACTTGCCAAATACATACTATGAAATCTAGACCACATATAGGAGGTTGCTGAACCTCTTCTGGGAATTCCAAGCAATGTACTGATTTCTCTAAAAGGAAGGGTTATATTATCTTAAGGGTCTAACCAGTGAACCTTTATTGTAGTGTTCTGACATTTAGTTTTTTATAGACTCAAATTATAGATATGATCTGTTACAAAAAATAAGAATCTGTCCAACACAAGTGTTAAGAAATAATAAGGCAATAGGAGGAGATGAAAAACCAGTGGGAAAATCTTAGGAAAGAAGTATAAAAGAAAAATAGAAGCATTAGAGAAGTGAAAAACACATCAGAAATAACAACAAAGAGTAAATGTAATCAGAGACATGGCTAAGAGGCTTGAGGAAATTATATCAATTTAAGAAAATACAGATATAAAAATTATAGAGAAAATGATAAGGGGAAACAAAAGACATCTATGCATGGCATCAGCAAACTTGTAAAGGGCCAAAAGTAAATACTTTAGGCTTTGCAGCCATATAGTTTCTGTTACAGGCATTCAGCTCTGCCTCTTATAGTACAGGAGCAGCCATACACACTATATATGGCTGTGTTGTAGTAAAACTTTTATTTACAAAAACAGATAGTGGACTGGATTTTGCCTGATCTTGGTTGCTGAACTTCGTTCTTGAGAAAAATAACAAATGGAACTGAAGTAATATTTAGAGGTATAATAGGAGAAAAATTTTTCTGAAATAATTAAAACCTTGAATCAAAGATGACTACCCTGTGGCCCAGGAATAATTGATATAGAACAATTGATATCGAGGCATATTTTGGTGAAAATATGGAACTTAAATGGATAAAGAATTTGGTGGACATGTAGGTAGTGGGATGGGGGACAGAACTTGGGTTTACCTTAGCTTTCTCTTTAGCAAGAAACAATGTTAGAAAACAATAGAGGAATGTTGACCATGTCTTGAAGTTAACCCAGGATTTTTTAACCAGCAAAATACTTTAAGCATAAATATTAATACACGGATGTGCTCTAGCATGGGAAAGCTCAACAAATCTAATACCCATGAGATCTTTTTCAGACAGATTACATCGTGATAAAAACCTACCTAATCGAAAGATTAATCAAAGAATTCAGAAATAAACTGATAAAAAATAGTGTGATAAGAATTAAATTCATTTCATTACAGAGCTAATATGCCTCAGTGGAAATTATACTTTCAGAATAGATTATCACTTTATAATCTTGATATTATAAAAATAAATAACAAATCAGGTGGGGAAGGGAGGTGTAAATGTTATTCCTTCATAGCAAGAAGGATCACTTGAGGCCATAAGTTCAAGATCAGCCTGGCCAACATGGTGAAACCCCATCTCTATTAAAAATACAAAAATATATGGTGGCGGGTGCCTGTAATCCCAGCTACTTAGGTGGTGAGGCACGAGAATCACTTGAAATAGCGGGGCGGAGGTTGCAGTGAGCCAAGATCATGCTACTGCACTCCAGCCTGGGCGACAGAGTGAGACTCCATCTCAAAAAAATAATAATAAACTCTAGAGGGATCTTTTAGGAACTGGTATGCCATATGATTCAACACTCATTAACAAGTCTAGTTTTACATCAGATTTTTTTTCTTCAGCTATTTCAGTGAAAACTTTAAAATATTTTTTAAATAATACGTAGGAATGGGCAAAACATAAAGATGAGATTTATTCAGTTGTACAATAGAAGTTTTAGTAATCATTTAAGTAAAAGGAAATTTCCTCTGGCTTCCTGAACTTCAGTAATTGAAAGCTGTTCCTTTACAGCCAATTGGTGTGTGCTTTTAAATAGCCAACAACAGTGATTAAGACTAAGACATCAGCAGGGCACAGTGGCTCACACATAATCCCAGCACTCAGGAGGCCGAAGCAGGAGGATCTCTTGAGCTCAGAAATTTGAGAACAGCATTGACAACATAGCAATACTTAATTTCTATTTAAAAAATTAAAAATTTAGCTGGGGTGGTGGCAAGCACCACCAGCTACTTCAGATGCTGAGGTAGTGGATGGCTTGAGTGCAGGAGGCACAGGCTGCAGTGAGCTGCACTCCAGCCTGAGTGACACAGGAGACGTTATCTCAGAACAAAACAAACAAAAACTAGTACATAATCTGGTGAGGTTACAGACCTTCATTACAAAAGAATCTTCTGGACAGCCAGGCAAACAAACAAGTTCATATAAGTGTGATGAGGAATGGTAACATACTGTCATTATTTAAATAATTGCATTTAACAACTTAATTGACTAATAAAAAGTGTTCTACAGCAAACTTAACTACTAATGTATTTCTATTTCTTTACTAGTGATTTATAATTATGTATTGGGCTAGTTTCCTGCATATTCCTCCCCTGACACCTTAAAATTCATGTAATCCAGAAGCATTCAGGAGAATCATGTTTGGTTGGTAGTTTCCCTTCCACCTTCTGTTACTTGGTCCAGAATTTCTGTGGCATCAAATATAAGACCTCTATATTGTAAAGCAAATACCCTATATCTATGTATATTTCAAGTAGAGTAATTTCAAGCTTCCGCCTTGGAGAAGAGAGTAAACTCTCCTCAGATATGTTTGTTTTTTACCCTTCTACCTGGCACCATTGACACAATACAGTAATAGGAACCTTTAATCAGTTCCATTTCATCACATGTCATTTCCTTGCAGAGTGCCAATTTTACTTTATTTTCTTTTATTGACCTTACCTCCTTCTTAATAGTAGCCTGAGGTAGGCTAGTTTGCTATACTGTATAAGAAAACCTGATATTATTTTGAATAAACATGTGAATCTGTTCTTTAGACTTTGCTTGCCGTGACCACTGTCCTTGGGCATTAGAATTTTATTGTCTTTAAGATGACAGTTATTAAGTGGTTACTATAAATGAGCATTAATTAATGCACTACTCCTGTTTTTAAAGGGCTTACAGTTCAGTTCAACAGTTTTTGTTTTATTGTTGT
Source organism: Homo sapiens (assembly GCF_000001405.40). Lineage (NCBI taxonomy): Eukaryota > Metazoa > Chordata > Mammalia > Primates > Hominidae > Homo > Homo sapiens. The sequence continues at coordinate 72,817,628 of NC_000010.11, forward strand.
TGTTGTTTTTAAGAGATGGAGTCTGTTGCCCAGGCTGGACTCAAACTCTTAGGCTCAAGCAATTCTCCTACCTCAGCCTCCTGAGTAGGTGGGACTAGAGGAGTGTGCTGTCACACCCAGTTTAGTTCAACAAGTATTTTAAATGTTATTAAAACTGTGTCTTATTTTGTATTAGTAAAGTAGTAAGTAGACAATACTAGAGCCTTTAATGGAGTTCAGTGACCCAGGGAGCACTAAGATTTTTGTCCCACTGGCAATTAACATTTATTGAGTGGCTTTGCATGTACTAAGTACTTTAACAAAATCCAATCAAGTACTAACTCTAACCTCTAAATGTGAAAAATATTTGGACTTGCACTGTTCTTTTAGAATTTTGTAAAATGGAAAATAGCTGCTTGAAAATAAGCAAAATTGACAATGTTAAATTTCCCACTTGTAAAAGAATTAGCTGTTAGGAAAGTCATAGAGTATAAAACTTAAAAGGCTTAAACAGTTGATAATTAAGCAACTCTTCTGGCTATATTAGATTGAAAAATTTGATTTAAAATGAAAAGTTCCTCTCTAACCTAGGTCACCTGTGACTTTTCAGATTTTCATGTGCTTCAAAGCTAGGATTAGTGAGCAGAGAGAGGCTAAGTGTGAGCAAACCATGATTGCTTTGTTGTGGTTAATAATTTTCACAGTGTTTTGCTAACTCACATAATGAAAATAAAGCAGAAAGTAGTGTTCTAAGAAGCCACCGACGTTCTTTGACCTTCTTGACTTCTATGATTTCTGTTTTGGAAACTTGAACTCTTTTACCATACCCTGATTGTAGAACTGACCAGTTTTTATTTATTGCCATTGTTACTGAAGATCAATTAGTGAATTGTTTAGTAGCATTGAATCTAAAGAGCTTGTGTTGTGGAGACATAAAAATAGTACTGACTCAACCAGGTGTGGTGGTTCACGCCTATAATCCCAACACTTTGGGAGGCCGAGGTGGGTGGATCACCTGAGGTCAGGAGTTCGAGACCAGCCTGGCCAACGTGGTGAAAACCCTGTCTCTACTAAAAATACAAAAATTAGCCGGGCGTGGTGGTGCATACGTGTAATCCCAGCTACTTGGGATGCTGAGGCAGGAGAATTGCGTGAACCTGGGAGGCAGAGGTTGCAGTGAGCCAAGATTGCACCATTGCACTGCAGCCTGGGCAACAAGAGCAAACCTCTGTCTCAAAAAAAAAAAAAAAAAATACTACTGACTCAACATTGTCTTATCAATGCTGTTAAATGATATTAAACATATTGGCAAATACAAGTTACTTCTAACTCTTAATGCTCTTAATCCTCCTTTTTTAGAAACATTAATTCAGTATATAAACAGATGCCAGTTTTTACTCTGTTGTATCTCTGTTATGTTTTCTTCTGATGGGCAAGACAGAACAATAGATAAGATATTTTGTGGGATGACATTTGAAATTTTCAAGGGAGAAGTCCATGAAGAATGGTGTCTGGAAATTTACCAACATCTCTAAAAATCAATAGCAGAGAGGGATTTAGTTCAATTTTCCTTATTTTGACAAATCAAGTGAGCCAGGCAGCCTTATGACTTGCAGGCCATACAAGTTTGCTACTTTGAGGAAGTAGCTTTTGTGGCAAGTCTGACATTTTTGTGAGAAGGCAGGTAGAAGAGAAAGAAGAGGGGCGAGAACAGATAGCTACACACATACAATCAAGACACAACTTGTTAGCCCTTTCATTAATTGTTGCTACTTCTGTTTCCCACCATTCCCTCTACCCCAACATGCTAAATACTCATCCATAAGTTTGTTTGTTTATTTGTTTATTTTTTATCAGTAAGTTTGGATAGCAGCATTCTTATTAAATATAAAGCAAGGGGAAAGTTTTTACATTCAAGGAGCTTACAATATTCTAAGTATTTATCACTTTCAGTTTCCTAGGCTGTAATAACTCATCAACCTTAGCATTTTTGGATTTTTAATAAATACCCTTATTTTTTATTTTGAAAATTTTCAAATCTATGTAGAAGTGAAAGAATAATGCAGTAGACATTGAAATTACCTTTACCTAGATTCAGTAGTTGTTAACATTTTTCCAGTCTTTTTTTTTTTTTTTTTTTTGCACTGAGCCATTTGAGCCATCATTGACACTTCATTCATAAAAAGTTCATAATGTGCCTCCTATGGACATTCTTCTACATAATAATACAATTTTTATACTCAATAAATTTATCTTAGTTGATAGTAGTATATAGTTAAATTATAGTCTATTGAAAAATATAGTGAGATACTTGTTAACTCAAGGAAAATTGTATTTTTTTCTGCCTGCCTCAATGGAAAATACATTTTACCCATTGAAGAAAAGTCTGAGGGGAAAGTGTGTACTTTTTATTCTGTGAACATGAGTGGTATATGTCTGTTATAGGGCAGGAAGAAATAATCATGCTAGAAGTAAGGATCCTGCATCAATGGGAATGTGTCACAAAATATCCGTTTACATTTCTGCCTCAAAGAATATTTCATTTGTGCTGTGCATGTGAATATATTTACATGCCTTGTGTTTTTGTCATTATCGTTTGCAAACATTTCTAGATAGTTTTGTCAGTAAGAAATAAGGTAGTATGTGCCGGGTACCATAGGAACTATTTATTAGATTTGATTCTTAATAATTTTTCTCATTCTCCTATTCTCATACTCATGAACTTCCCAGCTTAATTGTTGGAAGGAAATAGATAGTTTTGATATTTCTCAGTTTTACTTTTGACCTCATGCTCATAGTTGCTGTAGGGTAAACATTTAGGTGATTATTTGTCAAAATTGCTCCGACTTTGCTTTGAAAGAGAAACACAGGTGCCCTTCTGGACTTCTTCATCAGTTTGATTAGTATTTTTTTTTTTTTTTCCGAAACGGAGTCTCACTTGTTGCTCAGGCTGGAGTGCAATGGTGCGATCTTGGCTCACTGCAACCTCCACCTCCCAAGTTAAAGCGATTCTCCTGCCTCAGTCTCTCGAGTAGCTGGGATTACAGGTGCCCGCCACAATGCCCAGCTAATTTTTTGTATTTTTAGTAGGGACGGGGTTTGGCCAGGCTGGCCAGGCTGGTCTCGAACTCCTGACCTCAGGTTATCCACCCACCTCAGCTTCCCAAAGTGCTGGAATTACAGGCGTGAGCCACCACGCCCGGCCTGGTTAGTATTTTTTAGTGGGATAACAAAATGAAGTTAACAGTACTTTTGGTCAGTAGTTATTCCCTACTACTTTCCATACGTGTTCCGTTTCTGTTGTTGGTTTTTTTTTTTTCCCCAAGTGGTGACATGGTACTAGACTCCAGAGAATAATCTGCCCTTTAACAGCTCAGTATTGAGACCAGAACTTGAATGTTGTACATACAATTCTATTCCTAGATTCAGTGCCCATTCTGCTAACTGAAATGGATTTTTCCTTTATTTCTAAAGCATTGTCCCATTTTTTGTTAACTTTGTAACTTCTTTGTGATCATTACTTCTGTTTAAGAGAAGTGATGGGTTCCTATATTGTAGGAAACAAACTACAACGGGAACAAAGATCCATGACAAAAGTCAAATAGGTTTGTAAGACTTTTTTTTTTTTTTTTAACTAAAACTTTTGGTCTTCAAGGCCTGCATGAAGTACGAGGATCAACATTTTCTTAATGGAATGCACCCTTCATATAAAATGTAATTAAGTAATCAGCAAATTTTAAATTTCATCTGGTGTTTAAATAGTATGATTTATTTGTGAGAAAGTTTTTGAATAATGTGTATTCCTTCTAGAAAACTGGTTTAAAAACCAATTGGTTTATGTAAGTCTGGAGAATGAAAGTGACCCATTCCTATCTTTCTTTCCAGTCTCAATAAGATTGATATGCATGCCTGAGTTCTTAATATGAAATTGATCTCCTCATCAAAAGGAAACAAACAAGCATGCTTTTCTGCTTGACTTTTACTCCACAATGTTTAGGGTGGCAGCATATTATATTTAGAAAGTTCCTCACAACAATTTCTTGAAAATCTTAACTTTACAAGGATAGAATATCTCTCTAGGCTGTGAGGAAACAAAGTTAAGCCCTTTGTCATACACACAAAAATGTCAACTTCAACTCAGCTGGTATTAAAAGCCCATGGCAACATCAGATCCAACAAAAGGTATTACAGGGTTCTTGCTTTTTTCAAGTGCACATGGAACATTTTCCAACAGACCACAGTTAGGCCATAAAGCAAGTCCTAATACATTTCAAGGGATTTAAATCATACAGAGTATGTTCTCTAACCACAGTGGAATTAAGATAGAAATTACATTTTCACTGGAAAATCTTCTGGTATTTGAAATGTGCATCAAAGAAGAAATAACGGCTGGACGTGGTGGCTCACGCCTGTAATCCCAGCACTTTGGGAGGCCGAGGTGGGCAGATCACCTGAGGTCAGGAGTTCAAGACCAGCCTGGCCAACATGGTGAAACCCCATGTCTACTAAAAATACAAAAATTAACCGGGCGTGGTGACAGACACCAATCCCAGCTACTAGGAGGCTGAGGCAGGAGAATTGCTTGAACCTGGGAGGTAGAGGTTACAGTGAGCCGAGATCGCACCACTGCACTCCAGCATGGGCAACAGAACGAGACTCCTCTAAATAAATGAATAAGGAAATAACAACCAAGACTACAGATCAAGAAAAAGTAGTCATAGTTTACCAATACCAGGAACAACAAAAAAAGGCAATGCCACCACACATTCTATGGCCATTAAAAAGTTATGAGGGTATTCTGAACAACTTTATGTCAACACATTTAAAATTTCACACAAAATGGACAAATTCCTAGAGTAACATGACTTACCAAAAACCAACACTAAACTTGATAATAAAAAGACAACCCAGTGTAAAAATGGGCAAAAGTTCTGAATAGGCATTTTTCCAGTGAAGACATAAAGGTGGTCAGTAAGCATATGAAAAGATGCTCAACATCATTACTTATAAGAGAAATGGAAATCAAAGCCACGATGAGATACCATTTAACATCCACTAAGATAGGTATAATCAAAAAGACAGATAGGACTGGGTGAAGTGGCTGCCACCTGTAATCCCAGCACTTTGAGAGGCCAAGGCCGGAGGATTGCTTAGAGCCCAGGAGGTCAAAGCTGCAGTGAGTCTTGACTGTGCCACCATACTCAGCCTGGGCAACACAGTGAGACCCTGTCTCAAAAAAAAAAAATGACAGTATCAAGTGTTGGTAAGGATATAGAGAAATTGGAACCCTCACTGTAAATGTAAATGTAATGTAAAATATTGCAGCTACTTTATATAAATACTCGTATGGCGATTCCTCACAATGTTATCAGAGTTCCCATGGGACCCCACAATTCTACTCCTAGATAGCTATCCAAGAAGAAGGAAAATATATGTTCACACAAAAACTTGTACATAAATGTCTATAGCAGCATTATTCATAATAGCTAAAAAGTGGAAACAACCCAAATGGTCATTGACTGATGAGTGGATAAACAAAATGTCATATATCCATACAATGGAATATTATTTGGCAATAAAAAGGAATTAAGTACCAATATGTGCTACAACATAGATAAGCCTTGAAAACATCATGCTAAGTGAAAGAAGGCAGTCACAAAAAGACCACAAATTGGGCCCCGTGCATGCTTAGAAAATACAGAAGATGGTAGTGATGTTAGTAATGGAGTTCTTTCTTTATATGCAAATAAGCATCTGCTGGTCTCTCAACTGTGTAAAGTTGTGACTTAGAATTGCTTGCTAAGAGACTGGTCCCCATGTGATCCCTAAACAGACAGGAGAGGTCAGCTGGAGTCATAGACAGAGTGGGCTGAGGACCATTCTGGGTTGAGTGTTTTCAGTTTTGAATTATATGTGAAAATCATCTTAACTCTCTTATTTGATCTTCCCTTTTATACTGCACTAAGACCTTTAATGACTATTATTCTTTGGTATTAATCTTAATGTGTTCATTATGTGAAGTTACACCTTGGCATGGCTTTGTTAAGGATATTTTTAAAAATCAAGCAAATAAAAATAAATCCCCTTAGCTAAAGGTAGAGAAAGAGAATAGAGGCTATCAAAATTGGTGCATTTGTATGAAGCCAAAGAGTTAAAGACAAGTAAGACTTAGGGCCAGCACAGTGCCTCACGGCTGTAATCCCAGCACTTTGGGAGGCCGAGTTGGGAGGATTGCTTGAGGTCAGGAGTTCAAGACCAGCCCTGGCAACATAGCCAAACCTCATCTCCACAAAAATTAAAAAACTTAGCCAAGCATGGTGGCATATCCCAGCTACTCAGGAGGCTGAGGCAGGAGGATCACTTGAGCCCAGGAGGTCAAGGATGCAATGAGCTAGGATCATACTGCTGCACTCCAGCCTTGATGGCAGAGTGAGACCCTGTCCTCCCTTAGTCACCCCAAAAAGGGCTTTATGAATGCTCTAAAATCTCCAATTAATGGAATGTGATTTGTTGTTCTTACGGTATTCCTACTGGATACAATCTGGAAGGAATGAAGGAATCTTACTAGTCAGCTGTTACATGATTTCTTTCTTTTTTTTTTTTTTTTGAGATGGAATTTCATTCTCGTTGCCCAGGCTGGAGTGCAGTGGCTTGATCTCAGCTCACTGCAACCTCCACCTCCCAGGTTCAAGCGATTCTCTTGCCTCAGCCTCCCGAGTAGCTGGGATTACAGGTGTCTGCCACCACGCCTGGCTAATTTTTTGTATTTTTTTTTTTTTTTTTTGTAGAGATGGGTTTCACCATGTTGGTCAGGCTGGTCTTGAACTCCTGACCTCAGGAAATCCGCCTGCCTCAGCCTCCCAAAGTGCTGGGATTACAGGCGTGAGGCACCGCGCCCGGCCCATGATGTCTATTTTTCCAGTTTTGAGGTTTCTAACTAAGTAAGACAGTTATGTTAGAAATGTAGGTAGCATGTTTATTTTATTTGTAATTAGGTAAAATAACTTACAGTAAATGGAAAAAGAATTCGAAAACAAAACCAGCTACTTTGCTAAAGCTTTCTCTTTTTGTATTTTTTTCTTTTCATGGTATGAGTTTCACACTCAAACAACACATGGGAGGGTAGAGAGTGATTTTTATAGCAGCTGTTGTATCCCTCTCATTGCAGGGGAATAAGAAAGGTCTATAGTTATTTATATTTGTGAGTGGTAACTGCATTCTTTTTATTATTAACTGAAGCTAGAGCAAAAATGAAAATCACACAAAGCATACTTCTTGATTTGAAATTGTTTACTTCATTAATGCAAAGAAGATTTGGGATGACTTCTCACCAGCATTTCTTTCCCCCTTTTTATTTTAGGCTTACCTGAGAAAAAAGTTAAGTCTGTAAGTCAAGGTCAAAATACAGTAGCAACATGGGAGTGTACATTACTGAAATTTTTTCTGTACTGATCTTTTTTTATTCTATCCTAGCTTTTCTGATGCCTTTTAAAGGTTACAGAAAATTAAATAAATCTGTTATATTTCACCTTAAAAAAGAGAAGAATACAACAGGGCACAATTGGGTCAGTAGATATTTATAATTCTTTTTCTCCCTTAATTTTTTATTTTGAAAAAGTTCAAACTACAGAAAAATTGCAGAAAGACTACAAAGTACAGTCTTATACCCATTACCTAGATTCACCAGTTACTCATCTTTTGCCACATTTGCTTTATTTCTCTCTACCTATGTACATACACATGTGTATATGCATACATAAGCATATTATTTATTGTTTCCTGATCTGACAGTGTCAGGCATCTTAATCTTTCACCTCTAAACATCTCAGCCATGTTTTTTCTAAGAACAATAACATCCTCTTGCTCTTCTACAAAATACAAAATTTGTTTTTAATTTTTCCAGAATCCTATTACCTGTGTTTTATCAGTATTCAAGAACAAAGGAAGCAGAGAGAGAAATTAATAGCAACCACCCACTTCCTAAGTTATTCACCACCCTGCATCTTCCAGAAGCCAAGTGGGAAAACAAAGAGGTTGATTTTTCAAACCAAATAAATACAAAGTAATTGATAGACAAGGCCCCATAGCATTAAGTAGGCCCAATTTCTTACTCTATCACGTATGGTTGAACTGTTTCTCTAAACTACTTTGTAGTGTGTGTCTTGTGTGTCAGGAAATAATGTATTTGTATTTATTTTCATGAATTAATAGACTTTCAGAGTTGGAAGGGCCTTACAATGTGTGTTGTATAACCCGTGCATTTTACAGATGAGAACTAAGATTCAAGGTCATGCAACTAGAGATGAGACTAGAATCTAGCCTTTGAAACTCAACGCATTGGTTTCTGCTATGTCATGTTTCCTCTCTATGAGCCCTAGTTGCTTATGCTGGGGTCTCGTTGAATAATGGTGAAGGGTCTGACAATACTGTTCCTAGCTAACTAATGCATCCCTTTGAACTTATTTGCGTGAACTATGGTAGTGCTTCTCAAACTTTAATGTTGCATGTGAATTTCCTGGTGACCTTGTTAAAATGCAGATTCTGATTCAGTAAGTCAGAGGTGGGGTTAGAGGTTAGAATCGACATTCTAACAAGCTCCCAGGTGATGCTGATGCCCCAGGTCCATGGACTACATTTCGAGTAGCCATTTTCTAGAACAAACACAGATTTCTCAGGCCCTAGGCATCATCAAAGTAGAAAAAAACACTTAAAAATATAAGCTACTTCAGTTCTATAAGGAATAGACACAAATGTAACTAACACCTGTTTATCCATCACCAAACCAAAATAAAATATTTTTAAAAGTGCTTTGTATTTTCCTAACTTTTATGGCACTTTAAGAAGGAAGTTTTATCTCAATATGTTATTATAGATGCAACTATTTCCCCAATATTGTTATGTCAGCAAATGCATTGAGATTCCACAGGCTTTAATGGCACTGTGTAAGGAAATATGAATTCAGGTGATGAAAAGAACCATTGCCAAACTGAACTGTCTATCAAAAAGGGCAGCCAAATGAAGTTCTATTTTTACTCTCAATAAAATTCTTTAAGCCAACTACATTTATTCATTTAACAGATACAGTACAGTGGTTCCCCCTCACCTGCTGTTTCACTTTTTGTGGTTTTCATTACCCACAGTCAGCTGTAGTCTGAAAATATTAAATGAAAAATTCTAGAAATAATTAAGTTTTAAATGGTGCACTGTCCTGAGTAGTATGGTGAGATCTCACACCATCCTACACTCTCCCACTCTGTCCCACCCAAGACGTAAATCATCCCACGTACAGTACAATAAGATATTTTAAGAGACCACATTTGTGTAACTTTTATTACAATATATTGTTGTAATTATTCTATTTTATTATTGTTAATCTCTTACTGTGCCTAATTTATAAATTAAACTTTATCCATAGGTATGTGTTTATATGAAAAAACATAGTTTGGTACTGTCAGTGGCTTCAGGCATCCATTGAGAGTCTTAGAACATATCCCTCACAGATAACGGGGGAATAGTTAGAGTTTCTGTTCCCATGGAGTTTACATTCTGACTTTATTCCCTTACATCTAAATCTGTATGCTGCTTTGAATTGCATAAATGATTGTTAAAAGGTACAAATGCTAGGTTTTATGTGACAATGAGTCCTTTAAGTAAAGATCTTTGCATTTGGGTTTTTAGTTTTTGAAAAGTAATAGTGAACAATACATTCAATGACCATCTCAATACAACACGGAATGCATTTGTACCTACATCAGTCAAAAATAAGCAGCCCTTTAATATATATGGAGAAATTTGTATTCTGTATCAAAAAATGCTTATGGAAATCATAATTACTTTTATTTATCAGAGTAGCTTAGCAGTAAAACAACAAATCTTCAAATGTTTTTTACATTGGTATCTAAAGAGATACTTTTTTAAAACCTTATATTTCTACCTTTAACATCATAAGATGTTTATTTTGCATATTATCTCTGTTTCTAGATAGTTGTGGTTTTTGAAATGTGTTATAGTAATTAAATTTTTTATGTTGAGTCAATCTCTTATGGATATTGAAGTTTTGAGTTTATATTTCTGTAGAATATTAGTCATTCAAGTGTTATCATGTTTATATTGTCACTTTCCTTAAGTGAAACCAGCCTTGTGAAATAGTTTTATTGTTATCATTGTTGCATTATTTTTAATTTAACAGATGAAGAAACAGAGACTTAGAAGTGGAAATTCAAGGTAGTGAGTTGTGGAAGTGGGCCCAAGTCTTCCCACTCCAGTGTTTTCCCCCACTATCCAATGTCCAGGGTTTAAAGCCACAGACCTTATTTAGTATATTGGTAGATTAGAAGTAGTAAATGTTGCTGATATGATGCTTCAACAACTTTACTGTATCAGGGATATAGAAAAAAACTGATCCCAAGTTGTGGAAGCTGTTATAGGTGTGTCTTGCATTAGACCAACTGAAATAGTTTACACTGCTAATTGGAGTATCCGTATAAGCACTGAATTTTGGAGACAGGTTTGGCAAAGTTGCTGAAACATGGGTACTCTGGTCTTAGAAAAGAAATTTTTGGAACATTATTGAAAGGGGTTCATTTTTTATAAGCATTCCATGTTGTGCTAAGGGAAATGTAACAGGGAGATACAAGTGGTCATATCCAAACTTAAGGCAGAGTGAGGCTATTTATAATAAGATTTTAGCCATGGACAAATATATAGATACAGTGTTCCATCTAAAGCTGTTTGATGTAGTTAATGTAGTTTAGTTTGAGGTAGCTAATAGGTGTTTGTTTCTTAATGAAATTAGATCCCAAGATTTTCTTAAAGGGAACTAGGTTAATAAGGAAATAACTTTCCCTCTCTTTCTCTTTCTCTCTCCCCCTGCCACTCCCTCCCTTCCTCCCCCTCAGCATTCCCCTTCCTTTAGCCTGATGTCTAACTGGCTGTGAATATTTGGGGGCTATTGACAGGTTATTTAGATTTGACAATCCTCCCAAGTTTCTGGAAGGAGTATACTGTTGAGTTTGCTCTTTTGAACTATGAAAGATGAATTAGGTATAGTTGAATAATTTATGATCATAGTAAGGAATTTAAAAGTAAATTTTGACTTGAATTTAATAATTTTCTGAGGACATAAAATATCTTTTTTATCATTCTAATTTTTATTGGCTTAAATCTTATGTTTTGGAGAAATAAAGTTACAGTGTTTTGTAACCTGACTCTAAATTGATAACACTAGGGATTAAGATCAAAGGTAAATGATTATAATACTGTGGCAGACGTTATACTTTCTTTTAGTTCCAAGTCCCTGATTTTCCTTAAAGTTCTCAAGTTACTTATTAAAGATATGGACTGGTACCAAAAGAATAAACTTGCTGTTTCTTTTCAAGGAACTATGGGAGCACCAAATCACCTTATTCATTTGGCACCAATATTTCTAGGGAGGCCGGGCGCCTTGGCTAATGCCTGTGATCCCAGCACTTTGGGAGGCCAGGGTGTGCAGATCACTTGAGTTCAGGAGTTCGAGACCAGCCAGGCCAACATGGTGAAACCCTGTCTCTACTAAAAAATATAAAAATTAGCCGGGTATGGTTGGTGCTCGCCTGTAGTCCCAGCTACTCGGGAGGCTGAGGCAGGAGAATTGCTTGAACCCAGGAGGCAGAGATTGCAGTGAGCCAAGATTGTGCTACTGCACTCCAGCCTGGGCAACAGAGAGAGACACTGTCTCAAAAAAAAAAAAAAAAAAAAGTTCCTAGAGATTTTCCCTTTCTCTGATAATTTTTGAAATACTTTCTAAATAATTAACTTTAATCTTTGTATCTGCCAAGATTTAACTTAATTAACTTTACTTAACTTTAATCTTGGTATCTGCCTATGAAATTTAAATATATAAATATCACATATCATTTGCCTGAATGTTTTTGCTGACTTTTCTTTCTTTTTTAACTTCTTGATATATTTTTCAAACTTTCAGCCTCAGTCAAATATTTATTAAAAGCTTCCAAGGAAAGTAAAGGGTAAAAAAAAAAAAACCTAAACAGTAAAGGAAAAAAACTTTTACAAACTTACTATTTTCTTGTGACATGTTAAAAATACAAAATTTAAACCATGAAATATTTTCAATTTAGGGGAATTATGGAAGAGTTTAGAATAGCAATGGTTCTTTGATCTTGAGCTCTTACAATTGCTTCCTTGGTTTTTGTTTTTTGTTTGTTGTTGCCATATTTCAAGGAAAAAAGGCAAGAGCAAAATAATTTTTGTTTTTGTTGTCTTTAGTAGATTCTAAGCTTCTGGAAAGTTTAAAGAAATAAAAGGACTTACATGTGTGTTTGTAAATACTTAATATGTAGTATTTTATAATTGCCAGTGTCATTATAGAAGTAGGCGGGAAGGACTTTGAGAAAGTGAGTTGTCCCAAAACTACAGAAACTGTTCTATAAGCAAGGATCAACAAACATTTTCTTAAAGGGCCAGATGGTAAATATTTGATACTTTGTGGGCCGTGTGGTCTCTGTTGCAGCTACTCAACTCTTGCAGCTATATACCAACCACTCAGTTTTGCTGTTGTGATGTGAAAGTAGTTGAGTGGGGTATAGAGAGTAAGTAAATGAATGAGCTTTGTTATGTTCTAATAAAATTTATTTACAAAAACAGGCAGCCAGCTTGCCAACCCATGTTCTATATCATCTAACAAATATTACTCATAACCAGCCATGTATTAATGTGGTTCACTGCCCCACAAAAACATCTTTTATTATTGTCAAGGATAATTTATGAACTCATAGAGGACAGAGGATTTCTGTTGTAAAACGGCCCAGTGTATGTATATTGAAGTGATATGATGGTTGGGATTTCCTTTTAAGAGATACGGAAGGGGAAAAACTGGGTGGCTGTAGATGAACTGAATTTGATAAAATGTTGATAAATATAGAAGCAGATGATAGGTTCATGAGATTTCTTCACACTGTGCTTCCTACTGTATGTGTCTGAAGATGTCAGTATTTAAAAGTTACTACATAAACAAATAATGGCCCAGTAAAGGCAGCAGTTTCTCCCTTCTCTTCTCACATCTTAGAATAGGAAGGAGAATAAGATAAAAATACAGACCCCATCTTCAGCACAACTAGGGAGATCTCTGCAATTCCAAAACACTAATTATATAAAGGAAGGTTGCCAGATCCAGTGAAGGTCAAGTAGAGGTGTGTGGGGAAACCCTGAGGAATGACACCTGTGGTCGCAGATCCCCAACAAAGCCAGCCAAACACAGTTCTCCAAAGGAAGCTGCCGACCTCAGACTTCTCCAAAGCAGTATTCAACACTGATTCTTTCCCTTCCAAATCCTCAAGGAAAGATTAATTTAGAAATTAACATGCCAAGCTGCAGGAAATTTAGCTCTCATGAGTCCTACTTCTACAGGAAGATGTGCAGCCAACCAAGAAATGAAAGGAGAAACTACAGCTAAAGTATTGGCAGTGAACATAGAGTCCATTGATCTATAGCATTAAGACTAAAACAAATGTGGAAATTAGATTTACAGAGAAGAATATGAATCGTTAAAACCTTGACAGTGCAGTAATGAAAGTCGGAAAGATGAGGAAATAAATGATGTTGTCATGTTTTATAACAACCTGTCAAAAGATGTCATTTGAAATCAGTAAATCTAGTAAAATCTTAAGATTGGGGTGGAGGGGAGTCTGTAGTTGATACATAGATACGTAGGTTAGAGCGAAAGGTAAATGCTAAGAGAAATAATCTAATAAACGAAACCGAATGGTAGAGGGAAAGAAAAAAGAAACATAGCTGTATTAATCATTGCTGACGATAGAGATAGGATTTTTATATGTTACAGTATATTTTATATAAAATTATAGTTATAACATAAACTATAAAATATAGGGTTGGTTTTTGTTTTGTTTTGTTTTGTTTTTTGCCTAACATGTATTTGATGAGGACTTGTTATTTGTCAAGCACTGTCAGTGACCAAAACAGATGAAAATTTTTGCTTCGTGGGTTGGAGGAGACAAAAATAAGTAAATAATTTGTTAAGAGGTGTTAAATGTATGGGGGGAAAATACAGCATAAAAGGATTCGGAGTACCCATTGATGAGATTGCTTTTTTTGAAGTGGATGAGTAGAGCAAATATTTGAAGGAACTGAGGGAGCCATGTAGTTATCTAGAGAAACAGTATTCTAAGCAAAGGTAATCGCTATTGCAAAGGCCCTGAAGCAAAAATGTAGCTGAGTTCAAGAAACAGGGAAGAGTCTAAAGGGGTAAAGCACAGTAATGTAGGAGGGAGAGTGGTAAGCGATGAAGTCAGAGATAATGGGATATCAGAGAATATTAGACTTTCAAAGGCCGTTAAAAGAACTTTGACTTTTACTCTGAAGTAACTACTAGAACAAAAAAGTAAGCCTTTCTTAAGGAATATATATATAACTAAAACAAAGCAAGCACAAATCTTTGAGTAATTTTATTTTAATGTTTTTTAAGAGATGAGGTCTCACTCTGTTGCCCAGGCTGGAGTGCAACGGCACGATCATAGATCACTGCAGCCTCTTCTAACTCCTGGGCTCAAGCAGTCCTCTCACTCAGCCTCCCAAAGTGCTGTGATTACCGGCGTGAACTACCATGCCTAGTCACTAGTAAAGTATTTTTACTTTAGAAAGCATAGCATAAAATTTCATAACTGATAAGAGATTACGTATGTATGTTATATTAATTAAAGTATGTAGGCTAATTCTCCTATTAAAACATTCCCAGATCAGATTACTAAGAAAATGAAAGCAAAGAAACTCAGAAAGGATAACAAAATTAAAGAACACACAAAGATGTAACAGGCATATGCAAACTCAAACGTGCAGGGATTGTGTTCCTAATATTGGACAAGACTTAGTCCAAAAACCATTACATGAGGAAAAAAGAGCCTACAGGATCTGCATGAAAACAACTTCAAAGTGCTTCTCAGAAATACAAACAGAGACTTAAATGGAAAGACTTAACAAGATTCTTTGGAAAAAATCAAAATCCTTTTTTAACCCATGAAGTTAATACCTCAAAACAAAACATAGCTAATATTTATTGAGAATTTACTCTATGCCAGGCATGTTCTAAGGACTTTACATGTATTACTCATTTAGTCCTCACAACTACTTTATATGGGTGATGTTAGTACCACTTTTTGCCCATTTTTCAGTGAAGAAACCAAGGCACAAAGAAGGTAATAACTTGCCCAAGAGTTGCAGTTAAAGTTACTGAACCACAAAATGAACTCAGGCAAGATTATTTCAGATTCTGTGCTTTTAACCACTACATGATACTGTTTTTTGAAACCAATAGCTATGTGTGTGTGTGTGTGTGTGTGTGTGTCTAGATAAACTGACTCTGAAGTTCATGTGGAGAAACAAATAAACAAGAATAGCTGGGAGTTGTCTTAAAGAAAAGTAATAAGGGAAAACTAGCCCTACCAGATACTGAAATAAGACTAGAATGTTAGTTAAAACAATGTGGCTACTAGAGCATGAACAGAATAGAATTTCAGAAGTAGATCCAAATTCATGTAATTATTTGGAAAATTATAAAGATAGCATTTCAAATAAGAAAGGAAAAGATGTATTATTCACTGTATGGGACAGCTATGTTGTCATTAGAGGGAAATTAGTTAGATTTCTACTTAGTAACTTTGACTAGAAGTAATTCCTAATGAATCAAAGATTTAAAACGAAACTAGCTGTGAGCCAAGTCTCAAGTAATTTTTAAATTATTTATTTAAATTGTTTATAAATGTCAGTCTTACATTTCTGCATGCTCTTTTAAGTTGAAACGAGATGGAAATTAATGATAGTCATACAAAGTCCATCAGCACAAAGAAAAATCATTTAGGACTCTGTGACAATGCACACCTTAATACAGCTTAGTAGATACTAAATGATTTTTCTTTGTGCTGATGGAATGGAATATGTCAGGCCTGAAGCTGGTATATTGGATTTTGTTCAGTTAATGCCTGCCCTTCCTCTTCCTTTGATACTTTTTGGGGTTGGGAAAGTAAAAGATACAAAGGAATAAATTAAGCATTTGGCAAGTGAGAAATGTATTCAGTATTCATTCTGAAACATGGTTTAGTTATGAGAACCTGAGTCCCAGATCCACATCCACAGTGATTGCTCTTCGAGGAAGTAGTAGAGGTGGATGTGAGTGTGAGTGATTTTTTCTAACACTCTGAAGCGGTCGTGATTAAGGACTCAACTAGTGAGGTTGCCTCTCCAGGTTTTTTAAAAAGGAGAGTGAACATAAAGACCAGATGCCTACTCAATAATAGTAAATTCTTGATACAGCTACTTAATAACTCTCATACCTGGTAAGAGATAGGAAGGAGACGCAGATCTGAAAGGTAACCGGAGGAAGAAAAAGCCAGAAAGTTTACTTGAGGCCTGGTAGCACCTAGAATCAATATTAAATGTTTTTAAAAGTACATAAAACATGATTTGTATAATTCTAATTTTGTTTAATGTAACATGTATACTTGTGTTTGTATATGTAAATGTGTTTGCATAAATCTTGAAAACATACCAAAATGTTCACCACTATTATTTCAGGATGATAGGAGTTTGAAAGACTTTTATTTTCTTTTATCTGTATTTTTAAAGTTTTCTACAAAGCATGCATATTACTTAAGTAATCATATGTATATATTTATTATATACACACACATAAGTATATGTTTGTTGTTCCATTCTGACAGTAGATGTATCTTTTGTGTTTTCTAGGTACACCAGAGGATCGCTTCCTGGCAGAATTTGGGAGCTGTTTATTGCAGCACTGTTGTGCCCTCTGATGGTGAGTTTCAGCAAATCCACCTTTTATGTCTAATATTATTTCCTTCTTAGCTCAGTGTTTCCTATTCTCTGACACAAAAATTTATAAACCATACTCTTTCAGTTAAGGTGGGCTTAGGGGTCAGAGAGAGAAAGGAGGAGAAGGAAAATAAAATTTGGATGAGAATCTAGTGAGTTTAGAGAAGAAACCAAGAAGAAACACTAAGTTCCATTAAGACTTTATAGGTTAAATGATCATTTATCTTTTATTTTTGAGATGGAGCCTTGGTCTGTCGCCCAGGTGGAGTGCAGTGGCGCGATCTCAGCTTAGTGCAGCCTCTGCCTCCTGGATTCAAGCAATTCTCCTGCCTCAGCCTCCCAAGCAGCTGGGACCAGGCGAGCACCACCATGCCCAACTAATTTTTGTATTTTTTGTAGAGACAGGGTTTCACCATGTTGGCCAGACTAGTCTCGAACCCACGTGATCCGCCCACCTCGGCCTCCCAAAGTGCTGGGATTATAGGCATGAGCCACTGTGCCCAGCCTCATTTATCTGTTAAAACTAGGGACATAGTTAATGTGAAGATCACAGAAGCACCATCTTTGGTGTTTTCTAACCATTGGGTCTTCACATTATGGATAATGATCAAACACTCCAGCCTCTTGTTGTATCAGAGCCTAGACAGAAGGAACTCAAAGTCTGAGACCTCCTGCTCTTGCTTATCTTTTTCCCTACTTAGGCATAGGACTGCAATACTCTTCTTTGATGTGGGAAGGGATAAACAGATGCTTGGAGACCAATGCAATCCTTCGTAAATGTCTATGATGCTATAAACTGGCGACAGGATCCAAACCTTTGTTGTTTTTATGGTAGTGGAGGGAGATGTGTTTACAACTCTTATTGTCATTTCTCTTACCCGGTATTGTGCATTTACAGTTTAGGTTGCTTAGTTTAGGGGTTGACTGTTAGATATGTTTCCTCTGTATAAAGTTTAGTTTGATAGAGCTCTGATTTCAACCTTAGAAACATTAATTCGTAAGCATAACAACCACTGAAAGAGCATCCTGCAAATTTACAAGGGTGCCTAAAACTAAAGAAGCCCAGAAAATGAATCATGAGAACACTAGAATCCCCAACATTTAGTCAGTATAATATTTGCAGTGTTATCAGAATCACCTCCCAAAGCTGTTACGTGAATTTATAGACAGTGTGCTCATATTTGCCAAATCTTCTAAATTTGGAAGAAAAATCCATTGTGATTACTCATTTGTAATATGGAAAGGTTAAAAAGGGGAAAATAGACCAAAATCAAAATAAGGAAAATATTAGCTGGCTCTCTGTTTCCAGTCTCTTAAAGACAAAAAACTAAAAATTAGTACCAATTAATGTATAAGTTAAAAAGCAGCACTTAGCACTGTGTTGTGGCCAGAAAGGTAGCTGTGTTGCCCCCAGTCAAGAGTCAGTATGTACCCAGATAACAGTACTTTCTACGTGGCCAAGAGCCAGAGGACCATAATGCCACCTGGCTATGCTACATATTCCTTTCCCTCCTTAAGCTCCTTCAATGCAGTGGGTGGGTATCTCTCTTCCTCTTGACACTGCTTGGTCCATTAAATAGCCAAATGGTGACTGTCCACATCTGTGCCAGCACCACTCCCAGGTTCTGACTTACTCCATTACCACTGCAGGGTGCCATCATTAGATAGTTTGAATAAAAAGAATTTCACTGTTAAAAAAAAAAAAGTTTACATTGCTGAATCCACTCAGTTTTGCTGAACTATTTCATTCAAAAATTTCTAGTATTTATGATAGTGTTTGAAATTGTCATATATTCAATATCCACATATATCAATATATATTCATAAAGAATATCAACCAAGTCACATGTTATACTACAGCTGGAAGGTCAAGTCCCATTGGTGGTTATGATATTTAGTGGCAATTAACTTGAACTAATGAATTCATATTGGAATTGATACTAATTTTGCTACTTATTACCGTTACTATTATCCTGTTATATATATCTATATATAGGCTGTGTTATGTATACCTATATTCTATCCATATGGAGATATTTCAGTAATTTAACAATGGTACAGTTATGTATACCTATATTCTATCCATATGGAGATATTTCAGTAATTTAACAATGGTACAGTTAGGCCAGATGTTATCAGAGGACATAAATGCTGATAGGTTGCCATTATGAGGGTTTGAAGGCAATATTATTTTTACAAAAGCTAAAAAGATACCAACTTAAGAAAAAAAAGAGTGTCTCCCCAAATTCCTACCAACACTATCCTTCTTAAGAAAACTAATTCATATTAGTTATCAAGAAATAAAAGCACAAAATTATTTGATTTAATGTAGCTTGATGTCCTTATTATATATCTTTCTAATTTTGTACTTCTAAGTTAATTTCACCTTAGGTCAGTATAGCATGTGAGAAAACTGCTTAATCCACAGCTACTCCAATAAGTAGAGTTTGGTCACCAGTAACAGAAATTTCTACCATCACTCCCTGCTCTTTGTTGTGACTGTTGGTCATCTTCAGTATTAAATGAGGGCTTGACCCTCAGTTTTTAGAAGTATAAGGTCTAAAATATCATATCCTATAATTATGGTATTATATGCTTAGTAAATATACCTATATATACTGCTTTTCAGTAATTGCT
The DNA here is from genome assembly GCF_000001405.40 of Homo sapiens. Taxonomy (NCBI): domain Eukaryota; kingdom Metazoa; phylum Chordata; class Mammalia; order Primates; family Hominidae; genus Homo; species Homo sapiens. The sequence continues at coordinate 72,837,083 of NC_000010.11, forward strand.
TGTTAATTATGTTAGTTGACGAATCTGGTTATGACGGTAACAGCTGATAATAAAATATGTAGATTATCTTAAATGCTTACCTCTCTAACAAAGCAATCTAACAGGTTCTAGATTTTTTTTTTTTTGGTATCGTAAATACTTATGAGAATCTATTGAAAGTTCTAGACCCTTTCTCTAGAAGAATTTATATAAACATAGGAAATTTTGCATACAATTTTATAGTGATACAGATTCCCCTAGACCAAACCATGGAACAAACACATACTCATACTCACACCCATGTTTGCTTTCATGAGAGGCAATCTGCTTAAATGTTTAGAGTGTAAGCTTTGGAGACAAGCAGACCTAGGTTTATATCCCAGTTCTACCACTTAACCTCCTTATAACCCCCGGTAAGTAATAAGTCAAAGCCTGTTTCCTCATTCGTGAAATGTAGATAGTAATAGTTAACACCTCCAACAGAAAAATGTAGAAACAGTACTTATTCTGTAAGGAGTGGTTGTGGTAGTGCTAAAGACCTCAAATCTAAAACACGTGGTCTTAGACTTCTCATTTTAATTTCTCTGTGCCCCAGATCCTCAACTGTAAAATGACTGATAGTAAAATTTTTATGGTTATATGGTTTATACTTACTTGAAGTCTTTAAAGCCTCCAGGGGTTTCCCTTCATGTTAGTGGAAGTTAAGGATGTGGATAATTCTGCTGTAGACAGTTTGTATAATTTATCATCCAACTCAGAACACTTTTGAGAGTGAAAGGAGATGCCCAATACTGGTTTTTTTTTTTTTTTTTTTGAGACCGAGTCTCACTCTGTCGCCAGGCTGGAGTGCAGTGGCGCAATCTCGGCTCACTGCAACTTCCGCCTCCCGGGTTCAAGTGATTCTCCTGCCTCAGCCTCCCGAGTAGCTGGGACTACAGGCGCTCACTACCACGCCTGGCTAATTTTTTTTTTTGTATATTTAGTAGAGACGGGGTTTCACTGTGTTGGCCAGGATGGTCTCGATCTCTTGACCTTGTGATCCACCCGCCTCAGCCTACCAAAGTGTTGGGATTACAGGTGTGAGCCACCGCGCCCGGCTGCCAAATACTTTTTAATAGTGTAGACCAGGACCTATCTTCACTCTAGCTATTGGGAAAGTGTGAAAGGTGAACTAGAGAAAGAACAAGAAAAATAGCCTTATCTAGCTGCTTTTATTTTTTTATCCAGAAATGTAATCCTACTCAATTTGCCTTGTATTAAGAATTGCTAGGGCCAGGCATGGTGGCTCATGCCTGTAAACCCAGCACTTTGGGAGGCCAAGGCAGGAGGATCTCTTGAGCTCAGGAGTTCAAGACCAGCCTGGGCAACATAGACCTCATCTCTACTAAAAAATACAAAAATTAGCTGGGCGTGGTGGCATGTGCCTGTTGTCCCAGCTACTTGGGAGGCTAAGGTGGGAGGATTGCTTGAGCCCAAGGAGGTCAAGGCTGCAATGAGGTGGGAAGTCAAGGCGACAGTGAGCTTTGACTGCTCACTGCTCCCTCCTGAACGACAGAGTCAGACCTTGTCTCACACACACAAAAAAAAAGAGTGAGAGAGAATTGCTAGAGAGTTGTTATGTTTATCTTGTACTTAACAAAAGATACAAGATTTCCCTACAAAAATTGTTTGCGGGCAAATAATTTTAATAATGAAAGTATCTGAAAATTCCTGTTTAATTAATAAACAATCATCTGTTTAGTCAACCCAAGTAATAGATAATATATAAATTCGAAACCTAAGGTCTGTGCATGGTTTTGGGAACCAGATACATGCTCCAGCTTTTTTTGTTTGTTTTCTGTCCTGCTACTTTTTAAAGAAGCTTTACTGAGCTATATTTCACATACCATAAAATTTACCCATCATTGTACATCTGTCACAACAAATCATCTATTTTTTTTTTTTTTGAGACGGAGTCCCGCTCCATCACCCAGGCTGGAGTGCAGTGGTGCGGTCTTGGCTCACTGCAACCTCTGCCTCCTGGGTTCAAGCAATTCTCGTGCCTCAGCCTCCCTAGCAGCTGGGATTACAAGCACGCACCATCACGCCCGACTGATTTTTGTATTTTTAGTAGAGAGGGGGTTTCACCATGTTGGCCACGCTGGTCTCGAACTCCTGACCTCAGGTGATCCACCCACCTCAGTCTCACAAAGTGCTGGGATTACAGGGGTGAGCCACTGTGGCTGGCCACAACAATCCATCTTTGGACCGCTTGCTTGTTTGTCAGTTGATAGGGTAGCAAATTTTTTTTTTTAAGTTCCCCAGTTCTAATCTTCACTCACACCCTCAACCCCAGGTAACCACTAATTTGCTCTCTGTCTCTGTAGTTAAACCTTTTCCAAAAATGTCGTATAAATGGACTCATACAATATGTAGTCTTTCGCATCTAGCTTCTTTTACACAGCACAGTGCTTTCAAGGCTTATCCATGTTGTAGTGTGTATTCGTAGGTCTTTATTTTTATTGCTGGGTAGTATTCCGGTATATGGAAATATCACATTTCTTTATTCATTCACCAAATGAGGGACATTAGGATTGTTTTCCATTTTGAACTATTAAAAATAATGCTGGTGGCCGGGCACAGTGGCTCACACCTGTAATCCCAGCACTTTGGGAGGCTGAGGCGGGCAGATCATGAGGTCAGGAGATCGAGACTGTCCTGGCTAACACGGTAAAACCCTGTCTCTACTAAGAATACAAAAAAAAAAAAAAAAATTAGCCGGGTGTGGTGGCAGGAGCCTGTAGTCCCAACTACTCAGGAGGCTGAGGCTGGGGAATGGCGTGAACCCAGGAGGCGGAGCTTGCTGTGAGCTGAGATCACGCCACTGCACTCCAGCCTGGGTGACAAAGCGAGACTCCGTCTCAAAAAAAAAAAAAAAAAAAAAAAAGCTGCTGCTGGCATTTGCCTGTAAGTCTTTGTATGGACATGTTTTCATTCTTCTTGGATAGATACTTATGAATGGAATGGTTGGGTTATATTGTAGGTATATGCTTAATTTTTTAAAAAACTGAAAACTGTTTTCCAAAGTGACTGTACCACTTTACATTCCCACCAGCAGTACATCAGTGTGACAGTCTCCCTACATCCTCCCCAACTTTGGTACAATCAATCTTGATTATAGACACTCTAATGGATGTGTAATATTACTTCATTGTGGTTTTAATTTGGATTTCACTGATAATTAATGATATTGAACATCTTTTCATGTGTTTATTAACCATTCAGATATTTTATTTAGTGAAGTGTCTATTCAAAGGACCTTTTGAAAACATTTGACTATTTATCTTCTTATTATTGAGTTGTAAGTGTTCTTTATATAGTCTAGAGTTTTTCTTGTGAGTTTTAAAAATAGTTTGGAGGGAAAGGGGACAAATGTTATTAATGACTTTTTTGTCAAGTCATGTTAGTAACTGTTGTACACAGTTGGAAATTCTGTGTCATTATTGTATTGAGGACACATACATACCCAACCACTATACCCCACCACTATATATCTTTCATTCCAACTTTAAAAAGACTTGACAACAAAAAAGAAATGAAGCATTAAAGCTACTTAATCACCAAAAATCCAAAAATTATAGGGCACACAGAGCCTAAGTATTTTAATGTGGCAGAGTTCTCACCAACTTAAATACAAAGTTGTGAAAACAGAAGCACCTTATATTTTTTTATTTTAAAAATATATGCAACAGTTCAGATTTTTTTTGTAAGTAGTAATTACAGTTTGAAACTTTACCAAAATGTGGATGAACTTGTTTCATCACAGAACTCTTTTCTTGAAGGATTCTTCAAGATTGACTTTTATAGAAAAGTCAACCAAGAAAAGAAGCCACATGAAATTGGAAAGACCTTTAAGCTTTATGTGCTGACAGTGAACTACTTCGCTTGGAGCAGAAGCAAATTTATGTCAGATTTCAGATCCACTTCAGGATTGTCATCATTTTTTCCAATATTTTGAAGTGAATTTTGAGGGAATTGGAAACTAACTCATTTTCCTCCAGAATGCAGCTTGATGAAAATAACTGATACTGTTCAAAGCAGTTAGTTCCTAGTTTTTGTCTGTTAACATGCATGTTGACACAATTAAAGAAAAATTCCTAATATCCAGGTCTCTTGTGAAAATTACAAAGGCTGTTAATATTAATGGCTACCGGCATCTCTGACAGACTGTTAAATTTCTTTGCCAAAATAACTACCAGAAAAAAAAAATTTTTTTTTTGAGATGGAGTTTTGCTCTTGTCACCAGGCTGAAGTGCAATGGCACTCAGCTCACTGCAACCTCCTTCTCCCAGGTTCAAGTGATTCTCCTGCCTCAGCCTCCCGAGTAGCCGGGGTTACAGGCACCCGCCACCATGCCTGGCTAATTCTTGTATTTTTATTAGAGATGGGGTTTCACCGTGTTGGCCAGGCTGTTCTCAAACTCCTGACCTCAGGTGATCCACCCACCTCAGCCTCCCAAAGTTCTGGGATTACAGGCGTGAACCACCGCGCCTGACCCCAAAAAAATTTTTGACTGTAATGAAGATCTTAGTACTCTGCACAGATGGTGCATCTTCCAAACTTAGCAATGTGCACGCTTATACTGCCTCAGAGGAGAAAGCAGCTCCACCCATTGTAATAATTCATTGCTTTTCTTTCACTGGCACATCCTGGCTTTGAAGACTCTTAGGCCTAAAAGTTTTGCCTGCTACCCCAGAAGTAATCAGTTTCATGAGAACAGGTTTTTATCAAACAAAAGGATAAAAATTTAAAATCTTCCTTTGCTTGATTAAATTTGGCAGGAGTTTTGCTTTTTAAGAGAAAAGAAAGATTAGTACAGGAGGAGTTTAATCATGGCTTGATTTACTTGGGGATATTTCGGGCTTTATGAATGAGTAATCTAATTCAAGACCTTATAGTTGTTGTTATGGATTTGGCAGAAAAATCATAAACTCTTAGCCAAGCTATTGCTCTGAGTAAGGTAAAGCCAGGAGTTTGAGACCAGCCTAGGCAACATGGTGAAACCGTCTCTACTAAAAATACAAAAAATTAGCTGGGCGTGGTGGCGCACACCTGTAGTCCTATAGTCCTGTAGACATGGACAACCATGTGAATTTTCTACTACTTGAAGTATCTCTGTAGGCCAGTCATGAATGAAAAGTTTTGTCAGTTTCTCTGTAGGCATATAGAAAAACCGCAGAGATCTTAAGGATTACCTCCACACAGAAAACCTCACAAATGAAACTTGGATTTATAATCTTTTCACTTTTGATATTGTATTGAGTAGTGTTATGAAATAATTCTCAGACAATTCTTAGTTTCCTTGCACAAGCCTAACCTAGCATCATTTCTCAAAGTGAGCTGTGATTCTATTTGTTACCATGTACCTTTCTCGGAATTTTCAGTACCACTTTTCATCAAAACAGAAAGTACACAACCTTTTGGATATCAAAGATAATATTCAATTTACCATGTTCCAAAACTAGGGCAGTATGTGACTTCTTTAGTCAAGCTAAACAATAGCAGCTTGTAATTTACATGTTCTTTCCTCTTGAATTAACATTTATTTTCTGTTTAATTTGTATATTTTATTTCTTTTTAAAAACCAGGAAATGGCCATTAATTTTGGTTCAAAACTGAGGGAAAGAATCCTTCAGGTTTTGTAAACATTTATTTTTAAAATATGGCAATATGAAGAAAATCAGTTTCCAGTGCAATAATAATTGCATTGGAATAAAATAATTTATTTTATAAATAGTAAATATAATTATAAAATTATAAATAAAATAATTTATTTTATAAATTATATCTAAAATTTTCATGTATAAACTGTTTGGATTTTTTCAGGAAATGTTGAGGAAGAAGTTCATCCATAGCTTTATCAGATTCTCAGAGGTTAATTAACCAAAAATACTAAAAAGCAGACTTTTTTAAGAGCAGTTTTATGTTCACATCCCAAATGAGAGAAGTGTACAGAAATATCCTATATATTCCCTGCCCCCAAATCCTTGCATAGTCTCCCCATGAGAGGGATACATTTGTTGTAACTGATGAGCCTGCATTGACGCATCATTACAACCCCAAGTCCATAATTTTCGTTAGGGTTTACGCTTGGTGTTTTACATCCTGTGGGTTTTGGGCAAATGTATATATGACATGTATCCACTGTTATAGTATCACACAGAGGAGTTTCACCACCCTAAAAATCCTCTGTGCTCTATCTATTCATGTCTCCCTTCTCCCTAACTCCTGGCAGGCAGGTACTAATCTTTTATTATCTCCATAATTTTACCTTTTCCAGAATGTCTTATGGTAGGAATCATACAGCATGTAGCCTTTTCTGATTGACATCTTTCACTTAGTAAGATACATTTAAGTTTTCTCTATGTCTTTTTATGGCTTGATAGCTCATTTCTTTTTAGCACTGAATAATAGTCTGTTATCTGGGTGTACCACAATTTGTCCACTTGCCTACTGAAGGACATCTTGGTTGCTTCCAAGTTTTGGCAGTTATGAATAAAGCTACTACAAACATCTGTGTGCAAGTTTTTATATGGGCATTTTTTAGCTCCTTTGGATAAATACAGAGAATTGTGGTTGGTAGCAATATGTTTATTTTTGTAAGAAAACACCAAACCGTCTACCAAAGTGGTTGTACTATTTTGTATTCCGAACAGTAATGAATGAGAGTTCCTGTTGCTTCACATCCTTGCCAGCATTTGATGTTTAACTTACAGTCTTTTCCCCTTGTTTAAACTCAGTGGAAGCAGTCATTTTTCTTCTCTTGACATTTAAAGAAAATTTTAATTATTTTACATATTTAAGTATATTTTTCTGAGATTATTGTGAAGCAAACACATTTTGTTTATACATATTAATTATAGATATTCTGTCAGGTGCAGCAGCTCACACCTGTAATCCTAGCACTTCGGGAGGCCAAGGCAGGTTGATCACCTGAGTTCAGGAGATTGAGACCAGCCTAGGCAACTTGGTAAAACCATCTCTACTAAAAATACAAAAAATTAGTCTGGGTGTGGTGGCTCATGCCTGCAATCTCAGTACTTTGCGGGGCCAAGGCGGGCAGATCACCTTAGGTCAGGAGTTCGAGACCAGCCTGGCCAACATGGCAAAACACTATCGCTACTAAAAATATAAAAATTAGCTGGGTGTGGTGGTGGGCACCTGTAATTCCAGTTACTCAGGAGGCTGAGGCAGAAGAATCGCTTGAACCCGGGAGGCAGAGGTTGCAGTGAGCCACGATTGTGCCACTGCATTCCAGCCTGGGCAACAGAGCAAGACTCCATCTCAAAAAAAATGTAAAAAAATAGAAATACAAAAAATTAGCTGGGCATGGAGGCATACACCTGTAGTTGTAGCTACTCAGGAGGCTGAGGCAGGAGGATCTCTTAAACCTGGGAGGTCAAGGCTGCAGTGAGCCCTGATCATGCCACTGCACTCCAGCCTGGGTGACAAGAATGCGACTCTGTCTCAAAAAATATATATATATAGATATTCTGAGGATATTTTTGCGGTAATGTATAAGGAAGCTCCTTATTGTCACCAAAGTAGATAGATATTTAGTTTATTCTATTAAAATGACAATCTTATATTTTGTCTAACATATAATTTAACAAAAAAGCATATAGACTTTTGGAATTATCCTTAGGAATATAAGTGATTGTTAAATTACTTGAGGGCATCTAGGCATGAAACTAGTAAAAATAAAATGTAAGACATTTATTGAGAATAATAAACTTTATTGAAGGACATAAGATAGGAATAAATGCAGAGTTATACCATGTTAATAGATATGAAGAATGAATTTATAAACTCAATGCAATGCTAATCAAAACCCCAGTAGGAGCTGATCAACTTACTTAAAAATTCACATGAAAGAGTAAAGCTATATAAAAAACTAAGATAAATTTGGAATAGGAAAACAAGGGGGCATGTGGTACCTAAGCACATATTAAGATGTATTTCTAAAACTATAATAATCAAAACAATGAAGTATTAGTATAGGAAAGATTGTTGGATCAGATTAGAGGAAGCTTGCATATATAGAAATCTGACATGTGATTGATTAGCATTGTAAAGCCAAGGAGAAAGGGCAGACTATTTAATAAATGGTGCTATTACAGTCAACTTCTCTACATTACAAAAATAAGTAAGTTCCAGATGAATTAAGGAGTAAAATGTGAAACACAAGGCTCTAAAAGGAAATAAAAATTTACATCAGAAACTAAAAACATTGAGTAGTGCTACTTTCTCTTAGCCTTATTTTTATTTATAATAGGGGGAAAATCTGGTTTTTCGATATATAAATTACGGTATACAGTCATGCATGTACTGAATAACAACAATGTTTCAGTCAACAATGGGCCACATATGTGATGTTGGTCCCAAAAGAGTATAATACTGTATTTTTACTGCACCTTTTCTGTGTTCAGAAATGTTTAGATATACAAATACTTACCACTGTGTTACAGTTGCTGACAGTATTCAGCACAGTAACATGGTATACAGGTTTGTAGCCTAAGAGCAATACCTAGATACCTACTAGGTGTGTAGTAGGCTATACCTTCTAGGTTTTGTAAATATTATCTATGATGTTCACACAGTGACAGAATCACCTAATGATGCATTTCTCAGAATGTATCCCTGTCGTTAAGCAATGTATTCATAGAATGAAATTCTATATAGGAGTGTTTTTTTCTTTTTTTAAAATTTACCACTTCCTTATATATAGGAGTTTAAGTGAATATTTCCAGAAATACGATCCAACTTTGATAAACCTCAAAGCAATGATTATCATAAAAGGCAAGTTTTAGAGGTTTGTATACACCATGATCCTTTATATATAGGAGTCTCCCCTCCACCCCTTTTTCCATGGCTTCACTTTCCATAGTTTCAGTTACCCACAGGCAACCGCAGTCTGAAAATATTAAATGGAAAATTCCAGAAATAAACAATTTTTTTTTTTGAGACAGAGTCTTGCTCTGTCACAGGCTGGAGTGCAGTGGTGCAATATCAGCTCACTGCAACCTCTGCCTCCCAGGTTCAAGCACTTCTCCTGCCTCAGTCTCCCGAGTAGCTGGGATTACAGGTGCCTGCCACCACACCCAGCTAATATTTGTATTTTCAGCAGAGACAGGGTTTCACCATGTTGGCCAGGCTGGTCTCAAACTCCTGCCCTCAAGTGATCTGCCTGCATCAGCTTCCCGAAGTGCTGGGATCACAGGTGTGAGCCACTGCACGCGGCCCAATTAATAAGTTTTAAATTGTATGCTATTCTGAGTAGTGTGATGAAATTTTGTGCTCTCCTGCTCAGTCCCACCTGGGATGTGAATCATCCCTTTGTTCCGCATATCCATGCTTTATATGCTACTCGCGCATTAGTCACTTAGTAGCTGTTTCAGTTACCGGATTGACTGTTGTAGTACTGCAGCAGTTGTGGTCAAGTAACCCTTATTTTACTTAATACTAACCCCCCATGTACAAGAGTAGTGATGCTGGCATGTTGTTTTAATTGTTCTATTTTTTTCTTAGTTCTTTCTGATAATCTCTTATTTTGCCTAATTTATAAATTAAACTTAAAAAAATTTTTTTTCTTCTTTTTTGAAAATGAAAATGTTTGACTGGCCTGGGAAGGCTCCTCCCACCCCTCAAAGCCAGAGCTAACAAAGTTGTTCCCTTTAGGGTCCAGATGGAGGGAACCAGGATAGGGACTGGGAAGGGACCAGGAAGCAATGAAGGGAAGGAGTGGAAAGGAATAATCCAAATGGAGAGGAATAAAGCCTCCAAAATCTACCTAAAAGTAGGAGATCTTAGATCCAGGGAAACTTCCTCCCAGTGTGGTCAGGGAGACAGCTGAGCTTTAGATGTCAGTGTATTGATTTCCTTTTTTATTGAGACGAAGTCTCACCCTGTCGCCCGGGCTGGAGTGCAGTGGTGCAAACTGGGCTCACTGCAACCTCCGCCTCCCGGGTTCAAGCGATTCTTCTGCCTCAGCCTCCCAAGTAACAGGGACTACAGGCACACGCCACCATGCCCAGCTAATTTTTTGCACTTTTTCACTAGAGACGGAGTTTTGCCATGTTGGCCAGGGTGATCTAGAACTCCTGACCTCAAGTAATCTGCCCGACTCGGCCTCCCAAAGTGCTGGGATTTAAGGCATGAGCCACCGCACCTGTCCTGTATAATGATTTCTGATCAAGTTGGGGGAACCTGGGGTTCTCCACAGATCCCATCCTCATAGGCCACTCGTGTCAACTGAAGAATTCCAAGGTTTATAAATTTGGAAAGGAGAACTTCATTTCTCATAAAGGGTTGCAACCTTCAGGGTGGCCATTCTAACAGGCTGGGAAGCATAGCCCCCAGTCAAAAGCCAGAAATAGGTAGTTCCTCAACTTTATCATAGGTATGTATGTATAGCAAAAAAAATACTATATATAGGGTTCTGTACTATCTGCAGCTGGGTATTCACTGAGAGTCTTAGAACATATCCTCCATGTATAGGAGATATTACTATAAAATATAAATATATGCAAAGTCATACTATATTTGGTTATTTAATACTGTACAGCAAATTACAACAAAGGGGCATAAACTAATCTTTTATTATCTCTCATGTTTCTGTGGATTAGGGATTTAGGAATAGTTTGGCTGAGCAGTTTGTAGTCTTTTGAGGGTGCAGCCCCATGTCAGTCAGGGCCTTAATCATCTGGCTTGACTGAGGCCGGAAGATCTGATTCTAAGGTGACTCACTAACATGGTTGACAAGTTTACTTTTGGTCAAGAAGGTACCACTTCTCCATGTGGGCTTCTCCATAGGGCTGCAGGATTGTCCTCATGATATGATGACCGGCTTCCCCTAGAGCAAGTGTACAAGAGACCAAAGCAGAAGTAAAGCCTATTATGACATAGTCTTGGAAGTACACATCATCACTTCAGCTGTATCATATTGGTTCTGCAGACCAGCCCTGATTTGATGTGGGTGACACTACACAGGGCATGAATATAGACAATCCCTGACTTCTGATGGTTCAACTTATGGTTTTTTGACTTTATGATGGATTTGTTGGAGTAGTAAATGCATTTTTTGACTTACAGTGGGTTTATGCAGAGGTAATCTCATCATAAGTCAAGAGGCATCTATACTATCTTAGTCCATTTCTTTGCTGCTATATCAATTGCAAACTGAGTAATTTATGAAGAAAAGATTGATTTGGCTTACAGTTCTGGGAAATCCAAGATCGAGGAGTCCATCTAGTGAGGGTCTTCTTGCTGCATTGTAACATGTCAGAAGGCATCACATGGTGAGGAAGTGTGCACAGAAGACAGAGAGGGGAAATTGACTTGAACTCACCGTTTTTGGGAGTGGATTTTATCAGGAATCCACTCCCCCAGTAACTAACCCACTCCTATGATAATGGCAAAAATCCAGTTATGGGGCAGAGCCTTCATGACCTAATCACCTCTTAAAGGTCCTGCCTCTCAACACTGTTAAAGTGGCAATTAAATTTCAAGGTGAGTTTTGGAGGAGACATTCAAACCATAGCAAATACTTACAGGCAAGAATTATAGAGAGCCTTCTTGAAGGCTGGCTATCACAGTACTAAATATTGTGTATTGAGATATATGTTTGTGTATGTGTGTGTGTGTGTCTGCCTGTGCGTGTGTGTATGTATAAATGGATGGAAATGGTAAACACCAACTACCAACTTCAGGATAGTGGCTTCATTTGGAAAAAGATCACCCTGCTTCAGTGTGGAAAATTGAACTGGAGCAAGGCTGGAATTAAGGACTCCAATTACAATGTAGCTGATAGAAGAAAGAGATGGTGGTGGCCTGGACTAAAATGGTGGTAGTGTAGACAGTATCAGAGGGCTTAGAGCTGTTTAAAAAATAGAATGAAAGGGCCGGGGTTGGTGGCTCACACCTGTAATCCCAGCACTTTGGGAGGCCGAGACGGGTGGATCACGAGGTCAGGCATTCGAGACCAGCCTGGCCAACATAGTGAAACCATGTCTCTACTAAAAATACAAAAAAATTAGCCGGGCATGGTGGCAGGCACCTGTAATCCCAGCTACTCGGGAGGCTGAGGCAGGAGAATCGCTTGAGCCTGGGAGGCGCAGGTTGCCGTGAGCTGAGATTCTGCCACTGCACTCCAGCGTGGGTGATAGAGCAAGACTCCAAAAAAAAAAAAAAAAAAAATCGAATGAAAGCACATGATGACTGATAAGATATGAGGAATGTCAGATTCTGGCTCTATGAATAGTCAAGGATGCCAGGTAATTTTCTGGCTTGGTCAAAAATAAAATAATGGTGGTGTTATTGGTTGAGATTATGGGTGGTTAGGGAAGATGGATTCACTTTTAGGACTTTTGAGTTTCAGTTATGGCTGTGGGAGACCCAATTTCTAGCAGACAATTGAATATAGGCTTGGGATATCATCAGCATTTACATGAGACTTTGGGAGGACGTGAGATTTCCTAGAGAGTGTGTGAATTGAGAAGCACAGAGGCCTAGGACAAAGCACTTAGAAACTTTTAAGGGATGAATAGAGGAAGAATAGCTTATGAGGGGAAATTAGAAGGTCTAGACAGAAAGAAAAGCTAGAAGCATCATAGAAGCTGGTGGGGAAACTTTTTACAAAGGGAGGGAGTCGTTAACATCATTAGATACTGCTAAAACAAGCAAGTTAAGAGCTAAAATTTCTACTGAATTTAGCAACCTAATGTCATGTGTGACCTAGAAGAGGATTTCTTAGTCAAATGATGAGATCCAAATTGCATTGGATTGAACTCTGTGACCTTAGCAGTATTATCTTTTTCTTTTTTTTTTTTTTTTAGACAGAATTTTGCTCTTGTTGCCCAGGCTGGAGTGCAGTGGCACGATCTCAGCTCACTGCAACCTCCGCCTCCCAGGTTCAAGTAATTCTCTTGCCTCAGGTGCCTGAATAGCTAGGATTACAGGTGTCTGCCACCACACCCAGCTAATTTTTTGTATTTTTAGTAGAGATGGAGTTTCACCATGTTGGCCAGACTGGTCTCGAACTCCTGACCTCAGGTGAGCCACCGCGCCTGGCCCAGGAATATTATCTAACGTTACTAGACTCTGTTATTCTTAGCTGCAAAAGAAGGATGTTAGTTTGTATGATCTGTCTGGCCTTCCAACACTGAAATTCTATGATTATATCTCACACTTATGATGCAGAATATTACAGAAAATGGGGAGGAAATCGACAATGTTAAGATCATAAGCCCCTGAAATCATCCATCATATATAGTTCTACTCCAAGTAGCTTTGCGGAAAAACCCCAACATGTGCTTCCTTGTGTACCAAGTCCCTTTCATAATAAGCCCTCAAGATATATACAGGTGATATATTTTAGTGGAGATTTTACTCATTGTTTTGAACACCAGCCAAACTTCATACTATATATTTTTACAAGCATTTAAAAAATATTTTACAAAATAACAAGCATTTGTATTTTATGACTGTTTTTTTCAACTCCTGATGCCTCAAAGGCATTTTTAAAATATGTATTCCTTCTTCAAATGCAATTGTTTGTAGTTCCTGCACTACTCTTCTTAGTCTGCACAATTCCGCATCTTTTGGTTTTTATGCCTAAATCTGTTATCATGTTCTAGCTCTAAGTATTCATGTTGAATGCTCCATAATTTCTAGGCTTTTTTTGAAGCACACTGCTCTGGAACATACTTATATTATTTCTTACTTTATTCACATGGAAATCAAAGCAAAAGATTAAAAAATTCAACCAAACAGCCACTTGATGCAATTTATACTTTAAAAGAATATTTTTTATCTAGGTAATAGTAGCTGACAACTGTCATTAGCTTATGAATACCCATTGTGACTTCGCTACAGCCAGCTGTTTATTGTTTATATTGTGAAACTTGAGGAACCTTGGCAATAGTTATTCCTGAGTTGCAAACTAAGAAATCTAACGTTGACATTACAGTCTACTGTGTAGGAAAGAAGTAGGCATTGGGATTTCAAAAGCAGTATAATAAAGGCTTGTCAGCTCTGAATTGCATTATTCCTTGTAGAGTTTCTCAAAAGCTTTCTTATTTCATTCCCTTGAAAAAAGCATCATGCTCTTTAAAGGAAGAAGTTAAATTGGGTATGAAAGACCTTCATATTCTCTGTTGACTTTGTCTCAGTTATTTTAAAACAGTAACCCCTAAGCATTTACCTGTGAAACTGATGTTTTAGTGCATTTGTAACTGCCCAACAGCTTCTCTGTGCCCACTGCCTAGATAGAACCAATTTGTCAAGAGAGGAGAACTGCAATAGAGAAAGAGTTTAATTCACACAGAGCTGGCTGAACAGGAGACTGGAGTTTTATTACTCAAATTAGTCTCCCCAAATTGGAGACCAGGATTCTTCAAGGATAGTTTGGTGGGCAGGGGGCTAAGGGAATGAGTGCTGCTGATTGGTTGTGGATGCAGTCATAGGGGTGTGGAAAATGGTCCTCATGTGCTGAGTCCTCTTCTGGGTGGGGGCCACAGGAGCCTGAAAGGACATCTCAAAAGGCCAATCTTAGGTTCTACAACAGTGATGTTATCTGCATGAGTGGGTGTGGGGAAGTTGCAAATCTTGTGACCTCTGGAATAATGGCTTGGTGTAATCCCTTCCACTTACATCTTAGCAGAATTCAGCCTCCTCCCATCTTCCTAACCTGTTGCTCTTTCGTTAGTTTTTGTGAAGGCAGTTTATTTTGGGGGAAGGCATATTATTTAAACTAAAAACTAAATTTCTCCCAAAGCTAGCTAGGCCCAAGCCCAGGAATGACCAAGGGCAGTTTGGAGGTTAAAGGAAATATGGGGTTGGTTAGATTAGGTGTCTTTCACTGTCATAATTTTCTCACTTTTATAATTTTTGCAAAGACAGCTTCAAGATCCTCCAAATATATTTCAGACTCACAGATTCTATCTCGTATTTCAATTCAACTCTCTCTACTTCTTGATCTGTGGTTACTCTTTTTCACATACAGAAAGGGGATAATTGGATAATTTAATCACTAATCTTAATGACTTCGTCATCATTACTGCCTATAGAAAAGATAGAAATATTCTCATGTTAGTGGTTCTGACTTCAGGAAACAGTAGATTAATTGTTAAGGATTCTTTTAGAACAAGAAGGAATATAACAAATTTTAAAAATATCTTTAGGTATTGCAGACTTTAGATAGTACATGCTATATATTCAATTCAAATTACTATTTTGACCTCTTCTTCCTTAGGAAACAGACTATTCCTTTGGAAGGAAAAAGGCAATAAGGATTTCTGATTTTGCCTTTTAGTTTTTATGTAAAAATTCAAATCGTACATCCATGAAGTATTAGCTGCTATGGGAATTACTATCCTGCTATAAACAACTAGAACACCAGAC
Source organism: Homo sapiens (assembly GCF_000001405.40). Taxonomy (NCBI): domain Eukaryota; kingdom Metazoa; phylum Chordata; class Mammalia; order Primates; family Hominidae; genus Homo; species Homo sapiens. Next base: position 72,852,500 of record NC_000010.11, read on the forward strand.
AAAATATCTGAAACAACTGTTTTCAGACACTGGACAATAGGCACACAGGACTGTGATGCCTGAGATAAGAGGAACAAATGAGTTGAACCCTGCATTGGTTGAGTTTACAGCCTGAGGCGGCCTCTAAATTGCATCACAGAGAGGGGAAACAGAGCTTGGCCATCTAGTTAAGATGAAGAAACAGAGATCAGAGTTTGTAAATCCCAAGGCAGCTAGAATTTATGAGACAGAGGTTTACAGAGGAAGGAGCTATGAAGAGAAAGAGGAGTCTCGGAAATCTGCATAGGCATCCTGTGAGGCTTTGGCTGAATTCTAAACCACAAGACCAGGCTAGAACAACTTCCTAGAACATAACTATTGCCAGTAATATAAAATGAATAATTTTGCTTCCCTCTAGCCACAGTAGAGAGATAGCCTTGGACACATGAACATTTGGTAGACATTCTCAGAAGAACCATATCTTAGAAGTAGGGACAAATTGGTCCTAGAATAAAGGATTCTCTAGATCTGTCCTAAAATAATTTTTTGAAGTCTTGAAAGGGCCAAACTAACATGCAACTAATTTAACTATACAAGATCCAGCACTCAACAATGTAAAATTAAAAATTTCTAACCACCAATCAAAAATTACTAGGCATATGAAGAAGCAAAAAATAAGCCTTCCAAAAATTCAGTCAATGAACAGACCTAGAAATGTCAGAGATAATGGAATAAACAGCCAAGAATGTTAAAATAGCTATTATAAATATGATCCTTATGCTCATAGAGAAAAGGAAAAATATAAGTATAATGTGAAAAGAAATGGAAGATATAAAAAGAAATGCAACTTCTAGAGGTGAAAAATATGTCTGAAATGAAAACACCATATAGATGGAATTACCAGGAAATTAGACACTGCAGAAGAAAAAAATCCATGATGTTGAAGTATATTGCAATTAAAACTATCCAAAATGAAACTGAGAGGGGGAAAAAAGCCCCTGAAATGTATGAAGAAAGCCTCAGTGACCTGTGGGACAATATCACAATGGCCTAACATAAGTGTAATTGGAATCCCAGAAGGGTAGCAGACAGAAAAAAATAATAGTTGAATAAAGGTCAAAAGTTTTCCAAATTTGAGGAAAGCCAGATCTAAAAAATCTAACAACTCCCAACCATTCATAAAGAAAAGCAAAGCACATCACAGTCAAATTGTTGAAAACCAGTGATAAAAGGAAAATGTTGAAAAGCAGGCAGAGGGCTGGGCATGGTGGCTTACACCTGTGAGCCCAGCATTTTGGGAAGCCGAGGCAGGAGGATTGCTTGAGACCAGCCTGGGCAACATAGTGAGACCCTGTCTCTACAAAAATAAAAATTAAAAATTAAAATTAAAAAAATTAGCTGGCCCAGCACTTTGGGAGGCTGAGGCAGGTGGATCCCCTGAGGTCAGGAGTTCGAGAACAGCCTGGCCAACGTGGTGAAACCCTATCTCTACTAAAAATACAAAAATTTGCTAAGTGTGGTGGTGTGTACCTGTAATCCCAGCTATTGGGGAGGCTGAGGCAGGAGAATCGCTTGAAGGTGGTGAAGGCTACAGTGAGCCAAGATCACACCACTGCACTCCAGCCTGGGTGACAGAGCAAGACTCTGTCTCAAAAATAAAATAAATTAGCTGGGCATGGTGGCACATGCCTGTAGTCCCAGCTACTTTGGAGGCTGAGGCGGGAGTATCCAGTGAGCCCAGTAGTTTGAGACTGAGTAACCCATGATGGTGCCACTGAACTCCAGCCTGGGCAACGGAATGAGACCCTGTCTTTATTAAAAAGTAAAAGTTTTAAAAAGGCAGACAGAGGAAAAAAGACATAGAGGAACAAAGATAAGAATATACACAAACTCATATCATATACTATGCAAAACAAAATTTCTTTAAAAGATAATCAAAAGGTAAACCACACAAAAATAATGTGCAGTTTATAATATATGTAGAAAAACGTGTGAGAACAATACCACGAAGAATGCAAGCAGGGGGAATGGAAGTATTTGTTGTAAGGTCCTCTAAACTATACCTAAAGTGATATTATATTATTTGAAGACTGACTGTGATATGGTAAAGATGTATAACATAGAGCAGAATTCAGCAAACTATGACCTTCAGCAGTGCTCCTCAACCTTTTTGGCACCAGGGACCAGTTTTGTGTAAGACACTTTTTCGATGGTACCAGTCTGTGGCCTGGGGGTTGGCGACCCCCTAACCTACAGGCCAAAGCCAGCCTATTGCTTATTATAAATAAAGTTTGTTGGAACACAGCCATGCCTATTTGTTTACATATTGCCTGTGGCTGCTTTTGCACCACAGTAACAGAGTTTGTAGTTGTAACAGAGATCTTATGACCCACAGAGTCTAAAATATTTAATACCTCAGCCTTTACAGAAAAAAGTTTAGCAATACTTGCTCTAGAGTAATGCTTAAAAAAATAAAATAAGGGCCAGGTGTGGTGGCTTACGCCTGTAATCCCAGCACTTTGGGAGGCCAAGGCGGGCGGATCATTTGAGGTCAGGAGTTTGAGACCATCCTGGCCAACATAGTGAAACCCTGTCTCTACTAAAGAAAAATTAGTATGGTTGTGGTGATGGGTACCTGTAGTCTCAGCTACCCAGGAGGTAGAGGCAGGAGAATGGCTTGAACTCAGGAGGTGGAGGTTGCAGTGAGCCAAGATCCCACTATTGCACTCCAGCCTGGGCAACAGAGCAAGACCCTATCTCAAAAAAAATAAAAATAAATAAAATAAGGTATATTTAATAAGTCAATAGCAGAGATTAGCCTGAGCATTGTGGCTCAATACTGTAATTCCAGCACTTTGGGATGCTGAGGTGTGAGAATAGCTTGAGTCCAGGAGTTCAAGGTCAGCCTGGGCAACATAGTGAGACCCTGTCTCTACCCCCACCAAAAAAAAAAATTATCCAGGCACAGTTACATATGCCTATAGTCCTAGCCACTCAGGAAGCTGAGGTAGGAGGATCACTTGAGCCCAGGAGATCAAGGCTGCAGTGAGCTGTGATCACACCACTGTACTCCAGGCTGGGAGACAGATTAGGACCCTGTCTCTAAAAAAAGAGATTAAATTATAATAAATAGTGATTAAATGAAAAAATCCTTTTTAAAGAGATTAAAAGATAGTAAATCTAAAAATGGCAAGAATAGAGGAAAAGTAGAAGAAAGAACAGTAGGGTCAAAAAGAAAATAAGTAGTAAGATGGTAAGACTTATATTCAGCCATACTTAAATTACATTAAATGCAAATAATATACATACTTTAATTAAAAGGCAGAGATTGTTAGATTGGATAAAATAGCAAGACCCAACTATAAGCTTTCTACAGGAAACTCACTTTAAATAAAACATGGATAAGGTAAAAGGATAGGGAAAGATATACTATGAAAACATGTCACACAAAGGCTTGTATGCAAATAATCATAAAAGCTTTATTCATAGTAGCCAAAACCTGGAAACAACCCAGATGTTCGTCAACTGGATAAACAAGTTGTGGTGTGTCTATGCATTGACACCCTTCTCAGCAATACAAATGAATGACTACTAATGAACTAGTTAATTAATGAACTACTAATAACAACATAGGTGAATCTCATAATCATGCCAAGAGAAAGAAGCCAGATATAAAAGGGTCCATAGCGTGATTTTATTTATATAAAAATCTATAAAAACCTAATATAATCTGTGGTGACAAAATCAGATCAATGGTTACCCAGGGATTAACTGGGATGGGGATCAGAGAATTTGGGGGAATCATAGAAATGTTCTTTATTTTGATTCTTATGTAAAAACTCATCAGATTTCCATTTTAAGTAAGAATGTATTTTGTTATTTATAAACTATGTCTCAATTAGGTTTATTTCTTGAAAATTCAAATCATGAAAGATTTTAGTGTGAAGATTTTGTATATAATGTAGGCCTTATGAATTACTAGAATAGACAAGGAAATAAGATGTAAATGTCTACAACTACAACTATGGAAAGCTTGATGCATTTTGGATTTCCAAAACATTAATCTTAACATATGTTTGCTATAAACTCTTTGATTAGTAGGGATATAAATCCTTAGAAGCATAATAGAATGTAATTTTTGACTCTTACTTTATTTTTAAAAATTGTTTTTAGAAGCCAGGCATAGTGGCTCATGGCTTTAGTCCCAGCACTTTGGGTGGCCAAGGTGGGTCGCTGCTCAAGCTCAGGAGTTCAAGACCAGCCTGGGCAACGTGGTGAAACCCTGTCTCTAAAAAAAAAAAAAAAAAAAAAAAAAATAGCCTGGCATGGTGGTGCACGCCTGTAGTTCCCAGCAACTTGGGAGCCTGAGGCAAAAGAATCGCTTGAGCTTGGGAGCTCGAGTCTGCAGTGAGCTGTGATCATGCCGCTGCACTCCTGGGTGATAGAGCAAGATGTCTCAAAAAAAAAAAAAAAAAAAAAGGTTTTAGACATGGGGTCCCACTCGGTTGCTCAGGCTGGAGTGCAGTGGCACAATCATAGCTCACTGTAGATTCAAACTCCTGGGCTCAAGCAATCCTTCTGCCTCAGCCTCCTGAGTAGCTGAGACTACAGACACATGTCGCCACATCTGGTCAACTTTTGATTCTTCAAAGAAGCTAGTAAGGAAACATTATCATTTATGTATCATGTAATATGCTAAGTGTTTTAAATTATTTATGTATTTCACTCATTTCTCACAACAGCTCTGTGAGTTAGGGATTAAACCCCCCCCTTTTTTTTTCAGACAGATTCTCACTCTGTTGCCAGGCTGGAGTGCAGTGTCGCGATCTTGGCTCACTGCAGCCTCCACCTCCTGGGTTGAAGTGATTCTCCTGCCTCAGCCTCCCGAGTAGCTGGGACTACAAGCGTGCACCACCATGCCCAGCTAATTTTTTTATTTTTAGTAGAGACAGGGTTTTACCACATTGGCCAAGATGGTCTCAATCTCTTGACCTCATGATCTGCCCACCTCGGCCTCCCAAAGTGCTGGGATTACAGGCATGAGCCACCATGCCTGGCCAAAGCCCATTTTATATACGAAAAAAGTGAGGCTCAGAGAAGTTATATAATACACCCAAAATTACAGAGCCAAGGTTCAGTCCCATATTTGACTCCAAAGCCTGTTTTCTTTCCTCAGTGCTAACATCATCTTTAAATGCTCAGTTGCTTATGTAAAAATTTTTTATTTTAAAAATGCATTTTTAAAAAAATGTATGTGAAAATTATTCCAAAAGAGGGCTATTTTGATAGTTGTTCTACTGGGACCCTACAAATCAAGAATACTGAGGGAGAAAATAAGGAAATAGGCATTCTATGCTATACTTTTGTAGAAGATCCCTTCAATTTAATAGTTCATAATAAATTTTCCCTTCATAACATTTTGTTATAAAATCTTAAACATCTGAGTTTTGGTTCTGTCTAGCCAAGCTCATGAAGACATTCAAGAGAACATGAATTGTTTTTGATAGAATGCTAACTTATGACAACTGAAGAATGGCGAGGTTCATAAATTTGGAAAGGAGACCTATATTTCTCATAAAGGTTGCAGGCTGCAGGGTGGCCATTCTGACAGGCTGGGAAGTGTAGCCTCCATTCAGAAGCCAAAAACAGACACTTTGAGGAAGAGGCAAAAAGAACAGGATGCATGCTGAGCAGGGTGGCCAAATATACATACTCAGTACGCTATAGGAGAGGCCATGCATATTTATGAAAGGAGAAATGTGTGTATGCACAACTGATCTTCATGCCCCTTCATGGGTCCCGTGTACAAAAAATGGCTGCGTCAGCATGATCTGAGGGTGGAGTTTTCAGCTCTCTGGCATCAAAAGATGAAGCAGAGGGTGTGAAAACCCTCACTGCGCATTCTCTGTAGACTGGCCAGAACCACTCCACGGTCGGTGGCCTCTTGTCAGGCAAAAAAAAGGGGCAGTGTTGGTCAGTTAATTGGTTGATATCAGTGGTGGAGTCTTCTGAAAGGGCTAGTTTCTCTTAAGCCCTTAGGAAAGAATGCCTAATGGTGGCTAGCAAGGAAGGGGTATAATGAATTGTGTCTGACCTCCCATCCTGTCATGGCTGAGAACTTAGCTTTAAAGGTTTACCCTGGGGTCCCCTTGGCCAAGAGGGGGTCCATTCAGTCAGTTGAGGGGCTTAGGATTTCACTTTTGTTTCTCACTTATCAGCTTGGATATAATACTGTACTATATATACATGAATTGACTGTTTTGGAGTAAGAGTCTCACTTATTAGTGTACTTCTTGAAAGCTCTGGATCCCGAGAGCCACGTCCTACAGGCTATGAAGTCTAGCCCAGCAATCTCTGACTGCTTAATAAAATCTTGCTAAATGGAACCAGGGCTTGTATTCACCAATATCAAGAACTTCACCTGATATCCTTGGGAAAGCCTCTCCTTGACCCACTCAGAAGACAGTTCCTTGCCTGTTTTTTCATATCTGTAAAATGAGCTATGTGATCCATTTGATCTTTTATAAGCCAGTTCCCAGAATAACCTTCAACTAAAGCTAAAGGGCATGTTCTTAAACCTTCTTTGAAAACATTTTAAATCACACTAATAATAGACCCCCATGCAAGAATGGTAATAATGTGACTTTAACTTACATTGAAATCCAATTATCATATGTTTGTGGGTCTTTTTCATTCAGATGTTACAGTGGTTTATCAAAATGGGTTACCTGTGATATCTGTGAGGCTACCATCCCGGCGTGAACGCTGTCAGTTCACACTCAAGCCTATCTCTGACTCTGTTGGTGTATTTTTACGACAACTGCAAGAAGAGGATCGGGGAATTGACAGAGTTGCTATCTATTCACCAGGTATAGTCACCATCATTATTAATTACCATCTATCCCTCATTTCACCCCACACCATTTCTAGACACATACATACACCACACACGTAGCTACAAAAGAACCCTATACTGTTAACTTCAGAAAACTTTTTTCTTTTGCTTAGCACTTACCAGGAGAGAAAGGGATTTCTCTCCCAGTGGTACTCAGAGTATAATTGATCGGTTTTAGCAAATGTGTATGCACAGGGAATCTCATTCAAAAGCAGCTCACATATAATGCCATGAGCAAGGATGAACAATCAATCACATTTTATATTATTGAGACTTTTTATCATTACTTTCGGTGTAGAATAAATACTTCCAGTAGTTAAACCCTCATCTCTGGAAAGAAAAGTTTGCCAAAATAAAGAAGTATATAATTTGAAAAGAATATAAACTAAGGCACTAAAAATTACCATTTTATGTATTTAATTTATTTATTTTTTAATCTTTTTAAGTTTTTTTCCCATTGTGTTTTCCCCATTTTTACTTTAAAATTTTTCAAACCTGCAGAAAACTTGAAAGGTAAGTACAATAAATGCCCATTTACCCTTCACCTGGATTCACCAGTTAACAATTACCACATTTCTACTCATCTGGCAATATAATTAGTAGACCAGCTGGTGGATGTATAATACTTTGCTAACCCCAGCGTCTATCTCTACTGAATTATTGGCAACTAATCAGTGACTATACTGAAAAGTACCATATGTCAGAAAATTTTTTTTTGACTCAACCAGCTTCCATTATAGGCAGTATTAAGCCCATACAGCTGTCCCAGTGACCCTAGATTTCCAATGTACACCTATAGAACTATGACCATTAATTATTTCACTTGTTCATATAGTTCACAGGAAAAGCTGTTGTTAAATCTTCACAAACTTGAGTCCTAAAAACAGAGCTTCAACCTAAACTTTGTTTGCATAGGAAATGAGGCAAAAAGTTAACTGAAATTTTAAAAGGAAGAGGTAATTTTTAAAAACGATTTTGAAGATTGAATTTTCCTGACCATTCTTGAATAATTATGGACCTATGACAAGTTTCATTTGAAATTTTCACAGATGGTGTTCGCGTTGCTGCTTCAACAGGAATAGACCTCCTCCTCCTTGATGACTTTAAGCTGGTCATTAATGACTTAACATACCACGTACGACCACCAAAAAGAGGTAAAATAGTAACCTTGGTAAGGTCACAGAAATGTGGGAAGGGCTTTTGGAAATAACTTTATTTTTTTTCCTTGGGTAACCTTGAGAAACAGACAGTATTCAAAGAACACTGAAAGTTTTATATACAGATAGACACTATTTCAGTTGAAGAGCTCATTGAGTACTTGGCACTTGGCTAGTACGTCGACAAAAATCACTTCGATTCTGCCTAGATTCCAGAATGCTTCATTATCTGATATTGTCACTCTGTTTCACATAAATGAATGTCCTACATAACTGAAGCCCCTTCCCTTCATAAAGGCCAAAAGTCATACTACTTTAATAACATTGCAGGGGATATCTTTTTAAAATAAGCTATAGGCTTCTCTGTTCTCTTAAGCATTGTAATAAGTATTGAGCTTTTTTTATGGCTCAAGGTCAGCAATCTGAAAGTCAGTTATTGTACAATAATAATAGTTCTTAGGAACTTCTGACATGGTGCATGGTTTTTTGTTGTTGTTGTTTTTTGTTTTTTTGAGACAAGATCTCACCCTGTCACCCAGGATGGAGTGCAGTGGCATAATCACAGCTCACTGCAGCCTCGACCTCAAGTTATCCTCCTGCCTCATCCTCTCAAGCAGCTGGAGTAGCTTGGACTACAGGCATGTGCCACCATGCCTGGATAATTTTTTTTCTTTTTGTAGAGATGAAGTCTCACTATGTCACCCAGGCTGGTCTTGAACTTCTGGGCTCAAGCACTCCTCCCTCTCTGTCCTCCCAGAGTGTTGCGATTACAGGCATGAACCACTGTTCCCAGCCTGTATATGCTTTTATGGGAAAAGGAAAGGTGCTCTTCTCAGACACAAATTGTAAGAGGGCACCAAAAAACTCGGTAATCAAGATAAAGAATTGTTGGGTTTTTTTGTTTGGGTTTTTTTTTTTAAGAGTCTCACTCTGTCGCCCAGGCTGGAGCCCAGTGACATGACACTGGCTTACTGCAGCCTCCACTTCCCAGGTTCAAGCCAGATACGGGTTTCACCATATTGGTCAGGCTGGTCTCGGACTCTTGACCTCAGGTGATCCATCCACCTTGGCCTCCCAAAGTGCTGTGATTACAGGCATGAGCCACTATGCCCAGCCGCCAGGCTAATTTTTTTTTTTTTTTTTTTTAGTAGAGATGGGGTTTTGCCATGTTGGCCAGAATGGTTTTGAACTCCTGACCTCAAGTTATCTACCTGCCTCAGCCTCCCAAAGTGCCGAGATTATAGCCGTGAGTCACCGCACCCAGCAAGATAAATAGTATTTTTATGTACTATTTTAAAAAACCAGAGTTAATGCAAAAAATGCATGATGAACAAAATTTTAAATAAAGACAGAGTCAGTATTACTAATATTTCTTTTCATCCTAGCCTCTACTATGGCTCTGCACAGTACAATGCTAAGTAGCCCTCTAAAATAGCGTTTTGAGTTGTGTCTTTTTTTTTTTTTTTTTTGAGACTGAGTCTTGCTCTGTCACCCAGGCTGGAGTGCAGTGGCACAATATCGGCTCACTGCAAGTTCCGCCTCCCAGGTTCACGCCATTCTCCTGCCTCAACCTCCTGAGTAGCTGGGACTACAGGTGCCCGCCACCACGCCTGGCTAATTTTTTGTATTTTTAGTAGAGACGGGGTTTCACCGTGTTAGCCAGGATGGTCTCGATCTCCTGACCTTGTGATCTGCCCGCCTCGGCCTCCCAAAGTGCTGGGATTACAGGCGTGAGCCACCGCACCCGGCCGAGTTGTGTCTTTTTTGGTCCTGTTTCTCTATTTACCCTTAATATTCATTGTAACTCACTGCTGTTGTTAATGCCCCTTCCACCACTCCTTCCACCAGCCCCATAGGACAGCAGTTCCCAACCTTTTTGGCACCAGGGACCAGTTTTGTTAAAGATAATTTTTCCACTGACAGTGGGGGCGGGGGCAGAGGCAGTGGTTTTGGAATGAAACTTTCACCTCAGATCCTCAGGCATCAGTTAGATTCTCATAAGAAGCGCACAACCTAGATCCCTCACATGCACAATTTACAATAGGGTTTGTGCCCTATGAGATCTAATGCTGCTGCTGATCTGACAGGAGGTGGAGCTCAGGCAGTAATGCTCACTCACTGGCCTCCTCCTGTGCAGCCTGGTTCCTAACAGGCCACTGACCAGTACTGGTTCGCACCCCAGGGGTGGGGGACCACTGCTGTAGGACATTCCTTCTTTTCAATCCTGCTTTTAAGAATTGGGTTTAGGCCTGGTAAGGTGGCTCACACCTGTAATCCCAGCACTTTAGGAAGCCGAGGCAGGAGGATTGCTTAAGACCAGGAGTTTGGGACCAGCCTGGGCAACACAGTAGCAACCAGCCTGGGCAACACATCTTTTTAAAAAAAAAGAAAAAAAAAAAAGAAAGAATTGGGTCTAACATAGAAAAGTTCTGAGTGAAACCCTGTTATTAAATTCCTCTATAATCTGGTCCCCATCTACCTTTTAAAATGTTTTCTTTCCCTCCTACATGTTGCCTACTTTCTCTCCACTGTGTATTCCTTCATGGTTTCCTGAACTATGCCCCGTTCTTTTCCATCTCACTGTTTGCCCACTTTCCTCTGCCTAAGATGTCTTTCTTCCTAACCCCTGTTTTCTCAAGTCAAAATTGTCAATATTGACTCTTCCAATAAGCCTTTAATGATCATACTCTTTCTGTCTCTGACCCCTGACCAACCAAAAATGATTAATCTCTTCTCTGAATTTTGCTTCGTCCTTTTCTTTGATGCTGTGAGGGAAGGCACTGTGATTTTGTATTCCCCATTGATTCCTTCTATATTGAGTGAATTAAATGTGTTCGCTGGGTAGCATTTTGATTGTGCAGAGGCCATATTCACTTTCTTTAAGCTAAATGAGAGGGAGCTAGCTGGGAGAAAGTATAGAAAAGTATCCTTAAATAGAATGGAAAGATATTCTTTAAATACAGTTGATTGTTGAACAAAGCAGGTTTGAAAAAACTTGCAAACGAACCACATAACCTAGAAATATCCAAAAACATTAAGAAAAGTATGTCATGAATGCATGAAATATATGTAGATACAAGTCTATCTTATTTTATTTTATTTTTGAGACGGAGTCTCTCTCTGTCCCCCAGGCTGGAGTGCAGCAGTGCAATCTCAGCTCACTGCAACCTCTGCCTCCTGGGTTCAAATTATTCTCCTCCCTCAGCCTCCCTGTAACTGGGATTACAGGCACGTGCCACCATGCCTGGCTAATTTTTGTATTTTTAGTAGAGATGGGGTTTCACCATGTTGGCCAGGCAGGTCTTGAACTCCTGACCTTAGGTGATCCACCCACCTTGGCCTCCCAAAGTGCTGGGATTACAGGCATGAACCACCATGCCCTTCCTATTTTCTATCGTTTACTACCATAAAATATATACATATCTATTATAAAAAGTTAAAAATTATCAAAACTTATGCACACACTTACAGACCATGCATGATGCCATTTGCAGTTGAGAGAAGTGTAAACAAATGTAAAGATGCAGTGTTAAATAATATCTGCATAAAATTGACTCTGGTACATAGTATACTACTCTAGTAATTTCATAGCCACCTCTTGTTGCTATTGCGGTAAACTCAAGTGTTTTTAATATCACATACCACACAGTTTTAAAATGCTGTGTGGTGCTAATTATCTCCTCATGGGTAGTTCTTCTTTCTAGTAAATTGTCTATTGCAGTAAAAATTGATCTCCTGCAGTTCTCAAAATTTTTTTGTGTTTAGTCCACCATGGGACCCATACGAAGTGCTACCAGTGATGCTGGAAGTGCTCCCAAGAAGCAGAAAAAAGTGATATGACATTGCAAGAAAAAGTTGGATTGCTTGATACGTACCGTAGACTGAGGTCTGCAGCTACAGTTGCCCATCATTTTAGACAGATGATTTATCTTGTAAACAGACAATGTAAACTTACAATGTAGATAAATACAGTACAGCACTATAAATTTATTTTCCCTTCTTTATGATTTTAATGTTTTATTTTCTCTAGCTTACTTTACTGTAAGAATACAGTATATAATACATATACAAAACATTCATTAATTATGTTATTGGTAAGGCTTCTAGTCCAGGTAGGCCATTAGTAGTTAAGTTTTTGAGGTTTCAAAAGTTGCAGGGGGGTGGTGCCCCAACACCCCCGCCACATTGTTCAAGGGTCAACTGTAGTAAGACATTATCGAATCAGATTTTTTGAAGTTGGAATAATTAAACATGTAGATCAGGGACAGTTAGCCATTTATCAGCTATGCTAATGTGTTTTTCTTCTTTATTCCCTGATTCTTGGGCTAGAAGTTCTCTTTAAAATAACAGAAGTACAGGGCCTATTTTACAGAGGTGTGTTTTTGTGTAAATTACTTAGAGAGTTCATCTGTTTAGATTTTCTGTTGGTAACATTCTGAAAGTTCACTAATATATTCCTATATAAAGTATAACAATCAGGAAAGTTAAGATGTGAGTTTCCATGTATTATGTTGTCAAAAACTAAAGGTATATTAATCAATTAATAAATACCAACCATTCCTGTAATAACCGTATTTTTTAAACAGAAATGAACGTTTAGTTTTTTAAATAAAGCTTTTCTCAAATTGAATAAGAAAAGGCAGAAATTGAAAAAACAGGGGATTGTATTTGATTCCCTGGTGATTTGGCAGCCTAAAACAACCCGTTGCTTTATCTGTATCCAGGAACTCTGGAATATCTACCTTGCTTCTCTAGAAGTAAATTAGGGTATAAAGCTTGCAAGGGTCAAAAATCTGTAATTCATGGAAATAATCATAAATTGAAGTGTGAACTTAAGTAATTCAATAGCAGCATTGGTGTAGAATTTCAAAAGACCTTTTTAATGTTTAGATGCACACATCATAGCTCTCTTAGTTCTGTTATTTGCTAGTGAGAGATTATGCCATCAGCATCTCTCACAGAAACTCAATATGATTTTAAATCCATAAACAGTTTGTTTTCCTTGATTTTAAATTTAATTATTTTTCTGAGACAGGGTCTCACTCTGTCACCCAGGCTGGAGTGCAGTGGTGTGATCACAGCTCATTGCAGCCCTGACCTCCCAGACTCAAGCAGATCCTCCCACCTCAGCATCCCAAGTAGCTAGGACTATAGGCACATGCCACACGCCGGCAAATTTTTTATTTTTTGTAGAGATGAGGTTTCCCTATGTTGCCCAGGCTGTGTGGTTTTGTTTTTTTTTTTGTTTTTTTTTTTGTTTTTTTGAGATGGAGTCTTGCTCTGTTGCCCAGGCTGGAGTGCAGTGGTGCAATCTTGGCTCACTGCAAGCTCTGCCTCCTGGGTTCATGCCATTCTGCTGTCTCAGCCTCCTGAGTAGCTGGGACTACAGGCGCCTGCCACCATGCCTGGCTAATTTTTTTGTATTTTTAGTAGAGACGGGGTTTCACCATGTTAGCCAGAATGGTCTTGATCTCCTGACCTCGTGATCCGCCCTCCTTGGCCTCCCAAAGTGCTGGGATTACAGGTGTGAGCCACCACGCCCGGCCTTCCCTGGTTTTTAAACATAGTAAAGAAAATCTTTTTTTCTTCTTTTGATAAAATGCAAAATAGGCTCAAATTTTGTTTCTACCTTGTGTCTTTCTGTCCCTGGTTGAGGAAGGTATTGCTGGCGCCCAAGGTACCACCACTCTTTTTCAGCTGACTACAGTAAGAGAGTGGTTTGAAATTCTGTATTTAAGAGGGATGACATTCATTGAATAAGCATGTTCCATTCCTCTGCCCCGTGTTGCAACGCTTTAGTGAAAGGGCTAAATGGAGGAAAGAAATAGAAGGCACTAGGTTCAGGATGTTTAAGAGGAATAATACTAGGGTTTTTTTGTGTTTTTTTGTTTGTTTTTTGTTTTTGTTTTGAGGCTGGAGTACAGTGGCGCAATCTCGGCTTACTGCAACCTCTGCCTCTGGGTTCAAGCGAGTCTCCAGCCTCAGCCTCCCCAGTAGCTGGGATTACAGGCATGCACCACCACGCCCAGCTAATTTTTGTATTTTTAGTAGAGTTGGGGTTTCATCATGTTGGCCGAGCTGGTCTCGAACTCCTGACCTCGTGATTCGTCCACCTTTGCCTCCCAAAGTGCTGGGATTACAGGCCGCGCCTGGCCAGTACTAGGGTTTTATAAATACATGGGGAAGATGGAAGAAATCTGCTTTATCTAATAAAATAGTTCATGAAAGGGGACTGAGCTTGCAGGAGAGATTTAATATTGGTATAGTAGAAGCACTGTAATGTAGCTCCAGGCCTAGAAATCAGGAGACCTGGACTCTACCCCTTACTGTGACGTTCTGAACAAGTTACTTCAGCCTCCTAGAGTGCAGTTTCTTCTGGTAACTTTGGACAATTTAAAGCTATATGCAAATGTGAGCAGCAGCTTTGGTACAAGGAAGACACTGTTGATTGACATAGATGACTTTTGGAACTCAAAGTGCTCTTGCTTTTATGTTCCCATTAATTCAGCACACATTTACTGAGGCATACAAGATACCCAGCTAGGTGTTGTATCCCATTTTACTATATCAGCTCTTCTCTAATCCAATTTGCTACCTTCATCTGAATTTTTTCATTGATTGAACTTCTATAATAACTGTAGTAAAGGACATCCTTAAAGAATGTTTGAAATATGTGGTTAATTCTGACTGTGGCTTGTTTTGTTTAGAAGAGTGCTACCCTTATGCTGTACCTAACATTTAAAGTTAATAAGAATCTAAAAGAAAATTGTGCTTAAAAAAAATTGACAGCTTTAATCAGCAGAGTTTTTATTTGATTCTGAAAACATAATTTTTAGATTTCTAGAAATACATGCTACTCACAATAGAGGATATTGAATGAAAGAATTTAATCTTTCACCCTTTCAGTCGTTCTCATAACTTCATACCCTTTAGACCATGATACTGAGGCCCATACAGCTATTCTCTGTCTTTCATCAACAGGAATGAATAAAAGTTGGTATACTAGGGAGAAGAAGAATGAGGGTTAAGATTATTAGAATGGGCCGGGTGCGGTGGCTCAAGCCTGTAATCCCAGCATTTTAGGAGGTCGAGGCAGGTAGATCACGAGGTCAGGAGATCAAGACCATCCTGGCTAACACGGTGAAACCCCGTCTCTACTAAAATATACAAAAAAATTAGCCGGGCATGGTGGTGGGCGCCTGTAGTCCCAGCTACTTGGGAGGCTGAGGCAGGAAAATGGTGTGAACCCAGGAGGTGGAGCTTGCAGTGAGCCGAGATCGCGCCACTGCACTCCAGCCTGGGTAACAGAGTGAGACTTTGTCTCAAAAAAAAAAAAAAAAAAAGATTATTAGGATGATGGCATTTTTATTTATGCCTTTGTATTTGCAAATTTGAAATACTATATATTTTTCCCTTAGCACTTACTAAGGGGGAAAAAAATGAATTAAAATGGCAGGACTACAGATAAATTATTGTCACCATTTTAATAAGCATAATAATCAAATTGATTCTAAACCTCTCTACTAGTTTTTAACATTTGCTTTAATTTTGTCTTTATCTAATGAAGATCATTATTATTTGTATTATTTTTCTTAATGTTAATCATGTCCTCATTTGTAGCATTTAGACTTCCAAGAATATAATGGTAGATATTTATTTCAAATTTTTTGAGTTACCCAAATATGAATTTACTTTTTACATTTGTGGACAACTTTTTTGTTTTAACAAAAACTATTGGCTGGGCATGGTGGCTAATGCCTATAATACCAGCACTTTGGGAGGCCAAGGCAGGCAGATCGCTTGAGCCCGGGAGTTCGAGACCAGCCTGGGCAACACGGTGAAAACTTGTCTGTACAAAAAATACAAAAATTAGCCAGGCTTGTGGCCGGTGCACACCTGTAGTCCCAGCTACTTGGGAAGTTAACGTCGGAGGATTACTTGAGCCCTGGAGGTAGGGGCTGCAGTGAGCCAAGATCACACCACTGCACTCCAGCCTGGGTGATAGAGTAAGACTTTGTCTCAAAAAAAAAAAAAAAAGAGAGCTATTACTTTCCTTCAGTTTAACACTGAAGGTGAGATACCTATAATGGATGAATCTGCCTCATCTGATAGTCCCAGGAATAGCAATCATTTAAGGCATACATTTTTTAAAAAATGTAACTTTTGTTTCAGACCTCTTAAGTCATGAAAATGCAGCAACGCTGAATGATGTAAAGACATTGGTCCAGCAACTATACACCACACTGTGCATTGAGCAGCACCAGTTAAACAAGGAAAGGGAGCTTATTGAAAGACTAGAGGATCTCAAAGAGCAGCTGGCTCCCCTGGAAAAGGTAAAACTTCCAATCTCAGGTTTTTTACCTTAACCTGTATTTTTTCCAGAGCATATATGTTTCTGTTTTTTCTTGTAAGTTTTATGCAATTGAGTCATGTCAATCAAGTTAGTTCTTTAGTTTATGGGACTGAACCATAAAAAAGTTTAAGTCAAAGCTAAGAAAGGGCTTGAAAAGGAATCATTTGGAGCCTTGATAATGGACTTAGAGCTTTCAGTTCTAAATGCACTGCCCTTAACCAGATTTACCACCTTTAAAATTAAGATCAGAATAACTGCTGATCAGGAAAGGCTCTTGAGTATAGTGGATAATGATTTTAGCCAAGTTAAGAATGAATATTACAGTTGGCCCTCTGTTATCTGTAGGTTCTACATTTGCAGATTTAACCAACCTCAGAGAGAAGATATTTGCAGGGGAAAAAAACAATAAAACATAACAAGGCTGGGCGTGGTGGCTCACGCCTGTAATCCCAACACTTTGGGAGGCCAAGGCAGGCAGATCACCTGAGGTCAGGAATTTGAGACCAGCCTGGCCAACATGGCAAAACCCCGTCTCTCCTAAAAATATAAAAATTAGCCGGGCATTGTGGTATCATGTGCCTATAGTCCCAGCTACCTGGGAGGCTGAGGCACGAGAATCACTTGAACCTGGGAGGTGGAGGTTGCAGTGAGCCAAAATTGCACCACTGCACTCCAGCCTGGACGACAGAGCGAGACTGTCTCAAAAACAAACAAACAAAAAAACAACAACAACAAAATAACAATACAACAACAAAAAAATACAAATTTTAAAAATCAATATAATGACTATATAGCATTTACATTGTATTATAAGTAATCTAGAGATGATTTAAAACATATGGGAGGATATGCATAGGTTATATGCAGATACTATCCCATTTTATATAAGGGACTTTAACATCTATGTATTTTGATATCTTGGTTTGGGGGGTATCCGGGAACCAATTCACCACAGATACCTAGGGACAACTGTATATAGAATATTATGCAACTATTAAAGGGACTATATAGATTTAATTTGCCATAGAAACCAAATTATAAAATAGTGTGCATACTATGATCCAATTTTTAAATGTGTTATATATATACCTATACGCATTTATATATATACATACACAGAGAAAGAAATCAGAAGGAATACATTCCAAAATACTAGTACAGTAGTCGGGTTATGACTGATTTTTCTTTACACTTTTCTGAATGTTTACAATGAACATATGTTACCTTTATTTTTTTCTATGATATTTCAATTTTAAGAAATCAGATTATAAGGAGTAAGGAAGGGAACAAATACTCTTAGTATTTTGCATTTTCTGATTCCTGAAAAATAATTTTCATCATTTATAGATAGAATATTTACTGTGTTTCATGAATTGTGCTAGTATTTTACCTATATTTTCTTTTCTTTTTTTTGAGACGGAGTCTCACTCTATTGCCCAGGCTGGAGTGCAGTGGCACGATCTCGGCTCACTGCAGGCTCCACCT